>NC_000022.11:19959564-21209564 GCF_000001405.40 Homo sapiens | reverse complement strand
GCTCTGGGGTCTCAGCAGGTGGTCCGCAACATGACCTCTGAGTTCTTCGCTGCCCAGCTCCGGTCCCAGATCTCTGACCACACCACTCACCCGATCTCCTACTACAAGCCCGAGTTCTACACGCCGGATGACGGGGGCACTGCTCACCTGTCTGTCGTCGCAGAGGACGGCAGTGCTGTGTCCGCCACCAGCACCATCAACCTCTAGTAGGGGCTGCTGGGCCGCCTGGGTGGGAAAGGGCCAGGGGCGGGTGGCCCAGGGACTGCCCACTTATCCAGTAAGGTGGCTCCATCACCTCTTTTCCTGGTGGGAAACTGAGGCCCAACCTTGGTAGCTTATCCTGGGCCTCTCAGTGAGTATGTTTGAGCCTCAGTGGGTGGATAGGGACCAGGCTGGGCCAGGCAAGGTCGGGTGCTGTCTGACCTGGCTGGGCGGTAGCTTTGGCTCCAAGGTCTGCTCCCCGGTCAGTGGGATCCTGTTCAATAATGAATGGACGACTTCAGCTCTCCCAGCATTCACCAATGAGTTTGGGGCACCCCCCTCACCTGCCAATTTCATCCAGCCAGGTATGGGGTGGAGGTCCGGGGGGTGGGGGACTGGGGTGGAGAGGGGCGGGTGTCCTGGGCAGGCAGCTGACGGGCATCCCTGTCTTCTCCCATCGGCCGCAGGGAAGCAGCCGCTCTTGTCCATGTGCCTGACGATCATGGTGGGCCAGGACGGCCAGGTCCGGATGGTGGTGGGAGCTGCTGGGGGCACGCAGATCACCACAGACACTGCACTGGTATGTGTCACCCCTTTTCTCCCTGGCCCTGCCCACTCTGCACAGCCCCCAAGCCACCCTGATCACACTCCCATGCCCCAGGCCATCATCTACAACCTCTGGTTCGGCTATGACGTGAAGAGGGCCGTGGAGGAGCCCCGGCTGCACAACAAGCTTCTGCCCAACGTCACGACAGTGGAGAGAAACATTGACCAGGTGGGCCAGGGGTTGGAGAAACTGAGTCACGGTGTGGGGTCCCAGGGCATCCTGGGCTGGAGGCCTGGATCATCACAGAGTGGACAATGGTTGGTGTCCTCTCTCTAGTGCCTGGGCCATCTGGAGCCCCTGTGACATGAGAGCCAAGCCCCCTGCTCCAGTGAGACCCAGCAGGCCCCAACCTGCTCTTCCTGATGACCTGGCCTGAAATGGCACCACCTGGGCTGAGGCCTGTGACCACACAGGTGTGGTTCAGGTGGCATCTGGAGCCCTGCTCAGGCTTCCCCTCTCCTCCCACCCCCAGGCAGTGACTGCAGCCCTGGAGACCCGGCACCATCACACCCAGATCGCGTCCACCTTCATCGCTGTGGTGCAAGCCATCGTCCGCACGGCTGGTGGCTGGGCAGCTGCCTCGGACTCCAGGAAAGGCGGGGAACCTGCTGGCTACTGATTGCTCCAGGCAGACAAGGCTGACAAGCAATCCAGGGACAAGATACTCACCAGGATGAGGAAGAGGACTTTGGGGGACGGGCTTCCCCTGTGAGCAGCAGAGCAGCATAATAAATGAGGCCACTGTGCCAGGCTCCAGGTGGCCTCCCTGGCCTGTCTCCCCACTCTCTGGGCCTCAGTGTATTGTGTGTGAAATGGAGCCATCTGGCTGGGGAGGAACAGAGAGGTGGGATTCGGAGATCTTCACAATGCGGACACTGGAACTAGCCTCAGCATCTTCAGCATGGGGAGAGCAAGGCACATGGCTGGGGGCCAGGGGAAGGTTCACACCAAACCCTGCCCCTTCCCACCCTGATCCCTCAGACTTTGGGGCCAGGCCCTCCCTTACTGGGGCTGGGCAGTGACACTACCTAGGATCAGCCACCAGGGGGTGTCACGACCCTGGCGCTTTCTTAGGCAGAGGGTGGCCAGCCGATGCTGGGAACCCGGGCGCCTTCTCAGACCCGTAGGCGTCCAGCTCACCCTGCCGATGACACTGGAGGTGAAGCTGAGGGTCCGAGGAATGGGGACTGGGCAACAGGCTGGAGGAAAACATCTCGGTCAGAGCCATGCCCCTGGGGGGTTCCCAAGAGCAAGCCCAGAGTGAAACCCAAGCTTGTGATCCTCTCCAGAGGGAGGCCTGGTTCTCAGGGAACAGCAAACGGGAAGATGTCCCCAGATCCCAGGGATCAGGGCTTGGACCAGCCGGGGACGCAGCCCAGAGGGAGTGGGTCCGGAAGGAAACAGCTCGACACAGCAGCCTTCACCATTGGCAGCCCCTCCAGGCCTCCCTCGGGGCCTGCTCCCTCCTCTGTGCACAGTTCCAACACCTGGAGCAGGGTTCTGGGAAGGGCTGGTGGAGGTGGGCTGGTGGGAGGCGGTGATCACAGCCCAACACCTGGAGCAGGGTTCTGGGAAGGGCTGGTGGAGGTGGGCTGGTGGGAGGCGGTGATCACAGCCCAGCACCTGGATATCACCAGGGGCACTGGGGCCAGGGGCCAGGTGAGGCCAGGTCGGGGCTATCCTTCAGGAGCCCCGAAAACCTGGTGATTCCAAAGGGCCCATAGACAAACAGGGTTTTATGCCTGTGGAGTCAAGTCCCACTGGGTCTGAGCTCTGGAGGGCTGTGTCTCTGGGGCTCTGCAAGGGTGAGATGGAGGTGGGCTCAACTGGTGTACAAGTCACTCTTCAATCCTTATTTTATTTATTTAATTTTTTTAAAAAAAATTTAAACCAATAGAGATGGGGTCTCACTATGTTGACCAGGCTGGTCTTAACTCCTGACTTCAAGCAGTCCCCCCATCTCAGTCTCCCAAAGTGCTAGGATTACAGGGGTAGCCACTGCACCCGGCCTCAATCCTTATATTGGCCTGAGAGGAAAGGCCGTGGCCCCATTTGCAGGGGAGAAGACTGAAGCTGGAGGGGCAGGCCTTGCTCTGGGTTGCACAGCAGGAAGAGAAGTGGGAGCTGGCCACGAGGCTTCCTGGACCCGACACGCTGGTGGGGTACACCCTGGTTCTCTAGGTCCCATGGGGCTCAGCCCAGGACTACCTCGGGGGGTGAGGGACTTAAATCGTCTCCTTCATTCTCATCACCCCTTCCCCCATCATTTCCTGAGGAAGGACATTCAGGGACCTGAAGGGGTGGCCTGCCCCTCCACACCTGTGGGTGTTTCCCATCAGCTGGGACAAGAGACTGAGAAAAGAAAGAGACACAGAGACAAAGTATAGAGAAAGAAAAGTGGGCCCAGGGGACCTGCGCTCAGCATACGGAGGCCCCACGCTGGCACCAGTCTCTGAGTTCCCTAGTATTTATTGATCATTATCTCTACCATCTCAGAGAGGGGGATGTGGCAGGACAATAGGGTAATAGTGGGGAGAGGGTCAGCAGGAAAACACGTGAACAAATGTCTCTGTGTCATAAACAAGGTTAAGAAAAAGGTGCTATGCTTTGATGTGCATATACATAAACATCTCAATGCATTAAAGAGCAGTATTGCCACCAGCATGTCCCATCTCCAGCCCTAAGGCAGTTTTCTCCTATCTCAGCAGATGGAATATACAATCAACACTGAGACATTCCTTTGCCCAGGGACGATCAGGAGAGAGATGCCTTCCTCTTATCTCAACTGCAAAGAGGCCTTCCTCTTTTACTAATCCTCCTCAGCACAGACCCTTTACAGGTGTCGGGCTGGGGGACGGTCAGGTCTTTCCCTTCCCACGAGGCCATATTTCAGACTGTCACCTGGGGAGAAACCTTGGACGATACCTGGCTTTCCTAGGCAGAGGTCCCTGCGGCCTTCTGCAGTGTTTTGTGTCCCTGCTTACTTGAGATTAGGGAGTGGTGATGACTCTTAACAAGCATGCTGCCTTCAAGCATTTGTTTAACAAAGCACATCCTGCACAGCCCTGAATCCATTAAACCTTGAGTCGACACAGTACATGTTTCTGTGAGCACAGGGTTGGGGCTAGGGTTACAGATTAACGGCATCTCAAGGCAAAAGAATTTTTCTTACTACACAACAAAATGGAGCCTCTTACGTCTACTTCTTTCTACATAGACACAGTAACAGTCTGATATCTCTTTCTTTTCCCCACAGGGACCTTCCTGGCTGTGCCTCGGGTCAGGACCAGAATGACACCCATTCATTTCCCTGGGCCTTTGCTCCGGTGGTCCCTGCACCCTGGCCTCTGCCTGACGAGGATGGTGGGGAGAGGAGGGGGGACGTCCCCCACACTGCTGTCTCCACTGTTCCTGCTGCCCAGGCCTCTGGGCTTCCAGGACTGCAGCGGGTGGGTGGGTGGGCTGGCCTGAGCCCAGGAATGCACTTCAGTTCCTGGTTGAGCAATGTCACTGAGGCTTGGGAGTCGGGTGGGGGCGGGAGGAGGCGTCCGCAGGCCCCCCTACCGTGAGAGGCAGCCGTGGGAACAGCCTACCTCTAAACAATCACTGCAGCCCAGGCTGACCAGGGGCTCTGGCCGGACATAGGGGCCTGGCAGGCTGTGTGCCCTGTAAGGACACAGTCTGTCTCTGTGCCTCAGTTTCTCTGCTGCCCAGATGGAGGGGCCCAGACTCCAGGTGTACACATCTGGAGCAGGCAGTGTTCAGTTGGGGAGGAAGCGGGGAGGACTGTGGGGGCCATGTGGGAAGGATTCCACCCCACATCACCTGCACCCCTGCTGAGCCTGGTCAACGGAGCCCCTCAGTGGGTCCTCACTCCCCTGGTTGCCTCCCATTTAGGCACCCTGAGGCCTGGGGAGAACAGAGCCAGGCCAGTGTCCCCAGAGAGGCTGCGCTGCCAGCACAGTAGTAGCGGATTTGGATTCAGAGAAGCAGACCTGCAGCCAGGGTGGGAAAGAGCTGCAGGTGGGGTGGGGCCCCCACATGGCACAGCCCCCCTCCCTGGAGGTCCATGCTGCATTTCCAGGACAGCAAGTCCCAGGGATGGATGGTGCCTGGTGCCAAGGGCTAGAGGCATGGTCTGTCTGCATTTCCCATGTAAGTGTCTCATAGTCACCAGCATTTGATGCTGTCAAGACCCCCTGTCCTCTGTGCAGACTGGGAAGCCCTTGGTCACCCTGGGGGGGTTGGGGGACCCAGGCCAGGCTGCAGAAACATAAGGACTTGAACCCGGGTCCTGAGTGACACCACCTTGGGTCCTCCTCCTTCTGCCTCTGTTCAGCTCCACCTTGATGCTGACTAGGCTGGGCCATGCGGAGAGGGTTAGGGGATAGAGATGGGAGCTGGGGAGCAGGGCTCCACTCTGGGAGGTGGGCAGCCTTGCCGGATCCAGGGCAGAGTTAAGCGGCCCCAGCTCTGCTTTCCCAGAGCTGCTGAGAACCTGGGGAATGGTGTGGAGGTTCCAGGGAGCCCTGCCCCTACCTGGCAACCGCAGTGCAGCACGCACCAAGTTCTCCTGCACATTGCGACAGTGTGACCATGGGCTCTGGCGGGCAGTAGGTGGGGCCTTTGGACCTACCAGCAGTGAGGGAGTTAACACAGCAGCTGACTTCTCTAGGCAAAGAAAACTCCCCTCAGACGCTTTGCTGCCTGGCCTCCTGCCAGGAACAAGCAGGAGCTGAAAACTAGAAGTTGAGGCATGAGTTTGGCCACTCCGTAGTGTGCACTTGGTGAGGGCAGCAGCTCGCCACAGCTGCCAGCCATCTGTCCATTCACCCATCTGTCCATCTGGCAGCCCGCTGTTCAGACCTGTCTGTCTGTCCGCCCATCTGTAAGCCCATCTCTGTCCCATTGTCTATCTGACCATCTTTCTCTTACTGTCCTCTTTGTCTAGCTATCTGGCCTGTCTGTCGATCCATCTTCGTGTCTGTCTTCAGCCCCCACCTGTTTGTCCATCTGTCCAATTACCTGTGAGTCTATCTATGCATCTTCTTGTCCATTCATCTGCCCACCCATCTGTCCCTCCATCTGCCCACCGGCCTCCCCTCTCCTTCTGGGCCGCAGAGCCATGGCCCAGGACTACGGAGCCATGGGTGACCTGGTCCTGCTGGGGCTGGGGCTGGGGCTGGCGCTGGCTGTCATTGTGCTGGCTGTGGTCCTCTCTCGACACCAGGCCCCATTTGACCCCCGGCCTTTGCCCACGCCGCTGTTGCTGCTGACTCCAAGGTCTTCTCAAATATTGTACGGTGAGTGAGACGTGGGAGGAAGCTGGGTGGCCTTTGGCAGCCAGCCCCTCCTGGAGAAGGCGTGTGTGTGTGAGCATGTGTGTGTGTGAGAGATTATGTGTGAGTGTGTGTGGGTATATGTGTGAGTGTGTTTGTGGGGTGTGGGTGTGTGTGAATGTGTGTGATCGTGTTTGGGTGTGTGTATGTGTGAGTGTGGGTGTGTGTGAATGTGTGTGATTGTGTTTGTGTATGTGTGTGTGGGTGTGTGTGAGTATATGTGAGTGTGAGTGTGTGGGGGTGTGGGTGGGTGTGAATGTGTGTGATTGTGTTTCGCTGTGTGAGGGTGTGTGTGACTGTGAGTGTGTGAGTGTGGGTGTGTGGGTGTGTGTAAATGTGTGAGTGTGAGTATGGGGGGGTGGGTATGTGTGAATGTGTGTGATTGTGTGTGGGTATATTTGTGGGGGTGTGTGTGTGTGTGCACGTGTGTGTGTGTGCACGTGCACTGGCCCAGGAAGCAGGAGCCGTGTGTGTGGGCTTCAGCACCTGCAGGGCTTGAGCGCAAGGAGACAGCCTCAGGGCCCTTGCACAGAACAGGCGGCAGGGTGTGCCCGTGGGGCAGATGGGGACTTGGGGACAATGGTGGTGTGTGAGTCCATACCTGGCTCCAGGATTCAGGAGGCCCATTTGCATATCCCAGGTGGGAACCTGTCTGGCCCCGCCTGACCCTGCTGGCCGGCGCAGGCCCCTTCAGTGAGGCCAATTCTCCAAGGCTGCGGTCTTCTCCCAGGGTCATGGGTGAAGGGGTTTGGAGGCTCCCTGCGTGGGTACTGGCCTGCTGGGGTACACACAATGCTGCCATAGCCAGTCTGCCCCTACACCCAGCCCGGGGCCACATCTCAGGTCTCTCAGTCCTGAGGAGCCCGGTGCCCCACCCCTCACATCCTCTCTCCCTGAGTCAGGGCCTGGGTCTCGTGAGCTGAGTGACTGATACTTGGTGTCCTGGATGAGGGCGTGGTGGAGAGGGGCCACAGCGGGTGTTTCCTGACCCTCTTCCAGGAAGGTGCTGCTGCCGCTGCAGGGAGGACACACACAGGATGCCCCTTCTTGCCCCCTGCCTCCCATTGGGCCCACAAAAGCCAGGGCAAGCCTCCCCTCCCTGCCAGCCACCTGGTCTGCTTCCCAGAAATTCTGTCTTGCAGGCTGTTGGGAGGATCCCAGTACTTTGTAAACTAAAGCAAGGGAGGAGTGGCCGTTCTCTCTCTTTGTTCATTCATTCACCTTTTCATTCATTCCTTCTTCCCTCCATTCCCCCATCTGTGCATCCTTCCCTGCCCTGATTGCTCATGCCACCCCCCCCCAGCCCCTCCTGACCTGGTCCTTTGGTTTCTCTTCAGGGCTTTCTGTCTCCTCCCACAGGGCTGAGAATGGCAGCTCAGGGACAAGTAGGGGCTGGGGACTGCTTAGTCTCCCCAGTGGCTCTCAGGGGATTTGAGGGTTTGACGCCAGCTGCCACCCCAGGCTGTGCCCCTCCTCTGCTCGGGAGGACATACAGAGATGCGACACCCACTTAAACTCGAAGTTGCAAAGATGCAAATGAGACTGGGGTCTCAGGCACCAGAGACCACCCGTGGGCACGTGGCTTTTGGGAGTGGGGACCTGCTGCCACAGATCTCTGAAGAGTCTGGACCTGCTGGGTCTCCCCGAGTGACTGTCTGGGGGTCTCCATAGCATGCCCTGCTGTGTGCGTGACGGTCACTGGTTGGGTAGGGGTCTCTACTCTAAAGCTCCCTCTGCCGGCATCCCCTCCAACTCTCCCTTGGTGAAGAGAGGATGTGGTTTGCCCCAGTGTTTTATCAAACAACTCTCTCCACTTCCAGTTTTAAGAAGCTGGGAGTGGAAGAGAGCCTGGGGCTGGCCCCAGCTGCTGCTGTGAAACAGGGGTCACTGGACGCTGGGACCCTGGCCGGGCTGGCTGGAGGCCTCAGGAAGAGGCCTGCTACAGCGTCATCCTGGCCAAGATTCCTCCCTGCAGAGGACCCTGGCCACGCTGCCACAGGGTCTGCTGGGGCCACCAGAAGCCCATGCTCCTGCCTCCATCTCTCCCCTCTGTGCTCACCTCTCACCAGGAGGCCCTCCCAGAGTTCAGTGTCCTGCTTTTTTTTTTTTTTTTTGTGACGGTGTCTCACTCTGTCACCAGGCTGGAGTGCAGTGGCGCGATCTCAGCTTACTGCAACCTCTGCTTCCTCGGTTCAAATGATTCTCCTGCCTCAGCCTCCTGAGTAGCTGGGACTACAGGTGCCAGCCACCACGCCCCGCTAATTTCTGTATTTTTAGTAGAGACGGGGTTTCACCGTGTTGGCCAGGATGGTCTCTATCTCTTGATTCACCCGCCTTGGCCACCCAAAGTGCTGGCATTACAGGAGTGAGTCATGGCACCTGGCCTCATCTCCTACTCTTTCAGCACCAGGTTTTATTCTTGGGATTCTGCTACAGCCGGAGCCCCTGGGTGCGAGTTCCTAAGGTTTCTGTGAGTGTGGACCCAGCACCGTGCCTAGTAGACATACAAAAGGAGCATGGTGACAGTGAGGTCTGTCATCTCCAGCATAATGACTGTTTTGATCCTTGTAAAAAAGGTGATTTTTGGCTGGGTGTGGTGGCTCACACCTGTAATCCCAGCACTTTGGGAGGCCGAGGGGGGTGGCTCACTTGAGGTCAGGAGTTGGAGACCAGCCTGGGCAACATGGTGAAACCATGTCTCTACTAAAAATACAAAAATTAGCTGGGCATGGTAGCAGGTGCCTGTAATCCCAGATACTTGGGAGGCTGAGACAGGAGAATCACTTGAACCCAGGAGGCAAAGGTTTCAGTAAGCCAAGATTGCACCACTGCACTCCAGCCTGGGTGACAGAGCAAGACTTGGTCTCAAAAAAAAAAAAAAGAAAGAAAGAAAAGTTTATATTTTTGTTCTAATGGTTATCTTAATATCGTCATTCTATAATTATATGTTTTATATAATTATAATAGCTATATAAGATATAATACCCCTAGTATGTTGTTTTTTGGATATTCTACTTGCTCCTGATGGTTAATTTATGTGTCAACTTGGCTAAGCTATGGTGTCCTGTTGTTTGGTCAAATACTTGTCAATATCTTGCTGGGAGGTTATTTCATAGATGTGATTAACACTGACAGTCAATTGACTTTAAGTAAAACAGATTACCCACCATAATATGGGTGGGCCACCTCCAATCAGTTGAAGGCCTTAAGAACAAAAACTGAGGTTTCCCAGAGAAGCAGGAATTCTGCTTCAAGACTGTAACACACAAACCCTGCCTGAGTTTCTGGCCTGCTGACTGCTCTACAGATTTTAGGTTCCAGACTTCGAGATCAACTCTTACCTGAATTTATAGCCTGCTGGCTTGCCCTACAGATTTTAAAACTTGCTAGTCCCCACAATCATGTGAGCCAATTCCTAAATAAATCTCTCTCTATGTATAATCTATTGGTTTAGTTTCTCTGAAAAACTTTCACATCCAGTTTCCTGGTTGTTAAGAATTACCGAAACTAGCTAGTAACTTCTTTTTTTTTTTTTTTTTTTGAGACAGAGTTTTGCTCTTGTTGCCCAGGCTGGAATGCAATGGCACAATCTCAGCTCACCGCAACCTCCACTTCCTGGGTCCAAGCAATTCTCCTCCCTCAGCCTCCTGAGTAGCTGGGATTACAGGCATGTGCCACCATGCTTGGCTAATTTTTGTATTTTTAGTAGAGACAGGGCTTCTCCATGTTGGTCAGGCTGGTCTTGAACTCCCAACCTCAGGTGATCCGCCGCCTTGGCCTCACAAAGTGCTGGAATTACAGGCACGAGCCATTGCGCCTGGCTCCTAGTAAATTCTTCTTTTCTGTGATGTGTCTCTTACCTCTAATAATACTTTTCTTCTTAAAGTCTACTTCATTAAAAATAGTTATGCTGGGCATGGTGGCTCATGGCTGTAATCTTGGCACTTTGCTGGAGGTCGAGGTGGGTGGATCACTGAAGCCCAGGAGTTCAAGACCAACCTGGGCAACATGGCGAGACCCTGCCTCTACAAAAAATACAAAAATTAGCTGGGTGTGGCTAATATAATTCTAAGTTGGCACACTTGTAGTCCCAGCTACTTGGGATGCTGAGGTGGGAGAATCGCTTGAGCCTAGAAGGGAGAGATTGCTGTAAGCCAAGATCACATCACTGCACTCCAGCCTGGGAGACAGAGTGAGGCTCTATCTCCAAAAAAAAAAAAAAAAAAAAAAAAAAAGTTATACAGCTTTCTTGGTTAGTACATGCATGACATATTTTTCATGATCTTCCACCTCTCTGTACCCTTATATAAAAGGCATTAGTTGGGTTTTACTTTATTTTCAATTATTTTAATTTTTATTGTCCTTTTAAATGTAACTAATGATTTATTTGGGTTGAAACCCACCACCAATTTGTTTTCCATGCCTATTCTATTTCTTCTTATCTCCTCTCACATCTTGTTTTGGATTTATTATTTTTATTATTTAATTTCCTCCTTCTCTATTAGTTTCATAACTGTGCAGTCTTAGAGTTATTTTAAAAGATGACTGGATTATTTTAGAGCTTACAACATGCATCCTTCCCTTATCAAAGTCTAACATGAGCTAGTACTTTTTGTTGTGGTTGAGATAGAGAGAGTCTTCCTCTGCTGCCCAGGCTGGAGTGCAGTGGAGCAATCTTGGTTCACTGCAACCTCCACTTCTTGGGTTCAAGCAATTCTCCTGCCTCAGTCACCTGAGTAGCTGGGACCACAGGTGTGCACCACTATGCCCGGCCAATTTTTGTATTCTTTTTCAGTAGAGACAGGGTTTCACCATGTTGGCCAGGCTGGTCTTGAACTCCGGACCTTAAGAGATCTGCCTACCTCGGCATCCTAAAGTGTTGGGATTACAGGCGTGAGCCACCGCGCCCAGCCTATGAGTTAGTACTTCTATCCTCTTCCTAGTCAGTACAAGAACCTTGGAACAGGAACTAAATTTACCCCCAGTGACTTATATGCTAATATTTTTGTGTATTTTAAATATGTGTGTGTGCATAGATGTATCTGTGTGTTTTTTGTGTTTTTATTCTTATTTATGTTGAGAGTGTAGAGCTATGTAAGAGTAAAGAGAATTGTGTAATGAAGCCCCGAGTATCCATTCAATTTCAACAACAATCTTATGGCCAAGCTCATTTCATGTATACTCTTTCCTGCTTCCCTCTACCCCACATTATTTCAGTGCAAATCCCAGATATATAACTGTACCAATACATATTTCAGTATGTTTTATTTATTTTAAACCCCACAAGATATCATTTTCTATACTACTGTAATTTTATACCAATAACATTCATTTAGATTTACCCACACGTTTACCCTACCCTCCGGGTCCTGTTTGAAAATCAAGCCCATGCTCACAGGCCAATTTTTTTTCTTTTAGAGACAGGGTCTCACTTTGTCACCCAAGCTGGAGTGCAGTGGTGCGATTATAGCTCAATGCAGCCTCCAATTCCTGGACTCAAGGGACCCTCCTGCCTCAGCCTGCCAAGTAGCTTGGACTATAGCTGTGTGTTTTCTTATTATTTTGTAGACATGGGGTCTGGCTATGTTGTCCAGGCTATTCTCAAAATTCCCGGCCTCGAGCAATCCTCCTGCCTCGGCCTCTCAAAGGTTGGGATTACAGGTGTGAGGCAAGGCACCCAGCTCAGCCACAGAGCCCTGTTGCATCTCTCTTACTAGGAGCAAGAGCTGACTGCCCCCTCATCCCCATTCCAGAGTGTTGGGGCTGTGTTCAGCCGAGGCCGGGCCACTGGCATGGCCCAGGGAGCGGGATCATTCACTGCTGCCCCAAATCTGAGATCATTCCACCTTGACAAGACTTCCTCATCCAATCCCTTTACTTGACAGCTGGGGAAACCAATGCGCACAGAGCACCCCCAGCTCACTCGGGGTCTCAGAGCTGATCCATGAGCAGAGGCTGAGATCCTGGGATCTTGTCCCCCAGCCGCCCTGCAAGCTTACTCCCTTTCTGCTGGAAGAGATGGGGCCGGACCTCGACCAGCAGCCCTGGCCTGGACATGACTGTGCTCACCCAGGTATTGAGGCCGAGATGCCCCGGCATCATATGTTTTTCTCTCTTTTTTTCTTTTTTTTTGAGACAGTATCTCACTCTGTCACCCAAGCTGGAGTGCAGTGGCATGATATTGGCTCACTGCAACCTCTGCCTCCCGCTTAAAGTGATTCTCCTGCCTCAGTCTTCCAAGTAGCTGGGCCTACAGGCTTGTACCACCACACCTGACTAATTTTTGTATTTTTACTAGAGACGGGGTTTCCCCATGTTGGCCAGGCTCGTGTCGAACTCCTGACCTCAGGTGATCCACCTGCCTTGGCCTCCCAAAGTGCTAGGATTACAGGCATGAGCCATGGCGTCACTTAAATGTAGTGAGAGGCCGGGCAAGGGGCTCATGCCTGTAATCCCAGTGCTTTGAGAGGACGAGGCTGTCAGATCACCTAAGGTCAGGAGTTCGAGACCAGCCTGGCCAACATGGTGAAACTGTGTCTCTACAAAAAAATAGAAAAAAAAATCCCTGCGTGGTGGCAAGTATCTGTAGTCCCAGTTACTCAGGAGGCTGAGGCATGAGAATTGCTTAAACCTCGGAGGCGGAGGCTGCAGTGAGCTGAGATGGCGCCACTGCACTCCAGCCTGGGTGACAGAGCAAGACTTTGTCTCTAAATAATTAAATAAATAAATATGGCCGAGCATGGTGCCTTAGGCCTGTAATCCCAACACTTTGGGAGGCTGAGGCAGGTGGTTCATGAGGTCAGGAGCCCGAGACCAGCCTGGCCAAGATGGTGAAACACTGTCTCTACTAAAAATACAAAAATTAGCCAGCTGTGGTGGCAGGCACCTGTAATCCCAGCTACTTGGGACACTGAGGCAGGAGAATCGCTTGAACCTGGAAGGCAGAGGTTGCAATGAGCCGAGATTGCACCGCTGCACTCTAGCCTGGGCGATGGAGCAAGACTCCATCTCAAATAAATAAATTAATAAATACAGAGCAAGATTCCATCTCAAATAAATAAATAAATGTACACCTGTAATCCTAGCACTTTGGGAGGCTAAGACAGGTCGATCACCTGAGGTCAGGAGTTCGAGACCAGCCTGACCAATATGGCAAAACTCCATCTCTACTAAAAATACAAAAATTAGCCGGGCGTTTTGACGTGTGCCTGTAGTCCCAGCTACTTGGGAGGCTGAGACAAGAGAATTGCTTGAACCCAAGAGGTGGAGGTTGCAGTGAGCCGAGATCTCGGCTGCACTTCAGCCTGGGTGACAGAGTGAGACTCTGTCTCAAAAGGAATAAATAAAATACAAAGTAAAAAAAAATGTAGTAAGATTGCAGAGTCGTGCCGCAGAAGCGTGCTGGTCCTATCCATGTAGTGAAGGCTGATTTCATACACAAATGTCAGAAGAACTTTTCTTTTCTTTTTCTTTTCTTTTTTTTTTTTTTGAGACGGAGTCTCGCTCTGTCACCCAGGCTGGAGTGCAGTGGTGTGATCTAGGCTCACTGCAAGCTCTGCCTCCCTGGTTTATGCCATTCTCCTGCCTCAGCCTCCTCAGTAGCTGGGACTACAGGCGCCTGCCACCTAGCCCAGCTAATTTTTTTGTACTTTTAGAGGAGATGGGGTTTCACCGCGTTAGCCAGGATAGTCTCAATCTCCTGACCTCGTGATCCGCCCGTCTCGGCCTCCCAAAGTGCTGGGATTACAGGCATGAGCCACCACACCCGGCCTTCTTATATGCTTTTATTGCATTTGAGCGTACCTCTTTTACAGCGAAGATCTTTTTTTTAAATTTTATTTTATTTTTAGAGATGGAGTCTTGCTTTGTTGCCCAGGCTGGAGCACTGTGGTGTGATCATAGCTCACTGCAGCCTTGAACTCCCGGGCACAGGTGATCCTCCCACCTCAGCCTCCTGAATAGCTGGGACTACAGGCATGCACCACCATGCCTGGCATATTTTAAAGATGTTTGTAGAGATGAGGTCTCGCTATGTTGCCAGGCTTGTCTCAAACTACTGGGCTCAAGCCATCCATCCATTTCAGCCTCCCAAAGTGCTTGGATTATAGGCATGAGCACTGCGCCTGGCCATCACACTGTTTTTTTGTTTGTTTGTTTGTTTGTTTTGAGATGGAGTCTTGCTCTGTCGCCCAGGCTGGAGTGCAGTAGTGGGATCTCACCTCATTGCAAGCTCCGCCTTGTGGGTTCACGCCATTCTCCTGCCTCAGCCTCCTGAGTAGCTGGGATTACAGGCGCCCGCCACCACGCCTGGCTAATTTTTTGTATTTTTAGTAGAGACGGGATTTCACCGTGTTAGCCAGGATGGTCTCGATCTCCTGACCGTGATCTGCCCGCCTCGGCCTCTCAAAGTGCTGGGATTACAGGCATGAGCCAATAAATATTTTTATAATCATTAACTACCGAGGAGAAGCTGGAGAGAAAAAAGGTGGATGAAGTTAAGGCAGAGAGACTTTGTAAGTTTCTTAGCTGAGCTTTTGGAGACTGTATATCAGAGATCCTATTTGAGGTGATTTTCGGCTACAGAGATAGGCCTGGTCATTTGAAAAATAACGGATTAGGTGAAGCTTGCGTTTGAAATCCTCCTTCTACTTCTCATCTTTCTCTCTTGTTTATTCTGAACATCCATCTTAGACACCCAATCTTTGTCACTTTGTGGTTGTCATTGATTTCCCTGTTATTGAGATTAGAGGTTGGCAGACTTTCTCTGTAAAGGGCTGGAGAGAAAGTACTTCAGACTTTGTGGTCTGTGCAGTGTCTGTTGCAACCACTTAACTCTGCCCTGTAGAGCAAAAGCAGCCGTAGACAGTACATGGGCAGATGAGCATGGCTGGGGTCCAGTTACATTTACTTGCAAAAAGAGGGTTGGAGACTGGGTGCGATCTCCCACCTTTAATCCCGGCACTTTGGGAGGCCGAGGCAGGAGGATCACTTCAAGCCAGGAGTTCAAGACCAGCCTGGGCAACAAAGCAAGACTCCATCTCTACAAAAAAATAAAAATTATTATAGCTAGGCATGGTGGTACACACCCGTAGTCCTAGCTACTCAGGAAGCTAAAACTGAGGCAGGAGGGTCAGTTGAGCCCAGGAGCACGAGGCTGTGGTGAGCTATTATTGTGCCAGTGCACTCCAGCCTGGTGACAGAGCAAGAACCGTCTCATCAAAAAATAAACAAAAGGCTGGGCACGGTGGCTCACGCCTGTAATCCCTGCACTTTGGGAGACTAAGGTGGGCAGATCATGAGGTCAGGAGATTGAGACCATCCTGGCTAACACGGTGAAACCCTGTCTCTACTAAAAATACAAAAAGTTAGCCGGGCGTGGTGGTGGGCGCCTGTAGTCCCAGCCACTCGGGAGGCTGAGGAGGGAGAATCGTTTGAACCTGGGAGGCGGAGGTTGCAGTGAGCCAAGGTTGTGCCACTGCACTCTAGCCTGGGCTACAGGGCAAGACTCCATTAAAAAAAAAAAAAAAAACCAGCAAAAACCAAACAAAACATAATGCATGTTCTCTCTTATAAATGGGAGCTAAACATGGGGACTCATTGACTTAAAGATGGCAACAACTGGGAACTGCTGGATGGGGAGGGAGGGGAGGGGTGAAAGGCCAACTGTTGGGGAGTATGCTCATATCCATGTGACAAACCTGCACATGTGCCCGCTGAATCTAAAATAAAAGTTGAAAGTAGATTTAAAAAACCCCAAGAGGGCTGGGTTTGGCTTGTGTGTCCATAGCTTGTTAACCTCCGCTTTAGATATTAACTAATAGAAACATAGTGCTTATCTTCCCAGGCCACCTATTTTGTTCCTCTCCAAGGTGATGGATAGATGAAGGCCTAATCCAGCCGCCTGGAAGTTTGCTGACGCTTGTCCTGTCACGGATTAATGAAGCATTGTTTTCTGATGAAGGTTTCATGCCGCTGTGCTGATGTGTCTTCTCTTCTCTCTAGGCAGGAAACTGCATATCTTCTGGTTTACATGAAGATGGAGTGCTAATGGAAATGCCCAAAACCTTCAGAGATTGACACGCTGTCATTTTCCATTTCCGTTCCTGGATCTACGGAGTCTTCTAAGAGATTTTGCAATGAGGAGAAGCACTGTTTTCAAACTATATAACTGAGCCTTATTTATAATTAGGGATATTATCAAAATATGTAACCATGAGGCCCCTCAGGTCCTGATCAGTCAGAATGGATGCTTTCACCAGCAGACCCGGCCATGTGGCTGCTCGGTCCTGGGTGCTCGCTGCTGTGCAAGACATTAGCCCTTTAGTTATGAGCCTGTGGGAACTTCAGGGGTTCCCAGTGGGGAGAGCAGTGGCAGTGGGAGGCATCTGGGGGCCAAAGGTCAGTGGCAGGGGGTATTTCAGTATTATACAACTGCTGTGACCAGACTTGTATACTGGCTGAATATCAGTGCTGTTTGTAATTTTTCACTTTGAGAACCAACATTAATTCCATATGAATCAAGTGTTTTGTAACTGCTATTCATTTATTCAGCAAATATTTATTGATCATCTCTTCTCCATAAGATAGTGTGATAAACACAGTCATGAATAAAGTTATTTTCCACAAAAGGACTTTGCAGTTTTAACGGGGGGCAGTAGGGATTGTGCTATAGAAATTCAAAGGCAAGGGAAGTCACTTCTGTTGTGGGGCCCTGGGAGGAGCCTCCAGGCTGGAAAGGGTTAAGGTGGAGGTCTCCGATAGGGGCAGCGTACACAGTGGACTGGCTGCAAAAGGCCGTGCTCAGCATTCAGACAGCATCACACACTCCGCTTTTCTCTACCAGGGAGGCAGGTGGGGAAGGATAGCGATGGGAAGGCAGGCGGAGCTCAGAATGTGGAAGGGGATCCAGTAAGGCTTGGAAGTTTGCACCTGATCTGGTGGGTGGTGAGGGGCCCTTGAAGGGGCAAGGAGGCGAGGAGCACTCAGCTGTGTTCTTACACTGATCTGCCACTGGGGTTAGAGACAAACGTGGTGGGAATGGAAAGCCACGCACAGTCACTAGCGCCTCTGGGGGGAGAATGGATGTGGCTGGTGAGAGAACAGGGGGGCCCAGGGAGAGTCCGGCACCAACCTGGGCGGGGGAGCCCAGTGGGTGTGAGCACCCCCACTTTAGAGATGAAGTGATGGAGACATTCAGATGTTTAACCCCTTGTTCAAGATTCCATACTTGATAAATGGCAGATCAAACTCCCAACATAAAATGTGGGTCATTTCTTTATTATTTTATTTGTATTGGTTAACAATGATCAGCCATGCAAGAATAAATGATTATTGTAAAATCTGCAAACAATGTAGATATGTAGAGAGTCCCTTCCTTGGAGCTTGACCTTGTCAGACAGGTATAGATGAGTGTTCCGGGGCAGCCGTAAAAACTGCCAGAGACTGGGCTGCTTATAACAGAAACGCATGGTCTCCCAGAAGCCCACATTCAAGTTGTCCAAAGGCCTGGCTCCTGGAGGCTCTGGAGGAGAGCCTGTTCCCTGTCTCTCAGCTTCTGCCGGTTGCCAGCAAGTGTTGCCGTTCATTCACTCCAGCCACTGCCTCCATCTGCACACAGCAAAACAGCGTATCCTGAAGTGCTCAACCTTATAGCCATTATTTTAAAATATCCGGAACACACAGGACCGTGGGAGTGGCTGTTGGAGAAATTTTCATGAAGGAAGAAAGATTACAACTAAGTTTTAAAATGCTAGTTTTGTTTGTTGTGTCTTGGAGAGGAGGTAAAAGTGGGAGTAAAAATAGGGAGTTTGGTGTAAGGTGGGAAAAGCAAAGGAACCCCGCATGGATGGGCTGAAGGGTGTGATGGGAGAACAGTGAGAAGTACGTTTGGGGAAGCAATTGGAAATAGTAGCTAAGCTTAATCACAATCTATCAAAAGGGACTTGTTGAAGAATTAATGTGTGACTAGGAACAGGGAGGTTATGGGCTTGTCAGCTCGACAGCGGGCACTCAGTTCCACTAACGAATGATGCCCGTGTGGACAGACAGAATGATGGACAGGCAGATGAATGCGTGGGCTTTATGTGAAACAGGTCCTCTTGGTTGTTGACAAGATACTGTTTTAAAGTTCCATTTTGCCATACTGCAAACAGCTTGTCATTAGCTCAATTTAGCCACATGTAAAATCACTAAGGCGGACTTCCAGAGTTCCCACATGAAAATCAAATGTAAACCAGCAGTGACCTGCTTCAACACCATCATCGGAAGTCAGAAGTTGAACTCTTTTTTGATGTTTAAAGCCTGCATAATATTCGCTGTATTATTATTCAGCATATTACTATTTCCTTCGTGATGGAAATTTGGTTTATCCCAATTTTCTATTCTATCAAAACACCGCTACATAGAAAATCCCCATGCACATATTTCTCCTAATTGTGGAAATATTTTACATAAAAGACTCTAGACATGGGATGAAATTCCCAGGTTATTGGAATTTTAAAATAGATAGGTACTCCCAAATTGACCTCTTACAAATTATATGAATTCGTAAGCTTCCAACTGTTATGGAGTTACCCATTTTGAGAAATCTGTGCTAAAAGGACCCAAACAATGCTGATGACAATGATCAGGATAATAAGTACGCTGGGAAGACAACAAAATGATTTAGATCTTAGACAAGTCATTCTAGGTGTCTCCACTGTTTCAGTTCTTGCGTTCGTTCATTCTTGTGCTTTTTCGTTTTACCAAATAAAATAGCTCCTTGATGTCATAGGAATCCACGCTATGCTTAATGAGTATTGGTTAGTAAAATGCCTATAACTAGTAATCTTCATCTATGCAATTAAATATTAATTCATAAAACACTTCAAATGTAAACAATAATTAGTAAATGAAAAGTACATAATACCTCAATTAGAAAAAAATCACTCCATTAAAAAGACATTATTTGTGTGATAAAAGAGATTGCCATTTTTGTATTTTTCTACAAGGTTAAAGAAAACTAAGTCAACTTATACAAGTGAATTTTAAAAGACTTTAGGGCAGGCGTGGTGGCTCACGCCTGTAATCCCAGCACTTTAAGAGGCCGAGGGGGGCAGATCACCTGAGGTCAGGAGTTCGAAACCAGCCTGACCAACATGGTGAAATCTCATTTCTACTAAAAATACAAAAAAATTAGCCCAGTGTGGTGGCATGTGCCTATAATCTCAGCTACTTGGGAGGCTGAGACAGGAGAATAGTTTGAACCTGGGAGGCGGAGGTTGCAATGAACCAGGATCGCACCATTGCACTCCAGCTTGGGCAACAAGAGTGAAACTCCATCTCAAAAATAAATAAATAAATAAATAAATAAAATAAATAAAAGCCTTTAACCCAGAATGCTGAGTAAATTGGCCAAAAATGCTAACCTATGCATTTCAATACTATAGGAGTCGCATGGGTAGAAATAACCAGATGAAATACTTCTGGTATTTCACCTTCCCAACCCACACGAGCCAGTGTTTTTCTGTGAATAACAAAAACAGCAGAATTTACTTGCCTCTCCATAAGAGGTTACCACTTCTGTGTGTTCCCCCGAAACAGGTGGTGGCTGGGTGAGAAGGTGGACAGCACTAGGGCAGGAGATGGGGGCTCCAGTATCGTGGGTGAGCTTCCTAAACCTCTGCAACTTTCAGCCCCTAAATGGGATGAGCCATCAGAATTTTTAGCACAATGCCCAGAACAAAGTAAGGATTTGACAAATGACGCCTCTCTCCACATTGTTCTGTCATCAGCCACCGCATCCTGTACCTCCAAGCCCACTGGGCTCCGGCTGTTTCCATCACATGGAGAATGACTCAGAGCCTGGCCTCCAGCCACCCTCCTGGCCTTTCTTCTTCTCACTCTGCCACTGGCTCCTCATGGACCACCAGCCTGGGTGTCCTCAGACATACCACACACTTCACTGTGGGAGTCACGCAGCCCTCAATGCTCCTTCTCCAGGGAGCCACGGGGCTTTCCTCCTCAGGAGGACTCTGCAAGCAGCTGGATGAAGGGCCCTCCCGTCTCTCATCCTTCCTTAATTTTTGTCACAGTTCTCCTTCCTTCCACTCAGTGCAGTGCACACTGATTGATCCTCCATCTTCCCCAAAAGACAGGAACAGCATGAGCAGTGGAGAGTAGATTCCAATGATAGAAAAAATAGTCAGTGATTTCTCATTTCCATTGATCATCAATGAAGAAAATGTATCCTGAAGGTCATGTACCTCCTATGGGACTGCTGCATCCTCAGCCTCCTGAATTTCAGCCCAGCACCTTCCTCCCCAGCACAGCAACAGGTCAGCCCTTACCAGCATCCCTCTCTTATTGCCTTTGTGCAGAGCCAGCACCAGGGCCAGGGGAGGCCTTGGGATTGTCCCTCCCCAACAATCTGTGAAACAATCCTTTATGTCACCAACAAAGCACAGCCTTATGCACTGGTGGTCAGTCCCTCTCAACACCTCTGTCACTGTAAAGCTGGCAGGCAACCCTCCAAGGTTGGCCTTCCCAAGCACTGCACCTCTAGGTGACAGAGCACGTCCTTACCTTGAAGCCTGGGCGCCCAGTCTATCCTGTCCAATGAGCGAGCTGTGGAGAAGGGGGGATTCCGGGTTAAGGGGAGACTAGCAGGGCTCCTGCTTTTATGTTGCCCTGTTGGGAAGGCTATTAAAGAAACACAAAGTGCTAAGCAGTGAGGATAGAACATGTTTTCATTATTTCAACCAATACATTCCACAGATGGAATAATAAGAAATGCTACAACCAAGCTAACTGAATCCAACAGCATATCAAAAAGATAATCCACCATGATTCAAGTGGGTTTCATACTAGGGATGCAGGGATGGTTTAACATACGCAAGTCAATAAATGTGATACATCACATCAATAAAACTAAAAACAAAAATCACATGATAATCTGAATAGATGCAGAAAAAGCCTTTGACAAAATCCAGCATTTCTTTATGATTAAAACCGTTCATCAAAATCAGCGTAGAACGGACATACCTTAAGGTAATAAAAGCTATCTATGACAAACCCACAGCCAACATTTTCCTGAATGGGGGAGAGTTGAAAGCATTCCGCCTGAGGAAGGGAACAAGACAAAGATGCCCACGTTCACCGCTTCTCAACACAGTGCTGTTCACTACAGCATTGGTTATAAGAGCAAGACTGGAAACAGAACAAATGGATACCCATAGCGGGGTGCTTAAGTAATTTTGGGAATAGTCATGGGGTGCAGTACTTTATAGCTCTGAAACAATACAATGGATTTACATTTGAAATGTGGAATGATAACTAAGGTGCATTGCCCAGTGATATATGCAGAGGTGCAGAGGACTTTGTGTAAACATGATCACACATCAGCCTGCATTCCAGGTGCATGCTTCTATTTGCACATAGATTGCAGGGATGATATGCAAACAAAAATGTTGACTTGGTGTTTGGAAGTTCAGAGTGGAAGGGAAACTTCCTTGCTAACCTTTTATGATATTTAGAGTTTCTAAATGTGAATACGTAATACATTTAGAAATCTTAGTTAATAAGAAAAGCCTCTGTTCCTGGCCTCTTGCTGGCACATGTCAGGTGGAAATGGGGCTGTCATGCTAATGTGTGCAAACTGAGAAAAATCCAAGAATGGGAGTCTGCTTTTTTCATCATACAAATAATTGTTAATAGAAACAGTATGATAATTGCTCATTGATATACCATGCATATTCTATTAGATAATAATAAATTTCTGAAATTTGAACTATACTTACACATGGAAATTGAAATATATGGATGAAACATTGTGGCTTATATAGGCAATTGTTTTATTGGCATTTTACAAACTGATCATCATTCCTCATGGCACGGGTCCATGTGATATTAAGTAGCTTGTTATGCTTGGGAAAGGCAGTGATGACCACAAGAATGACTTCAACTACTAAAGTACAATGGAGATTTCAACAATGTTTTGTTTAATATTTAAATATTTCATTGTGCTCCCAGGCTTTTTCTCACCCTAATAGCTCTCATCCATATCATGTGGGTCCCATTAATACAGATACCCCCGAATGCACCACTCTTCCATTATATCCAGTCAATTGCTGGTTACCTTGGGCCTACCAACTGGGGGAGGGCAGGGGCTGCTGGCCACCTCCTCATCTACAGTAAGAGTCAATGAGCAGTTAAATGGATACTGAAAACCATTTATCCTGCTGGAGTGAGAAATAAATGGTTTCTTTCAATAGCGTAGTAAAATGCATCTTTTCCAAACTATTTATATGACTCAAGGCCCATCTCAATTTCAGATGTGGTTAGCCTCAATTCCTGATTCTCACCAAGGTATGTAATGTCATCCACGGCCCAGTGCAGAGGAACACAGGTGCTGCCGTCAGACTGCCAGGGTCCGATCCCGCCTCCTCACTCACCCCGGGAGATCCCTTTAAGCCAGGAGTCAACAGTGAGGATGGAAACATGAGTGCTTTTTAAAGTCCTGAAAGTTCAGAGGCAGACTGTCAATTTCTCCTCCACCCCTGGGCACACACCAGGAGAACTCTGTCTCCAGGTTGGAGGAAGTGCCTGTGAGAGAGTTGTGTCCCTCAGATTCTGTTCACCACAGGTGACACTCAATGCAACCCCAAACCTCTTCTGCACAATCCCAAGGGGTGCTGACTAATCCAACCCAAAGGCTGTGATGTTTGGCAGAGGCAGAAAAGAAAAGGCCAGGTGTTCTGGGAAAGACCACCTTTAAATAACACAGCACCCTCATAGCCCAGAGAGACAGTTCTAACTATTATGCCAATAAACCCGGAAAAGACCAAATCCGATATGACACATATTTCCTGTTTCGTTTTGATTTCATGCCCCCTCCCTTAACCTCCCAAGCAGCATGGATACCCCGAAGGCCCCTGGGAACTCTCTCCAATTGGATCTTACGTGGAAAGCAGTTACCTACCTACAAATCCCCATCATCAGATATGCTCTCCACAATCAAATCTTTAGAAACACAAACACCAGGATAAGTCATTAGAGAGAGGCCCACCCACTCCTCCCACCCTAGCTGAAGCCATGGTGCTTCGCACAGGATCCCCTGGTGTTTCCTCTGGGCTCACAGATATCCCTACAGCCTCTCTGGACATGGTTTTATACTTGCAAAATCATTTGCTCTCACCAGACCCCAAATCCTCCTTCCCAAAAGGAGCCCAGAATCAGGTTTCTGTACCCTAGAGATGGCGCTTTTTCCTCAGGAAGTGAGTTATTTCAGGGTACGTATCATTCTCCAGTGTCAATGGCTCCTGCAATTATAGAAAAGAAAACATTAGGAGGGTGAAATGATGCCATACACGTCACACAGATCTGATAGTCTCTCGACAACTTGAGAGAGAAAATAGGAAGGGGTATAGTGATTGAGTCAAAGGTCGAAGTCCCCCAAAACTGGCACGGAAGACACCTGTGGAAAAGACAAGACCTTTTCCCACAGAATTTATCTTTAAAGTGTATCTAGATTGGCAGTTTCACAACTCTTAATCCATGGGGGAAAACTGCTGTGGAGGGAAACACCTCTGCATTGCAGTGGATCGTGGATGCTGCCATCTACCACACCCCAGTGTGCCTGGCATGGGTTGGTGAGAGGCTGCCAATCAATAGCACCACACCAAGGGAATTGCAGATGTCATAAATAGTCCACATTGGCAGATGTTCATGTCTACATTTGATTAAACTGCAGATGACATCGATAATGCACACTGGCAGATGTTCATGTCTACATCTGATTGGAAAGAAGCCAGGAAAGTAACATTTCTGTTCAAGACAAAGAAAAGTGTCTTACATTGGCAGCATCTTCTTTTTTACAGATGTCTTGTACAGTGTCCTCATTAGCAATGTCATATACAGCGTCCTTATTAGCGAATTCGTATACAGCATCCTCATTAGCGATGCCATATACAGCGTCCTCATTAGCGATGTTGTATACAGCGTCCTCATTAGTGATGTCGTATAGAGCGTCCTCATTAGCGATGTCATATACAATGTCCTCATTAGCGATGTCATATACAGCAACCTCATTAGCTATGTCTTGTAAAGCATCCTCATTAGCGATGTCATATACAACGTCCTCATTAGCGATGTCGTATACAGCGTCCTCGTTAGCGATGTCTTGTACGGTGTCCTTATAAGCAATGTCGTCTACAGCGTCCTCGTTAGCATGCCTTGTGGGTGCCATTAGCGATGTCATATACAGCATCCTCATTGGTGATGTCTTATATGGTGTCCTCATTAGCGATGTTGTGTACAGCGTCCTCGTTAGCAATGGCTTGTACAGTGTCCTCGTTAGCGATGCCATATACAGTGTCCTCATTAGTGATGGCTTGTACACTGTCCTCATTAGTGATGTCGTGTACAGCATCCTCGTTAGCGTGCCTTGTACGGTGTCATTAGCGATGTCGTATACAGCGTCATAATTAGCGATGTCTTATACGGTGTCATCATTAGTGATGTTGTGTACAGCGTCATCGTTAGCGATGCCTTGTATGGTGTCCTCATTAGCGATGTCGTATACAGCGTGCTCACTAGCGATGTCTTTTTTTTTATATATATACTTTAAGTTTTAGGGTACATGTGCACATTGTGCAGGTTAGTTACATATGTATACATGTGCCGTGCTGGTGCGCTGCACCCACTAACTCATCATCTAGCATTAGGTATATCTCCCGATGCTATCCCTCCCCCCCCAACCCCACAACAGTCCCCAGAGTGTGATATTCCCCTTCCTGTGTCCATGTGATCTCATTGTTCAATTCCCATCTATGAGTGAGAATATGCGGTGTTTGGTTTTTTGTTCTTGCGATAGTTACTAGCGATGTCTTATACGCTGTCCTCATTAGCAATGTCGTGTACAGCGTCCACGTTAGCGTGCCTTGTCGGTGCCATTAGCAATGTCGTATAAAGCGCCCTCATTGGTGATGTCTTGTACAGTGCCCTCATTAGCGATGTTGTGTACAGTGTACTTGTTAGCGACGGCTTGTAGGGTGTCCTCGTTAGCGATGTCGTATACAGCTCGTTGGCGATGCCGTGGGCGGCGTCCTCTTTGGCGATGCCCTGGGCGGCGTCCTCGTTGGCGATGCCCTGGGCGGCGTCCTCGTTGGCGATGCCCTGGGCGGCATCCTCCTTGTCGATGCCCTGGACGGCGTCCTCGCTGGCGATGCCGTGGGCGGCGTCCTCACTGGCGATTCCGTGGGCGGCGTCCTCGTTGGCGATGCCCTGGGCGGCGTCCTCGTTGGCGATGCCGTGGGCGGCGTCCTCTTTGGCGATGCCCTGGGCGGCGCCCTCGTTGGCGATGCCCTGGGCGGCGTCCTCCTTGGCGATGCCCTGGGCGGCGTCCTCCTTGGCGATGCCCTGGGCGGCGTCCTCGTTGGCGATGCCCTGGGCGGCGTCCTCGTTGGCGATGCCCTGGGCGGCGTCCTCGTTGGCGATGCCGTGGACGGCGTACTCCTTGGCGATGCCCTGGATGGCGTCCTCGTTGGCGATGCCCTGGGCGGCGTCCTCGCTGGCGATGCCGTGGGCGGCGTCCTCGCTGGCGATGCCGTGGGCGGCGTCCTCGCTGGCGATGCCGTGGGCGGCGTCCTCGTTGGCGATGCCGTGGGCGGCATCCTCGTTGGCGATGCCCTTGTCGGCGGCCTCGTTAGCGATGCCCTGGGCGGCGTCCTCTTTGGCGATGCCCTGGGCGGCGCCCTCGTTGGCGATGCCCTGGGCGGCGTCCTCCTTGGCGATGCCCTGGGCGGCGTCCTCGTTGGCGATGCCCTGGGCGGCGTCCTCGTTGGCGATGCCCTGGGCGGCGTCCTCGTTGGCGATGCCGTGGACGGCGTACTCCTTGGCGATGCCCTGGATGGTGTCCTCGTTGGCGATGCCCTGGGCGGCGTCCTCGCTGGCGATGCCCTGGGCGGCGTCCTCGCTGGCGATGCCGTGGGCGGCGTCCTCGCTGGCGATGCCGTGGGCGGCGTACTCGTTGGCGATGCCGTGGGCGGCATCCTCGTTGGCGATGCCCTTGTCGGCGGCCTCGTTAGCGATGTCGTGTACAGTATCCTCGTTAGCGATGTCGTGTGTGGCGTCCTCGTTAGTGATGTCGTGTACGGTGTCCTCATGGGGAGCTAGAAAAACACAGAGTTAAGGTCAGTGCCCTGGTGGTGGAGACTGTGAATCACCCAGGGGCTTGCTTGGTGTGATGCATGGAGGTGGCTGATCACAGCATGGGTCAAGCTGATGCTGGGACATCCTCCCAGGTGGACCTGCACTAGTGAAGCTAAGGGATGTGGCTCAGAACACTTTCTGCAGTGGGAATCAGTTTCCAGGTTCAGGTATGCATTATCTGGTGAAGTGGGGAAATATAAAAAATAAAAATTGACAAATTCATGAAAAGCCTTCCATGAGTGCAAGTGTGAGTTTTTTATCCACTTTACATTCAGTATGCATTCACACATACAAAATATTTTTACAAGAAATCAGAAATTTTAATTTTTGTCAGTTATGTGAAATCTAACTTAGCTGCCAGCATAAAGATTCTATCTCATTTACTTGGTCTCGAGAAAATCTAGCACATAGTAAGTAGACCAAAATGTTTATTAAATGAAAACACAGAGCAGAGATAGGGGGGCGGCTAGGCAGACTGGGTTGCACCTGATTACCTGGATGATAATAAACTGCACAAAACCTCGGTCAAATTAATATTGAAACTGCCTTTTGCTTGGGCTCGTTTCCCTTGCGGAAGAAGGATGACCAAGAAGATGAACAGGAAAGAAATGAGAAACAGAGGCCTTTGCTTAGTAGCTAAAGGCCACCTTCTGTAACATGAAATAGTCTACAAGTGGCCTTGAACTCTGCCGTGATTTAGTGACAGGTTCCCTCATGTCTTCTACCCAGGTTGAAGTCCAGCAAAATTGCGACTGTCCTCTTTACAACTTGCGAGACCACACTGCTTCTGCATTTGCCTGTTGTATGTATGAGATTTACACTTGTTTTAAAGCAACATTTTGTTTCAGTTGGGCTGGTGGCCATACCCGGCACTAGCCGGTCAATAGTGAGATGGCTCCTCATGGAGGAGGCTTGGCTTGAGGCTGAGGGTCTTTAACCCACATATACAAGAGAGTTGCCACTAAGGGATGGAAGCCAGGCTAATAACCAAGTGCCACACAGAGTTCCTATCTGTCCCTCCTCACCATTTTTGGCTGGCAGGATTTGAGCATTTTAGGGCTTGGGAAGATAGTATTACTAAATCTACTAAAATACATCACCCATCCTTATAGACTTTGGCCAGTTGCTGAGCAAATTAACTTCACAACTGAAGTGGGCCACACTGGCCTTTGTGGTCCCCCACTCCTCTTAGAATTTGTGAGCGTGGGGCCTACTGGAGGGTGGGAGGTGGGAGGAGGGGGTGGATCAGGAAAAATAACTGATATTAGGCTCAATATATGGGTGATGCAATAATCTGTACAAAAAACTCTCATAACACACATTTATATATGTAGCAAACCTGCACATCCTGCACATGTACCCCTGAACTGAAAAGTTAAATAAAAAAAGGGATCTGTGAGCTGAGCCAAACACCTGGGGATCTTTGTGCTTTTGACACACTGATGACTATGTCGGTCCGTGGGGAGATGAGGCTATAACTGCCCTGGGTTGTGTGACCACGGAGGCCACTTTATGATGATGGGCAGTGTCTGGGGCCTTTTGGGCTCGTTGCTTTAGGGCTTATACATGAATGCTGGACTCCGTGTGTGGTGGTGAACACCCCATGACTAAGTGCATGTCAGCGTCAGCACTGGTCCACACTCCTGGGTTCGTGTTTTCACTGTTTCATTCAGGAACTCGGGAGCTGGGGCCACTCCCTTGGCCCTTCAGGTTCTCCACCTGAGCAGTGGGGATAATAAGGCAGACCCGGGGATGGCTCTGGTGAGGGTGGAGGAGTCACTGTACAGAGAGAGTAGAGCGGGGGTGGATTTTATTGTTAGAAGTGGACACTGGTGATTGGGTTGTATAAGTGGGAAATCTCTCCTGAGAAAACACACAGCCTCACCTGTACAGAAACACACACATTCACACCACACGATGCAGCCTCACACAAGACACCACCAATCCTCAAGCACCCAACTCAGCACCACCCAAAAGGGAGCACAGCTGCTTCCTCAAAATTTGGCCATAATTTTTCCCTGGGGAATTCAGGTTTTAAAAAAACACTTCCCCTATACTTATTCCTATCACAATCCCAGGATCAGGGAGGCTCTTCACATTGAAACCAGGCAAGGATGCCACACCTTTCTTGGCATCCAGATTGTTTTCTTGGCAAGTGATTCCAGAATACTTACTAGATTCAAGCCTCAGAGGGGCCACCTGCACCACCTGCAATACAGAAACAAAGCTTTTTCAGGGGTATCTCATGTTGTGGATTGTTTGCACAAGGCTCTGTTTCTCTCAATGAATACTGAAAACTTGATCAGAAAGTGTAGTCAACTTCAAGGCCTCCAAAACAAGGGTAGGATACACACTGGAAAAGACATCAGCTTCTGGATGGTGGATCTCTCAGGTCCACGTAGGTTGGCAAGTGCAAAATCCTGAATCCAAGGAGAAGACATTGCTTCCAAGGACAAGGACCCCAAGGATACAGTCCACAACCTGAAGCCGTCATAGCTAAATGCCATTTTGGATTACATATCAGTTGCTAAGAGTCACTTCTTCCTCCCCCTCAGAAAACTGCATTTAATACCTGTCATGGACATTGTCATTTTTTCACATGTAAAGTCAGTTGAAAAAGAAAGACACCAAGAAAGGAACATTTCTATTTCAGAGAAAGCAAGGCAACCTTACCCTCGCGTTGACTGGCCTCTCTCCATCTCCTCTGTCCTTGTGAACTAGAGACTCCTCAGAGGCTAGGAGGACACAGAGCAACAGTTAGTCATAGATGCTTTTGTTCATGAGTTATTCAGGGAGCTCTGCTTAATGTGGACAACAGGACAGTGTGTGTGGATGTGTTTCATTAAAAGCACAGCTTGAGCTCCTGCTAGAAAATCTTCCCTCGTGGAAAGACAGGCAAGAACGAGGAGCTAAGGAGCAAGAAATAGAGTCCCTGGCATTTTGCTGATGGCAACTGAAGAAAATGGGAATGAGTCAGTCTACAAATGGTACTGAAGCACATGCTATAGTTTGATGAGAGTCCCACTGCTCACACTGTGAGGTTTGAAACCCAGCTAAATGGTTTTCTAAACCTGTAAAAACAATATTAGCTTGCAGGATTTATGTCCCAAGACTACTTTTACCTCTGAGGATCCACAGTGGCTGTCACTGCAGTTATGTGTTTTAGCATTTTGCACTTGAATACAAGCAAAGTTTAATAGATAGATTGGATTCAATTCTAGGCAAAACAGTCTATGGTATTTATTCACTAATCCTTTGTTATAACTGCTGATGGGAGAATTAGAAGTACTGAAATTATATCCTTTAAAATTAATTAAAGCATAATTATTAATCACACAATATTTTTTCATCCAGGCCTCCTTTTCTTTGTCATGCATGCATATTAATTGAGGATGGAGAATATCTACGCTTGTTCAGGCCAGCCAACATACGACAGTTTACTTCAAGAGAGGAGACACGGGTTGAATGCTGGTGTGTTTTAACTCTGCAGCGCAAACAGTTGCAACAAGTGTGGTGAACTAATCACCAGATGGCCCTTTGCTGCCTTATTTGTCATTGTGCCTTACATGTAGCTTGCAGGATTTGATTACGCTTATGTTTTGTGGTGATCATACTTTCAACTATTCCTAAAATACTGCTTCAGTCTTATCTGTTTGGGGTCAACTGCTGAGGATTTCATACAAATTAACGAAGTTTGTGAATCTAAAGTTCTACACAAAGGTGGAAATATTTGCAAATCATTTCTCTTGTAAGAGACTAAAATTTAGAATATATTTTAAATATATTTAAGATATATTCAAAAATCTACAACAACAAACTAACTAAATAAAAATCAGACAACTCTTTAAAAATGGGCAAAAGACTTCAACATATATTTCCCTAAAGAAGATACAGCCACAGATAGTAGCACAGGAAAAGCTGCTCAGGATCATTAGTCATTAGGGAAATGCAAATGAAAAACACAAGCAGCCACCAATATACACCTACTAGGATGATTTAAAGGAAAATAAGTGTGAAGAAGGACGTAAAGAAATTGTAACCCTGATACATTGATGGTAGAAATGGATAAAGTTGCAGCCACTGTGAAAAACAGTCTGCAGTGGCTCAGAAGGTTAAATATAGAACCCCTGTTGGACCCAGGAACTCTACTCTTAGGCACCCCAAAGAATAGAGAACGGAAATCAAACAGATGTTTGTATACTAATGTTTGTAGCATCACTTTTCACAGGAGCCAAAAGGTGGAAATAATCCAACCATCAGTGAACAAATGAATGTAATAAAAGCAAGGTGGTCTGCATGCAATGCTACATCATCCATCTGTAAAAAACGAACATCATTTTGAAAGATGATACAACATGGGTGGACATTGAGAACATTATGCTTAGTGAAATAAGCCAGACACAAAAGGAATATATTGTATAATTGTAATTACATGAAGTGCCTAGAATAGTCAAATTCATACAAGAGAAAGTGGGATAGGAATCACCATGGGCTGGAAATAGGGGGAAGGTGCTATATTGCTTATTGTGGACAAGGTTTCGTAAGAAATCATCAAAATTGTGGGTGTAGATAGTGGTGTTGGTTATGCAACCCTGTGAATATATTGAATGCCATGGAGTGCACACTTTGGTTAAAAGGTTCAAATGATAAATATTGTGTTATATATATTTCCCCACGATAGAAAACACGCACAGCCAAGCCCAGATGCCAGTCTTGTTAGCTGCCTTCCTTTACCTTCAAGAGTGGGCTGAAGCTTGTCCAATCTTTCAAGGTTGCTGAAGACTGTATGATGGAAGTCATCTGCATTGGGAAAGAAATTAATGGAGAGAGGAGAAAACTTGAGAATCCACACTACTCACCCTGCAGGGCCAAGAACTCTGTCTCCCATGCTTTGCTGTCCTGTCTCAGTATTTCCTGTGACCACCTCCTTTTTCAACTGAAGACTTTGTACCTGAAGGGGTTCCCAGGTTTTTCACCTCGGCCCTTGTCAGGACTGATCCTCTCAACTACTGACCATTTCACCTCCATTCATGTCCATGCCACATCAGGCTGTGTTGTCTAGATGGAATGAATCCACCCCAAATGTCCCTTTCTGGAGGAAGCCACCATTATGCTGTACCTCCAAGCATAATGGTACGTCCACACACACCAGGGCACCTCGCTCATGCAAGGTGCGTGTCCTCTAACAAAGTTTCACGCTCTAAACCCAGATAACTTTTCAAACCCAAGTTCTGTTGATTCCCCTACTTTGAGTGCTCCATAGATGCTCATTTGTCTACTAAACACTGCCCCAGGCAATTAAATATTCCAAAGTGACCAGCAGAATTTTTATGTTAATTCTGACATTGCGTTGTTAGTACAAGTGTTGTTCCCCCTTCAAATTTATGTCTTTGTTACTGATAAATGTAACTGATAATGCGTTTTTCAGCTATGTTGCCAAGCATATTTATATAAAAATATACTCAGATTGTTTTCAGAATTTGACAAAGATGATAGCAACAATGATAATCTTATTTGTTTTATACCAATCTTTATGTGTTATTTTCATCATTTCTTACATATTGGGGCCTACCATACATTGTACGGTGAAATTAGTGCTATGCATCATGGTAGAAATATAAATTGGCAAAAGTAATTTAGAAAATAGTTCCCTTGTTTCTTAAAAAAATTAGGCTGGGTGTGGTGGCTCATGCCTATAATCCCAGCACTTTGGGAGGCAGAGATAGGTGGATCACCTGAGGCTGGGAGTTTGAGACTAGCCTGACCAACACAGCAAAATCCTGTCTCTACTGAAAATACAAAAATTATCCAGGCATGGTGGCGTGTGCCAGTTGTCCCAGCTACTCGGGAGGTTGAGGCATGAGAATTGCTTAAACCTGGGAGGTGGAGGTTCCAGTGAGCCGAGATTGTGCCACTGCACTCCAGCCTGGGTCTCAGAAAAAAAAAAATTTTTTTGACCAAAATGTCATTATGCATTACATGACTGTATATGAATGCTCAAAGCTACATTACTCATCAAAGAAAATAACAAAACAATTAAATGTCCATTAACTGATAAATGAATAAACACTATCTGTATGAGTAAACACAGCAGACTATGAAGGAAAACACATGACCAGCACGTGCTAACACGTCAATTAACTTCAAACATAGTATGCTAAATGAAGGAAGTCAGATTCCAAATATATATATATGTCCATTTCTATTAAGCAAATGGGAAATTTATGGAGATGGAATGTCACAGCAGTATTGCTTAGGGCTGGAGATGGGAGTGGGGATTAACTGCCAGTGCGCAAGAGAGAATTTGGGTGAGGGAAACATATTTAAATTAGATCGTGGTGATGGGTGCACACAGTATCAATTTAATAAAGCATCAAATTGTAGACCTTTTCAGTGGGCAAACTTTATGGTGGGTTCACACCCAATATAGGTGTTAAAAATAAATTAATGTTACGGAAATTCTTGTCGGGTTTTTAACAAGCCAAGAGATATGCTGTGAAAGCAGCATTAATTCAAATGGTTGTCACAGGTCACTTAAAGTTAGATAGCTGTCCTACAAATATAGGGTGAATGTTATTCATGAATTTCCTGAATCTATTGCAATAATCACATTTTTTTCCATTAAACTCTTGAGGTAGCTAATTTTATTTATTGCATTTTCAATGTTAATCTACTATTTCATATATTGAGATTAACTCACATTAGTCAGAATTTACAGTATTTTAAAATATCACAGAATTTAATTTACCTTATCTGGTTTTGGTTTCAAGACTATACTAGCCATTTCATTTAATTGTACATGTAGGGTATTCTAATTTATGGAAAACTATTACATCTTCCTTGATTTTTTTTTTTTTTTTTTTAGAAATTACTTCTAGGGATCTATATGGTAGAGTCCATGGAGAATTGTTTTAATTCTTCATTCATGTCTTCAGTGGGTATAGGATTGGTCATATTGGTCATAGTTTTCTGCTCGGATTTCAATAAGAAACTTGTGGAAGAACCTGAAGGGTGGGATCTTTGAGGGAGCCTAAGACAGAGCAAGACAAGCTAAGAAGGAGGGCAGTGCCACAGCAGAACTGCCGTTGATGCCCCCTCGCCTAGATTGCGGAAGAGACATCCAGCTGTAGACACTGAGGTGCAGGAAAACAATGGAGCACCATCAGAGAAAGCAGTGCCCAGGAACAAGGAGGCACTGATGGTGGCAAGGGGCAAAGACAGCTGCCACGAGGCTGTTCACATGAGGGTCTCAGGCTGCATAGACACCCACACCAGCTGAGGGGTCCTGGTTTTCATAAAGTGTGTGGCTCAGCCAGGCCACCAACAAGCAGTTCACAAACAGTAGTAATACGACACTTTCCAAAGACCTTACTTGAGTAACACGGTGATCCTCACAAATTTCCAATCAGGATGGTCGCACAGTTCCTCCTGCTTTAGGACTCAGAGCCTGCCCGTGGTCACAGTGGGTAGGTGCAGACTCTGAAGATGCACTTTGGTCAGAGACCCTGCTGAACTCTGTCTGATGAGGACCTCTGTCCTGTCTGCTGACCACCGGTCAGAGGTGCAGGCTGCAGTGGGGAGTAAGAATGCCACCTTCTCAATGTTGGGAAAACTCCCTGCCAGAACTGAGAATGGCCCTTTCTAAGCAGAAGGCAAGCTCAGACTAAAGAAGGAGGCCGAACACATCAGGTTGGCAGATTGCCAAAGATTCACTCAGGGAGAGCCCACATCCTGGGCCATCTTGGGTGGTGGCAAGATGAGGTAGACGACTGCTTTTGCAACACATACCTGACAACAAAAATTCAACAACTGTAAAAGAGCCACAAAATCCCCAAATATTTGCAAATTAGCAATGCACTTTTAAATAACTCATGGGTTAAAGAAGAAGTCTCAATAGAAAATTAAAAATACTTTTAACTACATTAAAAGAAAATGTGACTTGGCAAGATTTCTGGATGTAGCAAAAGCAGTCCTTAGAGGGAAATCTATAGCATTGGATGCAATATACTAAAAATCACAAGACCTAAAATCAGTAATATCATGTTTCAATTAGGGAACTATAGAAAATAGAGGAATGCAATGGAAAGCAAGTAAAAGTAATAAACAACATCACAGAAATCAATAAAATTAAAACACTGAAATCATCAGAAAATCAATAAAACCAAAAGCTGGTTCTTTGATATGCTCATTACAATGAATGAATTGATATGCAGGCTAACCAAGAAAAAGAAGATAACACAAATGACCAATTTCAGAAATAAAAGAGGAGCCATCTCTACTGAACTGTTAGGCATTAAAAGGAATATCATGAACAGTTCTATGACCGCAGTTTGATAACCTCAGTGAAATGTATCAATTCCTTGAAAGGCAATCTTCCCAAGGTCATGCTAGGATCCTAATTTGAATAAACTTATGTCTATTAAATAAGTTGAATTCACATTAAGAGCATTCCGAAAAAGAAAGCACCAGGCCCAGATGGTTTCTCTCATGAAATCTACCGAATTCTTCAACAGGTGAATAAAAAGACAAAAATTCATTGAATGCAATATTATTTGGTGATTTAATGTGCCATTTTTTGCCATTAAGGCATAAAAAAGACATGAAAGCAGCTAAAGCGTACATCAATTTAGTGCAATAAATTCATCTGAAAAAACTACATAATATATGATTCCAACTATATGACATTCTGGAAAAGGCAAAGCTGAAGCGATAGTAAAAATATTAATAGTTGCCAAGGTTTCTGGAGAAAGAGGACAGAGATTAATGAGAAGAGAGGATTTTTAGGGAAGTGAACATTTTCTTTATGAGACCATAAGGGTGAACATAATGTTTTAAATATTTCAAAATTCATATATATGTATAACAGAAAGAATGAACATTATGCAAATGTAGACTTCAGATAATAATGTGTCAATATTTTCTCATTATTCTAGCAAATGTACCACAGTAATGTAAGATGTTACTAATAGGTGAAATTAGGAAGTGAGGGTGAGGAGACAGAATAATATGGGAACTTCGTGTATTATATACTCAATTTTTATTTATTTATTTATTTATTTATTTTGAGATGGAGTTTCACTCTTGTCACCCAGGCTGGAGTGCAATGGCATGATCTTGGCTCACTGCAACCTCTGCCTCCTGGGTTCAAGCGATTCTCCTGCCTCAGCCTCCTGAGTAGCTGGGATTACAGGCGCCTGCCACCACACCCGGCTAATTTTTTTGGATTTTTAGTAGAGATGGGGTTTCACCATGTTGGCCAGGCTGGTCTCCAACTCCTGACCTCAGATGATCCGCCTGCCTTGGCCTCCTAAAGTGCTGGGATTATAAGTGTGAGCCACCACGCCCGGCCATATGCTCAGTTTTTATGTCAATTTAAAACTCTCTAAAGAAATATATTAATTGAAAAATAATAATATAGCACCACTCTTTCAGGGAGATCTATGCTTATGTTTAACAACCAGGTAAGTTCTAGACATTAGCTTGAAACATTGTCTATCATTAAACATGAACCAAAATTGACTTTTAAGTAGATATTTACTTTTGTGGTGGTAGCAATATTTACTGACCAGGCAAATTAGAATCCTGACACATTAAAAAATATGGCTTAGTCTCTTCATAGTTTCCTCTTACATATGGGACACTGAATACTCCCCGCAACTGCAATTCTTGAATCAACTTAATTAATGAACTTCCACAGTACCTTCTTGTGGGTACCTCTTCTTCTTTACCCGGGAGCCATGAGGTCTCCTACACTGGTTGGTGTGCACAGCATATCTTCTTGTATTCTCTATCAGAGAAGATGCTGGTTAATGCATTGACAATAGATAGGGCTGTTGACATCTTGCTGACAGAAGACCAGAGGGAAAATAGTGATAATCTGTTCTAAGTTTAAACTTATGATCCTTTTCTTTACAGGCTTCCAAGCAGAGCCCACTGAATCAAAGTTGGGTTTCAGGAAGATCACGGAGTTCAGTGAGCACTCAACACCTCTATCAGACAGACTGCGTGGGCAGTGCCTTCCTGGAGAGGAGAACACAGCCGGATGACTGTGAGTGCAGGGCTGGTGCAGAGTGGGGGCCCGGATTCAAATTCCACTAAGCCATGTGGACCTGGCAAGCTCATGTCCTCCCTCTGCCCTCAGTTCTCTGCACTGTCATAATGTAATTTTAGCAATACTTTTTAGGCCCTATTTAAGCCCTACTTCTTAGTATCACAGTGCAGGGCTAAAAAATCACTAAATACAGGAAAACCTTAGAGAGGACTGGTACTTCAGTAATGTTCTCTAAGTGTTTACTACATGCCAGGAGGAATAAGCTGGACACTTAGCAGTGGCGGAATATGGAGGGGGAACTTGCATGACTCCGGGGCAGTGGAGCATGCTTTCCTGTTCGGCTTTTCCGTGGGCATGACGCCTTATGGTTTATGGAGAACATCAGCCCTGCAGGGGGTGCAGAGGAGGGGCTGTGGCTGAGATTTTACACTTGAGGGTGCTGACATTCAGAGATGATAAGTGACGAGCAGAACCTCAACCCCGCTGAGTGAAGGACCTGAGATGGGAAATGTATTTGGTTCCCTAGAGAGAGAGATTCCTGAAAAACTGCCACCTCTTCATCACGCCCTGTGCCAGAGACCCAAGAGACCCCTCACTGTCTTTCTCCAGTCCTCCTAGCCCAAGGTGTGTGGGTGGACAAAGGTGATGCTCTGGAGGAAATGCCTGAGATAAGGACAGGTCCTTAATGATAAAGAATTCTCCTTCCTCTTTCAGATCCTTGACCTCCCAGTATGACAGCTTAAAGGCTGTCATCTCTGTGGCCTGCCTCCCCTTTCCCTTCACCCTGCCAGCTGCCTCTCAGTGACTGTCTCCTCCAGTGACTACACTGAGGGACCAGGGACTGCTTGCCTCCCGAGGCTGCTCAGACCTTCCGACACCACAAAATGATTGTCAAAAGATGGGTCTGCAAAGAGTAACTTCCCTTCCACTGATCAAACCTGAATATGCAAGCTACTGTCAATTAACTGGAAAAGTGGCCGTTTGGGCTGGTGCTTTGGTGATTTAATGAATTAAGTCTGCAAGCCCCACTGCCTCCTTGACTATTGATCAGAGCTGCCTGCAATAAGGTCTGGCTAAGAATGGGCAGTGGCTGCACCAGCTCTGGGTAAAATTTGACCTAAAATGACCAATCTCATTCACTAACCTCACCATAGTCTTATGGGTTCAATGGACCTGTCCAATCCTTTGCTCTGTTCTCTCCATCACCTTCCTGTGTAATTTTCCTCCACCACGCACATAATAGAAACATGGCACAGGGGAGCTAATCGCCTCTTTTATCCCCCACTTCAGGCTCACACGTAAGTTTATAGTAAAAGCCTTTTCAAATGACTGCTTTAACTGCTGCTACAGCATGTGTCATCAGTTGAATGGAATCTGTCACGTGACTTTAAGCAACCCTTTGCTGAGAGACAAGATTCAATACTAGGGACAGTATTCTAGTGTACTACATCATTGATTTTATGTTATGAAGATCATCATTTATTGAAAATGTATAAATAATGAAGCCCAGCCTTACTCTTCAACGCTGTGTGTGTAAATCCACTGAGTGTGCTGACCCCCACGCTTGTACCCACCTGCTAACACAGAAAGGGTCCACTCAGAAGGCAGGCACAGCTCCAGCACTGAGGCTGTCCACACCAGCTTCACAAGAGGGTTGCCACAAGGACGACGGATACCCGGATAGCAACCAAATGGTAATTTGAGTACTTAATGGTCATGATCCCTAAAGTGTGTAGCTCAGAGGGCTTGTGGTGATAACTCCATCAAGACTCTAAAGCATCTCCCCAATTCTTACTGGACTTGATCCATGTCTTGAGGAGACCCAGCTATGACACGCAGGCACCACGTTGTCCTACTTAGTGCCTCCCTTAGTGTTTCAGAACCTGTGATTTGATCAGAAACATGGGCTTTCTATGTTGGTTTCACACTAAGGACTATGTGACACCTGCAGGAAGATGTCTACATAGCTACCTGGATTATGAGATCATGAGGCTGTCTTATGTGAGGGATGGCGTTTGGGATCTCTGCAGGTGTGGGTAATTCCAGGCATAGAGGGTGCTGGAACTCCCTTGCATGGGGAATAGTGATCTCTTCACTGGCTGATAAATAGAGGTTGTAGTTCAGGCCTTCAACATTAGCACCGTATGAGTAAACATTTTGACTCTTCACTATGCAGCAAGTGAACCAGGGCACATTTATTTATGTGGCTGAGTTTCTCCATCTGGCATGTGGGCTCAATAAACAAGCTCACAACATATGGGCATGATGATGATGAGGTGTGAACTAATGTAAGTAAAGTATGTGGTCTGATTTGTTAAATTAAGAAAAATGGCACTGAGAGTTGTGCTGGGTAAACACAACATTTTTTTCCTAGGGGAAACACACATAGACACACATTCACAAGCAAATCATGCAGACTTGCACACAGACCACCTCACCCCACCCCCGCCCTAATACACACATACCCACACACAACCTAATGTGAACATGTTCCCAGAAACTATACATAGATAAAAAGAGTATGTCACCAGGAAAACCAGTTTCTTTTACTATACCCTACATCCTCATTCCCACCAGATGTCTTGGATCATGGAGGCTCTCCAGACAAAAGCCAGCAGTTAAGCTCCAGATTTCCTGTAGAATCCTTTTCTAACAACCAGTGAGTGATTCCAGAATACGTACCATTGAATGTGCTCCCTGAAGTCACCTGTAATTAGAGAAGGAAAACACTCTGAGAATCAGGCTATGCTATGGATGGCTCACACAGGTCTTTTGTTCACTTGGAAACTCTGGGTAACCAAGACTGGAAATAAGGTTCAAGTCAAAAGCCCCAACTCTAGAGTAGAGTTCCCTTAGGAAAGCACAGGAGCTTTTCTTGAAGAATGTTTCTGTCTAGGTAATTTTTGAGTAGCAATTGCAGAATTCTTATCTAAAGTGGAAAGCTTGTTCCTGAAGAAAACATCCCTTAACACCCAGTGTACTATCTGACACTGCCAATTTTGCACGTCCTCTGGAATCAGGTGTCAGTTGGTAAAATACACCTCCTCCATCCCCAAGGAAATATTATCTAACACCTATAATGTAGTGGAGAATTTTCCCATAGCTGATATCAACTGAAAAATAAAGGATCCAAGAAAACAACATTTACATCTTAGGCAAAGACAGGCTACTTTACCTTGGTAGTAGAGTAGGGCTTCCTTTTCACATGCTTTTTGGAAGGCTTCTTCGAGTCACCTAGGGGATGTGGAGGGACACAGCATGGCTGTCAGTTCATTGGCAGTGCTACTCATGAATGACTCAGGGACTGGAACTTAGGGGCGTGCCTGGTTAACAAGCATGGAATGAGCTTCTCCTGGACCATCTTCTTCACGGACCAAGGAAGGCAAAGAAAGAGCAGCAAGGAAATGAGAGTAGAGCCCTTGGCTTTCCAGGTAATGGCAAATGAAAGCAACGTGAAATAATCAACTCCAAATGAACAAATGCTAAAATACATGCTAGGATTCAACCACAGCATCCTGTCACTTCTTCAGACCCTTTAAAAGCCCAGCAGGACTGCCACTAGCTTCTTGACATCTACCAAGTCCCTTTCAACCTCCACAGACCCACATACACTGCTACTGCATTTATCATGGAGGGTATAGGGTTCTGCCTTGTTTATGTGTGAATTTTTTAAAAACTAGATTTAATACCATGCACCAGCATTAATTGTATTTATTTCTTTTCTTGGTTATGAAAATAATCAGTCAGGCATAGTGGCTCACACCTGTAATCCCAGCAGTTTGGAAGGTGGAGGTGGGTGGATCATTTGAGGTCAGGAGTTCGAGACCAGCCTGACCAACATGGTAAAACCCCATCATTGAAGATAAATGTTTTATATCCATGGTTAACAGATGAGATGACCATGAAATGAACACCAGTGTACTGGGTGGAGCAGCTTATCTATTCAGTCTTCGGCACTAAAACCTGTGAAACAATATCATCTTGCCTTATTTACTAACAAATACAAGTGCCTCTAAACTTAGACAGTTTCCAAGTCATGGAACTGATGAGCACTTAGCTCCTGCAGAGAGCTCTGGACGATGGGTCGGGAGAACAAAGACACAATACATCAAAACAGCATTAACAAGTAAACAGGTTTTCAAAGCCCTCTACATGCAAATTTACACAATTATCCTTTTAATTTTTATCTTCATATATATGTACATAATCTACTTGCTTCTGAGTATAAATAAAACTGTATGTTCTTAGTTAATAGTCTCTATAAATTCACTCTATTTATCTTTCTGAGTTGAAATACTGCATCTCATTGGATAACAAAAAAAAAATTTGACTAAGATTACACTGGAAAGGTGAGTAGGTTGGGTGATTGACTGTGATTGACAATTCCATGATTCTGGATAACTTCCAAAGCATAAAAATAAATGTGTGTTTTCTTTCACACGTAGACAATACACATACTTATTACTTTAAAAAATTAATATGTGCATGGAAGTGACTTACTACAAATATATTAAAGTAAATACACATTTCACAAAAAAAGAAGAGAGGAAGGGAAAAACATGTTAAAAACAAAGAGAGGTACATTTTATTGTGTGAAAAGCCTCCAACGGATCCATACTACTGTGGCTTTGTTCCAAAGTTTTGGAAAGTAATGATTTCATAGGTTCTTAATTGGGTTAAAAACTGCATTAAAATAGACTTTGCCATATTCTCCCCTGGGGAATAACTTAATCTGTGGGGTGGGGGATGTAACGTTGAAGGATGCAGGATGTAAAAGGAAATTATATATATATATATAATTTGGGAATTTGGGAATAAACTGAATAAACTGAATCCCAATTCACACTGGGACTACACCAGCTGCCACCATGCCTGGCTAAATTTTTGTATTTGTAGTAGAGACAGGGTTTCACTGTATTGGCCAGGATGGTCTTGATCTCCTCACCTTGTGATCCTCTTGCCTTGGCCTCCCAAAGTGCTGGGATTACAGGCCTGAGTCAAGATACATATTTTTTAAATGAAGAAAAATTTCAAAGATACTCTGCTTGGTACAATAATCAAATATATAAATTGAGGAATAAAACATAATCATGAAACATATTTATAACTGCATATGGAAAATACAGAGGCTAATTTTTTAAATAACATATTTTGAAAGCATTAACTAGTAATTTGAAAAGATCGCATTTGACAGGCCAGTATGAACATACCTTGAATGCAGCCACACAGGTTCCCCATAAGAAAAATCAAAATCAGGGAAAATGAAACCACAATGGTTCAATCTGCTCTGACCTTTGAAAAACTCAGCACAGATAGTGGCACTTAGGACCAAGGGCAGGAGATCCCTAATCCCATCACCATGGCGATAGGGCATAAACATTCCAGGGTGAAGGCACAATCCACACTGTGAGGTCCAACTGCTGCCATGCAGACAGGTGGGCTTTTACAAGTACAGGAAGGTCATCAAAGGCTCAGTGTTTTGTTTCAAAAACTGAATCCCAAGCCCACACATTATTATGCTGGCTTCTTAAAATAAGTTATGAGACGGGAAATAGGGCACCCACAAATATATATATATATAATTATATATAATATAATATATATTATATATATAATATATTTAATATATTATATATGTATTTTATATGTATATATATATATAATTTGGGAATTTGGGAATAAACTGAATCCCAATTCACACTGGGACTACACCAGCTGCCACCATGCCTGGCTAAATTTTTGTATTTGTAGTAGAGACAGGGTTTCACTGTATTGGCCAGGATGGTCTTGATCTCCTCACCTTGTGATCCTCTTGCCTTGGCCTCCCAAAGTGCTGGGATTACAGGCCTGAGTCAAGATACATATTTTTTAAATGAAGAAAAATTTCAAAGATACTCTGCTTGGTACAATAATCAAATATATAAATTGAGGAATAAAACATAATCATGAAACATATTTATAACTGCATATGGAAAATACAGAGGCTAATTTTTTAAATAACATATTTTGAAAGCATTAACTAGTAATTTGAAAAGATCGCATTTGACAGGCCAGTATGAACATACCTTGAATGCAGCCACACAGGTTCCCCATAAGAAAAATCAAAATCAGGGAAAATGAAACCACAATGGTTCAATCTGCTCTGACCTTTGAAAAACTCAGCACAGATAGTGGCACTTAGGACCAAGGGCAGGAGATCCCTAATCCCATCACCATGGTGATAGGGCATAAACATTCCAGGGTGAAGGCACAATCCACACTGTGAGGTCCAACTGCTGCCATGCAGACAGGTGGGCTTTTACAAGTACAGGAAGGTCATCAAAGGCTCAGTGTTTTGTTTCAAAAACTGAATCCCAAGCCTACACATTATTATGCTGGCTTCTTAAAATAAGTTATGAGATGGGAAATAGGGAACCCACAAATATATATATACATAAAATTATATATAATATAATATATATTATATATATAATATATTTAATATATTATAGATATATTTTATATATATATATATATATATATATATATATATATATATATATATATAATTTGGGAATTTGGGAATAAACTGAATCCCAATTCACACTGGGACTACAACAGCTGCCACCATGCCTGGCTAATTTTTTGTATTTGTAGTAGAGACAGGGTTTCACTGTATTGGCCAGGATGGTCTTCATCTCCTCACCTTGTGATCCTCTTGCCTTGGCCTCCCAAAGTGCTGGGATTACAGGCCTGAGTCAAGATACATATTTTTTAAATGAAGAAAAATTTCAAAGATACTCTGCTTGGTACAATAATCAAATATATAAATTGAGGAATAAAACATAATCATGAAACATATTTATAACTGCATATGGAAAATACAGAGGCTAATTTTTTAAATAACATATTTTGAAAGCATTAACTAGTAATTTGAAAAGATCGCATTTGACAGGCCAGTATGAACATACCTTGAATGCAGCCACACAGGTTCCCCATAAGAAAAATCAAAATCAGGGAAAATGAAACCACAAAGGTTCAATCTGCTCTGACCTTTGAAAAACTCAGCACAGATAGTGGCACTTAGGACCAAGGGCAGCAGATCCCTAATCCCATCACCATGGTGATAGGGCATAAACATTCCAGGGTGAAGGCACAATCCACACTGTGAGGTCCAACTGCTGCCATGCAGACAGGTGTGCTTTCAGATGTACAGGAAGGTCATCGAAGGCTCAGTGTTTCGTTTCAAAAACTGAATCCCAAGTCCACACATTATTATGCTGTGCTTCTTAAAATAAGTTATGAGATAGGAAATAGGGCACCCCCAAATATATATATATAATTATATATAATATAATATATATAATATATAACATATATATAATTTCCTTTTACATCCTGCATCCCTTATATATAATATTATATTTAATATAATATACAATATTATATTTAATATAATATATAATATTTTATTTAATATAATATACAATATTATATTTAATATAATATATAATATTTTATTTAATATAATATATAATATTTTATTTAATATAAGATATAATATTATATTTAATATAATATATAATATTCTGTATAATATATATTATACATAATATTATATATAACATAATATATAATATTATGTATAATATATATTATTATACAGAATATTATATATAATATAATATATATAATTATATATGAAATATAATAATGTATAATTATATATGTAATATAATAAAGTATAATATATAATATATATTATATATTATATAAAATATTGTATAATGTAATATGTAATATATAGTATATCATAATATAATATATTTTATAATAAAATATATTATATATTATATATGATTATATTATATTATATTATATATTATATAATATATGATATATTATGGTATATTATATATAATATAATATATAATATAATTATATATAATATACCATAATATATATGAAATATAATATATAATATATATCATAAATTATATATAATATATAATATATATCATAAATTATATATAATATATAATATATATCATAAATTATATATAATATATTATATATATCATAAATTTTATATATAATATAATATAATATAATTATATATAATATAATATATAATATATCAGATATCAGATATAATATATAATATATATCAGATTAAAGATATAATATATAATATATAATATATATCAGATATAATATATAATACATATCATATATTTTACATAATATATATCATTTATTATGTAATATATGTCTTTTATTATAGATAATATTTTTCATTTATTATATAATATATGATATATCATATATGATATATATCATCTATATCATATATGATATATATCATCTATATCATGTATGATTTATCGTCTATATCAGGTATGATATATCATCTATATCATATATACGATATATCATCTATATCATATATACGATATATCATCTATATCATATATACGATATACCGTATATATCATATATAGTATATAATCTATATCATTTATATTGTATGTAATCTATATCATATATATTGTGTATAATCTATATCATATATTGTATATAATCTAGCATATATATTGTATCTAATGTATCATATATATTGTATATAATCTGTATCATATATATTGTTTATAATCTGTATCATATATATTGTATATAATCTGTATCATATATATTGTATATAATCTCTATCATATATATTGTATATAATCTCTATCATATATATTGTATAAAATCTATATCATATAGTATATAATATATATCATATATTGTATATAATATATATCATACATATTGTATATAATATACATCATACTTATTGTATATAATATATATCATACATATTGTGTATAATATATATCATACATATTGTGTATAATATATATCATACATACTGTGTATAATATATATCATACATATTGTGTATAATATATATCATACATATTGTGTATAATATATATCATACATATTATATATGATATATATCGTATATATTATATACGATATATATCATATGTAATATATACGATATATATCATATATATTATATATGATATATATCGTATATTAAGTTAAGTTTGGGGATAGCCCAGAATTATATATGGATTTTCAACTGCATAGGAGCTGGTCCCCTAACCCTTGCACTGTTCAAGGATCAACAGTATGTATAATACTATAGATTTTATTCATATTTTAGAGTGTAGTACTGCTACTCATTAAGAAAAATTAACTATAAAACAGCTTCAGGAAGGTCTTCCACGAGTTCTTCCAGAAGAAAGCCTTGTTATCATAGAGAATGACAGCTGCATGTATGTTATTGCCACTGAAGACCCTGAAGACCTTTCACTTGGACAAGATTTCGAGATGGAAGACAGTGATATTGATTATCCTGACCCTTACAGGGCTAAGCTAGTGTGTGTGTTTGTATCTTAGTTTTTAACAAAAATGTTTAAAACATAAAAAATCAAAATAAATGAAGCTTATCAAATAAGGATATAAAGTATTTCTGTACAGCTGTTCAATGTGTTTTTGTTTTAAGATGTGTTATTATCAAAGAATCAAAAAATTAAAAAAATTAAAAGTTTATAAAGTTATGATAAGCTAAGATGAACTTGTTAAAGAAAGAAAAAATTTAAATACATTTAGTGTAGCCTAAGTGTACAGTGCATATAAAGTCTATAGTTATGTACAGTAATATCCTAGGCCTTCGCATTCACTCACCAAGTACTCACTGACTCATCAGAGCATCTGCCAGTCCTGCAACCTCTGTTCATGCTAAATGTCCTTTACTGGTGTACCACTCTCTTTAAATTTTGTAATATATATATATATTTTTTTCTTTGTTTTTTTTGAGAAGGAGTTTTATTTTGTTGCCCAGGCTGGAGTTCAATGATACGATCTTGGCTCACTGCAACCTCTGCCTCCGGGGTTCAAGTGATTCTCCTGCCTCAGCCTCACGAGTAGCAGGGATTACAGCCCCACGCCAGCACACCCAGCTAATTTTGTATTTTTAGTACAGACGGAGTTTCTCCATGTTGGTCAGGCTGGTCTCGAACTTCTGACCTCAGGTGATCCGCCCCCCTCGGTCTCCCAATGTACTGTGTTTTTACTGTATCTTTTCCATGTTTAGATATTACTACTGTGATATAACTGCCTACAGCAGTGGGCCCCAAAGTTTTGACACCAGGGACTGGTTTTGTGAAAGATAATTTTTCCACGGAGTGGGGATGGCTTTGGGCTGAAACTCTTCCACCTCAGATCATCAGGCATTAGTTAGATTCTTTTTTTTCTTTTTTTTTTCTTTTTTAGACTGAGTCTCCCACTGTTGCCAGGCTGGAGTGCAGTGGCACAATCTCGGCTCACTGCAACCTCTGCCTCCCGGGTTCAAGTGATTCTCCTGTCTCAGTCCCCCGAGTAGCTGGGACTACAGGCATGCGCCACCACACCCAGCTAATTTTTGTATTTTTAGTAGAGACGGGGTTTCCATGTTGGCCAGGATTGTCTTGACCTTGTGATCCACCTGCCTCGACCTCCCAGAGTGTTGGGATTACAGGCGTGAGCCACAGCACCCAGCCTAGTTAGATTCTCATAAGGAGAACATAACCTAGATCCCTTGTATGGGCAGTTCACAATAGGGTTTGTGCTCCTGTGAAGGTCTAATGCTGCTGCTGATCTGACAGGAGGCGGAGCTCAGGCAGTAATGCTCGGCTGGCCAGCCACTCATCTCCTGCTTTGTGCCCAGTTCCTAACAGGACACGAACCGGTGCTGGTCCATGGCTTGGGTGTTGCGGACCATTGGCCTACTGTATTCAGCACAGTGACATGCTGCACAGGTGTGTAGCCCAGGAGCAATAGGCTGTACGATATAGCCTAGGTATGTAGTAGGCTACGCTGTCTAGGTTTGTATAAAGTACACTCTTTGGTGTCTGCACAGCCACAAAATCACCTAATGATGCATTTCTTGGAATATATTACCATTAAATGAGATTTACCTGTATTAGTGTCATCTCAGGTTTATTGTCTAGTAATTTTAAAAGTATTTGTATATTCTTTCCCAGACACATCATCATACTCTGGTGCATATCTCTATTTTATTCCCTAGACCCACTCTTAATTTTTCTGCATTCTGCTTTGTTCCTTAGGAGGCTCACCTGAATTGGATACTTCAGAGATCTCCCTTACCCTCATGCTTTTATTGGGGTTCAGCTAATGGAGGGGGTGGCAGAAGATAGGTGAGAGAAGAGTGTGTTTATCCCCCACCTCTGCCCCTGCAGGGTCAGCACAGGCAGACTGTGTCCCTTTGCTGAAGATCACAGCTTCTGTCTGGTGCCTTCTTGGCAAGCTGGCACTGTCTCTAGTCAGGTGACTGCTTGGCCCCTTACTACTTACACTCTTCTGTCTGGTTTCTTTGTGACTTTCCTGCTGTGCTGTAAGTAGTCCCTTTATTAGAATCCATCCACATTACCCAGTTATATAAAGACAAATAGTTGGTCACTGATGTAGTTCACTCCCTGAGAATCAGCCTTCATCAAAGATCCCTAACAGTCAGATATTCTGTTGGCCGCTCCATTCCTGCTCCCCATTATTCTAGTTGTGTCTTCCTTGTCTCTAGTGCAGTCACAAAGCATAAGCGCCTCCACTGTCACTTGTTCTTTGCAACTCTAGGATCACATCATTCCCCTTGAAATCAGAGAATCTGCAATCTCCCCAAGCCCACAAAATTCAGCCGTCACAGTACTTTTCAAGCATGCCAGCAGCCCTCCCCAACAAACGAATCCTTAATTTCTTACAGAAACATCTTCTGGGCTTCCTGTGGGACACAGCGCGGGTCGGCTTGGCATGTGGATCACACCTGATATTTTTACCCCCACCTCCTACTATTCCTATTCCTTTGTATGCACCTCTCTTTATTATGCTAGGAAAGCTCTGGCAACACAACCTCAAAATAAGCAGGCCAGTGTGGATTCACAGTTTCTGTCAGACAAACAAACTTGAGCACCACTTCTAACTTCTTGGGCTAAGACTTTAACTTCAGAATCTCTAGGTATCTATGTTGATAAACTTAGCCTATGTCAAGATTATATTCTGCATGCCTTAGTCAAACACCATGTAAATCTATGCCTCATATATTCTCTAGGCTTTAGCTGATAGGGATTAGCAAAGTAGTGTGGTTGTTTTGGTCTTTAAACAATGTCCATTTTCTACCAGCTTTCCATTGCACTCTTTTTTTTTTTTTTTTTTTTTGAGATGGAGTCTTGCTCTGTCGCCCAGGCTGGAGTGCAGTGGCGCGATCTCGGCTCACTGCAAGCTCTGCCTCCCGGGTTCACGCCATTCTCCTGCCTCAGCCTCCCGAGTAGCTGGGACTACAGGCGTGTGCCGCCACACATGGCTAATTTTTTGTATTTTTAGTAGAGATGGGGTCTCACTGTGTTAGCCAAGATGGTCTCGATCTCCTGACCTCGTGATCGGCCCATCTTGGCCTCCCAAAGTATTGGGATTACAGGCGTGAGCCACCACACCGGGCCGACTCCATTGCACTCTTACAGACCATGTTGACAAAATTATAACTGCAACAGTCAACTACAATAGCAATTTTACCTCTCATGTACCACTTTAAAAAACACATCATTCCCAATAACCACATTTGATGATTTAAGTAATCATGATACCACCGTACACTACAGATGATCAGGTTTCTGTCTCCTCCCGACAACAAGGTCAGGAATTCATTCAGACTGAAACAGGTCAGCAAACCACTTCCAGATTCTCATCTATAAAGATCTATTTCTAGAACCATTTCTAGTACCTATACAATATTAGAATCAAGTCAGGAAGCAGAAAACATTCTAGATATTTTAAACAGAAAACAATTCATGGAGAGATCAATTACAAGAGTATGTGTAGCAAAAGATGAAAGGGTCAGGTTGTTTAAGTAACTTGATAAATCTCTGCTTCTTTTGTGTTGGGTGATAAAAATGTTGACCAGAGATCAGTGGCAGATGATCCAAGGCGTCAGCTGTCCAAGCTCAGCATCTGGAGCCGGTGCTGAGGAAATGTGCATTTCTAGGTCTGGGCGCCATTGGACCATCACTACTGTCCTTGAAGCTGCCACCGTGAGAACTCACATCTCAGCTGCTATAGCCACAGCTGATATTGTCATTGCTTCCAGAATTATTTCCCTTGCTCCATCGTGGGGATCCCGCAATACTGCTGCTGCTGAAATCACTGTTGTTGCTCCTTCCAGAACTGTCGGCACTGCAGCATTATTATCACTGCAGCTACCACTGGAGATGGCTACAGACACCAGAAACGGAAGAGCACCTCTCCCCTCCTCCGGCAGTGTGACTTTCAGTCGGCTCCTCTAGTAGCCAGATGGTATAGAAATGACACACCAATGTCCTTCAGAACATACATGCAAAATATTTTAAATATATTAGAAATTCTATTCCCCTTAGAAAACTAAGTCCACCTACATATTTTTCAAAAATCCATCAGCAATACAGAATAAAGGCATTGGTTCTATACAGCGTTGCAAGAATATTTTAACAATAGAAGGTATTTTAATGTCATTCACCACATTAGGAGATTGAAAAGGGGAAAACACAGGATTACCTTAGCAGATGTAGGAAAAAAATAAGATGATAAAATACAACATTCATTTATATTAAAATCTTTATACCAAACTAGGAAACGCAGACAAATTTCTTAACCTGATAAGCTTATCTATAACAAAACCATCGACACCACCATATGTAATGTTGAAGCATAATCGTTATTTTTATAAAAGCTAGGAAAGGGAATGAGATGTCTGTTGACACTGCTCGTATTTATCATTGTCCTGGGGTTTCTGGCCAGTTCAGTTAAGATAGGACAAAGAAATATTATAGAAAGAGGAAGAAAAAAAGAAAGCACATACGTTGTCATTGTGTGGAGTTTCTGTTTGTTTGTTTATGTGTTTTTGTGAGATGGTGTCTCACTCTGTCGCCCAGGCTGGAGTACAGTGGTGTGATCTTGGCTCACTGCAACCTCATTGTGTGGAGATTTGTAATTACCCATAGAAAATCCAAGAAAATTTGTGGATGCACTAATCAAATCAGCAAGGTTTTCAGATATGAAGGCAAAGTAAACAGAAAATGAAATTCTTATAAACAGTAGCAACCAATTAAAAATATTATATTATAATATCACATTCATGGTAACATAAAACATTAATGTATCTAAGAATTAATTCAGAAAACAAATACATGATCTTTCATTTAATTTCATTAAAGTTATTTCAATAAATATACCACCAGTATTTTTTTAGAACTTGATTGGAAAAGTCATATTAAAATAATCAATGGAAAGAAAGAACCAAAGTTATTTTGAACAATAATAGCCTATCAATATTTAAATGTGTTTTAATTATAATAATTAAAATGGTTTGCTTTGGCTCAGTGATACACCGTTAAACAATGGGAAAAAATGGAAGCACCAAGAAATAGATCCATAGATATGCTGAATACATTGGACTTGTAATAAAAGATATGATACTAAAAGTCAGTAGAAAAATTATACTATTCAATAAATGATGTCAGAAAAAACATATAAATTTTTATCCATATAGAAATAAAAATCTGTATATTACAGCATATCACAAAATCCTGTATCTATTTAGGTTAAAGACTCAAATCTTAAACTACTTGTGAAATTACTTATGAATATTACATGTTTAAGATATTTAAAAGTATATACAGAGAACTAATGACGTTGGGCAACAAATGGCTTATTAATCAAATGCCAGAATGCATGAAGAAGAAAAGAAAAGAAAAATAAATTAGACTGTATTAAAATGAAAAATCCTAGGCATCCTAAATAAAGGTTAAATGCAAGCCAGAAAATTGGGTAAAATATTTACAAAATATATAATTGAAAAGTATAATATCCATTATATAAAGAGGATTTCTACAAATTAATGATATAAAATAAATAATATAGTAGAAAAAATGATTAAGAACTACTACACAATATTCACAACAGATGATAAATAGTGAATTATTGTGAAAAGACAATTGAAAAGAGCAAGGTACAATTCAACAGCAATAAGACTTTATGCCCTTTTCTATAAAAACACAAAACTATGCCAAGGGCTTTAGGAACCGTGAATTTATATACGGTGAAGGGGAGTTTAAATCTGCCACTTTGAAGAGTTTTTTGGAAATATATAGTAAAGTTGAAAATATATACATATGTGTATATATATATACCCACACACATACACATACACACTAGAAGTTCCACAAGGTAAACCTTCTCCAAGAGAATACACACACATTTGCAGAAGAGATGTCCAAAGGTGTTTGTTGAAACATTATTGGTAATAGCTAAAAATTGGAAATAATCTTAAAGCTCATTACTAGGAAAATGGAAAAGTGAATCGTGGTATGTGCATATAATGTAAAACTATACATCAGTTAAAATTAATTATCTGAATTTATATGGATCAATTTTTATATATTGAAACATCGTTGCATTCCAGGAATAAATCCCACTTGGTCATGGTGTATAATCCTTTTAATATGATGCTGAATTCAGTATGATAGTTTTTTTTTAGACAAAGTTTTGCTCTTGTTGCCTAGGCTGAAGTACAATGGCATGATCTCGGCTCACCACAACCTCCACCTCCCGGGTTCAAGCGATTCTCTTGTCTCAGCCTCCCGAGTAGCTGAGGTTACAGGCATGCACCACCACACATGGCTAATTTTGTATTTTTAGTAGAGACAGAGTTTCTCTATGTTGGTCAGGCTGGTCTTGAACTCCTGACCTCAGGTGATCCACCCACCTCAGCCTCCCAAAGTGCTGGGATTACAGGCATGAGCCACCGTGCCCCACCCAGTATACTAGCATTTTTAGAGTTTTTGCATCAATGATCAGAGGCATATTGATCTGTTGTTTTATTTTCTTACAGTGTTTTTGGCTTTGGTATCAGGGTAATGCTGGCCTCATAGAAAGAGTTAAGAGGTATTCACTCCTCTTCCACTCTTTGGAAATGCTTGAAAAGAATCAGTGTTAGTTCTTCTTTAAACGTTTGGCAGAACTCACCAGTAAAGCTATCAGGTCCAGGACTTTTCTTTGTCATGAGATTGTCTTATTACTGACTCAATTCCCTTACTAGGTTAGGTCTATTCTGACTTTCTGTTTCTTTATAATTGAGTCTTGGTAGGTTTTGTGTGTCTAGGAATTCATCTATTTCATCTGGGTTATCCAATTTATGAGCACACAATTATTTATAGTAATCTTTTATAATCCTTTCTAGGCTGGGAATGGTGGGTCATGCCTGTAATCCAACAATTTGGGAGGCCGAGGTGGGAAAATTCCTTGAGGCCAGGAGTTCAAGATCAGCCTGGATAACATGGCAAGATCCTGTCTCTTAAAAAAAAAAAAAAAAAGAGCTGGCATAGTGGCGAGCCCAGGAATTCAAGGCTGCAGTGAGCCGATTGTGCCACTGATTGTGGTTGCATCTGATTGTTGCCAGGGCAATGGAGCTAGACCTTGTCTCTAAGACATAGACAGACACTTGTTTCTAAAACATAGACAGGCAGATAGACAGACAGACAGACAGACAGAAATATATAAAGATATTCTCAAATACATTTCTGTTTTAAGTAATTTAGATTGTTTCCCTTTTCCTTAGTCTTGTCAGTTTTATTAATCTTTTTGAAGAACCAACTTTTGGTTTTGTTTTTTATTGTTTTTCTATTCTCTTTTCCATTTATCTCTGCCCTGATCTCTATTGTTTCCTTCCTTCTGCTAACTTTGGGTTTAGTTTTATTCTTCTTTTTCTAGTTTCTTAATGTGTAAACTTATGTTGTTGAATTGAGGTGTTTCTTTTTTTAATGTGTTTATAGCTATAAATTTCCTCCTTAGCACTCCTTTCACCACAACTCATAAGTTGTGTTTTTTTGTTGTTTCTTTGTTTTTTGAGACAGAGTCTCATTCTGTCACCCAGGCTGGAGTGCAGTGGTGTTAGCTCAGTGGTGCAACCTCTGCCTCCTGGGTTCAAGAAATTCTCATGCCTCAGCCTCCTGGGTAGCTGGGACTACAGGCACATACCACCACTCCCAGCTAATTTTTGTGTTTTTGGTAGAGACAGGGTTTCACCATGTTGGCCTGGCTGATCTTGAACTCCTGACCTCTAGCTATCCACCTCCCTCAGTCTCCCAAAGTGCTGGGATTACAGGTGTGAGCCACCACAACTGGCCACAGCCCATAAGTTTGGATATAGTGTGCTTTCATTTTCATTTGTCTTTAAGAATTTTATAATTTCTTTGTGATTTCTTTGATCCATTGGTTGTTTGAGAGTGTGTTGTTTAAATTCTACTAATTTGTGAACTTTTTAAAATCTTCTGTTATTGATTTCTAACTTTATCCTGTTGTGGTCAGAGAAGACACTTTGTATGATGTCTATCGTTTTAAATCTACTGAGCTTTTTTCCTTTTTTGGGACAGGGTCTCGTTCTGTCAGTGGTACAATGGTACATTTTCTTTGTCATGAAGTACAGGCTGGAGTACAGTGGTACAATCTCTGCTCACTGCAGCTTCAACCTCCTGGGCTCCTAAGCAATTCTCACGCTTCAGCCTCCCAAGAAGCTGGGATCACAGGCACGCACCACCATGCCCAGCTAATTTTTGTATTTTTAGTAGAGATGGGGTTTCACCGTGTTGGCCAGGCTGATGTCAAGCTCCTGGCTTCAAGCAATCCACCCGCCTCAGCCTCCCAAATTACTCTGGGATTACAGATGTGAGCCACTGCACCCAGCCCCTATTGAGAATTAATTTGTGATGTGTTATGTGGTCTATCCTGAAAATGTCCCATGTATACTTGAGAAGTATGTGTATTATGTTGTTGGGTAGAATATCCTGTGTATGTCTGTTAGGTCTAGTTGTTTTTTCAGGTGTTGTTCAAGTGCTGTATTTCCTTACTTATGTCTGGTCTGGTTGTTTTATTCATTTGTGAAATGAAGACAAGGGACAAAATCCTAAGACATCCCCCTTAAAAGGGAAGGACCACCCACAGAAAAGGACTGAGAGACCCCCAGAATCTATAGCTTAGCTAATTGATGGTCTTTCTCTCCTGAAGTTAGTAAAGAGTGGAAAAGATGACTCCTTCTTCAAACATGAAGAAAGCAATCTAAGTCTTCAAAGAACAGGAAGCATGAGAAAATATGACACCACCAAAGAAACAAAATGAAACTCCAGTGGCTGACTCCAAAGACATGAAGATCTACAAATTGCCTGACAAAGAATTCAAATAATCATCTTAGGGTGACATCAGCAAGATGGCAGAACAGGAGGCCCTCCACTCACCTCTCCCCACACAAACAATGATCTGGCAGCCATTCATGGACAAAACTGCCTTTGCAAGAGTTTTAATATCCAGGCAGGAGGTGGCAAAACTCTAGCAAAGCCCAAAACCAAGGAGAGCTGCTTTGAGAAGGCAGGTCCACACACCAGTGACAGGTTCCCAGTTGCAGACTGAAAGCAGCTTTGTCCTCCTATGGACTTGGGTCCAGCTCCACTAGATCATGGTCTTGCAACTAGCCCCATCCACTAAGCACCTAGGAGGAACCATGACCATTTATGCCCCCAGTAACAGGCCTTCTAACCATGGTCCTGACTGCAGAAACTAAAGCAGCCCTGACCTGGCTTCAGCCCCACTCTACCACAGTCAGTCGTGCCTGCCCAGGAATTCAGTGATGCCTTTACATGCCCTTGGTAACAGGCCTGCTGATCTCAGTCTCAGCTATGGACACTAAAGTAGCCCTGTGACTCCATTCCAGTCTTGCTTTGCCACAGTCTGGGCACAGTCCAGCCCATCCTGGGACCTGGTGAAAGACATACCATCCATTCTCCTAATAAGAGGACCACCAATCTTGAACCCAAATGTGGTCACCAAAGCTGTCCTGTGACTTGGCTCTAGCCCTGCTCTACTGTGGTCTGGAGGCAGTCCTGTCTTCCCATGGACCTACCTAGTAAGCCAGCAGGAGCTCAATCTGGGACCCACAGGGAGCTATACCAGTCCATGCCCTTGGTAATAGGCCTGATATCTGAAGACTTGACTGTAGAACTAGAAGTGGCCCCATGACCTGGCTCCAGTCCTGTTCAATCAGGGTATCAGAGGCAGTCCAGTTCTCCTGAGGATCCAGCAGAAACTGCATCACCAACCTATGCCTTGATAGCGGCCTGCCAATCAGAGATTCAGCTGCAGACCAGGCAGCAGCCATGTGATATGGCTCCAGGCCCACTTGACTGTGATCCAGTCAAGGGATCCAGCAGGAAAAGGTTTGTACCTGCTGAAACCAATCTATAAAGACAGAAAGAGATTGGGCATGGTGGCTCACACCTGTAATCCCAGCACTTTGGGAGGCCAAGGCGGGCAAACCACTTGAGGCCAGGAGTTTGAGACCAGCCTGGACAACATGGTGAAACTCTGTCTCTACAAAAAATACAAAAAAATTAGCCAGGCGTGGTGGCACATGCCTGTGATCCCAGCTGCTTGGGAGGCTGAGGCAGGAGAATCATTTGAACCTGGGAGGTGGAGGTTACAGTGAGCTGAGATCACGCCACTGCACTCCAGCTGGGTGACAGAGCAAGACTCTGTCTCAAAAAAAAAAAAAAAGAAGAAGAGGTATTTGCTTCTTCATAGACATTAATGAAAGTCTGTAGATCATGAAGAATCAGCAAATATGACACTACCAAAATAAACTCATAAATCTCCAGTAATCAACCCCCCAAAAATAGAGATCTACAAATTGCCTGACAATTCAAAATAATTAAGATAGCTCAGTGAAATTTACTAGAATGTATATATCAACTCAATAATATCAAGAAAATAGTAGATGAACAAAACTAAAAGTTCAATAAAGATACAGAAATAATAAGAACCAAACAGAAATTCTAGAACTGAAGAATACAATGAATAAAATGAAAATGCAAGCTGGGTGCCGTGGCGGATGCCTGTAATCCCAGCACTTTGGGAGGCCGAGGCAGGCGGATCACTTGAGGTCAAGAGTTCAAGACCAGCCTGGCCAACATGCCAAAACCCCATCTGTATTAAAAATACAAAAATTAGCCAGGCATGGTGGCATATGCCTGTAATCCTAGCTACTAGGGAGGCTGAGGCAGGAGAATCGCTTGAACCGGGAGGTGGAAGTTGGAGTGAGCCAAGATGGCACCACTGCATTCAAGCCTGGGTGACACAGACTCTGTCTCAAAAATATATAAAAATAAATAAATGAATGAAATGAAAATGCAATAGAGAATTTCAATTGCAGACTTGATCAAACAGAAGAAAGAATCTGTGAAATTAAAGACAGGACATTTGAAATATCCCGTCAGAAGACCAGAAAGAAAAAAAAGTTTATAAAGTAAAAACCTTTGGGATTTATAGGACACCACCATGAAGTGGGTCAAACATATTATGGACTTCCTAGAAGTAAAAAAGATAGAAAAGGCCTGAAAGTATATTTGAAGACATAATGGGTAAAAACTTTCCAAATTCTTAGAGGCAAGTGGGCTTCCAGACACATGAAGTTCAGAGGCCCCAAAAAAGGCCAGCCCAAAGACCATAATACCAAGATGTATTATAATTAAAATATCAAAAGTCAAAGACAGAGACTTTCAAAAGCAGCAAGAAGAAAGGAATTCATCACATACAAGGAAACTTCAATAAGGCTATCAGTGGATTTCTCAGCAGAAACCTTATAAGCCAGGAGAGAATAGGATGCTATATTCAATGTATTGGAAGAAAAAAACTGCCAATCAGGAAGGCCACAACTTGTAAAGCTGTCCTTCAGAAATGAAAAAGAGATGATAAGGTCTTTCCCAGACTCCCACCAAAAAAATTCTAAGGGAGTTCATCACCACTGCACCTGCCTTATAAGGCAGTTTTTCAAGTTGAAATAAAAGGATTCTGATTAGCAACATTAAAACATTAAGATATTAAGTTCACAGGTAGGCCGGGCGCAGTGGCTCACGCCTGTAATCCCAGCACTTTGGGAGGCCAAGGCGGGTGGATCACAAGGTCAGAAGAGGGGGATCATGCTGGCTAACACGGTGAAACCCCGTCTCTACTAAAAATACAAAAAATTAGCCAGGCGTGGTGGCGGGTGCCTGTAGTCCCAGCTACTCGGGAGGCGGAGGCAGGAGAATGACTTGAACCCGGGAGGCAGAGCTTGCAGTGAGCCGAGATCATGGACACTGCCCTCCAGCCTGGGCGACAGAGCGAGACTCTGTCCCAAAAAAAAAAGTTCACAGGGAAAGGTAAGTATATAGTCACATTCATAACACTGTAATATTGCAGTGGTGGTGTGTAAATCACTTTTCACTGTAGTATAAAAGTTAAAATGTAAAAGTATTAGGCGGCCCGGGCGCGGGGCAGCTGCTGCGGGGAGGCGGGGAGGCGGGGGGCCTGGCCGGACACCCCTGCGCCCCCTCCCCGCACCCGGGCGGAGGGCGGCCTCTTCCCCCTCCCCCTCCCCCACCACCCCCGGCAGCCGCCTCCCCCAGGACGCAGGAGGCGGGCGGAGGCCGGGTCCGCGCAGCGGGCGACTTGCGGCATGGGCCGGGTCGAGGTGGGGGGGCGGTTTCGGGGGCTGGGAAGCTGGGGTGCCGGGGACAGGAGGGTGGGGGAGCTGGGGAAAGGAGGGCTGGGGGGCCGGGGACAGGAGGGCCATGCAGGCAGTGGCAAGCGGGCGGCGAGGGCTCCGTGGGGCAGGTGGACGGGGATCAGCTCCTGGGGCTGCTCCGTTCCCCAGGCGGGTGTCGTGGCTCTGGCCTCCATGCAACTCCAGGTCTGCGCGCCCCGCGCTGCTGGAGCCCCAGTCAAAAGTCTATTTAAAAAGCAGAGAGAGGATGCTTCCCTCTGAGTGGAGCGATGAAGACCTGATCCCTGGGCCATTTGGGAACACTAGCTGCCTTTCATCACAGTCAACCTGGACTCAGAGAATGTCAAGAGCTTGTTGGTTGGGTCAAGAATGAATCTAGGCATGACGTCATAGTTTATAGTCATCCTTTTAAACCTGCAAAGAAGCATTTGCAGGTTTAAAGTTATTTAAAGTTATTGCAGGTTCTTCCCTCAGACGCAGCACGGTTCCTGAGATGACGTCAGCGCTGCTCGCTGAAAGCACCAGGCAAGGAGGCAAAACAAAGGAAATCCTAAAGAGCAGGCGAGAGAACAGTGGAACTGGCAGAGAGAGGCACTGGTGCGGATGGAGAGGGCAGCAATAAAAACTGGGGGACACTTAGAGGCAAAGGTATGGCAGGTGACAAAAAAGATGAGCTGAAGCTCAGGAGAGACCCAGGCAGCGATGCCCAAATGACCGGCTGAGGAATCACCTCACTGCTGCTGATGCCCTTGACAGCGATGTCTGAGGCTGGCGTGAGTGCTCCATGCTCAGAGATACCTAGAACCCAGCTACAATGGCCTTATCAGACTGAAACAAGAACACCAAGATATTCCAAGGGAGGTGACAATGGGGTCCAAAGGTTGTGCATTTATGGATCACAACTATGTGCTGAGTGTGGCCCAAATCCCAGCTCCATATGGTCACACCATGTCTACAGCCAATCAGCTGACTGGGGTGGCAACCCCTGGCTCTGCTCAACAATAATGACAACCATCATTTACTGAGCACTTACTATGTGCCAGACCGATGCTAAGTGCTTTCCTCAGATGTTTCCATTTAACTCTTAGAATCACCCTAATGAGTATCTCCTATTATTTTACAGATGAGGAAATGAGAGTTTAGAAAAGTAACTTGCAAAATCATACTGCTGGCTCCATAACAAATGTTGATTGAATGTTGTCTGGGTGGACAGAGGCAAGGATGACCGGAACGAGACAAACAAACAAAAGGCTGACTGACAGACCATTCGGGTAGCACTTTTCCTGGGATTAAGCTTAGACCTTGTAGGCCTATCAGCCAGAAGCAGTGTGTAAAATAAGAGTGGCTGACTGGGCACGGTGGCTCAAGCCTGTAATCCAAGCACTTTGGGAGGCCAAGGCGGGAGGATCACCTGAGGTCAGGAGTTCAAGACCAGCCTGGCCAACATGATGAAACCCCGTCTCTCTACTACAAATACAAAAATTAGCCGGGTGTGATGGCACACGCCTGTAATCCTAGTTACTCGGGAGGCTGAGGCAGGAGAATCGCTTGAACCCGGGAGGCAGAGGTTGCGATAAGCTGAGATTGGGCCACTGCACTCCAGCCTGGGCGACAGAGCAAGACTCCCTCTGAAAAAAAAAAAAAAAAAAAAAAAAAGAGTGGCTACCCAAGAACGCAACAGCAGCAGCAAACACTGATCTGATGACACCCCAGTTTTGCAGAAGAGGAAGGAAAAATAAGAATGTCAACTCTCCATTCAACAGAGAAACAGTGCCACCACTGTCTTTAAATTTTCAAACTTATCGAGAAAAGCTCCAGAGAGGCCAGTGCCAGCAATGCCGGCTGTCTCCCAAGTCTGAAGGGTTTTCCTCTGGGTATTAGGAGTTGAGGTGTTTGGTTAGAGAAGAAACAGGATGCACGGGAGATCACACACAGAGTAAGAGGTGCCTCTCAAATGCCTTTCCCACGTTTCTAACTCTGCTTTTTTTAAAGCACGATCAGACCCGCCATCTGCACTTTTACCTGCTGCCTGACGAAAACCAGATGCCAAAGGCCTCCCAGCACTCACGGGGCCCTTTACCCTTAGGAAAACACCGTGATTCAGCCAGGCGAGATTGATGCAACATCGTAACAAAGCGTATGCAAAGTGCCTAGCTCCGGACTGCTTGCAGAAAAGGCACATTTTGACTCTTCTGAGAGTGGGAAAGATTTGAAAGATGGGATTTGCACCTTATTCTTATTCAAGTCTGGAGATCTGGAACTTCTTCCTGAAGCTCCATGTTTAGCCAGATAATTGAGACGCTCCACCTGGTCACCACTGGACATCAGCCACCCAAACATTCTCCTCTGCAAGGCACTTGGCATTCTGGTGCCTGTGGAGAGAGCAGCCTTCTCACTAGCACAGCTCATGAACAAGGATCCCCTTCCCTGGACAGCCAAGATGTAAACCTGCCCCCAGAAACACTGAGAGTCCTAGAGGTAGAATGAGTTGGCCAGCAAGCTCCAGCCCATTGAATGCAGACCCCTGAGCAAATCAAGTCAGGAGAAGGTGGACAACTGTACCCTGAAGACCACATACCACCCAGACCCAACACAAATAGCTGTCAGCACTGCCACCCATTACAGCTTCAGATCTCGCTTCTACCAGCATTTCCCAGCTGAGCAACAACCGTCAAAGTCTGGTCCTGGAAGGACAGCCCTCCCCGTCTTGGCAGCCACACTTTCTGGCCCTAGCCCAAGGCTGCTGTGGCATGGGAGGAATCAATGGAGGAATACATGGCTCTTCCCTGGTTCCTTCCTCTCCCACTTCATTGACTAACACTAGTCACATGGCCCCAACTGAACTGTGAGGGAGGCTGGAAAATCTGGAGTATGTGCATGCCTAGTGAGTTGCCTCTACCACATCCTCTTAACCCTTGGCCTCTCATTCCCAAAGTCTAGCCCTATTTTCAAATGAATTCAACGCCTCATTACTTAGATCTTTCCTCATTACCTCAAAGCCATAGTGGCAAAAAGCAAACAGCATCTTCCTAAAATCTTCCTCTTCCATCTTCCTCTCCTAGATATCCATCTTACCCTTCTTTGCCAGTTAATTTATTACAATCTTCCTTTGACAGCTTCACTCCCTCCCCGCACTGCTATCAACTCAAATGTGAGTTATTTCAGTAGCTTGAGCTTGTCACTGGCCTTTTACTTTTTTCCCCTTCCAAAGAACCTGGTACCCAGCTACTTAATCCTTATCCTTCTTCCCAAGGCCCACTTTCATTCCTTTCTCCCCCATTCATGAGCCTGCAGTACTTTTCCCGCTGCATAAGTCACGTGTCACCATATAAACTCACAATTTGAGGTGCTCTAGAATCTGTCCACGGAATTAGTCAGGACATAATCTCCCTGTTTTTCGGCAGTGCCACATCCATACCTGTCTTCACAGGTTTGCTCATGCCACCATTCCTTTCCCCAGAACGCCCTTCTGCTCCTCCCACACAAATCCTAATCCTCCCTCAGGACCCATTTAAAATACAATCTCCTCACTCAACTCTTTCCTACCAACTTGCTTTCCCCTCTCCTTTCTGCCTTACCACAAAGCTAAGCTCTGTCTCTGAATAATGTGCTTTTTGATGATAATCTGAATGGTACAAGAAGAAATCCTATTTCATGCTCCTTTGAGGGAGTGTCTAATATAGGTTGCCTTCGACTATAAGTAGTAGAAAATTCCCACTCAACTGGCTTCAACAGTGAGGACAAAATGTATGGAGATTGGACGGTTCAGTCTTCAGGGGCTTGGCCCTCAGGGTTTTTCCCATCTCTTCCCGTCTGCTGGCCTCAACAAACCTGCTTTCCTCATTGCAACAAGATGGCTGCTTCACGTCCGAGAATCTAGTGAAAGAAGCTGTCCCTTCTGCATTTCCTTTTACAAGGAAAAACATCTTTCCCAGCATCTCCCAGCAGACTTCTCATACCTCAGTGGCCAAAACCATGTCTAAACTACGGGCCTCCAGGATGGGCTCAGCTCAATCAGCACATACCCTAGAGCTGGAGGCAGGGTCACCTTTCCTTGAGTGGCGTGTGGGAGAGGTGTGGCATCCAACCCAACTGGGTCCTGCCAGCAGGAAGAGAAAAGAAGAGCCACTGTAGGTAACCAATCACGTCTACCACAGGCAGGGACCAATACCACATATCTGTGTTTCCCCTCACTTGCCACCCCCATCCTGTGCTGGCAGATGAGGATGCTCAACAAATAGCTGTGGAACTACAAATTATCCTGTGGGTGTGAGAAAAGAGTGTGCATTATAATAGGGTGGTATAATTGGACATGTGTGCACGGAAAATGGAAAAACAGCCATGAAATCCAAACAGATGCAAAAACGTTCTTAACACAGAAGGTTTGGGAAGCTCTGATCTAAGCCCTAGCCTGGGCCCTACTCCCAGTTCCACAGATAGGGAGCAGGCCCCAGGCCAGAGTGCTGGGCTTCTCCCAGCAGGATCCAGCTGGGGCTTTCTCCTCAGTTCAACCCTTGCCTCTGAGGACCAGTGGTCTACAGTCCAGCCCACAACCCTTCAGACAGAAGTTCCAGGCACAAAAAGGAAGCTCACAATAAGGAACGCCCATGCCTAGCCATAACTGAGCGCATCACAGACTCACACAAATCTGTGGAATGAGTGCATGATCTCATGAGCTCTGGTCTGGAAAAGTAAGTCTCCCTACACTAGGACTTAAAGGGAAGGCTTCTTTGGCTATGCCAATATCTTTCCTGCCACTTTCTTCTTCAGGCCAAACAGCTCCTATCCCTGCCTTCCATCTTAGCTTTCCAGCATACTCTTCCCAGGTTCTTTGGGCTACTGACAAGCACTCCAGACCCAAATACACATGCTCCCACCTGAGGCTGGGAAATGTACCAAGAACTGCATAGAAAATATACTGGACAAAAGGCACTCCAGTCTCACAGATCTCCAGTCCCACAGTCTATATCACCAGTTTTAGCTGTTTGAAGTTTTAGAATTCCTTTTCAAAACCATAGCTAGCATTTCTTTGGCTAGAGAAAACTGTGTGAAATGCAGCCTACCATAGGATCACTGATTACAACATGCATTCAACATTCAATACATATTGACTGAGCAACTATTAGGTTGAACTATGTGACATTATTGACATTCGACTGCTTCTGACCTATCAAAATGGCAATAAAGCTCAACTTAATATTTACTCTATGCCAGGCAGTAGGCTAAGGAAGGATTTGGGACACCATGACAAACAACACAGAAGTAACCCCTATCTTAATGGAACTTAAAATCTAGTTGATTAAACCATTACTTACAAAAGTACAATCTAACTTCAGGATTGTAATTAATTATAAATGCATTTATTTGTTTACTGCCTGACTTCTTTGCTAGCCTATAAACTACACAAAGATGAGGGTTATGTCTCCTCCATTTCACACACTGGCAAAGCATATAGCAGAATACATCATATATTTGTTAAATGTATTGATTAGTGTTACAACAGACAATTGCATGTGCTATGGAAGCGTTTGGCAGAGAGATCTAATCTAATCTTGGAAGGTGAGGATCCTGGCCATCACTAACTTGGAATTTCTGATACTGATGATATAAGGTTGAGTTATGTCTTCATGAAACAGGTCTCTATACAGCATATAAACAACTACCAGCATGCACAGGGGTTCCGTAGGGACTATTTAAAATACTTAAGGGAACAAACGGTTTTCAAGCTCAGTCTAGTATTTCAGAAATTCCATTTACATAAACAATTGGTGCACTAATTGCAAATCATTCTTATTTCTCTCCTAAAGCAGGATCCCCTAAGGATCTTTATTAGGCATTCTATTAGCCTAGTTTGAGTTACAGTATTTACTTAAAAGTAATAACAGTGAAGTTCTTGAAAAATATTTGGTAATTCAGACATTTTACTAATTCAAACTAATCTTCCTCATTAGTCTACGTTGTTAGAGGTTTAACCATTGTATTAAGAGAAAGTATCAAAGGCTTCACTTAGAGTAATAGTCACCAAATTTTTTTGCAAGACACCTTGGTAGCAGGAACCTGAGCTAACATCAGGAGGTAGGTAGAAATAGAAAATAAAGGAATGACAATTTGAAGAGCAACTGCAATCCAATTTAGTCCAACAGATGACACACATATGAAGTCACATTCAAATTATAAGCAGAGCACAAAAATATTTTAGATCCTTATCTTTTGATTAACCTGGTATCATTCAGGGAAAAATGTCAGGGAACACCACTGACCAGCAGTCCTCTCTTATCTATTTTGCAGATCTTATCTATTTTTCTCCCTGAGAACCAGCCCTGGACACAAACTGCATAAACATCAATGAGCCTAGACAGGGTCTTCATGTGTGTTTGGCCTGCCATTGTTCTCTGTACCAGTACGGAGATTTAGTAACACACTGGTCACATTCATGGGGCATCTTGAACTCTCTTGACATGGTAAATGAACAGCAGGTCCTGTTCCCATGCCAAAAGCAAACAAAAACCTGTCACCAGCAAGGAAGACACCCAGTCTCTCCAAAGGATGCCAAAGTCCACATCCAGCCTCCTTTGCAGAGCCTCACAAATCTCTCGGATGCAGGCAGGATGATCACGGGCTAGGGAAGATTATGCTCTGAATGTCTTAAGAGATTAGTTACTTAAAATCCTCCACATGACTTCAGTCATCCCCGTTGCAGATCACAGAGTAAAAAGCCTACCTGATTAAAGCTGAATGCCTATACATTTGCAAAAGGGAAAATATGCAGAAGAAAACAAGAGTCAGATACTGATGGGCATAGCACCAGCTCTAGGACATCAGAGGTGTTGAATAAATGATGACAAGGAGACACACATAGTTCTGATATATTCACCATAAATACCACAGTCCTCAAGGCTCTCTCAATTACTTACTTCCCCCCAAATCAGAGACTGAATCTGGCCTTATCTTCAAATGAGGCCCAGCTCTCCCCAAATTCCAAATATGGGAAATTACAGCTCCTCTGTGGTAGGGGGAAGAGTGGGAAGGCGAATGTTTGTATTGCATAACGTTTTAATTAAAACAAAGATGACGTGCACCAGAGTCTCTTTCTCATCTCCTGTTAGGGGCGTTTTCCAGTACTACTTCCACCCTTTACCCACCCAGGTCACCATGGTCTTTTTCTTCCCTCTAGGACAATTCACCTTTAAAATAAGAGGATTGGGCAAGAAATCTACAAAGATTTTTCCAAAATGAACTCAGGCCTAGAGGCATATTAGTTCTCTATCTTGTTGCTCCCTTCTAGAAGTGCACAGTTCAGAGGGATGCCCAGCCACAGAGGTGCCAAAACGCAGAGCTGGAACCAATCACCTGCTCCAACAGAGAGAAGGTGAAAGCACTGGGCAGGGTGCTCAGAATGTGCTCTTGCTTCTTTGTAATGAAATATCAGAAGACAGATTGTAACATTGTTCAGCAAGCTATTTTTTGTACTGAAACATCAGAAGGCATTATGAAACTGTTCAGCAAATCATCTCTAAACAATGTCATAAAGGGTTACCTAGTTTGGGGTAAGCCCGGAATGAATATCTGCACCATCATTCCTCCCGCTAACAAACATGTCCATCTATGTGAAGCATAATTCCCAACACACCACCATCTCCAAACCAACACCAAACCACTGCCAAACAAAGCTGAAGAGGAAAACCAGAAAGGTCTCCGAGAAGTGCTGCTTGCAGGGAGAAGAATGGCCCTGCACAGAGGCTCCTGAGGGCAGCAGGTGCCTGCTTTGGAGCCTTGGCAATTTCCACCAGGCAGAATTTACAACCGTCTGGGACCTGCAGTCTCAGAGGGCTCACGGAGAAGGGGGAAGCTCTTGGCTACCCGGGAGGTCACCAGTGACTCTGAGCAAAGTGCAGATCAATGCCTGCTTAGGGTTAACCCCAGGCTGGGAGAGGGCATCTGGCAAGGAACAGACCTGGAAGAGCCTGCCCCTCTTTGAGCTGCTACAGCAGCTTCTGGGAATTTGTAAGAGCCATACTGATGAGGGTCCCACACCCTCCCTTGCCAGGGCGCCCTCAGGGAGGCCACACTGCAGGAGGCAGAGTATGAGGTGGGGAAGATGGATCGGCCTTATCCTCACCACCCCCCATACGAGTCTCCTCTGGTATGGATGGTGTCTCCTCTCTGGTGGGAAGTATGTGATTTCTCTATTTCTATTTCTCTTTTGTTCGGGCTTCCTAGAAATTCAGAGCTAGGTGTGAAATTCCCAATTCCCACAGACAAGCAACATCCCCAGCAGTAATAAGGACGTTCCACACACCCAGGACTTGGGATATTTGTGTATTTTCAAGAATAAAAGTTTGCCCTTTAGCCTCCTCAGAGCCCCCTCCCTTCTCCTCGCTCTCCCCTTACCACTGCTATTCATCATCTTACTCCTACAGATACCCCCTCTTCGTGGTGGCACCGGGCACTAGTAACTCATGGCTGTAAAGGAGAGCTGAGAACAAAACAGGAAGAAAAGAGGTTAAGTAATGGCAAGAAAAAAGATGTACCTTAGGAATAAAAAAGAGTTCCCGAATGTCACAGTGTATTTAATTAATGCTTCTATTTATTAAAGATTAAAAATACATATCAGGTGACGACTTAAAATGTTAGTCATGATTTTAACTGTGAATTCTGTGGCACCGGAGATAACAGAACAATGAGTGCTTGTAGAAGGCACTCGGTTATTTGTTGAATGAACTTCTTGGGAAAGCCTTCTTAGGAAAGTATTAGAAGTAGATTCTGCTAAAACAGGGGCTACCCTCAGAGGTCTCAGGACAAGGGATAGAAAGTCAAACACTGATGTTTAAGAAGGGATAACTATGACACATGAATCCCACAGCCATCTCTCCAGAAGAGCAACTATTTTGACTGCGCATGCGGGAAGATGGCGGGCCGGGCGACTTGAGATCCGCGGGTCTCCCTGCTCCTTTTCCGTCTGCGTCGGGAGCTCCCGGGCACGTGAGGCCGTGCCGCGTTTACTGGCGGGAGGGACGGCCTAGCCGGGCGACGCCTCGGAGGAGGCCGCGGACCCCTTAGGTGCTGGGCCCTTGGAAATCGGCGCGTGGGGGGCGGTGCTCGAGCTGAGCGCGAGAGGGCGGGAGAGCTCGTGGGGTGCGAGGGGAGCAGGACGCCCGGCCGGGCAGCATGAGTCAGCAGCGGCCGGCGAGGAGATTACCCAGTCTCCTCCTGCACCCGACGGAGGAGACCCCATCAACGTGGAGGGCCTGCTGCCATCAAAAATAAGGATTAATTTAGAAGATAATGTACAATATGTGTCCATGAGAAATCTGCTCCCGGGGGTATTCTTGACTTAAACAAGGTTGCAACGAAACTGGGAGTCCGAAAGCGGAGAGTGTATGACATCACCGATGTCTTAGATGGAATCGACCTCGTTGAAAAGAAATCCAAGAACCATATTAGATGGATAGGATCTGATCTTAGCAATTTTGGAGCAGTTCCCCAACAAAAGAAGCTACAGGAGGAACTTGCTGACTTACCAGCAATGGAAGATGCTTTGGATGAGTTAATTAAGGATTGTGCTCAGCAGCTGTTTGAGTTAACAGATGACAAAGAAAATGAAAGACTAGCATATGTGACCTATCAAGACATTCATAGCATTCAGGCCTTCCATGAACAGATCGTCATTGCAGTTAAAGCTCCAGCAGAAACCAGATTGGATGTTCCAGCTCCCAGAGAAGACTCTATCACAGTGCACATAAGGAGCACCAACGGACCTATCGATGTCTATTTGTGAGAAGTGGAGCAGGGTCAGACCAGTAACAAAAGGTCTGAAGGTGTCAGGACCTCTTCATCTGAGAGCACTCATCCAGAAGGCCCTGAGGAAGAAGAAAATCCTCAGCAAAGTGAAGAATTGCTTGAAGTAAGCAACTGATGGCATTTGAGAATTTATGTATCACTGAGTTTTTTGGGAATATCTTCCTGGAGAATTACGCATCAAATTTGATTCTCAGAGCAATAAATTATCCATGAAGTGCTCTCGTTCTCAGTAGCGGCATCATGGCCAGTAGTGTCTTTGAGGAGTTCACCACTTAGATTACTGAGTAATTGTGGTTTCCACATTTGAAAACAACTCCTTTTATAATTATTCACTGCTTTTTGTCAGTGAAATAGACATCTTGCCTCCTGAAGTAGCTTCATCACAGAGTGTCATGAAGACAGACAGTCAGGCTGAAAAGGACAGTTCTTTGTGGACTCTACCCTTCCCTTCAAGGAGTATGTCATATGTCACAAAAGAAATTGCCTTACACTGGTTCATGTTTGCAGTTACTGTTGTACATTGCATAGATGTACACACGAATTTAAATGTGATGTCTTTGTATATATCTGTATAATGTTGAGATTACTTACGAAATATGTCTGAGTGACACTTTTCACTCTCGTACAGCCAAAATAATGTATATATGGAAAGTGACAGACAAATTCTCTAATCTCTTTGGTATCTATAACTTATTAGAATCCTCTGGATGAGGGTTAGAAGAGACTTTTTCCAAACTTCTACATGTAGAAGTATCATAAATGTGCTACACATTTATGTTTGTGGATTTAATTAAAGTATTTTAATATGGTTTTCAGTGCTAAAATTGGAGTCAGATACTTCTTGGTTTTAAGCTGTCTACCTAATTGCTGTCTCCCAGCAGATCGGTGGCATGCCCAGTGGCTTTGGGGGCAAGGATAGAAATGTCATCAGGAAATAGCTGAATTCATTGTGAAACATGAATTCAGTCATGGTGATAATTGGAAACTCCTTTCAGGTTTTTGCAAGTAGATTTTGTAATGTTTGTGTATGCAGCCTTGCTGTTGAGTCAGTCCAAGGGGTTTTACTTAGGACAAGTTGTACCTTGCCCTCTCTCCAGCTCTGCTCCCACATTTTCACATACCTAGCTATTTCTACCTCATTGGGTAAGTCATTTACCACTCTGTGCCTCAGTTTACTCTGTAGTTTACCATTAGACTGTGAGCTCCTTGAGGGACTTTGTCATAATCACTGTTACATCCCAGTGCCTCACACCATGCCTGGCCCTTAAGAAGTGCTCAATAAATGTCTGAACAAAAAAAAAAACAAAAAAAAGAGCAACTATTTTAAAAATCAGGTCTAAAGATGAGCCATCCAAGAAACTGCTCTTGCTCCCAGAGGTTTTAAAGAAAGTCATTCCCATGAACGTGAGAAGTAACCCAACACTTTGAAATGATAATCTTTTTACAGCAATAACTGTTGCTGCAGGGCTTGAGAAAAAAAGTTCTCTTCCTTTGGGTTAAAGTCTTAAATGCTGAGCCCGTAGCCAGCAACCTTAAAGACTACTCGGGTCCAGTTCATTCTATCTGGAGGAGTCACTTGGGAATTGAAAACACAGGAAAACTTTTTTTCTGGTCCATGAACAAACAAGAACGCTTAACTGAATTAGACACAAAACTAAGTATTTATGGTTGTCATCTTAACAGGTTTCAAACAGGCTTCATTTTAATTTAACATAATTTCAAAATTATAGCAAAATAGTCAATAAAATACGAACGTGCTTAATTTGATGAATTTATGTGTTTTTTGAAGAAAATATGCAGAATAAACAAGTCAATTATTCTCACTAAATACATTAAGATTTAAGGGTAATATTTTTATTATGACTTGCTCTCCTGATATAGCAAAATTTATTGTTATATAGTTATGGAAGGAGGCTCACTACTCCCCAATGATTTCACAAATTACAGCTTCAGCCAGCTATAAAATAACCAAATCAGTTCTGATATAGCCATAAAATTAAGCCTGAAAAAATAGTGAAGTAAATCATCCCTTTAAAATCAAGTTGTTGAACAATATGTTCTGCATGATTCCATTTATGTCAGAAAAAATATATTTGTGTAAGTATATACACAGAAAAGGGTCTGGAAGAATATATACCAAACTATAAAGAATCTATATCAAAGTCAATAAGGGGCATAGACAAGGAGGGGAACTTTCACATTTTACTTTCCACATTCTTTTTTTTTTTTTTTTGACGGAGTCTCACTCTCTTGCCCAGGCTGGAGTGCAGTGGCGCAATCTTGGCTCACTGCAAGCTCCGCCTCCCGGGTTCACACCATTCTCCTGCCTCAGCCTCCCGAGTAGCTGGGACTACAGGCACCCGCCACCACGCCCAGCTAATTTTTTTATATTTGGGGTTTCACTGTGTTAGCCAGGATGGTCTCAATCTCCTGACCTTGTGATCTGCCCACCTCAGCCTCCCAAAGTGCTGGGATTACAGGCGTGACTTTCTACATTCTTGTAACAGAATTATAGTCACCGTTACCTCCATCAAAAAATTAAAATTCAAAAATTAGGCCAGGCACGGTGGCTCACGCCTGTAATCCCAGCACTTTGGGAGTCTGGAGCAGCAGATCACCTGAGGTCAGGAGTTGGAGAGCAGCCTGACTGGCCAACATGGTGAAACCCCATCTCTACTAAAAATACAAAAATTAGCCGGGCGTGGTGGAGGGCACCTGTAATCCCAGCTACTTGGGAGGCTAAGGCAGGAGAATCACTTAAACCCGGGAGGCGGAGGTTGCAGTGAGCCAAGATTGTGCCACTGCACTCCAGCCTGGGTAACAGAGCGAGACTCCATCTCAAAAATGAATGAATGAATTAATTAATTAAAGCAAACAAATATAAGCTACCTCCTGAAGTAGAAACCAGTATCTCTTCACCTTACCTTTACATAATACTTTACCCTAATGCATTTTATCTGCTGTTCTAAATCATGACTTACTTCAAATCAAATCTTAAGTGAAAATCAAGATTTCCTTTTGGGGGCATTATACAAAAAAGACTGTAAAATTTCATTCTCCGAAAGTCTTTTTAAAAAGGGATAGATTGTATCTGGCTGGGATAGGGTAGGTGTGATCGGACCCGGAGGAAATGACGGCTGCTCAACTGTGCATCTCCTTTCCTCACCCTGCTGAAAAGTGCCACCTAGCATGGTCAATCAAGGTCACCAATGCAAAGCAGTAGTGGGCAAACACCACCCAGGTTATCCAAAGCAGCACATGGGGTTGGGAAACTGATGACCTTGGAGATTTCAAAATCACCTAACAATAACCCCGCCTTCCCTAACCACAGGGCTAAGCAACCTAATGGATGGAACATATGTGTGCTTTGGTCATCCGCAACCCAGACCACTAGACTAATTTTGCTTTAGAACTGGACTATATCAAGTGTGAACGATCATACTTGTTATCATGTGGGAAAAAAGGTTTAATTACTCCCTAATTGTCTGGGAAACAAAAGATTTCAAAATACGGAGCTCCTGGGGGAAGGAGAGTTAATAAAATGGGTCCTTGAGAAGTGAAGTGGGAAGCCTGCCTCATGCCATGGCACCAGCGATGCCACAGGTGTACCCAGTGCCCTGCCGAGAGCAGAGACGGTGTTCTCAGAGTTGCTATCAAAAAGGAGGCAGCAGACTGCATTCTGAAGCATCAGACAATGGGTCACATGCGGAAACAGAATTAAATACACAAAAATAGCACCAACTTAAGGCAAGCCTGGGCAAACTGCACTACATCAAAGAAAGAACACACAACTGGTATCAGATTTTTTTTTCTGTTTTAATAAAGAGAAGGCCTGGACACCTGAAAGTTGACGGGAAGCAGGCATCACTAATTTCTCCGAGTTCACAGTTTTGTTAGAATGTCTTTGCTCTGATTATGGTTTTATTTATTTATTTTTTTGAGATGGAGTTTTTTTTGTTTTGTTTTATTTGCTTTTGTTGCCCTGGCTGGAGTGCAGTGGTGCAATCTCGGCTCACCGCAAACTCCGCCTCCCAGGTTCAAGAGATTCTCCTGCCTCAGCCTCCCAAGTAGCTAGGATTACAGGCACCCACTACCACGTCTGGCTTCTTTGTGTTTTTAGTAGAGATGGGGTTTCACCATGTTGGTCAGGCTGGTCTTGAACTCTTGACCTCAAGCGATCCACCCGCCTCAGCCCCCCAAAGTGCTGGAATTACAGGCATGAGCCACCACGCCTGGCCTGATTATGTTTTGATGGATATACAGAAGCTCTTGCTTTGGTACAGAAACAGGCCCCGCTTTGCTTCGACCTCTGGGCCCCCCACCTTCAGAAATGTCTGGTGCCATTCCTGGCTCCTCCTCTCAGTGGTCTTCCAGGATATCCACTCACAGCTTTCTGATGTCGCCCACCTGTCTCTAGCCCAGATACCCAGTCCTCATGGCAAGTGACTGCAGCAATTTTTACAAATCTACGCCCTTAGGGTTCCCATCCCAGGACGTTCAGGTTTCTCCACCCCTTTAGAAGTGCCCAGAATATCCCCTACCCCACAATTCCAACAGGACGTCACTCTCCTCTTACTTAAGAAAAATGCCTAAAATTCCAGCCCTTCCAAAAGGCCTTTCTAGATTGACCACTCAGGAGTTACTCTGGCCTCCCCTTCACTCCTGCTAGACTGAAAACAAGGACAGACTTGCCTGGCCTCTCTCCCCCAGTAGACACCTACCCCCAGTGAACACATCCTGTCAGTGTCCTCCCGTCCATTTGCAAATTGATTGACTGTTTCATTGCTGGCCTTGGATGACCTCTCCTAGAGGGCAGGGACGGTGGTGTTCGGCAAAGCCTTGGTCGTCTGGATAATGGGAAATGGGGTCTTCTGGTGAATTTAATTACAGGGTTAGGTGGAAACTTTGCTTCAACTCTCATTATTAGAAAGTCTATTGTAAAGCTTTTTAAAATACAACTGACCACTTTCCAGCGAGGGTAGAGTTAATATGCCTTAATCTTTGATTTAGGATCTTGCAGTGCCCCAGGCTCACCATTCTCTTCTGCTACTATAATTATAGATGCGGAAGACATACAGACTGGGCTGACGACTGCTTGGAAGCTAATTTCTAGAATAAACCCTTGCTACCACATCTTGTGATTTTTGCCCTTCTGAAGGTGGAGTTCCAAAATAAAAACAAAATCCCGCTTAACTGAGGGTTCCAGTTGAGGGAGGTCTGCTGCCATGGTCTTTGTTAAGTGCCTGCCACCATGGCCCACAATTAGTCAGTTAATAAAGGGTTCTTGATGAGAGAATTTGGCAACATGTGATTTTCCACAAATATAAGCTTGATTTTGATGCAACCACTCATTTCTTTGAAAATCAGGGGGCATTCACACACAGGTGTTCTAGATTTCCTTACAGTAAAACCAACCCTTTACAAGGAATAGCTGTGTTCACTTTGAAGCAGTAAAGAAGCAGGTGTCCACTCATGGCAAATGAGGAACTCCCCTTTTTTTTTTTTTTTTTGAGACGGGGTCTCGCTCTTTTTGTGTGTGTGTGAGATGGGGGCCACCCAGGCTAGAGTGCAGTAGTGCAATTACAGCTCACTGTAGCCTCAACCTTCTGGGCTCAACCAGTTCTTCCCACCTCAACTTCTGAAGCAGCTGAGACTACAGGTGTGTACCACCATGCCCAGGTAATGCTTTTGATTTTTAGTAAGATGAGGTCTCGTTATATTGCCCAGGCTGGTCTCAAACTCCTGAGCTCAAGTGATCCTCCTGCCTCAGCCTCCCAAAGTGCTAGGATTATCGGCATGAGCCACTATGCCCAGCCAGAAGCTAAAAATATTAATCAAGGAGTCATAACTAAGGATGCACTGCACACCCGAAGCCAGGGACCACAAGAGGTCAGCAACTGGGACTGCTTCCTCCAGTTCCCAGGCTGGGGCTCAGCAGCAGTGGCCTGGGCTCTGGGGACTTACTTTAAGCCGAAATCCCAAACTCATTATCATTCAAACCAATTTTCTGTGTCCAGCATCATCCCACCTAAACTGGTCCTTAAAACCACTGACAGTCATTTCTCCAATCTGTAAAAGGCCTGCTGAGGCCTTTGCATTATCAGGACTTAACTGGGAGTAGAATGCCCTCCCCATCCAAATCCTGACCATTTCTGAACACTCAGCCCATGTCCTCTTCCTGAGTGTCTTCCCCAACAACCACCACCTACACTGAACTTTACTTTGATCTCTGCAGGAAACTGTAGATAGAGATGGGGTCTCACTATGTTGCCTAGCTGGTCTTGAACTGCTGAGCTCAAGTGATCTCCCTGCTTCTGCCTCCCAAAGTGCTAGGAGGCTAGCAGTGAGCCACCACACCTGGCCTATGTATGCTTTTTTTTTTCTTTTCTTTTTTTTTTTTTTGAGACAGAGTCTTGCTCTGTGGCCCAGTCCGCAGTGCAGTGGTGCAATCTCGGCTCATGGCAACCTCCAGGTTCAAGGCATTTTCCTGCCTCAGCCTTCCAAGGAGCTGGGATTACAGGCACGCACCATCACGCCCAGCTAATTGGCCAGGCTGGTCTCAAACTCCTGACCTCAGGTGATCCACCCACCTTGGCCTCCCAAAGTGCTGGGATTACAGGTGTAAGCCACCACACCCGGCCACGTATGCATTTTAAAACGTTATGCTCAGACGGGGTCTATAGGTTTCACCAGACTGCCAAAAGGATCCATGACACAAAAAAAGTACTCTCAGTTGCATCCTTCGGAACCTTTCAACACATACACATATACCTCACTCATCCTTTTGTGAAGAGTGTCTATTAATCACTAGATTAAGAGGATTTGGATAAAATTTATAAACGTACAAACTTTGCTACCAAGGACTGACACATTTACTTTTCTAGCTCATCAGTTTATGTCCTAGAAAAATTCCAGAGCCACATTAACCAGCTGTTTCCTATTTTTCATTTTACGATGGTGTTTCCACTTTCACCTGCAAAGTGACTAATAGTAATACCTATTACAGTAATTTAAGTAACACCATTTAGAGTAATTTCATCTTTAGTACTGTATTTATACTACTAAGAAAGCCGCCAACGATTCAAGCTGCACTCACTGGTGAAACCCTATGCTATATATGTAATTAATTTATTTCCTAAATTCTTACCTCCCTCCACCCCCTCCATTGGAAAATAAACTCTAAGAATGCAAAAGTTTTTGTGTGTTTTTCTTCAACGCTTAGAGCAGTGCCTGGCACCTAACAGTCAATATCTGCTAACTTTGATGAATGAATGGTATATTTATATTATGCAATATTACTATGCAGCCATGAAACACAATGAGTTAGAGTGGTACCAGCTAATTTAATGGAATTTCCAGAAGTATGAAATTAAGAAAACAAGAAGAAAAGTGTCAAAAATATCATCCCACTTTTTTTTTTCTTCCCTGAAACGGAGTCGTGCTCTGACACCCAGGCTACAGTATAGTGCTGCCATCATGGCTCACTGCAACCTCAACCTTCTGGGCTCAGGGAATCCTTCTACCTCAGCCTCCCATGTAGCTGGGACTACAGGTGTGTGCCACAACGCCCAGCTAATTTATTTTAAATTATTTTTTGTAGAGACAGGGTCTCCCTATGTTGCCCAGGCTGGTCTCAAACTACTAGGCTCAAGTGATCCTCCCACCTCAGCTTCCCAAAGTGTTGGGATTACAGGTGTGAGCCACTGTGCCCAGCCCAATCCCACTTTTTAAAAAGTATACCCCCAAATCCATACACTGGTGAGGAAGTGGAGAACGTGGAATCCTCACACACAGAATGTAAAATGGTACAGCTCTGGAGAACATTTTAGCAGTTTCTCAAAATGTTTAACGTAGCTACTACACGACCCAGCAATTCAACTCCCAGATATACACCTGAGAGAACTGAAAGGATATGTCCACACAAAAATTTGCAGAGGAACTTGTACACACTTGTTCACAGTAGCATTATTCATAATAGCCCAAAGTGGCAAAAACGCAAATGTTCATCAACTGATGGACAAATAAAGCATGAACAACTGATGGACAAATAAAGTATATCATTCAGCATATAAGAAATGAAGTGCTAATACATGCTACAACAGGAATAGACCTTAATAACATTTTGCTAAATGAAAAAAGCCAAACAAAAGGTCACATGTTGTATGATTCCATTTACATAAAAATACCTAGACTAGGCAAATCCATAGAGACACAAAGATCAGTGACTGCCCAGAGCCAGAGGGAGTGGTGAATGTGAAATGGCTACTAATGAGTACAGACTTCTTTTTGAGGTATTGAACATGTTATGGAATCAGATGGTGGTGATCAATGCATAACTTTGTGAATATACCAAAAACCACATGAAAGGTACACTTTAAAAGCCTGAATTTTAAGGTATGTGAATTGTATCTCCATAAACCTGTGATTTTGTTAATATACGCTTATTTGCAAATGAATACATGGATAATGAGGAATAATATGAAAGGTTAATGACAACCTTGGTGATAGGGTACAGGAGACTGGGAGAGGAAGATAAGTGTTGAGGTAGAAGAAGACAAAAAATAAAAGGCTAAAACAATAATCCAGGGCCAGAGGCCATGAGTTGGGAGATGGAGCAAGACGAAGTGTACAAAGAAATGAGCATAAATCATAAAAATGAGGGAACTAGGGTTGAAAACTCCAGCAAGTAGTTTGTAATGGGGGAGATGAAGCAAACCTAAGTAACTGCAATGATTCAACGGAATTTGCAGAAAATGCAGAAGGGCGAGAAAAGCAATGAAAAAATGGATCAGAAGATTTAAAATTGGCTCTACCCCACCAAAGTTTTAAAAAGCAAGCAAGAAGAAAATTCAGTTGCTCCTGGGCAAGAATTCTTGGGCCCAGTGGGGTAGAACCAAACCATGATAAGGAGACACCAGTGTTTTGTAAGCAAGAGAATATATTAAGGAGAGAAAAGGGGCATTTATTGAGAGAAAAGGTCTCACTGTGATTGTTCTGGAATAAAGTAGCCCCATCGGACTGCCTCAGGAACTCATGGTGGAAGAGGTGCCACTGGAAAATGGCTAAGTCGGGATCTTCCCCAAGAACACTAGAAGAGACAGAGGAAGAATAGAAGAGACAGAGGAAGAATAGAAGAGCTTTAAATTTTAGCAGATATTTCTTTTTCTTGTTTAATTAAAATAAATCTTATTGACCTAATATTTTTGAGACTGGGCTCTTGCAATGCTCCCCAGACTGAACTCAAACTCCTAGGCTCAAGAGATTCTTCCACTTCAGCCTCCTGAAAAGCTGGCACTACAGGTGCACACCACTGGGCCCAGCATAATGGCTATTTCTTGACAAATCTTGACAATGCCACCAGTATGTTTTTCTTTAGAGACAGAGTCTCGCTTTGTAGCCCAGGCTGGAGAACAGTGGTGTGATCCTAGCTCACTGCAGCCTCAAACACCTGGACTCAGGAGATCCCCCTGCCTCAGCCTCTCAGGTAGCTGAGACTACAGGTGCGCACCACCACACTTGGCGAATTTTATTTTATTTTTTTTTATTATACTTTAAGTTCTAGGGTACATACACCTGGCTAATTATAAAATGTTTATCTGTACAGACAGGTTCTCGTTATGTTGCCCAGGCTGGTCTCGAACTCTCGGCCTCAAGCAATCCTCTCCTCCTCACCTTCCAAAGCCCCGAAATATGCCCACATCCAGCCTGCCACCAGTTTCTTTGCATACTTCTTTCCTAGGCTTGACCAAGACCTTTACTTTCTTCTGTGTACAGCTCAGCATTGAAAAAAAACAAAAAAGTTTAGGCTGGGCACAATGGGTCACGCCTGTAATCCCAACACTTAGGGTGGCCAAGGTGGGAGGTTTGCTTGAACCCAGGAGTTCCACACCAGCCTAGGCAAGATGGCAAGACCACATCTCTCCAAAACAATTTTTGTAAAATTAGCCAGGTGTGCTGGTGCGGGCCTGCAGTCTCAGCTAGTGAGAAGACTAAGGCAAGAGGAACCCTTGAACCCAGGAGTTCAAGGCTACGGTGAGCTGTGATCACCTCTCCAGCCTGGGTGATAGGGTGAGACCCAGTCTCTGAAAACAATTAAAAATAAAAAAAGTTGAATAATGAGTCTTCTTTTTAGAGGCAATGTATTTTTCCTCTTTTTGTTTTCCTTAGGCTATATGCACAATAGACAAAGTTGAAATTTAATCTTAATCTCGTAAACCCTTACTGTCCAAACACATCAAACTCAAAAAAAAAAAAGACAAAAACAAAAAAGGTGAAAGGTGTACAAGAGAAAAAAGGGAAGTAATCTGTGCCAAATGTACATTCCTTCCACAATTTGGGACAAAAATGATGCCTACCTGGTCTCTGGGTGCCAAAATAAGACATTAGAGACACTCCCCTCCTTCAAGAAATAAAATTGGAATCAGACACTAAGATACAATTAAACAGACTTTGAAAGTTGGTATGCACTACTGGGAGGTGTCTCACAGCTGGCAGGGTCAACTGCAACTAGAAGAAAAGCTCCTAAGGGCAGAAACTAAGTGGCTCACTTCCTCTGTAACACTGCCGTGCCCAGCACTGTACCAGCACCCCAGCAGAGTCAACAACTTTCCGTCAAGCCACACACTTACGGTCTCATCGTCCAGTGGAGGCCGCAGATGAGACATAGTGTGCCAAATCCCAAATGCACAGGGTGCCAGACAAGTCTGCGGGAGGCAGGAGGACTAGGGAAGCCTTCCAGGCAAGGTGATGCCTGAGCTGAGTTGTTTTTCTTTTGAGTTTGGAACATTAATTTAATCGGAGGAAAACAAGGGACATGAAAAGGGCAAGGAAATAAGAAAATGAGCTGAGTTTTGAAGGCAATGATCAGATGAAGTGAGAGAAGAATATTCCAGCAGAGGGAGACAAGGAGACTGCAGAGATTTCAAGGGGCCAAGAGCTGTTCGGTGCAGCTCAGTGAAGCACCTAAACAGAGGTGGGGGAAGGAGAACAGGGGTCAAAGCCCAGTATTGAAGTGTTCTGGATACCAAGCTAAGGAGACCTTATTACGAAGGTACTGGGGCTGCTGAAGGGTTTAAATGGGAGAGTGATTGTGAACAGATTAATAGTTTGGAAAGATACAGGCAGAAGTAAACCTCTGGATTTAACCAAAAAATAAAGGACAGAACCACAATGAAGATGTTGGAAAAGATCAGGAAAAACACTGTTAAAAGATATTCACTCTCGGGGCCGGGCGCTGTGGCTCACGCCTTAAATCCCGGCACTTTGGTAGGCCGAGGCGGGCTGATCACGAGGTCAGGAGATCGAGACCATCCTGGCTAACACGGTCAAACCCCGTCTCTACTAAAAATACAAAAAATTAGCCGGGTGTGGTGGCGGGCGCCTGTAGTCCCAACTACTCCAGAGGCTGAGGCAGGAGAATGGCGTGAACCCGGTAGGCGGAGCTTGCGGTGAGCCGAGATCAGGCCACTGGAATCCAGCCTGGGCGACAGAGGGAGACTCCATCTCAAAAAAAAAAAAAAAAAAAAAGAGAGAGAGAGTCTGACTCTGTTGCCAAGACTGGAGTGCAGTGGCGCGATCTAGGCACATCACAATCCCTTCCCCGCCCCCGGGTTCAAGTGATTCTCCTGTCTCAGCCGCCGGAGTAGCTGGGACTACAGGCGCGTGCCACCATGTCTGATTAAATCTGTATTTTTACTAGAGACGGGGTTTCACTCTGTTGGCCAGGCTGGTCTCCAACTCCTGATCTCGTGATCCGCCCGCCCCGACCTCCCAAAGTGCTGGGATGCGTGAGCCTCCACGCCTGGCCACTAATTTTTCTTTCTTTCTTTCGTGTGTGTGTGTGTGTGTGTGTGTGTGTGTGTGTGTGTGTGTGAGACGAAGTTTCGCTCTTGTTGCCCAGGTTGGAGTGCAATGGTGTGATCTCAGCTCACTGCAATCCCCGCCTCAACAGGAGAGCAGGAATCTTCAGTGATCCACTGGCGGATCTGCAGCCATTGTGCGCGCCAGGTCTTCCCAAGTCTTTTGTGCGCGCGCCTCTCCTTCCAGTACCTATGCCGCCAGCGTCCCCTAGCCTCCCGCCATTGCCAGCAGGTGCTGAGATCGCGCCATTGCACTCCAGCCTGGGGGACAAGAGCGAAACTCCATGTCAAAAAAAAAAAAAAAGGATGAAAATTTTGGGAAAATATGGAAGAAACCAAATGGATTTCTAGCTCAACTAAATCGTAATTATTCAGTGTCTAGTTTTGGCAAGAAACCACATATTTCATGTCCACAATCAGGGACACAGTCCCAGCTCTCAAGTGTGGGTCTTTCCTAAGCAAATTGAAGAACACAGGCATAAAAGTACATTAAATCAATAAACCTTTTTCTCTCTGTCTCTCTCTCTCTCTCTCTCTTTTTTTTTTTTGAGGTGGAGGTTCGCACTGTCACCCAGGCTGGAGTGCAGTGCTGAGATCTCGGGTGACTGCAAGCTCCGCCTCCCGAGTTCACGCCATTCTCCTGCCTCAGCCTCCGGAGTAGCTGGGACTACAGGCGCCCGCCACCACGCCCGGCTAATTTTTTGTAGTTTTAGTAGAGACGGGGTTTCGCTATGTTGGCCAGGCTGGTCTCCAACTCGTGACATCGTGATCCGCCCGCCTCCGACTCCCAAAGTGCCACAGCCCAGGCCTTTTTTTTTTAAGACAGAGTCTCGGCCCGGCGCGGTGGCTCACGCCTTTAATCCCAGCACTTTGGGAGGCCGAGGCGGGCTGATCACGAGGTCAGGAGGTCGAGACCATCCTGGCTAACACGGTCAAACCCCGTCTCTACTAAAAATGCAAAAAATTAGCCGGGTGTGGTGGCGGGCGCCTGTAGTCCGAGCTACTCCCGAGGCTGAGGCAGGAGAATGGCGTGAACCCGGTAGGCGGAGCTTGCGGTGAGCCGAGATCAGGCCACTGGAATCCAGCCTGGGCGACAGAGGGAGACTCCGTCTCAAAAAAAAAAAAAAAAAAAAAAAGAGTCTGGCTCTGTTGCCCAGGGCTGGAGTGCAGTGGCGCGATCTCGGCGCATCGCAATCCCTTCCCAGCCCCCGGGTTCAAGTGATTCTCCTGTCTCAGCCGCCGGAGTAGCTGGGACTACAGGGGCGTGCCACCATGTCTGACTAAATTTGTATTTTTACTAGAGACGGGGTTTCACTATGTTGGCCAGGCTGGTCTCCAACTCCTGATCTCGTGATCCGTCCGCCCCGACCTCCCAAAGTGCTAGGATTATAGGCATAAGCCACCACGCCCGGCCTCTTTTTTTTCTTTTTCTTTTCTTTATCTGGAGACTGAGTTTTGCACTTGTTGCCCAGGCTGGAGTGCAATGGTGCGATCTCAGCTCACTGCAATCTCCACCTCAGCAGGAGAGCAGGAATCTTCAGTGATCCACGGGCAGATCTGCCACCATTGTGGGCACCTGTTCCTCCCGCGACCTTTGTGCTCGCCTCTCTCCTTCCAGTACCTATTGCATGACCCCCCACGTCCGCCTCCCGCCATTGCCAGCAAGTGCCTCGCGCGGGTACCTGGCTGCGCTTATTAATCCGTTAAGCTCGCTCTGTCACGGGCGCCCTGATGTGCTCACGCGCCCGCTCCCTCAGGTTTAAAAGGCGCGTTGCCCGGCAACAGAAGAAACTGCTGGCTTAGCCGTTGGCCGAGTTGGCGGCTGGACGAGGACGCTCAGAGCCCAGCTCTCGAGAGTTCAAGCAACCGACGGTTCCCCACTGCTCCCAGGAGCGGTTACCTGGGCACTCTGTGCCCCTCCTTCCTGTTCGGGCCCAGGCCGAGGACCTGCCAGTAGGGCTCAGTTGCCTGGAGCCCGTTCAGCCCATCCCCCAGTTCACTTTGCCTGTGGGATCTCCCCGTTGCTCCTGCCCGTGGACTGAGTGGCAGGCCATCCTACAAGCACCCGGACACTTGACATCAGTGGTGTCAAGACAACTCTAAGAAGGTTTTCCGTGATCCTGCAAGCCCTGCCTTCCTTCCTGGGATCCTGCCTTCAATTTGATTGCACAGGTACCACAGCAAGCCAGTGCTGTGTGCTCCGAGTTCCAGGGCGTCCTCCAGCTCAGCCACTGCACTGAGAACATGGACTCTCTGTGGGGCCCAGGAGCCGGGAGTCACCCCTTTGGGGTCCACAACACCCGGCTGTCCCCAGACTTGTGTCCAGGGAAGATAGTGTTGAGGGCCCTCAAGGAGAGCGGGGCAGGGATGCCTGAGCAGGACAAGGACCCTAGAGTCCAAGAGAATCCTGGTGATCAGAGAAGGGTCCCCGAGGTCACCGGGGATGCACCGTCTGCATTTCGGCCCCTGCGGGACAATGGAGGCCTCTCTCCCTTTGTGCCCGGGCCCGGGCCTCTGCAGACAGACCTCCATGCCCAGAGGTCAGAAATCAGATATAACCAGACATCCCAGACCTCCTGGACGAGCTCCTGCACCAACCGAAATGCCATCTCCAGCTCCTACAGCTCCACGGGAGGCTTGCCGGGGCTAAAGCGGAGGAGGGGGCCAGCCTCATCCCACTGCCAGCTGACCCTCAGTTCCTCAAAGACAGTGAGTGAGGACAGGCCTCAGGCTGTCTCTTCAGGTCACACCCAGTGTGAAAAGGCAGCAGATATAGCACCAGGGCAGACACTCGCCCTCAGGAATGACTCCTCCACATCCGAGGCCTCTAGGCCCAGTACACACAAGTTTCCCCTGCTGCCACGCAGGCGAGGGGAGCCTTTGATGCTGCCACCTCCCTTAGAGCTGGGGTACCGGGTCACTGTTGAAGACCTTGACCGGGAGAAGGAGGCGGCATTCCAGCGCATCAACAGTGCACTGCAAGTTGAGGACAAGGCCATCTCGGACTGCAGACCCTCACGGCCTTCCCACACTTTGTCCTCACTTGCAACAGGGGCTTCTGGTCTGCCTCCCGTTTCTAAAGCACCCAGTATGGATGCACAGCAGGAGACACACAAGTCCCAAGACTGCCTGGGCCTACTGGCCCCCTTAGCATCTGCTGCAGGGGTCCCCTCTACAGCTCCCATGTCTGGGAAGAAGCACAGACCACCAGGCCCCCTGTTCTCCTCCTCAGATCCCCTTCCTGCCACCTCTTCCCATTCCCAGGACTCAGCCCAGGTCACCTCGCTGATTCCTGCCCCCTTCCCAGCTGCAAGCATGGATGCGGGCATGAGAAGAACAAGGTGTGGCACTTCTGCTCCTGCAGCTGCCGCAGCAGCCCCTCCCCCCTCCACATTGAACCCCACGTTGGGGTCACTACTGGAGTGGATGGAGGCCCTTCACATTTCTGGGCCTCAGCCACAGCTGCAGCAGGTGCCCAGAGGTCAGAACCAGAGATCCCAGACCTCCCGGACCAGCTCGTGCCCCAAACGAAATGCCATCTCGAGCCCCTACCGCTCTACGGGAGGCCTCCCGGAACGAAAGCGGAGAAGGGGGCCAGCCTCATCCCACTGCCAGCTGACCCTCAGTTCCTGAAACACAGTGAGTGAGGACGGACCTCAGGCTGTCTCTTCAGGTCACACCCAGTGTGAAAAGATGGCAGATACAGCACCAGGGCAGACACTCGCCCCCAGGGGTGGCTCCCCCAGATCCCAGGCCTCTAGGCCCTGTAGATGCAAGTTTCCCCTGCTGCCACGCAGGCGAGGGGAGCCTTTGATGCTGCCACCTCCCTTAGAGCTGGGGTACCGGGTCACTGCTGAAGACCTGGACCAGGAGAAGGAGGCGGCTTTCCAGCGCATCAGGAGTGCACTGCAGGTTGAGGACAAGGCCATTTAGTACTGCAGACCCTCACGGCCTTCCCACACTTTGTCCTCACTTGCAACAGGGGCTTCTGGTCTGCCTGCCATTTCTAAAGCACCCAGTATGGATGCACAGCAGGAGAGACACAAGTCCCAAGACTGCCTGGGCCTAGTGGCCCCCCAGCATCTGCTGCACAGGCCTGTAGTCCCAGCTACTCAGGAGGCTGAGGCAGGAGAACGGCATAAACCCGGGAGGCAGAGCTTGCAGTGAGCTGAGATCGCGCCACTGCACTCCAGCCTGGGTGACAGAGCGAGACTCCGTCTCAAAAAAAAAGAAAAAGAAAAAAAAGTTATTGTGACATTTCTGTATGAAATCAGCCTTCACTACATGGATAGGACCAGCACGCTTCCGTGGCACGACTCTGCAATCATACTACATTTTTTTTTTGTATTTTTTTTATTCCTTTTGAGACAGAGTCTCACTCTGTCACCCAGGCTGAAGTACAGCCGAGATCTTGGCTCACTGCAACCTCCACCTCCTGGGTTCAAGCAATTCTCCTGTCTCAGCCTCCCAAGTAGCTGGGACTACAGGCACACGTCAAAAGGCCTGGCTAATTTTTGTATTTTTAGTAGAGATGGAGTTTTGCCATATTGGTCAGGCTGGTCTCGAACTCCTGACCTCAGGTGATCTACCTGTCTTAGCCTCCCGAAGTGCTAGGATTACAGGTGTATGTTTATTTATTTATTTAAGATGGAATCTTGCTCTGTATTTATTAATTTATTTAGTTGAGATGGAGTCTTGCTCCATCACCCAGGCTAGGGTGCAGTGGTGCAATCTCGGCTCACTGCAACCTCTGACTTCCAGTTTCAAGCGATTCTCCTGCCTCAGTGTCCCAAGTAGCTGGGATTACAGGTGCCTGCCACCACAGCTGGCTAATTTTTGTATTTTTAGTAGAGACAGTGTTTCACCGTCTTGGCCAGGCTGGTCTCGGGCTCCTGACCTCATGAACCACCTGCCTCAGCCTCCCAAAGTGTTGGGATTACAGGCCTAAGGCACCATGCTCAGCCATATTTATTTAATTATTTAGAGACAAAGTCTTGCTCTGTCACCCAGGCTGGAGTGCAGTGGCGCCATCTCAGCTTACTGCAGCCTCCGTCTCTGAGGTTTAAGCGATTCTCATGCCTCAGCCTCCTGAGTAACTGGGACTACAGGTACTCACCACCATGCAGGGATATTTTTTTCTATTGTTTTATAGAGACACGGTTTCACCATATTGGCCAGGCTGGTCTCGAACTCCTGACCTTAGGTGATCTGACAGCCTCGTCCTCTCAAGGCACTGGGATTACAGGCATGAGCCGCCAAGCCCGGCCTCTCACTACATTTAAGTGACGCCATGGCTCATGCCTGTAATCCTAGCACTTTGGGAGGCCAAGGCAGGTGGATCACCTGATGTCAGGAGTTCGAAACGAGCCTGGCCAACATGGGGAAACCCCGTCTCTAGTAAAAATACAAAAATTAGTCAGGTGTGGTGGTACAAGCCTGTAGGCCCAGCTACTTGGAAGACTGAGGCAGGAGAATCACTTTAAGCGGGAGGCAGAGGTTGCAGTGAGCCAATCTCAAAAAAGAAAGAAAAAAAAAAAGAAAAACATATGATGCTGGAGCATCTCGGCCTCAATACCTGCATGAGCACAGTCATGTCCAGGCCAGGGCTGCTGGTCGAGGTCCGGCCCCATCTCTTCCAGCAGAAAGGGAGTAAGCTTGCAGGGAGGCTGGGGGACAAGATCCCAGGATCTCAGCCTCCGCTCATGGATCAGCTCTGAGACCCCGAGTGAGCTGGGGGTGCTCTGTGTGCACTGGTTTCCCCAGCTGTCAAGTAAAGGGATTGGATGAGGAAGTCTTGTCAAGGTGGAATGATCTCAGATTTGGGGCAGCAGTGAATGATCCCGCTCCCTGGGCCATGCCAGTGGCCCGGCCTCGGCTGAACACAGCCCCAACACTCTGGAATGGGGATGAGGGGGCAGTCAGCTCTTGCTCCTAGTAAGAGAGATGCAACAGGGCTCTGTGGCTGAGCTGGGTGCCTTGCCTCACACCTGTAATCCCAACCTTTGAGAGGCCAAGGCAGGAGGATTGCTCGAGGCCGGGAATTTTGAGAATAGCCTGGACAACATAGCCAGACCCCATGTCTACAAAATAATAAGAAAACACACAGCTATAGTCCAAGCTACTTGGCAGGCTGAGGCAGGAAGGTCCCTTGTGTCCAGGAATTGGAGGCTGCATTGAGCTATAATCGCACCACTGCACTCCAGCTTGGGTGACAAAGTGAGACCCTGTCTCTAAAAGAAAAAAAAATCGGCCTGTGAGCATGGGCTTGATTTTCAAACAGGACCCGGAGGGTAGGGACAGACAGTGCTGTCACCCTTAGGTGCTGAACACTCAGAAACGGGCCAGCGGCAGCCCTTCCCTCACCTGCAGACACCAGATTGGGCAGAACAGCACGTGGCACTTGCAGCTCTTGCAGTGAGGGCAGAACCCAGTGTCAACCCTTCTGCCTGTGGAAGGGGCTGCTGAGGCCTGCGGAGAGGCCAGGGTGGAGGCTCGTCCCCTTGTCCAGCCCTTGGCGTGGTCTCCACCAGGTCCCCAGCCCACCAGTGCAGGGCGCCCCTGAGCCTGCTGCTGCCACGGGCCCTGTCTCTACCCAGGACGTCCCCACACCCTCGCAGTGTCAGGGAAATGATCATGGTGGCGGTGACACTCCGCAGGCAGGGCTGCTGAGAGAAGCTGAGAAGGGTCACACCGCAGGCAGGGGCCCGTGTGACAAGCCCCTCTCACCCCGAGAGAGCTGACCAGGCAGCTCACGAGCAGAGCCACATCCCGGGAGTCCGAGAAAGGTCCTGGCTGGGCTCAGCCACCTCATTGGCCACGGGCAGCCTTTGTCGTGTGAGCCTTGCTCTCCTGGGGAGGCTCAGGCTGACGGCTGATGTGGGCATTGCCGAAGGTAACCTGTGGCCCAGTGTATATGGCCGGGTCTCCTCAAGCTGCATTCATTCAAGTAGGACCCAGGGTGCATGCCCATCTCCAGCCCAGGGCAGCTCCCCTGTAAGCTGGGTGAGCTACTGAAGCCAAGGCGGGAGGCAGCTGACAACACCCACAGCCCATGCGGAGGTGGTGGAAAGGCTGGACTCAGCAGCAACACCAAATCCTGGACCAGGCAGAAACCACCCAAGACTGAGGGGCTCGTGCCAGAGCGGTGGCCACAGGTAAGAACCCGGGCCCAGGCTGTGTGGCAGGAATCCTCCATGTCCCAGGGCTTAGCATAGCAAAGGAAGACCAGCCGGGTCACCCTGGTGGCCATCTGTCCCTGTCCCACCTGCAGAGTCAGAACAGCCTCTCCCCAGTGGGGATCATCTCTCTCTGCCAAAATAACAGCGGTCCCTGCCCCAACCAGACTACCCCACTCAGTGGGGTTACGGATGCTGCTCCAGCATCCTAACACTGCCCAGCTGGTGCCTGCCTGTGCTCACCCACACCCCCCAGGCCGGCCTTCCCTGCAGCCTGGGCTTGGCCACCTTGGCCTGATTGAGCACTGAGGCCTCCTGGGCACCCAGCCCCATCACTGCACCTGCTGCTTCCAGCCCCACCCCACCGGCTCAGGGGTTCTTCCCAGCGGCGCTGATCATGAAGTCAACATGCACGCAAGTCGTCTCAGGAAACTTCTTAATGAAAGTGTCGGCCACGGTGGTGTGTAGGTGGCTGAGCTCAGATTGCAGCTGCTAAGACACCAGCCACTTACCAAGAGAAAGCCAGGCTGCTTCAAACCCAGGGCCCACGGCAAAAAAGCATCACTTCCGGCCGGGGAGTCTGGAAGCCACGCCTTGTGGGAGGTCACACTGGCATCTAGGCCTTCGCCTGCATTGCAGAAGGAGAGCCGGGTCCCCCTCCTGGAGAACGCTGCGTTCCCCAGCCCCACACCGGCTTTGCCACCACACAGGCTGTTGAGGCAGGAGGCGGGTAAGACGTAGCTGTAGACCCAAAGCAACCACCAGCCCTGGGACCCTGCGGGAGAGGAGCACTTTTAGAACATGGAAAAGTGTGGTCATCCCATCATTAGACAGCACACATCCTACATAAATAAAAAGTCGTATGGGGAAGGAGGTTGGGGAGGGAATAAAAAATTGGCACAGACATTGATAGACTGGTTTCCAGTTTCAAGGTAACAGATGCACATCATGAGACCAGAGGAGGCAGAGACAAGGCTGGATTTGGCTTTTCTAAGCAACACGTGTTCCTGCGCAGGGCTGAATGGTTGCTGAGACAGAGATGGAAGCCAGGACAAGGGAGCCCACCGGGCCCAGATAGGTACAGAGAGCAGAGGCTCCTGTTCTGTCCTCGCCACCCACGAGGGTGACACTGCTTGTAAATGGTGGCTGTGCTCTCCCAGCAAGAAAAAAGCACAACTAAATCCACACTGCACACAGACGCAGACAGAAAGCCTTCAAGTGGCTCTGTTTTCTGCTCCCTGCCTTGCCAGGTCCACAAGCAGAGAGGAGTGTCAGGCACATGGCCCCGCTGTCAGGCTCCCCAGTGAGCTGCGGGCTCAGCAGGAGCTGCCCACTGACACACAGGGGACACCCACTCCTGCCACCTTGGGAGCGGTTGCCAGACAGAGCCGTACTGGGTGCTGGTGTCATCCAGGGACCCCACACACTTCCTTAAATGTGATCCTGCTTCCCTCTGCGCAGCTGCATCCTCTCCTCCTGCAGGACCGTCTGGAAACTTGGCTCTCAGTTTGCTCTCCCTTCTCTCCTCTGCCTGCCCCAAGCCCCTCTTTCTAAAAAAGTGATGCCACGTTCATGGGATTATTTCTTGAAAATACTTGGCGGCCTCCATGCTTCTGTTTTCTTTGAGTCAGGTAGTCAGGAGGGTTTACAAACAATGCCTGGGCTCCCCCGCAGGTGCCGGCAGATGGGGTAGCGAATGGTCCTGTGCCTCCACCTGCTCCGGGAGGGAGTCTCCCGTCTCTAGGCCTGGCCCCTTCCTAACCCTCCACGTATCCTGTTCTCCAGAGACTTCAGAACCCACTCCTGAGAACAGCGGAGCCAGGCGCTTAGAGGAAGACCAAATGCTGCCAGGACACGGATTGTCCAGGGATTACATTCCAGCATCTTATTAGGTATCTGGATCTGTTGGGGAAAAAATTAGAAACTATGTATAAAACTTACAAATATTCAAGTATCAAAAGGTTATTTAGGATGAAAGTTTTAAAACAAGTCATCAGCAAGCTGCTACCACCAAGTGGAGACTTATACAAAAGTTGAGCGAGTCCACTGAGCTGAGAGGACAGAAATGAAGTCACCTGTGCTGGGGCAGGGGCAGGGACACTGGGGGCAGGGAGTGTGTGGGCAGAGAAGCCAGAGAAGTCCAGGCCTGTGGAAGCCAAACAGGAGAGCGTGGGCCGGAAGGGCGGTCAGGATCGGGGGACGAGGTCGCTCTCCCTGGAGAACGAACCCTAAAGTGCGTAGCCTGGGATTCCCTCCCTGGGGGTCCTGTCCCCCGACGTTTCACGGGCCTTCTGAGCTGCCTTCCAAGGAGGACTAACACGGCAACAAAAGACCCATTTCTGCACAAAAATCCCTCTGGGAAGAAAAAGAAGAAAGCCAAGAATGGAGTCAAAACGCTACCCAGTGCTGACCAAGCCTCTCAAACCCTGTTCTAAGTGGACTGTGGTTTCTAAGTCAGGGAAATGGAAGAGGCCCCACCCACACAGGGACAGGGCCATGGCCCCCACAGGATGAAGCAGCAGCGTTTATTCAAGATACAACAGTGAGGGAATCCAGTCACGTTCCCTTCTCCCCAGAGAGGGCGCTTCTTGACAAGTGATTCAGTAGAAATCTTTTGGACTCTATAAGTTAAGTTCATAAAAACCACTGCTTTCACCCTGTCTCCCAGGGCCAGGCCTGGACTCCGAGATGAACTGGTTTGGGGCGCCCTCGGGTGGCCACATAAAAAACCCACAGTCTGAGGCCAGCCTGGGGCTTTCAGACCTGGGCGGGATCTGCCCAGGCCACCTGTCCTTCTGCTTTGGGCCGCTGTCTCTTGGCAGATGGCCTGACACCTGGGGGTGGCCCAAGGATGCCTCAGAAAATCTTGATTCCCACTCTACAGATGGCCTGATTAGCCAGAGGTTTCCAGGCCGTCTGTCCGCCTCCAGGAGATGGACTGGGACCTTTAGACATCGGTGGAGAACAGGATGCTCTGTCCCTTGCTGTCCAGGGCAGGGATGGCCTCCAGCCGCAAGAAGTACAGCAGCACCTCGACCTGCCCTCGCGGAGTGGGGAAGAGGAGAGTGGCTCGGAAGGGGGCGCACAGCTGCTGGTGGGAGGTCTTTGGGGCCCAAGATCCCAAGTCCACCTCAGGTGCTAGAAACCCCTGCTGGTGTCATGAACCCCTTACAGTGAGACGGGGGTGGGGTGGGGTCCTGACAAGGCATGACTTGTTGGGTGGGGGGTGGTTATTTATTTTAGAGATGCACAGGGCCTTGCTCTGTCCCCCAGGCTGGAGTACAGTGGCTCCATCATGGATCACTGCAGCCTCTAACTCCTGGGCTCAAGCAATCCTCCTGTGTCAGCCTCCCAGATACCTAGGATTACAGATATGTGCCCCAATGCCTGCCTAATTTTTCTTTGTATTTTTTCTGGAGATGGGGTTTGCTACATTGCCCAGACTGGTCTCAAACACCTGGGTTCAGTTGTCCTGCCTCGGCCTCCCAAAGTGCTGGGATTACAGGCATGAGCCACCACACTCGAACACTTGGGGTGGTTTTAAGCCCCCAGCAAGGTGCACCAGCAGGACCAGGAGGTGGCCTAGGCACCCCCTATCACTCCCATCCATGCAAACCTAGGCAAGTCCCTGTCTCTGAATCTCAGCCACCACCACATACAATGCAAGTCGGAAGATGGGCAGGACTGGGGGTGGGGCAGGCAGAGGCCACCTCTGTCAGGCTGGGGTTGCATGGGCTGGAGGCTGTCTTCCCATACCTGGGACATGACCTCCAAGGACCAGCTGTCAGTCATGGTGATGGGCTGGCTGGGGTTGGCAGGGAGCTTGCTCTCCTTCTCGGAGGGCCGGAGCAGCGTGGGGCCAAACACCGTGCCAAGGTTGTGCAGGGACATCTTATTGACTGCCTCCTTCTCTGCCATCCTGTAGAGGACCGAAGCAGAGGGTGCTGTTTCAACGCCACCACCAGGAGAGAGGCAGAGGGGCTGTGCCGTGCTAGAGTCCTCAGGGAGGGAGTGACCTCGACCCTGGCTGTGCTGCAAGCTGACTCCAGCCTTGGTACTTCTGGGTCTCAGTGGCCCAGGACAAGGGGCCAGCTCTGGGCTGATGGGGAGGTCTTCCTGATGTGCTTGGGAGGGAAGGGGGGGCGGTCCAAATGCACTGCTGGCCACGGCCAAAGCTCTGAGCTCTTTGTTAAGGCCACAGTGCAGAGGGAGGAGGGTGGCAAAGAGGAGAGGCAGGGGCGGGGGTGGCAGTGGTGCTAGTCCTTAGAAGCAGTGAGTTACTGCAGACAGGGGTCGGGGGAAAAGGTCCTTGGTGCTGGGGGTCTGGTGGGAGCAGAGGGGCACCCCACGGCCTGGAGACCTGGAGTCCTGGGCAGCCACAAGAGAGCTGGGCTACCTTTCCAGGTGGTCTAGAAGGAAAAGGAAGGTGAGCAGGTTGGCCTCCGGCAGGGACGACAGCAGGTTGAGCATGCAGCTCTTCTTTGCAACTGGGTCTGAAAGAGCTGCAGGAGGCAGTGGGTCACTCCCCTGGGTTACGACAAGCCGGAGACCTCTCCCGAGGTGGTCACATGGAGCGCCAGGGACACGAGTCCTTGCGCAGTTTAGGCTTGTCATCATCGTCACACCCACAGCGCTGGCCGCCAGTGAGGACCCTGTGAGGGGCACCTGTGTGGGGTGTGAACCACCTGAACGCCTTTTCTCTACCTCGCAGGGGTCAGCAGCACCCGGCAAACAGCAGCAGGAGGAGCCGCTAGAGCAGCTGCTCATGGGCAGAGCTGCCCTCGGGCAACTCCTGCCACCACCCCCTCCCCAGGGAGCCCAAGGCAGGGGAGGCTCAGCATGGAATGAAACAGGGGAGTGAGGGACACAAGGAGGTGGGAAGTGGGAGGGTCCCAGCCCCACCAAGTACGCAGAGACCCCCTCGACATCCTGGACACCACAGGGGCACCTGCAGGCTGGGAGACCAGGTCCTCTGTGCATGGGCCCGGGAGGCAGACCTGCCCTAAGGGTGATGCACAGGCTACAGGTGCTGCACGCTCCAGCGCCCACTCTAGACATCAGCCTCCAGGTTGACTAAGGGTCAGGTCATGTTTGAAACCATGCTTGGCTGGACCAGGACCCATGGCAAGAGCACCTGGGCACCAGTGTTTAGCCCTGGTCTGCAGGAAGGAGGACAGCAGACTTTAGGACCCCACAGCACGGCAGTGCTGACCATTTCACCCACTTGGCCTCCTTGAGAAATATGGATGGGGAGCCCTCTGGGGATGGGCAAGGCCTTCCAGGATAGGCTCAGTTTTGGTCCCCTGCTTTTTGAGGTTGGGTTAAAATTCCGACCATGGCAGAGGAAGCACAGCTCGGGTTCCCACACCTCACTTTTCACAGCCTCTGAGGGCAGCAGTGCACGTGGAGGAGACGTCTCCCATGAGGCCAAGGCCTCCAGTGCTCACCGATGCCCTCTGCGAAGTTGGGGTAGAACTCGTCAGTGAAGAGGGGCTCGGGCAGCTCACGGAAGTACAGCTTCAGCATGCCTGCGATGGCGTTCACGTCCATCTCGCTCATCATCACTGACACGTCCTTGTTATCTGGAAAGAGCACGGAAATGCAGCGGCCTCCTTGAAGATCCTGAGTGAGTCACCCACCATCCCTGCCTTGGCTAAAGCACCGTCCCTGCCATGCTGACCACTGTGTGGGTCCCTCCTGGGCTTTGAGCAGCTCATCTGACTCCTCCCAAGAGCTGTGCATGGTTCTGTGTCTGCAGAGTTGATAGGGGTGCGTGGGCATTCCCATTCCTCTCCCCTGCTTGGCCTGATGTGATGGCCAGGAGGAGGCCAGCATGGCAGGACACAGCGCCTGCGTGGGGATTGGGTGGCTCTGCCCTGTACATAGCAACCACCCCTGCACCAGTGTCTTCTGATAGCAGGAAGGCCGTGGGAGAATCTGATTGGTTTCAGTGTTTGAACCGGTGTCTTCCTTTGGACCCAATTGGCCATTGGTGCTTACATCCTCACCACAGGCCAGGTTCATTCTGGGCCCTCAGAGGGAGCTGAAACTACCACAGGGCCCTCCCAGGGATGCTGGGCATTCTAGGGGTCCTGGTCAGGGTGGGTGGTGTGTGCTGCAAAGAAGGATCTGCAGGCACAAAATCCTGTTGCTTTGAAGATGCTGGGAAGGACCCTCTGGGGTCTCAGTGCCCTCCCCTGGCATTTGAGGCAGGTCCGGGTCCTTCAAAGCCTGTGAGGGTTGGTGAGATGGAGGCGGAGAGGCTGCAGCCCCGGCCTGCGCTGAATTTCATCAGTGCCCTCTGCCCACCACATCCTCATACAGGGCAGTGGACAGACCGCACTGAGTCCTGGGCTTCCACCTCCTGTCCAACCCCAAGGCAGGAAGGCCAAGGCCCCGCAGAAGCCCCTGGTCCACTGCACCAAGTGGCACGAGTGGGTACGATGGTGTAAAAACTGGCTTCTATAGAAGCTGTTTGTACAACTCTTGTTTTCTCTTTTTTAAAAATAATAAAACAGTAAATGAAGAAAAGACACAGAGAAGGATGTGACATGCCTGGGCCATGGAGCACTCTGAGATCTCATCGTGGACACCACTGCCCACACCTCCATCCCGTCCTGCGCAGGCCGACACTCACTGACGTTGAAGCCTGCCTTCAGTGCCTGGATGTCTGCGGCCACCCCAGACATGCGGTAGATGCCCACCTCCTCCATGCCTCGGCGCTCGATCTCCTCCACGCACTGACGCACGATGTAGGGCACCTTGGACCTCTCTCTCCTGCGGGAGGAGGGAATGTTCTCAGTGTCCTAACAGCCCTGCTTGGGCCATAACACAGGAGACCTGCTCCCTATCTGCGCACCCGGAGGTGGGGTGAGGACGGTGACGAAGGTACCCAGGTCTGGGGCTGCACACAGAGCCTTCTGCATGCCTGTCCTCCCTCTGCAAGCTCTGTCCTCATTGCATGTACTTTCTCAGGAACCTTTCAAGCGGCCAGAACCCCTGCGAATCACACATGACCTTTGTGGGAAGGTCAGGAGGCCTGTCTAAGTCAAGTCAGCACGGGAAGGGCATCTGACAGATTCCAGGCCTGGGGTTAGCAGCCTGTGCCCCCGGCTGGGAGGTCAGACCCGGTGTTGGTCCTGCCACCCACGTGCTGTGTGAGAGGAGAATCCCTGACCCCTGCCCTGGGCCTTAACACACATCCGACGAATGAATGAAGGGTTGCCTCAGCACCGGTGCTCCAAGTCCTGCGATGCTAAGTGCTTTTCTCCTCTGAGTCTTAGCAATGGACAATTCCAATACCTCCACACAGGACACTAGAGTAAGAATCCTTCACAGTTAGAACGCAGTGCTGTGCGGAGGCCTTAACTTGAGTTCTGTTTTGCACCTGGATTTACCAGCACATCAAAGCTGCTTCGCAAGCCCCCTCATCAGCAGGGCTTATGTGGGGGAGCTGCTGATGGAGTCCTCGCTGCTCATGCCCACAGCCCTCCCAGAGTGCTATGCGAGTGGCTGCCGTGCAGTTGGGGGTGGGGCGTGGTGTTTAGACACAGATAGGAGTCCAGGGTATGACTGATGGAGGCCCCGGCCCACGTGACCAGCAAGGTCAGAGGCCCAGCCAGATTCCATCCTGGGGAAGCAAATGAATTCTCAGAGGAAGTGGTCTGTGTCTGTATGAACTGCTCTCAAACCAACAAATAGGCTTCTCTTGGCAACTGACTCGTGACAAAGGGTTCAAGATTGTTTGAAAAAAAAAAAAAAGGGGGGGAACAGGGAGGCAGTAGGTCCTGGAAAAGTAAATTCTTTATTTTACAATAAGAAAGTGATTACATATTTTATTTTTTTTACAATGGTGGAAAATTAGAAGTGATTGTGAAAATGATGTCTACCCGCCTTGCTGATGAGTAGGATGTGATTTGGCTCTTTAGGAAACTGAATTTGCAGAACTTAAGAATATTGATTTATAAAGGGCATGGCCATTGACCCAGTCCATCTTATGCAAATCTGGATGCCATAAATAATATTTAAAAATGAAAGTATTGGGGTGGAGGTTGCAGTGAGCGGAGATCGCCCCACTACACTCCAGCCTGGTCAACAGAGTGAGACTCTGTCTCAAAACAAAAAAAAAAAAAAAAAAAGGAAGAAGTCATTCCCAACATTGCTCATCAAATTATGACCATAAATTTCCAGGATCAGACTAACGGCTAAAGAGACTGATGCATCAACACCAGGCAGAGAATAAAGCAGATTTTTTTTGTTTTGTTTTGGAGAGCCTCTAGGAACTTGAAAAATACATATGCCACACTCTTAAGACCCGGTGGTTCTTAATCAGGGATGTTCATTAAAATGCTGGAAAACTGTAAAGACTTCCAGGTCCCATCCAAGGAGATTTTGCTTCTGATTGACTGGCTAGTGGCCTGGCCATTGGTATTTTGAAAAATCCCTCCAAGTGATTCTTTTACATCCCAGCTAGAAAACCCTAAATTAAAGGTGAAAAACCAGACACCAAGTGGCATTTAAATAAATGTCAACTTTAACTCCACAAAGCATCTGGTTGCACGTGGACAGAAAGAGAAGGAAAGAGGGCCCTATATCTGGATAACTTGGAAATGTGCTCCCCCTAGCAAGATATCTACCAAAATTAAAACCATATTTGAGGATGCTGGCACTGCGAGCAATATATAAATGATGCATGTAACATCATTTAATATGATCTTATTTTTAAAAATGAGTAGAGTGGTGTTTTCTAGCTGTTAGTGTTTCCAAATATCAATGTAGAAATTAGCCTTCTGCAGCTGCAGAGGCAATTCAGTTTGCAGCTTGCTTGCATGTGGCCTAGAGCCACCCAGCCTGATATGTACTAATTTTTTGTTTAACTTGCCAGAGTAGAAACTCAGTTTCTGGGCCAGGCATAGTGGCTCATGCCTGTAATCCCAGAACTTTGGGAGGCCAAGGCAAGCAGATCACAAGGTCGGGAGTTCAAGACCAGCCTGGCTGACATAGTGAAACCCTATCTTTGCTAAAAATACAAAAATTAGCCCGGCATGCTGGCAGGCACCTGTAGTCCCAGCTACTTGGGAGGCTGAGGCAGGAGAATCACTTGAACCTGGGAGGCAGAGGTTGTGGTGAACTGAGATCATGCCCCTGCACTCCAGCCTGGGCAACAGAGTGAGACTCCATCTCAAAAAAAAAAAAAAGAAACTCAGTTTCTGGTTACATCTGATCTTTATTTTTTATATATCATCTAAGCTATAAAGTTATATTCCCTATTTGTGATCTTAAAAGAAGGACTCCAGGAAAGTGTTCAAATATTCATATATCTAAACTGGAACATATGTTTATATTTTTAAAAGTAGCCTGAGAGGTTGGCAACTAAAGTCATATGTTGAATGATCATTTCTCAAGAGTTTCATTTTATGGTCTTTCTCTTGTTCTGTAAAATGTGGGCATGGATAGATATAAAGTGCCTGGTGTCCATGCTTTTGTGAAATCCCTTCCTCTTCCATGTGAATGGGACCTGTGACTTTCTTCTAACCCAGAGAACACAGCAAAAATGATGTGATTTATCTGAGTCCATTGATGACATTGATTACGACTTCCCTTCACCACATTATTTAGGACTGCGTCGTAGGAGACTGGGACACATATCCACTTTGCTGGCTTGATGAAGTAAACTGCTAAGTTGAGGAAGCCCACATGGCAAGGAACTGTGGGCAGCCTTCAGCCAACAGGCAGCAAAAAGCTGAGCTCCTTGGAGCTACAGCCTCAAGGAAGTTACTTCTGCTAACAACCTGAAAAAGCTTGGAAGCTAGTTTCTCTCTAGTGGAATTTTTAGGGAAGAGCATGGCCCAGGCAAGATAAATAATGTAAGTGGAAAAACCTGTCAACAATAAAGGTTTTAAAGGAAAAAACAAAAAACATGTAATTTAGAAAGTAACTGCCAGGAAAAAAAAAAAAGAGACTGGGCCAGTGGCTTACTACACCTGTAATCCCAGCACTTGGGGAGGCTGAGGCGGGTGAATCACAAGGTCAGGAGATCGAGACCATCCTGGCTAACACGGTGAAACCCCGTCTCTACTAAAAATACAAAAAAAAAAAAAAAAATTAGCCGGGCGTGGTGGTGGGCGCCTGTGGTCCCAGCTACTGGGGAGGTTGAGACAGGAGAATGGCGTGAACCCCGGGACGTGGAGCTTGCAGTGAGCCGAGATCATGCCACTGCACTCCAGCCTGGGCAACAGAGCGAGACTCCATCTCAAAATAAATAAATAAATAAAATATAAGGTCTCAGGAACGTAAAGATTGACATTTACTCCCAAACTATTAATATATGTCCACCCACCTTTCTTGTAGCAAAATCTTAACTTGACGTTTGTTTCAATAGTTATTAAATTTAATTATAATGTCCTAGCCCAAAATACAGTAGAGGTAAACATCCAAGGTACTGGCTTGAGGCCACTGGCCCTGTATCTATAAAGGAGAGGGAGACCATCAGGGGAGGGAGGGTAAGAAAGGGAGGAAGAGGGCAGACAAGTTATCAAAAAACAACAGTAGGCAGGGCACTATGGCTCATGCTTGTAATCCTAGCATTTTGGGAAGCCAAGGTGGGCAAATTGCTTGCACTCAGGAGTTCAAGACCAGCCTGGACAACATGGCAAAACCCCATCTCTACAAAAAATCGGCCAGGCCTGGTGGTGTATGCTTGTAATTCCAGCTACTTGGGAGGCTGAGGTAGGAGGATCACTTGAGCCTGGAAGGCAGAGGTTGCAGTGAGCCGACATCATGCCACTGCACTTCAGCCTGAGTGACAGAGTAAGACCCTGTCTCAAAAACAAACACATCAGTTATTCATATTTCAGAGTAAGGACAAAACATTTTTAAGTAGCTGGCAAAGGACATCCCTATATTTCAGAGTAAAACAAATAGGCAATGCTTATCATTTGACATATTTTTAAACATTGTATCTGAAAAGTGAACAAAGAAATGAATGTGCTTATGATTAAATTGACTTTGTTACTTTGTAAACTTGTAGCTTTAGACCTGTCTCTTAGCATCACCAAGCCTTGATCTTTTCATCTATAAAATGGGCATGGTAATGCCAGCCTTGCTATGTTTATAGGTCACTTAGGAATGAGGTATGTATGGTGTTGACCATGGTTTCTGGCAAGTGGCATATATTCATTATACCATAGCTCTTTTCAGAAAGCTAAGTCACCACGTACATGTCAATGCAACCTGCTGAAAATAGGCATGGAAAAACTAGAAAATCTAGAAAAATTAGAAAATCACTGAAGAGGATTTTCTTTAAAAAAATACATACTTTAGTGTTTGAGTCATGAAGTCCTTGCCCGTGCCTATGTCCTAAGTGGTATTGCCTGGGTTTTCTTCTAGGGTTTTTATGGTTTTAGGTCTAACATTTAAGTCTTTAATCCATCTTGAATTAATTTTTGTATAAGGTGTAAGGAAGGGATCCAGTTTCAGCTTTCTAAATATGGCTAGCCAGTTTAGTTCATGTCCTTTGTAGCGACAGGGATGAAGCTGGAAACCATCATTCTGAGCAAACTATCGCAAGGACAGAAAACCAAACAGCGCATGTTCTCACTCATAGGTGGGAATTAAACAATAAGAACACGTGGACACAGGGTGGGGAACATCACACACCGGGGCCTGTCGTGGGGTGGGGGGATAGGGGAGGGATAGCATTAGAATAAATACCTAATGTAAATGATGAGTTAATGGGTGCAGCAAACCAACACAGCACATGTATACATATGTAACAAATCTGCACGTTGTGCACATGTACCCTAGGACTTAAAAGGATAATAATATATATATACATACACACATACACTTTATCCATGCATCTGTTGATAGACACTTAGGTTGTTCCCTATCTTGGCTGTTGTGAATAATGTGCCATAAATATGGGGGTGCAGGTACCTCTCTGACATACTGATTTCAATTTCCTTGGATATAGCCAGAAGTAGGATTGCTGGGTCATGTGGTAATTTTTTTTTTTTTTTTTTTGAGACAAAGTCTTGCTCTGTTGCCCAGGCTGGAGTGCAGTGGCATGATCTCGGCTCACTGCAGCCTCCACCTCACGGGCTCAAGCAGTCCTCCCACCTCAGCCTCCCGAAGTGCTGGGATTACAGTGTGAGCCACTGCACCTGACCTCATGTGGTAATTGTATTTTTAGTTATTTGATTAATTTTTGTGCCGTTTTTCATAATGCCTGTACTGATTTACATTCACTCCAACATGTACTAGGGTTCCATTTTCTCCACATCCTCTTCAACACTTGTTACCTTTCTTTTTTTAATATTAATCATTCTAACAGATATAAAGTGATATTGTTGTGGTTTTAATTTGCATTTCCCTAATGATTAGTGCTGCTGGGCATTTTTTTAAAAGAAGGAAATTATGTCATTTGCAACAAAATGAATAAACCTGGAGAACATTACACTAAGTGAAAGAAGCCAGACAGGATAGATAAGTACATGATCTCATGTATATGTGGAATCTAAAAAAGCCAAATTTATAGAAATAACAGGTAGAAAAGGGGTTATGAGAGGCTGGGGTGTGTTGGGGGGTACAGCAGACAGGGAGATGCTGTTCAAAGGGTACAAAGTTTTCATTAGGAGGAATAAAGTTTTGAGATCTATTGCACAGTATGGTGGCTATAGTAAATAATAATCTATCATATATTTCAAAATTGCTAAGAGTAAATTTCAAATGTCCCACCACAAAGGTGAGCTGGATGATGGATATGTTAATTAGCTTTATTTAATCATTCCACATTGTGTACACATATCAAAACATCACATTGTACTCAAGACATCTATACAATTGACTTGTCAACCAAAATAATAAAAATAAAGTCTATAAAATGTAAAATAGTTTTGTTACACAGTTTAGTGTTCTTTAAACCATATTGGCTGAGCTTCCTCTTTGCCTTGCCCCTTTCTCAAGTCTGGGTGCTGAATGGTAAATATAGAATCAGTTAATGTTTACTGAGGATCTAGTATGTGCCTCACACTGACCTAAACATTTTATAACTAATTTTTTCAATACCCTGGTGAGGTGGTTTTTATGATTATCCCATTTGGCTTGAGCTAGATGATCTCAGAGAGGTTAAGAAATCTTCAAATCTTCACAAGGCTGCAGAACTACTAAAAGGCAAGGCCTGTATAATTACTTGTTGAAGGAATGAATGATATGAGACTGTTTATTGTTTTAAATTATGGAACAATTTATACTTTGTAAAATGCAGAAGTTTTAAATGTTCACTTCTGTGAGCTTTGACAGTTATAGACCCTCATGTTACTATCCCAGTCAAAATATAGAACATTTCCAGAAAATCCTCTCACATCTCTTTCCAGTCAGTACCTTCATGGGTCAAAAACAACTACCTTCTGAGCTCTGTCACCAAAGATAAATTTTTCTTATGGCTGCATTTCAAATAAATGGAATCACACATCCACACTTTTCAATGTCTGGCTTCCTTCTCTAAATACATTTTTCTGTTTTGAGATTCACCCATGCTGTTGTGCGATTCTATAGTTCTCTTTTAATCACTGAATATATACTGTTGTGTGATACACCATGGTTTATTTATTTATTCACTGTCAAAGGACATTGGCTCATTTCCAAGTTTGGGTTAACGTAAATAAGACTGCTATGTTAGATTCTAGTACAAGTCTACGTAGGTGTACGTGTGTATACATACACATACATACACATACATACACACATAGACTTGTACTAGAAAAAATGTACTAAATGTACTAAAAAATGTACTAAAATGTACATTTTTATTTTTCTTGGATCAACAGCTTGGAGTAAAAGTGCTGAGTCATAGGTTAAGTGTATATTTAATATTACAAGAAATTGCTACACCATTTCCAAAGTAGTTGTTTTACAATTCCACCAGTTTTATGAGAGTGTTGGTTAATTCTTATTTTCATCAACATTTAGTATTATCAGTCGTTTTGATTTTGCCATTACAGTGGCTAAAATGTGAAATCAAATGAAATTGTATCTTGAGATTTTAACTTGCATCTTCCTGACTGTTAGTGATGTTGACCATTGTTTAATATACCCACTGGCTATTTGTATGTCTTGCTTTGCAAACTGTCTGTTCAAGTTTTTCTACTTTTTAATTGGCCTGTTTGCCTCTGTATTGTTAACTTGTAAAAGTTCTTTATATGAGATGAATTATTTGACAAATGCATGTATTACATATATTTCCCCAAGTCTGTGGCTTGCATATTCATGTTTATAGTGTCTTTTGATAACCTTTAATTTTCACTGAAGTTTAACCTATAAATGTCTTTATGTAGGGTTAGAGCTTTCTGTGTCCTTACAAGAAACTTCTACCTGTTCCAAGGTTAGAAAGAAGTACCCATTTGTTTTCCGTATGGAGTGAGAATGGGATGCAAATATTTATATTTTGTTATTCAAGCAGCATTTGGTACAAAAATTCTTCTTCCCTCTTTGAATTCCCTTGTCAACTTCTGAGTTCACTTTTTCCTCATGCACATTATTGGTAAGCATTTTGTGTAAAATAAACTGCCTTTATCAGAAGTGTACAATTTTTTCAGATATCTTTCCATAATCCTCTAGATTTGAAAGGTGATTTTTGGTTCTCTTGCTGACATGTTATAATTATAGCTCCCTTCTGCTGCCATGTGATTTGCAATCCTTTTTAATCTTTCCATTTAAGACCTTTCTTACTCCTATATAAAAACTATAATTGTGGCCAGGCATGGTGGCTCACACCTGTAATCCCAGCACTTTGGGAGGCCGAGGTGGGTGGATCATCTGAGGTCAGGAGTTCGAGACCAGCCTGGGCAACATGGTGAAACCCTGTCTCTACTAAAAATACCAAAATAAGCTGGGTGTGGTGTGTGTGCCTGTAGTCCCAGCTACTCGGGAGGCTGAGGCAGGAGAATCGCTTAAAGCCAGGAGGTGGAGGTTGCAGTGAGTCAAGATCGCGCCCCTGCACTCAGGCCTGGGTGACAGAGCAAGATTCTGTCTCAAAAAAAAAAAAAAAAAAAAATCCTATAATTGCTTTAGTCATGCATATATTGAAACACTGTGTACAATAATTAGGCAATTGAATTTTTGTATTTTTCTAAAATTCAAAAGGAGAAAAGCTAATCTAGTTTGTAATGATATAGATTCACTAAGACACTTGTTTCTGTCTTTAGGATAGAGCATTCATACTAACAGTGTGAGTAGTATGGATAAACCAGCATATATATTTTTTATTATGTTGAATTTCAATATCCAGCCGAATTCTGTCTAGTTGCATTACTTACAACATTGTGTTACAGTTTGAAATCAAGAAGAAACTTGTGAATGACTTTTCTACAATTTCTCTGTAAAACATAGATTTGTCAGATAACATAGTACCTTATGTGGTAATTAAAGAAATTGTTACAATGAGAACACATGGACACAGAGAGGGGAACATCACACACCATGGCATGTCAGGGGGTTGGGGGCAAGGGGAGGGAGAGCATTAGGGCACATACCTAATGCATACCAGGCTTGAAACCTAGATGACGGGTTGATAGATGCAGCAAACCACCATGGCACATGTATACCTATGTAACAAACCTGCACATTCTGCACATGTATCCCAGGACTTAAAGTAAAATTTAAAAAGAAATTGTTACATAAATGTTTTAGTGGCTTTAATTTTTAATTAAATTGTGTTAACTTTTTAGGACACGAAAAATTAAAATATGAAAAGTAAAATTTTACTATATGCACAGAAAAATCTCATTTACTTCTGTGAGGCAGGAAGTCTTATACTCTGAGTGGGGAAATATAAATGGCACCTAATTCCTGCATTTGATTATTACCGTTCTTGGCTGTTGCCACAATAGGTTTATCTTTTTACACATCAAAAAAAGGAAATTATGAGGAATCATATATCTGAAAGGGAGTGTTATCTGACAACAGCAGAAACTAACACTACAGAGGGACAAAACATACAAGACCCAATACCCCCAAAAAAACTGGGCAAAAAAACCTGAATAACAGACATTTCTGAAAAGAAGGTATGATATTGATTAAAAGGTAAAAAAGGTGTTTCTCAACATCACTGGTCATCACAAAACTGTAAATAAAGACCACACTCAGATACTATCTAACGCTAAGTAAAATGAATAATACCAAAACAGAAATAATTTAAAAATAAAAGTTCAGGGTGCTGTTAGATATAGAGATCCTCTTATACACTATTGGGAGAAATTTCAATGATGAAACGCACTGAGAAAACCACTTGGAGCACCCTCAGAAATTAAAAATGCAAGAACTGTTTCATCTAGTAATTCTAACCGTGGTTGTGAGCTTAAAGAAAATGAGATCGGTCTGTTGAAGCAACAGCTGCCTTCTGAGGTTTAGTGACCTACTACTCACTAACAATGAGTAACCAAGGTATGAAATCAACCTACCTGTCCACCAACCAATGAAAGGATGAAGGGACTTCAGCATACAGACATGATGAAATATGCCTCATGCATAAAAATTCATGACAACATGTCATTTGCAAAAACACAGACGAACCTGGAAGACATTACATTAAATGAAATCGACTAGGTAGAGAAAGGCAAACACTATGTGATCTCACTTATATGGAATCCAAAAAACTTTACCTTCAAGCAGAAGGTACAGTAGCGGTTTCCTGAGGAGAGGGGAAGGAGGGGGATAGGAGGGGGATGGGAGGGATCGGTTATGGAAACAAAGTTACAGTGAGTTTGGCGAAACACATTTTGGTTTTCTATGCCACAGCTGGGTAACTCTGGTTAACAAAATATTGTATTTTTCAAAAAACTAGAAGGGAGCAATTTGAATGTACTCACAACAAAGAAATAATACCTCAATGAGGGAATAGTTATGATAAGTACCCTGATTTGATCATTACTCAAAGTATACATGTATCAAAATGTCCCCAAAGAAAAAAACATGTCCCAGCATAACTTCTAATTGTGTATGTTATTATACATGGCAAAAATTTAAGAAATATGAATATAAAATGCTAATATTCACATAGAACCACTAATGGCCCTGAACCTCTAAGGAATCCTGAGAAATACAAACTAAGTTGGGAGACTCACAATTCCTGATAGCAAATTACATTGCAAAGCTGTAGGTAGCCAATATATATGGTCATGTGATGTGCTACTGTGCTCTCCAGCCTGGGTGAGAGAATGAGACTCTGTCTCAAAAAAAAAAAAAGAAAGGGAATCATGTAAGCGATAACTCAATCACTGGTTGTTATCAAACATATACACAGAAAAAAAATACAATGTAGCAAAATACATATCCAAACCAATACAAAGAACTTGAGTAGACATCTCTGCAAAGATGACACAAAATTGACCAACATGTAAGAGAAACGGTCCTCAACGTCTCTCATCAGAAAAAAAATGTACCTCAAAACCACATTCAGATGCCGTTTCACTTTTATTGAAATAAATGTTACTAAAAAGTTTTTTTTTAATTTTTTGAGACAGGGACTCAGACTTTGTCACCCAGGCTGAAGTGCAGTGTCGTGATCCCAGCTCACTGCAGCTTTGACCTCCCTAGCTCAGGTGATCATCCCACTTCAGCCTCTCAAGTATCTGGGACTACAGGTGCACACCACCATGCCTCATCCTCCCAAAGTGCTGGGATTACAGGCATGAGCCACTGTTCCTGGCCACAAAATTTTAAAAAGAATGCTGGTATGGATTTGGAGAAAAGGGAACTCTTATACCCTGTTGATGGGAAGATAAATTAGTACATATTCTATGGTAAAAAGTTGGAAGTTGCCATTTTCAAAAAACTGAAAATACAATTACCAGAAGGTCAATGTGGGCAGATTACTTGAGCTCAGGAGTTCGAGACCAGCCTGGGCAACATGGCAAAACCCTGTCTCTACAAAAAATTTAAAAACTTAGCCAGGCATGGTGGTGTGTGCCTGTGGTCTCAGCTACCATAGACTGAGGTGGGAGGGCTGCTTGGGCTGTGGAGGTAGAGGCCACAGTGAGCTGTGATTGCACCACTGCACTCCAGCCTGGGTGACAGAAGAAACCCCGTCTCAAAGAAAATGACAGAAAATGCAAATACTGTAAGATCTAGCAATCCCACTACTGGGTATAACTCCAGAGCAAATGAAATCGGCACCAGAGATCAGAAAGACACAATGGGGACAGGAGAGTTTCTTCATGAAATCATTTTGAGGAAACTGATATCCATATGCAAAAAAGAAAAGAAAAGAAATAGGACCCTTCTGTTACACGATACACAAAAATCAACTCAAAATGGATTAAAGATTTCAACACAAAACCTGAAACCACAAAACATTATTAAATTCCTGTAAGAAAAGATAGGGGGAGCTTACTTTCAGGACAACTTGAATCCATGCTCATCAGTTGGAAAGAGTTTCAAAAAGAAAAAGAGGAATACATAAGGGGTAAAAACCTCATGGAGAATGGAATGGTTTGTGAATGATTTTTTTAAATTGGGGACCAAAATCACAAGCAAGGAAAGCAAGAACAACCATGTGAGGCTACAAGAAACTGAAAAGCTTCTGTGCCACAACGGAAAAAATGAGCCCGAAGTTTGGACGAAAGTTTTGAGGAATCATATAACTGCTAAGGGGTTCTTACCGAAAATATACAACACATTAACAGTACTAAATAGCAATTTAAAACAACAACAAAAAATAATCCACCCCAAACTGGGCAGAGGCCCAGAACAGACATTTCTGCAAAGAGGACAAAAAACCCACACCGAGGAGTCCCTCGCCCCTGGTCAGGCGGCCACGGTGGGAGGGACACGAGAGGACACGCGCTGCCCAAAAGTGAAGAAGAGTGACCCCTGGGTCCTGATGGCAGGAACGAAGATTTAAAAATGCAGCAAGGCCCAATGCAAATCCTCCCTCTGAGGCTTGGACACGAGGCAGCCAGCCAGAACTGGGCCTGGCCCTGACTCCAACCTGAGCGGGGCTTCCCTCTCTCTCCCTCTACACAGGGGAGGTTCCCTCAGAAAAAGTCTTTTTCTGTTGTTGGTTTGGTTTTTTTTTTTTTTTTCAGAACTAGAAATGTATTTATTTATTTATTTATTTTTAATAAAAACCAAGATTTTTTTATTATTATTATACTTTAAAGTTTTAGGGTACATGTGCACAACATGCAGGTTTGTTACATATGTATACATGTGCCATGTTGGTGTGCTGCACCCATCAACTCGTCATTTAGCATCAGGTATATCTCCTAATGCTATCCCTCCCCCCTCCCCCCCACCCAGAAAAAGTCTTAAACCCCTAAAAATACCACAGTCTGCTACACTTGACACCCTCAAAAGCCTTCAGAGAATGAATACCACTGTAAAATAAATACTAAAACACTACAAGAGAAAGAGGAAAACCAGGGAGAACAGGAGAGGAATGAACAGAACATACCAGAAAACTAAAGCTTCTGTACTCACCATGCAGGAAAAATGCCAGGGAAAAGTGCATGGCAGCTTCCTCCTCAGCACTCAGGGCCCAGACAGGAGCGGTTTTCTCCCCAGGACACAGCTCCAAGTCGTCCAGAAGCCTCCGTGATGCCCCTCCTGGCGGGTCCTGAGGGTATCAGAGCTCCTCTCCTCCTCACGGTGGATGCCGCCACTCACTCCATGCAGCACCTGCGGGGAGAACACTGCAAGAGCACGATGTGGGGCAGAAAAGGTGGTTGGGGCGCCCCCTGATGGTCACGGTGCAGAGTGAAGAATGATCTCATCCCATGGTCAGCATCGGCCCAGGCTGCGGCCCCATCGCCCAGGAACTCCTCCCGCTCCTGCTCGGCGTGGGGTGCCACAGCCACCTCCTACTCTTCTGCTACTGTCAGTGCTGCCTGTCTTCTTGGTGCTCCAACGCTGACAATTTGGGGAGACATAAACACTTAGGCTATAGCAAGGAAAATCCAGAATGGTGGTGGAAGAGAAGGACTTAGCATCAGTCACAGTGTGAGACCAGCAGCAGCAACAGGACCTAGGATTCATTCCAATGAGAATCACCTGGAAATCTCCCCCAGGAAAAGAGATCAAACAGATTCCTGGAGGAAATGCTCTTGGGGTTTCTTTAAAGAAGCTAGTGGGACTAAGTAACACAAGACTGGGGCTTTTGTGGAAAGAGTGATGTCCACTAATAATGTCCTCTTAAGGACTGAACATCTCTTCCCAAATAGCTGAATGTGATCGGCAGTAGGCATCAGCTGAGACCTTTTATGACGGCCCTTGGGTAAGGAATCACTCAAGCTCCCTCACTCTTCCAGGGACACAGTTAGCACGGTGATGAAGCTCCAGCGCTCTCACCACCTCTAGACTCTGAGGGGCCATCCCAGCTCCAGAGCTCCCCACAGAAGTGGCTCTGTTTGTTGTAGGTGCATCACACCGAGGCTGGTTCTTTAAATTAACCCTGGGAGTGTGATGAAACCAGCAGTAAGTAGAAAGGACAGAAACAGGGAGTTGCTGCTACAAGACCCGAAAGTGCAGGAGGATGAGGGTGCACTCCTTCACCCCCACAGACACACACTAGAGGACCTCAGTCCCCAGCTTCAAGTGTCTGTGAGTGCCTAGGAGAGAGTCATGCCCACAGACATCCTGCATTGTAGGTCAACATCAAGCCCACCCAATAGCTCTGGTGCTCAATTCTCAAGAGATAACAAACAGCCAAACAAAACTTAAGGCTTTGATGTTTGGTGGTGACAGAGGCAGGAAAGAGCAGGTCACATGGAAAAGATAATCTTTGAGTAGTAAAGCAAGGAAAGATGAGCACACACATGACACTTAAAGGCCATAGATGATGGCTCTTTTAATTATGTCACTTTTTTTTTTTTTTTTTTGAGACAGAGTCTCACTCTGTCGCCCAGTCTGGAGTGTAGTGGCATGATCTCAGCACCGCAACCTCCGCCCTCCCAGGTTCAAGTGATTCTGGTGCCTCAGCCTCCCAAGTAGCTGGGATTACAGGCGCCCACCACTACGCCTGGCTAAGTTTTGTATTTTTAGTAGAGATGGGGTTTCACCATGTTGGCCAGGCTGAGCTCAAATTCTTGACCTCAAGTGATTCACCTGCCTTGGCCTCCCAAAGTGCTGGGATTACAGGCATGAGTCACCACGCCCAGCCAAGATACCCGATGTAAATCAAAATTAAAAGAATGCAAAACCATAAAGCACAAAATATATGCACATGTTGAGGTTAAAGGAACTCTCTTCTAGATTTCCTGATTCTGGTTGCTGAAGTGCAACCTTTCTCATCCCTTTCCTGTCCTGACTTTTCTGGGGCTCTAAGCCCATCCTTATCTGGCCCCCTGGGGGAGCTAGGTCTGCATATGGGATCTTGAGTAAAGAAGGAAATGAGAAAAAGCCTCAGGCAAAGGAAGAGCATGGACATGCAAAGGCCCTGGGGAGAAATAAGTATGACAGAGAAAGGGACTGGAAGAAGAGTCTTGAACATCTGCAAAGTGCAGACACACATTGGGCTAGAAACTGTGCTTTTACTGAGCAATTTCACCTAATTTTCACAAAACCCAATAACATGACTACAGATATGTTTTTTTCTTGAAACAGGATCTCACTCTGTCACCCAGGCTGGAGTACAGTGGTGTGATCACAGCTCACTGCAGCCTCAACTTCCCTAGGCCCAGATGATCCTCCCGCCTCAGCCCCCTGAGTAGCTGGAACTACAGTCGTGCACCACCATGCCTGGCTAATTTTTTTTTTTTTTTGTAGGGATGGGTTTTTGCCATGCGACTACAACTATTAATCCACTTCTATGGATGAGCAAACTAACATGTCGAAAGGTGAGATGCCTTGCTGTGGTCAGCTTAGGCTACACTATGCTATGATAACAGATGACCTCAAAAGTCCATGTCTTAGAGTAACAACCATTCCTTCCTCTGGAATGTGACACACACTTGCAGCTCAGCTCTGGCTCTGACCCTCATCACTTCATTCCAGGATTAAGGCTAAAGAAGCAACCCCCTTGTGGAAACCTGATGGTCTTGGGGCAGCAGTAAAAAGGGAAGGTGAGGCACAACCCTTGGAGAATAATAAATAAAGACTATCCATAGTATCACAAAAAGGGAGACCAAAGGGTGACCACAGAAGGGCCCTTAATGGGTCTGCCCAGAATTAGCACATACCACCTCCACTCATATCCCATTGGCTGAAAGTCACCCAGCCAACCTGACACCAGTGGGTAAAGATACGAAATCTCTTATAGACATGACCACATAGGGAAGGGCCCTCATAAGGTCATATATAACATCTCAAAAATAGCCAGACAGGAATTCAAATCAAAGTAGTTTTTCTCCCCCACACATACATCGTGAGCTCCATTCCAGCCCCTGGGCTATGCACTTTAGAGGACTCTGTTTGCTCAATAACAGCAAAACTCAGTCCTTCCAAATTAACCCCTGAAGGAAGGAAGGAAGCTCGAGCAAAGGAGAGGCAGCTGGACTACAAAGATATGATGCCCTTCCAAGATGCACTGTCCCCTTAAAATCTTATGCATCCTTCAAAACCCACCTCAAAAGGATGCTGTCTTTCCCCAGCTGAGCAGACCTCTCACTCCTATATGCCCACAAGTGGGCACCATACGTTCCTCTCTCAAAGTTCCTGTCCCCGACCACTGCACAATAACCTGTATACAGGTCTGTTTCTCCTACCAGACTGTGAATATCATGGAGACATAAGAATGGTGTCTCATTCAGCTCTAAACACAGTGCATAGCTTACTTGAGACATGCAGTAAAAGTCTGATGAATGAATAGGTTGGTCAGTGGATATATATGGGTGGTTGGTGGTGGAGAGGGTAGAAATCAAGTTTGGAATTAAATAAGAATTCTAGCTTTGCCACTCCCTGGCTGTGTGACTCTGGATTATTTACTTAACCTCTCTGGGCCTTTATAAAATAGGAATATAAGTATGTCTCTCACTGGGTTGTTAGGTTAGCAGAATGCCTGCCACACAGTAGGCACTCAGGAAATGGAAGAATGGATGGATGGATAGATGGATGGATGCATGGATGGATGCATGGAAGGATGCATAGATGGTATAATTTGACTTTAAACAGACTTGAATTTGAATCTGAGGTCTATCATTACAAGATGTGTGACTCTAAGAAGTACTTTTGCCAAATATCATCTCCTTACCTCTCCTGATCCACACTCCATATTCCCCCAACCTGGATCTCCCTGGGAAGCTGGCTTCTACTGACTGCATCAATAAGCTGGCTCCCTTACTCAGCTTCATGTTAAGATCAGCCAAAGGAGAGCAACAACAGAAGATGAAAGTGAGAAAGTGGCCGGGAACGGTGGCTCACACCTGTAATCTTTGGGATCTTTGCCATCTCTTTGAGAGGCTGAGGCATACGGATCATGAGGTCAGGAGTTCGAGAGCAGCTTGGCCAACATAGTGAAACCCCTGTCTCTACTAAAACTACAAAAATTAGCTGGGTGTGGTGGCACACACCTGTAGTCCCAGCTACTCAGGATGCTGAGGCAGGAGAATCGCTTGAACCCAGGTGGAGGTTACAGTGAGCCGAGACCTCGCCATTGCACTCAAGCCTGGGTGGCAGAGTGAGACTCCATCTCAAAAAAGAAAGTGAGAAGGCCGGGCGCAGTGGCTCATGCCTGTAATCCCAGCACTTTGGGAGGCCGAGGCGGGTAGATTACCTGAGGTCAGGAGTTCAAGATAAGCTTGGCCAACATGGCAAAACCGTCTCTACCAAAAATACAAAACATTAGCCAGGCATGGCGGTGGGCACCTGTAATCCCAGCAACTTGGGAGGCTGAGGCAGGAGAATCCCTTTTACCAGGAGGTGGAGGTTGCAGTGAGCCAAGATCACGCCGTTGCACTCCAGCCTGGGCAACAAGAGCAAAACTCTGTCTCAAAAAAAAAAAAAGAAAAAAAGAAAGAAGGAGGGAAAGAAAGAAAAAAGAAAGGAAACTGAGGTCAGGCTATTTATTTTTCTAGCTCCCTCCTTGCCAAGTAACTATGGACTAGCTGTGTCCTTCAACCAAAGGACCCAGCATCTTCCTGGTGGCCCTCTCCCCACAGCCTTCTGTGTCTCTCAGCTCCTCATCTATTCATGACTAGGGCTTGTAATCAAGTCCCGCCACTGCTCTTCCCAGGGAGCTGCAGTATTCCTGGTGGTTTCCTGCTTCCTGTCTCTGCATTGCAGAATACTAAACTGGCTGCCAAGATTGTTGCTCCCCTGGTGAACACCCCCTGCATAATGCCCTCCCCTTGAGGATGGGCTGGACTTGCAAATATGATGGCATTTCACACTGTTATTAGGTTGACTTTGAGTTAATCAAAAGGAAGATTATCCTGGGTGGGCCTGGCCTAATCAGGTGACCCTTAGAAGTCAAAGAGAGTTGAAGAGTGAGAGACAGCCACCTGCTGGCCTTGAAGGAGCAAACATCCATGCTGTGAATTGCCTGTGGACTTTGAGTGTGGTCTCTAAAAGATAAAAGTGGTTCCTGGACAACAACCAGCAAGGAAGTGGGGGCTTCAGTCCTACAACCACAACTAACTGAATTCTGCCAACAACTGGAAAAAGTCTGAAAGAGAACCCTGAGCCTCAGATGAGATCACAGCCTCAGCAACACCTTGACTTTAAACTTGTGACACACTGAGGAGACAATCAGGCCATACCTGGCCTGTTAACTTACAGAACTATGACCTAATGGAGGGGTGTTGTTTAAAGTCACTAAGTTTGTAGTTATTTATTATGGAGAAATAGAAAACCAATATACTGTCGGGCGCAGTGGCTCATGCCTATAATCCCAGCACTTTGGGAGGCCGAGGCAGGCGGATCACCTGAGGCCAGGAGTTCGAGACCAGCCTGGCCAACATGGTGAAACCCCATCTTTACTAAATCAGCCAGGTGTGGTGGCAGGCACCTGTAATCCCAGCTACTCAGGAGGCTGAGGCAGGAGGATCGCTTGAACCTGGGAGCTGGAGATTGCAGTGAGCCGAGATCGAGCCACAGCACTCCAGCCTGGGCGACAGGGTGAGACTCCGTCTCAAAAAAAAAAAAAAAAAAAGAAAAGAAAAAAAAATCAATACACTGTCTGCACCTCTGTAAATGGTACCTGTATTAAACTTTTCTTAAATCAGACTAATACAACTTTGCCATCTAACTGCTTGGCTCTGATGGGTGCTTCATTTAACCTCTGCATGCCTCAGTTTCCTCAACTGTAACGGGAGATAATGGTAGCAAAACTCTTGTTAGGATGCCTTGTGGCCAGCACGGTGGCTCACCCCGTAATCCCAACACTTTGGGAAGCCGAGGTGGGCGGATCACCAGTGGTCAGGAGTTCAAGACCAGCCTGGCCGACATGGTGAAACCTCGTCTCTACTAAAAACACAAAATTAGCCAGACGTGGTGGCGAACGCCTGTAATCTCAGCTGCTCAGGAGACTGAGGCAGGAGAATCGCTTGAACCAGGGAGGCAGTCGTTGCAGTGAGCCGAGATCATACCATTGCACTCCAGCCTGGGCAACAAGAGCGAAACTCTGTCACAAAAAAAAAAAAAAAAAAAAAAGCCTTGCACTTTTAATTTATTATTTATTTTATTTATTTATTTATTTATTTATTTATTTATTTATTTTGAGACTGAGTCTTGGGCTGGAGTGCAATGGCACGATCTCAGCTCACTGGAATCTCTGCCTCCCAAGTTCATGCCATTCTACTGCCTCAGCCTCCCAAGTAGCTGGGATTACAGGCGTGTGCCACCACACCCGGCTAATTTTTGTGTTTTTAGTAGAGATGGGGTTTCACCATGTTGGCCAGGATGGTCTCGATCTTCTGATCTCATGAGCCGCCTGCCTCAGCCTCCCACCTTGCACTTTTTAAGGGTCCACCACATAAAGAATGAGAAGGATGGAGTCCTCCTGGGGGTCTTGTGGTCTTGTCATTCTGGCTGGAAAATCAAAGCCCTGAATGTGGGTGGTCCCACCCCTCCCTAACTTTCAGATGCCCAGTGCCTTTGGGATGAATACCCCACCCTTCATGCTCTGTTTTGACTGAAGATTAGGGGGATCTTAGTGCTTCTGGGGTGTAAAAAGCCATTGTGAATGGTTTGTGCATAACCCAGTTTCCAACAGAAGGGCCCATTCTATGGAGAAGCCCATTTAAATGGCCTCAGCACTGCTCCCTTCAATGCCTGGTGGCTGAAAGGAGAAGGGGAGAAATGGGAAACTCCTCTTCTTAACCAAATGTCTCAGGAGGGCTTTTACCTGGGGACCAAGTTTGTTAAGAGGTTGATCTCAGAGCAGTGGAGAAACAGCTCAGAGGAGAAGGAGCTGGACTGCTGGCACTCATCATCCATGACTGTCAACCAAAAGTGGCTCTGCAGCCTTTCCTACTATGACATGCTGCTTTAAATCTCTCTTCCACCCTGGTATCAAAGTACTTCATTGAACCGGGGAGGCAGAGGGCCACATCCCCTGTTCAGAGATTATCTTAAAAGACTCATTTACTCAGACTCTGCATAAGGGATATTGCAAATAAAACAGACACTATTCCTGCCTTCAAGGAGAGAACAGCCAGTGGATACTACAAAATGGTAGGAAAGACATAAAAAAACCTGGATTTATGATATTAGTATAGAATTATTAAGAGGAAATCTTGGCAAGCTCCCTGAGCAGTAGACCTTGTAAAAACAGGTGTACAAAATATATAGAGGGAGAGATCTGTGTTCAAGTAACTTTGATAAACTGGTTCAGTGAAATGATGTGGGTGTCATTATTACAGGACTTTTCAGTGCCTTTAATGTGACAATGTGCCTTGTGAATCTCTCTAAGTTTGGCCAGTTGTCAGAATCCCCCTGGAGGCTTCTCAAAATGACAAATACACCACAGGCCTATGGAATCAGAATCCTCAGAAGTCAGGCTCAGGAAACTGCAGTGTTAAAAGACCTGCCAGGATGATTTCTGATGGTCAGCTAACTTGACCCGGAGATTACAATTTATGACTATGGGAATTTCCCAAGCTTCTCTGACTCCTGAATATATCTGTTGGTACCTGCTGAAACTCTTCAGCATGCGTCAGTCTGGATACTGTTCCTAATTATATTTATTTATCTGTTGTCCTCCACTCACCATTAGGAAATCTGCTGTGGGAATCTCAGTTCAATCCAGATGTGTACATTAAAAGAGCCCGGTGCACCCTTCACCACAACCAGCCCAGTGTGAGGAGACAGATATCCCTGAGTGCTCCAAAGCAGATCATGCACCTCAGTCCCCTGGGATTTTTCCATTGCAGAGCCTCTGTTGGAAGATCTGGTTTTGTTCTGGGTTTTCCCAAGGATGGAAGGGCATGCAGAGAACCCACTAAGGAGATGTCTCCAGAGGCTGGAGCTGGGGCTGTCTGGGTGGGTACTGGGAGTCCTAAAGCAACCAGAAGGCAGTGAGTGAGTTCTAGAAAGAGAATGGTCTTAAAATGTGGGGGAGACATGGCTGTCTCAACTCTTGGTTCTGTCTGTACTCTACAAGATTTCAAGAGGCTGACTGCCAACGTACTAGTCACCTTCCTCCTAGGGTGCTCACTGGCTACCTTATTATCTTTCAACAGCCTCATGCTGATAGCACACCTTTTAAGAGGCAATATGGGGCCGGGTGCAGTGGCTCATGCCTGTAATCCCAGCACTTTGGGGGCCAAGGTGGGTGGATCACCTGAGGTCAGGAGTTTGAGACCAGCCTGACCAACATGGTGAAACCCCATCTCTATTTAAAATAGAAAATTAGCAGAGTGTGGTGGCCCATGCCTGTAATCCCAGCTACTCAGGAGGCTGGGTCAGGAGAATCACTTGAACCCGGGAGGCAGAGGTTGCAGTGAGCCAAGATTGTGCCACTCCACTCCAGCCCGGGCAACAGTGCGAGACTCTGTCTCAAAAAAAAAAGCAACAGGAGGTAACTGACAATCATGGAATTTGTTAAAATAATTAAATATAATCCCCATTTCTTCTCTAGACAAGTTATTCAACATATCTGAGCCTCAGTTTCCTTATCTGTAAGCTAATAGAATAAAATCTACCTTCTGCCATGGTAAACATTAAATAAATGACATTCCAAAATACCTAGCACATAGTAAGTCTTCAACAGATGTGAGTGATTTTTTTCTTCCTTGTTTCTTTCTTGCCCCAAAGAACTTTGCGTTTGAGAGTCAGCAGAAAGAGGATAGTTCTTCATTGGCCTGCAGTGTGACATTGGACTTCTCTCAGGCTCTAAATTCCTTGGGATACTTTTGGCTGAAAGTAACAGACTCACTCAAATTGACTCAAGCAGTGAAGGGGTGGGGGGAGATCTGATGCAGCCAGGTTTTGGGAGGGGCCTGTGAAGAGGGCCAGCCCCTCCACACCTGTGGGTATTTCTCGTCAGGTGGGACGAGAGACTGAGAAAAGAAATAAGACAGAGAGACAAAGTATAGAGAAAGAACAGTGAGCCCAGGGGACCGGTGCTCAGCATATGGAGGACCCGCACCGGCCCCGGTCTCTGAGTTCCCTCAGTATTTATTGATTACTGTTTTCACTATCTCCGCAAGGGGAATGCGGCAGGTGAACAGGGTGATAGTGGGGAGAAGGTCAGCAGGAAAACATGTGAGCAAAGGAATCTGTGTCATAAATAAGTTCAAGGGAAGGTATTGTGCCCGGATGTGCACGTAGGCCAGATTTATGCTTCTCTCCACCCAAACATCTCAGTGTAGCAAAGAGTAACAGAGCAGCATTGCCACCAGCATATCTCAACTCCAGGCACAGGGTGGTTTTCTCCTATCAGAATAGAACAAATGTACTAGTGGGTTTTACACCGAGACATTCCATTCCCAGGGATATGCAAGAGACAGAGGCCTTCCTCTTATCTCAACTGCAAGAGGCCTTCCTCTTTTACTAATCCTCCTCAGCACAGACCCTTTATGGATGTAGGGCTAGGGGACGGTCAGGTCTTTCCCTTCCCACGAGGCCATATCTCAGGCTGTCTCAGTGGGGGGAAACCTTGGACAATACCCAGGCTCTCTTGGGCAGAGGTCCCTGTGGCTTTCCACAGTGCATTGTGCCCCTGGTTAATCGAGAATGGCGATGACTTTTACCAAGCATACTGCCTGCAAACATATTGTTAACCAGGCACATCCTGCACAGCCCTAGATCCCTTAAAGCTTGATTCCATACAGCACATATTTGTGTGAGCACAGGGTTGGGGCTAAAGTTACAGATTAACAGTATCTCAAGGCAAAACAATTTTTCTTAGTACAGATCAAAATGGAGTATCTTATGTCTTCCTTTTCTACATAGACACAGTAACAGTCTGATCTCTCTTTCTTTTCCCTACAGGCCTGGAAACAGGAACTGAGAGATGCCAGGAAATCTAAGATGTATTTTTTCTGTGTCCCTCATTCTTTTTTCTCCTCTATGAGCACCACTTCTCTTCGTTAACTAGTTCCCTGTTCACAGGAAAAATAATGGTGTCAACAGCTCCTCTAAATACTCAAGCTGGGTCAGTAAGATCCCTTCTCTTAAACTTAATTCCAAAATCTTGAGGAAGAGCTCCATTGGTCCAGCTTGGGTTGGACCCTACCCACAGTCCAATCAACAACATCCATGAGTGGGGCCATGAGGCTTTCAGTGGCTTGGCTTAAGATGGGCTCTATCTCCAGTCCAGTCAACAGCAGCCATTGGTAGGGCCATGTTGCGCAAATATGGTGGCTCCTACTATAGCTATGTGGATGCAGAAAGTAAAGGACAGTCTCCAGAGGACAGCTGGGTATGCCAAACAACAGGTGACTTGCTAAGAGCAATGAGAAATAATACCTGCCCTCAAGGAGCTTATAGTTTCACGAGGGATTCAGACCCAGAGACACACAAATACCATTCCTACTCAGAAGAGGCTACTACATTGATATGACTCAGAGACATCCACATAACCAGAGTTTGATGACAGAAGTTACCAGAAGTTGCACCAACTGCTGCCCCAAAGCCATCCTAGGACCTGATGAGCTAATTAGTCACAATTATTATTGATGACAGCACCAATCCACCTGTTTGTGTCACAAGACAGTTATTGCTGGGTGAGGTGGCTCACACCTGTAATCCCAGCATTTTGGAAGGCCAAGGTGGGAGGATCACTTGAGCCCAGGAGTTCAAGACCAGCCTGGGCAACATAATGAGAGCCCATTTCTACTAAAAATAGAAACTAAAAAATTAACCAGGCATGGCTGTGGTGTGCCTGTGTTCCCAGCCCACGAGGTCAAGGCTGCGGTGAGCCACGTTCATGCCACTGCACTCCAGCCTGGGTGACAGAGCAAGACCTTGTCTCAAAAAAAAAAAAAAAGGATGCTCAAAACTAATAAATTGAAACATTACAGGAGGGTATGCCATGAAAAGTGAAAGCCTCCTTCCTCGTAGTTACTATAAATATTTTACTTGTTTTTTATTTTAAGGTATATTCTAGACTTTTTCCATTAAAATTGAATGTTAATTTGAAAGTTTTTTTTTTTTTTTTTTTTGAGATAGAGTTTCACTCTTGTCGCCCAGGCTGGAGTGCAATGGCGCGATCTCGGCTCACCACAACTCACGTCTCCTGGGTTCAAGCTATTCTCCTGCCTCAGCCTCCTGAGTAACTGGGATTACAGGCATGCGCCACCACGCCCAGCTAAATTTTGTATTTTTAGTAGAGGTGGGGTTTCTCCATGCTGGTCAGGCTGGTCTCGAACTCCCGACCTCACGTGATCCACCCGCCTTGGCCTCCCAAAGTACTGGGATTACAGGCGTGAGCCACCGCGCCCAGTCAGATTTTTTTAAACATTAAAAAAACTCTTATTAGTCTAAAAGTCTAAGACTTTTAATGAGAAATTAATATTGAAATATGGCTATTCAAGACCATCGTGATTTTCGTCTTTGACTATTTTTCTTGTTTAGATTAATATGCCTAATACTATGGAATCATTCAAGCAGTCCCAGAATAAAACACTTAGCCATGGCATTTTATTCTCTACCTGCACAGTTGAGCCTTTTGTATTCATGTTTTATTATTTTTTTAAACGATATTCCCAAATGAGGAGTAGTCTGTAGTCTGTGGTCTTAACTTTTGTATATTACCCTTGGAATACTGTAGTATCAGAGTTATGATCAAGTTTTAGGAAAAACTATAAAGCGTCCAGTCTTGTGTTCAAGAATATGTTACAGGGCCAGGCACGGTGGCTCACACCTGTAATCCCAGCACATTGGGAGGCTGAGGCGGGTGGATCACGAGGTCAGGGGATCGAGACCAACCTGGCTAACACAGTGAAACCCCATCTCTGCTAAAAAATACAAAAAAATTAGCTGGGCGTGGTGGCGTGCACCTGAAGTCCCAGCTACTCTGGAGGCTGAGGCAGGAGAATGGCGTGAGCCCAGGAGGCGGAGCTTGCAGTGAGCCAAGATCACGCCACTGCACCCAGCCTGGGCGACAGAGCGAAACTCCATCTCAAAAAAAAAAAGAAGAAAACAAAAAAAGAATATTTCAGAGAATGAAGTTTCAAAGTATTCATTTACAAAACTATGCAAATACAGTGCTTTTCAGTGGGAGATATTGTTAGACTTCTTTCCAAATATTTTCCAAAATTAGTATTCTATTTAGATTTTCTTTTGCTGATTTTGTCATTATAGTCTCTTAGAAATACCATCAATTTTATCAATACTTTCTAGCTTATTAACATGGAATCGTATTTTAATTAATTTCCTTTATATCTGTGGCTGCCACCTTAAAATTTATTTTCATTTGAGAATTAGGAGTATATCAGTTTTGTGTTGTCAAAATGTATAATGTTTATGTTCTGTGACTATAATGAAGTTTTCTTTGTTTTGTCTAAGTTGGTCATAAGAATTGAAAACCAGTAAATAGCATTTATAATAATTATGGTAATGCACATTTTATTCCCTGCAAAGCCAAGTCGTGGTGTGACTGGACCCAGAGAGAAGGCAGATAGATGCCCCGCTGCTTTTGCAGAGAGCTGTGCAGGCTTGGGTACTGAAGAGCTCCTCCTACTTTTTTTTTTTTTGAGACGGAGTCTTGCTCTGTCGCCCAGGCTGGAGTGCAATGGCACGATCTTGGCTCACTGCAACCTCCACCTCCCAGGTTCAAGCGATTCTCCTGCCTCAGCCTCCTGAGTAGCTGGGATTACAGGCGGCCGCCACCACACCCAGCTAATTTTTGTATTTTTGGTAGAGATGGGGTTTCACCATGTTGGCCAGGCTGGTCTCAAACTCCTGACCTCAGGGGATCCACCCACCTTGGCCTCCCAAAGTGCTGGGACTACTACAGGCGTGAGCCACTGCGCCTAGCCCTCCTCCTATTTTCTTCCTAACTTTCTTTGCTGCTTCTAGATCATAGTCAGCTGCCACTGTTTTATGTTCACGGCAGGTTTTTTGGATTACTCTTCTGATGATTTGCTAGTCTTTTCGTGGGCAGCAGGAATATCTATATGTATGTAGATGTATTATACATACATACATATTATGTATACACATACATGCTTGATTGTGTAACATTTCTTTTTTCCCCCATAGGGATTGAGGATGGTAATGTTTTCAAGTTATTGAATGTCTCGCAATGTCTCATTGTGCCCTCAGTGTTCTGGTAGTTGATTTGACTGAGTATGGAATTCTTGGGTTGAAATATTTCCCTCATGAAGGCTACACTGCTTTATGATTGTGTAGCTGGTGAGGTGAGGAAACACCCCTTTCCCTCTTTCTGACCACACTCACTGGAATTTTTTAAAGTTTTCTTATGCTCTCTGATGTATCTGTTTCCTCTGCATCAGTTCTTCATTCACCTTGGAACTTTGCCTTTTTAATTATTTTTCTTCAAAGACTGTTAATCCTCAATTGTTCACTTTGCAATGGATTATTTAGAAAACTTCCCTAAATATAATATAGAATTGCTAGTTGTCCTGATTGAATGGTGATATTTTTTAGTACTGCTAGATCCTCAGTTGATCAGATTTTACAGTTTCTTTCTCCAATAGCATTTTCGTAATAATTGGTTTGTTTGTATTTTTTTGTTTTTTGTTTTCTTTGAGACAGAGTTTCGCTCTTGTTGCCCAGGCTGGAGTGCAATGGCACGATCTCGGCTCACCGCAACCTCCGCCTCCCGGGGTCAAGCGATTCTCCTGCCTCAGCCTCCCTAGTAGCTGGGATTACAGGCATGTGCCACCACGCTCAGCTAATTTTGTATTTTAAGTAGAGACGGGGTTTCTCCAAATAATTGGTTTGTAATATAAATAATACTTCATTTAATATTAAGGAAAAGGCCAGGCGCAGTGGCTCACGCCTATAATCCCAGCACTTTGGGAGGCCAAGGGCAGATGATCACTGAGCCCAGGAGTTTGAGACCAGCCTGGGCAACATAGCAAAACCCCATCTCTACAAAAAACACACACACACACAAAATGATTTTGACATGGTGGCACGCACCTGTGGTCCCAGTTACTCAAGGGGTTGAGGTGGGAGAATCACTTGAGCCCAGGAGGTTGAGGCTGCAGTAAGCCATGATCGTGCCACTGCACTCCAGCCTGGGTGACAGAGCAAGAGCCTGTCACAAAAAAAAAAAAAAAAAAAAGGAAAAAACTTTAAAAATCCATGCTGTTATGAATTAATATCCATTTAATAGTCCCCCTACATCACTCATGGTTTATTTTTCTCCTGCTACAGTAATTCTTTTTTATTGTATTGTAACTTTAACTTACTGAAGCTTAAAATATTACATTTATAATTTGAGAGAAATATTCTAAAGAAATGAACTTTAAATGATTTTAATTTTTATTTTTTAATTTTTTATTTTTTTGAGACAGAGTCTCATTCTGTTGCCCAGGCTGGAGTTCAGTGGTGTAATCTCAGCTCACTGCATCCTCCACCTCCTGGTTCAAGCAATTCTCCTGCCTCAGCCTCCCGAGTAGCTGTGAATACAGACTCATGCCACCACACCCAGCTAATTTTTGTACTTTTAGTAGACACTGGGTTTCGCCATATTGTACAGGCTGATCTCAAACGCTTGACCTCAGGTGTTCCGCCCACCTCGGCCTCCCAAAGTGCTGAGATTATAGGTGTGAGCCACCGCACCCAGCCTATTTTAATATTTTTAATATATATATATTTTAATTGGGATGGGGTCTCACTATGTTACCCCAGCTGGTCTCGAACTCCTGGTCTCAAACTATTCTCCTGCCTTGGCCTCTCAAGGTGCTGGGATTACAGGGGTAAGCCAACATGCCCAGCCTTAAATGTTTTTAAAAATAAAGTTTGGCAGCCAGGCACGATGGCTCACGCCTGTAATCCCAGCACTTTGGGAGGCTGAGTCGGCTGATCACCTGAGGTCAGGAGTTCGAGACAAGCCTGGCCAACATGGCGAAACCCGTGTCTATTAAAAATACAAAAAAAAAAAAAAAAAGACTAGGTGCGGTGGCTCACACCTCTAATCCCAGCATTGTAGGAGGTGGAGGGGGGAGGATCAATTGACATTGGGAGTTCACGACCAGCCTGACCAACATGGAGAAACCCCGTCTCTACTAAAAGTACAAAATTAGCCAGGCCTGGCGGTGCATGCCTGGCCAACATGGTGAAACCCCGTCACTACTAAAAATACAAAAATTAGCTGGGAGTGGTGGTGTATGCCTGTAATCCCAGCTACTCAGGAGGCTGAGGCAGGAGAATCGCTGGAACCCGGGAGGCGGAGGTTGCAGTGAGCCAATATCACACCACTGCACTCCAGCTTGGCGACAGAGCGAGACTCCGTCTCAAAAAAAAAAGAATTGGCTGGGTGTGGTGGCGGGTGCCTGTAATCCCAGCTACTCGGGAGGCTGAGGTAGGAGAATCGCTTGAACCTGGGAGGCGGAGGTTGCAGTGAGCCGAGATCTCGCCGTTGCACTCCAGCCTTGGGAACAGGAGAGAAACTCCTTCCAAATAAATAAATAAAGAAGTTTGGCCTGGAGAATTTTAATTGTTTCTCATTTTTCCTGAAGTGTTCTCGAGCATCCCATTTGAACGAAAGACTTAGGTAAACATTTCAACAGTAAGACAACGACAAGAATCACAATGGACTTTTTTTGGGGCACGGGACAGAGTCTCGCTCTGTCACCCAGGCTGGAGTGCAGTGGCACAATCTCGGCTTACTGCAGCCTCTGCCTCCCAGGCTCAAGCAATCTTCATGCCTCAGCCTCCGAAGTAGCTGGGACTACAGGTATGTGCCACCATGCCTGACTTATTTTTTTTATTTTTAGTAGAGACGAGATTTTGCCATGTTGGCCAGGCTGGTCTTGAACTCCTGGCCCCAAGTAATTTGCCTGTCTCAGCCTCTTGAGCCCGGGAGGCGGAGCTTGCAGTAAGCCAAGATCACACCACTGCACTCCAGCCTGGCCAACAGAGCAAGACTCCGTTTCAAAAAAAAATTCTACCCCAGTATTCCATGTCACATCCTCAACTGTCCTCTATTTAGATATTATTGAAATAGTAGATGATATCATGTATGAAAATGTCATTGTTCCTTTTTGGGGGTGTCTTGAATTTTTCATTTGTTGATTTTTTATTTCTGTAATCAGTATTAATGAAAGTGATAGCAATTAGTAATAAAGTTCCAAATACATTAAAAAGTAGAGTCTAGAAAAATGAACCCCAAGTTCCAACAATTACCAACTCATAATCAGTCATATTTCACTCTTATCCCTTTTCCCAAAAAGGATTATTTTGGAAATGCCAGTCATCTGTTATCTCATTTTTAAATATTTCAGTATACCTCAAGAAGATAAGGGCTTTCTTTAAAAACATAGCCATAGTAATATGACATTGAAAAAATAAATAACAGTAATTTTTCAAAATCATCAAATATTCAGTGTTTGTTTAAATTTCTTCATTTAAAAAGTTGACTTGTTTTGGGTGGGTGCAGTGGCTCATGCCTGTAGTCCCAGCACTTTGGGAGGCCGAGGCGGGTGGATCACGAGGTCGGGAGCTCGAGACCAGCCTGGCCAACGTGGTAAAACCCCATCTCTACTAAAAATACAAAAATTACCCAGGCGTGGTGGTGGGTGCCTATAATTCCAGCTGCCCAGGAGGATGAAGGAGGAGAATCGCTTGAGCCCAGGAGGCAGAGGTTGCAGTGAGCCGAGGTCACACTATTGCACTCCAGCCTGGGCAACAGAGCAAGACTTCGTCTCAAAAAAAAAAAAAAAAAAAAAGTTGACTTGTTTCATAGAAGCCAAAACAAAGTCTGCACCTGGCATTTGGATAGCACACTTCATAAATCTCTTTTAATCTATAGGCTCTTTCTCCCTCCTTTTTTCCTATTTGCAATTTGTTTGTGGAAGAAACAGAGCATTTGTCCTGTCTTGCTCAAACATTTTAACTGGCTTCTAGTGTTTTTCTAGCTGGACAAAGTTGGAAGTTGACAAATCATTTCTGTACTATTGGTCCAGTATGCTTTGTGGGAAAGAACTATTTGGGGATTGATGTAAAACATAGGTATGTGAGGACTAAACTCTTATTTTTTATTTTTTATTTTTATTTTTTGAGATGGAGTCTTGCTCTGTTGCACAGGCTGGAGGGCAGTGGCGCGATCTCAGCTCACTGCAAGCTCCACCTCTCGGGTTCACGCCATTCTCCTGCCTCAGCCTCCTGAGTAACTGGGACTACAGGCGCCCGCTGCCACGCCAGGCTAATTTTTTTTGTATTTTTAGTAGAGACGGGGTTTCACCGTGTTAGCCAGGATGGTCTCAATCTCCTGACCTCGTGATCCGCCCACCTCGGCCTCCCAAAGTTCTGGGATTACAGGCGTGAGCCACCACAATATATACATATATATGTTGGGATTACAGGCGTGAGCCACTACACCCAGCCTGTTTTCCTTCTTATATTCATGTCTGGCCACTGGGGCTGCAATCTAGCATTTCTTTAGCCTCAGTTGTCTGGTATTAGATTAGGTTCTAGAAGGTTCATATAACTATTAATAGCAATAGTTTTTTTCCTTCCAGAGACATATTTATTCCTCATGCAAAAATACAGAACTAGTCACTAAATAAGGTAAAATCTTGAAAGAATTTTGGATAAGAGATTTCCCATAAAAATGTTTACTTTTAACCTTTTTTCTTTTGTTGTTGTTGTTCAATGAATGAGTTATTTTTAAACCACTATCAGTTTGTTAGCATGTTACAATTAATGAAAGAAGTTCCAATGCAAAATATTTTAATAGGTTGTCAAATATACAGTTATTCGAATTATCTATCACTTATAAAAATCGGTACATCACATTATTCTATAAAATAAAAACACAAATCACACATTGACAACAACCCCTGCAGCCCAAGAATACCCTGCCGAGAGTACAAATTACAAACACATTTTTTAAAACCCTGATATGGGCCCAGCACTTTGGGAGGCCAAGGCGGGCCGATCACAAGGTCAGGAGATCGGGACCATCCTGGCTAACACGGTGAAACCCCGTCTCCACTAAAAATATAAAAAATTAGCCAGTGGTGGTGGCGGGTGCCTGTAGTCCCAGCTACTTGGGAGGCTGAGGCAGGAGAATGGTGTGAACCCAGGAGGCGGAGCTTGCAGTGAGCCGAGATTGCACCACTGTACTCCAGCGAGACTCTGTCTCAAAAAATAAAATAAAATAAAATACTAAAAAAAATAAAAACCTGATATGGTTTGGCTCTGTCCTCACCCAAATCTCATCTCCAGTTGTAATCCATATAATCCCCATGTGTTGAGAGCGGGACCTGGTGGGAGGTGATTAGATTATGGGGGTGTTTCCCCCATACTGTTCTCATAATAGTGAGTGAGTGCTCACAAGATCTGATGATTTTATAAGGGGCTCTTCTCCCTTAGCTCATTCATTCTGTCTCGTCTGCCACCATGTAAGATGTGCCTCTTCTTCCACCATGACTGTAAGTTTCCTAAGGCCTCCCCAGCCTTGTGGAACTGTGAGTCAATTAAATTGCTTTTCTTTATAAATTACCCAGTCTGGGGTCTTTATAGCAATGTGAAAACTAATACAAACCCTAAAGACAAATGCATTTAAACCAAAGTAACTGTGACTAGACTAAATGCATTCATTCATCAAGTACAATAGAAAAATTTAGCACTGCTGCTTATAGTCACTAATAACACAACTTTAGGTGCAATGTCACATGCTTTCATAAATCTTCCAGTACAGTTCCCACAGTAAAGAGACATGGTGCACGCCATTTTCGTTTATTTGTAGGTGCATCACACATCATACTTAAGACTATTTCACTTCACAAACTGTTTATATATATCATAACTGAACACCAGGTTAAAACATTAACCTCAATGATGACAAAACTTAAAAATGAAAGAAAATTCCTGAAAACATATGCCGATTTAATTGCCTAAATACTATTTTCACTTAGAAGCTGTTAGAATAAGTAATGAGAATTGAAATACTAACTCAAAAAAAGATAGAGGCTCCAAACTGTCCTAAAATATTAACACATTTTTAAAGTAATAATATAATCACTCCATAAATCAAAAGTAACTTCCTATTCTTTGCCAAATGTAAAACACCAGTGATTTGAAGAGAAGACTGGGGCCTAAAATCATGCTAAATTGTAAAATACAGGAAAGAGTGTGCAGCTAATTAGCTTGTGGATATGTAATAGAATCGCTTTCACAGGATTGTTGTGTTAAATGCTACTTTTTTTATTTATGTATGTATGTATTTATTATTTATTTGAGACAGAGTCTCACTCTGTTGCCCAGGCTAGAGTGCAGTGGCACGATCTCGGCTCACTGCAACCTCTGCCTCCTGAGTTCAAGTGATTCTCCTACCTCAGCCTCCTGAGTAGCTGGGACTACAGGTGCCTGCCACCACACCCAGCTAACTTTTGTATTTTTGGCAGAGACTGAGTTTCACCATGTTGGCCAGGCTGGTCTCGAACTCCTGACCTCAAGTGATCTGCCCACCTCAGTCTCCTGGGATTACAGGGAGCCACCACACCCAGCCATGTTAAACACTACTTTAAATGGGTAGTCTAGGCCAGGCGCGGTGGCTCAAGCCTGTAATCCCAGCACTTTGGGAGGCTGAGGCGGGTGGATCACGAGGTCAGGAGATGGAGACCATCCTGGCTAACACGTTGAAACCCCCTCTCTACTAAAAATACAAAACAAACAAACAAAAAAAAATTGCCCGGGCGTGGTGGCGGGAGCCTGTGGTCCCAGCTACTCAGGAGGCTAAGGCAGGAGAATGTCGTGAACCCAGGAGGTGGAGCTTGCAGTGAGCCGAGATTGCAGCACTGCACTCCAGCCTGGGTGACAGAGTGAGAAATAAATAAATGAACAGTCTAAATAAACATACCTTTACCAGCAAGGAAAGTGAAAATTAAGGCTTTTTTACACTATCTTCAACTATTAACACTACCCAAACTTAAAAGTCAAATAGAGGTTACAAACCTGCAAAATATTACTTCTAACATCTCTAACATACTGTTAGTTGCTTCCTCTCAACTCCATACTTATGTTATATAGATGCGCATTTTTCTATATCTCTATCTTAATTAAGCCCCCATCCCACCCCAACTAGACAGAATGCCAAAAATGGTTAGGGCCTTATCTGATTGGTTCACAACTGTATACTGTGAAGCTAAAAAATGCTTGGCACATGCTATAAATTAAATAAATATTTTTGAATGAACTAAAAACCCTGGCCTTCAAAGGCAACCCAAATTGTTTTCCCAAAGCATTAATAGATCATTGTTACCTCTTTAACCAGATTGACTATTATTATTATTATTATTATTTTGAAACAGAGTCTCACTCTGTTGCCCAGGCTGGAGTGCAGTGGCACGATCTCAGCTCACTGCAATCTCTGACTCCTGGGTTCAAGTGATTCTCCTGCCTCAGCCTCCCAAGTAGCATGTAATCACAGGCACACGCCACCACACCTGGCTAATTTTTGTATTTTTAGCAGAGAGGGGGTTTTGCCACGTTGGCCAGGCTGGTCTCAAACCCCTGACCTTAGGTGATGTGCCTGCCCTGGCCTCCCAAAGTGCTGGGATCACAGGCATGAGCCACTGCGCCTGGCCAGACTGACAATTATTAAGAAGAAATTGATGCCTTGTAGGCTATGAAAACATCATAGGATGTAATAGAAAGGATAACTGAGGCCAGGTGCAGTGACTCATGCCTGTAATCCCAGCACTTTGGGAGGCTGACGCAGGCTGGTTGCTTGAGCACAGAGCCTGGGTAACAATGGTGAAACCCTATCTCTACAAAAAAATTACAAAAATTATCCCAGCATGGTAACCCACGCGCCTGTGGTCCCAGCTAGTTGGGAGTCTGAGGTGGGAGGACTGCTTGAAACCAGGAGGGAGAGGTTGCAGTAAGCCAAGATCGCATGCCATTGAAATCCAGCCTGGGTGACAGAGCGGAACTCTGTCTTAAAAAAAAAAAAATCAATGAATGTAAACACTTTATTAAACTATTATACAATTTAAATTTTTATTAGAGAAATGTATTATTCACATCCACAACTTCTTTTTTTTATTTTTTGAGATGGAGTCTTGCTCTGTCACCCAGGCTAGAGTGCAGTGGCACGATCTCAGTTCACTGCAACCTCCGCCTCCTGGGTTCAACCGATTCTCCTGCCTCAGCCTCCAGAGTAGCTAGGATTACAGGTGCCCGCCACTGCGCCTGGCTAATTTTTGTATTTTTTGTAGAAATGGGGTTTCACCATCTTGGCCAGGCTAGTCTCGAACTCCTGACCTTGTGATCCACCTGCCTCTGCCTCCCAAAGCACAACTTCTTAAAGTCCTTTTTAAATGAGTATAATCCATAATAAATATGCTAAAATTATTACTTATGTTTCATAGGGGAAAAAAACTATGAGAATCCTATTAACCCAAGCTATATCCTTATTATGCTTATTTCTTAAACATTTGCATGTTCAGATATGCTTGGTGAATACTGATCATTCATACCAATAGTGGTAAATTTCAGCATAATCTTTTTTTTTTGAGACGGAGTCTTGCTCTGTCGCCCAGGCTAGAGTGCAATGGCATGATCTCGGCTCACTGCAACCTCCGCCTCCTGGGTTCAAGCGATTCTCTTGCCTCAGCCTCTTGAGTAACTGGGACTACAGGCGCCCGCCACCACACCAGGTTAATTTTTTAAATACTTTTAGTAGAGATGGGGTTTCACCATGTTGGTCAGGCTGGTCTCGAACTCCTGACCTTGTGATCCGCCCACCTCAGCCTCCCAAAGTGCTGGGATTAGAGGCACAGCTCACTGCAACCTCAAACTCCTGGGCTCACATGATCTTCCTGCCTCAGCCTCCCAAGTAGCTGCAATGCAATGGCATGATCATGGCTCACTGCAGCCTCAATCTGGGCTGAAGTGATCCTCCCACCTCAGCCTCCTTAGTAGCTGAGACTACAAGTGCATGCCATCATGCCCAGCTAATTGTGTGTGTGTGTGTGTGTGTGTGTGTGTGTGTGTGTAGAGATGAGGTGTTGCTGTGTTCCCTAGGCTGGTCTCAAACTCCTAGGCTCAAGCGATCCTCCCGCCTCAGCCTCCCAAAATGGTAGGATTGCGGGCATGAGTCACTGTGTCTGACCAGCAATTCCCATGTTTTATAGAAACACCATTCTCATGCAGCCCACAGCGGCCAGCTTCAGAGCCAGGTGAAGTTGAACGTGGCCCCCGTGGCCGTCTTCCAGATGCTCAAGTCGATGTGTGCCGGGCAGAGGATGGCGAGCGAGCCCCAGGACTCTGCGGCCGTGTCTCTGCACACGACGAGCGTGCCCGAAGTCAGAGCCGGGCCCATTGTCCCTGCCCCAGTGGTCGGGAGGTGGGGTGGAGAGGGGCAGGGGCAGCACAGCGCCAGCATGGCCCGGAGTGACCACGCCTGTCTGTCGGTCTCAGCCCAGCAGCTGCAGGGCCCATCCGTGGGCTCTGCTCCCTGGCTTCGCTGTTATCCTTAGGAGGCATGTCCAGGCCAGGTGGACGCAGAGTGCGTGCCCCACGGTGCTCCAGGTGGGCTAGGGCTCCTCCTCCTCAGCCTCTCCCCACCTCTTCACTCATGCCTCCATTCCACAAAGTCAGGAATCAAGACGACTTTGGGCTAGGCGCAGGGGCTCATGCCTCCAATCCAAGCACTTTGGGAGGCCAAGGGGGGAAGGTCGTTTGAGGCCATGAGTTTGAGACCAGTCTGGATGACAGAGTGAGACCCTGTCTGTAAAAAAAAAAAAAAAAAAAAAAAAAAGATTTTTTTTTTTTTTGAAACGGAGTCTCGCTTTGTCGCCAGGCTGGAGCGCAGTGGTGCTATCTCGGCTCACTGCAACCTCCGCCTCCCAAGTTCAAGTGATTCTCCTGCCTCAGCCTCCCAAGTAGCTGGGACTACAGGCATGCGCCACCAATCCCAGCTAATTTTTTTGTACTTTTAGCAGCGACGGGGTTTCATCATGTTGGCCAGGATGGTCTCGATATCTTGATCTCATGATCTGCTCACCTCGGCCTCCCAAAGTGCTGGGATTACAGGTGTGAGCCACCACACCCAGCACCCCCAAAAATATTTTTAAAAGACAGTTTTGGGCCAGGAGCAGTGGCTCACACCTGTAATCCCAGTACTTTGGGAGGCTGAGGCAGGCGTATCATTTCAGGTCAAGAGTTTGAGACTGGCCTGGCCAAAATGGTAAAACCCTATCTTTACTAAAAATACAAAAATTAGCTGGGTGTGGTGGCACACGCCTGTAATCCCAGCTACTCTGGAGGCTGAGGCAAGAGAATCAGTTGAATCCAGGAGGCGGAGGTTGCAGTGAGCTAAGATCACACCATTACACTCCAGCCTGGGTGACAGTGAGACTCCTCTCGAAAAAAAAACAACAGCACAGTTTTGATCCTGTCTTGTGGCATTACAGCCTCCAGGAAAGTGCCGAGGGAGCAGGGCAGGCAGAAGTCTTCCTGCCACCCCCTGCCTGTACCCCACTTGGGCCCAGGTCCTATGCAGGGGCTTGACCAGCCCTGGCCAGCTTCCCTCTGAGGATTGCAGGACAAGAGTCAGAGGCAGAACTCCCAGGGTACAGAGGCCTGCGGGGCCTGAAGGGCCTCCTCTCTCCAGCATGGTGACTGGGGCTGAGCAGATGCTGAGGCTGAGAGTGTGTCATGGTGGAGCCTCCGTCTCTGCTTTCCTCCCCACATGTTGCTTCTGCTCCTGACGGCTCCCTCTGAAATGCAGCAAAACCTCCCCGGCCACTGGAAGGAGGCCCAGAGCTGGCTCCCCACCTGGAAGCATGAGGACACCCACACAGGCATCCTGAGAAGGGGCGGAGAGCCGGCTGCCCCCATGGGGGCAGGGCCTGGGCACCCAGTCCCCCTGCCCTGAGAGGCCCCAGGCACCTGCGCAGAGGCCTCACTGACCCCGCGCTCTGTCTGCTCTCTTTGCGTCTCTCTCTGACCTCCAGAGGCCTCCTTTTTCTCTGCCAGGAACAATAACCCCACTGCGAACCCCTCTTTTCCTTGGGCCCTTGGCCTGCGGGCTCTCCGGTTCTGCCCCACAGCCTGGCTGCCACACACTCACCTTTCTCTCCAGCCCCTACCCCACCCCATTCCCTCCGCCTCTCTTGCTGCCTGTTCTTTCTCAGGTCGTGGTTATTGGCTTATCTCTGGTGGTTGGTGCTCTCCCTTGTTTCCATGGAAAGTGCCCGGCCCCAGGAGGCAGGAAAACCTGTAAGCTGCAAGGGCAAGACCATGTAGGCCAACGCTGCCCTGTGGCTTAGCGACAGGGCACGATTTCTGGCTCTGTTTATTAGAGACATGGTATGGCCCACAGTTGGGCTGGCATCTGGGGACAGGATCAACATCCCACACCCCAGAGGCGAACTGTGGTGAGTGAGACTTGTGCCCTGTAAAGAATTCCACCCACCCCAAGGGAGGACAGCAGGCTGAGGGGTGGTGTGCTGTGCTGGAGAGCACAGCCCCAGGCGTGACAAACACCTTGCCTCTTAGAAGCTGTCCCCTACCCCGACAGGAAGTCTGGAGGCTGAAACAGAGGCTCCCGCCTTCTCCGAGCCTCCTGGGCAGCACCACACAGATGCCGTGTGCTGGTCCCGTGGCCACACTCCAGCACTCAGCCCCTTTGCCCGCCTCACTCCTGAGTTGGGGCCACCTTCCAGGTGTCACCAGGTGTGATGAAACCAGGGGCCCAGAGCCAGGGGCCTGTGAGAGCCCAAGGGGCTCTGGTCGCACCTCCTGTACGCTCCTCCCCACAGCGCCCACCTCACTGCCAACCAGAGCTCAGGCCCAAGGGAGGGTGAGGAGGGGCTGAGGGACAGGCTGGGGTAGGGGTGCACGGACTGCAGGCTGAGATGAGCAATTGAAGGGCAGGTTTCCACGGGGAGGAAGAAACTGGGAACAGAGTCCTTGTCATTCTAAGGGATGTTGCCATTCACCCAGGGATTCTGGGTGCCGGGCCCGGCTGTCTGTCAGTGCAGAGGGTGTGGCAGTGAAGTGAGATGGTCCCACTCGTTCCAATGAGAGGTGGCGAGAAAAACCGCCAATGATGGAGGTAGGAGGAGGCTTCTGAGCAGGAGAGCAGTAAGGGTTACACAGGGCGGGACAGGAGGGGTCAGCAGAGCCCCGAAGGTGTGAGCTGGGGTGGTGGGAGGGGGTGGGCGAGGCAGAGTGCTGTCCAGGCGCTGGTGGGCCCAGGGCAGGAGGAGGGAGGTGGCAGGACATAGTCAAGATGTATTCGGGGGCCAGACGCAGTGGCTCATGCCTGTAATCCCAGCAATTTGGGAGACCAAGGCGAGCGGATGGCCTGAGATCCAGAATTAGAGACCAGCCTGGCCAACATGGCAAAACCCCATTTCTACAAAAAAAAAAAAAAAAAAAAAAAAAAATTAGCCAGGTGTTGTGGCATATGCCTATAATCCCAGCCACTCGGGAGGCTGAGGCATGAGAATCACTTGAACCTGGGAGGCAGAGGTTGCAGTGAGGTGAGATCACGCCACTGCACTCCAGCCTGGGAGACAGAGTGAGACTCCATCTCAAAAAAAAAAAAAAAAAAAAAAGATGTATGCGGGGGTCGTGGTGCTGGGAACACGGGCATAAAGGGGCCAGGAGGATCAGGGGTGCCGTGTGGGTGAACGGGGGCTCCGAGAGAAGTGAGAGGATACCCAAAACACGAGGACTGGAGCGGCCTGGCATGCTGGGCCCCTCAGGGTCTTTGCTCTTCAAGGGCTCTGTCCTGCAGGCTGGGTGGCAGAAGGCCAGGATATGAGGGCACAGAGGCCCTGGGGGGATGCCCCGTGGGGATAGAGGGAAACCTGGGGAGAAGGTGGAGGGGAGTGGGGCAGAGGTGGGGCCACACCAGGAGTGTGCTGCGGAGTGAGAGGCAGAGCCCGCAGATGGGATACCGAGAGCTCTCTGAGACCCGCGTGTTGCAGCATCCAAACACACGGAGCTCCAGCTGCCCCAGTAATGGCAGAATCTGGGGTGGAGAACATAAGAGGGGGTTGTCAGAGTGATCCAGCTGGAGGGCATGGAGGCCATAGATTTCACACAGGACTTGGGTGTGGAGTTCTCCAGGCCGCGGGCCAGGCCCACTCAAGCCTGCCTCTGTGAACTGCAGCAGGCGCCCCAGCCTCTCTGGATGCCTGTCCCCCAGCCATCCAGACAGCCTGCGGGGACCACCGCCACCAGGCTCACTCATACCCACAGGGAGGGGAAACAGAAGACACCAGAACAGACGGGCAATGCTTGTGGTGAGGGTCTGGAGTCATTGAGGGAAAACTAAATGCAGTCAAGCGGTCTCTAAGTTTAGGGAAACTACACATTTTTTAAAGTTGTCCAGAGCATGTAAGATGACGTTTGGTATGTGGAAGCCATGAGTCTCACATGAGCTGTGCTGCCTGATACGGGAACCACGAGCTATATATGGCTGGCATGGTCACTGCACTGCGTGTGTTATGCACAGCAGGTGCCAAAGGACTGGCACAAAAGTGAATGCAGGGCGTGGTAGCTCACGGCTATAATCCCAACACTGGGAGGCAGGGCAGGAGGATCACTTGAGGCAAGGAGTTCGAGACCAGCCTGGGCAACATAGCGAGATCCAGTGTCTACAAACAAAAGAACAGAAGTGAATGCAGGGCCAGGCACAGTGGCTCATACCTGTAATTTCAGCACTTTGGGAGGCTAAGGTGGGTGGATCACTTGAGTCCAGGAGTTTGAGACTGGCCTAGGCAATATGGTGAGATTCCCATCTCTATTTAAATAAAAAGGAAAAAAAAAGTGATTGCAACATTTCATGAAAAACTTATGTACTGATTACATGTTGAAATGATAATATGTTGGATATTTTGGGTTAATTAAAATATATTATTTGAATTCTAATTCCACATTTTCTTTTATTTTAGTGGTTACCAGAAAATTTAAAATTGTGGCTGGGTGTGGTGGCTCATTCCTGTAATCCCAGCACTTTGGGAGGCTGAGGCGGGTGGATCACCTGAGATGGGAAGTTCGAGACTAGCCTTACTAACATGGCGAAACCCCATCTCTACTAAAAATACAAAATTAGCCGGGCATGGTGGCACATGCCTGTAGTCCCAGCTACTTGGGAAGGTGAAGTAGGAGAATCGCTTGAGCCCGGGAGGTGGAGGTTGCAGTGAGCAGAGATTGCACCATTGCACTCCAGCCTGGACAACAAAAGCGAAACTCCATCTCAAAAAAAAAATTGCATGTGTGGCTCATGCCCCTGACTTGGGTTTGCTGAAGGCATGTCATGAATGTGTTGGAGCAGCACTGTCCGACAGGAGTATTAGGCGAGCCACAGACTAAAGGGCCTGCTGTGCTGCCCCTGCCCCTGCCAGTGAGACACCACTGCTGATGCCACCTGCCCTGGCTGCGGCTGCTTCTCAAGCAGGGCCAGTGGTGGTTTCCTTCCCTCTCAGTTCTCTCACGTCACCTCTGCCCGTTTTCCTTCCTAACACAAATGTTGGTCAGCCCATGTTGCCGCAAGTTCGCGCTGCCACTACGAAACAAGAAAGGCCACCCTTGGGGACCAGCAGAAGGGACACATCTTCATTCCCCAACCAGCTCTGCCCAGATGGGAAATGGTGGGGAGTTGGGCTCACATAGGCCACACCAAAGGTAAATGGCAGAGGGCGTCCCAGCTTGGTCTGGCCCACTCCGCAGCTTCAGGGATTCCCCAGATCATGAGAGGCTGACAGGCTGCTGCATTTTGAGATTTGCTTCGTTAGGGGCTCACAAAATGCCGAGTGGTCACCAGCTGGTTTCAGAGTAGCAGGAGCACTGACCTTGAAGAGAATGAGCCAGGCTGTTTTTGGTTTTGTTGTTGTTTTATTTTTGTATTTTTAAGTTTTGTTAATCTAATTTTTTTTTTTAGAGGTAGCCTCCCTCTGCCACCCAAGCTGGAGTGCAGTGGTGCAATCATGGCTCACTGCAGCCTCAGACTCCTGGGCTCAAGTGATCCTCCCACCTCAGCCTCCTGAGTAGCTGGGACTACAGGTGCAGGCCACCACACCCAGCTTTTGTTTGTTTTTTGGGTTTGTTTTTTTTTAGAGATAGGGTCTCACGTTTTTGCCCAGACTGGTCTCGAACTCTTGGCCTCAAGGGATCCTCCTGCCTCAGCCTCCCAAAGCCTGGGGTTATAGCATGAAGTCTGTTTTAACATGCATTGGTCATTGACTGTTTTTGGTGCATAGAAGGACCCTCCAGGGACCAGGCCTGGGGACATCAGTCACCCCACCCTCCCCCCCAACTTGCAGTAACACTTGGTTCAACCCCACTGTCCAACCCATCTGACTCAGTAGCCCCTCCCAAGGGAGCAGAGCTAAAAAAAAAAGCTGGTTTTCCCACTGCAAGATGCTGCAGGTCGTTCTCTTCTGGGCCTCCTCGTCCTTCATAAAGTGAGGAGGCCTGAACAGGGCTCCTCACTAACCCCAAGAGCACATGATTCCTGAAGGGTTCCAGAATTGTTTTCTTAATATCCATTATGGCTCAAAGTTATGTTAAGGGTTTGTCAGCCCTGTCAGATTTAAAGGTAAGCATTATTAGTCAGGTGTGGCCACATGCTTGTAGTCCCACTACTCTGGAGGCTGAGGCAGGAGGATTGCTTGAGGCCATGAGTTCAAGGCTGCACTGAGCTGTGATTGCATCACTGCACTCCAGCTCAGGTGACAGAGCAAGACTCAGTCTCTAAAAACCAAAAAAATTTTAAAAAAAATTTCAAAACCCTTACTTCCTCCTTTCTGCTTCCCTCTCATCCTTGTTTCCAGAAGGGACCGAGTCATTACTGAGGGGAAGAGAGGAAGCTCAGATGGTGCCAAGCTGAAGGGAAGCCAGCTCTGAGTCAGGCCCAGGTCTGCAGACTGCCCTGCCGTGTGCTGTGGGGAGCTGGACATTAGTCACCCTGAGAGCACGGGGACACCTAAACACCGCGGCTACAGACGCTCTGACTCTGTCTGGCCTGGCCCGCAGAGGGACTGTGGCCTCAGAGGAGGATGCTGGCCCATTGTGGGAGCTGCTGCAGGGTGGTGGGGCTCATCTGCTCATGGGAGATGGGGTCCTTCCCCCGACCAGTCAGTGGAGACTAAAATAATGGCAGTTTGTACCAAAGGAAATGCGAGGTGGCCATTCTCTGCTTTGTGCCTTTTCCACGAGTCACTGGTAGACTGAGGTGGCCAAACTTCACCCACCACATGCTTCTGGCTGCACCCCTCCTTGGTTCTGGGCAACCCTGACTCCGTCTTTCTTGAGTTGAGTGTGCCAAGCTGACAGAGTTCCAAGCGTGACACCACCATAACCTTCACCACCCACCGAGCAGCAAAGATCTCATTCTCTGAGGAAGAACTCCCCAGAAACTCTCACAAGGAGGGCCATCCTATCCCTGCAGGGATTTGGGGAGAATTTTCTTTTCAGTATTGGCATGGAAAGGGAGCTGGAGTGGCCTCTGGAGTAGCCAAGATCCATGGCGTCTCAGACACAGGAGCCTCCACTTGTTCAAGATGACAAATGGTGAAACGGAAATGTCCTCATGGATCCCTAAAACACCTGGTTGCATCTTTTTTTCAAGAGCGCAGTTTCCAATTGCAGGTGATTTGACTAAACTTGGTAAGAGGCCAGGGAAGAACCAGGATTGAGGCTGAGTGTTCTGTTGGCTGAACCGTCATCTGGTCTCACCCCAAAAGTGGTGGCAGGAGAGCTCCCGCAAGGGACTGCCCCAGACCTTCCACTTGGGTGACTGAGAGCCAGTTGGGATGAGAGCCAGTTGGAATTCCAAAGGAAGAAGCACTTAATGTGAGGGTGGTCAGTCCAAAGCATGTGTTAGGGGAACTTCCATACACACAAGGCTGCAGTATGGCCTCACGAGGGACGGCAAGGATGGAGGTTCTGCCTAGGCATGCTGCAGTGAGGGGGTGGAGTGTGGAGTTTATATAAGGGTGCAAGGAATTTGGCTGGGGCGGGGCCAGTTTCCACATGCTTAGCAACATGTCAGATCTTTTACTGTTTCAGGCAACAAACAACATGTTTATCAGTGTCTGGTAAGAAGCAAGGCCCCAGCTAGGGTTTGAGCCTGCAGGGGGAACATACAGCTGACCAGGTCACAGAGCAGTCAAGGCACACTCTTGGTCAGGACAAAGCTGGGGGGACAAAATGGGAGACCCAACACTGTGAGTCAAGCAGGGGACACATGCCCTGGTTAGAGCCCATGGGGCAGACTCTACCAGGCCAGAGCAAAGGAGAGCCCTGGCCAAGGTACTCCACATGGGGGGCTGTGACCCCATGGGCAAGCCTTCTACCCAAGCACATTTGTCCTCTAGAGGGTCCTCTCGGTCTTGCTGATGCTGACAACACCAAGTCCAGGGAAATCCATCCCGTTAAAATAAAGCTCTGGCCCAAGTGTGGTTGCAGATCTTTCTATCTTCACAAAAAGGAGTAAGCAAATTACAAATCGAGGGAAATCTGAACCAGTGGTCTTCATCTGGGATTCTCTGGTGGTCAGAAGGAAAGTCTCAAGCATTCAGACCACGGGAGGAACCCAGTCATGGAATCCAGTAGCTAAACTCCAGAGTGAGAGGCTTTATTGAGGGATCTGGCCAGCAGCCCGCAATGCAATGGGGCTCTCTCTTTGCTCCTAGGTGGATTGGCAGGTTGAGAAATAATAGACACACACAAGATAGTGAAAGCTGGGTCCAGGGGGTCACTGCCTTCTGGTCCCATGGTGCCAACAATGCACTGGATATACCAGCATTTACTATTAAGTTTAGTGAGGGCGGGGGTAGGTTAGTGAGGGATTTAGGGTCATTTGATTATGAGGTGAGATGGTCACATGGGGATGAAGTAATTCTTTAACATAGCATTTGTATGTAGAAGTACAGTACATTTGTATGTAGAAGTACGGTATACAAAGATAAGAATTTACAATATAGTGTGTGCATCAGTAATTTCTAACAGAGTCTTAGAACAGAAACACAGTCTTTCCATAACCTATGATTAGCAAGATATTAATCAGCAGTAACAATTGCAACAAAAGCTGGTTACAAACAATCCATGGAAACAGGACGTGAAGCTAGACAACTGGTTAGACCAGAAATTCTCAGAAGGGAGTATGCCTTCACCCTAAAGAGGCCTAGAAGAGCTGTGGCAAGATGAGGGCGTTTATAGCCGTATCTTATCCATATGGACAGGCGCCCCCCATGCATCCGTTTATAGGCTCTCCACAAGGGTTGCATTCCATTCCCAGAGCTATGAATATCTGCTTTTCTGGGATAGGAATCTTGGTGATGTGAAACCTCCCTGACTGCACGTCCATTCATAGGCTCTCTGCAGGTGGAAGGACATCACGTGCTGTTGGCTCGTTCTGGCAGTCCAAGCTGGCATTGTCTTTACACAATCCTGCATGCAATTTTGTATTTACAATAATCAGGAGCATTTCATCTTTTATTCCATAGCAATAGTTTCAGGGTGTCTCCCTACAAGGCTTGACCACTGTTTGCAGAATACTCGGGTAGGTAGGAAACAATGTGAGAGCTTCCAAAATCAAAATCAGAAACCCAATTCCAGTACTTGGTGACTGGAGTGTTTCCTGCCTGTCACCATCTAAGGCAGCTCAGATGTACAGTTCAGCGTGAACACACCTGGAGGATGAAGTGGCAAGTCCCTGCTGCTGCTGCTGCTTGGCGCCATCAGGGCAGACCAGGTTCCTTGTCCAGGCCAAGTATGGACCAGCCACCCTTACCCTTCCCTAAATGGACCCGTGGCCAAGGGCTTCTGGGGCATGACCTGCCTTTGGCAGTTCTGAGCCTCAGGACTCAGGACTGATACAGGGCTTTCAGCTTGAAGTGGCTTTGAGGGAAATGTGCAGACACAAATGTTGCTCAAGGAGCACACTTCAGTAGGTGCTGCAGTTACGGGGCTCGTCCGTTCCTATTGGCTGCGCTTTGTGTCTCCTCAGGGAGAAACAAAGACAGCACCTCCCTCGGGAGAGTGCCGGCCCTGTTGGAATGCAGCGGCCGCAAAGGATCCAGCCAGAGGACACCCCGCCAGCCCAGCGCTACCAGGCTGCCCAAGTGGGGTGGGCCTGGAAGAAGGCAGCAGGTGCGGGGCAGCACCTAGGATGGGCCAGAGACTTGTCACACCACTGTCCCCAGCAAAGGCTACGTGTTGTCTCCTTCAGTTGATAATAAGTCTTTCTGAGATGCAGAGGGTCCGGGTCATATGTTCTCTACTGTTTTTTGATGATATTATGGCACAAACATAGAATGAGGTTTTTATGCAGGTCCTGGTTGTGCCACAGCTGAACTAACCAGGTCACTTCACCTTGAGTCAACTTCCTGGAGCTGACTTTGGTTCTGAGAAAAGATATCTGGATTCCCAGGTCTTTTACAAACAGATGTTAACACACTTCACTTGAAGTGAAAGGTGCAAGGTTTTCTACCAAGACAGTTGACAATGCTGAGGGGCAAGGTGACCGTGTGTGTGCGTGGAGGGTAAATGCTGCCTTCCAGGTTACCATGGAGCAGTGGGGGGTCAGGATGGGTGTGTTGTGACCTTCTGTGGGTCACAAATACTGTGGAGAACTCAGTAACACTTTCCCCCTTCTAAAATGTCCTGACCTTACACATTTGACCTACAGCTTTAGGGATTTCATGGACACGCCCCATTCATAGACCTCAGATTTAAACACTCTGCTTCTAGGCTCTTCTTTTTAGCCAGTACATCCCATCAATAGAAAAGCCCCAAAAATTGCAAATTCAGTTGAAACCCTGACTTAGCTTTCCTAGAATTTAGGAAACCTATCCACTCAACGCTTGGCTTGTTTCTCCTGGGTCAAGTCACTTCCATGGCAGCTCCTTAAGTACATACACTCCTGCTGCACCCCAACCGCATGCCAGCAGGGCAGGCTGGGACCCCACTGACTGTCCATGCAGGCTCTGGGGTCCCACCTGCTCCTGTAGGCAGAGCCAAGCAGCATGACACACAGAGGTCTTGGTTTTATAGAGAAACTTTAATTGCAAACAACCTGAAAGCAGCCATGCTGGGGGCGGCAGGAGAGCCCACCACACCCTCCCCTCAGTATTCTTTGCCTTCTTCAGCCTCCGCTTCCACAGAATCCATGCCCACCTCTTCATAATCCTTCTCCAGAGCTGCCAGGTCCTTGCGAGCCTCAGAGGACTCCCCCTCCTCCATGCCTTCCCCCATGTACCATTGCACAAAGGCCTGCTTGGCATACATGAGATCAAACTTATGGTCCAGGCAGGCCCAGGCCTTGGTGATGGCTGTGATGTTGCTTAGCATCCACATGGCCCATTGCAACTTGGTCAGGTTTCCCCCAGGGACCACCGTCAGGGGCTGGTAGTTAATGCCCACCTGCCAGAGAAGGGCAAGAAAGCGGTCCGTGAAGCTTGTATCAAACCTAGAAATGGTGGCTACCTTTCCTCAAACAGAAGACCCCCTGTAGGTGACGAGGAGAATGCTCAGTTCACCCCCACAAACCTCACTAAGCCCTTCTCTGTGCCAGGCAGGGTGACGGTTCCAGCCAAGGAATAAAGAGAAAAGAGCCTTGGAGGTGGCCACCCTGGCAGGATCCCAAGCTGCCCGAAGGGCTGTGTCCTAGCAACTGTGACATGTGATAGGTGCCCAGGTAAAGACTGTCTTCCCTCTGAAAATGTACACTACTTGTCTTCTTTATAGATTATTTACTCCAAAGGGTTTTACAAGATAGTAATGAAATTCTGTAGCTCAACTTTTTCCACCCAGATAGATTGTGAGTACACAACTGTGATACCACGGGGAAGGTCATACCCCCTGCTGTCCCACCAAACAAGCCACTGTGAAATATGCAAAGGTGACAGGTCAAAGATCACTTGAATGGAGCTACCACAGCAGCAAGAGTAGTCCATGTGCTTGCTTGAGTAGGAAGTGACATTCCAAGGTGGGAACCAAAAGGGAAGCATTCCAAGTTTCAGAACTTGAGAATAACACATCCTGAGTAGTGCATGGGGTCAACTAGAGCAGGGGTCAGCAAGCCTGTTCTATAAGTGACAAGATCATACAAATTCTAGGCCTTACAGGCACATGGACTCTGTCACACCTACCCCACTCTGAGGCTGGACAGCAAAATTGATCTGCGATGAAGGGGTGTGGTGGCTGTGTTCAGACAAAACCTTATTTACAAAATTGGGCGGCTAGTCCAGCAGCCATGCTCACCCCTGAAGGAGAGAAGGAGAAGCCCAGAGTAGGAATTCCCACTTAGAGCTGACTGCAGTGGTCTCCCCAGAGGCAGTGGATGTCTGAGCCAGAGGAGGGAGGGAAAGCAAAGCAGAGGACGCAGAGGTCCAGCAGAGGGAGAAGCGACAGGATTTAGTCACCAACTCCTGGAAAAGCTGAAAGGGGACAGCAAGGTTTCTTTCATGTGTCAGTGGAAGGTGGGGACAGATTTTCTGTCTGAGGCAAACACAGGCCAACATTACTAGGCTTCCCAAAAGAGAAATAAAGATGGTGCTGTTTTCGTCACAAAAAGATTCTTGATAGTCTTTCTTTAAATCAAACACTCCAAAAGACATTTAAATTGGGTATAATTTCTACAGATGAACATTCTGACTGTGCCTTCATGGGTGATAACGAAGCCACCTATGACACATGTCGGCACAACCTGGACATACTTAGATGAAGCAAGACTTAGTGAGAGCAGTTTATAATAATGCCCAAGTTAAAATATATACACCACCCACATGATTCCCCAAAATGCCCATAAAATTTCTACTAAGTTCAACCTATCTTTTCCACACAAATTCTGCTGTCCAAGCAAGGGGCACCAAAATCCTCCAAAAAATACCTTTTTCTTAAAAAAACACAAAAACCTCACCACAGATACATAGTGTGATGACTCACAAAGGAAGTTCAAAAGACACCACTGAATTAATTATCACTCTGGTTCATTGATTTATGCCCATGAGCCTAGCCCATGGAACAGGGGCAGGGTGACGGTTCCAGACAAGCAACCGCAAAGGATGCGGGCCTTTGGGGGCAGCATTATTCTGCAGATCTGCTGCTTCCTGATGGCACAAGGACTCCACATCACCCAGTCCTCCCTTCAATCCAGTCGGGCACCAACCTGCAAACTAGATGGTGCGCTTGCTCTTGATGGTGGCGATGGCCCCACTGACATCTTTCGGGACCACATCCCCTCGGTACAACATGCAGCAGGCTATGTACTTGCCATGGTGAGGGTCACACTTGACCATCTGATTGGCTGGCTCGAAGTGGGCACTGGCGATCTCGGCCACGGACAGCTGCTCGTGGTAGGCCTTCTCGGCTGAGATGATCAAGGCATAGGTGGCCAGGGGGAGGTGGATGTGGGTGTACGGCACCAGGTTGGTTTGGAATTCTGTCAAGTACACATTCAGGGCCCCAACGAATCACAGGGAGGCCGTGATGGAGGACACGATCTGCCCAATCAGACGACTGAGGTTGGTGTACATGGGACACTCGATGTCCAGGTTGCACTGACATGTCGACCATGAAGGCACAGTCAGAATGTTCCAGGGTCGTGTAGGTGGTCAGGATGGAGTTGCAGGGCTCCATCACAGCCATGGAGACATGGGGGGCTGGGCAAATGGCAAACTCCAGCTTGGACTTCTTCCCGTAGTCCACCGAGAGCCGCTCCATGAGCAGAGACATGAACCCAGAGACGGTGCCGCCCCCAAAGCTGTGGAAGATGGGGAAGCCCTGCAGTCCCATGCACAGATCAGCCTGAGAGAAACCAGACAATGTGAGCCAATGCCCGTGGGAGCCACACCACCAACCTCCACCAAGCCGGGGCCACTTCTCTTTGCCTCTGAGAGTTGCTACGGATTCAGACTATCCATAATGAACACGCATCACACTTTGAAGCAGAGAAAAGCAGACAATACAGATCTATGCACAAATCACCACGCATACTTCATAGTAAGACGTTGCAGACTTAGTCGGACTCAAGATGCTGCTCTAAGTGCTGCGAAAATGACCTTCCTTTCACCATCCAAGGCCTATTCTCCTGTGCAGGACAACGTCCACATGAAGCCTTCTCTTCTTACCAGTTTGTGGATCCGGTCCAGGACAAGGTCTCCTTGCCGATGGTATAATGGCCTCTGGAGTAATTATTGGCTGCATCTTCCTTCCCACTGATCAGCTGCTCTGGGTGGAAGAGCTGCCTGTAGGTCCCTGTGTGCACTTCACCTACAAAGAGACCACATGTGCTGTGAGTCTTTAAGGCCTACTGTACACCAAGGTGAACACGTTCCAGGACTGTTCACTTCTACAAAGTACATGCTGTTCAAAGTACATGAGCTACATGTTGTAGGTCAACAGTGGCGGTGTCTGGTAGAAAATGTCTCTGTGATAACCAATCACAAATGCAATTTAAGGCCCTAGGAAGTTAAAGTCAGTTCTTGTATAAATGTCAGCACAGGCCGGGCGCGGTGGCTCACGCCTGTAATCCCAGCACTTTGGGAGGCCAAGGCGGGCGGATCATGACGTCAGGAGATCGAGACCATCCTGGCTAACACGGTGAAAACCCATCTCTACTAAAAATACAAAAACAAAATTAGCTGGACGTGGTGGCGGGCGCCTGTAGTCCCAGCTACTTGGGAGGCTGAGGCAGGAGGACGGCGTGAACCCAGGAGGCGGAGGTTGCAGTGAGCCGAGATCGTGCCACTGCACTCCAGCCTGGGCAACAGAGCAAGAATCTTTCTCTAAATAAATAAATAAATAAATAAATAAATAAATAAATAAATACATAAATAAATGTCAGCATAAACAGTTCCCAGTGAAGGGAAATAAGCTCTCGCATCGTCCCCCAGCACTGGTAATTCTACAGGTACATACATCTTTCCTACCCTTAGCTACTACATCAAAGGCTGTAAGTTAAAAATCTCTTACAAACTGGACAGTCACCAGGTCAGTGTGACTTCTGAAGGGCAGTCCCATCAACCTGTGTGGCCTGGGTCCCACGTGCTTTCAGGTGACATTGTCACCTCCTGGGGGACACTGAAAGGTACTATCTCTTTGCAGCTCTCTTTGGAAACTATCTGGGACTTCTAATCTGGATGAAGGAAATGGATGTTCTGTACTTACCTTCTACGCCTAAGATGCACATCAAGACTCTTCATGCACCAGCATGAGACAGTGCACAGCATTCAGGAGGGAATCAATGCCCCACACCCTGCAGGCAGGGCCACCTGTGCAGGGCTGAGGCAGCCACAGGGGAATCTCTCCACAGCCCATCTTACTGCTGGCAAAGCAGCTTTTCCCATACATCCTAAATTAGGAGCTGAGTCTCACATACACTAAACATGAAACTTTCAGTTTCCGCCCTAACAATGCCATGGGCATTTGCTTGTCTATCCCATCCATTCTGCAGGGGGATTCACAGGAGCGCACGTGGGGTTTTACCAATGCTCTCCCACTCTCCCAGGAAAGCTGCCATCCAGTGCCCGAGGACCTATCAACCACAGTGGGCTCCAGGTCCACAAACACTGCTCTGGGCACGTGCTTGCCAGCCCCAATCTCACTGAAGAACATGTTGAAGGAGTCATCCCCACCACCGATGGTTTTGTCACTTGGCATTTGACCGTCAGGCTGAATTGCAAGTTCAAGGCAGTACAGTTCCCAGCGGGCGTTGCCTATCTGGACACCTGCCTGCCCCACGTGGATAGAGATACTCACTCTGTGAACCAGAACATAAATGTGAACCCGTTCATTTCAAGACAGTTTGAAACTCTATGGCATGCAAAATATTCTGTGGTGACAGAAAAAAAAAAAGAGAATGAGAACAAAGTGTGTCTGCCTATCAGGGTTAAACCTATAAGGAAGAAGCTCTTAAAAGGGGAGAATAACAAACTAAAATAGAAGGGAGAAGGTAAATAGAAGGGAGAAGGCTGAGTGAGGTGGCTGACACCTGTAATCCCTTTTCCTTTGGAAAGCCAAGGTGGGAGGATTGCTGGAGCCCAGGAGTTCAAAGCTACAGTGAGCTGTGATTGTGCCACTGCATTCCAGCCTGAGTGACAGAGCTCTTAAAAAAAAAAAAAGTTTATTATTGCCACATTTAAGACCTTCAGCCCTGGAGCGGAGATTCAAGTTGCTTTGAATATACACTCTTAATTAGCAGCAGTTACAAAATGCTGTTTTTATTTTATTTTATTTTATTTATTTTGTTTTTCATTTTGTTTTTCTTTTGTTTTTTTATTTTTGTTTTTTTTTTTTGAGACGGAGTCTCGCTCTGTAGCTCAGGCTGGAGTGCAGTGGCAGGATCTCGACTGACTGCAACCTCCGCCTCCCAGGTTCAAGCGATTCTCCTGCCTCAGGCTCCTGAGTAGCTGGGAAAGGCACGTGCCACCATGCCTGGCTAATTTTTATATTTTTAGTAGAGACGGCATTTCACCATGTTGGTCAGGCTGGTCTCGAGCTCCTGACCTCGTGATCCACCGCCTCGGCCTCCCAAAGTGTTGGGATTACAGGCGTGAGCCGTCGTGCCCAGCCTATTTTATTTTTTGAGACAACGTCTCATTCTGTTGCCCAGGCTGGAGTGCAGTGGTGAGATCATGGCTCACTGCAGCCTTGAACCTCCTCAGGCTCAGGTGATCCTCCCACCTCAGCCTCCCGAATAGCTGGGACTACAGGCATGTGCCACCTTGCCCAGCTAATTTTTTGTATTTTTTGTAGATACAGGGTTTCACCATGTTCTCAGGGTTGGTCTCAAACCCCTGGGCTCAGGCGACCTGCCTGCTTCAGCCTCCCAAAGTGCTGGGATTACAGGTGTGAACCCCTGCACCTGGCCAGAGATGCTGTTTTTAAGAGAAAAGAAGAGGCAGTTCCTAAGTGGTTTACCAAGAATTGCTCTTTTTTAAAAAATTGAGATGGGTCTCACTGAGGCTGGTCTTCAACTCTTGGCCTCAAACAATCCTATCACTTCAGCTTCCCTGGCCACAAGAATTTATATTAAAACGACATAAGCTATTGGTTGTCTATACATTATTCTTTGTATCATAAATTCCAGAAACAGGAAGATAATGGGTTAAGCTAGTCAGGAACAAAATGCCTTTAAACAATTGCCCCCGGGCATGGATAAGAAATATGTTACTGAAGTCCCATATTCATTTCTTTTTCTTTTCATTATTATAATTATTATTTTTTTGTTTTGTTTTGTTTTGTTTTGAGACAGAGTCTTGCTCTGTCATCCAGGCTGGAGTGCAGTGGCATGATCTCGGCTCACTGCAACCTCCACCTCTCGGGCTCCAGCGATTCTCCTGCCTCAGCCTCCCAAGTAGCTGGGATTACAGGCATGCACCACCATACCTGGCTAATTTTTGTATTTTTAGAAAAGATAGGGTTTTACCATGTTGGCCAGGCTAGTCTCGAACTCCTGACCTCAAGTGATTCACCCACTTCAGCCTCCCAAAGAGCTGGGATTACAGGAATGAGCCTCTGCACCCAGCATATTATTGTTATTATTATTTTGAGACAGGGTCTCGCTGTGTACCCAGGCTGGAATGCACTGGTATGGTCATAGCTCACTGCAGCCTCAACCTCCTGACTCAGGACCACAGGTGTGTGCCACCATGCCCAGCTTTTTTTTTTTTTAAGTTTTTGAGGAGACAAGGATCTCCTGATGTTGCCCAGGCTGGTCTCAAAACTCCTGGACTAAAGTGATCCTCCCACCTTGGGCTCACCTTGGCCTCCTGAGTCTACAGGCGTGAGCCATCATGCCCTGCCTGAAGTCCCATATTCATGTCTCCGGACCTGATAAATTCTGCGTGCCTCACATAGCTCAAAGTTCTCTGAGCTATTTTTATTTTTCTCACTTTTTTAGTGAGAAGGGGTGAGTTTCTGGCTCCTTAGTGAGAAGGAGAGGAGACATATCCCTGCTCAGGAAAGTGCCGAGTTGGGACTCAATACTCCTTTTGAAAGACTTTGGAACAATTATTTGATTCTTCCTTTTTTTCTTTTTTAGACAGGATTTCACTATGTTGCTCAAGCTGGGCTCAAATTCCCAGGCTCAAATGATCCTCCTGCCTCAGCGTCCCTTGTAGGCTGGGCCTACAGGCAAGCATGCATCACCATGCCCAGTTTGATCCTTCCATTCTTTTTTTTTTTTTTTCGAGACAGGTTCCCACTCTCTCAACCAGACTGGAGTGCAGTGGTGCAATCATGGCTCACTGCAGCTTCAAACTCCCAGGTTTGAGTGATCCTCCCACCTCAGCATCCCAGGTAGCTGGAACGACAGGCACATGCCACCATGCCCAGCTAATTTTTAAATGTTTTTTGTAGAAACGGGGGTCTCACGATGCTGCCCAGGCTGGTCTGGAACTCCTGGCTTCAAGTGATCCTCCCATCTTGGCCTCCCAAATTTCTGGGATTATAAGCATGTGCCAGTGCGCTGAGCCTGATTCTTCCTTTTTTTTTTTTTTTTTTTTTTTGAGACCGAGTCTTGCTCTGTCACCCAGACTGGAGTGCAGTGAAGTGAGCTTGGCTCACTGCAACCTCCACCTTCTGTGTTCAAGTAACTCTCTTGCCTCAGCCTCCCGAGTGGCTGGGATTATAGCCGCCCACCACCACACCCGGCTAATTTTTGTATTTTTGGTAGAGACGGGGTTTCACCATGTTAGCCAGGATGGTCTCGATCTCCTGACCTCGTGATCCGCCCGCCTCGGCCTCCCAAAGTGCTGGGATTATGGGCGTGAGCCACCGCGCCTGGCCATATTTATACTTTTTTAATACCACTAGGCTCAACCCGTATGATATTTTTTGCAGCAGCTTTCTTGAGATGTATTTCACATACCGCATAAATCACCCATTTAAAATGTACAATCGAGCGGTTTTTAGCGTATTCATAGAGTCGCACATCACCACAATCAATTTTAGAACACTTTTATCACCCCCCAAAGAAATCCACATCCTTTAGCCGTCAACCTCCAATACTTCCATTTCTCTGCACCTAGGCAATGTATAATCTACTTTCTGTCTGTATAGATTTGCATACTCCGGATGTTTCACATAAATGCGGTCATGCGACACGTGATCTTGTGGCTGGCTTCTTTCACTTAGCGCCATGTTTTCTAGTTTCACCCGTTTTCAGCATGTGTCCGTCCTTTTCCTTCTTTTCGAAACAGTTTTATTGAGATGCCGTTCACATACCATACGGTTCATTCATGTAAAGCATCTGTAATTCAATTGCCTTTAGAATATGCACAGTTACGTAGCCATCACCACAATACATTTTAGAACATTGGTATCACCTCAAATTCCTTTTTATTGCCAAATAATATTCCACTGTATGGATATACCACATTGCATTTATCCACTGGTGGGCATTTTCACTCTTAGAATATTATAAATAATGTTGCTATGGATATTCATGCACGAGTTCTTGTGGGGACATATGTCTTCATTTCTTTCAAGTATATACCTAGGAATGGAAATAATGGGTTATACGGTAATTCTATGATTAAGCTTTTGAGGAACTGTCAGACAAGCCATGTGATTGACTGATTGATTTTTAAAGACAGGGTCTTATTGTATTGCCCCAGCTGGTCTCCAACTCCTGAGCTCAAGCAATCCTCCTACCTCAGCCTCTGAATGGCTGGGGCTACAGGCACGTGCCACTGCACCCAGCTGCCATGTGATTTTTTTCTTCCCAATTTTCTCACTGAACATTAATCATGTGTATTTTCATGAATGGTTAAGTGTTCTTTGAGCATGTGGCTTTTAACATTTAACATATCCAAATTTTAATTGGCCAATCCCGTTATTGGGGACACTTCCAATTTTCATTATGATAAACAGCATTTCCATGGGCATCTTTTTTTTTTTTGAGACAGAGTTTTGCTCTTGTTGCCCAGGCTAGAGTGCAATGGTGAGAACTGCAGCCTCCACCTCCAGGATTCAAGCAATTCTCCTGCCTCAGCCTCCTGAGTAGCGGGGATTACAGGTGTGCGCCATCATGCCTGGCTAATTTTGTATTTTTAGTACAGCTGGGGTTTCACCATGTTTGTCAAGCTGGTCTCAAACTCCTGACCTCAAGGGATCCACCCACCTAGGCCTCCAAAAGGGCTGGGATTACAAGTGTGAGCCACCGCGTCCGGCCCCATGAGCATCTTTAGGCATCAATCTTTTATACATCTCTGGTTATTTCTCTAGAGCACATTAGTCAAATGATTGTATCAAAGGGCACAGGCAGTTTTGAGGCTCTCAGTGCATGATGATAAACTGCCTTCCAAAAAGGCTGTGCCCGTTTGCATTCTCAAAAGTAGAGTGTGCACCCCTCCTTACATTTTAATAGTTTCCTGAGGTCACCAGAACATGAACATGGGGAGGGCAGGGACTTGCTTGGGCATCTTGGATACCATGCCCAGTTCAATGTGCAGTACTTAGTAGGGGTTTGTGTGACAGGAATGAGTGAGAGCACATGAAGGCCCAGATGAGTGCAGGGTCCGTGGGGCACAGAGGAGGGTACAGGTGTGTGAGCACCGTGTGGACTTAGCACACGGCTGACGTGAGGACTCAGTGCAGACACAAGTGGTAACAAGGCCTCGTGAGTCAAAGAGCTCCTCACCCTGGAGGTCAAAGCAGCTGATTGGAGATGAGGAAGCCACACTCCAAGGTCACTTAGGGACAGACGCTGGCAGGGCTGATCTGAAGACTGGCAGCAACTCCTTTTTATACTCCACTCTGCAAGCGCCAGTCTTTATGCAGAGTTCTGGAAGAATTCCCCTCACTGAGCTAGCAAGGCCATCAAACTCTGCGTTCACCTGGATATCCTAAGGAGACACCCATTACAAGGATGAACTTTGTTACTATCTGAGAACTTCACCATTTTTCACTCACACACGCAAGGTCTCAGAGAAGCTCCTTCGGGCAGCTTCTCCCCTGTGGATGACAGTCTCATACCCGCAAACTAGTAAGATCCAGGAGAGAAGGGGACAATGGGGGATGTTTAGAGGCCTGCTGTATTTATTTATTTAGAAATGGGATCGTACTGTGTCACCAGGCTGGAGTGCAGTGGCTCAATCATAGCTCACTTCATCCCTGAGCTCCTGGACTCAAGCTATCTATCCTCTTGCTTAAGCCTCCAGAATAGCAGGGACTACAGGTGCCCACCACCATGCCCGGCTATGCTGTATTTCCAGATCTGGGGGCTGGTTACATAGACACCTATGCTGTTTGTGAAAATTCTCCAAGCTCTATGCTTAATCTTTGTGCATTTTTCAGCATAGATGTTGTTCCTCAATTAAAAACAAAAAACCAAGGGGTTGTGAAGAACAGAACTGGCACTGATGGAGTCCTTCTCTGTGCAAGGCCTTTCCCTTAGGTCTGTCATCTCAGCTTATGTTCATGATGGCCTTGCGGGGTAGACGTTAGCCCCATTTCACAAAAACACAAGTCTGAGCCTAGGGAAAGATTTTCCTTGAACTATAAGTCTTCAAAACTATTTCCCTCAAAGCTCAGAATAAAATCTGGGCTAGTCAGATTATACTAGTGATAACAGATAACAACAGTTAAGGAATAGAAGATAGAATATTCAATTCAGGCTAATTGTTTTTCTTTGTTTTTTTGTTTTTTGGGTTTTTTTGAGGTAGAGTCTCGCTCTGTCACCCAGGCTGGAATGCATTGGCATGGTCTCGGCTCACTGAAACCTCCGCTTTCTGGTTCAAGCGATTCTCCTGCCTCAGCCTCCCGAGTAGCTGAGGTTACAGGTGAGCACCACCACATCCAGCTAATTTTTCTTCTATCTTTTACAACACAGAGTTTCACTCTTGTTGCTCAGGCTGGAGTGCAATGGCACGATCTCGGCTCACTGCAACCTCTGCCTCTGGGTTCTCCTGGAGGTGATTCTCCTGCCTCAGCCTCCTGAGTAGCTGGGATTACAAGTGCATACCACTATGCCCGGCTAATTTTTGTATTTTTAGTAGAGACAGGGTTTCACCATGTTGGCCAGACTGATCTCGAACTCCTGACCTCAGGTGATCTGCCTGCCTCGGCCTCCCAAAGTTCTGGGATTACAGGCATGAGCTACCAACTCCGGCCAAATTTTTGTATTATTAGTAAAGACAGGTTTTGCCATGTTGGCCAGGGTGGTCTCGAACTCCTGACCTCAGGTGATCCACCTGCCTTGGCCTCCCGAGGTCCTGGGGTTATAGGCGTGAACCATCATGCCCATCCCAGGCTTGTTATTGATTGATCGTTTATGATTCTTTGACTCAGAATCTTGTCCAGGATCTCACATTGATAGACACAGGATTTGGTCCCAACCCTGAACTGATTCCAAAGCCCATGGCATTCCCACAAGACTAGGGGCTTCTGATAATGACCATACATTGTGACAAGTAAGTGTATATTCAGGCAGGATAATGCCATATGACATTCTATTTCTTTTAGAATGACAGATCCAGTGCTGACAGGAATTCTCAGAGCAGCAGGCACATGGTTAAGGCAAGAACAGGCCATTAGAAGGAAATGGTAAGGACGTTTGACATCGGTTGTCCCAAACCTGAAGAATTGAAACTACACAGACACATTTCTGGAAAGGCTTTGACTCAAGTCTGGGTTGAAAAAAATCAGGGTTAGAATCAGCACTGATTTGTAACTCAATTTTTTTTGTTTCCTTCCCTTTTTTTTTGAGACAGAATCTGGCCCTGTTCCCCAGGTTGGAGTGCAGTGGCACAATCATAGCTCACTGAAGCCACAAACTCCTGGGATCAGGTGATCCTCCTGCTTCAGTCTTCTGAGTACCCGAAACTACGGGTATGTGCCACATGCCTGGCTAATTTTTTAAAAAGCTTTTTGTAGAGATGGGGACCTTTCTGTGTTGCCCAGGATGGTCTTGAACTCTAGGCTTCAAGGGATCCTCCCACCTCAGCCTCCCAACATGCTAAGATTATAGGTGTGAGCCATCTCACCTGGCACTTTTTCTACATTAAAAAAATCAAAATTCGCCAGGCGCAATGGATCATGCCTGTAATCCCAGCACTTGGAAGGCCGAGGTGGGTGGATCACCTGAGGTCAGGAGTTCGAGACCAGCCTGGCCAACCTGGTGAAACCCCATCTCTACTAAAAAAAATACCAAAAAAAAAAAAAAAATCAGCCGGGCGTGGTGGCACACATCTGTAATCCTGGCTACTCAGGAGGCTGAGGTAGAAGAATTGCCTGAATCTGGGAGCCGGAAGTTGCAGAGAGCCAATATAGCACCACTGCACTCCAGCCTGGGCGACAGAGTGAGACTCTGTCTCAAAAAAAAAAAAAAAATCAAAATTGACCCAAGACATGAGAGACCATGGCACAGGATCACTTGAGGTCAGAAGTTTGCAACCAGCCTGGGCAACATAGCAAGCCCCCATCTCTAAAAACTTTAGCCAGGTATGGTGACCTGTACCTGTACTTCCAGCTGCTTGGGGAGCTTAGACAGGAGAACCACTTGAGCCAAGGAATTTGAGACTGCAGTGAGCTACGATCACACCACTGCACTGCAACTGGGTGACAGAGTGAGACCCTGACTCAAAAAAAAAGTGGCAAAATTGAATGAAAAGGGATCCTAATCTCTCTCACAGCCACTCAAGTGAAGCTTCCAGCACCACAGTCCACCTGCAGACAGTCAGGGGAGGGGCAGAGGGCAGCCTTGCAGGTGCTGCGCCTGCAGATCGAAACCTCAGTGGATAGGGAGCATCATGCCCAGACCTCCACTTATCCTCTCTCAGCCAATGAAGAACCCAGGCAGGTGCCCCAGGTGAGATCCCGTGGAACCAGCAGTCTGGAGCGGGCAGAGCTGAGTGGCCCCATGCCTGCATTCAAGTCCCGTTGCAACTCTGCTTCTGCCACGCTGTGTAACTGGGCAGGGCTCTTGATTTCTGTAACCCTCACTTTCTTCTTCTAAAATTATGATACCTCACAGGGCTGCTGGGAGGATCAGAAACGAGGTTTATAAAATGCTCTTACTGAGAAATCCAGCAGTTCCAGGGCAGAGGCTGGATTGTCCTGGACAGACTTGAGGAGACCAAAGCAGCCTTCACTTCGCATGGGATTCCTGGACACCTGAGAAACACGCACACAAAGCTGCGAGAAGCCAGGTCCGGGAAGGCCAGAGAGCAATGTGAAAGGGAAGGAGGGGCTCCTCATCTCTGAGGACACAGCCACTATGGCCACACTGTTTCGGCTCAGAAGGTGTCTCCATCAGATAGTCAGACAGAATGCTCTGGTGAGGCTGCTGGGTCAGGGAAGAAAGGAAGGGAGAGGCCTCCGATTGATATAGACACACAAGACACACCCTTGCCTTTAAGAACTTGCCTGCTGGGGAGAGGGGAGGGAAAGGAAGCATCATGAAATGTGGTGTGATCAGCGCAGTGAGTGAGTGTGCACCAGCTCCCCTGGGAGGGAAAGGCTGGGAGGGGAGGTGTATCTGGGCAGGGCTCAGCGGAGCTTCCCAGGTGAGGTGGCCGGAGCTGGACACTTCAGCAAGAACAGCAGAGGAACAAAGGCAGGGGTGAAAAATAGTACCGTGTGTGTGTGTGTGTGTGTGTGTGTGTGTGTGTGTGTGTGTGTGCTCCAAGCTTGGGGTGAGAGCACTGAACTTGGAAGAGAGGGGCTGGCAGAGCCCAGATCCCCCATGACATGCTATGTTACTTTTTTTTTTTTTTTGAGACAGAGTCTTGCTCTGTCATCCAGACTGGAGTGCAGTGGTGAGATCTCAGCTCACTGCAACCTTCACCTCCTGGGTTCAAAGGATCCTCCTGCCTCAGCCTCCAGAGTAGCTGGGATTATAGGTGTGCATCACCACATCTGGCTCATCTTTTTGTTTTCAGTAGAGACAGGGTTTCACCATGTTGGTCAGTCTGGGCTCAAACTCCTGACCTCAAGCGATCTGCCTGCCTCAGCCTCCCGAAGTGCTGGGATTATTGGCGTGAGCCACCACACCTAGCTCCGCATGACATGATGCACTCAAAGCTTGGGTTTATCCAGAGGGGATAAAACTCCAACAGTTTTAAAGCAGGGCATGTTTCTGGTCCTGGGTAGCAGCTGGGAAGAAAGAACCGCAGCCAGGAATCCCGCAAGTTCACAGAAGCTAAGAGAGGAAGTCAGAAGAGGGAGGAGTCAGCAGGGTGAGCCCCTGCAGAAGGTGGGAGGGAGGGTGTGGAAAAGGGAGGGGCAGGCAGGCTCTGGGCCCCAGCTGGTGACTTGGGAAGAAGGAAGAAGGAGCCCCCCACCAGGAGGTGGCCCTTAGAGGGGGGTATGCGTTCAGGTTGGACTCTCACATTCCCACGTGTCTTTGGGACATTTAGAGGACTGTCTACGAGGTGACTCGAAACGCAGGTCTATGCTTCAGAGAGGTCCAGGTTCCTGTGAGGCAGGAAGCAGGGGAGGAGAGCTATGGGAGAAGCCCAGTAAGGCTAGGGTGGGGAGCTGAGGGCCGACAGAGCTGGATGTCCATACCCAGCTGGCAATACTGTCCCCCAGCACGTACCTGCTGTGGGCACAGTGGTCCCCTGGGGACCTGCTCCCGGCTTGCCTCCCTCCTGTGTCTGTCTTCTGCTCCCTGTCCTGCTCAGCACTCCCTCCCCACCTGCAAACCCAGGGGAAGGAACCCCAGCTGGGAACACCAGGCCTCAGGTGGGCCTGAGCAGTGGCCAACAGAACACCTGGGTGGGGCCTGGGTCTCAGCAAGGCCAGAGGAAAGGCAGGGGAGAAGATGAGGGAGACACAAGGGGTGCCCAGCCACCTTCAGCAGAGCAGCACCCCAGCCCACAGAGGAGGAAGGGCAGCAAGAAGATGTGGGAGAGAGGCTGGGAGGGATGAAGGGGAGAAGAGGAGGGCCAGGCCCCAGATTCAGGGTGAGTGGCAAGGGAGTGAGCCAGCCTGTGTGCACCTGCCTGCTGCCCCTGGGTGGGGGCTGTGGGGGAGGGATCTGTGTGGACTGTTACAGGGCAGGTCTGTGCTGGTGTCTCAGTCATCAGGCTAGCACTCACTACAAGAATCCTCAGCGTCTGGTTGACCCGGAGGCCCAGGCCCAGGCTCAGGGCTCCCATCGCAGAGATGCGGTTGTTACTGCAACAAAAACAACAGGCACATGCATTGTGCAACCTTCCAAGCAGCGGTGCAGAGCCCACTGCCCCAGGGTGCCCACTGGAGCTGCCATTGCAGCCACCAGGTTGGGTCTCTTGTTCCCTCCACTCACACCCCAGGAACCCTGGACAGATCAACAGGTAAAAGGTGGAGATGACACCGTTCAGAGGAATCACACGGCAAACACACCTAAAGCGTCCCTGTCCTGGTGGACACCAGCTGCCGCTCCTCTGAGCTCTGCAAGTGCTCCCACATATTCTGCCCCAGCTGACACCTCATGCCTATCACCATTACAACGCCTGTTCCAGAAAATCACCTAGCTTATGTTCAAGGCCTCTCCTCCTCCTGCCGTTCCCAAACTCCAGTCCTCAGCACCGCCCTGGACCACTTTGTCTCCGGAGTCAGTCCCGCTTCTCTCTGACTTCTCAGACCCCAGCTCTGGCTGCACCTCCGTATTCAGCCTCCGCGGCTGCCTCCAGTCTTAGCTCCTCCCATGGGGAGGAAAGCTGGGCAGGATTGAGTGGGGCCTTCTTGCCCACAGGGAGCTGCCCCTGGGGAGGGTCTCAGCCACAGCAGCCCATGACCTCCCTGGCCTCTGGCCCGTGACCTCCCTGGCATCCGCCTCTTTTCTTCCCTCTGGGCTTGTGCCTCCTGGCTAGGCTGGGACGCTGCCTGGCCTGGAGGAGCCCCTCACACAGGGCATGCTCCAGTAGCCACATGCTGAGCAAAACAGGCACTGGGGCCCACTTGTCAGGGTCCTGCCTTGCCCCACCCAGACTAGGCTCGTTTTACTCGCTCTGTTGCAATGCAGCCTGAAATCCTGAATCCTCGGCTCAAGCAATCTTCCTGCCTCAGCCTCCCAAGTACCAGGAATGATAGGTGTATGCCACCGGAAATGGACAATTTTTAGATTTCGCATAGAGATGGAGTCATGCTATATTGCCTAGCCTGGTCTCAAAATCCTGTCCTTAATGGATCCTCCCGCCTCAGCCTTCCTAGGTGCTAAGATTACAGTTGTGAGCCACAGAACCTGGCCCTGGCTCGTCTTCTGCAAGGGAGGAAAGCTTGCATGGAGCACCCACCATGCACCAGGCTCTGCCGGAGATGCTTTATACACCGTGTGCAATTCGCAGCCATCCGCCTGTGCTATAGGAATCACAGGTCTCTATGTAACAACGATGAACTCCCCATGACTGTAATTCCAGCACTTTGGGAGGCTGAGGCAGGAAGACTGCTTCAGCCCAAGAGTTCAAGGCCAGCAGGAGACTGTCTCTACAAAAAAGAAAAAATTAGCCAGGCTTGGTGACATACTCCTGTAGTCCCAGCTACTTGGGAGGCTGAGGTGGTGGGATTGCTTGAGCTGGGAAGGCCAAGGCTGCAGTGGGCCATGATCACAGCACTGCACTCTACCCTGGGCAATAAAGCAAGATGCTGTTTTAAATAAATAAATAAAATTATAAACTCCAGTGATAAGGATGACAGAGCTGCTCTGGGATTGTGGCTCAAGCCCCATCACGGGAATCCCCATCACGGGTAGACTGTGTGCTTCAGCAGCAAGATCATGGAGCCCATGATTCCTGGGGTGTCCCCCCGGGGATCCTCACCTCATGTTGAGTTCCTCCAACACGTTGTTGGCCTTCAGAGCCTCACCCACCGCAGAGGCTCCAGGATCCCCAAAGCCATTGTATGAGATGTCTAGAACTTTAAGGAAGATGTTTGCCTAGAATACCAAAGAGTGAAGTCATGGGACCCCATCTGACAGTGGAGCAAGCCAGGGTGCCACAGCCTCAGAGACCAGGAGCCCTGAGGTGCAAAGATAAGAGATAAAGGGCAGAAGGGGAGAGGCTCCAAGGAAGGGTCAGGAAAGTGCCATGCAGACCCCCTGGTGGCTGCAGCTTGGATGATGGTGGTCAACAGAGCCCAGTGGCCCAGAGCACAACAGGAAAGGACCGGTGTAGACGTGAATGGCCCTCAGAGAGACTGGGAGGGGCGTGTGCAGAGCAGCAGCAGGCCCCAGAAACATTGATCGGACTCCACACCCACTTAATGGCTCTAGAGGGCAGGGATCCCAAGATCCAGTGAACAGCTGTTGGATGAAACCTGTCCAGCGTACTGTGATGGGGAGAAGGGTAGGTGCTCTGGCAAGACAGAGTGTGACATGCCATCTTGTGGGGCAGGACCCCAAGGTCAGCCCCTGCATCAGGGCAAGACAGCAGCTGCCATGGCCTGAGGAGGGCCCCACAGGGTATCTGGCACTGGGGACATTGCAGACACCTTGTACCACCCTAGCACCAGCTTGAGCCACCCATTCCCGAGCCCTATGAACCACAACATGGAAGGGAACAGGTGGGTGTTTGAGAGGCTGTGCTGGCATCCAAGGGTGCAAGGTGTCATCTCAGGAAACCACCTGCGTATGCCCAACAGTGAGCATGTGTCACCAGACTGCACAGATGTCCCTTCCCAGCTGGGTGTCTATGGTGTCTGGGGAAGGTGCAAGATATTCAACAGTGACCCTTCAGGAAAGTATGTGACGGTGAGCACAGTGTATTGTGGTCACTAAGTGAAGCCAGGAAAATTAAAATCACCTAAAGAAACAGTCTTTAAGCTGTGCTTAAAAGATCCAAGGTTCATTTCCGAGGAGCTGCAGAGACAGGGAGGTGGCCCCTGGGAGACAGGCCCCAGCAGACAGGCTGTAGGGCCGACTAGGTGGGGGCTTCATACCTCCAGTCCCCTGGCAAATGCCACAGCTCCTGGGCCCCGGAGGTGATTCCAGCTCACGTTAAGCTCGGTGAGTCCTGTGTTTTCTGCCAGGGCTGGTCCAAGTGTCTCCCCTTCAGAAACACCAAGAGAGACCTTCTGACTCACTCTCTTCACTCCTTCAAAAGATCACACTGATGCCCACTGCGTGCCGAGCCTCTGCTGGGCAGGAGGGTCACAGACATGAAACTAATGTGGGCCTGCGGTGCCCTTAAGGAACTCACATTTCATGGGGGAGATACAAATGCAAATGTATGGGATGTGAGCTATTCATTTAGACTAAAAGGGGGAGGCGTGAGAACAGAGTGGTGGCCAGCCTGTCTTGGGGGAAGTCAGGAAAGAGGACAGAGGAGATAACTCAGGACTGAGGAATTCCCCAGGGGTGTGTGCATGCACAGTGGGGAGGAGACACAGGAAACTGCAAATGGCAGGGGCACCTGTGGAAATGCACACAGGCTTATGCACAGTGGGGAGGAGACACAGGAAACTGCAAATGGCAGAGGCACCTGTGGAAATGCACGCAGGCTTGGAGCTGGGCCTGGGGAGGGGGAAGCCAGTGAGGTGAGGAAGGAGTAATGGGCACTTGAGAGATGCTGAGGGGCCTTGTGTGCCAAGCCAAGGGGCTTAGGCAGCACATACAAGTGGCAAGGAGTCAGGGAGGGCCTTAGGAAGTGATGAGGCTGGATTAGCATTTCAGCAAGTGGCAGGTGTCCAGGATAGACTGGGCTGGGTGGGGGCAGAGGCAAGAGGCTGGGGGACCAGATGGAAGGCTGGTGCCATAGGCTAGGCAAGAGGCAACAGGGCTGGCACAGCTGTGGTAGAGAGGAGATGGGGGTGGTAGAGAAAGGAAGGTGAAAGCCAGGCAGTGGTGTGAGCCTGTGGTCCCAGCGACTCAGGAGGCTGAGGCAGAAGGATTTCTTGGCGCCAGGAGTTCAAGACCAGCCTGGGCAAAATAGCGAGACCTAGAGATGAAGGCGGAGCAACATGGCCGAACAGAACCCTCCAGCGGTCATCCTACAACCCTCACAGGAACACCAAAGCGAACATTTATACACACAAGAAAGCGCCTGCAGAAGAGCCAGAAACCAGCTGCACATCACAGTACCTGCTTTTAACATCATAACAGGGAAACAGGCACTAAAGAGGAAAGAAAGTATTTTTTGTTGTTGTTAAGACACGGTCTCACCCTGTTGCCCAACCCGGAGTGCAGTGGGACAATCACGGCTCACTGCAGCCTTGACATCTTGGGCTCAAGCAATTCTCCCACCTCAGCCTCCTGACTGAGACTACAGGCACATGTCACCACTTGGGGCTAATTTTTTTTTTTTTTTTTTTTTTTTTTGAGACGGAGTCTCGCTCTGTTGCCCGGGGCTAATTTTTTTAATCATTTGTTGTCACCACTGGGGCTCCCTATGTTGCCCAGTTTGGTTTCTAACTCCTGGCCTCAAGCAATCTTCGCCCCTCAGCCTCCCGAAGTGGTGTTGGCATTACAGATAGGCACAGTGCCTTGCCAAGTCTCACTTTTTTTTTTTTTTTTTTTTTTTTGAGACAGAGTCTCGCTCTTTCGCCCAGGCCGGACTGCAGTGGTGCTATCTCGGCTCACTGCAAGCTCCGCCTCCTGGGTTCATGCCATTCTCCTGCCTCAGCCTCCCATGTAGCTGGGACTACAGGCGCCTGCCACCACACTCGGCTAATTTTTTGTATTTTTAGTAGAGACGGCATTTCACCGTGTTATCCAGGATGGTCTCGATCTCCTGACCTCATGATCCACCTGCCTTGGCCTCCCAAAGTGCTGGGATTACAGGCGTGAGCCACCGGGCCCGGCCACCTCACTTAATTTCACTGACTTCTTGCAATAATTTTCTTAGAAGGCAAACTGGTTCTCTGGCAGTTATATGCCAGAGGCAATTCTCACAGGCCAAGGCTGATGTCACCCCACTTGCTCTAAGCAGCTGGAGACAGAGGAGTGCTTCTGAAAAACAATTCTCGGCCAGGCGCGGTGGCCCACACCTGTAATCGCAGCACTTTGGGAGGCCAAGGCGGGCGGATCACAAGGTCAGGAGTTCGAGACCAGCCTGACCAACACGGTGAAACCCCATCTCTACTAAAAATAGAAAAATTAGCCAGGCCTTGTCGCACGCACCTGTAATCCCAGCTACTCAGGAGGCTGAGGCAGGAGAATTGCTTGGACCTGGGAGGCAGAGGCTGCAGTGAGCAGAGATCACACCATTGCACTCCAGCCTGGGTGACAGAGCGAGACTCTGTCTCAAAAAATAAAAAATAAAAAGACGATTCTCCTGGGGCAACCATTAAAATACAGATTCACCAGCATTCCCCTAAGAGTTTGGTTCAGCAGGTCCAGGGTCAGCATCTGCATGCCTAACCCAGGGTCTCAGGTGATCCTTACCATTATTGGACCATTTGAGGAGAGGCAGGTAGAAGTGCAAATTCCTGGCAAAGCAGACAGCTCCTGAATATGCTCAGGGGCATGACAGTGATGAGATCAAGGAATCCCAATCACATCCGCTACCTCACTTGAAACAAAATCTTCACCGTTTTTGCCACGGCCTACAGCCCTGCAGCCCCCTCTGCCCTCTCCACCCCACAGCCTGGCCACGCTTCCCTGGCTCCCTAGCCTAGGCACACTGCTGTCCGCCAGTCTGGGAAACAGGCCCGCATGCTCACTATTCCTCTGCTTGCAATGCTCTCCCTCTGATCTTGCCATGGCTGACTCCTTCCCACCCTGCACATTTCAGCTTAAATGTCACCTCACAGAGGCCTCCCCAGCCACCTCTTTAAAGTAGGGGGTCCCTGTTCTTCTCTAGAATCATAAACTATTTGTTTCTTTTGTAGCACCAATAATTACTCAGAATGATGTTGTTAACATTGTCCCTTGAGGTCAGGAACTTGGTTTTGTTCAAGGTGGATCCCTGGTGGCTAAGTCAGTGCCCAGCACATACAGCAGCGCGCAATGAGATATTTGTGGAAGGAATGAAGAGTTCCGTGTGGCTGGAGTGGAAGAGGAGTGGGGCAAGGTGGGGTGTGGGGAGCAGGAACCAGAGCACATGCTCCCTGGCGATGTGCAGCGCGGTCCTGCCAACCCCCACCCATCCCTGCCCCAGGAAGCTGAGCTTTCATGGCCATGGTGCCCTGCGCAGGCGTTACCTGCTTGGTCATTCAGCTGGTTGTAGCTCAGGTCCAGGGACTTCAGGTCTGTGTGGGCCAGCAGGAGTTCGGCAAGGTGCTGGGCCGCCTGCTCCTCCAGGCCATTCCCTGACAGCTGCATCTTCCGCATGGCCTGGTTCACTGTGAGGGCGGCACAGAGGGCCTGGGCTCCTGCCACTCCCAGCTGGTTCTCCGACAGGTCCACATCTGGGGGACAGAACCACTCCTCGGCCAGTGGGATGCAAAGCCAGGCACTCCCCTACTTCTGCCATCCCCCAAACCTCCAGGTCTGAGGCTGAGGAAGGGGACTTACAGGTTAACTGTCCTGGGGTTGCATGGTGGCTCTGGCTCCCAATGGCTGGGTCCCCTCTGCCCCTGACCTCCCCCTCCCTGTGTGCCCACCAGCTTCTGTGTCAAGTGGTTAAAACCGCCTACCTCCTGGTACTGTAGAGACTGCTGTGGTGGGGGGCAGCTATACCGTCGATGGCTGCATCTGGCAGTGATATCACCACCCACTTCAGAAGCCCTCACAGCCCCGTTGCCAGGATTGGCAATAATAGCCCAAGTGGCCATGCATGGAGCACGTACATGGGTCACACACTCTTCTGACCACTTCAGGAGTGCATTTCACTTCATGCTCACCACAGCCCCAAGCCCATAAGGTATTTTGGGGGCCATTTCACAGATCAGAAACTGAAGCTCAGAGAGGTTAAGCTGCTTGCCCAGGTATCCAGCTCTTCAGTGGCAGAACTGGCATTTGGATCCAGCCCCATCAAACTCCCACATTGCCTACCTGCTTCTTACAATGCCCAACTCCCACCTCTCTGTGTGGAAGGACTCTCCCATCCTGCATTCAGGTACTGGGAGTCTCCCATGTGCTAGGTGAAGAGGGGGATGCTGGCCAGCAAGGGAGGGGAGTGATGGTGTGGGGTGGGTGAGGAAAGGACTTCTATCAGGCATCGGCTGCACAGCAGAGGGTCTAACTCCACCCCACATGCCCCCTCCTGTGATGAGGCCCCTCTTCTATCCACCAGCAACACCAGCAGGCCCCAGGTGACACGGCCCAGCTTTCAACGATGGAGGCACATCCCTGAGGAAAAGGAGGACACGCCTGCCCACCTGCCCCAGACCCAGCACCTACCATGGATGCTGCTGCTTTTGCTCAGGGCACCTGCCAGGGCCTCTGCACCTGCCCCACAGAGCCCATTGTCTCGAAGGTCCAGCCGCTTGACATATGGATTGGAGCTCAATGAGGAAGCCAGAGCCCGGGCGCCCTGGGACAGACAGAGCAAACACACTGGCCACTATCCTGGCTCATGCTCCAGGGCTCAGCCCACTCCACATCCTCCAGCTGGAAAGCCCTCCCCTTCCCACCTGTTTTAAGTGACACCTGCTTCTCCTTTTAGGCTCTGTGAAGGTCTCCCCCCACCCCCAGCTCTCCCTGACCCCCCAGCGGGTTAGGAGCCTGCAGGATCCACAACCCTTAACGCCACCTGTCACAGCCTCAATCCCATCTGTCTCCCAGATGTGGAGGGTAGGGCATGACTGACACAGGCAGAAGCTGGGGAGTGTAGGGGACAGACACAGGGGCACTCCCATGGCTGCTGTCTCCCGAGGCCTCTCCCCGTAAGCCTGGATACAGTGTCCCTCCAGTGGTACCTGGGGCCCCAGGCCACGGTGCCGGAGGTTCAGCTCTTGGGCGCTCCCTTGGCGCAGAAAGCAGGAGATGGGCACAACACTATGGGCCCGGCAAGACCTCAGGTACAGTGTGTCCCTGACCAGTTCTCCAAGCCCATCGGTGCCTGGCAGGAGACAGGGGGACGAATGTGGACCCTGCACAGCTACAGCCACCTGTGTCCTCCCCTGCCCTGTGTCACTACCTGGCCTATGTTTTGCCTCTAGAAGCACTGCTTCCTGTGCTTCTTGGGACCACTGCTCCCATATGACAGATGAGGACATCAAGCCTCAGGCAACGCAAATCTTTTCCTTAAAGTCATACGGCTATCAAAAGAAAGCTGGACAACCTGGGCAACATAGCTAGACAAATTTTCTTTTTTTTTTTTTCGAGACAGACTCTTGCTCTGTCACCCAGGCTGGAATGCAGTGGCACGATCTCGGCTCACTGAAACCTCTGCCTCCCAGGTTCAAGCAATTCTCCTGCCTCAGCCTCCCGAGTAGCTGGGATTACAGGCGCCCACCACCACACTGGGCTAGTTTTTTGTATTTTCAGTAGAGACGGGGTTTCACCATGTTGGCCAGGCTGGTCTCGAACTCCTGACCTCAGGTGATCTGCCTGCCTGGGCCTCCCAAAGTGCTGTGATTACAGGCGTGAGCCACCCCACCCAGCCAAAAAATTTTTATATTAGCCAGACGTGGTGGTCTCCTGTAGTCCCAGCTACTCAGGAGGCTGAGGCAGAAGGCTCACTAGAGTGCAGAGTTCAAGGCTGCAGTGAGCTATTATCCTGCCACTGCACTGACGCCCGGGTGACAGAGCAAGACCCTGGCTCTAATAAATAAATAATTTATTTATATATTTATTTATTAATAAATATGAGCCCAAGCAACCCAATGTTGTTTGTAGTAGAAGTCATGGCTGGCCTGCGCTGAGCATCCCACAGCTAGTGGTGGTAGCTAATCCTGCCAGAGTCAGGCCTCTGCCTGTCTGATGCCAAATTGCATGCTGTGTCTTTTAACCTGGATTGCAGGCCACAAATGTTTTGTAAACATTTTACGGGAGAAAAAACCGAGATAGTTCTAAATTCCATACATCCATTAGCTTAGTTTTTCCTGTGGATTGGGAAAACCCGGCTCTGATTTCATTTCAGGGTGGGACAGCCCTTGGTGCACTGTCTGGCGGGATTTTGCATTTTATCCTGATGCTTCCAGGAGCAATGAAGGGAAGGCAGGGGGCTGGAGGCGCCCCGCAGGCGGGTACGTTCCCTGCTGGCCTTAGCCCCAGCCCGCCTCCCCCAACCCCTGCGGGAGAAGACCCCCAAAGGGGAGGAGTCGGGCCTGCCCCCTCCCCCGAGCACCTTCCGTCTCCAGGTCGGAGTCCCAATTGGCCTCGGGACCCTGCTCGGCCTCGGGGACCCCTGAAAGACGCCCACAGGCCACCATAGCCTCTTCTTTCTGCTCTTCATCCTCCCCAGACCTCTCACAGGAACCCCTCATGGTTACGACCCTCTCGCAGTCTCAGACACTGAGTCGGAGACAGCTTGACCCCGCGCCCAGAGCGCGGCCCGGGATTGTGGGCGGAGTCTGCGGCTGCGCTGACCAACCGAATGTGCCGTCCAGCAACAGGCACCCCCCACAGCCAATAGCGACGCGCTCTCCCGCGGCGGTCGCCCCGGCAACCCGGTGTTGTCGGTTGCCGTAGAAACTGTGGCCGGCTTGTGCTGAGGCTCCTCGCCCGGGCTGATACACTGCATGCGCCACAGACCATGCACCGGATTGGGCGCCTTGCTGCGTTTATCCCCCTGCCTCCCCTAGGCGGTTCCAGCATCGCCCCCCTTTCATGGAATGGGAAACATGCCTGACTCCAGAGCTTGTGTTTTCTTCACTGCACTTGGGAATGGCTTTTCAGGAGGGCCTGGGGAACTTCGCAGAGCCAGGTCACCCTCTCACTCTGTGGCTCTCAGTTCTCTTGCATGCGCTGGCCTTTGCATACGCTGTTCGCTCCCCTGGGAACCTCCATCCCCATCTTTGTCTGCTTGTTGAACTTCAGAATCTGCAAGCGTCAGCTCAGAAGTCACTTATTCCTGAAGCTTTACTCAGAGCCCCCCCGGGGCTGTTGCTGCCCTCAGGCCGTCTTCTCACAGCACTGATAACAGCTGTCCTTCCCCATCCTCTCACCACGTCCACTCCCACCGGAGGAAGTGAGGCCAGAGGGCAGGGACAGAGCTGCTGTTTTCTGTGTGCCACCAGGGCCCAGCAAAGAGAATGTAGGGAGGGTGGGAGGTGCAGGGCAGCTGGGGTTAGGGGCTGAAGGCTGGGTGTTGGAGGCTGGATCCTGCTTTAGTGGAAGTGTCCCTTTAACAGCGGCTGGCGTGGCCTGGCTCGGGCCCTGCTTTGCCTCCTGTTCAGCTGCGGCTGCAGCTGCCATGCTGACTCATGTGCCCGCAGCTAGCAGGAGCTGGCAGCATGGGCTCCCCAGGGGCCACAGCAGACTAGGGGCTTCTGGATTATAAAACGGAGAAGTATGTGATGACCAGGAACTGGTGGGGGGGCGCCCTGCAGAGGCTGCTGCAGTTTGGGATCGTCGTCTATGTGGTAGGGTAAGAGAGAAGAGCTTTTGGCCAGGCTGGAGGGGCAAGGGAAGAGGTCGGGGGTGGGGCTTGGTCCTGCTGGGTTGAAGTTGAGGGTTGGGCTGTTTAGGGGCTGGAGGGGAAGGGGCCATAATGGGACGGGGTGGGAGGTAGGCAATACAAGACAGGAGAGCAAGAACAAGCTGTGTGTTTGTCCTGTGTGTCCACCTGCCTGCTTCCCAGTCCCTCCCCACGGCCCCACCCAGGGGGCACAAGACATTGTCCTTAACATCTGTGAGAGCTGGAGCACTAGGCCCCCAGAGAGACCACCAGCTATATCTCCGGTCAGGGGAGTCTATAAGCTCGGAGCTGGGTCTACTGAGGCTGGGGGTGGGTGCTGGCTAGTGAAGGTGATTGTCTGAGGGCACTGGCTCTCTGATGCATGGCTGGAGCTTCTGTCTCGTTCAGGGAGTCTACAGTGGGAAGTGGGGCCAGAGAGGATGCTGGACTGGGAGCCTGTAGGGTGTGGGGAGAGAACTGAGCATGTAGGGCCCAGCTCTGCCCCGTCACTACACGCTGGGGGGACACCACACTGCCCATCTTCTCCTTCCCAGGTGGGCGCTCCTCGCCAAAAAAGGCTACCAGGAGCGGGACCTGGAACCCCAGATTTCCATCACAACCAAACTCAAAGGGGTTTCCGTGACTCAGATCAAGGAGCTTGGAAACCGGCTGTGGGATGTGGCCGACTTCGTGAAGCCACCTCAGGTGGGGGCCCTGATGTTGCTGACGGGGGCGCAAGTCCTTTCCCCACTGACAGCTTGAACACCCGCCATGCAGCCAGTGTGTGCGAGAGAGAAGCATGTGATGCCAAAGGTGGCTGCAGGTTCTCAGGAAGGGCTTCACAGAGGAGTGGCACCTGAACAGGACTTTCAGGGATGTGTAGGAGGTTTCTGGTAGAAAAAGGGATGGGTTGAGAAACCAGGCCAGAGAAACTGCATTTCCGAAGGCTGCCAACAGAAAAGAAGGGAGTGTTTGAGACTAATGGCTTGAGCTTGAGAGTGGTGTGGGAGGGGTGTGGTGGGGCCAGGGCGTGGAACTTCCTGTAGCCCTGCTCCCTGACCTGGGGCACCTCGGTCAGGTGCTCCTCCTCCACCCTTCTCAGCTGCATTTTCCTCTTCCCTCCACCCAGCTTATCCACAGCCTTAACTTCCACCCACCTCTGCTCCTCTGATTCCCAGGGTGTATGTAGCCCCAGTGAACACCTGCCCAGAGCACAGCTGTCTTCCAGGTGCACACTCATATGTCCAAAGATCAATTATTTCCCTCTCCTGGCATGGCCTCTGTGACATCCACTAGTCATGATGGCTGTGACATCCACTAGTGCCTCAGCCAGACCCATGACTCAGCCTCAACCCCTTCCTGTCCCTTCCAACATTTTTCACTACTGCCCATGCCATGCCTGCATGAGACTATGGCCTCCTAGAAGGCCCTTAGATGCCCCTCTCGCCTCCTCCCTACTGCTTGGTGCACACCACACAGCAGCCAAGCTGAACTTTCACACCAGGCATCATGAGAGCCTGCAGCCCCTGTTTCTACCCTCAGGAGGCCCCCCGCCAATGATAGTGGCCACCCATCCCTCCTAATCCCAATGGCTGCCACTCTCAGCACCCTCTGCACAGCCCTCACCTTCCGTTCCTGGGCATGCATTCCCCAAATTCAGTGTTCTCATGGGCAGCACTGGAGGGTCAGCCTCCCCTTCCAACATCCTTGGCCACCCTTTGACCACAGGCAGAGCTTTCTGTCTTCTCACCTGTGCCCTGCCATGCCAGTGCTGCTGTGTGTGGGATGGGAGACTCACCTCCTCTCCATCCTGGCAGGTGCAGGGCCCAGCTCTCCCCTGGATCTTCAGTACTAGAAGCAGCAGGCTGTCGTAATATTCTGGTTGACGCCAGGCATGGTAGTTACAGCCTATAGTCCCAGCTACTTGGGAGGCTGAGGCAGGAAGATCTCTTGAGCCCAGGAGTTACAGGATGCAGTAAGGGTTGATGACACCACTGCACTCCAGCCTGGACGAGTAAAGTGAAACTCTGTGCGCCTGTAATCCCAGCTACTCAGGAGGCTGAGGCAGGAGAATCCTTTGAACCCAGGAGGCAGAGGTTGCAGTGAACCGAGTTCATGCCACTGCACTCCAGTCTGGGTGACAGTGAGACTCTGTCTCAAAAAAAAAAATAAAGAAGAAAGAAAATAAAAGATATTTTGGTTGAACAAATGAGAAAGAAACTTGTCTCAAGAGATGGACATGGGCATGAGGCTTCATGGTCTCAGAAATGGCCAGAACTGCTGCCAGCCTCCCATCTCTGCTTCAATCTGCCTTACGTGGGGACAGGGTTAATGATTTCATGGGGCCAACATCCCTTCCCTCATAAACCAGGCTGCCGGCTTCTGGCCTTTCCAGTCAATGCAAGCCCAGCCAGGCCAACTTTGAGACTTGCCTCCTAGGGAGAGAACGTGTTCTTCTTGGTGACCAACTTCCTTGTGACGCCAGCCCAAGATCAGGGCAGATGCCCAGAGGTGAGTTTGCCCAGGATACTCCCAGCGGGCCCCTCATTCCTCCATCAGCCCCAGGTGGCCACCCGTGTTTCCCTTTATCCTTCCCAGGTGGCTGAAGGCTCAGCATGTGCTTAGTGTCCCCCAGGCACTGGGCTACATCTTTGTGTGAATCATTTCGTTCAGTCTTCACATATCCCCTGCCTGGCAGGAATTCCTGTGATCCCCATTTCAGAGGCAAAGAGTGAGGCTCAGTGAGGTTGAATCACTTACTTAAGGCCTCCCAGGCTGTGGGTGACAGAAACCCGAGCTCTGGCTAGCAATGAGTCAGTCAAAAATAAAAATTAAAACAGTAAAAAATTATTTATAGCTGGGCACAGTGGCTCCCACCTGTAATCCCAGCACTTTGGGAGGCCAGGACAGGAGGTTGCTTGAGGCCCAGAATTTGAGACCAGCCTGGGCAACATAGCAAGACTCCACTCTACAAGAAAATTTTTCTAAAAATTTGCCAGGCATTGCCCCAGCTACTCAGGATACTGGGGCAAGAGGAGTTCAAGGCTGCAGTGAGCTACAGTCCCACTACTATACTTTAGCCTGGGCAATGGAGCAACACCCAGTCTCAAAAAATAATAATAATAACTTATTTACAAATTTTTTCCCACTTGCATTTATATAAGTTTAGTTTATTTAACAATTATATCTGAATTGTGAAAACTTCATGAAACATTAGACAAAGCTAGTTATTATCTTAAGTTTTATTTTGCTGGCAATTTTTATGACATATATATTAGGCAAATATCAAACATTATTGAAGTAAAGCACCTAAAATGTTAAACATTCAACACTTTTTTTAATCTCAGACTAGCATACTGGGGGTTGTTCTAGTTAATTCCTCAGATTCTTTTATTTTATTTTATTTTATTTTTTTGAGATGGAGCCTGGCTCTGTTGTACAGGCCGGAGTGCAATGGCATGATCTCAGCTCACTGCAACCTCCGCCTCCCGAGTGGTTCCAGTAATTCTCTCCTGCCTCAGCCTCCCAAGTAGCTGGGATTACAGGTGCATGCCACCACACCTGGCTAACTTTTTTAATATATATTTTTCATAGAGACAGGGTTTCATCATGTTGGCCAGGCTGGTTTCGAACTCCTGACCTCAAGCGATCCGCCCACCTTGACCTCCCAAAGTGCTAGGATTACAGGCATGAGCCACTGCACCCAGCCAATTCCTCAGATACTTAAGTTTTTTTTTGTTTTTGTTTTTGTTTTTTTTTTGAGATGGTGTCTTGTCCTGTCACCCAGGCTGGAGTGCAGTGGTGCAATCTCGGCTCACTGCAAGCTCCGCCTCCCGGGTTCACGCCATTCTGCTGTCTCAGCCTCCCCAGCAGATGGATAATTTTTATATATATATATTTTTAGTAGAGACAGGGTTTCACCATGTTGGCCAAGCTGGTTTCAAACTCCTGACCTCAAGCGATCTGCGCACCTTGACCTCCCAAAGTGCTAGGATTACAGGCGTGAGCTACTGTGCCCAGCCCAGTTCCTCAGATACTTAAGTTTGTGTTTTTTGTTTTTTGTTTTTTGTTTTTTTTGAGACAGAGTCTTGCTCTGTCACCCAGGTTGGAGTGCAGTGGCGCGATCTCGGCTCACTGCAAGCTCCGCCTCCCGGATTCACGCCATTCTGCTGTCTCAGCCTTCCCAGCAGATGGGACTACAGGCGCACGCCGCCACACCTGGCTAATTTTTTTGTATTTTTAGTAGAGACGGGGTTTCACCGTGTTAGCCAGGATGGTCTCGATCTCCTGACCTCGTGATCCGCCTGCCTCAGCCTCCCAAAGTGCTGGGATTACAGGCTTGAGCCACTGTGCCTGGCCCTTAAGTTTTAAAGATATGATAAGACTGGCGACAGAGCAAGAAAACTGAGAAAGAATGTAGATTTTCTCCAAGGAGTTTCAGAGCATATTTTTTGTTATCAGAGATCTAGGGTAATTTTTATGGTTTCTTTTTCCTAAGAGTACGATAGTCCAGTAGACTTTTTTGTGGTTTCGGCCTAAACATGGGAATGCCTGGAGCTGATGAGATTTGATTACAGAGCCCCAGGAAGTAGGAGGAATTGTAAGGTACAGTGAAGCAAGCCTGGCTGCTCATTCCCAGAGCCTGTGTTAGGTCTATTTTCTGGCTATCAGTATATACATGTCACCTGTATATCTTGGGCCTGGAAAACAGGCTGGGGTGCTTTCTGTGAATTTTATAGGAAAAGAGAAGTTAAAGTAGGCAGCTGGGCATTGAAAGGATATTTGGAGAAGTTTTAGGTCTAAAAGAAATTTGCTAAGGAGAATAGGGCCAAGTTTTGAGGAGGGTAAGTGTAAGTCAGGGGCCCAGATATCCGAAAGACCTTCTGGGGGATCAGGGACAGGGACTTGGGGGTTGAGCAGAGCACAGGTGGGTGGAGGAGGATAATTTACAGAGGGTGCAGATTTCAACTTTTTTTCTACATCTGATTTCTGTTCTTTAATATTGAGGAAGATTAAAGGAAGTCCCTAAAGCTAACCATATTTATTTTATTTTATTTTTTTTTTTGAGATAGAGTCTGGCTCTGTCACCCAGGCTGGAGTGCAATGGCATGATCTCGGCTCACTGCAAACTCAGCCTCCTGGGTTCAAGTGATTCTCCTGCCTCAGCCTCCTGAGTAGTTGGGACTACAAGCGCACGCCACCACGCCCGGCTAATTTTTGTATGTTTAGTAGAGATGGGGTTTCAACATTTTGGCCAGGATGGCTTCGATCTCTTGATCTCATGATCCACCCACCTTGGCCTCCCAAAGTGCTGGAATTACAGGCATGAGCCACCGTGCCTGGCCTATATTTCTTTGTGTCTTCTTTTTAATTTGATATTTCTCTAGTTACCAATAGGACGGTTGTTTGGGATGAAAGCACCCTTTTTTGTGGGGGGGGACGGTTTACAGATGGGGTCTCACTGTGTTGCCCAGGCTGGAGTGCAGTAGTGGCAAGATCATAGCTCACTGCAGCTCAACCTCCTGGGCTCAAGCGATCCTCCCACCTCAGTCTCCCACAAGGTTGAGATTACAGGTGTGAGCCACCACACCTGGCCAATAGCACGCTTTAATAAAAATACTTTTAGGCTGGGCACAGTGGCTCATGCCTGTAATCCCAGCACTTTGGGAAGCTGAGGCAGGCAGATCATGAGGTCAGGAGTTCGATACCAGCCTGGCCAACATGGTGAAACCCCGTCTCTACTAAAAATACAAAAAATTAGCCAGGCATGGTGGCAGATGCCTGTAATACCAGCTACTCGGGAGGCTGAGGCAGGAGAATCACTTGAATCCACGAAACAGAGGTTGCAGTGAGCCAAGACTGCACCACTGCACTCCAGCTTGGGCAACAGAGCGGAACTCTGTCTTAAAAAAAAAAAAAAAAAAAGCTTTTAGATTCAAAAGTCCAAATCTTCAATGTTATACCTACTTTAATTGTGACTCAAAACCAATAAGCCTTTTTATGGCTTAAAATCAGTATGCCTTTTCTGGCTTAACTGGAGGCACAGAAGAGCATCCCAAACAGGCTGGAAAAGATACAATCCCCCTCAAGATCCAAAGTCTTTTTCAAGATAGCCTAAGCAGGCAAATATCCTAATTGTTATCAAGGCAATGAAAGCTGAGACAAGTAGGACAAACTCCTCTGAGAGCTGGAACCGTTGGACAGAGACACTGTGTTTCTGATTCCTGGGCAGCTGGCTAGCAGCCTAACAAGGACTTGTCCTCCCAACCCCTGCAGCTGGCAGAAACCAAAGAGAATATTTCAATTGGTCACAGAGCCATGTTCTCAAGACATAAAACAAGATATGATAAACCACACAACAGAGACATGGAAAACAAGCCTTATTTCTGGGAGGCTGTGGGTCAATAGCCACTATGTATGCAGAGCCAAATACCAAATTCGGAAGTGTGAAATCAAATAATTCTTTTTTTTTTTTTTTTGAGACAAGGTCTCCCTCTGTCACCCAGGCTGGAGTGCAGTGCTGCAATCATGGCTCACTACAGCCTCAAACTCCCAGGATCATGCAATCCTCCCACCTCAGCCTCCTGAGTAGCTGGGACTACAGGTGCCCGCCACCATGCCGGGCTAATTTTTGTATACTTAGTAGAGACGGGGTTTCGCTGTGTTGGCCAGGCTGGTCTCAAACTCCTTTCTTAAGTTATCCAGCCACCTCAGCTTCCCAAAGTGCTGGGATTACAGGCGTGAGCCACCACCAAGCTGTTGGAACTTTACATTATTATGAGCCTCAGGAGGAATGTGGCCATGTGGCCTGAGGCATGGAGCATGCAGTTGCAACTTCTGCTTTTCCCTGTAAATGGTTAGAAATGTCTGAGCAGCATCAGAGATAAGATGACCTCAGAGCTTGACTTCTTCTCACAGAATGTTGAAACAATTTTCCTTGGAATGTAGCAAGCTGTACTAATGGAATCTAACATACTGGATTTGTACAGAAGATGTTGCAATCCTGCTGACACTGTTTCTGCCTCTATGAGTGAAACCTTAGCTTCCCCACTTTGGAGCAATGACCCCAACCCTTTGGAAGCTGTTTCCTGGGTGTCCATCCTCAAGCTTTGCACTAGAATAAAAATCATATTTCCTTTGGTTTTTTTTGTTTTTGTTTTTTGGAGACTAGGTCTGTGTCACCCAGACTGGAATGCAGTGATGTAATTATAGCTCACTGCAGCCTCCAACTCCTGGGTTCAAGTGATCCTTCCACCTTGGCCTCCCAAAGTGCTGGGATTACAAGCATAAGCCAACGTGCCTAGCTGATATTTTCTGAATCTCATTATTTAAGGTTGACATAAGAGTCATAACTCAAAGAATCAATTCTTACCATGCTTTTCTCCTGCCAGTTTGAATTTAGAAAGGGACAAGGAAAAATTTTACTCTCCTCTTTCAACCAGGCATTACAGACAGAGATCCAGAAGAGTTCACTTTGGGCTGGGCGCAGTGGCTCATGCCTGTAATCCCAGCACTTTGGGAGGCCGAGGCAGGCGGATCACGAGGTCAGGAGATTGAGACCATCCTGGCTAACACGGTGAAACCCCGTCTCTACCAAAAATACAAAAAAAAATTAGCCGGGCGTGGTGGCGGGTGCCTGTAGTCCCAGCTACGTGTGAGGCTGAGGCAGGAGAATGGCGTGAACCCAGGAGGCAGAGCTTGCAGTGAGCCGAGATCGTGCCACTGCACTCCAGCCTGGGCTACAGAGCGAGACTCCGTCTCAAAAAAAAAAAAAGAGTTCACTTTGGTAAGAATTCCTACCTGTGCCCGCTTTTATTTGTTCTCCCAGGATCCCATCTTTAGGCTTGAGAGGATCCCATCCTTGTCACCAGAAACTGTAGGGGTGGCAAAACTCCACTTCCATCCCTAGAGTCTCAGCTGGGCCCAAGAATTAAATTGACATAGGACAGGTTAACAGAAGAAAAGCACATAAATTTATTTATATGCTATTCTACATCTGATTTCTGTTCTTTAATCTTGCGAACAGAGTCCCTAAGGCTAGCCATTATATTTATTTATAAATAAGGGGTGCTGGAGTGCAGTGGTGAGATCACAGCTCATTGCAGCCTCAAACTCCTGGGCTCAAGCTATCCTCCCACCTCAGCCTCCTGAGTAGCTGGAACTGCAGGTACATGCCACCCACCACACCAATCTAATTAAAAAAAAAAAGTGTTGAACCGGGATCTCACTATATTGCCCAGACTGGTCTTGAACTCCTGGACTCAAGCAAGCCCCCCTCGGCCTCCCAAAGCACTGGGATCACAGGAGTGAGCCACCACACAGTCCCACAAATTTATTGAGTACAAGTTTTACATGGGTTGGGAACCCTCATAAGGACATTTGAAGACCCAAAGAAGAAGTTAGAGTCTGTTACTTATACACTGAATTGGACAAATAATAATAAGTTATGAAGAGGCAACTAAATTATATGGGGAGGCTTAAAAGATAACAGTGTTTTAACAAGGTCTGTATAGAATTCTCTCATTTCAACTTCTCATCCTTGAAGATAAGAATGTTGCATCTTTCACATGGCAACTTCATCTCCTGCATTTTAGAAATAGCACAGGCCTGGTTGGGTGGCTCACGCTTGTAATCCCAGCACATTGGGGAGGTTGAAGCAGGTGTATCACTTGAGGAAATGAGTTTGAGACTAACCTGGCCAACATGGGAAAACCCCATTTCTACTAAAAATACAAAATTTAGCCTGGTGTGACAGTGCACGCCTGCAGTCCCCAGCCATTCGGGAGGCTGAGACATGAGAATCGTTTGAATCCTGAAGGCAGAGGCTACAGTGAGCCAAGATCACTCCACTTCACTCCAGCCTGGGCGACAGAGTGAGACTCTGTCTCAAAAATAAAAAATAAAATTAAAACGAGCTATTCAGCCATGAAAAGTCATAGAGGAATCTCAAATGCATATTATTAAGGGAAAGAAGCCTGAAAAGGCAATATACTCTATAATCCCAACTATATAAGATTCTGCAAAAGTAAGACTAGACTATGGAGACAGGAAAAAGATCGGTGGTTGCCAGGTGTTAGCAGGGAGGGACAGGCAGAGCACAGAGGGTTTTTAGGGCAATGAAACTACTGTGTGTGATACAATAATGGTGTGTCTATGTGTCATTACACATTTGTCCAAACCCATAGAATGTACAACCGGAAGAATGAACCCTAATGTAAACTATAGACCTTGGGTGATAATGATGTGTCAATGTAGGTTAATCGATTGTAACAAATATGCCCCTTTGGTGCTGGATGTCAGTAGTGGGAGAGGGGGCTACACGTGTGTGGGAGCAGAAGTATATGGGAACTGTACTTTCTGCTCAATATTGCTGTGAACATAAAACTGCTCTGAAAACTCAACTTTTTTTTTTTTTAGATACAGGGTCTTGCTATGTTGCCCAGGCTGGAGTGAAGAGGCTATTCACAGGTATGATCAAGCTCACTGCAGCCTTGAGCCTCCTAGGCTCAAGCCATCCTCCCAACTCAGCCTTCTGAGTAACTGAGACTACAGGCGTGTACCACCATTCCCAGCTAATAAAGTCTATTTTTAAAAAATCACTTGACGATAAATGTAACTGTTTATTTGTGGACTGTCAATTCTATTCCGTTCATCTATGTGTCTACTCTTATGTCACCACCACAATCTTGATTACAGTCATTTTGCAATCAGTTTAGAAATCAGGAATTGTAAGTCCTCCAAAACTTTTTCAAAAGTATTTTGACTATTCTGGATCCCTTGCATTTCCACATGAATTTTGATGATTTTTGCAAAACAGGTAGTTGGGATTTCAATAGGAATTGCACTCAATCTATGCAACCCCTGAATCTGTAGACCAGTTTGGGGAATACTGCCATTTTATATTTAAAGTCTTACAGTCTATGAACATGGGATGTCTTTCCATTTATTTATGTTGCCTTTAATTTCTTTCTTTACTTTTTTCTTTTTTTTTTGAGACAGGGTCTGACTATCACCCAAGCTGGAGTGCAGTGGCACAAACATGCCTCACTGCAACCTCAACCTCCCAGGCTCAAGAAATCCTTCCACCTCAACACCACCCCCGACTCCCAGTAGCTGAGACCACAGGCACATGCCACCATGCCCATATAATTTTTTTACCTTTCCGTAGAGGTGAGGTCTCCCTATGTTACCCAGGCAAAATACCCAAGTATTTTGGCTATTCTGGATCCCTTGCATTTCCATATGAATTTTTTGTTTTTTGTTTTTTATTTTTTTTTGAGACAGAGTCTTGCTCTGTCACCCACGCTGGAGTGCAATGGCGCCATCTCAGCTCATTGCAACCTCTGCCTCCCGGGTTCAAGCGATTCTCCTGCCTCAGCCTCCCAAGTAGCTGCGATTACAGGCACCCACCACTTATTTTAATTTATTTATTTAGTAGTTTTGGAGACAGGGTCTTGCTTTGCCACCTAGGCTGAAGTGCAGTGACAGGATCATAGCTCACTGCAGCCTCAGACTCCTGGGTTCAAGTGATCCTCTCACCTCAGCCTCCCAAAGTGATGGGATTACCGGTGTGAGCCACTGGGCCTAGCCAAATACTGTATTTTTGATCGACATTTGGTTGAAAAATATCTATGTATTAGTAAACCTGTGTTGTTCAAGAGTCCACTGTGTTTTGCTGGGGATTTCTACATCTATATTCATAAGGGATTTTGGTCTGTGGTTTTCTTTTCTTGTGATGTCTTTGTTGAGTTTAGTGTCAGGGTAATCCTGGCCTTGCAGAATGAGTTAGAAAGTTTTTGTTTCCTGGTGGTTTGTCTTCACTGCATCACTGTGGGGTTGCTCTGTGTAGCTGTCTCACTCAGTAGTGAGGGAAATATCTCTGGAAATGTACAATTTACTGCATCAGCCCTGCTTAGTCTCACATATCCGTTGTATGTTGGTGCCTGTGGCAGAGGGTGTGGTGTCACACCTTCTCCAGGTAGATAAAAAGTCAACACTCCAAAACACTGGACACCAGCAATAAGGCAGTCATTGGTAAGGCCTTTGGGGAGCTCCCATTACAAATCTGCCTAACCCTCTGGCCTGAAGTGCCTAGACTTTTGTGGTGACATTTCAGGACAAGGGACGTCTGCTCAGGCAACACAGGGATGGGGTAAGGAAGCTACCATCCCACCGGAAGTGGGAGCCATCTGAGAAGTTCCTCAAGACAATACCAGCCAAATATTAGAAGGTATTGGCATTCTGGCCGAGGCAGAATGTTCCAAATTGGCACCATCTTGTCTGGGAGTCCATCATCCTGTCACCAGCCCAATAGGCTGGATAGGCTGCAGATGCTCCTAAGATTCCATTCCACAAACCACATGTAAGCCTGAACACATGTCTAGTATAGCGTTCTGGGGAGGCCAGGAGCCATGGTTCATGAATGTAATCACAGCCTTTTGGGAGGCCAAGAGTTCGAGACCAGCCCGGGCAGCATAGTGAGACCCAGTCTCTAAAAAAATTAAAATTAAAAAATTAGCCAGGTGTATTGTTGCATAGCTGCCTGCCTGGGGCGTGGGGCACTGGAATGCAGTACTCAGGACACAGTGGCTGTCGCTGATAAACACAAGTGGGGATCTGCTATTGGGGTCCCATAGGGCCCTCCCGGCCTGCCAGAGGTGCCTAGGCTAGGAAGGGCTGCCACTGGGGTCTGAGGAGCTCTACTCCCCCACAGGAGGGCTGCAGGCTGGTCCCAGAAGCTGCTTGCTTCCTTGCAGGACGTGGTAGCTGCAGGCTCAAAACAGCCAGAATGCATTCCCTCAATTCGCAGAACTCTCTCAAAAGGCTGCAGTCTCTTCCATTGTAAGAGTAGAGGTCAGGGACCGCCCCAGGCCACTCTGCCAGACCCATGTCTTCATCTAACTCACTGTGCCTGAAGCTCACATGACGGTGCTGTGGGGCCTGTCTGGGGCCCAGCTGGGTGGGGTTCATGTACTGGGGTGAGGGATCAAGAAGGGTGTCCGCTGCAGTAGAAAGAAGGTGGGCTGCGGACTTTCAGACGTGGCCCTTAACCTCCCCGAACTGACCTAGGCTAGTCAGTCAGCCGGCGGTCTGACCTTCTCCATCTGTGACTGAGTCACAGTCACAGGGCTTCCCTAGACCCCGGTGAGCTCCGGTAACGACCTTGCGAGGTCGGGCAGAGTGGGCAGGGTGAAATATCTGGGTGTGTGGCAGCGGGTGGGGCCGCGCGGGGGGCCTGGGATGGGGGCGGGCCCTGCGCTCGGCGCCGGCGAACTGGGCGGGCTCAGTGCTCAGAGCGGAGGCAGCGGCTGCGGCAGCAGCAGGTGGGTTGCAGCAGATCCTGCGGGGACGGGGACTGGGACGGGCTCAGGCCCAAGAACAGGCGAAGGCGCAGGTGTCCGGGGACGGGGGCGCGGCGGAGCAGGCTCTAGCAGCAGCGGCGTGTCGGACATGGGGAGGTGTGCGGGCCCAGGGCGCCCCTGCATTCCGCCTGGCGCGCGGATACCCCAGCCTGGCCACGGGTGCAGGGGCGGGGGTGTATGTAGCCGCCACTGTCTGTCTGTGGCCAGGTGGCTGCCTGGGCCACACCCGCCCCGACGCAGAGCCGCGGCTCCTGTTCCGGGTCCGGCTCGACTCTGGGGAAGCCTCGGTTTCACCTGGCTCTGGGACCCCACCACTGAGCCGTTCCCAGCCTCTCACCCTGCTCCCCCTGGAGCTGCTCCCTCCCCACCCCTCAGGGCCACCGAGCGGGTGAGCAGGTGGGGCCTCACCAGGCCTCCTTTGCTGCCTGGGATGCAGACAGGGCCTCCAGGCTTCCTGTGACCTCCTGCCCACAGGTTCTGACACCTGCCCCATTCCAGCTCTCCAGCAGGCCCCTGGTGAGGGTGTCCAGGTCCCCAGGTCAGGGACAGAGAGAGGACTGGGGGTGGTCAGACCAGGAGGGATGGAAGGCTGGTCAGGCCCCGGCTACGCATCCTGTCATTCCCCTCTGGCCCTAGCAGGTTCCAGTAGCTGGCTCGGTGCTCTTCTCGGCCACCTGCCATGGCCCGGGGGCTGCCCACCATTGCTAGCCTGGCACGCTTATGCCAGAAGCTGAACCGCCTGAAGCCGCTGGAGGACTCCACCATGGAGACGTCACTGCGGCGCTGCCTGTCCACGCTGGACCTGACTCTTCTGGGCGTGGGTGGCATGGTGGGCTCGGGTCTCTACGTGCTCACAGGTGCCGTGGCCAAGGAGGTGGCTGGCCCTGCTGTGCTCTTGTCCTTCGGTGTGGCCGCTGTGGCCTCCCTGCTGGCAGCCCTATGCTATGCAGAATTTGGGGCACGTGTGCCACGCACGGGCTCTGCCTACCTGTTCACCTACGTATCCATGGGCGAGCTGTGGGCCTTCCTCATCGGCTGGAATGTTCTCCTCGAATACATCATCGGTGGCGCCGCCGTGGCCCGTGCCTGGAGTGGCTACCTGGACTCTATGTTCAGCCACAGCATCCGCAACTTCACTGAGACCCACGTGGGTTCTTGGCAGGTGCCCCTCCTGGGCCACTACCCGGACTTCCTGGCTGCTGGCATCATCCTCCTGGCCTCTGCCTTTGTCTCCTGTGGAGCCCGCGTGTCCTCCTGGCTCAATCACACCTTCTCGGCCATCAGCCTGCTTGTCATTCTCTTCATTGTCATCCTGGGCTTCATCCTGGCCCAGCCTCACAACTGGAGCGCTGACGAAGGCGGCTTTGCACCCTTCGGCTTCTCCGGCGTCATGGCCGGCACTGCCTCCTGCTTCTATGCTTTCGTGGGCTTCGACGTCATTGCCGCCTCCAGTGAGGAGGCCCAGAACCCACGGCGGTCTGTGCCTCTGGCCATCGCCATCTCGCTTGCCATTGCAGCTGGTGCCTACATCCTTGTCTCCACCGTGCTAACCCTCATGGTGCCCTGGCACAGCCTGGACCCCGACTCAGCGCTTGCAGATGCCTTCTACCAGCGGGGCTACAGGTGGGCTGGCTTCATCGTGGCAGCTGGCTCCATCTGCGGTGAGAGACTCTTCCTGGGCAGGGTGGCAGGGAAAAGAGCAAGGGGGACCTTGTCCTCAGATTCTTGGGGAATGCACCTTCAACTGGGGCTGTTTTACTAGTTGCATAATGGGGCAAGGAAAGTGCTAATTATTAGAAACTCTTCACTTCAAAAAAAGTTTCTTCAGAAACTTTGGAAGGGACCGCCCCACACATGGTCCATAGCATATTAGTTCTGGGCATGTCCTTATAGATTATTTCCTAGGCAGAGGGACTCAGCCCTCATCCGATGCTCCAGTGGGCCTGTGACCTAACCCAGATGTCCTGTTCTTGGGCAAAGCGCTGACAATCTATTACTCCTACACAAACTCATGCTTACTCTGAGAGCCCAGACAAGCTCATGCCCTTGTTCCCAAGGAGCCACCCATGCACCGACCCCCAGCAGAGGCCCCTGGTGGGCTTCTCCGCCATGCTGACCCTCCCCACTCTCTCTGCTACAGCCATGAACACCGTCCTGCTCAGCCTCCTCTTCTCCCTGCCACGCATTGTCTATGCCATGGCCGCCGATGGGCTCTTCTTCCAGGTGTTTGCCCATGTGCACCCCCGGACACAGGTGCCTGTGGCGGGCACCCTGGCGTTCGGGCTCCTCACGGCCTTCCTGGCACTGCTGCTGGACCTGGAGTCGCTGGTTCAGTTCCTGTCCCTTGGCACACTCCTGGCCTACACATTCGTGGCCACCAGTATCATTGTGCTGCGCTTCCAGAAGTCTTCCCCGCCCAGCTCCCCAGGCCCAGCCAGCCCTGGCCCCCTGACCAAGCAGCAGAGCTCCTTCTCAGACCACCTACAGCTGGTGGGCACTGTACACGCCTCCGTCCCTGAGCCAGGGGAGCTGAAGCCAGCCCTGAGGCCCTACCTGGGCTTCTTGGATGGGTACAGCCCTGGAGCAGTGGTGACTTGGGCGCTTGGCGTTATGTTGGCCTCAGCCATCACCATAGGCTGCGTGCTTGTCTTTGGGAACTCGACCCTGCACCTCCCACACTGGGGTTACATCCTGCTGCTCCTGCTCACCAGTGTCATGTTTCTGCTCAGCCTCCTTGTCCTGGGGGCTCACCAGCAACAGTATCGGGAAGACTTATTTCAGGTACCTCCCCTAGCCAACACCCACTCACACTCGGCCCAGGCAGCTGCCTCCCCTTCCCCCACTACCATCCCAGAATGAACAAGTCTCACGGGGCTGGGGAGGACCACACACCCATCCCGCACCCCTTTCTGCATGGTGAGTGAGCACATGTCTCCACAATCTCCCGTGAGGAACAAAGGCTCTATGGATTCCCGAGAAAGTGAGCCCTGGGCTGGCAGATCTTTCCTGCAGCCCGGCCCAGCCCTGCCCTGCCTCTGCCTCCTCAGATCCCCATGGTTCCCCTGATTCCAGCCCTGAGCATCGTCCTCAACATCTGCCTCATGCTGAAACTTAGCTATCTGACCTGGGTGCGCTTCTCCATCTGGCTGCTGATGGGTGAGTGGGGGCCAGGCTGGGACCGGGGTCAGGAGGAGGGCAAAGAGGACAGGAAGGGCTGGAACCTGTACCTCAGGCTCATGCCCTGCCTCCTGCCCTGTCTAGGACTTGCAGTGTATTTCGGCTATGGCATCCGGCATAGCAAGGAGAACCAGCGGGAGCTGCCAGGGCTGAACTCCACACACTACGTGGTATTCCCCAGGGGCAGCCTGGAGGAGACAGTGCAGGCTATGCAGCCCCCCAGCCAGGCACCAGCACAGGACCCTGGCCATATGGAGTAGCTGATCAGCCCACACTTGCCCCGCCCTCCCACACCTGCTTGGGAGGCCAGAGAGGCCAGACAAGCCGAGAGCCCCTTCTGTTGTGGGCAGCCTGGGTTTGCAGGCCTGCACAGGCTGGGGAGTCCTCAGGACCTTAGGACCTTCATCCAGGGGCTGGGCTTCGGGTCTTCAGGAGTGGGCCTTGGCTGGTGCTGGTGCCATGGACTCTGCCCAGAGCCTTCTTGTTTATGATCAGCTCCAGCTACCTGGGCAGTTGTGGTGGGGTGGATGGGAAGGCCCACAGCCCAAGGGATCCATAATAATAATTGCTTGGCCAGCCATGTGGCCTGCTGGCGTATCCACTGTGGCATTCTTTGTGGCACCAAGTCTTCACCTGCCCCAGGGAACCAGGCAATTGTCTCCAATCCACATCAAAGATGCTGGGGCTCTCTAAAGAGTAGGTGCCAGTCCTGGGACCACCCTGAGTCAGGGACACAGGTGGGCCTGGATCCAGGTGCCCAGTGAAGAGGGGAGCCACACACACCAGGCAAGGAGGGTTCCATGACAGGCATGGGGTCAGGCTCCCCACGTCTGCTAGGTGGCAGATCCAGGGAGCAGAGCTTGGGCCCCAAGGAGGCTGCCTAGAAAGGGCAGCAGGGTTCTGAGCATGGCATGCACCTGAGGCCTGCCTGGCACAGGCACCCCCACGGGGACACATGCATCCCTGCAGGCACTACCCTGGGGTGCATGCCTGTGCGCAGACTGAGGCGACAGCTGTTTCTGAGCTCGGGCCCAGGCTGCAGCTCTCTTGCTGTCTTTGCCCACTCTTCAAGGGCTTTGAGGTGAAAAGAGTGTGGCCCTCATGCTCCTACATGGGTGCACAAGTGCCCAGGCCTGTTCCAGTTACCTTCTAGCCCACCTGGTAGCTGCAGGGCCTCAGTCTTCAGGGGTAGGGTCCCCAAGTCCACCCTGCACCACCCCACTGGTCTCTTCATGGCTGTGCCATGTCTACCATAGATGCCCCCCAACTTTCCAGTCATGCCTGTAAGGACTACACAGGAAGAGGGTGGCTTTGCTGGCTTTACTCCGTGACTTTGTCCAGCCATGACATCAGCTTCCTCTGGGCCCCAAGGAGAATCAGGTGCACGTGCCCCTCCTTGGATACCCAGGCCTCAGGGGCCCTGCTCTCCCACCTTCGCCCTTCAGAGCCCACCTCCCCATGGACATGGCTCTGGAGATTGAGAGGCAGCAGGGACCCCAGGCATTTTACTGAGGCTCCAGGTGGCAGGTGATTCTAGATGTCAGCCCAGTCTCAGCCCCACCCCTGGCCCTCCACAGCTTGCCCTGATCACCAGGTACCCACAGTGGAAAGCAGCCCCTTGCCTCCCTGGGGTGGACACTTAGAATTCCCTGCCCCGCCCTGGGACCAAGAGGAGAATTCCAGCTGCAAAACCTGGCCAGCCTGAGGGAGATCTCGGTGGTGTTGTTTGGAACCATTCCTTCCAGCCACTCCATCCAGCCTGGGATCAGAGCCAGGGCCTCCCTCGAGCAGCTGCCCAGACAGCTTCCTAGGTATGACTTGGACTGAAGTGAATTTCAGATGTACAGCCTCCCACAGCCTCCCACCCCCAGGGCTCTCAGGAAGCCTGGAGGAAAGATTCCAAGGGGTTGGGCTGGGGGGTTACCGAGGAGGGATATAGAAGGTCCTGAAGAACCCAATGATCACCAACTTAGCCCTGCCGCCCTCTGCTCTCTCTCCCAGACCTCCATGGCAAAAGGGCTACCACTGGAAAGCAGCCGGTCCTCATAAACTAAGCAGGTGTGGGCCCAAGACACATGCTCCGCCCTTGCCTGGGGGATAGGGAGGTGGATTATCTGCCTACTCCACCCCATTCCCTAGATTAGGACTCTCCTGGGGCATCACAGCACCAGAGAAGCTGAAACAATCCCCCTCCCCCATCACTCCTCTTTCTACCTTGCCTTTTTGGCTCCAGCTGCACAGCCCCATGTAGGACCGATGGGAGGGTGGGGTCTCTACCTATGATGGGGGTGCAGATGGGGGAGGAGGGCCAGGACCCAGGCAGCAGGAGGGTCTGTGCTGACAGCTGGTAAGCATACCTCTGCTAGGAACACTGGGGACAGAGCACTGGGAGAGAGACCTCCAGGCCCAGACGCAGCAGGAGCCCCTGCCACATGCAGTCGGAGCCCTGCAATACAGGTGCCTGCTGGGCTCTCCCAGTCTCCACGGGTCAGGTTCTGTCGCCGTCTCAAAACACAGCCGACTTCTATGGCTCCCTGAGGCAGCACCCTACCAAGGTGGGAGTCAGGGGAGGGACTGTCTGCTGGGGTTCAAGGGTGGAATTCTACCCCCAATCCTCCATGCTGGGGCCTCATCCTTGAGATCCCCAGGCAGGGCCCCGCCCTTCCCAGCCCCCAACTCTCAACCAGCAGGGAACGGCTACAGGCTCCCGGAATGGGTTGGCAAGTGGGTGTCAGAACTTGGACAGGGCCATCCTGGTGTCTGTGTCTGACTCCCAGCAGCAGTGGCCGTGGGTGCAGGTGCTGAGCTCCGTCTGAGGCACTCGGCCAGTCGGGCTTGGGATGCAAGGGCCAGCTCCCTCCACACAGAGTTGGCGGTTGCTTTCGGGGCCTTGGCCTGCAGATGAGGACAGCAGGTCAGGGATCCAGCCAACATCTTCCTAAGTGTGGCAGAACCCAGGGTCCAAGCAGAGCGACCTCAGCTCACCTCCTCATACTTTGTCCTCCAGTAGAAATGGGCTTCTCTATCCACATACAGCAGTAGCAGGTCACAGAAAAAGGTGACCTGGGAGAGGCAGGGCCAACCCATGTTCCAGCCCCCGAGCCTGCTCTCCTGCCACCTCCCCAGCCTGCACCCCGAGACTCAATGTGCAGGCACCGGAGGCTCCAGCATGCATTGGACACACCCTGGTCAGCAGCACTCACTGCAGCCTGCAGGTGCCCACAGTGCTCGCACTCACCACGCCCAGCCAAGCTGCCCCGGTGCCCAGTGTGACGGCCGTGGGGATGAGCCCGAACTTCCCTGCCTGAGAGAGATCTGAGCTGAACCTCTCAGCCCACGACTGTCAGCCTCATGCCTCCTCCAGCCCTGTCTGCCTGCCCCATCCCATCCCCGGCCTGACCCCTACCTGTGCCTACCTGCCCGGTGACGAGGATGTCGAAGCGGATTCCATAGAGCTTGAGCAGGGTGCGGGCCTCCACACCCGGTTGCTCCCACCAGTGAGTGGCTGTCCTGTGGGCAGGAAAGAAGGCTCTGGTGACCTGCTTTGCCCACCCCCAGGTGGGGCTGGCCCTGCCAGACCTCTGTCCAACTTGTCAATTGACTCTATAAACCCCCAGCCCAAGCCTGAGTCCTGGGTCTCAGCCCTATGTAATTGGTGAGAAAACAGAAAAAGCAAACGAAGACCTGTCCCTCAGAAGTTCCCTGCCTGCTGAGAGGACGGGGGACAGAGGAGTCCCTAAACAGACCCAGCAGCGGGGGATGTGAAGGGGCAGGCTCAGGGCTGAGGGATTCCAGAGATGGGAACTCACTCTTCCCTGGGAACTGGGGTAGACTTCCTGGAGGGGACATGAGGCTGGGCCTGAAGGAACATGCACACAGGTGGTTTGCCAGCACAGAGGTCAGGGGAACAGGATGTGGGTGGGAGCCAGCCCCACGTGGTTTCGAAGGGCTGGGGAGGTTGGGGAAGCCAGATCAGACGGGGTGCAGTGAGCTATGTTGAGGGGCATCATCCCCAGGCCTGGTGGTCGTGTGTGCCTGCCTGCATGACGAGGTGACGCTCGGTGGCAGAAGGATCCAATAGATCTGCTTAGAAGACTCAAAGACATGATAATAAATGCAATTTATGAAACTTGAGGCCAGGCACAGTGGCTCACACCTGTAATCCCAGCACTTTGGGAGGCTGAGGCAGGTGGATCACCTGAGGTCAGGAGTTCGAGACCAGCCTGACCAATATGGTGAAACCCCATCTCTAGTAAAAACACAAAAATTAGCTGGGTGTGGTGGTGTGCACCTGTAATCACAGCTACTCAGGAGGCTGAGGCAGGAGAATTGCTTGAACCCGAGAGGCAAAGATTGCAGTGAGCCGAGATCGGGCCACTGCACTCCAGTCTGGGCAACAAGAGCAAAACTTCATCTAAAAAAAAAAAAAAAAAAAACACAAAAAAAACAGGCTTGGTGGCTCATGCCTGTAATCCCAGCACTTTGGGAGGCTGAAGTGGGCAGATCACCTGAGGTCAGAAGTTCGAGACCAGCCTGGCCAACATGGCAAAACACCATCTCTACTAAAAATACAAAAATTAGTTGGGTGTGGTGGTGCACACCTGTCATCCCAGCTACTCTGGAGGCAGAGGCTGGAAAATCACCTGAACCCAGGAGGCAGAGGTTGCAGTGAGCCAAGACCACGCCATTGCATTCCAGCCTGGACTACAAGAAAGTGAAAACTCCGTTTCAAAAAAAAAGGTCGGGCGTGGTGGCTCACGCCTGTAATCCCAGCACTATGGGAGGCTGAGGCAGGTGGATCACGAGGTCAAGAGATCGAGACCATCCTGGCCAACATGGTGAAACCCTGTCTCTACTAAAAATGCAAAAATTAGCCGGGCGTGGAGGCGTGCACCCGTAGTCCCAGCTACTTGGGAGGCTGAGGCAGGAGAATGGCGTGAACACGGGAAGCGGAACTTGCAGTGAGCTGAGATCCCGCCACTGTACTCCAGCCTGGGCGACAGAGTGAGACTCCATCTCAAAAAAAAAAAAAAAGTTTAGGTAAAAGCGGAAGGGAGGCCAGACATGGTGGTTTACGTCTGTAATCCTAGCCCTTCGGGAGGCTGAGGTGGGTGGATCACCTGAGGTCAGGGGTTTGAGACCAGCCTGGCCAACATTGTGAAAACCCATCTCTATCTACCAAAATATAAAAATTAGCTGGGAGTAGTGGCGAGCACCTGTAATTCCAGCTACTCAGGAGGCTGAGGAAGGAGAATCGGTTGAACCCAGGAAGCAGAGGTTACAGTGAGCCGAGGTCGGGCCACTGCACTCCAGCCTGGGTGACAGAATGAGATTCTGTCTTAAAAAAAAAAAAAACAAAGCTGAAGGGGAGAAGGGGAAAGTAAAAATGAAACACCCCATTGCTGTGGAGGGGAGATACTAGAAGCGAGGTGGGGTGGAGGAAGGGCTGGCAGTGAGGAGCCTGAGCTGGGCAGGGGCCTGGGACAGATGGGGTGGAGGGCTCAGGACTTGGGGCAGCAGGACGGAGCCTGTGCTGGAGGATGTGGGGTTGAGAACAGCTCTCTCCTGCTCCTGGGACCCCCTTGCACACGTAGTGGAATATCTAGAGGCCTGGGCCTGGGTGTGGTCTGTCCTGGCCGCCACAGTGAGAGGGCGATGGGCCCAGCAGCTGGGCACTGGGAGCAGTGGGGCCTCACCTGAAGTTGTAGCTCTTCTCCTGCAGCTGGAAGGAGTAGTGAGGCCAGCAGCCAGAGTCCCCGGTGTCCAGGTCACAATCCCAGTGAACTCTGATGCCTACAGAGCCACCCTGCACATAGCACATAGCTTTTCCACCGGTGGGTGGGCCCGGGACCCTCTCCCAGAGCCCTCTAGGAACCCTGCCCCCAACTTGGGACCCACCAGCAACGCCAGGTCCTCGAAGGTCCCTCCAGCCTTGGCCACGAGGTCCCCAATGCGGAACACGGGACAGTAGGGGCTGAATTGTGGTTCATAGCGGCAGTGCTTAAAATAGGTGGGGTCCCAGGTCTCCAAGGCATTGGACCTGGGAGGAGTGGGAAAGGTCAGATGAGGTAGGGGACAAGGAGGGTCTTGGGGCAGATGAGACCCACTCTGCTTACTTAGAGAAGTTGAACTTGCTGAAGGTGACTGTGTTTTTGATGAACAGTGTGAAGTTCTGGGCCTGGGCCAGCAGGGGCCTCCTGCAGGTGGAAGGGAGGTGACAGCCTCTGCCAGGCCTGGGGCCCTGCGCCAGTTGGGGTAGGGGATTGTGGGGACACTTACGAGGGCACAACGCCACTCTCCACGGGGCACCAACTCCAGATCTCACAGGTCCTGTGGGTCCCATTGAACACCACACACTGGCCTGTTTTTACACCTAGAAAACAAAAGATGAACTCCAGACCTTCAAATCTCTGCAGGCCTGGGGAGGCCTTCAGCCAGGGGGTTGTTGGCAGAAAGAGAGATGCAGGGACAGAGGCGAGCAGGGCCTGCACTCAGGAGCCACCCAGGATCCCAGCCCGGCCCCCACCCTGCTGGGGGCACTGGAAGACAGAGCCCACAGTTACCGTGGCTGTGTGTGCCTCCCTCCCCTTCGGGGCAGTCCTCGTCGACCCAGCAGTTAGCCAGTGGGACGGACGGGTGCTGAGGTGGGAGAGAGAGCAGTCACCAATGGCACAGGGGATGTCTCCCCTCCACAGCCCAGTCTCAAAGGCAGGGAGGTTCAAGGTGGGAAGGACAGGCCCCCTTCCCACCTTAAACAACCTCACCACCCCGCCGCCAGAGTACCCTGAGTGTGGGGCCACACAGGAAAGCTGGAGGGTGCAAATAAAAGGAGGTGGTCAGAGGAGGGAGCGGAGCAATGCCCTGGCCAGATGAAGGTACAGTACTGTATTTCAAAGACAAAGGGAGACCCCTTTCCTCCTTTTTCAAAAAATTTATTTTTAGTGATTCGGTCTCACTCTGTTGTCCAGGCTCTAGTGCAGTGGTATGATCATGGCTCACTACAGCCTCGCCCTCCCGGGCTTAAGCAATCCTCTCACCTCAGTATTCCCAGTAGCTGGGACTACAGACACACACCACTGTGCCTGGCTGATTTTTTAATATTTTTTTTTTGTAGAGATGGAGTCTTGCTATGTTGACCAGGCTGGTTTTTAACTCCTGGCCTCAAGCAATCCTTCTGTCTCAGCCTCCCAGAGTGCTGGGATTACAGGCGTGAGACAACGCACCCTGCCCCTTCCCTCCTGACAGTTCTGTCCCTGGTGGATGCGGAAGTGATTCTTCCAGGTCTAGCTCCTCTGGTCCAATTTGGATGACAGATCAGGGAAGGTGAAGATACCTTGGGAGGGTGAGTTTTTGATGCCCGGCATGGGGACATAGCTGACAAAGATCAGGGCCCTAGAGTCAGGGGCTTGGGTATTGAAGCAGGACCCCACACCCTTGCTGAGGGACCACAGGCTACTCCTTCCTGCTCGCTCTTCTGTAACCTGGGGACATTAATGCCTGCACAGAGGCATAGGACTATGGGGCTCTGGCAGAAGGGGAGGACAGGTGAGCTTTCTGGGGTCCCAGACCCCAGAGACGAAGGCACCCTTGAGCATCGGGCACTCTCCCAGGCATGGTCCTGCCCCAACTGAGGATGGACACTGCTGCCCAGGGCACTCAGCTCAGGGGCAGCAGGAAGAACACCAGCACCAGGGGCGCAAGGAAGGCTGAGGGCCTCTGAGAAGCCAGAATGAGGCGGTGGGACTTTCTGAAAGACAGGGCCGTCGTGATTGGGTGGAGGTCGGAGCAGAGCCACATGCTCTGCTTCTTTGTCCCTACCTATGTCCTGTGTCTGCCTCTCCTCTTCACCCCAGCTGGGCTACCGTCTCCTCCAACTAGACCCCACAGTGACCACCAGTGGGGCCCCCACGTCTTCCCATACCCTCATCCACCTATGCCCAGCAGCCCAAGTGGTGCATCCCAATGTGCAGGAAACTGAGCACCCTGCCTCTGAGCCCACGTGTGGCTCTCTTCTGTTCCTCTAATCAAGTTTAGCTCCTGCCAGGCACAGTGGCTCACGCCTGTAATCCTAGCACTTTGAGAGTCCAAAGTAGGCGGATTGCCTGAGCTCAGGAGTTCGAGACCAGCCTGGGCAACAAAGCAAGACCTCATTGCTACAGGAAAAAAAAGAAAAGAGAAAAAGAAAACAAACAAACAAAAACAGTTTAGCTCCTTAGTGGGGCTTACAGGGGCCCCTGAAATCCTGAACTACCTTCTTCCCACCCCAGTCCAAATCTTCACTTCAGCTCCACCCAGTGGCAGGTAGCCCTAAAGGCACCTCACCTCACACAGCTCAGGGCCTTTACCCACCAAGCCCCCTCTGTGTCGACATCCTGCTTCAACCAAATCCACCTGCTCACCAGCTTCTCCCCACCTTTTTTTAAGATTCTGCTTGGCCTGGCACACCTGTAATCCCAACACTTTGAGAAGCCAAGGTGGGCGGATTACCTGAGGTCAGGAGTTTGAGACCAGCCTGGCCGACACAGCAAAACCCTGTCTCTATTAAAAATACAAAAATTAGCCGAGTGTGGTGGTGTGTGCCTGTAGTCCCACCTACTTGGGAGGCTGAGGCAGGAGAATCGCTTGAACCAAGGAGGTGGAGGTGTGCAGTGAGCCGAGATCACGCCACTGCACTCCAGCCTGGGTGACAGAGCGAGACTCTGTCTCAAAAAAAAAAAAAAGAAAAAAAAAAAAAAGATTCTGCTCAAGTGCAGCCCTAGGTCCCCCACCTACAGCCTCTGTCCCATCATAGGACCTGCCACCTGGGCTGGGCTGTCCATGTGGGTGGTCTTTGAAGTATGGGAGATGGAGTTTTGTGAATTTAGCCTAGCTAGCCCCCTGGCCCAGCGGGGAGGCTCAGCGGTGTCTGCTGAGGGAGGTGACACTATAAAGAGCATGGTGCATGTAAGGGAGGGATCAGGCACCAGGATCCCTAGAGGAGCTGGCAGAACTCTGGTCTTCCGGGAAAGCCAGGTTGTCAGATCTGATAATTACGACCCAGCCCTGACGTTTCATGGGAAGAGCCAGAAGTGTGGTTGCAGACAAAGAGGAATTGCACAGATTCTGAAAAACACAGACCCACAGATCCAGCCAAATTTCAGAACGGTCTACAAACTGAACACTAAATGCACATCTGAGCATTAAGAAAGAGAAGGACATTGTGTGGGTTCACCAAGAGTAAGCACATCCTGCCAGGCACAGTGGCTCATGTTGGGAAGAGGCCCCCAAAATCTGGCCATAAACAAAATCTCTGCAGCACTGTGACATGTTTGTGATAGCCACGACACCCACACTGGAAGTTTGTGGGTTTACCGGAATGAGGGCAAGGAAAACCTGGCCCACCCAGGGCGGAAAACCGCTTAAAGGCGTTCTTAAACCACAAACAATAGCATGAGCGATCTGTGATTTAAGGACATGCTCCTGCTGCAGCTAACCAACCAGAGCCCATCCCTTTGTTTCCCATAAGGAATACTTTTAGTTAATCTATAATCTATAGAAACAATGCTTATCACTGGCTTGCTGTCAATAAATATGTGGGTAAATCTGTTCGAGGCTGTCAGCTCTGAAGGCTGTGATACCCCTGATTTCCCACTCCACACCTCTATATTTATGTGTGTTTGTCTTTAATTCCTTTAGCACCGCTGGGTTCAGGTCTCCCCGACCAAGCTCTCGGCAGGCTCACGCCTGTAATCCCAGCACTTTGAGAGGCCGAGGCTGGTGGGTCACCTGAGGCCAGGAGTTCGAGACCAGCCTGGCCAACATGGTGAAACCCCGTCTCTACTTAAAATACAAAAATTAGCTGGGCACAGTGGCGGGCACCTGTAATCCCAGCTACTCAGGGGGTGAGCAGGAGAACTGCTTGAACCCAGGAGGCGGAGGTTGCAGTGAGCCGAGATCGTGCCATTGAACTCCAGCCTTGGGGACAAGAGCAAGACTCCATCTCAAAAAAACAAACAAACAAAAAGAGTAAGCAATCCTTTGTGCATATTTCCAACTACGGACATGGGATGTCTCCAGCAACTGTGCTAGGACCAGCCACCAGGGCTCAGGGGACAGCTGTCTGCACAACGACCCTCCAGCCCAGGAGGCACGTAAATGTTGGACTTGCCTAAAGATGTCACTGTGGAGGTAAACTTTCAGGACTATGTCCTGAGTCCCAATAGTTCAAACAAAATTCACAGCTGGAGAGAATGAGCATGCTCTGTGACAGATGCAGGATCCCAGGGACATCCCCAGGCAAGGGGAAAAGGTGAAATGTCAGGGGGAGAATCAGCATTTCTGGATCAGAAATGAAGAAGAACAAGGTGGGGGACTCTGGCTTGACCACGGTTGATGTAAAAACTATCCAGAAATCAGGCCGGGCGTGGTGGCTCACGCCTGTAATCCCAGCACTTTGGGAGGCCGAGGCAGGTGGATCATGAGGTCAGGAGATGGAGACCATCCTGGCTAACACCGTGAAACCCCGTCTCCACTAAAAATACAAAAAAAAAAAAAAATTAGCTGGGCGTGGTGGCAGGCGCCTGTAGTACCAGCTACTCCGGAGGCTGAGGCAGGAGAATGGCGTGAACCTGAGAGGCAGAGCTTGCAGTGAGCTGATATCTGCCACTGCACTCCAGCGTGGGTGACAGAGTGAAACTCCGTCTCAAAAATAAAACAAAAAAAACTATCCAGAAATCATAAGCAATCCTGAATTCACCATGAGCAAGAGTGTGCTGTGTTGGCCCACAAAGATGAAAGCTGCCTCAGGACATATTAATAGAGGCTGGGCACAGACAAGGGGAGGTGATATTCCAGCTTGGCTCTTGCTATTAGAACCTCCCTGAGCATGTGCGCAGCTCTGGGTGTCACACTACCAACCTGGAGAGTACCCAGAGGCAGGACCAGGATGGGAGGGCCTGGACACCTCATGGGAACTGCTGCTGCCCAGAGCTCGGGGTCCTGTCACCCACAGGCCTGGAGGCCTTAAGAAAGTGACTCAACCTCACTGAGCCTCAGTCTTCTCCTCTGAAATGGGGATCACAGGACTTCCTACCAGGCAGGGGATATGTGAAGACTGAACATAATGATTCAGGAAAAGATGTAGCCCAGTGCCTGGGGGACACCGAGCACAGGCTGAGCCTTCAGCCACCTGGGAAGGGGAAAGGGAAACACGGGTGGCCCCCTGGGGCTGATGGAGGAACAAGGGACCCGCTGGGAGGATCCTGGGTAAACTCACCTCTGGGCATCTGCCCTGAACTTGGGCTGGCGTCACAAGGAAGTTGGTCACCAAGAAGAACACGTTCTCTCCCTAGGAGGCAAGTCTCAAGGTTGGCCTGGCTGGGCTCGTGTTGACTGGAAAGGCCGGAAGCCGGCAGCCTGGTTTATGAGGGAAGGGATGTTGGCCCCATCAAGTCATTAACCCTGTCCCCCTGTAAGGCAGACTGAAGCAGAGATGGGAGGCTGGCAGTGGTTCTGGCCATTTTTGAGACCAGGAAGCCTTGTGCCCATGTCCATCTCTTGAGACAAGTCTCTTGTCTCAACCAAAATTTGTGTGTGTGTGTGCATGTGTATGTGTGTATTTAGAGACAGGATTACACTTCGTCACCCAGGCTGGAGTGTAGTGTTGTGATCAGTGCTCACTGCAACCTCTAACTCCTGGACTCAAGAGGTCCTCCTGCCTCAGCCTCCCAAGTAGCTGGGACTACAGGCTCCAGCTACCATGCCTGGCTCCAACCAGAATATTCCAACAGCCTGCTGCTTCTAGTACTGAAGATCCAAGGGAGAGCTGGGCCCAGCACCTGCTCAGGATGGAGACGAGGTGAGTCTCCCATCTCACACACAGCAGCACTGGCATGGCAGGGGCCAAGGGAGAAGAGGGAAAGCTGTGTCTGTGGTCAACGGGTGGCCGAGGACATTGGAAAGAAAGGCTGACCCTCCAGTGCTGCTCGTGAGAGCACTGTGAATTTGGGGAATGTATGCCCAGGAAGGGAAGGTGAGGGCTGGCCAGATGGTGCTGGGAGTGGCAGCCATTAGGATTGGGAGGAAAGTGTGGACACCGTCATGGGCAGGGTTGGGGGAATTCCTGAGGGTAGAAGCAGGCGCTGCAGGCTCTCATGATGCCTGGTGTGAAAGTTCAGCTTGGCTGCTGCGTGGTGTGCACCGAGCAGTAAGGGAGGAGGCGAGAGGGGCATCTAGGGACCCTCTAGGAGGCCATAGTCTCATGCATGGCATGGCATGGGTAGTGGTGAAAAATCTTGGAAGGGACAGGAAGGGGTCCAGGGTGAGTCACGGGTCTGGCTGAGGCACTAGTGGATGTCACAGCCACCATGACTAGTGGGCGTCACAGAGGCCATGCCAGGAGAGGAAAATAATTGATCTTTGGACATGTGGGTGTGCACCTAGAAGACAGCTGTGCTCTGGGCAGGTGATCACTGGGAATACACCCTGGGCATCAGAGGAGCAGAAGTGGCAGTTGAGGCTGGGGATGAGCTGGGTGGAGGGAGGAGGAAAACGCAGCCGAGAAGAGGGGAGGAGCAGCACCTGACCGTAGTGCCCCAGGTCAGGGAGCAGGGCTACAGGGAAGTTCCATGCCCCAGCACCTCACACCACTCTCAAGCTCAAGCCATTAGTCCTGGACACTCCCTTCTTTTCTGTTGGCAGTCTTTGGAAATGCAGTTTCTCTGGCCTGGCTTTTTTTTTTTTTTTTTTGAGACAGAGTCTCGCTTTGCCACCCAGGCTGGAGTGCAGTGGTGCAATCTCGGCTCACTGCAAGCTCCACCTCCCGGGTTCATGCCATTCTCCTGCCCCAGCCTCCCGAGTAGCTGCGACTACAGGCGCCCACCACCATGCCCGGCTAATTTTTTGTATTTTTAATAGAGATGGGGTTTCACCGTGTTAGCCAGGATACTCTCAATCTCGTGATCCACCTGCCTTGGCCTCCCAAAGTGCTGGGATTACAGGCGTGAGCCAGCACGTCCAACCCTGGCCTGGCTTCTTGAGTGGCCCCTTTTTCCACCCCAAAACCTCCTACACATCCCTGAAAGTCCTGTCCAGGTGCCACTCCTCTGTGAAGCCCTTCCTGAGAACCCGCAGCCGTCTCTGGCATCACATGCTTCTCTCTCGCACACACTGGCTGCATGGCGGGTGTTCAGGCTGTCAGTGGGGAAAGGACTTGCGCCCCCGTCAGCAACATCAGGGCCCCCACCTGAGGTGGCTTCACGAAGTCGGCCACATCCCACAGCCGGTTTCCAAGCTCCTTGATCTGAGTGACGGAAACCCCTTTGAGTTTGGTGATGATGGAAAACTGGGGTTCCAGGTCCCGCTCCTGGTAGCCTTTTTTGGCGAGGAGAGCCCACCTGGGGAGGAGAAGTCGGGCAGTGTGGTGTGTCCCCAGCGTGTAGTGACAGGGGCGGAGCTGAGCCCTACATGCTCAGTTCTCCCCCCACACCCTACAGGCTCCCGGCCCAACATCGAAGGCCCCACCTCCTCTCTGGCCCCACTTCCCACTCCAGACCCCCTGAATGAGACAGAAGCTCCAGCCATGCATCAGAGAGCCAATGCCCTCAGACAATCACCTTCACTAGCCAGCACCCACCCCCAGCCTGACTAGATCCAGCTTCCCCCTTACAGACTCTCCTGACCCGAGATACAGCTGGTGGTCTCTCTGGGGGCCTAGTGCTCCAGCTCTCACAGATGTTAAGGACTATGTCATGTGCCCCCTGGGTGGGGCCTGGGTGGGGGCCTGGGAAGGAGGCAAGTGGACACACAGGACAAACACACAGCTTGTTCTTGCTCTCCTGTCTTGTATCGCCTAGCTCTCCCCAACCCCGTCCCAATCTGCCCCCTTCCACTCCAGCCCCTAAACAGCCCAACCCTCAACTTCAACCCAGCAGGACCAAGCCCCACCCCCCACCTCTTCCCTTGCCCCTCCAGCCTGGCCAAAAGCTCTTCTCTCTTACCCTACCACATAGACCACGATCCCAAACTGCAGCAGCCTCTGCAGGGCGCCCACCCGCCAGTTCCTGGTCATCACATACTTCTCCGTCTTATAATCCAGAAGCCCCCAGCCTGTCGTAGCCCCTGGGGAGCCCATGCTGCCAGCTCCTGCTAGCTGCGGGCACATGAGTCAGCATGGCAGCTGCAGCCGCAGCTGAACAGGAGGCAAAGCAGGGCCCGAGCCAGGCCAGGCCAGTTGCTGTTAAAGGGACACTTCCACTAAAGCAGGATCCAGATCCAGCCTCCAACACCCAGCCCTCAACCCCTAATCCCAGCTGCCCTGCACCTCCCACCCTCCCTACATTCCCTTTGCTGGGCCCTGGCACACAGAGAACAGCAGCAGCTCTGTCCCTGCCCTCTGGCCTCACTTCCTGGGGTGGGAGTGGAGGTGGTGGGAGGGTGGAGACGGACAGCTGTTATCAGTGCTGTGAGAGGAGGGCCTGAGGGCAGCAGCAGCAGGGCGGGGAGGGTGTTGAGGAAAGCTTCCGGAAGAAGTGACCTCTAAGCTGACCCTTGCAGATTTCTGAAGTTCGACAAGCAGACAAAGATGGGGATGGAGGTTCCTGGTGCAGGGAGCAGCGTATGCAAAGACCAGAGCATGCAAGATAACTAAGAGGCACAGAGTGAGAGGGTGACCTGGCTCTGCGAAGTTCCCCAGGCCCTCCTGAAAAGCTGCCCCCGCCACCTTCCCCAGTGCAGTGAGGACAACACAAGTCCTGGAGTCAGGCGTGTTTCCCAGTCCACGAAAGGGGGGCGATGCTGGAACCCCCTAGGAAGGCAGGGAGGATGCCCACAAGGCGCCCAGCCCAGTGCATAGCCCGTGGCGCGTGCAGTTTATCCTCTCAGGCGAGGAGCCTCAGCGCAGGAGAGCCACGGTTTCTACGGCAACCTACAGCACTGGGTTGCCGGGGCGACCGCCGCGGGGGAGCGCGTCGCTAATTGCCGTGGCAGACGCCAGTCGATGGACGCCACACTCGATTGGTCAGCGCAGCCGCAGACTCCGCCCACATCCCCGGGTCGCGCTCTAAGTGAGGCGCCAAGCGGTCTCCGCCTCAGGGTCTGAGGCTGCGAAAGGGGCGTAACGATGAGCGGTTCCTGCCAGAGGTCTGGGGAGGATAAAAAGCAGGAGGAAGAGGCGACGGCGGCCTGTGGACGTCTTGCAGGGGTCCCCGAAGCCAAGCAGGGTCCCAAGGCCGATTCAGACTCCGACCTAGAGACGGAAGGTGCTCGGGGCAGGGGCCAGGCCCGTCTCCTCCCCTTGGGGGCTTCTCCCGCAGGGGTTGTGGGAGGTGGGCTGGCGCCGCCGAGGAGGCAGGAGACCTCTGTCCAGCAGGGCACGTAGCCCTCTGCGGGGCGTCTCCAGCCCCCTGCCCTCTCCTCGGCGCTCCTGGCGGCATCAGGAACTTTACCATGAGAAGGCGCTTCTAGAAGGAGGTTAAAATGGAAAATCCCGCCAGACAGTGCACCAAAGGCTGTCCCGCCCTGAAATGCAATCAGAGCTGGGTTTTCCCAATCCACAGGTAAAACTAATATAATGGATGTATAGAATTTAGAACTACTTCCGGTTTTTTCCCTGGGGAAAATATTCACAAAACATTTGTGGTCTGCAATCAGGTTAAAAGACATAGTGTGCCATTTGTCATCAGACAGGTAGAGGCCTGACTCTGGCAGGATTAGCTACCACTAGCTGTGAGACTTTATGTATTCATTTATTAGAGCCAGGGTCTTGCTCTGTCACCCAGCTTTCAGTGCAGTGGCAGGATCATAGCTCACTGCATCCTTGAACTCTGCACTCTGGTGAGCCTCCTGCCTCAGCCTCCTGAGTCGCTGAGACTACAGGGGGCTACCACATCTGGCTAATTTAAATAATTTTTTATCTCGCTATGTTGCCCAGGTTGTCCAGCTTTCTTTTGACAGCTGTATGACTTTAAGGAAAAGATTTGCGTTGCCTTAGCCTCGATGTTCTTATCTGTCATATGCGGGCAGTGGTCCTAAGGAGCATAGGAAGCAGTGCTTCTAGAGGCAAAAAATAGGCCAGGTAGTGATGCAGGGCAGGGGAGGAGGCAGGTGGCTATAGCCATGCAGGGGTTCACATTCATCCCCCTGTCTCCTACCAGGCACCCATGGACTTGGAGAACTGGTCGGGGACACCCTGTACCTGAGGTCTTGCTGGATCCATAGCATTGTGCCCATCTTCTGCTTTCTGTGCCAAGGGAGTGCCCCAGAGCTGAACCTGCTGCACGGTGGCCTGGGGCCCCAGGTACCACTGGAAGGACACTGGGTCCAGGCTTACAGGGAGAGGCCCCGGGAGACAACAGCCATGGGAGTGCCCCTGAGTCTGTCCCCTGTACTCCCCAGCTTCTGCCTGTGCCAGGCATGCCCTACCCTCGACATCTGAGAGACAGATGGGATTGATGCTATGACAGATGGCATGAAGGGTTGGGGAGCCTTCAGGCTTCTAACCCGCTGGGGGCTCTGGGAGAGGTGGGGGTGGGGGACACCTAGGTGGGGCCTAAAAGGAGAAGCATGTGTCCCTTAAGCAGGTGGAAAGGGGGGTACTTTCCAGGTGGGGGACGTGGAGCGGGCTGAGCCCTGGAGCATGAGCCAGGATAGTGGCCAGTGTGTTTGCTCTGTCTGTCCCAGGGCGCCGGTCTCTGGCTTCCTCATTGAGCTCCAATCCATATGTCAAGTGGCTGAACTTTTGGGACAGTGGGCTCTATGGGGCAGGTACAGAGGCCCTGGCAGGTGCCCTGAGCAAAAGCAGCAGCATCTGCGGTAGGTGCTGGGTCTGGGGCAGGTGGGCAGGCGTGAGTCCTCCCTTTCCTCAGGGATGTGCCTCCACCCCTGAAAGCTGGGCCATGTCACCTGGGTCCTGCTGGTGTTGCTGGTGGATAGAGGAGGGGCCTCATCACAGGAGGGGGTATGTGGGGTGGAGTTAGACCCTCTGCTGTGCAGCTGATGCTGGATACAAGTCCCTTCCTCATCCACCCTACCCCACCACTCTCCTTCCTTGTTGGCTGGCACCCATTCTCCTGCCCTGCCCTGCACATGGGAGACTCCCCAGTGCCTGAATGCAGAGTGGAAAGTCCTGCAACACAGAGAGTTGGGGGCGGGGAAGTTCAAGAAAGGGGTGGGCAAGGTGGGAGTTCATTGAAGCTGAATCCAAATGCTGTCTCTGCCACTGAGAAAACGGGGTGACCTATGAAAGCAGCTCAGTTTCCAATCTGTGAAATGGCCCCCACAAGACCTCATAGGCTTGGGGCTGTGGTGAGCATGAAGTGAAATGCACTCCTGAAGTGATCAGCAGAGTGTGTGACCCATGTAAGTGCTCCATGCACAGTCACCTGGGCTATTATTGCCAATCCTGGCAATGGGGCAGTGAGGGCTTCTGAAGTGGGTGGTGATATCACTGCCAGACATAATCATTGATGGGGTGGCTGCCCCCCACCACAGCAGTCTCTACAGTACCAGGAGGTAGGCAGTTTTAACCGCTTGACACAGAAGCTGGTGGGCACACAGGGAGGGGGAGGTCAGGGGCAGAGGGGACCCAGCCATTGGGAGCCAGAGCCACCATGCAACCCCAGGACAGTTAACCTGTAAGTCCTTTTCCTCTGCCTCAGACCTGGAGGTTTGGGGGATGGCAGAAGAGGGGGGAGGGGGGTGGTACCTGGCTTTGCATCCCACTGGCTGAGGAGTGGCTCCGTCCCCCAGATGTGGACCTGTTGGAGAACCAGCTGGGAGTGGCAGGAGCCCAGGCCCTCTGTGCCGCCCTCACAGTGAACCAGGCCATGCGGAAGATGCAGCTGTCAGGGAATGGCCTGGAGGAGCAGGCGGCCCAGCACCTTGCCGAACTCCTGCTGGCCCACACAGACCTGAAGTCCCTGGACCTGAGCTACAACCAGCTGAATGACCAAGCAGGTAATGCCTGCGCAGGGCACCATGGCCATGAAAGCTCAGCTTCCTGGGGCAGGGATGGGTGGGGGTTGGCAGGACCGCGCTGCACATCGCCAGGGAGCATGTGCTCTGGTTCCTGCTCCCCACACCCCACCTTGCCCCACTCCTCTTCCACTCCAGCCACACGGAACTCTTCATTCCTTCCACAAATATCTCATTGCGCGCTGCTGTATGTGCTGGGCACTGACTTAGCCACCAGGGATCCACCTTGAACAAAACCAAGTTCCTGACCTCAAGGGACAATGTTAACAATATCATTCTGAGTAATTATTGGCACTGCAAAAGAAACAAATAGTTTATGCTTCTAGAGAAGAATGGGGACCCCCTGCTTTAAAGAGGTGGCTGGGGAGGCCTCTGTGAGGTGACATTTAAGCTGAAATGTGCAGGGTGGGAAGGAGTCAGCCATGGCAAGATCAGAGGGAGAGCATTTCAAGCAGAGGAACAGTGAGCATGCGGGCCTGTTTCCCAGACTGGCAGACAGCAGTGTGCCTAGGCTAGGGAGCCAGGGAAGCGTGGCCAGGCTGTGGGGTGGAGAGGGCAGAGGGCTGCAGGGCTGTAGGCCGTGGCAAAAAGGGTATAGATTTTGTTCCAGGTGAGGTAGAAGACATGGTTGGGATTCCTTGGTCTCATCACTCTCATGCCCCTGAGTGTTTGCTTTGCCAGGAATTTGCACTTCTACCTGCCTCTCCTCAAATGGTCCAATAATAGTAACAATCACCTGTGACCCTGGGTGAGGCATGCAGATGTTGACCCTGGACCTGCTGAACCAAACTCTTAGGGGAATGCCAGTGAATCTGCATTTTAATGGATGCCCCAGGAGAGCTCTTTTCTGCAGCATTTCAGAAGCTCTCATCTGGCTCAAGCAGCTTAGAGGGAGTGGGGTGGCACCAGACTTGGCCTTTGAGAATTGGCCCTGGAGTGTAACTGCCAGAGAAGCAGTTTGTCTTCTAAAAAAATTACTACTGGGAGTCAGTGAAATTAAAAGACAGGCTTATTTCAGACTTTGACAAACTGAACATAGGTGTCTCTTTGGACCCGCACAGTAAAAGGGCAAGTGCCAGAGAGGCAGCCGGGATGGAGGGCCTGGAAGCTAAGGTGCTATGAAGGTTTCACAAACAGACACATGTACATGAGGGAGGTGGGTGGGGACTGGAAATCGACAGGCCCAGCAAGGCCATTTTTTTCCTCCAAGAGATCTGTGGGAGGGCCCAACTCCCTTGAGAGGTGAAGGAGCTTGGATCTGTGCGTCCCCACTTGATCCATGGCAATGGTAGCACCTACCGCATAGGATGGCTGCAAGGGTCACACAGAACAAGTATTGGCAGTTGCAGGGGTGTGTGGAAGAAAGAATCTTCCTGCCCTTGAGCTGTTCAGCAAAAACAGGGCCTCCCCACAAAGTGGGGGATTACTGTCTGACCCTGCCAGCCCTAGAAGTGTCTGAGTAAAGAGGAAAGCACATGTATTTGAGTACCTGTATTATCAAATCCAGTGCTGGGCGCTGAGTCTAGTTCTCAGGTAGAGAGGGGGCAATGCCCTGAGTCCTTGCTTCTGTGCAGGGAGCTCTCCATGGTGCTAAACAAGAGTGTCTGTAGCCACGGGTGCCAGTCCAGCAGGCTGGCTGAGCGCTCTGGTTAGTCCATCCGTTTTTCTTCTGTGTATTTCTTCAAACCAGCCTTCCTAGACCTCTGCAACGTCTTACTGTGAAGTGTGCGTGGTGATTTGTGCATAGATCTGTATTGTCTGCTTTTCTCTGCTTCAAAGTGTGATGCGTGTTCATTATGGATGGTCTGAATCCGTATCAACTCTCAGAGGCAAAGAGAAGTGGCCCCGGCTTGGTGGAGGTTGGTGGTGTGGCTCCCACGGGCATTGGCTTACGTTGTCTGGTTTCTCTCAGGCAGATCTGTGCATGGGACTGCAGGGCTTCCTCATCTTCCACAGCTTTGGGGGCGGCACTGGCTCTGGGTTCGTGTCTCTGCTCATGAAGCGGCTCTCGGTGGACTACGGGAAGAAGTCCAAGCTGGAGTTTGCCATTTGCCCAGCCCCCCAGGTCTCCATGGCCATGACGGAGCCCTACAACTCCATCCTGACCACCTACACGACCCTGGAACATTCTGACTGTGCCTTCATAGTCGACAGCAAAGCCACCTATGACATGTCAGCACAACCTGGACATCGAGTGTCCCATGTACACCAACCTCAGTCGTCTGGGCAGATCGTGTCCTCCATCACGGCCTCCCTGTGATTCGATGGGGCCCTGAATGTGTACTTGACAGAATTCCAAACCAACTTGGTGCCATACCCCCACATCCACCTCCCCCTGGCCACCTACGCCCTGGTCATCTCAGCCAAGAAGGCCTACCATGAGCAGCTGTCCGTGGCCAAGATCGCCAGTGCCCGCTTCGAGCCAGCCAATCAGATGGTCAAGTGTGACCCTCACCATGGCAAGTACATGGCCTGCTGCATGTTGTACAGAGGGGATGTGGTCCTGAAAGATGTCAGTGCGGCTGTCGCCACCATCAAGAGCAAGCACACCAACCAGTTTGTGGACTGGTGTCCGATTGGATTTAAGGTAGGACTGGGTGATGTGGAGTCCTTGTGCCATCAGGAAGCAGGAGACCTGCAGAATAATGCTGCCCCTGAAGGCCCGCATCCTTTATGGAGACAACCCCTTTTCACGTCAGCTAGGTTGCAAGGATAATAATTTTAGTAATTTATTTCCTACCGCCTTATACTTTACCAAATACTTTATGTTCCCTCATACCTTAACCACTACCCTTTAAAGTTCATGGGGCAATATTACCAGTATCTTACACTTTAGAAAACAGAGGCTGAGGCTGGGCACGGTGGCTCATGCCTGTAATCCCAGCACTTTGGGAGGCCAAGGCAGGCAGATCACGAGGTCAGGAGATTGAGACCATCCTGGCTAACACGGTGAAACCCCGGCTCTACTAAAAAATACAAAAAATTAGCCGGGTGTGGTGGCAGACACCTGTGGTCCCAGCTATTCGGGAGGCTGAGGCAGGAGGATGGCGTGAACCCGGGAGGCAGAGCTTGCAGTGAGTCGAGATTGCACCACTGCACTCCAGCCTGGGCAACAGAGCGAGACTACATCTCAAAAAAAAAAAAAAGAAAGAAAAAGAAAAAAGAAAAGAAAACAAAGGCTGAGATAGCTTTAGGTGTCTGGAGCCTCACAGGCAGCAAGTGATGCAGAGAGAAATCAGAGATTATCTGACTGCAGGTCCTGGTCTGTCCTCCACATTACTCCACTGCTCACTTTAGTAATTTGTCAGGTTCTATGTTATCATTTTTTGTGTTATAAATAGTGGTTTTTACACTTTACATCATCTTGGTCACCTGTTGTCACTGAATTTTGGGCAACACTAATATTTCTGTAAAGATTTTTAAATATATTGTGCAGTGTTTACTGTGAAGACCAAAGGCAGGTCTTTGCCCTTTCTCCAAACCAAGCAGAGACCTCTGCCTCACACACAATCAGACTGATGATTTGGTGCTCCTTTAGCTATGCTTACAGTCAGTTGTCTACCAAAAGAAAAGTACCATGTATTTGGAAGCCAAATAACAGAATGTCAGGCTCGAAGATCTGTTGTGATGACTAGGCTAAATGCCTCACCACACCTGTGTTGGTCAACTTTGTGCCCTATGGTTAGTTAAGAGCCCCTGTCTACAGTGGTTTCCCACATTAGGCAAAGCTATAGATCCCACATTTATAAGTCTCAATGAGTTCTGAAGGTGTTTGAGGAGTTGCAAGTTCCAGGATCATTCCAGATTGAAATGATATGAGAAAGTCACAGGTATGTGTCTTCTTTTTCCCATGTGGAATGGCCATAACTTGCCTCTGAACGCACACAACTTCTTGAATCTGTCTGGCCCTCTCTCAGCCACTTTACAACACCTTGACACAGATCATCTCTCTTTTTCATCTCACGTTGATGCAAACCATCTTTAAGTTGACAGATTTAAAGTGATTCATAGAACAGGGTAAAATCGGCCAGGCTCAGTGACACATGCCTGTAATCCCAGCACTTTGAGAAGCCCAGGTGAGAAGATTGCTTGAACCCAGGAGTTCAAGACCAGCCTGGGCAACATAGTGCGACCCTGTCTCTACAAAAGATATAAAAATTATCCAGGTATGGTTGTGCATGCCTGCAGTCATAGCTAATGGGGAGGTGGAGGTGGGAGGATCGCTTGAGACAGGGAGGCAGAGATTGCAGTGAGCCAAGATCACCACTGTACTCCAACCTGGGCAACAGAGCGTGACTGTCTCAAAAAAAAAAAAAAAAAAAAAAAAGAGGAAAAAGAAGGGTAAAATCTACAACAGTTACACCAACCTGGAATGTTCATTACATGTTACATAGGAGGATTACAGACCTTAGATGTAAGATGTTACAGGTAGGAGGTGAAACCCTCCATTCTGTGTCTAATTATTAAGCCTCTCAACTTGAGTAGAGGAATTTTTCTTTCAATTAGTGTTACATTTGGAAGGTGAAGACATCCTTAGCTGGCAGGCACTGTGGGAGATGCTATGCTGTGCAGAGGTTTCCTATTGTAACTAAGTATTGTGAGACAGTAGGGAGGCTAGTCTGTGGGGAGATAAAGTCACAGCCTCTCCTCCCCCCAGAAGATAGTCCAGCCTTAGATGGACCTTGTTGAATTAATTCTCTTTGCTCTTAAGTTCCTTTTTGTCAGTCTTAGTGTGATTTACCATACATTCTTGTTTGTTTGTTTGTTTTGAGACGGAGTTTCACTCTTGTCACTCAGGCTGGAGTGCAGTGATGTGATCTCGGCTCACTGCAGCCTCTGCCTCCCCGGTTCAAGCAATTCTCCTGACTCAGCCTCCTGAGTAGCTGGGATTACAGGCGCCCGCCACCATGCCTGGCTATTTTTTTTTTTTTTTTTTGAGACAGAGTCTTGCTCTGTCGCCCAGGCTGGAGTGCAGTGGCACAATCTCAGCTCACTGCAAGCTCCGCCTCCGGGGTTCATGCCATTCTCCTGCTTCAGCCTCCCGAGTAGCTGGGACTACAGGTGCCCGCCATCGCGCCTGGCTAACGTTTTTTTTTTTTTTTTTTTTATTTTTTAGTAGAGCCGGGGTTTCACCGTGTTAGCCAGGATGGTCTTGATCTCCTGACCTAGTGATCCGCCCGCCTCGGCCTCCCAAAGTGCTGGGATTACAGGCATGAGCCACCACGCCTGACCAATTTTTTGTATTTTTAGTAGAGATGAGGTTTCACCGTGTTGGGCAGGCTGGTCTTGAACTCCTGACCTCAGTTGATCCATCCGCCTTGGCCTCCCAAAATGCTGGGATTACAGGTGTGAGCCACCGCACCCAGCCAACCATACATTCTTTAACAACCATTTGCTTTTTTTTTGTTTGTTTGTTTGAGATGGAGTCTCGCCCTGTCACCCAGGCTGGAGTACAATGGAACACACTGCAACCTCCGCCTCCCAGGTTCAAGCAATTCTCCTGTCTCAGCCTCTCAAGCAGCTGGAATTACAGGCATGCGCCACCAAGCCTGGCTAATTTTTGTATTTTTGGTAGACACAGGGTTTCACCATGTTGGCTAAGCTGGTCTCGAGCTCCTGAACTCAAGTGATCCAACCGCCTTGGCCTCCCGAAGTGCTGGAATCACAGGCGTGAGTCACTGCACCCAGCTTCGGATATGCTATTTTCGAAGAGTCTTTTCCATGCTTAAAAACATTTGGGGGCTGGACCGAGTGGCTCATGCCTGTAATCCCAACACTTTGGGAGGCTGAGGTCGGTGGATCACCTGAGCTTAGGAGTTCGAGACCAGCCTAGGCAACATGGTGAAACCTCATCTCTACCAAAAATACAAAAAATTAGCCGGGCATGATGCCACGCACTTATAGCTACTTGGAAGGCTGAGGTGGGAGGATCACTTGAGCCTAGGAGGTGGAGGTTGCAGTGAGCCAAGATTGCACCACTGCACTCCAGGCTGGGTGACCAAGTGAGACCCTCTCTCACCAAAAAAAAAAAAAAAAGCTTGAGTCCAGGAGTTCAGGATCCATTGGGGGAACATGGTGAAACCCCATCTCTACACAAAATACAAAAAATTAGCCGGGTGTGATGGCACACACCTATAGTTCCAGTTACTTGGGAGGCTGAGGTAGGAGGATCACCTGAGACTGGGAGGCAGATGTTGCAGTGAGCCATGACTGCGCCACTGCACTCCAGCCTGGGTGACAGAACAAGACCCTTAGAAAAAAAAATACGAACATTTGGGTTTTTTATTATAAAAGTACTTATGTTGGCCAGGCACAGTGTCTCACACCTGTAATCCATTGGGTGGATGGCTTGAGCCCAGGACTTTGAGACCAGCCTGGGCAACGTGGCAAAACCTGTCTCTACAAAAAATAAAAAATTAGCTGGGCATGGTGGCACATTTCCTGTAGTGCTAGCTACTCAGGAGGCTGAGACAGGAGGACTGCTTAAGCCCGGGAGGTTGAGGCTGCAGTGAGCCAAGATGGCACCATTGTACTTCACTCTAACCTGGGCGACAGAGCAAAACCCATCTCAAAAAAAAAAAAAAAAAAAAAGCTGGGTGCGGTCAGTGGCTCACGCCTATAATCCCAGCATTCTGGGAGGCCAAGGTAGGCGGATCACCGGAGGTCAGGAGTTCAAGACCAGCCTGGCCAACATGGTGAAACCCTATCTCTACTAAAAATACAAAAATTAGTCAGGCATGGTGGCGGTTGCCTGTAATTCCAGCTACTCTGGAGGCTGAGGCAGGAGAATTGCTTGAACCCAGGAGGTGGAGGTTGCAGTGAGCCGAGATTGTGCCACTGCACTCCAGCCTGAATGACAGAGCAAGACTCCATCTCAAAAAAAAAAAAAAAAAAAAAAAAAAAAAAAAAAAAAAAAAAAAAACTTGATATGGGCCGGGCGCGGTGGCTCACACCTGTAATCCCAATACTTTGGGAGGCTGATGCAGGCGGATCACTTAAAGTGGGAAAATCGCTTGAACCCAGGAGGCAGAGGTTGCAGTGAGCCAAGATCACACCACTGCACTCAAGGCTGGGTGACAGAGTGAGACCCTGTCTCAAAAACAAAACAAAACCTGATATGTGGCAAAATACTGAAAGAATGCAGAAGACTGAAAAGCTGAAGTCCTCTTCTTCCCCAGAGCTGCTTCTGTCCTTTGAAAAACATTCTGTACATATTCAAGGCATATTAATCTCTTGTTATACAGGTGATGTTGACAGTGGCCAGCAGATATGTATGTCCCTTTCCTGTAGGTGACAGACCCAATTGCTGCACACAGGTGGTCACAGTAAACAGAAAGCTGGCAGCACTCCCACTTGGAAGGGCTGATAGGCTTGGCCTTAGAGTTGTGGGAGGACACTCCCTGATCAGGGTACGAACCCTTCTCTCTGCCCCTTCCAACTCCTGTGGAGTGTGTCTGTATCTAGTTGGTGCTAACTGCTACGTGCTTGGCAGGGCAAGGCAGGGTCACCACCTCAGCAGGCGTTTGTCCTCCTCCGGCATGATGCTACCCTAGCTGCCCAAGGTTCTAGCCTGTGTATGTTATTACATGGATTTTTTTACACATAAATACATAGACTTCAACTCACTTTTCTTTTTACAAAGTATACAATATACCTTGGATGTATTTATATCCCAAGACAGGGTTCTCATTCTTTTTCATGTGTTTTACTGTATGGGTAATATGGGTAATAATTTTTTTTTTTTTCTGAGACAGAGTCTCGCTCTGTAGCCCAGGCTGGAGTGCAGTGGCGAAATCTCAGCTCACTGAAATCTCCGTCTTCCGGGCTCCATCTTACATGCCCATAATCCCAGCTACTCAGGACGCTGAGGTAGGAGAATTGCTTGAACCTGGGAGACAAAGGTTGCAGTGAGCCGAGATTGCACCACTGCACTCCAGCCTGGGCAACAGAGCTAGACCCTGTCTCAACAACAACAACAAAGAAGGAGGAGAAGGAGGAAGAAGGAGAAGAAAAGAAAAAAAAAAGTCGTCAAAGGATATTAATTGTCGATAGATAACAGATAATGCCAAAAAATATAGAAGCAATTCTTAAAACACAGTGTTGGAACTGGTCCACAGCTCTGATTTTTAATGAGCTCCCATTTCTGAGGCCAATATAAACTTCATTCTATGCTGCCCATCTCTGACAGGTGGGCATTAACTACCAGCCCCCCACGGTGGTCCCTGTGGGAGACCTGGCCAAAGTGCAGCGGGCGGTGTGCATGCTGAGCAACACCACGGCCATCACGGAGGCCTGGGCCTGCCTGGACCATAAGTTCGGCCAAGTGCGCCTTAGTGCACTGGTACGTGGGGGAGGGCATGGCAGTGGGGGAATTCTCCGAGGCCCGCGAGGATCTGGCAGCTCTGGAGGATTATGAAGATGTGGGCATGGATTCCGTGGAAGCTGAGGCTGAAGAAGGCGAAGAATAGTGAGGGGAGGGTGCGGCAGGCAACCATCCCTCTGTATTCCCCACCATAACGCTAGGAGAGCTAATTACCTATTAAAATTTCCGTATTGCAAATTAGCCGGGCGTGGTGGCGGGCGCTTGTAGTCCCAGCTACTGTGGAGGGTGAGGCAGCCGAATGGCGTGAACCCGGGAGGCGGAGTTTGCAGTGAGCCGAGATCGCGCCACTGCACTCCAGCCTGGGCGACAGAGCGAGACTCCGGTCTCAGGAAAATAATAATAAAATAAAAAATAAAATTTCTGTATTGCGATACTGTCTTTCTCCTGTGTTGTACTTTGAGAGATTCCTCCTCCAGATAACCCTCCCTGAAGTCCACCTCCCCAGTACGAGAGTGAGTGCGGGCTCTGGTTTTTGTCGGGTTCTTTCGTGCAAGCGTCCCAGGCCCCGTTTTATTTCTTCCGTCAGAGGTCATTCCGAGGCGAGCTGCCGCCCCTGCGGCTTTCGAGGCTCCCAGGACACTGCCGCTTTCCGCTCCCGGGCCGCTCCCGAACGCTGGGGCCGCTCCATCGTGCCGGGGTGTTTACGGAGAAAAGTGAGGCCTGAGCGGACGAAAGAGAAGCCCACGTGGGCGACAATACTGGTAGTCCAGGGAGCTGGGACGACGCGGGCGCGTCAGAAACTCGCACGCTCGCGCCGCTTACTAACCCAGCTAGCTAGGACCTCGCCCCGCCCCGCCCCGGTGGCGGGGGCACCTCCGGCTCTCCAGTCTCTATGGTACCAACTTCCGGCGCGCGCTACCCCTCGCGAGACTTCGGCGGCGCAGCAATGGCCAGAGCGTGAGTGCCGCTGACAGAAGTCAAGAGAATCGGCTGGGACGGGGTTGGGGCGACAACGGGCCGGGGGGGACCCGACAGGCCAGAGCCCCTTGGGGAGGAGCGGCGGCTGGAGGCGCGAGGCTCCTCCGGATGCCCGGAGAGCCGCTTGCGACTTAACTCCCGCCTCTTTCCCAGATGCCGCGTCACTGCTCCGCCGCCGGCTGCTGCACACGGGACACGCGCGAGACGCGCAACCGCGGCATCTCCTTCCACAGGTCAGCGCGCGTGCGCCGCGGGCTCACGTGCGCATGCGCTAGTTGTTGCTCGCCTCGGGTCGCAACTGCGTAGAGGCTTCGCGCCTTTCTCAGATACTGAGGAGGCTTGAACCTGTGGGTGGGAGGTGAAGCGGAACGGTCCCGGCGGGACTGAATGCAGTCGGGAAGGGGAGGACGGGAAGTCTAGCCGGCTTGGACCCGCCCCACTCTGTTACCTGCCAGATGACGCTGAGGAAACTGCTTTTCTTCTCGAGGCCTCCGTTGCCTCGTCTGTGCCCGGGCGGTGGTGCTTACCCGGCGGGGTCGCAGGGAGGTCTCGTGGCGGCGCGTGTTGGGTCTGCGTTTCCCCTCTGGGGTGCTTGGGCAGCATGAGCCCAGGGCTGTGGACAGCCTGGTGCTCACGGGTTTGTGGCTCCACAGACTTCCCAAGAAGGACAACCCGAGGCGAGGCTTGTGGCTGGCCAACTGCCAGCGGCTGGACCCCAGCGGCCAGGGCCTGTGGGACCCGGCATCCGAGTACATCTACTTCTGCTCCAAACACTTTGAGGAGGACTGCTTTGAGCTGGTGGGAATCAGGTGGGCCTCCCTGCCGGCCGACGCTGGGGTAGGATGTGGGGCTCCCGGCGGACTGGGACAGCTGCAGGTCATGGAAGTCCCTTGAGCAGCCTGCGTCCAAGGGGGCTGTTTCCTGTTCCCAGCTCTGCACAGTGAAACCCACCCCCAGGATCACTGTGCCTGTGACACAAGGGGAAAACAGGAGCCTTTCCAGAGAGTATCTTTCAGAGCCCCAGTCTTGCCAGCAAGTCCACAAATCAAAGAATTCTTTCTGGCTGGTCAGCCCAGCTCGGCTTATGCAGGCTTTCCACACACCTGGACTGTGAGGAGTCCTGCGGGGAAGCGATTGGTGTAGCTGTAACTTGGCGTTCCCCAGACGTATTGTTTGCACGATGCCTTCCAGCATCCCACGGCGCTGCTGCTGGGGGCAGATTGGCCTGGGGAGGCAGCACTTGCTCTCCAGCTCATCTGGGTTGCTTTTCCCCGCAGTGGATATCACAGGCTAAAGGAGGGGGCAGTCCCCACCATATTTGAGTCTTTCTCCAAGTTGCGCCGGACAACCAAGACCAAAGGACACAGTTACCCACCTGGCCCCGCTGAAGTCAGCCGGCTCAGACGATGCAGGAAGCGGTATGTGATATGGGTGGGGGATGCCCCACTCCCACCCCTAGGCTGAGGGACTGGGCCCTAGGGGTGTCTGCCAGCAGTCTCGCTGGACAGGGTTCTTGCTACACAGAACCTGTGGATCGGGTTTGGGTGTTAAGGGTGGATCAGGTGGGCTGGTGGAGGGGGGTCTGGCAAGCCCTCAGCCTAGCCCATCAGTCTCTCTCTTCCCCCTTACCAGCTGCTCCGAGGGCCGAGGGCCCACAACTCCATTTTCTCCACCTCCACCTGCTGATGTCACCTGCTTTCCTGTGGAAGAGGCCTCAGCACCTGCCACTTTGCCGGCCTCCCCAGCTGGGAGGCTGGAGCCTGGCCTTAGCAGCCCCTTTTCAGACCTACTGGGCCCCTTGGGTGCCCAGGCAGATGAAGCAGGCTGCAGCGCCCAGCCTTCACCAGAGCGGCAGCCCTCCCCTCTCGAACCACGGCCAGTCTCCCCCTCAGCGTATATGCTGCGCCTGCCCCCACCCGCCGGAGCCTACATCCAGAATGAACACAGCTACCAGGTGGGCAGCGCCTTACTCTGGAAGCGGCGAGCCGAGGCAGCCCTTGATGCCCTTGACAAGGCCCAGCGCCAGCTGCAGGCCTGCAAGCGGCGGGAGCAGCGGCTGCGGTTGAGACTGACCAAGCTGCAGCAGGAGCGGGCACGGGAGAAGCGGGCACAGGCAGATGCCCGCCAGACTCTGAAGGAGCATGTGCAGGACTTTGCCATGCAGCTGAGCAGCAGCATGGCCTGAGGGGCTGCTGGACTGACCGAGGGGCTGCCCAGCAAGACTGCAGCCTCTTCCTCCCTCAGATCCCACCAGACCCACCAGGTGCCATAATAAAGCGGATTCTAGACGGAGGGCCTGCTGTCTGGCTCAGCTGGGGGCTGGAGCCCCTCTGAGTACTAAGCTTGCTGCCCCAGACAGTGGCTGCAGCTCCTAGAGGGCTCAGTCCAAGCTCTTTGCCAAGGAGAACAGGGAGCCTGGCTCTCACCCCTCAGAGCTACTGGTAGACAGGTGGCAGTCAGCCCTGCTAGCGCAGCTCCGTGCCCCACAGGGTTCTCTGAAGGGGCAGGATGGTGTGAGTAGGGGCCAGGAAGACAGCTCCAGGCGCCCTTTCCATAGGATCTGAAACAGCCCTGACTTAAACCAGCCAGCCCCTTTGAGAACACTTCTAAAACCCAGTCTAGATCCGGTTCTCAAGCAGGAGCATGACAGGCTTCTGTCCACAGGCCCCATCAGCCTGGTGGGTAAGCTGGACAACCCTCTCCCCGCCCCCTTCACTACCATCTCTATTTGAAAAACGGGGATGATGATGACAATCATCAACCTCCTGGGTCATGTCAGCAGGTAGTAAAGCCCCAACAAGCTAGTCCCTGGAAATCTAGGAAGAGGTGGCCAGAACATGGAGACAAGCACTCAGGTCCTGGCCTCAGCATCCTTTTCCTTCAACTCCCAGGAACCTGGAAGGCCTTGCTGCAGCTGCAGTTCTCAAACAGCTCCGTCTTGGGGTGACTCACTGCAAGTATGGCCTCTCCCTGCCGAGGAGCACAAATGAAATTCATTCTAGTCCCAGAAACTGCCACACAATTTCGTAAAATTTGCTTTTTAGGGCCCTTGGCATGTAATTTCATTTATTCATATAAGTCTAGATCAGGGTTCAGTGACAAGGGTCAGCATAGAGCAGGGTTGCAGACTGGTTCAAGGAGGCTTCTGGGTAGGCCCCTCCAGGAGGGATTTGGAGGAGGCTGCCCTGTGGGTGTGGCAGGAGCCACATCTTGTGGAAACTGGGTAGATGGGTGTGTGGCCCCACTCTGAGTGAATGCACCTGGCCCACATGGCTGGGCGCTGCAGCCTGCACTCCACTTCCAGGTGCTGACATATCCTCCCCAGCCATGGTCCTGGGCCTGCTGTGTCCTCACCTCAAGGGCCTCCCGGCTCAGCCTCTGCCCCAGCTCCTGCTCTCTCCTCCCTTGTTCCCAGCTCATCTTGCACTAGGCCACTTCCTAGCCTGCAGGCTGCCTATGGATCTCCTGTTAGCTAAGCAACTTGCCACTCAGGGCCCCCCACACACCTGCATACACCCAAAGGAGAGCAGGTCACTTCCCCAAGGAGCTGTGGCTTCATGGCAGCCACAACAAGAAAGGGGTCCTGGAATCCTGTTCCCAGTAAGGGAGCGCTGGCTCCCAGCACTAGAGTGGATCCACATGGGGCCCTCACTAGGGCAAGAGGGCAGCCCTCCTTCCACAGGAGCCAAGAGCATAGTGCAGGGGCAAGGCAGGGCAGAAGGGGCAGGAGCCCACCCCAGGCCTCCAGGATTCCCCTGGAAGGGGCCAGCCTGGAGGCCTTCACAGCCCTTCCCAATGTGACTGGGTGACCCCAGGTGGAGGCAGGAGTTGACAGCATGGATAGAGACAGGTAAGGCCACTGACCTACATCTGGGGGTCTGCTAAGCCATGGGCTGCTCAAGGGGCTGAAGCCAGCAGTGGTGGCCGGGCCAGCAAGGTGTGTGTGGTGGGTAGCACTGCTGTGGCTTTAATGGAGGCTTGTCTGTGACAGAATACTCAGCAAGGGACACGGGGGACTTTGCTGGCTTCTTCCCGGCCGAGCCCTGACATGCACACAGGTGGACTGGGATCCTTCAGCCCCTGTGAAAACCAGGCCTGGCCCAGCACGACCGACCTGGGAGCTGACCTCAGGGCCCTTCACTCCAAAATTCACCTCAAGTCAGGTGAGACCCATACATCATGGGTCCCCACTCACAAGTTCCAGGTGGGAAGAGGAGCCCCTTACATGGATCTCAGTGAGGGTGGGTGGGACAGGAGCAGCCCAGGCAGATTCGCTGGTGCAGCGCAAGTCTGCTAAGCCTCCTCCCGCATGTTGGAGGAGCCTTGGTGACAGGCCCCAGTGCCTGAGTCCACAACACGCCCAGGCCACAGAAGCCAGGCCAAGCCCCACTGGGTGGGAGGCCCAAAGTCTCTCCCCACTTCTGGGTGGTGAGCCCATCACTGAGCCGTGGCCTCGCATCCACACTACACCAGGAGAGGGTGATGACAGGAGGGGGTCTGCTTCATCATCCGCTCCCTGTGGGACCTGTGTCTTCAGTGAATTAATGAGTTTGGGGCCCCACATCCCCTCAGCTCTCTTTGGAGGCTCTGGGCACCCTGACCCTTGGCCTGGCAGGTGCACCCACTGCCATAGGCATGCGCATAGCCGGTAGTCTTCTCAGTAGGCAGGGCAGGCAGGCACGGCGATTCTTCACAATGGGCAGGCGCCACAGGGCCTCAGATGTCGGCGCCCAGCTCTGCGCACTGCTTGTCTGAGATGTGGGAGGCCAGGGAGTCTATGATGTCCAGCAGCAGCTGCTGGCTCAGCGACCGCAGGGTGGGCAACTTGGAGACCTGTAAGGCAAGCAGGCCGGAAGGAGATGGGACCAGATCCACCTAAGGGCCATGGTGGGCAGTGGAGCCCTGTGGGGCCTACCCTGCTCAGGGCTCAGGCTGGTCCCAAGGATGAAGCAAGGTGCGGCCAGTGATGGGCTGCTCTGCTTCTCTCACCCCCAGGGCCCACCACTGCAGGGGACCACAGAGCCTGGGCACCCTCCCTGCCTGGGCATGGCCACTGCCAAGGGGAAGCGAGTCCTGAAGGGGAGGCCAGAGCCCTGACCTTGGTGAACTGGTGCACAATGATGTGCAGGCAGTGCCGCTTCATGTCCAGTGCCTGCGTTTTGTCAGCTGCCTCCAGGATCTGCAATGGCAGGGACCTTGAGGCGCTGCCCCTTTCACCCACTCAGTGGGAGCTGCAGCCATGTGCACGGGGCTGGGGGGCTACCTGCAGCACGTTCTGCACCGTCACGTTCATCTCCAGGTTCTGCTTGCAGTACGCCTGCAGCCGGTTGTTGTAGAAGCCGTAGTAGTAGGGGGCCGCAAACAAGTAGCTGGGGCCTGGTTAAGGAGCTGACTAAAGGAAGCTGGTCCGCCCGCACCCTCCCAGGGAAGGACAGGGAAGGGCGCAGCTGGAGCCCCAAGCCCCCACGCCAGCATGCTCTCCAAATGGATTCTGAACTACTTAGTGGGTCAAAGGCCCCATTCAGGATCCAAAGAAAACCATGAATCCCCTCCCGAGAAAAATAGTGTCTGTACATCTGTAGCGCTGTTCCATGGCCTTGCAGGCCTAACAGGCATCCTGACCCTCCATGTTCAGACCCCTACTGAAGTGACATAAGGAGTACCTCCATGTCTGTGCTCAACTGTCACACAAAGCAATGACCCACCCCGTCCTCTGGGCAGTTGTGAGGGTCAGGAACCCACTGGTTCCTCCTGGCTGCAAACCCCTCCTTGCCAGCTGCCAACTGCTTCAGAGAGCACCAGGCCCAGCCCCAGGCACCAGCAAACCCTCTGGAGGGAGGCGCTGGGCCCAGATCACCTAGCTGGGGCAGGAGAGCGGGCCTCAAAGCCACCTGAGGTGGGTGCCAGGACCCCTTGGTGGGGACCTGGGAGTTCACTGGGGAGTGAGGATGCAGCGAGTCCTCGGGCGGCATGTTGACCTCGCCGTAGTAGATGTAGCGCAGCATGGACTCGAAGGCCTGCCTGCTGGGCACCATCTCCCCGATGGAGATGTTCACCTGCCCATCTTCGGGCATGAAGGACCGGAACATGGCTTCAAAGTAGCTGCAGACAACGAGCGGTAGGCACCTGGCCGTCAGCAGAACGAAGACACCATCCAGGCCCACCCTCCCCTCCTGTCCAGCCCCCACCCACCTGGAGCGGGCGGCCAGGATAGCCTTGTGGGCTGGCCGTGGGTGCCCGTCAAGCAACAGAGTGATGTCACAGAATTCCGCGCCCGCTCCCTCCAGGTATGCCTTCATGTCCTGGATCAGAGATGTGCCTGGGGGTAGGAGGGTCCCTGAGCAGGTACAGCCTGGGATTCTGGCCTTGGGGCCCCACGGCACTACCTTCCTGCATATCTGCCCATGTTGCTGCCCTGAACAAAACTTCACCCAGGCAGAAGGCCTCACTCGCCCTGAGGTACCATCAGCCACATTCTGTCCTCCCTCGGCGCCCTGGCCGACTCAAGCACTATGCCCCACGCACAGCCCACCACCCAGCGTCTCATCTTCCACCCAGCTTGCTGTACCCCCTCGCTGACCTCATGATCAAGCCCCCTCCAGGCCCACTGCATGGCCTCTGGTGCCTGCAGACATCACCAAGAGCCAGCAACCGGGGTCAGCACAAGCCCCAGGGAGAGCTGGGGGAATGAAGGGGCCTGTGACATTACAAGCAAAGAGAAGTCCAGAGACTGATCACCGTGACCCTGGGCCATCAGACCTGACATCCTAGCCCGAAAGAGGTGCCCCATGTCCACCCCCAGAAATTGGCTCAGGAAATCCCAGGTCACCAGGACACAGCCCACTGTGGCAAGCCCCATGGGTCGGGGGCTTCTGCCTTCATCTGTTTCCTCCCTGTACCCAGGAGAGCACTCTGGGGTCCCATGGCACCCACCCCCACCCCGAGGGCCTGGCAGGTGCTCTCCATGGCTCCCAATCTCCTACCGCAGATGAACACCATCCCTCCCAGCCCCCAGGGAAGGGGAACGGGGCTCCCTACCAATGTCCACTGGCTGGTCCAAGGGAGTGCGAGGGGGCGGCTGCTGCTTCCGCCGCACAATCTCCACTATCAGTGGAGAGGAGAGGCGCTCGAACTCCTTCATCATGATCACCTGGTTGAAGTGGGACTCCTTTACCACGAAGTTCAGGCAGTGCTCCTGGGGCAGACAGGCACAGGCAGGCAGGCAGAGTCAAGCCAGGGCCCCAGGCTGGGCGAGGGGCTCACAGTGGTGGGCAGGGAGGGGGCCTAAGCCTGAGCACACCCCACCCAACCCTGATTGCGCTGACCCCACCCCACACCTTGAGTTGGCTCAGCTGCAGCCGGGCGGCACTCTCGCACACAACCAGCACGTTCTGCAGGTCCACGGAGGCCTCGATGTACTGGCGGCACAGCTGCTCCAGGCGGCACAACTGGAAGCTCAGTGCCAGTTTGTACACATCCATGATGAGCAGCACATCCTCCACATGGCCTGCGCCCCAGAGCCCCCGAATCTCAGGGAGCCGGAGAGGGGAGGGCAGGGCACAGGGCGCAGGGCTCCCCCCATGGAAGAGTGTGGGCTGGGGCCACTAGGTAGGAACAAGGCCTCGGGGGACTCAGATGGCGTCCAGCTGCAGTGATCATGGGTAAGGAGGGTGACCTGCAGCCTCTGAGCCTCAGGGGGCCCATCAGTAAGGCAGGGCTGGCAGCACCCACCTTTTGGCTCTGCTGCCCGCACCCCAGCCCACACCAACCCTGCTCCACCCCCACCCAGGCGGACCTTTCCGTGGGTATTTGATCTTGTCGGTGTAGAGGAACTGCATGAGCACCTCGAAGGGCCGGGCCTCGGCCTCCCGGATGGCCACGTGCAGCAGGGGCGGCCGGGCCCCACCAGCAGCCACGCCGGGGGCCTCCCTGGGAACTGGGGCGGCCTCCTGCTCCAGCTTCTGTGGGGAGAAGGGAGCTCAAGGACACCCCAGTGGACACCAGGCATGGCTGCCAGGTCAGGGCAGGGCGGTTAGGCACCTCACCTGGGCCAGCCTCTCCCGCGCCTGCGTGATCTTCCTGCGAAGCCAGCGGCTCCGCGCTGTGACAATGGCTACGTGGCCCTGCACGCACTCCTCCTTCTGCACAAAGAATGATGCACTGGCAGAGGGCACAGGACCCTCGCCCCAGAGAACAGAGACCCAGCCAGCCAAGGTCAGCACCACCAGGCCAGCAGCTGTTTTTCTGAGGGGCGAAATTCCCACTGCCCAGGCACAGCAGGCAGAGCAGGGTGCGAGGACAGGCACCCACCTCACCCAGCACGAACTCCACGTCGCAGAACTGGCGGCTCTCCCACAGCCGCCCGTAGTCCTCGTGCAGCGTGCATTTAGGGTAACAGGAGAACTGCAAGAGGGGCCCAGTGAGACTAGATGTTGCAGACAGCAGGGTGGCCCCAGTGTGGCTGTGCAGGCCGACCCTGAGGTCCCCACCTGGCCCATGCTGACCCTCAGGGCCCAGGAGGCAGGTGGGCCTGGCTGAGGAGAGGAAGCAGCCGCTACCCCACCCTGAAAATACAGCCTGGCTCCAGCCTCAGCACCTGCAACTGTCCACGGCCGGCTCCACAGCAGGAAAGGGCTCCCCTGCCTCTCTTGCCTTCGGCTGGGCCCCAGGCCTCAGCAGAGCTCTGCCGTCTCCACTCTGCCTGGACCTGCGTCCTCACACTGGCCCCCACCAGCACATCCCAACCTCCTCCAGGAAGCTGGCCCTGACCTCACTGTGGCTGTGAGTCCCTGCCCTGACCACCTGCTCCTCCAGGCCTGGGAAGGGGCTGTCAACGCAAGCCACTGTCGGCCCTGGCTCTGCCCTGGGCCAGGCTATGATGCCTGTGAGGCTCTGGTGCTGAGCCCAGCTTGGCCCGGCTCCCTCCACTGACTCTGCCGTGAGCCCCAGCACCATCTGCCTGCCCCACTGCACGAAGGCTGCCCACTTTAGTGCCACCTCAGCCCACCCTCAGCCCACAGGGCTCCTCCCAAGGCTTCCATCCTGCCAGGTGTGGCCCTGGCAATGGCCTGGATAAGCCCTGCCCCCCAACTTGGCCTCAGTTTCTCATCACGGGGGATCCGTCCACCCAGCCGGCTCTACAGGCCCACAGGCCCCACACCTGGAACCTGTACATCTCCCCGCTGCGGATGTTGTTGTCCACCGTGCCCCCGAAGATGTACATGGCGTCCGAGATGACAGCAGCCGCGTGGAAGAGCCTCCCACTGGGCAGCTGGGGGACAAGAAGGCAGGGTGGAATGGTGGGGGAGCAGAGCCTCCACAGTGCGGCTGGTGCAGCCAGGTAAGGCAAGGATGCGGCACCTCATGGCCATGAAGGGCCAGGGGGCAGGGTCCCCAAGGGATGAGGGCCCCTGGGTACAGACACAGGTGGGACCTGGTACCCATGTAGGCGAGTGGGGCATGACGGGCCATGGAGACCCTCAGAGTGGTCAGGGCACTTGGGCCAGTGTGTGGCACCCACCCCAGAAAGCTGCAGCCTGGCCAGCAGGGTGAGGGCCCTTGGCCCTGTACCCCCTTTGTGGTGTGACCCCAAGCAAGTATTTCTCGGGGCCTCAGTCTCCCCATGTGTGAGAGGTGTTGATCACAGGACCTGTTTCAGGGGGTGATGGAGTCTTAATGAGGATCCCAGCCTGTACCTCCGAGGCAGGCTGGGTGGGCTGCTTGGCTGAGGTGGTGCCAAAGTCCAGGCCAAACACATCTCGGGACTTCTTGAAGCCAACCCGCTCCTCATAGGTCAGGGTGGGCACCTCCTCGGAAGCACAGGCTCGCTCGGGCACTTCAGCCCCACCAACCTGAAGAGGGGAGACACATGGGCATGAGACCAGTTGGCAAGGGCCAGGTAGGTGCCCAGAGACCCCCACCATCCTGGCCTTGAGAGTGGGTTCTGAAAGAAGGAAGAGCTGCATGGCCGTGGGCTTCCCAGGAAAGGTCTGCAGCACAGCAGCCCCATGCAGCCATGATGGGGTGTGAAGCGTTAACTACCTGCAGGCTGTGGGGTGAAGCTGGGGCTGGAGGCCGGGGCAGGTGTCCAGGGCTGAGGCCCAGGTGTCCTGGCCTTGCTCCTGGTAGCTGTCTGGAACCCCAGGGGGCCCCAAAGCTGTGAGGAGCTGGGTGGGAGCAGGGTAGGAGCTACTGGTGTCCAGCTGGCAGGTCAGGACACCCCTGGGCACCCTCACCTCGCTGTCGGAGCTGGGCTGGACGACCTCCCAGGTCTGGAAGTCCACGTCATAGCAGTGCAGCTCGTTGGGCAGCGTGTTGTCGGCCGCACCCCCAAACACATAGAGGTGGCGGTCAAAGGCCACCATGGTATGCCCGTAGCGCCGCTGCGGGGGTGGTGGGGAGCCCCGGAGCAGGTGTTCAGTTGGGATGCGTGTCCACCTGGGGGTACACAACAGTGAATCAATGCTGGGACAGGGGCTCCTGCTCACCCTCGGGGCCTCCCCACAGCAGGCCTTCACTGGGAGGTCCCCCTGCATCCCTTACGGTGACTAGCCCAGGGTCCAGAGGGAGGGCCTAGACACCTGCGCTGAGCACCTCTCACCCCATCCAGCACGGGCACCAGCCCTGCCTGGCTCCATGTGGCCCACCGCAGGGTCCTGCCAGAGCTCCCCCCTCTCCCCATGGAGCAGGCAGCAGTGATGGGCAGGAGGGTGGCATCTGACCCGCCCAGGCAGTCCTGCTCTCTGGGGAGTAAAGTTGTGCAGAGACCATTGCAGGTCACTGTGTTCACGCTGCCCAGTCAGAGCATCCCCACAGCTGAGTCCCCATCCTGGGAGCTGCCTGTACCCCACATCCTGATGCTGCCCCAGCACCTTCCACCTCCCAGGCTTCCCAGTACCTCCCAGCAAGTCCTCTCTTTTGCTAAGTTAGCTGAAGACTTCAGAACAGATCCTGGCCTGGCAGGGCTATGCCATCTGGCTCCATGCTGAGCCCCAGGCCCTTGACAATTTCCCTCATCCTGGGGCTCCCTGCCCTTCCTCCCACGCACCCGTGGCCTCCAGGGAAGCTCCCAAGTCCCTTCCCAAACCCCCTGTACCTGCAGCTCACACTCCTTGTGCCCTCTCCTGCAGCCCCATTGCAGGGATCAAGGGCTGGCCAGCAGCCAGGGGCAGCATGGGCCAGACCTCTCAGGACCTGCAGGCCCCTCTGGTCTTCTGCCATTATTTGAGATCTATGCAGGCCACGTCTGTTACTGGTGGCACTGACCAAGCTATTCACGAGGAAGGGGACGTCCTTCACGTTCAGAGGGAGGCCTAGCCAGGGGCCTCCTCGCCAGGCCTTATCTTGCTAAGCTGTAGCCATATCCTGGGGACCTGCCAGGGGCACCGCACATCCCTGCTCCGGGCTGTAACCTCCTGCTGTTTGCAGAGCTCACAAGGATGGTTACCATGGCCACCAGGTGCAAGAGGCGTTCTTCATATTCAGAAGGATTCGAGGGAACTGACCGTCCTCCCTCCACCCCACTGGCCAGAGTACTCACGTCTTGTCCTTGAATTCAAACTGGAAGAGGTTGTTGGTTATTTTGGCTCCGCTTTGCCCAGAGAATACAAACATCTTGTCCCGGCACACAGCCACGGGGAAGTTGCAGCAAGATGGGGGGATCTCGCCACTCTGGGCCACCTGCAGGGGGAGAGGACAGCTCAGCCCCGGCCTCACAGGGCCCGCTCACATTTCACCACACTCGAGACTGCTGAGATGGGACTGCTTTTATTCTTGAAACTTCCCCAGATGAGGATTCACAGATTCCTTTGTCTTGGAACAGCTCATAGCCCTGTCTCATCCACTTCACGGGGCCCAGTTGTGAACAGCTGGGGTTAAAATCGTCAGGGTTAAATCATCAGGGGCTAAACTCATGTTTTTCATGCCCAGAAGACTGAAAAACAATTTTTTTTAATGAATAAATAAATAAATTCCATGTTTCTAAAGGGGAAAGCAAGCCCAGGGGGAGCTCCAGGGAGCAGGACACTGGATAGCAGACGGCCCTCACTGCACTGAAATAAAGGGTGCGTTAAAGCAAAACCACATCCTCACACACGTGGCACTCTGCCCATCCAAAGCACCAAACCTCGAATCACTGTGCAGCCACAGTGAGGAACTGGTCGTGAAGGCCCGCAGGTCACCAGGGAGGAGAGCGAGGCTCAGGTCGAGGCTGGGCTTTGCAAGGGGAAGAAAGCAGCCTCGACCCCCAGCCTGGCTCCCCCTGCCTCCCACCTCCCTCCACCTGCACCCTGTCTCCCCATGCCCCTCACCTCCTCCACCTGCGCCCTGGCTCCCCGTGCCCCTCACCTCCTCTACCTGCGCCCTGGCTCCCCACGCCCCTCACCTCCTCCCAGCAGGTGAGCTCTCGGTCCTGGAGGCCAATTGTCCACATGTCATTCAACCTGTATTAGGACAGACCAGTGAGGACCCCTTGGGTCTGGTGGTCAGGGTGGGCCTAGTCCTGGCTGGAAGGGATGGCTGCAGGGAGGAGCCCCACCCCCACACAGGGTAGGAGACTTGTGCGGCCATGAGGCGGGAACTTCTGTGTGGGGTGGCAGCCACTGCCTCAAATCCCTGCTGTGCCAGGCCCCCTGCCCGGCCCAGACAGAACAAGTACTCTCATGCATGACATCAGGGCAGTGTGGCAGTGCCAGCTCCTCACTCAGTGTCCCTCCTGGGTGGGGAGAGGACACAGATATCCCAGATGCCACCATCACTGCATCGTTAGGAGTTTCTATGATGCTGAAGTTTTGGGAAACCAGCATATGCTACTTTTGTGATCAGAAAAAGAGAGCAAAGCCAACTTTCTAAAATAAGGAGGAAAAGGCCTTTGGCCTGGGCAAGAACCAGGGCTGGGCCTGAGCCTGGGCACCGCCCACCCGCCCACCAACTCAGCTCCGCAGGGCAACTCCTGGCTGAGGATCCTCATCCAAGCTACTCTGGTAGCCACGGGGCTCCACCCAGTGGCCCTCACCTCCATCTGTCCATCCTCCTCTTTCCCCATCCCCCTCCCAAGAAACCCCCAGACAGAGTGGCACTCAAAATCCACCAGGCACTCAAAATCCTCCCAGCCTAAGCCCTCAAATGCCAGGACGGCCTGCTCCGGGTCTCAGTGCTGTCGGAGGTGGGGTGCACAGGCCGGACCACCACCCACCTGGCGTTGCCGTCATAGCCAGCAAAGATCCACAGCTTGTCACTGTACACCGTGGCCCCATGGGCTGACCTAGCGACTGGCAACCTGGAGTGTGAGGGAAGAGGGGAGGGAGTGAGGCCGCCCAGCACAGACCTGAGCCACCCAGCCCCATGTGGTCAGTGCAGGGGCCACAGCCAGGCTGCATGGCTACATCCACCCGACACTGGGGCTTCAGGACCTCCACAAGGCACTAGGAATAAACAACAGCCCCAGAGGCCGACTAGTGGCTTGAAGAGGAATTCAGACAGCCACAGAGGCACAGAACCTTCTCCTAGGTGCCCCCAAAATATCAAAGGGGGTGCTCAAAAAGCGGGACCCCAGAAGCGCCATCAGCAGTACATTGGATCTTATTGAACATTTTTTTGTGACAAGGTCTTGTTCTGTCTCCCAGGCTGGAGTGCAGTGGGGCACACATGGTTCACTGCAGCCTTGAAGTCATGGGCTCAAGTGATCTTCCCACCTCGGCTTCCCAAAGTACTAGGACTACAGGCATGCGCCACCACGCCTGGTCCATTTGGGTCTCTTCTGAAAGGAGGGAGTCTAAGGGCTGGGAGCAGGCCATGCATAGCTGCACCGGGGGATATTCCACCAATCCCAAGCTCCCTGCTATTGCGTGCCCTCAGGGTCCTCATCTGGGAGGCAAAAGGGGGCAGATCCCAGGTCCAATGCCACCCAGGACCCAGCCTGTCCCAAATGTTTCTGCAAAGTTTCTCACCGTCCTTCAATTTTCCACTCCGTCCACTGGCCAGTTGCAAACTTGTATTCAAAGAGGTCGTTTTTATTCTTCAAGTTAGAATTGGAATAAATGTCCCCAGTGTAACCCCCTGAGTAAAGAGAGTGAGAAACTGTCAAACCCAAAGGGCAGTCTTGGAGATTTCAAACCCTGGAAGGTGGAGCAGAATCTGGCCCCCCTGAAAATGCATAAGCCAGGACTCCTTCCACAAGCCCCGGAACGACCTGCTGCCTGTCTGCCTCTGTGCTGGGCTCTGGGGACACAGAGATGAGCAGGACACTGTTCCCAGCCACAGCTCAGTAACACAGAAAGACACCCAACCCTGTGAGCTCAGGGCCGTTAGGGCAAGGGGTCCCAGATCCAGCGCAGAATTCCGAAGACTGGCAGACAAAGCCACGGGTGGAGAGAGAGCCCCTGCTGTACACAGCACGAGCACAAATGCCCCAGGCCTGCAGAAGGGCAGGGTGTCTGTGGGCCTCGGGGCGACACAGCCCCTGGGAGGCAAGAGGCTGCTTACCAAAGACAAACATGCTGCTCCCATAGACGACGGCCGAGTGGTGGTAACGGGGGGCCGGTGGGGTCCCAGTGGTAAAGGCCCTGGGGTGGGCACAGGGGTGGTGAGAGTCAGCGGGGGTCACCCATGAGGTCCACACCCCCACAGGGTGGCCCTGCATCCCTGTGCTGCCTTTCTTTTTTCTTTTTTTTTTTTTTTGAGACGGAGTCTCTCTCTGTCGTCCCGGCTGGAGTGCAGTGGCACGATCCCGGCTCAACCTCCACCTCCTGGGTTCAAGCGATTGTCCTGCCTCAGCCTCCTGAGTAGCTGGGATTACAGGCACCCACCATCATGCCCAGCTAATTTTTTGTATTTTTGTAGAGACGGGGTTTCACCATGTTGGCCAGGCTGGTCTTGAAGTTCTGACCTCAGGTGATCCGCCCACCTCAGCCTCCCAAAGTGCTGGGATTACAGGCGTGAGCCACCGCGCCCAGCTACGTTTCACTTTTGTATTTTGAAGGTGATACCTGTCTCATCATAGAAACTTAAAAAAAAAAAATCACCAATAAGGAAAAAACAAAATAGGCACTAAAGCTCATGCAAATTCCCATTACCAGAAAACCTCTGGCAACACCTTGAGGTCTTCCCTGCACACCTCTCCTACGCATACTTAGGCTTCCATGAAATTTTTTAAAATGGAATCAAGTGGCAGATATTTTGTAAATTGCTTATTCCACTCACAGAATGTGACCAGGTCCTCATGCTACTCCAGGACCATCCACACTCCTGCTCTCAGCAGCAGTGCAGCATCTTACAGCACGGGGTCCATCAATTTCATTTAATACCTATCTATCTAACCATCATCTATCTATCTACCTATCATCTATCAATCATCTAATCTATATAATCTATATATCCATCATCTATCCACCTATCATCTACCTATATAATCTATCCATCATCTATCTGTCATCTATCATCTATCTACCTATCATCTATCATCTATTGTCTGTCATCTATCTACCCATCATCTATCTAATCTACCTACCTATCATCTACCTATCATCTATCTATCGATCTGTCATCTATCATCTATCCACTATCTATCTATCTGTCATCTATCTGTCTAATCTACCTATCATCTATCTATCATCTCTCTTTGTCTTTCTATCATCTATCTATCTTTCTTTCTATCTATCTATCTATCTATCTATCTATCTATCTATCTATCATCTGTCTATCTATCTTCCTAGACAGGGTCTCACTTTGTTGCCCAGCTGGTCTTGAACTCCTAGCTTTTTTCTGAGTTTTATACTTAAGCAATTTTTGACAAATAATTGTGAAGCCTTCAGAATGATTTTTTAAATTAATTTGTAACTACTAGCCATCTTACAAAATCAAGTGTGAGAGAAAAGACATAGCAACTTCTGTACCCATACTAGCATCAGCCTCGAGGTAGAGGTGGACAGCCCAGAAGGGTGCCGCCCTGTGTGCCCAGCTTGGCAGCTGCAGGTGCGGGGTGGTTACTTGATCTCCTCAGCCTGACAGGGCGGCTCTGGATGTGGCATCCCTGAGGCCGTGGTTATCTCCTCCTGGAAGCTTCTTTCTAGCTTCCCATGATGAGAGAGACTCTGCTAGCAACTGGGACCCAGCACTGTGCCACTGTGTTCTAGGAGGAAAGGCAGGGCCCTGGAGCACGGGGCCACCCACCTGCACCAGGAGCAGTCTTTCACATCGAACCGCAGGAGGTCATTGAGCATGGTCTTCCTGAAAGGCAGCCGGAAGAGAGGGTGGCATTAGCCAGGTCTACTCTGCAGTGACCCCAGAGATGGGCACTGCATGTAGCCAGGGTAGAGTAGGGGGCTGTTGTGGGCTGGGTCACTAACACAGCCAGGCAACCAGCTGATGCCCAAGAACAAGAGTGGTGACCACAAAGGAGGCTCCCCAACTGATATGGGCACCAGGGCTGCCACACAGGCAGACACCAGCCTGCCTGGGGTCAGGACCAAAGCATGAATGTGGCCACCAGGAGCCCAACCAGCAGCTGACATGAAGGCATGAAATGGCCCAAAGGCCAGAGTCACCCTCACACCTCACCCTAGCCTCCAGAACCCCTATTCACACGTCCCAATCCCCTTCCTCTGCAGCTGTACCCTGCAATGCAAGTGCTTGCCCGTGCCTCAGGAGAGGCCCTTTGCTTCTCTCTGATCTTCCTGCCACTTCTTAAAAAAAAGAAATAGAGACAATGGGCTGGGCTCGGTGGCTCACGCCTGTAATCCCAGCACTTTGGGAAGCCTAGGCGGGCGGATCACTTGAGGTCAGGAGATTGAGACCAGCCTGGCCAACATGGTGAAACCCCATCTCTACTAAAAATACAAAAAAATTAGCCTGGCATGGTGGCAGGCGCCTGTAATCCCAGCTACTCGGGAGGCTGCGGCAGAATCGCTTGAACCCGGGAGGCAGAGGTTGCAGTGAGCCAAGATGGCGCCACTGAACACCAGCCTGGGTGACAGAGCAAGACTCCATCTCAAAAAAAAAAAAAAAAAAATAGAAACGAAGTCTTGCTTTCCTGCCCAGGCTCGTCTTGAATGCCTGGCCTCAAGTGATCTTCCCACCTCAGCCTCCCAAAGTGCTGGGATTACAGGTGTGAGCCACTGCACCTGGCCCCTGCCATTTCTTTGTTGCAAAAGCCATACAATCAAATAGAAAACAAATTCACTGGCCATTGCACCACCTAACACTACCAGCTGGCATATCACTACCCAGCCCTTGGGAAGAAGGGCAAACTGACAGGAGCCCAGTGCCCCGTCATGCCCAGCCTGTGCTGGGTGCCCCCTGAACGGTCTCACTTAGTCTGCACCAGTGGGTGCTCTCTCACCTCCATTTCACAGATGGCAACAAAGCCTAGTGGCTCAAAGGCTGTGTCTGAGGCCATGCAGCCAGGAAGCCAGGAGCCTAGAAGCTGGTGGTGATTGTGATACCGCCCCCCCCCCCTCCTTACTTGCCCCACGTGCCGCAGGAGGCCATCTTTCTTTGTACTCAGGCAGTCTTTATAAAGTTAAGACTAGTGTGAGACAAATTTGTATCCTATTTCTTTGTCATACTGCAGCAAAAATGTTTCTGCTTATTGCTACACAGTTGTCACACAAACTACCTGCTAAGGACACTCTTGAGGATGAAGGTCCCCCATTTCCCACTTGCTGCCTTGTACTGGACACTAAAGCCCTTTCTGGTTTGGAGGGTTCTCATTAAGGCTGCAGTAAATGCTTGTGGGTAGGCATCTCTTCTTCATTTCATTCCTTCATTTGACAAACATTTATGGAGTTTTCTAGATGCCAGGATACAATGGTAAAAGGAGCACAGGCCCTGCCTTGACTGAAGAGATGGATAATAACCAACATCTGTGTGCCTCAGGAACAAATGAAGATGGTAAGAGGTATGGAGGGGAAGCAATGGTCTCCAGTTGGTCCAGATGGCCAAGTAAGGCCTCAGTCACAAGAAACATCAGAGGAGGGGCAGGAAGGTGAGAGGAGAGAATGGGCAGTGCAAGGGCCTGAGCAGGGGGGCACTTGGTACAATCCAAACATAGCAAGGCAGCCCGTGCCGCCCCAGTGCAGTGAGGGACTGAGGGCAGAGGAGCAGCAGACTCTCATGAGGACTTGGGCTTTTACTCAGAGAGGCAGGGAGGCATTACAGGAGGATGAGCCAAGGAGGAGCATACTCTGACTTGCTTTTGTAAATGGGCCCCACCGGCTACTCCTGGGGAAAGAGAGTGGGAGGAAGACAGGCTTGAAGCCAGGGGACCATGCCCAAGGAGGCTCTTCTGCCCAGTATGCAGATCCTGGTGGGGTCCAGACTACCCCACCATCCTCAAGCCCGCCCCCCAAGGAGGCCTACAGGACCAAGGCTGCAGAGCCAGTAAGAGGCCAGACCTTCCAGGGCTTCATGCTAGTTCCTGGGGCTGAGAGGCAGGGCTAGGACACATGGACACAACTAGTCATGTGCAAATACTCCACCCTCTGCATAAGGAAACCAGCCACAACTTAAGTGGAGACAGTTTATGTGAAAGGAGGTGTGCCCACCAACAAAACATCACGTTGTTGCCTGATGTTTGGAGCAATTTGGGAAAACCCCCACAAAAAGTGAAAAATGCATGAAATAAATAAAACTGTGTCCTCCATACCGATGAGGCACAGGGAAAGAAAAGTGCCTGGCAGGGCTGGCCGCAAGGGTGGTTGTGTTTCTTTCAAGGCTGCATCTACTCAGAAGAGGGACATTTCCACATACTGAGCATGTGCCACCCACTGGAAGCTGTGCTGAGGACCATGAGTGCAGGATCTCATTTAATCCTCACCACGACCAGGGAGGTGAGTGCAAGGAATCTCACAGATGGGGAAACTGAAGCTTAGAGGCACCAGCTAGCATCTGAAAGGACAGTAATGGAGCTGGACAGGCCCAGTCCCTGACCACAGTACTTCTCCCTACCTGGTCCAAACACTGATGCTGAGACTCACTCACCCATTGTCTCCACCAAATACATAAATGGCATCTTTATAGGCCACCACTGTGTGCTTGCTGCGCCTGGAAAGAAAGGAGTGGAGGGCGGTAAGGACAGGACCCTCCTGGGGGGCACCCAAGGAATGGGACTAAGCAGGAGAGCTGCCACGGAAGTTAGGTATCACCTCTCAACTGCTAAGATCCATCATCTTCTAAGATAACACCAATCATCCTGCAAGTGAGGACCCCTGACACGGCTCCAGGACTCTCTGGACTCCTCACCCCACCTCAGAGCACCTGGGACCCCAGCCCAATATCCACAAACACAACTTAGTTCCAGTACCCTGTCCCGGGACATCGGGCTCTGGGACTCCCTCGGAACCCTCTCCCCTGCCCTGAACAGCGTCCTGTACAGCACCATCCACCTCATTACCAGATCCTACCCCAGGACACCACCCCCCGGCTTCGCCCCTGGACCCGCCCTGGGACCCTCGCAGATCGCCCTTCCTGTCCTCAGGACCCCATGAAGCCCACCGTACCGGGCACCCACGAACTCGTCGCAGGGCGGGAGGCGCCGCCAGCGATGCACTGTTTCGAAGGGCCCGAAGTTGAGCGTCAGGTACTCGACACTGTCCGAGCAGCTATGGTCGAAGTCCACGCTCGGGGCTACCTTGGACCGCGCGCCGCCTGCCAGGGCCGCAGCCCCGATCTGCCCCCCCGTGCTGCCCGGTCCAGCCATCCCGGGTCCACGCCGGATCGGCCGCGCTGTAAGCCCAACTTGCGGCCACCGCCCCGGGCCGGCTGGAGAAACCACATTTCCCGGCGAGCCCTGCGCTGACGGTGCGGCACGTCCGGCCAGCGCCGCACTTGCGCCCTCCAGCTCTTCCCGACAAGCCTACCGCTTGCCGAGACACCGCGGGCGAGCGCAGGATGCGGTTGTCGACCGCGCGGCGAGCGTGGGACCTTCTGGGGAGCGTTTCAGGCTATGTACTGGCGCTGCGTTGTCCCTTCCAGTGAATGCAGTGTGTCGTCCCTAGCCCCGTCGCGACTGCTCTTCCCGGCGCCTCCCAGGCCCACGCAGCCCGAAGACCCGCGGCCGGCTCGCAGTTCCCGGCATGCCCTGGGTCTGCGCGTGGCTCCGGCCTGGATCGTCTGCCGCTGCCGGGATCCCCCATGGAGGGTTCCGGGCTCGCAGCGGCCTCTGCAGGCGGCTCAACGCTCCCTTTCCTGCTAGCGCCCTCAGCCCTGACCCCCAGCAACTCCCCTCTCCCCTTGGCTTTCTTACTGACTGAGAGGCAGCCCGGCGAGGAGCCTCTGGATTCTCATTCCTACTTAGCAGGGCCTCAGCTCCTTCACCTCCGACATGGGGATTGAGAATGCTCCGGCTATGAAAAGCATGGGGTCTGTCTCAGGACACAGCTCCCACAGCCCTAAGTGGGCAAATGCCCCAAAGTGTCAAGCATGAGCCACCTCTGAAGGAGCATTTACTATCTCAAGACCTTTGGGCATGTTGTCCCTTCTACCTGGAATACCCTTCCTTCAAAACTCAGAGCCAAAAGCAAAAAGCGTTCGCTGATCGCAGAGGGGGAGAGGGATGTGGGAGGGCTTGGGGCGCAGAATTAGTTGCTACCTCCTCTGGGCGTTCACAGGCCAAATTTCCTTGGTGTGGCACCTGGCATTCTGTGATTGTGCCTGTTTCCCTGTGGTCTGGTCCTGTGCCTATTGGCCCAATTACACTGGGAGTCATACAGATCTGCAAATTTGTGCGTTTTAATTTTACGGTAATGTTTAACGTGTTGCAGGGTTCTTCAGGGGACCAGTCCCAATAGAGGGAGAAGAGGCAGGGCTTGTCCTGCCTCCAGTGCCAGCTGTCAGTGGCAGCAGAGGCCTTGAGGGTTGAGCATCTTCTGGATCCAGCAGAGGCCTCCCAGGAGGGGAGCCAGGTGGCTGAAGGCAAGCACTGGGAGGGCTCAGGTTCTGCCCTGGGGGATCCTGGGACTGGAGATTGGCACCTGCCCCCAAGGCTTGGCCTGTGCCCTTGGTGCCCCCTTTGCCTGCCCAAGTCTACTGCATGTGAGCTCAGGATCCTTTCCCCGTAAGCCAGGACATGTCGCCAGTCCTGCAGGAGTGAGGGGAGGAGGGGTCAAGACAGAAGAAAACAGGCTCTCCACTCTGGGCACCCTGAACAGCTGGCCCTTGAGGACAGCAGGGGGTCTGTTCTGTGCCAGACCCTAGTGCCCAGCAGGGAGGTGTACTTGGACAGAGGGAGATAAGACCATTGGGTGGAGGGTCTGGGCTGACATGGGAAAGGCTCAGAACGGTCAACATGAAGGACACACGTACTTGCTGTGCAGCACAAACAGCCTTCACGAAGGCAAGAGAGAGAAACGGAGAGAAGGCCAAGGAGAGAGCATGTCATTTATCATGTCCCCTTCTGGTCCTCCATTGTTTCCAGCCTGAAGCCTGCCCCTGTCTCATAGCCTCCCAGTGGCCTCCAGGCTGTCCCCAGTCCCTGGGAGCTCTCTCCCAGAGGGTGAATCTCATTGACACCACACCAGGATAAGGGAACTGGCTGGTGTTGAGTGAAACCTAGAACCACCCCCACCATCTATGTGGAGGGCATACCCAGGGCATCAGTAGCTGCATTTCCCACCTAGCTTCTGCCAGGCTCAGCACAACTATGTCCAGTTAGGTGTCCCACGCCTGGTGATTGCCCATGCATTGGGCCCTGACCCCTTCCCACAGCACTGGCCCTGCCTGGTGACACACATCTCTATCCCTTCCATCCACCATGAACACATAACCAGCCTGCTCTCAAACCATGATCCTTGCCCCACACCTCCCTGTAGTCCTGTAAGCCTCAGGCGATGCAAACCAAGAGGGGAAAGGCCCTGGAGGGTTGTGGGGGCGGCTGGCTGTCATAGGCACCTTAGCCAGTACTCCAGGGAACTACTCCCACCCCCAGGCTTCCCACACCCACACTCACTCCACCTCCCGCTTCCGGATGGCACGGCCTGAGGCCAGCACCTCAGCGACCTTGGACACAATGGGATCGTAGTTCATGCTGGCCACGGCGATCACCTCGTCGCCTCTGCAAGGAGAGGATGGCCAAGCCTGAGGACTGCGAGGCAGCAGCCCCTTTTTGAAAACCCTGATGCACTGCTGTCCATCTGGGGCCCAGGGAAGGACCTACCCCAGGGCAACAAGAATGGCCTGAGCACCCAGCCCTCCCTGCTTTGCACATCGCGGCTTGACCGTGCACAAGCTTCGGGCTTTCCTAAGGAAGCTCCAGCACTCCTCAGCGGGGCTCAGGGCTGGGCTCTTGTTCTGGGATTTTGCCTGGGATGAATCCCCCTTCCCGACTGAGCTCCCGCTGCTTCGCGCCAAGCTGCACCCCGGTGCTCTCACTTAGTGTAAAAAGCCACAAACTTCAGCTCCTCCAGATCCCCCTGGATGATGACGTCGTCGAAGCCTTCTCCGTAGCCTGTGGGCCGGGCAGGTGGGTGGCACCCACGTGAGCCGGGGGAGGGAACGAGACGTCACAGGATCCCCTCCTAACCCCGCCCAGGCCCTGCTCCATACGTCCTTTTAGGTAGTTCGTAGCCTTGCCGCCAGCGAGTTCTTACCGGCCTCTTCCTAGTGCGGTCATAGCCCTGCCCCTAGGCTCCCAGCCCCGCCCCACACCCAAGCCCCGCCCCTAAACGCCCTCGGCCCCGCCCCCATCCGAGGCCCCGGGGTTACCCGCGTAGCGCAGGCTCTTGCCAAACATGGCGGTCCAGAGGTAGGGCACAGTGCTCATCTCCGCCTCCTGCGCCAACATGTTCTGGGCTGCCACGCGCCCTGCGGGACCCAGGGCCGTGAGAACCCTAACTCTCGCTCTTACCACTCCCACACTACCTGCTCCTGATGCCCTGGGGACCCCTGACACGTGTGGCTACTCCTCCTGGTCTCCCCAGAGGTCAAGAGACATCATTGTTCAGCCCACTGCTCACTTGCACCTGCAGCTGACTGGTGCAGGGGAACACCTGCCTCAAAGCTAGCCACTTGATTGCTTCCTTAAAGAATCTGAATAAAGTGCCCTGACTCTGGAAGGTCTGCTTCTTGGGGTTGGGGGAGTACGCCACCATTTCAGCTGTGCACACAGACACCTAATCAGACGTATCAGGTCTGAAGAGGGAGGAAAATGGGGCACAAGTACACAGGGAAGCACAGATGACAGCCACACACAAGGCCCCAAAGAGACCAGTGTGGATGGCTCCCCAGTTCCTATGAGGCCCCAGTAGACCCCTGTAGTTGGATGTACTTCAAAGTCCCCTAAACTCTCTCAGTTAAATCCTAATTATACTTGGCTGATAAGTTGCCTTGGTTACTTACAACCTAGCAACAACTTTCGACTTTGGACTTGAATAGAAATTGGTACCAGAAGTGGGGTTTCAAGCAGCAGACCCTCAGGTGTAAAGGCAGAGGAAAGGGGAGATGGGTGCAGAGAAGTCCTTTGTCCCAGGCTGGGAGTCTGGCAGTCCTCTCTCTGAGGCAGTGAGGCAACTAATGTGATGGCACCTGCAGCTTAGGGGCCCAGACCAGATGTGCACAGTGGATGAGGCTTGGGGGACTTGGTGGCCAGCAAACATCAGGAGGGGAAAGCTATTCCTCAGAAAGCACAGTGCCTCCACTGAGCCCACGTCTCTGGGCTCAGATGGCACCTCGGGGACCTGCATGAGGCTGAACTGAGTTCACAGAGATACTTGAGTGGCCCAAGGGAAACAGAGGCATAAATGGGAAGGTGATCCACTAAATCCCTCCCTCCCTCCCCAGGGTAATGCACAGGTTGATCAGGAATTCTGCAGAATATATGTCCTTGAAGACAAAAAAGGGAGAGACTACCAGAAGGAAAACTGAGATTGAGGAGCTATGGCTGGCTCAGTGGGGTGTCGCTCTCTGTGTTGGCTGGATCGCCGAGATGAGGCTGGCCAGAGAATCCACATCAGAGCTTTGATGCCTAACAGTGTCCAGGACCCAAGGTCAGCAACTGAGGCATGGGCATGGGGACACTGAGACCCTGAGACTCCCTCCCACCCCTCCATGTGCCTCGGGACTGGCCATACCCTGAGCATGAGCCATCTGCCAATGTGGAATGTTCACTTTGCGGTTGTTCCTCCAGGCAAGGGGGAAGGTGACAGCATCGCCAGCTGCAAACACGCCTGGGACATTGGTCTGCATCATCTGTAGAGAGAGGGCCCAGAGCTCCATGGGTGTGACAGGGGCCCTGACCTGAACCTCCTGCCACTCCCAGCCCAGCACCGGGTCCTCCCCACCCAGTGCCATCCACCCCACCTTGTTGACAGGGATGAAGCCTCGGGAATCCAAACCGATGCCGCTTTGCCTCAGGAAGCCTGTGGCGGGCACTGCACCTGACAGGACGGAAGCCTGTGTCCACTCCCCTGTCCCTGCCTTCTGCGTAGTCACTCTCCACACCCTACAGCATGCGCTTGATGTGCCAGCCCCAGACTGATCCTCCAGGGGCTGTCTACCTGAGGCCTTCATGCACCCTGGTCCCCACTACCCGGTCTCCCACAGACCCGGTGCCTCCCGCAAGACCTCAGATATCACCTTCTCCAAGAAGTGCTCCATGAGGCCCTTAAGTGGAGGGACAGCATGCCATACCTCCTCAGCCCCTGCAGGTGCTACCACCTCCCATCTTGGCCCCTACCCAAATTGGCACTTCAGCTGGAGCAGAAGCCAGTTCGAGTCTCGTCTATGTCAACTCTCGCAGGGCATGGAGATGAGTGTTACTGGGCAGCGGGCACTGGGAGCATCCACTGTGCCAGGCCTGGGCTGAGCCCAGTACATACCTTCCCCAACAGCTCCGTAAAGTGGGGGCGGTTGGGGGTTCCCATTTGACAGATGTGGTGGAAACTGAGGCTCTGGGAGGGGAAGGGACTAGCCCAAGGTCACATGTGAGCATGTGCAGACGGCTGGGCTGCTTTGTGCCTGCCTGCCCACACACCAACTCACCAATGCCCACCACGCAGACGTCAGCCCGCACGACCTTGCTGCTCTTCAGCACAACCTCCTTCAGCTGTGGGGAGTGGGTGGATAAACAGGTGGACCCAGCTCCCAGGCTCAGGGGACAGAGGACAGAAAGCAGCAGGGAGAAGGGAGAAGGGCCCACCTTTCCCTCCTGGCCCCGCAGCTCAGACACCTCCGTCTGCATGTAGAACTTCACCCGGTTGTTCTCAAACATCTGTCAGGGCAAGTGGGCAGGTGGGCGGTGGATGAGAGCCCAGCCAGGGGCCGGGCTGGGCCCCAGGGCTCCAAGGCACTGGGTGCTGGGGTGGGCTCACCTTCATGAGGGCACGACCCACGCGCTCCCCCAGGAACCTCCTGAAGGGCGTCTCCTCCAGCTCCACCACAGACACAGAGTGGGCCTTCTCCGTCAGGTAAGCGGCCACCTCCATCCCTGGTGATGGGCAGGGGGTGGCAGGCTGGCACCTGCACCTTCCTCGACCAGAACTTCCCTGGGACTGGCCATGACGACCTGACCACCATCTCCACTGCCCACTACCTCTCACCCAGGAAGCCGGCTCCCACGACGACCACGTTGCGGCCTCGGGCCAGCCTCACCACGCGATTGGCATCCTCTGGCGTCCGGATAGTGAACACGTTCTCCACTTCTTTGCCTTTGCAGCTCAGAGTCTTGGGGCTGAGACATGGCCGTGTCAGTGAGGGCCTCCTGGCAGCCCCAGCCCCGTCCAGGCCAGTGCCCTGCCTAGTGTCCGATGGGTAAAAAGGAGACCCTCCCACCTGCTCCCTGGTGCCAGCAGCAGCTTGCTGTACTCCAGCTTGAAGCCATCCTTGAACACGACCTTCTTAGTTCTCACGTCCACTGTGACCACCTGCAATCCCCACCAGGCAGAGCATGAGCTTGGGCATGGGGCTGGGCCTCGCCGCCCACTCCCCGGTCCTGCAGTACACCCACAGCCCAGCCACAGCCTCTGAGAAGCTCCCATTAAAACAGATCCTGCCACCTGGGCTTCATTCTTTACGCTTCAGACATCACCTTCCCCTCAAACCTCTCCTTACCCTCCCAAGTCCCACCAGTATCTCCTATCCAGCCCTGATCGTTCATCTCCACACACCGTGGGGCTCTGTGTGTGCCTATGACCCATCAGGAAAAAGCTCCTTGCTGTCTCCCAAGCCTGGAGCACCTCCCAGGTGCCTGGGCTGTGGGGCCAGGAAGGTAGAGCACCAAGACCCCACCCCAGGGGCCCACACAACCTCACGGTTCCCACCTTCCCTCCTCGGGCCTGTTTCCCACCCTTGACCCTGTACCTGAGCCTCGGTGAGCACCTCGATGCCATAGGCTCGGAAAAACTCCTTGGGCCTCAGGGCCAGCTGCTCAGGCTGTGTGTCCAGGGACTGCAGGGGAGAGCCAGCTTGAGAGGAGCCAGTTTACAGCAGAAGACACTGGGGCCCAGGGAAGGTGGGGCCAGCCCCAGTCACATAGGGGCTGCAGGACAGAACTCAGCAAACCCAGATCTGGCCAGGCGCAGTGACTCATGCCTGTGATCCCAACACTTTGGGAGGCTGAGACAGGAGGATCGCTTGAACCAGGAGTTCAAGACCAGCCTGGGCAGCATGACAAAAATGACCTCATTTCTACAAAAAATACAAAATATTAGCCAGGCATGGTGGTGCGCGCCTGTAGTCCTAGCTACCCGGGAGGCAGAGGTGGGAGGATCGTTTGAGCCCGGGAGGTGGAGGTCGACGCTGCAGTGAGCCGTGAGACAGGCACTGCTCTCCAGCCTGAGTGACAGAGCAAGACTCTGTCTCAAAAAAAGAAAAGCCAGGTGCAGTGGCTCACACCTGTAATCCTAGCACCTTGGGAGGCTGAGGTGGGCGGATGGGCTGAGCTCAGGAGTTCAAGACTGGTCTGGGCAACATGGTGAAACCCCATCTCTACTAAAAATACAAAAAATTAGCCAGGCATGGTGGTGGTGCACACCTGTAATCCCAGCTACTCGGAAGGCTGAAGCATGAGAATCGCTTGAACCCAGGAGGTGGAAGTTGCAGTGAGCCGAGAAGGCGCCACTGCATCCCAGCCTGGGCGACAGAGTGAGACCCTGTCTCAAAACAACAACAACAAATCTAGATCTTTTGGGGGTACCACGGACAGGCCTGGCATAAGCAGGGAGGGCAGCCGGCCAGACCCCAATGGGGTGACAAGCAAGGCTTGAAGTGGGCTTAACTGGGACCCAGAGGGATAGGGTCCCTACTTGCCCCACCCCCTGTACCTTGCTGAGCTTGGGACGGTCGTAGGGAAGGTGCCGGTCTAGCGTGCACAGGACGATCCGGTCGGAGAAGCCCTCCTGCCGCAGTGTCTCTGCACACACCAGGCCAGCTGCACCTGAGGGGAGGGGCCCGTGGGCCAGGAACCACTTCTCACCAATCCCATCTCCCACCCTGCCCCTCATGACCCCACTACCAACCTGCACCCACAATGAGCACATTGGTGCTACTGCTGTACCCAGCACTTGGAGAGATACACTTGGCCATCACCTTGGTCCTTCGCTGCAGCTGTAGGGCCTGTGGGTGCCAGGAGGGTGGAGGGTCACTGCCATCCTCTGCATGCCATCATCCTGGCAGGCAGGTCCTGGCGCTCCAGCCCAGCCTCATCCCTACCGCAACCCCTCACTCTGCTCCAGTGACACGTGCCAAGCTCCTCCCACCACAGGGCTTTGCACATGGCATTCTCTGGGCCAAGATGCCCTCCCGGCTCCTCCCTTCTGCCTGAGCCCCGAGCTATCCCCTCACCTGCTTGCTGGCCCGGACGTACACCTTCTCCTTCTCAATCTTCACCTGCAAGGGCTGCATTGCTCAGGACCAGCCCCGAACCCCACACCCCCAGGTTCCCACCCCATCGCACTCCTGGCCCCACCTGGAACTTGTGTAGACTGTCCAGGCCAGGGAAGTCCTCCAGGTCCCCAGTGCTGATGTTGAAGCAGGCGCCGTGCCAGGGGCAGCGCACCCGACCACGGGACAGAACGCCTGGGAAGGGGAGGTGTTAGGCTGCGCCCACCAGCAGGGGTTGCTTCCCAAGGATCTCAGTGCCCCGGCAACTGCGGGCCCCTCCCCACAGCCCAGGAGACTTCACTAATAGATGAAGATCCTGGGGTCTGGGGAGGAGCCAAGCTGGCATGGGGCCTGGAAGGTCCCCCTCACGCCTCCCACCTGACAGCTCACCTTTCACCAGGGGTGCGCCGTAGTGCGGACACTTATGGCCCAGGGCGTGGAACTCCCCATTGTCCTTCACCAGCAACACCTTCCCCCAGCCCAGCTCCACTTCCCGCATCCTGGGGAACCGCAGCACTCAGAGGTCAGGCCAGACACCAGGCACAACCTCCTGGCAGCTCCTCCCAGTGTCCAGCCTTCTGGGGAGCAGGCCCAGACCGGTAGAAGCCACAAAGGCAGTGACCAGGGCAGCAGCTGGTCATAGCCCCTTCAGGCCAACCCCGACCCCCGGCTATGGCCCCCTCACCCTCCCACCTTGGGACCCCTGATCCCCGCTCCCAGGCAAGCCCAGAACCCACTGGCCATTCTCGAGGTCCTTGACGTGGCAGACAGCAGCCTCCACGCAATCCTGAGGGCTGGGGTAGGGGTGAGGGGTGGACAGGCGCTCCTCCGTGTGGAAGTGGCGGGCCGTGCCATTGCCCTGGTAGGCCCGGGGGCTGCCCTTCCCACTGGCCGACAGCTCCTCCTTGCCTCGCTCCTTCTCAGGCAGCACCACCTCGATCTTGAGCTCCACTGTGGGCAAGGCAGCGCCTTGAGCCCCCCACCTCAGCCAACTTCCTCCCCCATCCCTCAAGCTGGGTGCAGAGGCCAGCTCCTCGGGGTGCCAGGAGGCTCAGCCCTGCCTGGCAACCTCCCCAGAATTCCCTCTGCACCACCAGCCCAGCAAAGAGCCTTAAACCTGGCACGAAGCAGCGGAGGGGCATGGATGGGTGGGGGTGCTCCCGGGTCTGCTTGAATTCGTTTCTGCATGTCTCTTTTTTCTTTTTTTTTTTGAGACAGGGTCTCACTCTGTCGCCCAAGCTGTAGTGCAGTCATGCAATCTCGGCTCGCTGCAGTCTCTGCCTCCTGGGTTCAAGTGATTCTCCCATCTCAGCCTCCCCAGTAGCTGGGACTTCATGTGCATACCACCACGCCAGAGGTGTGGCGTGACAGGGTTGGTAGAGACAGGGTTTTGCCATGTTGGCCAGGCTGGTCTCAAACTCCTGACCTCAAGTGATCTGCCCGCCTCAGCCTCCCAAAGTGCTGGGATTACAGGCTTGAGCTACCACACCCCGCCTCCTTTTTCAATTACAGTGTTAGTGAGGGGGACACAGAGCTGAGTTCCTTCGACCCTGCAGTTCTCCTGGCTGCAGAAACCTCTGTGGCAGAAAGAACCCTGAGGCCCTACAGTCCTGCATCTTCTGATGGACAATGACAATGTCCCTGACATCTCAGGGTATGACTCATGTACATACAGGAATTCAAAAGTGGCAGCAGCTCAGTTCCCAGCCAGTGAATCTGGGTGACAGGAAGTCAAGGGTTCATTGTTCTAGTCTTACAACTTTCCCATATATTTGAATTTTTTTCAAAAATTAAAAAAAATGTACACAGCATAATTCACAGCATAATTTCAACTTCTTCTTTTTTTTTTTTTTTTGAGATGGAGTTTCGCTGTTGTTGCCCAGGCTGGAGTGCAATGGTGCGATCTTGGCTCACTGCAACTTCCCCCTCCCAGGTTCAAGCGATTCTCCTGCCTCAACCTCTTGAGCAGCTGGGATTACAGGCGTGTGCCACCACACCTGACTAATTTTTGTATTTTTAGTAGAGACAGGGCTCCATGTTGGTCAGGCTGGTCTCGAACTCCTGACCTCAGGTGATCCACCCGCTTCGGCCTCCCAAAATGCTGGGATTACAGGCGTGGGCCACCACTCCCGGCCCGATTTCAACTTCTCAAAATAGCTCTTCTCACCAATTTGAGAATCCTTCATCACTAACCAGGTGCTGGGTTTTCAGTGTCCTCGTGTGCCCTGGGGGTGAACCTGAGCATGGGAATGCATGTGGATGGCACAGAGGGGGCACAGCCCCCCCCCCCCACAGCCTCCATACAGAGCCACTTCCCCAGCGTGCCCACGGGGCCAGCTCTAGCGGGGAGTGAGCCAGAGATTGCCATTTTCTTCTTTATACTTTTGCACATTTTCCAAATTCCCTGTGATGTGCCTGGGATATTTTTCTAATTAGAAGGGAACAATAAACAGAATTTTTAGCAGCAATAATCTGGCCTCCCAGGCTGCTGCTGCAGGGAGGAAGCTGAGTGATGGACACTAAGCCCCTGGCACAGCATGGGCCCGATGCTGGAGCAGGAGGTACCTCTCTCACTTCCCAAGGCACCAGCACCTCTGGGTTTTACCTCTCATCCCTTCCACCTCAGAACTGACACTCCAGAAACCAAGAACCCAGAGAGGCTGCCGAGATGCACCTCCAGGCCTTTGCCTGAGCTGTCCCCTGGGCTGGGGCTGCCATCCTTCCTATCTACCCAGACAAGGCTCAGGAGTTGCCTCTCCTGGCTGCCCAGCCCATCCATCATCTCATGCTCTGCTAAATCCTCCACGCTGGCCAGGTCCCCTCCCCAGCCCCAAGTCCCAGCCCTCAGCTCAGGCCCAGGCATAGCAGGGCACAGGGGCAAAGAAAAGGTCAGTTCCTTGACCCCAGCCCAGCAGGGAGGATGCAGAGCACAGAGCCACACTGAGGCCATCGTATCAGGTGGGGGGTTATGGGTGGGGCTTTCATTCCATTTTCTATACCTTATGTAATGGTGTTAGAATGTTTTTGGAAGAATTAAAAAGAGAAATACTTTGGACTTAGCTGACACCAGCTGTGGAAGCTGTGGGAGCTCACAAATAGCCTGGCAGGGGGGCCAGATAATGCCAAGCCAGGCTGCTCTCATCCTCCACCTCCTCCCAGAAGGCTCCAAGCCCACTCACTGATGCAGTCTAATGGAAGCCATTAAGTCAGGGGCCCTTTGGAAAGGTAGAGGGGAGAGGCGTCTCTGCTCACCCACAAAACTGGATCAGCCCCAGCTCCATGACTTCTGGCTGCCCATAAGACCTGCCTTAGCCCCTTTGGGCCTTAAGATGCCTTTATTATAAAATGGAGAGAAGGCCAGGTGTGGTGGCTCATGCCTGTAATCCCAACACTTTGGGAGGCCAAGGCAGGAGGATCGCTTGAGTCCAGGAGTTCAAGACCAGCCTGGGCAACAGGGTGAGATGCAGTCTCTACAAAAAATTTAAAAATTGCCAGTTGGCCGGGAATGATGGCTCATGCCTGTAATCCCAGCACTTTGAGAGGCCGAGGCAGGCAGATCACTTGAGGTCAGGAGTTCGAGACCAGCCTGGCCAACATGGCAAAACCCAGTCTCTACTAAAAATATAAAAATTAGCCAGGCATGATGGCATGCGCTTATAATCCCAGCTACTTGGGAGCCTGAGGCAGGAGAATCGCTTGAACCTGGGAGGCGGAGGTTGCAGTGAGCCAAGATCAAGCCATTGCACTCCAGCCTGGGTGAGGGAGTGAGATTGTCTCTCAAAAAATAAAAAAGTTAAAAAAATAAATAAAATTGCCAGTCGTGGTGGTGCAGGCCTGTAGTCCCTGCTACTCAGGAGGTGGGAGGATCACTTGAGCCCAGGAGTTCTAGGTTGCTGCGAGCTATGATTATGCGACTTTACTCCAACCTGGGCAACAGAATGAGACCCCATCTCAAAAAATGAAAATAAAACAGAGAGAACAGCAAATGCCTACCTCGTTGGTGACAGTGAATGCTGAAGGAAATACTGTATGTAACCCAGAGTAGAAGCTCAATAGATGGAGTTGGGCAGCAGTGTTTTACCAGTTAGCTCTGAGCCTCCTAGCAGCCATGGTGAGGATGGAAAGCCTTTAGGTATCAGTTATGGCCTAATAAAAGGCAGGTGAACAGATGCTAAGAGAGCTGCACTTCCTCCTAGCTCTGAGCTAGGTGAGGGACTGGTCTGATACCTTCTTATCAACTACTCAGACAGGACACACAGGAGCACAGAGGGAACCCAGGAAGCAGGTGCTGATGCACACGGAGCCACAGAATCGAGTGGAGCAAGATAGAAAGTGAAGGATTTGCACAGAGGTCTTCTGCTTGATCTAGTCTCTTTGTGGCCCCTTAAGACCCCAGCTGAACCCTCAGGCCCCAAATGCTGTCACTCCCATATCTGGAAATTCCCTGAGCCTCATGCCTGACCTGCCCAGCATGGGCACCTGGGGCCTGAGCCTCTGGCTACAGCCCCACAGGGGAGGCCTGGCAGCACAGAGCCCAGCTCAGAAAAGGGATAACAAATAATATTCCTTGGGAGGCCGAGATGGGCGGATCACAAGGTCAGGAGATAGAGACCATCCTGGCTAACACGGTGAAACCCCGTCTCTACTAAAAATACAAAAAAATAGCTGGGCGTGGTGGCGGGCGCCTGTAGTTCCAGCTACTTGGGAGGCTGAGGCAGGAGAATGGCATGAACCTGGGAGGCGGAGCTTGCAGTGAGCCGAGATCACGCCACTGCACTCCAGCATGGGAGAAGGAGTGAACTCTGTCTCAAAAAAAAAAAATTCCGCAAGTGCTTCTGGTGTGCCAGGCCCTCATGCTAGGCACAACAGCCCCACTTTACAATGAGGATGCAGAGGCTCAGAGAGGGGAAATCACCTGCCCAAGGCCACACAGCCAGAAAGGGGCAGGGCTGGATTTGCCTAAGTTCTTAGGACTGCCTTTGGTGAGGGTGGCCACCCCCGACACTGGAAGTCCTGGGGCCACGGGTCCCAGGCAGGCCAGCCATTTGGGGTCCTTTAAAAGAACCTGCAGGTGGCATCTTCTGCCAGGGCCTCCTGCCAGCCCAGCGGTGCCACAGACGCCTGGTATGAGGCCAGCTGGCATCATCCCACCCACTGCTAGGGGGAGACAATGGACGTCATCTGCCCAAGGCACATTTTGAGGCAGAGAGGGATCCAGCCCAGGCCTAGGTGTCCACAGCACAGGAGCGGGGGAGGAAGAGTGGCTTCTTGGAGCAGAGGCAAGTGGGTCCCTCTGCCTGGTGGGTCATCACAGCCCTCCTCCCTCGCCCAAGTTCTCCCTTAGACCCAGGAAAGGGAGAAAAGCCTCACAAGTTCCAAGGTAACGGAGCTGATGGGTATCAGGTAAGGGGAGCTGGGGTGAGCTGGCTGGGGTGAGCTGGCTGGGGTGAGCTGGCTGGGGCAGCGTGGCCTGGCAGGTTGAGTGGAGCACTGGCTGCGCTCTTGAGGTCTCTCTAAGCCTCAGTTTCTCCACCTGTGACAAAGCTGCACACTCCTGCCTCCCCAGGTGTTGTGAGGAGAGAAGAGGGAAAGTGGGGGGCCAGAGGGAGAGCTCCGCAGACATGAGTCTTTAGTGGAGAAAAGACCCAGGCCTCCCCTAGCACCCCAGGACACTCCCACTTCTGGCTGGAGTAGCTCAGGCTAGGTTGGATGGTGATTTCCTGTATAAATGGGGAAGTGTGCCCAGAAAGGCCAAGAAGGCAGCCCGAGACCACACAGGGGATCAGAGGAGGCAAAGAGAGCCAGGATCTGCCCACTACACCCTCACAGCAACTCTAAGAGGTCAGGGTGGCCAGGCCCTCTCTTTTGCAGAGAGAAAAACAGAGGCTCAGAGGGGTAACTTGCATGCCCTAGGTCACAGAGTGGCTGAGCGTGTCCCCAGCTCCCCCCTTCCCTGGCCCTGGGGGCATAGCCCCTTCCCCAACCCTGCAACAGGAGGAACCCTGACTTTCCTTTTCCAAGAAGGGTCCTGCTGTTATTCCCACCACCAACACTCAAAGCCCCAAAGAAAAAGGGGCACCCACTGGAGCAGGGGCCAGCTGGGGGAACTGCTCCAGGCCCCCTACCCCCTCCTGGCGGCAGCGTATTAACATTCCGAGCGGGTTCTTGGATAGCCTGACCTACTTCGGAGGCCTACCGAGTGCAGAGGGGGAGGGGGGGGAGACGGGGGAGGAGGAGGCGGGGAGGGAGGAGAAAGGATGGAGACAAGAAGACAGGAGGTACCTGGTTTGGGTTTGGAGAAGCAGCCGCCCATGGCGAGTGGCCTGAGGATGGCCGGCAGGCAGGAGCACAGATGGGGAGCTGTCGGAGGCCTAGGGCGCCCCCCATGGGGCTGGACCCCCTGCAGGCCTTAGAGACGCTGGAGCCGCCATCCTGCTGGAGCTGCTCTAGGACCTGCAGGGGAGACTGGAGCCATCAGGACCGGGGCGTGTGGGCAGGTAGAGACACAGAGGGACGGAGAGAGACAGTGGGAGCTTCGGAAAGAGTCTTACATTTGAGCTGGGAACCATGGCGTGAGCCTGATCCCAGAGCGTGGGGCCCTGGAGGTCACCTCCCCTTTGAAGCCCTCCAAGCTCAGCTCCCTCACTCCTCCAGTGGAGTTCCTCTGCCCGAACCTCGGCCGCCCATCGTCCAGCCCCGCGGCTGCCTTGCCCAGGAAATCCTCCCTGATTTCTACTGCCTCCTCGTGCCCCCCTTCCCCTCTCCAAATCCCACAGCCTGAGAGCTCTGGGACCCTCCATTCTCCCGGGAGACCACTATGCCTAGGCTCAAAGAGGGGGTCACCTTGGGGAAGCCAAAGCCCTTCTCATCCTTGGTCTTCTCCCTCCTACAATGGGGGTGACATCAGGCTCCCCCTAGCCCAGCCCCACCCTGGCTAGCACTCCGGACACCCACCTCCTCGCAGGGCAGCCACTGCTCCGTGTTCCAGGCCCAGCAGTGGACTGAGGCTGCCGGGCCTTGGAAGGCCGGGCAGGGAGGGCAGGGGTCCAGGAGGCGGCCCAGCCTCCACCCTCCTCCCAGCTCAAGCTGTGGCCAGGAGGGGCTGGGGGGCGGTGTGGGGCTGGGCCAGTCCACTGGTCCCCAGGGAAACCCTGCTCTGTGGTGAACAGAAGTGGGCGGCCAGCCCGGGCCTGATGGGGTTAGGGGAAAGGGAAGCCAGGCACACAGCCCTGCCACGCCTGTGCCCAGCAGCCATAAGCTCCCCCTACCCCCGACTCCAGCCCTTCACAAACGCCCACCAGGCCTGTGGGCAGTCATGCCCAACAGCATATGGGGAAAGCAAGGGGTCAAGGTCCCATCAAGGTCAAGCAGCAGGGGCATCCCTGTGGCCTCCCACCCCACCCTCCCACCTTGATCAGTTTTAAGGTGGGCAGGGGCCCAGAAAGCCCCCATATCACCCTAAGGCCCTGCAAGGTGCCCTGGGGGAGGGGACACCTGCACAGCAGAGAGATCACTGTAGCCAGGTGCCTTCCAGGCTACAGGGTGGGCCTTCCGGAAGATGCAGCCTACAGGTGGACTTTGGAAGGCCCAGGGCACAGGCATAAGCTGCCTTGTTTGCAAATGACCTCCCCACAGTCCATCCCACTGCCATCCTCCAGTTTCCTCTGGAAGTTCTTCCTGAAGTCTCACTTGAGGTGGGGCTGAGACCCACCTGGTCTGGTCCAGATACCAGGAAGGGCCGTGGGTGGGTGCCTGAGAGCAAGGGGTGGAAACAAAAGGCCAGGTTGGAGAGGGACCCTTGGTGCCTGGCCCCTGCGCCTGTCGGTCCTCGAGGTGCCCATTACAGGGGAGGAGGCGGTGGCTCCCACAGCCACTGGGGCGTGCCTTGGCTCTTTCCCCCACTTGTCATCAAAGAAGGTCTGTAAAACTCAACTGCCACCTGCCCCACCTGCCCCTTCCCTGGGCACTAGGCTGTCCCTTCCTGGGTCCTGGTTTCAGCCCTGGTTCAGCCCTGCCCGCTTCCTTCCTGGCTGACCTCAGGCCTCACCTGATGGGCCACAGATCCCAGAAAAGGTCAGACCTGGTCTTGCCACTGGGGACCTGCCCAGGCTGTGCTGTCCCTTCCCGAGTACCCAGGGACCTGAATCCCCCAGGGCCTGGGCCAGGAAGGAGACTGGGTGGGGCCCCTGTGCCTTCGGCCTACTGTGTGCTAGATCGGCTTGGAGCCCAGTCACCCCACTCAAAGGCAAAGGTCCTTGCCAGGGGCAGGGCAGGAGGGACCCCCAGAGTGCAGAGCGCCCGAGTGCTATTCCTTGCCCATGAGCTGCCCACTGCAGAAAAGTTCTAGCAGAGCCCAGTGCTAACCACCCAGCAGGAGTCTGTGTCTGTCCCAGGGACCCCAGGACCTGTGAGGCGGGACTGGATTACTCCCATCTCACAGAGCGGCCCCTGCTCCACCTGACCCTCCCAGGGCTCCTGGCGCCCCCAGGGTGCAGGCTGGGCAGGGTCCTCTCCCCACTCCTCCACCTCTCGCCACCTGCCCCCACTGCCTCATCCCAAGGGCTCCTGCCCAGATCGGACTCCCAGTGGCTTCCAGGCGTCCTAGGGGTGGCATCTGATCCCAGTCCTGCCTTCGAGTGTGGGGGCTCCGCGCTCTCCCCTCCCCCACGGAGCTCAGGGCAAGCCTCTGTCCACTCTCCCCGCCTCTGCACGTGCAGTTCCCTCTCTCTGGGAAGCCGATGCCAGCAGCCTCGCCGGCTCCGTCCCGTTGCCCCCGCCAGACCTTGCAGCCCGAGAAGGGGGACTGGCACACAGTGGGGCCCCGCGGCGAGCCGGGAAGGGGCCGTTGTGGGACGAGAGAAGGACGAGGTGAGCTTCGGACCCCGGCCAGTGCCTCTGGCCCCGCTTGCCAACCCCCAGCCCCTAACGTGCCGGGCCGGGGTCCGAGACTTGGGAGCGCAAGCGCTGGCCCCCGGCGCCGGGGCGAAGAGGCGGGGCGGCGGGCGGGGACCGGGGTTCCGGGGACCAGGGTCCCCGGGGCGGGCGCTCACCTGGGCTCGGCGCGGGCCTGGGCTCGGGAACCGCTTGGGGCCGCGGGCGCGGGGGGGCGGGGAGGCGCGGGCGGGGCGTGTCTGGCGCTGCGTTTGCACTGCGGCCGGGGAGCCCGCGGGCCCAGCACCGCCCCGCCGGGCCGGAGCAGGTGGGGGGCGGCCGGGGGACAGGGGCAGGCCGAGGCCCTCGGCGTCCGGACCGGAGTCGCGGGGCGTAGGGAGGCAGCCAGGGGCCGCTCTGGCCGGGGGCGCCCCGGGCCCGAGTCTGGGTCTCCGGGGATCCTCGCGACCTCCCAGGGATGCCCAGCTGGGGCGCGGGCAGGGTCTTTTTTCCTTTTCTTTCTTTCCAAAGTCTCAGAACCATCTGTGGGCGGGGTGGGGGAACTTGAATCACTCTGAGAAACCTCCACAAGAAAGAAAACCCCAATCAAACCTTGCTGCCCACAGCTCCCTTCACTGGTTGGGGGAGTTCAGGTTCCCCGGTGTCCTAGGTTCCTCCCGGCCCTCTCTCCACACATACCAGGGTCTGTTTTCAATTATATTTTATTACATTTTCTTTTTCTCACCTGTCATTTACCAGAACTCCTTGGGTCTCCAGAAATCACAGTGCACCCTGATGTTGTGCCTCCTCCTCCAGGAGGCCCTCCCTGATCAGCCTCCCCTCTATTAGGGCTGATTATTCTGGTTCCTAACACTTGGGTGTTTCATTGTCCTTAATGTGTGCATCTCTGCGTTGTAGGTAGACCTTGTCTTTCAAGCAGGCTGGAGCACAGAGGCTGTGTGGGTTCCTCCCCGGTCTGGGCCTTGCTCTCCTCTCCTGTAAGGAGGACAATAATGACAGCAGTAAAGTCCCCTGTGCCAGGCCCAGCCAGCCTTCCCAGGCCATCCTCTGGGACTATTTATGCCCCACCCCACCCAGGGGGCAAGTTCGAGCCCCCACCACCACCACCCTCCTACAATTTTACAGATAGGAAATGCAGCCCAGGGAGTCCTGGTCTCGTTCAGGGTCAGGAACAGGCCCTGCATGGGTCACACTGGGGGCAGGTGGTGGGGTGACCAGGCCCAGAGGGCACATGTGGCTCAGTTCAGGCAAGTCCTCTCAGCTCATGTGTTGCTTCCACAGTGGGACCGTTGCCACTGCCACAGGAGAGTCCCATCACAGGGCAGATGGCAGTGCTTGGGGCTGGTGCCCTCAGTCTCCAACCAGCCTGCCCCCATTTCATACACGTGGTGATCTTGCTGCCCCACCCACCTTCAGAATCTCCTCTAGCCAGGAAGACAGTGTGCCTCATAGTAACTACAGCTGTGATTTTGCATGCATTTATTTCCTTACCCATCACAACAGCCTGAGAAGGAAAGTTCTCTTTGTATTATCTCCATTTCACAAACGGAGAAACTGAGGTTCAGTGAGGTTAGGGACTCTCCAGGGCCACACAGCTGCTAAGTGGCAGAGCAGCCCTGGGCAGGCTGGCCTCCCAGATGGAGGGCTGGAAGCAGGAGGGGAGAGGCCTACCAGGCTCATGCAAGACCACAGGGCCTCCAGTGCACAATGCAAGTCCTGTTCTGTGACCTTGGCAATCAGTGAGTGGACCCCTCTGCTCCAGCCTTCCCAGGACACCGCAGGTAACTGAAATACTCTCCCAGACTGCTGCCAGGACACCATGACAGGCACAGAGCCAGGCACAGGGGGTGCTTGGGAAGTGGGGTCGGGGCTGCTGAGTTTGGGGTGCCAGAGATAAAGCTGGGGAAACAGGTCAGTGTAGGGACTGAGGCCAGCAACTTGGGGAGATACCCTGACACAAGGCAAGTGCAGGCCTGACCTGGGGCAAGTCCATTGTGGCTCCCTTTGCCGCAGGCACTGTGCTTGAGGTTCCTGCTGCCCCATGGTGGGGCAGAAATCACAAGATCTTCGTAGAGCAAAAGCTAAAACCAAGGGCAGGCTAAAAGTGCTGCCTCTCCCGAAGGGCCCTCAGGCTTAGTGGAGATGCATGTGGACCAGGGGCCCCAGGAAGACCCAGGAGGGCTCTGAGCCCCGGGCAGCCTGAGGTCCTGATATTGCCCCAGGGATAGTTCTGGAAAGACGATAATATTCCAGCAGCTTTGACAGTACCAAATGGGGCACATGGCTGCGGTGAGATGACCTAGAGCAGCTGGGAGGTCCCTCAAGCCCATCAGACACCCCAAAGGCAGCAGGAGATAGCCAAGGTTAGAGAAGCAGTGAGTGCGGGGAGGATAATTCCACAGCCTGGGAGAGAGGTGGATCCCTAGGCACCCCCAGCCCTGGAGCACCCCACCACACAGCAAGCTTGTCCCTCTCCTCCTTACATGTACCCTCTACTGTCAGGTTCTCCTGTTCCCCACTCCCCTCACCCTAGGGTCTCCAAGTAGGGTGTGCAGGTATTTTAGGTAAGAAAGTGGCCGGGCGTAGCGGCTCACGCCTGTGATCCCAACACTTTGTGGGGGCTGAAGCAGGAGGATCACTGCCTGGGCAACATGGCAAAACTGTCTCTACAAAAAACAAACAAAACAACACTTCACCTTGGTGTGGTGGTGCAAGCCTGTAGTCCCAGCCACTTGGGAGGCTGAGGTGGGAGGATGGCTTGGGCCTGGGCAGTCAAGGCTGCAGTGAGCCATGATTCTGCCACTACATCCAGCCTGGGCGACAAAGTGAGACCCTGTCTCAAAAGAAGAAAAAAAAAAAAAAGGCCGGGTGCAGTGGCTCACACCTGTAATCCCAGTATTTTGGGAGACCAAGGTAGGAGGATTACTTGAGGTCAGGGGTTCAAGACCAGCCTGGCCAACAAGATGAAACCCCATCTCTACTAAAAATACAAAAATTAGCTGGGTGTGGTGGCACACACCTGTAATCCCAGCTACTCAGGAGGCTGACGCAGGAGAATCGCTTGAACCCAGGAGGCAGAGGTTGCAGTGAGCCGAGGTTGCGCCACTGCAGAGTGAGATGGCAGAGTGAGACTCCGCCAAAAAAAAAAGAGAAAGAGAAAGAAAAGGGAGGAAGGGGAGGGGAGGGGAAGGGAAGGGAGAGGAAAGGAGGGGACGGGAGGGGAGAAGGGGAAGGAAAAAAAAAAAAAGAACTGAGCCAACTTCAGTATCTAACATTGTGATTGACACTGTCGCCCCTCTGGAGCCCAATCTGAGAATCAGCAGGATTCTCCTTGTTCTGTCTCAGGGTTCTGAAGGCAGAAACAAGACTAGGGGCCTTTTCCCTGCAGGCTGAGGCGGATTTCCAGACGCAGAGACCTCAACTTAATTAACTGATCCCCAGGAAACGTTGAAGGACTGATACAGCACAGCCAACATGAGCCAAGGGCAGCTGTGTGGAGGGGCAAGCTGATGCAGTGGTGCCCACAGATGCACAGTGATTCATTCATATGGAAGCATAGGTTGGGGGATTCCCCAGGTCAAAGAACTGGGGCCCAACCCCATCGCCCATGCCTGTTCCTGCCCCTCTGCCTTGCCCTGGCTACTGCAGCCCAGCTTCTTCTCGGCCCAGGTCTGTCTACACAGGCCTGACGACTGTATGCCCAGCACCCACTGGATTCTTTGGGGTTGTTCAACTCTGTCCAAAGTCAGCTCCAGCCCATTGACCTATTCAGTTCAGACTAGGCCCTCCTCAAATGGCTGGCTTTGCAGCGCACACTCTCCTGTCCCCAGGCTCTGGGATAGCCAGTCTTATTTATTTATTTATTTATTTATTTATTTATTTATTTATTTATTTTGAGACGGACTCTTGCTCTGTCTCCCAGGCTGGAGTGCAGTGGCGCGATCTTGGCTCACTGCAAGCTCCGCCTCCTGGGTTCACGCCATTCTCCTGCCTCAGCCTCCCCAGTAGCTGGGACTACAGGCGCCTGCCACCATGCCGGGCTAAGATTTTTTGGTATTTTTCATAAAGACAGGGTTTCCCCGTGTGAGTCAGGATGGTCTCGATCTCCTGACTTTGTGATCCGCCCACCTTGGCCTCCCAAAGTGCTGGGATTACAGGTGTGAGCCACCGCGCCCGGACTTTTTTTTTTTTTTTTTTTTTTTGAGATGGAGTTTCACTCTTTTTGCCCAGGCTGGAGTGCAATGGCATGATTTGGGGTCACCGTAACCTCCGCCTCCCAGGTTCAAGCAATTTTCCTGCCTCAGCCTCCCGAGTAGCTGGGATTACAGGCGTGTGCCACCATGCCCGGCTAATTTTGTATTTTTAGTAGAGATAGGGTTTCTCCATGTTGGTCAGGCTGGTCTTGAACTCCTGACCCCAGGTGATCTGCCTGCCTTGGCCTCCCAAAGTGCCGGGATTACAGGCATGAGCCACCGCGCCTGGTGAGGGATAGCCAGTCTTAATCCCTGTTCTCATGGAGGGAGGTGGCAGGAGCTGAGGGCAGATGCCCGTAGGTGTTCATAGGAGAGGAAAAGGGCATTCACACAGAAGAAACAGTGTGGGCAAGGAGGTAAGATGGTAAATTCTGGAGAACTCAGAATATGCCAGTCCAGTCCAGCTTGCCATGAAGTTCTGGGCAGGGGCCTGGCATGGAGGTTGGCTGGTCTGGAGGAACAGGGGGAGCTGGGTAAGGAGTCTTCATCACATGTGTTTTGTTTTTGAAATGGGGTTTCTCTCTGTCACCCAGGCTGGAGTTCAGGAGTACGATCATAGCTCACTGCAGCCTTGAACTCCTAGGCTCAAGGGATTCTCCTGCCTCATTCTCCCATGTAGATGGGACTACAGGCATATGCCACTGTGCCCGGTTGCATGTGTCTTCAGGAAAGAAATCTAAGACTGGTGTTGGACTGGAAGGAGGCAAGAGGTAGGCGGAAGAGGTCAGAGGACTCCTACAGTGAGGGCTGGGCAAGAGCTAGCCCACAGGGCTGCAGGGTAGCCCTGTCCCTGTGGCACTTAATTAGACCCCATGAGGAATTTCTATCATCAATTTGGCAACAGGCCAGGAGCGTGGCTCACACCTGTAATCCCAGTTCTTTGGGAGGCCAAGGCAGGAGGATTGCTGGAGCCCTGGAGTTCAAGACCAGCCTGGGCAACATGACAAAACCCCCTCTCTAAACACACGCACACGCGCGTGCGTGCACACACACACACACACGATTGACAACAAGCTCCACACTCCCAGTGACCGATGAGCTAGTATGAGCTGTCTCAGGCCAGGCGTGATGGCTCATGCCTGTAATCCCAGCACTTTAGTAGGCCGAGGCAGGTGGATCATCTGAGGTTAGGAGTTCGAGACCAGGTTGGCCAACATGGCGAGACCCCGTCTCTACTAAAAATACAAAAAAAAAAAAATTAGCTGGGCATGGTGGCGGGCACCTGTAATCCCACCTACTTGGGAGGCTGAGGCAGGAGAATTGCTTGAACCCAGGAGGTGGAGGTTGCAGTGAGCTGAGATCGCGCCACTGCATTCCAGCCTGGGCGAAGGAGCGGGACTCTGTCTAAAAAAAAAACAAAAAACAAAATGAAACAAAAACAAAAACAAACAAACAAACAAACAAAACCAGCTGTCTCAGTCCACACAGTGGAATATTATTCTGCCGTGAAAAAGTTTTTTTATTACAAACATTTTATTATTTTTAATTATAAACAGTGTTTTGTAATTGTGTTAAAAATACATATTTTTTTTTTGATACAGGGTCCTGCTCTGTGGCACAGACTGGAGTGCAGTGGCGTGATGACAGCTCACTGCAGCCTCCACCTCCCAGGCTCAGGGGATCCTCCCACCTCAGCCTCCGGAGTAGCTGGGACTACAGGCATTTGTCACCATGCCTAGCTAATTTTTGTATTTTCTTGGTAGAGACAGGGTTTCACCATGTTGCCCAGGCTGATCTCGAACTCCTGAGCTCAAGCAATCTGCCTGCCTCGGCCTCCCAAAGTGCTGGGATTACAAGCATGAGCCACCATGCTGGGCCTAAATATTTTAAATATTTTCTTTTTTTTTTCTTTTGAGACAGGGTCTCGCTCTGTTGCCCAGGCTGGAGTGCAGTGGTGCGATTACGGCTCACTGCAACCTTCACTTCCCGGGCTCAGGTGACCCTCCCACCTCATTCTCCTGAGTAGCTGGGACTACAGGAGTGGGCGTGCCACCATGGCTGGCTAATTTTAAAAATTTTTTCGTAGAGGCAGGTTTTCGCCATGCTGCCCAGGCTGGTCTTGAACTCCTGGACTCAAGCAATTCGCTCACCTCGGCCTCCCAAAGTGCTGGGAATACAGGCATGAGCCACCGCACCTGGCCTTTCTTTCTTTCTTTCTTTCTTTCTTTTTTGAGACTGAGTCTTGCTTTGTTGCCCAGGCTGGAGTGCAATGGTGCGATCTCAGCTCACTGCAACCTCCGCCTCCCAGGTTAAAGCAATTCTCCGGCCTCAGCCTCCTGAGTAGCTGGGATTACAGGCGTGGGCCACCACACCCAGCTAATTTTTGTATTTTTAGTAGAGATGGGGTTTCACCATGATTAGCCAGGCTGGTCTCAAACTCCTAACCTCAAGTAATTCACCTGCCTCAGTCTCCCAAAGTGATGGGGTTACAGGCATGAGCCACCACACCTGGGCCAACTCCCAGGTTCAAACCATCCTCCCACCTCAGCCTGTGGAGTAGCTGGGACTATAGGTATGCCACCAAGCCCAGCTAATTTTTTCATTTTTATTTTTTTGTAGACTCACTATATTGCCCAGGCTGGTCTTGAACCCTGGGGCTCACATGATCCTCTCCGCCTCAGCTTCCCAAATTGCTGGGGTTAGAGGTGTGAGCCACCGCGCCCTGCCTACGGGTCTTTTGAATGCTGCATCCTATAGCTATTTTTTTCCTTCAACCCAGAAGCCAAAGCATAATTCCCTAAATTCTTCAGAGCTGTCTTGGTGAGCTCAGGTGGTCTGCAAACCGCTGTTTCCAGAAGGCTGGCATGGGGGCCTGTGTCTTCCTCCTTGCAGCCCTGTCCAGGCCCCTCCTCTTCTTGGCTCCCACCCTCTAGGCAGTTACTGGTTATCTACTCCGTCCTTCCCGGACTTGACTGTTGGGCATCTCGAGGGCTTCCCCCTTGTTAGTCTTCTCTTCCTCAGACCCCTTAGCCTGAAAGTGTGTTCCCCCAGGGCTTTCCTTGGCGGGCGGGCGAGCGGGCGGAGGCTGTCCTCTTGGGGCCCCCACCCTGGCCATCCCATGCGGCCGTCCCTCCTCCACACGGTCCTGCTTCCATCTTAGGGAGGGCAGAGCTCAGTGATCCTGCGCCTCCCTCAGGGACTCTGGGACACAGGTTACTTAGGGCCGAGAGCCCAGGAAGCCCTGAGAGGGCAAATGCAACGGCTCCGAAGAGCCATACGGAGAAGGGCGGCGCAGCCGGCCGTTGGGCCCCATGCCCCGCCTTCTGCAACCCCACGCCACCCAACCCCACCACACGCCACCCTCCGCCCCGCAGCTGCCCCGGCCCACAGCCCCCAGTCTCTGCAGTCGCTGAATGCGCCCCCCTCCCCTCCCCGCCATCCGTGGACGCCAGAAGCCATGGGCACTGGAGGATGTCAGGGAAAGGTCAAGTTCTTCCTTGGGATCCGAGAGCGAGGACGGAGCTCCCGGAAGCACCAGGGGCCACGAGAGTTGGGCCGCCCTCCACACCCGCCCCGCGCAAGGTCCGCCACCCTCTACCCCCATCCCAAGCTGGGATCCTCCCTGCCCTTCACCCCCTTCCGTGCGATGTCCACCTTCCCCGGAGTCGGCGCTGGAGATGCCCTACCTCGGCTGCCGCGGGCGGGGACCGAAGGTGCAGCTCGGCCTGGCGATGCGGGGACATGAGTAAAGGTCTGGAGGACACGGAGCTGGCCAGGGTCCGGGTTGCACGCCCCGCGGCCACACCGGAGTCCACGCTGCAGCGGGGGTCCGAGCCCGTTTTCAGGGTCCAGGGACGTGGCGGCCTGGCCCTCAGCCCCGCCTCAGGGCTGTGCCCCCGACTGCGCCCGGCTCTGTCCCCACCTCCCCAGCCCCAGGTAAGGGCGCGCGAGAAGGGACGCGGAGAGCGCCGGTCAGGAAGCCCGGACTGAGCGCGGGGGCTGGGATCTGGGATCCAAACGCCGTGGCCGCGGGCCCGCGCCCGGGCAGACCCGGGCTCCGCTCTCACGTCACGCGGTACATGGGCTACAGTTCCTTGTCCGAGGGCTTCCGGGAGCTGGAGCCGCACAGAATGAAGGGGTTCACTGGTAGTGGTTCCCAACTTCGTTGCATATTAAACCCCCCTGGAGAACTTAAACTCCAGTGCCCAGTCCTATGCAATCAGATCCTGGGTCTCCACTGTGCAGCGCCCGTGGAGAGCCAGCGATGTGGAGGGTCGAGATCACCCAGTTCTTTGGGGACAGGGTCTCACTGCCACCAAGGCTGGAGTCCAGTGGTGCAATCACGGCTCACAGCAGTCTCGACCTCCAGGGCTCAAGCGATCCTCCAGCCTCAGCCTCCCAAGCAGCTGGGAGCACAGGCGCATACCACGCGTGGCTTTTTTGAGACGAGGTCTTGCCATGTTTCCCAGGCTGGTCTCGAACTTCTGGGCTCAAGCGACCCTCCCGTCTCAGGCCTTCCAAAGTTCTGGGATTACAGGCGTGAGTCACTGCCCCTGGCCCCATCCAGCTCCTTCAGCCTGAATTACCAGTATTTCCCCTCCTCCAGGAAGCCAAGAATGCTTCCTAAACCCGCCTGGGCTCCATAGCGCCCCTCATCCTCAGCACACTAGTTACCACCTAAGCTGCCCCAGCTTTCCAGTGCGGGGCCCTGAGCTCCAGCTCTGGTTGCTACCGGAATAGTCCTGCTTGCTGCCCTTGAAGAACCAGGGTGTACACTAAGACTGCAAGAGCAGAGTCCAGCCATAATAGCGGGTTGGGGAGTCACCGACTTGGCAGAGAAGACACCTCCAGAATTACCAGCCTGGAGGTGTCAAGTTTTTGTTGCAGGGTAAGGTTTCAAGACTGGCTGGGCCAGCTGTACTGTTAACCCAGCAGGGAGGCAAGCAGAGGCCCCCACTAGGTCCCATGTCCAAGAGTTTCCCTCACCTCAAAGGAACCCAGTCCAGCATTGCTGGCCAAGATATACCTGTTCAAACAAGTTATTTTTTAGTTATTTATTAAAAATTGAGATGCTGGCCAGGTGGTGGCTCATGCCTGTAATCCCAGCACTTTGGGAGGCCAAGGTGGGCGGATCCCCTGAGGTCAGGAGTTCAAGAGCAGCCTGGTCAACATGGTGAAACCTGCTCTCTACTAAAAACACAAAAAGTAGCTAGGCATGGTGGCGCAAGCCTGTAGTCCCAGCTACTGGGGAGGCTGAGGCAGGAGAATCGCTTAAACCTGGGAGGTGGAGGTTGCAGTGAGCCGAGAATACACCACTGCAGAAGACACTGTCTCAAAAAAAAAAAAAAAAAAAATTGAGATCCTACTATGTCTCAATAGGTGTCACTATGTCGACCGTGCTGGAGTGCAGTGGCTATTCGCAGGCACAGTCATAACTCACTGCAGTCTGGAACTCCTAGGCTCAAGCAATCCTCCAGCCTCAGCCTCCAGAGTAGCTGGGACTATAAGAACGCACCACCGCACCAGGCTCTAAAGGTAGTTTTCAAAGATGTCTCTGGAGTATTGTTTCTTCCAGAATGATGTGACAGTTTTGATATTTCAAGACAGACTTCTCTCAAATTCAGCAGAAACCTGAAAGTAGGAACCAGGGACATTTTAGCCTCATAGTTCTATATATATATATATATATATATCCTGGGCCAGGCACAGAGGGTCATGCCTGTAATCCCAGCTTCTGAGGAGGCCAAGGTGGGAGGATTGCCTGGGCCCAGGAGTTGGAGGCTGCAGTGAGCTATCATCTTACCACTGCACTCCAGCCTGAGCAAGACACTGTCTTAAATAAATTTTTAACTTTTTTTTTTTTGAGATGGAGTCTCACTCTGTCACCCATGGGGCTGGAGTGCAGTGGTGTGATCTTGGCTCACTGCAACCTCTGCCTCCCGGGTTCAAGCAATTCTCCTGCCTCAGCCTCCCGAGTAGCTGGGATTACAGGCGCCCGCCACCATGCCCAGCTAATTTTTTTATTTTTAGTAGAGACGGGGTTTCACCATCTTGGCCAGGCTGGTCTTGAACTCCTGACCTTGTGATCCAAAGTGCCTCAGCCTCCCAAAGTGCTGGTAAATTTATTTTTAAGACAGGGTCTCAGCTGGGCGCAGTGGCTCATGCCTGTAATCTCAACACTTTGGAAGGCTGAGGTGGGTGGCTCACCTGAGGTCAGGAGTTTGAGACCAGCCTGGCCAACATGGTGAAACCCCGTCTCTACTAAAAAATACAAAAGTTAGCTGGACGTGGTGGCACACACCTGTAATCCCAGCTACTCAGGGGAGGCTGAGGCAGAAGAATTGCTTGAACCCGGGAGGTGGAGGTTGCAATGAGGTGACGTCACACCACTGCATTCCAGCTCTGGGCAACAGAGCAAGACTGTCTTAGTGGGGGTGGGGGCGGGGAGGGCGGTGAGAAGGATCTTCCTCTGTCACCCAGGCTGGAGTGCAGTGGTATGTCAGCTCACTGCAACCTCTGCCTCCCAAGCTCAAAAGATCTTCCCACCTTGGCCCTCCCTGCACAGTAGTTGGGACTACAGGCCTGCATCACCATGCCTGGCTCATTTTTATATTTTTTGCCGAGATGAGATTTCACCGTGTTGGCCAGGCTGGTCCTGAACTCCAGATCTGCCCATCTCGGCCTCCCAAAGTGCTGAGATTACAGGCATGAGCCACCACATCCAGCCATAATTTTTAAAAATGGCTTCCTGAGGTTTTACAAGAAAATATGCACCTCAAAATACACAAATAGGCATGGGAATAGAGTACAGTGAAGTGAAAGATAAAATGTACTGAGAGCTGGGAGTAGGAGAGACAAGGCCCTGGCTGAGGGGGTGTCAGTGGGCCTCCCAACACCTCAAGCCAATCCACTTGGAGGTCTCCCAAAGTTCATCAGGAGAACCACCTACAGCCAAGAACAGAAAAGGATTCAAGAAAGCCGCACAGATATCATGCCCTGACCTGCAATGAGGCTGCTCACTTCCCATGACTTCTGCTTGATACCATTCAACCCTGGTTAGCTCATGCTGAAGAAATATTTACTAGAAGCCTCAGATATGGGTGCCTAGAAGGAAAAAGATCCAAGTTCTCTGTGGTGGTGCAACCTGTGGGAACTATTGCCTCATGCTCAGAAGGCCAAGCACTAGGCTCCCATACAATACCTACAAGACAGACACTCTGGGAGGCAGATTTCTCTTTTGGAGGGAGACCCCAGGTGCTCTCCTCTGGGTGCCCGAGTGTTGGAATGGGCGGATGCCAAGACTTCATTCTAGCTCTTGGTCAGCAGCAGCACTAAGGGTCTCTGAGAAGCATCAGAGATTTCACCACTGATGAACTGCCAGGAGGCTAGTGGGGGCGGACTGAGGAGACACTGAAACACCGAAGCTGCCGCCACCACCGGCTGATGCAAGTTTTATTGAGACAATATACAAACAGGCCATGGAAACAAGGGTTTTGATGCTGGGACCAGTAACGTAAAACGGAATACAAAAATAAAAAGGCACTAATCTGTTAAGAAAAGACACTCGATGTATTCTAAGAATATAAGTCATTTAATACTGTTAATTTTATAGCACAAAATAAAACAAGCTATGATCCCCAAAAATAATTTTAAAAGCTTACACAGAAAATATTATTGCCTGAAGTTTATGATCTTTAAGTTACAGGTCAAAAGAGTTTTATGTTGTTGTTGTTGTTGTTGTTGTTGTTTTAAAACACACAGTGAAGACCGTCTAAGAAGCAAGGCCACTGTTCCTCCTGTAGGGACAACGATCCTGTCTCAGAGACCTGTCCTTCTGCTCCTTTAGAAAACAGAACCAGCACAGCGTCCACACCGACAGCAGTTACTAGGGGCATAGTCCTCCGGTCGCAGAGGGTGGAGTTGAGGCAGAGCTCAGTGGTGTCCACAGAAAGCATTAGTCTTAGGTACTGTGTTAAAACAATCAAGAATTCATTCATGTTTAAGAGGTTAATAACCATAATATTAAAGGATTAATTATAAACACCTGGCAAAAAACCACATCATCCCTTTTCAAAAATAAAATGTTCATATTCCTCTGAGCAAACATCACAAGAGCAGTGGCCATCTGCCTCAGGCCTGCCTTGTCTGTAAACAGCTGTAAAGGAAAGCTAGCACAGCGCCAGGGACACATGAGCTCCCAGGAGGGCACAGCTGTCCTTCCCTTTCAGCTTTCCAAACATGAGCACAGAAGGTGTCTAGTCTGGGTGACCAAAGTCCTCAAACGGCAGCCGGTCAACACATCGTCTTCCTCGTTAACCATGTCATCAGGTGGTTCCACACAGCACAGACATGGCTGACTCCTGTACCGCAGGTCCTTCCCGGGATACACAAGTTTTTAACCAGTCAATGCCCTCTAGTACGTAATTTGTTTCCTTCCCAGGTGAAAAACCATAGTGAGTTAATTTAACATCCAAATATTTCTTTAAACATGGTAGAGCAGAGCAAGTAGCAGTTATGAACACCCACCCTCTGGGTCAGATGTGCACTGCTCTATGGAGCACAACAGTCTTCCCAGACCAGTGGGGAACCCAGGCACGAAGCTGAGCTGAGGCAGCAGTGCTGCATTCATATGTTTAGTGTGAAAAACAGAGTATCCCTGCCTCATTAAAAAAACTGACAAGGTTGTAAGTCCGTTAAGTTTTACTAGTTTTGGCACATATCTGGAGTGCAGAACTCAAGCTCGCCTTGTTTTGAGCTCTGAATCTCCTGGCAGCCCTGGATGCCATTTTCATGGGCTGAAGTAACGAGCTGATTAATTATAAAACCAAACCACAGGTATACTCTAGGTATATCTGATTCTGAAGTGCGCCACACAAGGTGAGTCGGGGTATTGGTCAGTAGACAGGGCTGAAAGGAAACCTTGCTTTCCAAAATGGCCAGACTTCTTGCACTCTGAGTCAACTGCTGTAATTCAAAGGTGTCAAGCCCTTCAGCTAAATCTGGTTGAAAAAGGCCTAAGGGTCGTGCCCTCCTTGAACAAGGCACACATTCCTCCCTCTGTTGGAAACTCCACTCATGGCTCAACATGGGCCGGGATGAACCACGTCACTGGCCAAAGGGCAAACACTGTTTCTAGGCAGAGTCTGGGGACTCTTGTGATATGTCTGCCACTTGTGGGTGCTACGCCAGGCCTGAACCCAAAATAAGCCAACCTGACACACCTAACCAGAAGCGGCAACTGCCGCAGACCGTGCAGAGCAGGAGGCGGTCACCGTTCTCACTGGCAAGGAAGGGCTAATCTCCAAGGCTTTTAGAGGAAAACCACAGATGGGAAGCCATGGCGATAGTTTTCCCAAATGACCATTAATTCTGTCTCAGGAACACTCTCAAGATTCATGAATACAGCAGTTATCTGCCTGATGGAATACTGATTTAAAGAAAAATTGAAAAATGGCTGTTCTGCTGGTTCTGTCTCCAGAATGCATTGCTCTAAATCTCAAAACCTAGGAACCTCCAGACAGGGCCACAGTCACAGCAGATGATCAGTAAATGAAAGCTACTCAGTAGGCTGCTGCTACATTTCTAGGTCTGCTGTGTTCACTATGAGCTGAGGCTTTTCTTTACCAGGGTCCACAAGGGAGAGCAGACTGAATTGCACAGGGTTCCCAGAATTCTAGTCTGCTATGTGCAGCAGATGATGGATGAACCACACGTATATACCAGTTGGCTTGTATGAACAGGCCTCTTTTAGCTAACAGGGAAATGCTTTAACATCAATACACTGATAAGTGGTTAATGATAAACTAGTTAATGGTCTCCCTAGTCACTAAAACACTAAGACATCAAATACATTAACGAATTTCCAGAGCTTGCATTTCCTTTGCTTGGGAGCATCACAGACACTTACTTAGACTGTGAGACCAGTATGAGCAGCACCAACTTTCTCTGGCAGCCTGACGAGATTGGGCCTGGGCACGGAGGTCTGGGCTTCAGTGAGTGGAGTTGAACGATTCATTAATGAGTCCAACGATTCTATGAACAACGCCACTTTTTAAGGAAGTTTAAGTCTGAACCTTAAAGGGGTACATTCACTGAAAAGCTGAACAGAAAACTGGCCAAGTGCCCTCCAACCCACTGCTCTTATCACTGGCAAAACAAGGTAAGCAAAGGTTTCCCTAAAGTACCCCCAACTCTGATGCTTTTTAAAACAAAGTAATCCAAGGGGCTGTGCACATAGCATGGCACACCACAACTGCATTATTTTGTGTGTTGTCTGCTACATGGCAAAACAAGGTACTACTGGCAACCAAGACAATAAAGGCCTCTGCTTCAGGGTTGTTCTTTTCAGATTCCTTTAGTTACAGCAGCTTCAGTTTAGAAGCTCAGAGGCATGAGTCATTCCTTGCACTATCATAAAAACCCAACCTGCTACTTAACCTGTTTAGAACACACAAGTCTAGGCCAGGCGCGGCGGCTCACGGCTGTAATCCCAGCACGTTGGGAGGCTGAAGGCGGGTGGATCACCTGAAGTCAGGAGTTTGAGACCAGCCTGGTCAACATGATGAAACCCCGTCTCTACTAAAAATACAAAAATTAGCTGGGCGTGGTGTGCGCGCCTGCAGTCCCAGCTACTTGGGAGGCTGAGGCAGGAGAATCGCTTGAACTCAGGAGGCGGAGACTGCAGGAAGGCGAGATTGCGCCACTGCACTCCAGCCTGGGTGATGCAGCGAGACACCGTCTCAAAAAAACAAAACAAAACAAACAAAACAAAACAAAAAAAAACCCCCACACAAGTCTAATTAATTAGTTTTCCAAAACCAAACCAAAACAAAAGAAAAAAAAAAGCCAGATTTTGGAGTTTTAGAACAGAATTCTCTCTTCCTTAAGGTTCACTTCCTGTTGTCCAAAGAAAAGCAAGATGGCAGCTAAGCCACTGCTTTGTGGAACAGCAAACATGCAGTATCTCGCCATGGCCTCAAGCTTTCTCTGGTGAACACAACAGAATCAGTCCCATGTACAAACGGGCAGCAATGAGAAGGAAGACCCTTTCCATGTCAACTTCTCTCCACTTGTGTGCTTCCATCAGTATTTCCAGTTTATGATCCAAAAGAACTCTAAAATCGGCTACTCTTTGACAATACGACTATGATACAAACATCAGGAGGCAGCCGCTGTGTGCATTCCAAATGTGTGTGCGACTGCCAGTCTGCAGAAAGCTGGACTTCGGCAATGCAGTGTGACTTGCCTATGAGAGAAAATGCTTTCCCACTTCAAAGGAGACTAGGACAGGCAGAACAACAAAGCAGCAGGAAACAGGGCAACAGCAATCACTCGTTTTCATCTGGGTTTTGAGGGTCAAAGATTTTGACGTGCGTAAAGGGGAAAAGCCCTTTGCGCCCGTTCACTTCGCCTTCCCACTGGCCATTTATATTCATCCTTGTGACTTTCACGATGTCACCAACCTGTATGGATGAAGAAGACAAAGTTAGCATTTCTCTGCAACAAGAAAAAGACAGTTTACATTAAATCACAAACACTACCTTATCCAAAGGGCCCATACATTATTATTTAGACACAGGGTCTCACTCTGTTAGCCATGCTGGAGTGTAGTGGTGAGATCCCTGCTCAATGTAACCTCTAACGCCTGGGCTCAAGTGATCCTTCCACCTCCACCTCTTGAATAGCTGTGACTACAGGCGTGCACCACCATGCACATTATTTTTTAATTTTTTATAGACGGGGTCTGTCGCCCAGGCTGGAATGCAGTGGCCCGATTACAGCTCATTGTAACCTTGAACTCCTGGGATTACTTGAGGTCAGGAGTTCGAGACCAGCCTGGGCAACATGGTGAAACCTCATCTCTTCTAAAAAATAGAAAAATTAGCCGGGTGTGGTGGTACATGACTGCAGTCCCAACTACTCAGGAGGCTGAAGTGAGAGGATGGCTTGAGCCCATGAGGCTGAGGCTGCAGTGAGCCGTGATAGTGCCACGGCACCCCAGACTGGGCAACCGAGTGAGACCCTGTCTCAAAAAAACAAAAATCAAAACACACACACACACAGAAACAGCTTTTGAGCACAAAGCAGCTCCCCACCCCACACCAACCTTCTATTTTGGCCACTAACCCCAACAGGATAGAAATGAACACATGATTCTGAGAATGGTTAAAGTCAAATTACACAAAAAGGTGTATTTTAAAAAAAGACCTTCAGGTGGTAGTCATTGTAGACAGGGTGTTACTCTGTTCAGCAGAGCACTAATCTAAGGTTCTGTATTGTGTACTTAGGTCCATAAAAACGCTACTTGAATATAAGACCCACCTAAGATCTAAGACAATAAGAAATAAGCTTTTGTCTGCTTAAACACATATAGAACCAGGCATCGTGGTACATGCCTCTAGTTCCAGGTCCTTGGCAGACTGAGGTGGGAGGACTGCTTGAGCCCAGGAGTTTGAGACCAGCCGGCGCAACGCAGCAAGACTACATCTCAAAATAAAAACAGGCATAAGGTTTTTATGGCACAGTCCAATGGTCCGTGCCATGAACTTTGGAGCATGCAGGACACCAAACAAATGTCCTGGTTCTGCCACTTTTAGAAACTACATGACTGTAGCAAACTGCTTAAGTTCTCCAAGTCTCAGTTTCCTTCCAACTTTGAAAGGTTCTTGCAGTAATTAAATGATTGTTACTTGAGTAGAGATTCCTGAATAGAACCCATCCCCCAACCCCACGCCCCCTCTAATGATCATACCCTTTGGATGCACGAAGGGAAGAGCTGGAATTAGCACTGAGAAGCACAACACTGTATATATCAGAGGATTTCCAACCTTGTCACCAACAAGGGTCCTCTCAAAACCAATGAGGAACAGGCTGAAAACGGGGTCTAATAAATGACTGTGATGGATACTAAGCAGCCAAAGAAGACTACGGGAAGATTAAAGATGAGGCTAAGGATTGAAAGCTGCCAAGAACACTCACACCTCACGCCTTCCAATTAACTTGTGAGTCTGGCGGTCTTCAACAGGATACTTTCTACATGATCCTACCTAATCAATTAAATAAATTTACTGAACATCTACTCCATGGAAAATGGGCAGGTCAGTTCGTATCCTTAAAAAACTTCTGTCTTTTGAGTGGGATACACAATGAATCTTTGTCAGATAATAACATAGTGTGAAAAGCACAAAGTGGCCGGGCGCAGTGGCTCACACCTGTAATCCCAGCACTTTGGGAAGCTGAAGTGGGTGGATCACTTGAGCCCAGGAGTTCAAGACCAGCCTGGGCAACACAGTGAAACCCTGTCTCTAAAATACAAAAATGAGCCAGGCGTGGTGGCATGCACCTGCAGTCCCAGCTACTTGGGAGAATGAGGTGCGAAGATCGTTTAAGCGCAGGAGGCAGAGGTTGCAGGGGTGCAGTAAGCTGTGATCACACTACTGCACTCCAGCCTGGGTGACAGAGCAAGACCCTGTCTCAAAAAAAAAAAAAAAAAAAAATGAAAAAAAGAAAAAAGAAAAGAAAAGAAAAGAAAAAGCCTAGGCGCAGTGGCTCACATCTGTAATCCCAACACTTTGGGAGGCCAAGGCAGATGGATCACCTGAGGTCAGGAGTTCGAGACCAGCATGGCCAACACGGCAAAACCTCATCTCTACTGAAAAATACAAAAATCACCAGGCGTGGTGGCAGATGCCTGTAATCCCAAATTCCAACTACTCGGGAGGCTGACGCAGGAGAATCACTTGAACCTGGGAGGTGGAGGTTGCAGTGAGCCAAAATCGTGTCACTGCACTTGGTGTAGCTGGGCGCAGTGGCTCACACCTGTAATCCCAGCACTTTGGGAAGCCAAGGTGGGAGGATCACTTGAGGCCACATGTTCAAGACCAGCCTGGGTGACATAGTGAGACCTAGCTTCTATTGAAAAAAAAAAAAAAGAGAGAGAGACAGAAAACACATAAAAGCAGCAAGTGGCAGAAAAACACTATTAACTCAATGCTGCAGAGCACAGGATTCAAGGAGCTACTGCTTAGACAGAGGGAACCTGGACCAGCAGAAGTAGGTCAAAGAGCAGCCTAGGAAGAGAATGGCTGAGAGACTTCTGGTGGCCCCTTGACCATTAGTGCCTCATTGTGGCCTTGCAGGAGTTTCCACATGCTAAAACACCATCATCATTCTTCATGCTGTTTTCTATCTCAACACAGTAAAGATATCCTGGCTGTTATGCAGCCTGCTGTCCAGTTACAGGCCTGGCTATGGACCAGCTTCTTCCATGGCTCTACCAAACAGTGCTTGTGCTCAGATCCTAAAATGGCTGGTAGCTTGGCAGCCATCTTGCCGTTTCCCTCATCACTCCCTATTCTGGTGTGGTGCTCTTCCTCTGGGTTCATGGTACACGGATCCAGCTCAAAGAAGCACTCACTGTGGAGGGCAGATCAATCTGTTTTTTTTTTTTGGAGGGAGGGGTGCTCTACACCTTCAGAGAAACTTCTCTAGTAATGAACTATAGAAATGATCCCTGAAAGTATAGTCTTAGAGGGCAGACCAATCTTGATGTGGGTAGATACCAACTCAGTTCACGGGGCAAACTACACCTGGGAGATGTGGCTGACCTTATCAACAGATTAAGAGGAAGCACATACCTAATGCATCATCCTTATTAATTTTCACTCTATGGAACAGGCCAATCCTAATCATTATTAGAACTGTCAAAACACTATCTTTGTGGCTGGCCGCACTTAGCACCTGGGGAGTGGACACATTAACTCTAAAACACATATGCCAGGGACACTAGTCAGCCCTTTTATGTCTACCAAGAGTTAAATGGCAAGAGGGTACCTCTTGCTGCTGGCAATAGTTTCCTACAGCCCTACTTGTCCAGAGTGTTGTCCAGGAAATGACTCTACTGACTGGCATCTGGCACTTGATTCAAAGAGCAGTCAACGCACTGGAGGGCCCAAGCACTGGTCGTCACAGCAGTTTTTTGGTTCCATAATCAGTCTCCGCTCCCTGTACTGATAGGCTGAGATTGTATGCTTTCAGGTTACATAAAAGTAAGATCAGGAGTACACTGGTGACACTGGAATCATAAATTCTAACTTGAGTGATGTGAATGGGTCTCAGTGATCAAAGAACATCCTGCGAAGTTGTATGCAAATACATGAATGTATGCTGTTTTTCTGAAGACTGCACAACTTTCACTGGATTCTCAAAGGGGCTTATAGCCCCCAAAATATCTAAAACAAAACAAAGCCCATGTACTATAATCACCAGACAGGTATCATCCTGCTCTCTGTGGCTTTTATTCCTCTAGTCATTCAACAAATATTGAACATCTATGTGTAGGCCGTGAAGAGATACAACAGAGGACACAAAGGAGACAAACACCCCTGGCCCTCACGGAGCTGCATGGGTCCACTGCCTGCCCCTGTGTTCTCTGTGCACCTGCACCTGAATCAGAGTAGCCAGAGAGATAGAGGCTTTAAGAGGGCTAGGCTCCCTGTCTGTGTGCCCTGGCTAGCAGTCAAGTAATCTCATACACTCAAACCCACAACTGAATGCTATCTAATAGGGTTTTAATACTGAAGACTTGGTCTCTTTCTTAAAATTACCACTATCCTTCAGAGTAGTAACTTGATTCAAGAGGGCTGTTTACTGGTTAACACAGAGATTTTATTTGGGAAAGGTAGGGGGCGGGGCTAAAGGTATCACAGGCCAGTATGCTGTGGTACAAGAGTATGTGGGCTTTTGGAAAAGAGGAAGTCAAGACACGATCATATATATAAGAAAAGATACAAATTCAGCAAAGTCGCAGGGTACGAGATCAACACATAGATATCAGTTGCGTCTTATATATTGGTAATGAATAATTAAGAAAGTAATTCCAAGCCGGGTGCGGTGGCTCATGCCTGTAATCCCAGCACTTTGGGAGGCCGAGGCAGGCAGATCAGGAGGTCAGGAGATCGAGACCATCCTGGCTAATACCGTGAAACCCCGTCTCTACTAAAAATACAAAAAATTAGCCGGGCGTGGTAGGAGGCGCCTGTAGTCCCAGCTACTTGGGAGGCTGAGTCAGGAGAATGGCGTGCACCCGGGAGGTGGCGCTTGCAGTGAGCCAAGATCACACCACTGCACTCCAGCCCGGGTGATAGAGCGAAACTCCATCCCAAAAAAAAAGAAAGAAAGTAATTCCAGGCAGGGCACGGTAGCTCATGCCTGAATCCTAGCACTTTGGGAGGCGCCAAGATCATGCTGGGCAACATGGTAAAACCCCAATTCTACTAAAATACAAAAAAAAGTTAGCTGGGCGTGGTGGCAGGCACCTGTAGTCCCAGCTACTCAGGAGGCTGAGGCACAAGAATTGTGCCACTGCACTCTAGCCTGGGCAATGGAGCGGGAGTGAGGCTCTGTCTCCAAGAAGAAAAAAAAAAAAGTGATTCCATTTACAATAGCATCTAAAATAAAAATATCCAAGAATAGGCTGTGCGGTGGCTCATGCCTGTAATCCCAGCACTTTGGGAGGCCGAGGCAGGTGGATCACGAGGTCAAGAGATCGAGACCATCCTGGCCAACATAGTGAAACCCCATCTCTACTAAAAATACAAAAATTAGCTGGGCATGGTGGCGCATGTCTGTAGTCCCAGCTACTTGGGAGGCTGAGGCAGGAGAATCGCTTGAACCAGGGAGGTGGAGGTTGCAGTGAGCCGAGATTGCACCACTGCACTCCAGCCTGGTGACAAAGCCAAGACTCTGTCTAAACAAAACAAAACAAAACGAGAATAATTTAACCATGGTGAAACACTTGCATACCAAAAATTATTAAAGACCTAAATAAATGCAAAAACATTTGTGTTAATGGATGGAAAGACTTATGATTAAGATATTAATATTGGCTAGGTGCAGTGGCTCACACCTGTAATGCCAGCACTTTGGGAGGCTGAGACAGGAGGATCACTTGAGCCCAGGAGTTTGAGACCAGTCTGGGCAACATAGTGAGACCCTGCCTCATAAAAGAAATTAAAAAAAAAAAAAAAAAAAAAGCTAATACTACCCAAAGTGATCTACAAATACAACACAATCCCTATCAAAATTCTAACAGCCTTTTTTTTTGCAGCAATGGGAAAACCAATCCTCAAATTCATATAGAATTGCGAGGAACCTGAATAGCCAAAACAACCTTGAAAAGCATCAAAGTTAGAGGACTTACACTTCCTTGACTTCAAAATTACTACAAAAAGCTATAGTAATCAACAGTGTGGTGCTGGCATATGGAGAGACATATAGAACAATGGAATAGAACTCAGAGGTCAAAAATAAACCCACACATTTATGATCAAGTGATTTTTTTTTAACACGTGGGAGTCTCACTATGTAGCCCAGGCTGATCTTCAACTCCTAGGCTCAAGCAATCTTCTCACCTCAGTCTCCAGGGTACCTGGGATTACAGGTGTGCACCACCACACCCAGCTTGGCCAACTGATTTTTGACTAGGGTGCCAAGTCTATTCAACAGGGAAAGAATAACCTTGCTGGGACAACTGCACCAATTTCCACATGCAAAAGAAAGACTCTGAAACCTTACCTCACACTATACACAAAAAGTCATTTAAAATGGATCAACAGCCTAAATACAATAACTAAGGTCAGGCATGGTGGCGCACGCCTGTAATCCTGGCACTTTGGGAGGCCAAGGCAGGTGGATCACCTCACTTTAGGAGTCCAGAAGAGCCTGGCCAACATGGTAAAACCCCATCTCTACTAAAAATACAAAAAATTAGCGGGGTATGGTGGTGAGTGCCTGTAATCCTGGCTATTTGGGAGGCTGAGGCAGGAGAATTGCTTGAATCTGGAAGGCAGAAGTTGCAGTGAGTCGAGATCGTGAGTGCCATTGTACTCCAGCCAGGGCGACAGAGTGAGACTCTGTCTCAAAAAATATAAAACAAAATAAAAAACAAAAACGCTCAAATAACCCAATTAAAAAATGGGCAAAGAACTTGAAAATATTTATCCAAAGATTTGCCAAAAGCCAATATGAAAAGATGCTCAACATCAGTCACTAGGAACATGCAAATCAAAACCACAATGACATACCACTTCACACCTACTAGGATGGCTATAATAAAAAATATGGAAAATAACAAGTGTTGATGAGGATGTGGAAGAATTTTTTTTTGGCGGTGAAGAAGGGAGCCCTTATATACTGCTGGTTGGAATGGAATATGGTACAGCTGCTATGGAAAATAGTTTGACAGTTCCTCAAAAAGCTAAACATAGGAGGCTCATGCCTATAATCCCAGCACTTTGGGAGGCTGAGGTGAGCGATCAGTTGAGGTCAGGAGTTCAAAGCCTGGCTAACATGGCAAAACCCTGTCTCTACTAAAAAATACAAAAATTAGCCAGGTGTGGTGGCACGTGCCTATAATCCCAGCTACTCAGGAGGCTGAGGCAGGAGAAATCGCTTGAACCCAGGAGATGGAGGTTGCAGTGAGCCGAGATGGTGCCACTGCACTCCAGCCTGGGCAACAGAGCAAAACTCCGTTTCAAAAAAAAAAAGCTAAACACAGAATTACCCATTTGACCCAGAAATCCACTCTGAGATATATAACCAAAATAACTGAAAGCAAGGACTCAAACATTTGTGTGTCAATGTCCACTGCAGCATTATTCACCATAGCCAAAATAACGAAAACAACTCAAGTATCCATCAAGAGATAAATGGATTAACAAAACGTGATATATACATAACAATGGAATATTATTCAGCCCTAAAGGAATGAAGTCTTTATCATAATTTCCTGTACAGATGGAGTCTCACTATGTTGCCCAGGCTGGTCTCAAACTCCTTGCCTCAAGTGATCTTCCCACCTTGGCCTTTCAAAGCACTGGGATTACAGGTGTGAGTCACCCCATGCTGGGACAAGAAATGAAGTTTTGATATATGCTACAATCTGGATGAACTCTGAAAACATTGTACCCAATGAAATAATTCAGACCCAAAGGACAAATATTGTATCATTTTACTTATATCAGGTAGGTAGAATAGGTAAATTCATAGACAGAAGGTAGATAGTTGGCAAACTATATAAACCTCAAGCTCTTAGTGTGGGAGCAGTCATGAGAATAAACTTCTCTCTGTGAACCCCTAGCTGATGGTTCTTCTTACTCAACAGCTATCACCAGAGAACAGCTATCACAGAAAACAGAGGTCAGCCTAATGACCAGGATGGGACAGGCCCTGCCTGAACCACACCAGGGCCCCAATTCCATGGCATTCTGACTTAATTTACACATTAGGAAAGAGGAACAAAAACCTTTTAAAAATATTTTTTTCTGGGCCGGGTGCAGTGGCTCACGTTGTCAGGAGTTCAAGAGCAGCCTAGCCAAGGTGGTGAAACCCCATCTCTACTAGAAATACAAAAACTAGCCCGGCCTGGTGGCGGGCACCTGTAATCCCAGCTACTCGGGAGGCTGAGGCAGAGAACTGCTTGAACCCGGGAGGCAGAGGTTGCAGTGAGCTGATATCATGCCACTGCACTCCAGCCTGGGTGACAGAGCAAGACTCTATCTCAAAAAAAAAAAAAAAAAAAAAAAATATATATATACACACACACACACACACACACACACACACACACACACACATAAAATATATATATATATACACATACACAAACACACATATGTATATATTTTTAAATACGAGAATATTCTAAAGGACTTTCTAAAGATTCCTACATTTGCATGGTATTATAGTCAAGGAAAAAAAGCACTTTTGGTACTAAAGAAATAAAGCTGAGATGCTGTGAAGGACAACTGACACAATGTCAAAGACAGAAGGGTGGAGGAGGATCCTGGTCAGTCCTGATGAAAGGTCCAAGGAGGCAAGTGGAAATGATTCCTCGGGCACCAGACATCCACACACCACCACGGCATGGGAAGGACACACCTGAGATTCTTGCTTAAGGTGAATGCTAACTTGTGGGCCTTTCTGGGAAGCCTTGGTAAGAAGGCTTCACGTTGCTAGAATGTGACGTGAGGTGAGGGACAGAAGCCCCATTACACTGGGAGCCTGTAAGCTTGCCACATGGACCCCCAGGGCTGAGTCAGATGCTTCATGATGAACACATACAGCCCCAAGAGCACTGCAGGCCACCCAGCAGGAGGAACTCATGATGATCTCTTAGGGATTCATCATGAGTCCAATACAAAGTCCAATCAGTATTAATGAAACCTAAACTTACTTTGCAGATTACTTCACCTCAGCAAGCAGATGCAGCAATGAAGAAAATGCTAATACAAATTTAATTCTAAGCAATGAAGCAAAACCAATTGGTAAAGTGGGAATCTGATAATTCCAGGTCAGTCAGTAAAGGAAGTTGTACCATGGGCCCTTGGGAAGGCCAATTCAAAAGACACAGAGACCAGATGTAATCCAAATTACTACAGGTTTTGAAATGGGGCAAAGACAATCCAAGAAGAAATTATAAAAACGCAATCACAGATGACACAGAGCAATTATGGGAATGAAGAGCAAGAATGTTGAGGATGCTGGTGACCTCAAAGAACGCTGAGTATCACTAAGAAAAAAAATGCCAAAAAAAAAAAAAAAAAAAAGGAGCACCAAAGATGAGGAAAGGGTGTTCTTAAGAGCTGACCAAACACACTGGCAAACAGCAGTAAGAGTCCAAGACTAGTCTCCTGTCATAGAGAAATTACATCACAGGACACTGGAAGACTTAGGAAGGGTCAAGTCTCTTGTTTTTTGTCAAAAGATGGCAAATTCCATAAAATGTAAAACAGTGAGCTTGAAATGAAACCCAGACAAAATTCTGGATGCGATTAGCTAACAGATGGTTTGTGAGAATTTAGAATGGGAAGTGGAGCATCTGGAAGCAGCATGAGCCCACCAAGAACAAGTCACGCCAGATCAACCTCACTGTCTTTTTATAGATATAAGAGGCAGATCTGGAGAGGCTGCATAGAAGGACTTTAGTACAAAGATCTGTTGGTGCTTTTACAAAACCTGCAGTTAGGAAACTGGAGGGTAATGAATATGCTAGATGACATAACCAGGATTTTAAAAGATTCAGAGGCTGGGCGTGGTGGCTCATGCCTATAATCCCAGCACTTTGGGAGGCTGAGGCGGGCGGATTGCCTGAGGTTAGGAGTTTGAGACCAGCCTGGCCAACATGGTGAAACCCTTTCTCTACTAAAAATAAAAAAATTAGCCAGGCGCGGTTGGCAGGTGCCTGTAATCCCAGCTACTCAGGAGGCTGAGGCAGGAGAATCACTTGAACCTGGGAGGTAGAGGGTGCAGTGAGCCGAGATCACGCCATTGCACTCCAGCCTGGGCGACAAGAGCGAGACTTCAACTCAAAAAAAAAAAAAAAAGGATTCAGAGATGTACGCAGATCATATGACAAGACCAATAAAAACCAAACCAACAACAAAACTACAAAACTCAAGAGGGACAACTATGGGGCCATGCACTTTTAAGTCCACACACTGGGCTAGGCAAACACAAGAAGGGGACTTGGCTGTGGCTTCTTTCTCCCTGGTGGAGAGCCAGAACACAAGACTTGTCAGCTACCACAGCCATACAACATGAGACAGACCACCTCATGAAACTGTTATGGGCCAGGCGCGGTGGCTCACGCCTGTAATCCCAGCATTTTGGGAGGCCTAGGCAGGTGGATCACGAGGTCAGGAGATGGAGACCATCCTGGCTAACACGGTGAAGCCCCGTCTCTACTAAAAAATACAAAAAAAAAAATTAGCCGGGCGTGGTGGCAGGTGCCTGTAGTCCCAGCTACTCCGGAGGCTGAGGCAGGAGAATGGCGTGAACCCGGGAGGCGGAGCTTGCAGTGAGCCAAGATGGCGCCACTGCACTCCAGCCTGGGAGACAGAGCAAGACTCTGTCTCAAAAAAAAAAAAAAAAAAAAAAAAAGCAACTTATGTTCCAGATGTGCCACAGGAAATACATCTTTGTTTTGTTCACTACTGTATCCCAAGTTCCTAGCCTGTCACATAATAGGCACTCAATAAACTTTTGTTGAAGTGAATGTTTTTTTGGAGGTGTCCAAGTTGAGACTGGAGGGCCATGGAGTTAGACTCTGAAGAGGGCTAAAAGCACAGGGAAAATGATTGAACTAAATGACCTAAGGTATCAATACAACCTTTCTGCTTGATTTATACCAATTCCATCCCAAATCACTTTAAGTCTCACTTGTAAGCCTGGGAAACTATTTTTCCTCCACACGATCTGTTTCACTGACTTCAATTCCCACAGATCCCCAGCTTGTGTCACCAATTGTTTTCTTATGCCACACCATGGGGGAAAAGCACAGGTGAGGCTGCATTTAGACACTTAAATACAAATTTTCATACAAATAGTCATGGGTGTGTGTACCCAGGGTTAAGTACAATTCTAAAGTTGCTATTTCTTCCGTTTTAGTCAGAAAAGCATACTGGAATGCAAATGAATGAGAATGATATTATTACATGACAGTCAAGCATTTGCTCTAAATTTAAAAATTAATATATAAAAAGAAATTGCCTGTAAACCTGACCTTGTCAGTTGTGAGAAACTGGCTGTTTCATGACTCAAATGAAGGCAATGCAAGAAAATTGTTAATCTCCTCAGCTCAGCCCTTCGTGATATGGCAACAGCCCACTGCCCTGGCTGTCTTTTGCCACTTTTGCCCTTTGCCCAGCATGCTCACCTGTCTACAGCTATTCAGTGACGTTAGTCTCATCACACAAGCTCTACTCACCTTACAGATACCAAGTATTCCCCTTCAAATCAAATCTCAGGATCAACTCTTTCCTTGCAGAAAAGTCAGCAAGAAAAGAAAATAGCTAAACACAAACTGGTTTTAAAATATCTCTTTACTTACAGGAATCCTCTTTTGAAAATCAAGATTAAAAAAAATTGTAAAATAATTTAAGGAATAAAGTCACCTAAGCCATCATCATTCTCTGTAATACTATCTAGGGGAATAACGAAGCTTCAATTATCAGCACATTTTGTCCTACTTGTCTGTTTCTCATTTTAATTTTAATACTTTTCCTAGTAACCTAATTGCAAAAGTCCCAAGAGTTGTTTTTAACAAGATCAGACAGGCACCACTATCCTAATAATAGTTTTAGAAGATAACAATCATAAAAACATTTACCCCAGCTACTCAGGAGGCTGAGGCATGAGAATCGCTTAAACCCGTGAGGTGGAGGTTGCAGCGAGCGGAGATCATGCCACTGCACTCCAGCCTGAGTGACAGAGACTCAGTCTCGAAAAAAAAAAAAATTTACTTATGCTATAACCTAAAGTTTCATTTAAATATTCAGAAAGCAAAATACCACTAAATGGAATTTGGTAAAGGTCTATTTCTCAGGTCCCATTTACATTCTCTCTCAGTCAAGCACCAAACAAACCCTTGGCTGAAGCTCAGCTGGCTGGGTTAGTGTCATGAGGCTCAGGTGTGGAGAACCTCTCTCTGGGGCCAGAGAGACTAGGAACTATGTATGGCCAAGTATGTAGGTTATCTTAAAATACACAATCATTAACCAGGCTTCCTTCCTCCTACTCCTGACCTCTCTCAGGCACCTACTTATCCACCCACTCACCAAGCTCTAAGTGATCCCTTCTGTAATACCTGGTATTCCTCCCTACAACCTCCTAGTACTCGCTCCAGTGAGCACACACGCACGCACACTAGATACAGGTTTCTAAAACACACATCCTAGAGCCAGAGGTCAACAGGCAGGTACCTAAAATTCTGACTGGGAGCCTCGACTTTCAAGGTTCTCAACGAGCAGCTGCCAAACACACACGAGTCACACCCACTCTGACTCCTAGCTCCCCAATCCTATGCTATGATGGACGTGAAAATGCCTCAAAAGGCTGAAAACACAATGCATGCTACAGGGTATTAACAGCCCAGAGCACCAAGGTGCTGAGGCATAGACCAGGCCAGAGGCATGCACCTGTGCCTAGGCAGGTCTGTGTGTGGGTGAGAAAGCTGGAAGGCCTGGCCAGGTGCAGCGGCTCACGCCTGTAATCCGAGCACTTTGGGAGGCTGAGGCGGGCAGATGATCAGAGGCTAGGAGTTCAAGACCAGCCTGGCCAACATAGTGAAACCCGGTCTCTACTAAAAACAGTTGGGTATGGTGGCGGGCACCTGTAATCCCAGCTACTTGAGAGGCTGAAGCAGAAGAATCGCTTGAGCCCAGGAGGCAGAGGTTGCAGTGAGCTGAGATTCTATCAACTGCACTCCAGCTTGGGCAACAAATGAGACTCCATCTCGAAAAAAAAAAAAGGAAAGAAAGCTGGAAGGCCTGCTCAGCCAGCACTCCTATCTGTGGAGGCAGCCTCCTGAGACCTGGAGCCTCTCAGTCCCTGACCCCCACCACAGCCTCAAATGCTCCTTTTCCTTATAGCCAACATGAAAGGGAGGCAAAAAATCAAACATTGAAACAAACCTTCAGGTGCAGTTCATTCAGATACTACTACTGGTCCAAAGAAAAACTTGAGGGCCAGGCATGGTAGCTCACGCCTGTAATCCCAGCACTTTGGGAGGCCGAGGTGGGCAGATCACCTGAAGTCAGCAGTTCGAGACCAGCCTCACCAACATGGAGAAACCCCGTCTCTATTAAAAATACAAAAAAATTAGCCGGGCATGGTGGCACATGCCTGTAATCCCAGCTACTCCGGAGGCTGAGGCAGGAGAATGGCTTGAATCCAGGAGGCGGAGGTTGCAGTGAACCGAGATCGTGCCATTGCACTCCAGCCTGGGCAACAAGAGCGAAACTCCGTCTCAAAACAAAACAAAACAAAAACAAAAACAAAAAAACACTGAGGACAACCTATGGAAAAATACCCATGAAACCAATTCTAGCTAACTTTTATCTGTGGGCAGGCTGTTTGGTGAGTCAGGATTTGGTTTTTTTGAAGCAAGAGGGTCCCTTACTTCATCCTTCTGAAATGCACTTAGGCTCTCTCTCAACATTCTCCCCCCTTTTTTTGAGATAGGGTCTCACCCTATTGCCCAGGCTTAAATGCAGTGTCATGATCTCGGCTCACTGCAACCTCTAATTACCTGGTTCAAGCAATTGTTCCACCTCAGTCTCCTGAGTAGCTGAGGCTACAGGTGCATGCCCACCACGTCTGGCTCATTTTTGTATTTTTTGGTAGAGATGGGGTTTCACCATGTCTGTGACCAGACTGGTCTCAAACTCCAGACCTCAAGTTATCCACCAGCCTCGCCCTCCCAAAGTGCTGGGATTACAGGCATGAGCCACTGTGCCCAGCTGAGAAAGAGTTTTTTTAAAAAGTAATATTTAGTTAGAAGAAAATGACTTGGCCAAGTGCAGTGGATCATGCCTGTAATCCCAGCACTTGCGGGCTAAGGTGGGTGGGTCACCTGAGGTCAGGAGTTCGAGACCAGCCTGGCCAACATGGTGAAACCCCGTCTCTACTAAAAATACAAAAATTAGCCGGGCAGGGTGGTGCATGCCTGTAGCCCCGCTACTCGGGAGGCTGAGGCAGGAGAATCACTTGAACTCAGGAGGCGGAGGATGCAGTGAGCCAAGATCACGCCACTGCACTCCAGCTTAGGCAACAAGGCAATAGAGCGAGACTCTGTCTCAAAAAAAAAAAAAAGAAAAGAAAATGACTTGGTAATTAAAATGTTCAAGTTCTATTTCATGCTATTCTAATTTACAAAATCCATAACAAGCAAGGGCTGATGTATTTTAAAATCATTCCTCTATGGCTGGGCGTGGTCGCACATGTCTGTAATCCCAGCACTTTGGGAGGCCAAGGCAGGCAGATCGCCTGAGGTCAGGAGTTCAAAACCAGCCTGGCCAACATGGTGAAACCCCATCTATACTAAAAATACAAAAATTCGACGGGCATGGTGGCAGGCATCTGTAATCCCAGCTACTAAGGAGGCTGAGGCAGGATAATCATTTGAACCCAGGAGGCAGACGTTGCCATGAGGCAAGATCATGCCACTGTGCTGGAGCCTGGGTGACAAAGTAAGACTCCATCTCAAAAAAAATCATTCCTGGGCCGGGCACGGTGGCTCACACCTGTAATCCCAGCACTTTAGGAGGCCAAGATAGGCAGATCACGAGGTCAGGAGATCGACACCATCCTGGCTAATACGGTGAAACCCTGTCTCTACTGAAAATACAAAAAAATTAGCCAGGCGTGGTGGCGGGTGCCTGTCGTTCCAGCTACTTGGGAGGCTGAGGTAGGAGAATGGTGTGAACCCAGGAGGTGGAGCTTGCAGTGAGCGGAGATTGAGCCACTGAACTCCAGCCTGGGCGACAGAGTGAGACTCCATCTCAAAAAAAAAAAAAAAAAAAAAAAAAATTCATTCCTCTACCAAGCTCAAGAGAAATTCTAAGACATTTTCATATTTCTCAACTGATTCCAATGTTAGAAATACAGAACCATATATGTTGATTTTGCCTCTAGGTCATGGGTCTTCCTTAATCATTATCTTTCCTTACTGGAAGAAAAACCAACAACTGCAAAACTAAATCTGTTAGGCTTTGGGAACAAGAAAGAGCAAGAAGGCTGAGAATTTGGGGCAAACAAGGAATAGGACAGAACAAAACAAGCTGTGAAACACTAATAATGGGCCAGGCATGGTGGCTCACATCTGTAATCCCAGTACTTTGGGAGGTCGAGGTAGGAGGATTGCTTGAGGCCAGGACCTCGAAATCAGCCTGGGCAAACAACTCTTTTAAAATTAGAGACCTCGTCTCTATAAAAAAATTTTAAAATGAAACGCTAACAGTGCGTATCTTCCAAAATCATCCAGTGCTCTAATTCCATGAATATAAGCTTAAATGAGCAGAAACTAAACTAAAACTAAAAATTAAAACCAAATGTCAAAGGACCCAAAAAGCTAATCTGAACAGATTTTACCTCTAATGCCAAGGCAGTCTTGTCATAAGCACAGGGTACTCTTTTCTGGATTGCTTTCGCAAAGACAGGTCCATTCTGTGTGGATGGCAAAGGGGTGATTGCTGCCCCAGGAGAACCGGAAACTGCAGGTAGAGGAGTTGTGGTCTGAGGTTGAGCGTATGCATGAGCAGGTTCTGGGATCCCATAACTGTTGGAATTCCTATTTCCATGCTTTCCGTGTGGTGAGGATCTCACAAGCTTTTCGACATAAGGGACAGGAATCATCCCAACCCGGCCATCCTTGTTCCGGGCACTCCACCACTGTTCTTCAGGCTTCTCTATTATCACTAGGATCTCACCCTTTTTAAAGGGCAGGTCTTCGGCATCATTCCCAGGAAAATCATACAGAGTCCGTACATATTCCAGGTTATCTTCTGCTGTAGGCAGGTTGGGTGCTGAGACAGATCCCATTGGTGGGCTTGGATACCTTAAGAGAGAAAGAAAATTACTCTAAGAGAAAAATCTTACTCTAAGCCAGTGCCTGTCAAACTTCTTAATATACCACTCTCCTCTATAATAAATTATTTTCCTTTTTTATGAGACAAGTTTTGCTCTTGTCGCCCAGGCTGGAGTGCAATAGCGTGATCTTAGCTCACTGCAAACTCTGCCTCCCAGGTTCAAGTGATGCTCCTGCCTCAGCCTCCTGAGTAGCTGGGATTACAGGCGCCCACTACCACGCCCAGGTAACTTTTTTTATTTTTAGTAGAGAAGGGGTTTCACCATGTTGGCCAGGCTGGTCTTGAACTCCTGACCTCGGGCGATCCACGCACCTCGGCCTCCCAACGTGCTGGGATTACAAGCATGAGCCACCATGCCCGGCCTCTACATTTTTTTTGGAGATGGAGTCTTGTTCTGTTGCCCAGGCTGGAGTGCAGTGGCAGGATCTCAGCTCACTGCAACCTCTGCATCCCAAGTTCAAGCAATTCTCCTGCCTCAGCCTCCTGAGTAGCTGGGACTACAGGCACATGCCACCACGCCCCGCTAATTTTTTCTATTTTTAGTAGAGACGGAATTTCACCTTGTTAGCCAGGATGGTCTTGATCTCCTGACCTCGTGATCTGCCTGCCTCGGCCTCCCAAAGTGCTGGGATTACAGGTGTGAGCCACTGAGCCCAGCCTTTTTTTTGGAGACAGAATCTTGCTCTGTCACCCAGGCTGGAGTGCAGTAGCGCAATTTCAGTTCACTGTAACCTCTACCTCCCGTGTTCAAGTGATTTTTCTGCCTCAGCCTCCCGAGTAGCTGAGATTACAGATGTGCAACACCATACCCAGCTAAATTTTGTATTTTTAGTAGAGACAGGATTTTGGCATGTTGGCCAGGCTGGTCTCAAACTCCTGCTGGCCTCATGTGATCCACCCGCCTCAGCCTCCCAAAGTGCTGTCATTACAGGTGTGAGCCACCACGCCTGGCTTTATTTTCCTTTCTATATTCTTAGTAGTTAAGAAGGTTCTATCATGTTGTAATTTTTGTAGTCTGTACTGTCCCAAAAGTTACTATTCTGAATGTCTTTTCAAATTACAAGTATACACACACACATACACTCCATCTCTGTTTTACAGAAACCTTTTGATTACACAGAGATACCTGGTTTAAATTTATTTTTATAATCTCAAGTAAGTTCGGAAGCTGCCTTCCTTTGGACCCTTGTCACAACCACCACACACTCTTCCTCCCAGTCCTAATCTATGGCTTACATCCTGCACACTTCCCTGGACACACAGAAAATGACAAAGGCCTCTGCCTCTGGCCTCTTGAAAAAAAAGGAACAAAAAAGGGCTTACAGACTTGCCAAATTAAAAATAATAAATCCACCAGGCGTGGTGGCTCAGACCTGTAATCCCAGCACCTTGGGAGGCCAAGGCAGGCAGATGACTTGGAGACCTGCCTGTCCAACATATCAAAACCCTGTCTCTACTAAACAGACAAAAAATGAGCCGGGCATAGTGGCACACACCTGCGGTCCCAGATACTCAAGAGGCTGAGGCAGGAGCATTACTTGAGCCCAGGAGTTAGAAGCTGCAGTGAGCTATGACTGCATCATTACACTCCAGCCTGGGCAACAGAACAAGACTGTCTCAAAACATAAATAAATAAGAGGCCGGCGCAGTGGCTCATGCCTGTAATCCCAGCACTTTGGGAGGCTGAGGTGGGCGGATCATGAGGTCAGGAGATCGAGACCATCCTGGCTAACACGGTGAAACCCCGTCTCTACTAAAAATACAAAAAATTAGCCGGGCATGGTGGTGGGTGCCTGTAGTCCCACTTACTCAGGAGGCTGAGGCAGGAGAACGGTGTGAGCCCGGGAGGCGGAGCTTGCAGTGAGCCAAGATTGCACCACTGCACTCCAGCCTGGGTGACAGAGCGAGACTCCGTCTCAAAAAAATAAAATAAAATAAAATAAAAATAAAAATAAATAGCTAGCAAGAGTAGTAGGAGCAAGAGTAATAATAAAGAGCTCATACTTATTATCTATGCTAGGCATGGTTTACGATCTTTGAAGAGATTGGATTATTTAATAGTCTGTGAGGTAGATGCTGTTATTATCCCCATTTTACAAATGAGGAGCCAAAGAAGAGGTTAGACTTGCACTCAGGGAGTCTGGTTCTAAACTCTTCACTCATAATGAGCTAATCAGCCTTAGGGACGAACCCTGCATCTGTCAGGTGTATGAGAATTAATGGCATAATGCATGTGAGGCATTCAAAATTACCGAGCAGCACCAAGCATCCAATGTACCGACATGAACACACACATACCCCTTCAAGTATATCCCTGCTTCTATTTCTTTCTCTTTTTTTTGAGACAGGGTCTTGCTGTCATCCTGGCTGGAGTGCAGAGTGGCACAACCACAGCTCACTGTAGCCTCCACTTCCCAAGCTCAAGTGATCCTCCCACTTCAGCCTCCTGAGTAGCTGGGACTACAGGCAGTTGCCATCACACACAGCCAATTTTTAAATTTTCTGTAGAGATGGGGGTCTCACTATGTTTTCAGGGCTTGTCTTGAACTTCTAGCCTCAAGCAATTCTCTCGCCTTGGCCTCCCAAAGTGTTGGGATTACAGGTGTGAGCCATCACACCCAGCCCCTGCTATTTCAAGAGCCACAGAGAGCCTGTGAACAGTCCAGTAAGTACCATATAAATTTCAGACACTATTAAGAGCACAGTCAGTTCCACCTTAGACTCCATCCAAGAGTATTTTATTATTTGTATAGTTAAAAGCAGTTAGCCAGTGTGTGGTGGCTCACGCCTGTAATCCCAGCACTTTGGGAGGCTGAGGTGGACGGATCACAAGGTCAGGAGATTGAGACCATCCTGGCTAACACGGTGAAACCCTGTCTCTCTACTAAAAATACAAAAAATTAGCCAGGTGTGGTGGCACACGCCTGTAGTCCCAGCCACTCGGGAGGCTGAGGCAGGAGAATGGTGTAAACCCGGGAGGCGGAGCTTGCAGTGAGCCAAGATCACGTCACTGCCTGAAACAGTTAAGACTCTATCTCAAAAAAAAAAAAAAAAAAAAAAAAAAAAAGCCAGGCGTGTGGTGGCTCACGCCTGTAATCCCAACACTGGGAGGCCGAGGCGGGAGGATCACTTGAGGTCAGGAGTTCAAGACCAACCTGGCCAACATGACAAAAAACCCTGTCACTACTAAAAATACAAAAGTTAGCCAGGTGTGGTGGCGTGCGCCTGTAGGCCCAGCTACTTGGGAGGCCGAGGGAAGAGAATTGCTTGAACCTGGGAGGCAGAGGTTGCAATGAGCTGAGATCACACCACTGCACTCCAGCCTGGGTGACAGAGCAAGACTCCATCTTAAAAACAAACAAAAAAAAGAAGATAGCCAAGCCCATTCATTTACGTATTGTCTATGACTGTTTTTCACTACAAAGGCATAGTTGAGTAGTTGGACAGAGACTCTATGGAAAAGCTGAAAATATTTAAAATCTGACCCTTTACTCAACAGTTTGCTGATCCCCCATCTAAATTCCTGGGTTAGGGAGGCAAAGTGTGCTTTTCAACTTCCTTGCTTCCCTGGTGAGGGGTATGTCTGTGTAGAAATTTGATAAAGATAGTTTCTATTTCCCTCCACTACTATACTGCTATAGTGACCTTGGGGCTCATTTTCTGTGTTAGTATCTGCAGAGATATTCATAAATTTGACACCAAATCAATCTCACCAGCCATAACCCTGACACAAATTCCAAGTCCTCTGCCCTATATTCTCAAACTCATTTATTCATCAAACTCCCCTGAAAATTACACATTAGTTCCACTGAAGAGATAAATACATGTTGCTCCATGTCAGATATCTTAGCCTTTCCATTAGACCCCACTGTCTAAAGAAATATGAAGCATATTCATCAGAAAATTTATTGCTTCCCAATTATTTGTTCTTTGAGCAAGGTTGAAAATAGCACCCTCCCCCAACTTCCCTTTAAAATATAAAGTGTTGCCCAGGCGCAGTGGCTCATGCCTGCAATCCTAGCACTTTGGAAGGCCGAGGCAGGTGGATCATGAGGTCAGGAGTTTGAGACCAACCTGGCCAACATGACAAAACCCTGTCACTATTAAAATACAAAAATTAGCCAGGTGTGGTGGCGTGTGCCTGTAGGCCCAGCTACTTGGGAGGCTGAGGCAAGAGAATTGCTTGAACCCGGGAGGCGGAGGTTGCAGTGAGCTGAGATCATGCCACTGCACTCCAGCCTGGGCGACAGACAGAGATTCCGTCTCAAAAAATTAAATAGATAAGGCAGGTGCAGTGGCTCACGCCTGTAATCCCAGCACTTTGGGAGGCCAAGGCGGGCGGATCAAGAGGTCAGGAGATCGAGACCATCCTGGCTAACACAGTGAAACCCCATCTCTACTAAAAATACAAAAAAATTAGCTGAGCGTGGTGGCAGGCGCCTGTAGTCCCAGCTACTCGGGAGGCTGAGGCAGGAGAATGGTGTGAACCCGGGAGGCAGAGCTTGCAGTGAGCCGAGATCGCGCCACTGCACTCCAGTCTGGGTAACAGAGTGAGACTCCGACTCAAAAATAAATAAATAAAATAAAATAAAATAAAATGCACAGGGTTTTCAAGCCCATCCAAACACCCTTGACCATGCTTCTCACTTTTTGCCTATTGTCCACTACACACTTTGAGCAGCAAAGCCCCTAACAACTAATTCGTAACTGACTTTTCTTTTCTGATGATAACGAATCTCTCAGCTCTTTTGGTTAAAAGCGTTCTCAGTTTCTACATGTATAAACCATACACAAAACATCTTTAAACCAAGTGCTAATATGTTCTAAGCTTAAAATCTCCTTATGCATGCTAAGAACCAATACAATCAACTTCTAGAAAAAGGAAGTTTCAAAGGTGCTGGTAATATTCCTTTTTTTTTTTTTTTTTTTTTTTTTGAGATGGGATCTCGTTCTGTTGCCCGAGCTAGAGTGCAGAGGCACAATCATGGCTCATTGCAGCCTCAACCTCCAAGGCTCAAGCGATCCTCCCACCTCAGCCTTCTGTGTAGCTGGGACTACAGGTGCATGCCACCACATCCGATTAATTTTTGTATTTTTGGTAGAAACAGGGTCTTGCCATGTTGTCTAAGCTGGTCTTGAACTCCTGAGCTCAAGCAATCTTCCCACCTCAGCCTCCCAAAGTCCTGGGATTACAGTCTGGGCCACCACGCCTGGCCAATGTTTTATTTATTTATTTTTTAAAGGGAGCACACAGATGATAGTTTTTTTTGGCTTGTTTTGTAAATTTTTTTGAGATAGCGTCTTGCTCTATGGCCCAGGCTGGAGTGCAGCAGTACGATCATGGCTCACTATAGCCTTGACCTCCCAGGCTCAAGTGATCCTCCCACCTCAGCCTCCCATGTAGCTGGGACTACAGGCATGAGCCACCATGCCCAGCCAATCCTTGTTTAATTTTTTGCAGAGATGGGGGTTTATGTTGCCCAGGCTGGTCTTGAACTCCTGGGCTCAAGCAATCCTCCTACCTCAGCCTCCCCACTATTTGGGACTACAGGTGCATGCCACCACACCCAGCTTACATATACTTTTTTTTTGAGACAGAGTCTCACTCTATTGCCCAGGCTGGAGTGTAGTGGTGTGATCTCAGCTCACCAAAACCTCTGCCTCCTGGGTTCAAGCTATTCTTGTGCCTAAGCCTCCCCAGTAGCTGGGATTACAGGGCCCCACTACTGCCGGGCTAATTTTGTATTTTTAACAGAGATGGGTTTCACATGCTGGCCAGGCTGGTCTTAAACTCCTGACCTCAAGTGATCTGCCTCCCTCGGCCTCCCAAAGTGCTGGGATTACAGACATGAGCCAACGTGCCCAGGCTTACTCTTTTTCCTTTTTTTTTTTTTTTTTTTTTTTTGAGACAGAGTCTTGCTCTGTTACCCAGACTGGAGTGCAATGGTGCGATCTCAACTCATTGCAACCTCCACCTCCCGGGTTCAAACAATTATCCTGCCTCAGCGTCCCAAGTAGCTGGGATTACAGGCATCTACCACCACGCCCGGCTAATTTTTGTCTTTTTAGTAGAGACAGGGTTTCACCACGTTGGCCAGGCTGGTCTCGAACTCCTGACCTCAAGTGATCCACCTGTCTTGGCTTCCCAATGTGCTGAGATTACAGGCGTGAGCCACGGCACCCTTACTCTTTTCTATGTATGAAATATTTCACAGTTAAAAAAAAAAAAAAAAAGGTAGAAAACTTAATTCCAGCTGGGCGTGGTGACTGGCTCATGCCTGTAATCCCAGCACATTAGGGGGCCGAGGCAATTGGATCACCTGAGGTCAGGAGTTTGAGACCAGCCTGGTCCAATATGGTGAAACCCCATCTCTACTAAAAATACAAAAATTAGCCGGGCATGGTGGTGGGCGCCTGTAATCGCAGCTACTCAGGAGACTGAGGCAGGAGAATCACTTGAACCCGGGAGGTGGAGACTGCAGTGAACCGAGATCATGCCACTGCACTTCAGCCTGGGCGACAGAGCGACACTGTCTCAAAAAAAAAAAAAAAAAATTCAATTCCAAGATGAGCTAAGTACTTCTCTAGTGAAACTGCTTTAACCACCATTCTTTTTTTTTTTTTTTTTTTTTTTTTGAGACGGAGTCTTGCTCTGTCACCCAAGCTGGAGTGCAGTGGTGCGATCTTGGCTCACTGCAATCTCTGCCTCCCAGGTTCAAGCCATTCTCCTGCCTCAGCCTCCCGAGTAGCTGGGACTATAGGCGCACGCCACCATGCCTGGCTAATTTTTTATATTTTAGTAGAGACAGGGTTTCACTGTGTTGGCCAGGCTGGTCTCGAACGCATGAGCTCAGGCAATCCACCTGCCTCCGCCTCCCAAGGTGCTAGGATTACAGGCGTGAGCCACCATGTCCAGCCAGTAACCACCATTCTTTATCACTGACCAGCATTTAATGCCCAGGTCCCCTCCCTTCTGTCCCTGGGCTTTCAGGCCATCACTAATGGCTCCTCCTCCTATGCTTGTGGCTGCCTCTCCTTCCGCAGCTTCTCTTTCTCTACTTATTCCTGTTCTGCCTCCTCATTCTGGGTGATCCCATCTAAGCTGCGATTCCCAAATCTATATGTATTCAGCCCTTACCTCTCTTCTCAATAACAAACCCATCAGATTGCTAAATACCACCTGGCTTCCAGCAGGTACCTCAAAGAAAGATTCTTCCTGTTGAAAAGAATCACGCACCCACCCTAATCCCTTTCTCTTGTCTCAAAGGCACCACTCAATCCTCTCTGAAGTCATCATACCTCTCCCCTCACCTTCTATGTGCCACTTTACATTCCTATGGCATTTGATCTTGGCTCAGCTTCTCAGGGTCCCTCTCCAGTAACAGAGAATTAGTCCTTCAGATCTTTCCCCACCCAGAGCAGTTTCTCAAAAGTAAAACTCATCAGTTCTCCTTTTAAAATCTGACAGTTCTCTTTTTAAAAACTTTAGATGGCTCCCATTGTTAAGCTCATTTACAAGGCTGAGGAGGCCCTTTACAAGTTGGCTTTATCTTTCCTTCCTAGGTTCCTGCCCATCATCTACATTAATTATAACTGTGTCTTTACCAGCAAGCACTGCCACCATCTCTTCTACCACCACCTCTTCTACCTCGTATACTTGTTCTCATCCTTAAAGAATCAGTTGAAGAGCATCTCCTCTTTCAAGCCTCTCCCCACCTCTTAGGTACAGTTGATTGCCTTTGCTTTTAAGCTGTCATGGCATTCTAATTTTTTCAATAGACCAAAGCTTCTCAAAGACAAAAATCAAAAACAAAAACATGGTTTACTTCCATTAGATTCCAAGAGTCTAGCAGTGAGCTTTGGTATATTGTAGGCCTCTATATATCAAAGAACTTCCCTTTCCTATTTCCCTCCTTTTTTGTTTCTGAAAGCACAAAAGCTCAGGTATTCAAATTACCTAACTCTGGTTTAATACTGTCACAAAACTGGTGTGACAGAATTCGAATACCGTTGAGTGTGCACCTTCAAAGCCTCTTCTCATCCTCTTCCACTGTTCTTGTCACGTTCATTCCAGGTGAGTTGCTATGTGCCTGGTGGCCCCACCCAACTTGTTATGATTTTAGCTCAGATTCAACTCAAGTTAATCTGAACTCCCAACTAATAGGCTGTGCCCCCTTTTACTTATCTGAAAGAATTAAAATAATGTTTTTTGTTTGTTTGTTTTTTGTTTTCCGAGACGAAGTCTCGCTCTGTTGACCAGACTGGAGTGCAGTGGCGCTGGCGCAATCTCGGCTCACTGTCATCTCTGCCTCCCAGGTTCAGTCTCGAACTCCCGACCTGCCAGACCTCCCAAAGTGCTGGGATTACAGTCGTGAGCCACCACGCCCGGCCCAGAATTAAAATATTTTAATCTTAAAGACCCTCAGAAATCTAGTCTAATCATTCAGATCAAAAGGAAAAATTTAGGTCACAATTCTGTGGATTTGAGTTTTAAAAGTCACAAATCGAATGGCTACTAGTACTTTCCATGGGAACACAACTCTTTTTTTTTTTTTTTTTTTGAGACGGAGTCTCGCTCTGTTGGCAGGCTGGAGTGCAGTGGTGTGATCTTGGCTCAGTGCAACCTCTGCCTCCCAGGTTCAAGCGATTCTCCTGTCTCAACCTCCGGAGTAGCTGGGACTACAGATGCATGCCACCACGCCCAGCTAGTTTTTGTATTTTTAGTAGAGACGGGGTTTCACTATGTTGGCCAGGATGGTCTTGATCTCCTGACCTCATGATCCGCCCGCCTAAGCCTCCCACAGTGCTGGGATTACAGGCGTGAGCCACCACATCCGGCTGGGAACACAACTCTTAATTGGACAAGATTCCATTCTCAGCATGACAGTGTTCTTGTTTTTTGTTTTTTTGGAGAGAGTCTCACTCTGTCGCCCAGGATGGAGTCCAGCTGCACGACCTCGACTCACTTTAACTTCCACCCCCCAGGTTCAAGTGATTCTCCTGCCTTTAGCCTCTTAGGCACACGCCGCCATGCCCAGCTAATTTTTTGTATTTTAGTAGAGACAGGGTTTCACCGTGTTGCCCAGGCTGGTCTCAAACTCCTGCACTCAGGCAATCCACCCACCTTGGCCTCCCAAAGTGCTGGGATTACAGGCGTGAGCCACTGCACCTGGCCATGTTCTTGTATTTTTCTCTGAATCAAATTCACATGATTTTAACTACTGGTCAGGAGAAACGCAAAGGGGTTTATTCACAGAGTTGAATTCTATGCTGATTAAAATTACTGGCAATCCTTTCCCCATTCCAAATTATGGAAGTCTAGATTTGAGTTCTTAAATAATTAGAACAGGGGATGTAAAGAGGAGGCACAACCATGCTTCTTGTTTCCTCCTGTCCCTTCAGGGATTGGCTTCTACTTCACAGGTGTGTGAGGCTCCTCTTCTGGGCTCTCAGGTTAGACTAAGCACCCTTTCTCAGTTCTCCCACAGCTGTTTCACCATGCATGGAGATTAAATATATTAAATATATACAACTTACATTCATTCATTCATTCATTTTTTGAGACAAGGTCTGGCTCTGTTGCCCAGGCTGAAGTGCAGTGGCATGATCATAGCTCACTGTAGCCTCGACCTCCCATGCTCAAGCAATCTTTCCACTTCAGCCTCCCAAGTAGCTGGGACTTAAAGGCGCATGACACCATGCTCAGCTAATTTTTTAATTTTTTGTGGGAATGGGGTCTCACTATCTTGCCAGGGCTGGTCTCAAACTCCTGGGATCTAGCGATCCTCCTGCCTTAACCTCCCGAAGTGCTGGGATTACAGGCACGAGCCACCGAGCACAGCCAACCTTTACATTTTTTTTTTTTTTAGTAGCCAGGCGCGGTGACTTACGCCTGTAATCCCAGCACTTTGGGAGGCCGAGGCGAGCAGATCCCCTGAGGTCAAGAGACAGAAAACCATCCTGCTCAACATGGTGAAACCCCATCTCTACTAAAAATACACAAATTAGCCAGGTGTGGTAGCGCGTGCGCCTGTAGTCCCAGCTACTTGGGAGGCTGAGGCAGGAGAATCACTTGAACCTAGGAGGTGGAGGTTGCAGTGAGCCAAGATTGCACCACCACACTCCAGCCTGGCAACAGAGCAAGACTCTGTCTCAAAAAAAAAAAAAAAAATGCCAGGCGCGGTGGCTCATAACTGTAATCCCAGCACTTTGGGAGGCCCAGGCGGGCGGTTCACGAGGTCAGGAGATCGAGACCATCCTGGCTAACACGGTGAAACCCCGTCTCTACTAAAAATACAAAAAGTTACCCGGGCATGGTGGCGGGCACCTGTAGTCCCAGCTAACTCAAGAGGCTGAGGCAGGAGAATGGCGTGAACCCAGGAGGCGGAGCTTGCAGTGAGCCAAGATCCCGCCACTGCACTCCAGCCTGGGCGACAGAACAAGACTCCGTCTCAAAAAAAAAAAAATTTTTTTTTTAGTAACCAGTAAGCTCCTCAGAAGCATGATAGGGCTGTCTGATTCAATGTTGGTTCCATATTACCAGGTACATGTAATGCTCAAAGTCTGCTGAGTACAGTACATTATTTTCTTGAAGGGCCAACTTCCTTTAGTTTTTAATGGTAAAATTTTATTTATTCTAATTTTTCTTCATAGCCTGAATTTATCTATCGACACAAGCTAGAAATGGAAAATGTCAAACAAAGCAAGCTACCTTCTGAAGCATTCTGTTGTTAAACTGGAAACAGCCCTTATTAAATAAAAATACACTAGAGCTAGGCCAGGCGCAGTGGCTCACACCTGTAATCCCAGCACTTTGGGAGGCCCAGGCAGGTGGATCACTTGAGGTCAAGAGTTCAAGACCAGCCTGGCCAACATGGTGAAACCCTGTCTCTACCAAAAATACAAAAATTAGCCAGGTGTGGCAGTGCATGCCTGTAATCCCAGCTACTAGGGAGGCTGAGGCAGGAGAATCTTAAACCCCAGAGGCGGAGGTGGCAGTGAGCCCAGATTATGCCACTTCACTACAGCCTGGGGGACAGAGGGAGACTTGGTCTCAAAAAAATAAATAAAATAAAATCCACCATAGGAATACCACAAATACAAAAAGCAGTTAAAGATAAAAACACAGAAGATAACAAAGTTACAAATAGACCAAATCATCCCTTCTTCCCTTTCCCTTCATCCCCACCCACCAGCAAATCAATTTTATCTCCAAAATAGGCATCTCCAAGTCACAGCTCCACTGTCACTATTAGTCACCATCATTTTGTAGCTGGATTACAATAACAGCCCCAGGTCACTCCTCTGCCTCAAATTCCTTCCTTGGAGCCCACAGCACTTTAAATAAAAACCCAATTCCTGACCCTGATCTTTATCTCCAAACTCATTTTATATGTCCCCCTTTCTCCTTTAAGAAACACACTCCCAGGCCGGAGAGGGTGGCTCACATCTGTAATCCCAGCACTTTGGGAGGCTGAGGCAGGTGGATCATGAGGTCAAGATATAGGGACCATCCTGGCCAACATGGTGAAACCTTGTCTCTACTAAAAATACAAAAATTAGCCGGACATGGTGGCGGGTGCCTGTAGTCCCATGCAGTCCCAGCTACTCAGGAGGCTGAGGTAGGAGAATCACTTGAACCTGGGAGGCAGAGGTTGCAGTGAGCCGAGATTGGGCCACTGCACTCTAGCCTGGCCACAGAGTGAGACGTCATCTACCAAAAAAAAAAAAAAAAAAAAAAAGCCGGGCGCAGTGGCTCACACTTGTAATTCCAGCACTTTGGGAGGCCGAGGCGGGCGGATCACTAGGTTAGGAGATCGAGACTATCCTGGCTAACATGGTGAAACCCCGTCTCCACTAAAAATACAAAAAATTTGCCCGGCATGGTTGCAGGCGCCTGTAGTCCCAGCTACTCGGGAGGCTGAGGCAGGAGAATGGTGTGAACCCAGGAGGCGGAGCTTGCAGTGAGCCGAGATCGCACACTCCAGCCTGGGCGACAGAGCAAGACTCCGTCTCAAGAAAAAAAAAAAGAAAAAAGAAAGAAAGAAAAGAAACACACTCCCAACACAATGGACTTTCTCACCTCAGGACATCTACATAAGCTTTTCCCTAAACTTGGAAGGCTCTTCTCCTCCTCTCAGGCCAAGCCTTGCCTAGGCTGGGTTCTTCTTTACCCTCAGGTCTTAGCTTCATGCTTTCTCTGACCACGCCACCCCAGGTAGGTCCCTCCTGTATATTGATCTTACTAGTACTTTATTTTTCTACTTTTCAGTCTGTCTTCTCCACTACAGTAGGAGTTCCACAGGAAGAAAGTATGTCTGTCACACATCTTTCCCAGTACCTACACTGGGTTACACTGGGTTATAATTCTCTTATAAACATTTGAATAAAAATATAAAATTAAAAATTATGAAGCATTCTAATGAAAAGGATAAGACTATAACAATGCAAGCCACCAGTCCTTAAATTTCGAGTAGGACATTATTGTTACAAATTTTAGCTATGCAAGATAAACCAAAATATTAGCCAAGAGGCATGAAACTCTGGCTTTAAAAGCTCAGTTTTGATGCCTGCAAAGTTAAGCCACTAAATGTACCCTGTTTGGGATGCGAAGAAGCATTACACTGAGTTTTCCGTTTGGCCCAGGCTCTAGTAGTCACTAGCTTTCTATAAAAGGCTAATAACATGTTAAACCTAAGCCATGAAAACCAGGCTTGGGAGTGGCAATTCGAAGATTCAGTATAACAAAGTAAACTCAGTCAGGATCTAATTCAACCAGCATGGTGATCTCCTTCAGAGATACCTAGGAAAATGAAAAACTAAATTAAAGCAACAGGCCTGAGGCAGAGGGCACAGAGAAGGAGAAACAAAGCTGAACGTGAGGGGTAGGGTCAGAGAAAGGCCCTATAATCTGTGAGGGGACTGGAACAACAGGTAGGATTTCAACAGATGGAGAGTGAGGTGTAGTTAAGGCAGTCAGTGAAGAGCCAACAGCTGGAGCAAAGGTGCAAAGGTACAAAGGTATGAGTAAGGAAGGATGGCTACCAGGGAATAAGTGAGCAGCCTAGTACAGCTGCAGTAAAGGAAGGACGAAAGAGGGCAAAGACAGAATTACATGCTTGTTCTCTAAGAAGATGCATGCATGTACGGAAAATCTGGAGGCGATTCTGTGGATAGAGAGAAGCGGCATACTTCTTTTCCTTCCTCTAGAAGGAGACTCAAGTCATTAACTTTTTCCTTTTTTTTTTTTGAGACAGAGTCTCACTCTGTCACCCGGGCTGTGCAGTGGCGCGATCTCGGCTCACTGCAACCTCCGCCTCCCGGGTTCGAGCGATTCTCCTGCCTCAGCCTCCCGAGTAGCTGGGATTACAGGCACCCACCACTACGCCCAGCTAATTTTTTGTATTTTTAGCAGAGACGGGGTTTCACCATGTTGGCCAAGATGGTCTTGAACTCCTGACCTCGTGATTCGCCCGGCTTGGCTTCCCAAAGTGCTGGGATTACTGGCGTGAGCTACCACACCCGCCCATTAACTTGCTTTTTGAAACAGCTGTATTATTAGTACTCATGACCTCAACATAAGCATATGCATGGCTTAATGAATGCCTGGTATTAATTATATAATTCACGCTCACAAACGAGAGGAAGAATTTATTCAGTCATATTACAAATCTCACTACAGTGGGTTCTAAGATTCTCAACTCCTTAAATTGGAATTATATTGTGCTCAAAGTTGACTGCAACTACCAGCATCTGCCAGGAACCGCAGGTTTCACCAATCAGATTCTTGGTGTCCTGGTCTTTGTTATACAGTATTTGATTTATAATCACTTTCTCCCCACTTTTAAAGTCCATTTAGTTCAGTAGTTAATCTTGTAGTCATTATACTGTCATGGCTTTTTTTTTTCTATCTCTATCCCACTATGCAAACAGTTGGTGTCCTCAATTATAATAGCTTTTAATGTTTAAAGTTTAGAGTAATACCCGGTCGACAAATCCATAAAGTCATAAACATCTAACCCTGGAAAAACTGTATCAACACCCAGTCCTTTTAAAATAGATGTTTAAGAAACGAACTGGCCAGTTTGTTACTTTAAAAATTCTAGGCAACTTTTCAACTCAAATTTGGGATAATTTAAATAAAAGAAACCTCTGATAAAATCAGTGTTACAGGGCAAACACAACAATAAAAGCAAATCTCTGCTAAAACGCTTAAGGCAAATTAAAGCAACTAATCAATTAAAATAACGTATTTCACTTGGAAAAGAGAATGCTTGGTCACTTTGCGTTAATTTTAAAATAAGAAATACAAAATCATTAGACTTAACACAAAAAGCATGTCTGAAATTGAACTAGGATACAACTAAGTGTCATTCAAAAATTTTCCTTAATAACATTCTAGCCTAATTCCACCTTGGAAATTAACCAGACTGATCTCTGGCCTACTAATGGTCCTCGGGGAGAAAATATGCAATAAATTTTCCAAAAAATATCCTCGCTGAAGCCAATGCACCTTCTCTTATCTTTGTAATTAACGTACTATAAAAGTGGTGGTGTCTGGCCTGCTTCAAACTTGGCACCACAGTATCAATATACAGTTCTGATATTTTGGTTAAAGGTTTTTTTGTTTCTAAACGCTAAAGCATTTTCATTTTTTTGACTGTTCCAAAGGCTGCAGTCCTGGAGTTCTTAACCTGGAGTTCAGAGATCTGGAGGGAGTACAAGCACCCGGGATGGTGTGCAAACTTGTGTGTACGTGCCTTTGGCGGGGAGGGGTGGGGGTGGGGGTGGGGGTGGGGTGGTGAGTGCTCGGCTATCTTCAGATTCTCAAAGAAGTCTATGGCTTAAAAACGGTTTTTGGCCGGGTGTGGTGGCTCACGCCTGTAATCCCAGCATTTTGGGAGACCGAGGCAGGCGGATCACGAGGGCAAGAGATCGAGACCATCCAGGCCAACATGGTGAAACACCGTCTCTACTAAAAATACAAAAATTAGCTGGGTGTGGTGGCGTGAGCCAGTAGTCCCAGCTACTCGGGAGGCTAAGGCAGGAGAATCGCTTGAACCCGGGAGGCGGAGGTTGCAGTGAGCCGAGATCGCACCACTGCACTCCAGCCTGGCGACACAGCGAGACTCCGTCTCAAAAAAAAAAAAAAAAAAGAGGTTTTTAGAAAAACCAACAAATCCCTGCATCAGTATTACACCCAGAGAAAGTCACGAAAGGCAAAAAGCGTGCATTTTAACTATGCAACCACCGTTAAACATTCAAAACGCATCCTCTTCACATTGAGAAACAGCCTCGTGAGAGGGAAAAAAAAAAAACGCATCCTCTTATCCAGTGACCCAGATCCTGACACTAGCTTTCTGTTAGGAAGGCCTTCTGGAAAATAATTTGGTTCAGAATGCGGGGAATATGGGTTCAAGCGCGCCCCACCCCCCTATACAAGCACTCTTCGACAGACCCGGTTCTCGACCTTCCTCCGCGGTCGGGGAGGGCTCTCGCGTACCTGGGCGCAGGCTCGATGAGGGTGGTGGTGTCCAGGTAGTGGATCTTGTAAAACTCCAGCAGGGCCGGCAAATGGTCAAATTCCTGGTCCCCGATCTTAAAACGGCGGTTGGGCAGCGAGTTGATGATGTAGTGGGAGACCCGCGAGTTCTCGGACACCGACAGCACATAGTCCCCAGGGCAGGTGGAAGAATCGCGGACGAGGAACATACCGTGGCGCTGGCCCTGGAGCCGGGTCTGCGCCTCCTGGCGAGACACCGGCCCCATATACCAGGCGGAGCGGTCCGAGGAGTCGAACCTGGCGGAGGACATGGTGTTGGACCGGGGACTCTGCGGCGGTAGGGGCGGCGGCTGTCCTCGCCTGCTCTGCACGCCTTAGCCCGGCAGACGGCTTTGGGGCCGAGGAAGGGCCTCTCGCACACCTCGAGGAGCGCTCAGAGGGCTGGGCCAGCACTTTCCTCTCGGCTCCGGGCCCGCAGCATCCTCCGACGCCGCCCGCCTGCTCCGGGGCCGCCACACGGAGAGAGCCGCCCGGGAATGCACGGCAGAGCCGGGGGGTCGGGGCAGGCAAACCCGAGCCGCAGCGGAGGCCACCCCGGGGTTCTCGGGCTGCTCGGCGTCCCAGGGGTGCCTCCAGTGACTCCCGGCCTGGAACGCGCCGGCGCCGCAGCTCGACGGGTCTTCACCGACCCCCGCCGTCACACGAGGCACCGAACTCGAAGGAGCGTCGCGCCTCCGGGGTGCTTTTGCCCAGCTTGTTCCCAATAGCCACAGCAACAAAATGGCGGACGCGGGAGAAGCGGCAGCCACCTCCCCCTCCGCTCAGCGCGCTCCGTCTGCGCACGCGCTGGGCCCCGGCTCCCGGCGGCCGCCGGGGCCCTCCCGTTACGTCACACAGCGCAGCCAATCAGGAGCACCGTCGCGACGATCAGGGTGGGCGCTGGTCGCGCCCGCTCCCGCGTTCCAGGAGGAGGCTGAAGAGGCGCCGGCGGTAGGCACTCTCTTCCTGGGCCGCTGCGCGCCGCTGGGGGCGCTGCGGCTGCCGGGTCTCCCAGCGCTGGCAGGAAAACAGCTGGAGCCGAGAGGGAACCGCGTTTCGAAAACCTGCTTCTGGGAACAAAGCGTAACGTGCAGGCTGAATCGCGGGCCAGGGAGGCGTGGCACTGAGGCGACCTGGCCAGCCTAGGGGCCTGAGGGAGGTCAAGGACTGACAGGTCCCGATGGGCCGAGGTGGCCCAGTAAAAGGATGAGCCCAGGGGCAGATGTGACCACCAGATAGGTGACTGACTGAATGACTCAGTCCCCAGGTGGCCTGATAGGCTAAGGAAGCCCTAGTGGCTACGTGACCCGCTAAATGGAGTGAGAGGAGAGAGAAGGTGAGGGTTAGATTGACTCAATTAAGTGGTCAAGGAAGTCCACAAGTGGGTAACCTGGCTATCATGGGCTCTGAACTGCTGAAAGTAAAATACAAATGCCTCTCGGGCGTGGCCCCGAGGCTTCCCCTGCCCCGGATTATGCCTGCTTCTGCCTATTTATTAATCCCTATTTGTTTTTGTTTGTTTTCTTTCTTTCTTTCTTTCTTTCTTTCTTTCTTTCTTTCTTTCTTTCTTTTCTTTTTTCTTTTCTTTTCTTTCTCTCTCTCTCTCTCTTCCTTTCCTTTCCCTTTCCCTTTCCTTTCCCTTTCCCTTTCCTTTCCTTCTTTCGACGGAGTCTCGCTCTGTCACCAGGTTGGAGTGCAGGGGCGCGATCTCGGCTCACTGCAACCTCCGCCTCCCGGGTTCAAGCGATTCTCCTGCCTCAGCCTCCCGAGTAGCTGGGATTACAGCTGTCCGCCGCCATGCCCTGCTAATTTTTGTATTTTTAGTAGAAACGGGGTTTCACCATGTTGGCCAGGCTGGTCTCAAACTCCTGACCTCAGGTGATCTGCCTGCCTCAGCTTCCCAAAGTGCTAGGATTACAGGCGTGAGCCACCGTGCCCAGCCTGTTTGTTTTATTTTGTTTGTTTTTGAGACAGGTTCTCCTTCTGTCACCCAGGCTGGAGTGCAGTGGAACTATCATGGCTCACTGCAGCCTTGATTTCCCCATCTCAAGGGATCCTCCCACCTCAGCCTTCCGAGTAGTTGGGACTACAGGCTCGCGCTGCCATGCCCAGCTAATTTTTTTGATTTTTTTTTTTTTTTTTTTTTTTTTGAGACGGAGTCTCGCTCTGTCGCCCAGGCTGGAGTGCAGTGGCGGGATCTCGGCTCACTGCAAGCTCCGCCTCCCGGGTTCACGCCATTCTCCTGCCTCAGCCTCCCAAGTAGCTGGGACTACAGGCGCCCGCCACTACGCCCGGCTAATTTTTTGTATTTTTAGTAGAGACGGGGTTTCACCGTTTTAGCCGGGATGGTCTCGATCTCCTGACCTCGTGATCCGCCCGCCTCGGCCTCCCAAAGTGCTGGGATTACAGGCGTGAGCCACCGCGCCCGGCCTTTGATTTTTAATAGAGACGAAATCTCACCATGTTGCCCAGGCTCGTCTCAGACTTTTGAGCTCAAACAATCCTCCCCCTCAGCCAAGATGTGAGCCACCCCGCCCAGCTATGTATGAAACAAGTTAATATATGCAAAGTGCTTAGAATAGTACCTGGCACATAGTAAGCATCATATGAGTCTTCCATTATTATTATTCAGTCATTCCCTGGGCCTCTACCTCTATACCCTAAAACCCTGAGCATACACCCTCAGTGGGTGGGTGAGGGTGGAGAGAAAAATCTCCACTTTGTTTTCTAACTACTTTTCACTGTCAGATTTACCACTTCATAATCACCTGCTCCTTGCCCAGCCCTTTTTTTTTTTTTTTATTCTGATACGGACTCTAGCTCTGTAGCCCAGGCTGGAGGAGTGCAGTGGCGTGATCTCAGCTCACTGCAACCTCTGCCTCCCAGGTCCAGGTTCAAGCAATTCTCCTGCCTCAGCCTGCCAAGTAGGTGGGATTGATTACAGGCATGCACCACCATGCCCAGCTAATTTTTGTATTTTTAGTAGAGACAGGGTTTCACCATGTTCGCCAGGCTGGTCTTGAACTCCTGACCTCATGATCCTCCTGCCTCAGCCTCCCAAAGTGCTGGGATTACAGGCGTGAGCCACCGCCTGTAATCCTAGTGGTGATTTTTTAATTTTTAAATTTTTTGTAGAGATGAGGTCTCACTGTATTGCCCAAGCTGATCTGGAACTGCTGGGCTCAGGTAATCCTCCCAGCTTGGCCTCCCAAAGTGTTGGGATTACAGACGTGAGCCACCCACCCAGCTGCTCAACCTTCTTAATCTGGCTTCTACCCATGCTTTGACTGAATTAGGCTTTTTGGGTTTTGTTTTGTTTTTAAAGACATGTCTCTCTGTTGCTGACTCTCGTCTCAAATTCCTAGGCTCAAGTAGTCCTCCTGCCTCAGCCTCCAAAGTAGCTAGGATTACAGATGTGAGCCACAGCAACCCGCTCTCTGCCCTCTAAATGCAGAGCGTCCTTCACCTCTCCATAGTTTTTCCTTTAGTAGGCTAATAATCAGCATGAAGCATTTAGGGGTCACATCTCTGGTGACTCCAAACACATATTCTAAAAGCAGAACCAAAACTGACCATACTCTCTGATTACTATGTATACACTGTGGGCACAGCCTAAATTAATTTTTATCACATTCTATTGTAATTGTTCATAAATATTTTTCTCATCCCAATCTGAGCATCTTGAGGGCAGCCTGCTATATATTATTTTTTCTATTCCCAGTACCTAGCACATAATACATACTTTTTTTTTTTTTTGAGATGGGGTCTCATTCTGCTGCCCAGGCTGGAGTGTAGTGGTGCAATCTCGGCTCACTGCAACCTCTGCCTTCTGGATTCAAGTGATTCTCCTGCTTCAGCCTCCTGAGTAGTTGGGATTACAGGCACGCGCCACCATGCCTGACTAATTTTTGTATTTTTAGTAGAGATAGGGTTTCACCATGTTAGCCAGGCTGGTCTCGAACTCCTGACCTCATAATCTGCCCGCCTTGGCCTCCCAAAGTGCTCGGATTACAGGTGTGAGCCACCACGCCCAGCCGATACATACTTAATGTATGGTTTTTGAATGTAGATGGATAAAGATGGGAGGAAGCCAGAGAAAAATGATAATTGAACATTAGCTGCTGGCTCACTCCCTTTTCAGCAGCCCTCTTTGCCTCAGCCCTCTTTGCCTCATCTTTTCAGGGTGTACTATCTGTCTATATAAACTATCTGCTCTTGGCCAGGTGCAGTGGCTCACACCTGTAATCCCAGCATTTTGGGAAGGTGAAGCAGGTGGATCCTTTGAGGCCAGGAGTTAGAGACCAGCCTGGACAACATTGCAAAACCCCATCTCTATTTTAAAAAAAGTAAAAACATTCTTTTTTTCGAGACAGAGTCTCACTCTGTTGCTCAGGCTAGAGTGCAGTGGCGTGATCTCGGCTCACTGCAACCTCCGCCTCCCTGGTTCAAGTGATTCTTCCTGCCTCAGCCTCCTGAGTAGCTGGGACTACAGGCGCATGCCACAACACCTGGCTAATTTTTGTATTTTTTAGTAGAGACCAGGTTTCAACATATTGGCCAGGCTGGTCTTGAACTCCTGACCTCGCAACCCGCCCACCTTGGCCTCCCAAAGTGCTGGGATTACAGGAGTGAGCCACGGCACCCAGTCAATGTAAAAACATTGTAAAAATAAACTCTCTGCTCTCTATTTTCCTTAAATAAACTCTCTTTTTAGAAAAAAGTAAAGTCCGGGCACAGTGGTTCACACCTGTAATCCCAGCACTTTGCAAGGCTGAGGTGGGCAGATCACTTGAGGTGAGGAGTTCAAGACCAGTCTGGCCAACATAGTGAAACCCTGTCTCTACTAAAAATACCAAAATTAGCTGAGCATGGTGGCGCTCACCTGTAGTCCCAGCTACTTAGGAGGCTGAGACAGGAGAATAGCTTGAACCTGGGAGGCGGAGGTTGCAGTGAGCCAAGATTGTGCCACTACCCTCCAGCCTGGGAGACAGAGTGAGACACCATCTCAAAAAAAAAAAAAAAAAAAGAACCAAATATCTCTCATTTTGCTTCTAAATACTCCAGAGGGGAATAAGGTGTGGGTTAGATAAAAGTGAAACAAGAATGGCCATGTGAGATTGATAATTATTGAAACCAGGTGACATGATGCGAGGGTAGGGTTAATTATATTCTATAATACTTTTATGTATGTTTGGAATTTGTCATAATAAAATTTTTGTAAAAGATACTTTCCTTTATTTTTCCTTAGCACAGTTGAGACAAGCATAAAATAAACTTTCCAGGCTGGGCATGTTGGCTCATGCCTGTAATCCCAGCACTTTGGGAGGCCAAGGTGGGTAGATCACTTGAGCCCAGGTGTTCAAGTCCCAGCTACTCAGGAGGCTGAGGTTGGGGGATCATCTGAGCCCAGGAGGTCGAGGCTGCAGTAAGCCTTGATTGTGCCACTGCACCTCAGCCTAGGCAACAGAGCAAGACCCTGTCAAAAACATTCCAAAAAAAGTTACTAAATGCTGAGATAGCAAAACAGCAATGAGTAGAGAAACAGAAAGAAACCATTAAAAAAGCTGTAATAGGCCGGGCGCAGTGGCTCATGCCTGTAATCCCAGCACTTTTGGAGGCCGAGGTGGGTGGATCACGATGTAAGGAGATCAAGACTATCCTGGCTAACATGGTGAAAACCCATCTCTACTAAAAATACAAAAAATTAGCCGGGCATGGTGGCAGGCGCCTGTAGTCCCCGCTACTCGGGAGGCTGAGGCAGGAGAATGGCGTGAACCCGGGAGGCGGAGCTTGCAGTGAGCCGAGATTGCACCACTGCACTCCAGCCTGGGCGATAGAGCCAGACTCCGTCTCAAAAAAAAAAAAAAAAAAGCTGTAACATATAGATTTTGATTCTTCCTTAGCTTGCATATTCCCAGGGTTTCTAGATGGTATTATACTTAAACTCTTGTCTTCTAAAATAATTACAATCGCCAGACCAGCTGCGGTGGCTCATGCCTGTAATCCCAACACTTTGGGAGGCCGAGATAGGCAGATCAGCTGAGGTCAGGAGTTCAAGACCAGCCTGGCCAACATGGTGAAACCCCGTCTCTACTAAAGACCAGGCATGGTGGCACATGCCTGTAGTCCCAGCTACTGGGAAGGCTGAGGCAGGAGAATCGCTTGAGCCCAGGAGGTGGAGGTTGCAGTGAGCCGAGATCGCACCAATGCACTCCAGCCTTGGTGACAGAGTGAGACTCCGTATCAAAAAATAATAGCTACAGTTGCCACGTGTGGTGGCTCATGCCTGTAAACACAACACTTTGGAAGTCTGAGTCAGGAGGAGTGCTTGAGCCTAGGAGGTTGAAGCTGCAGTGAGCCCCAGATCATGCCACTGTATTCTAGCCTGGGTGACACAGTGAGACTGTGTCTCAAAAAAAAAAAAAAAAAGGGCTGGGTGTGGTGGCTCACACCTGTAATCCCAGCACTTTGGGAGGCCAAGGCAGGCAGCTCACCTGAGGTCAGGAGTTTGAGACCAGCGTGGTGAAACCCCATCTCTACTAAAAATAGAAAAATTAGCGAGGCATGGTGGCGTGCGCCTGTAGTCCCAGCTACTCAGGGGGCTGAGGCAGGAGAATCACTTGAACCTGGGAGGCAGAGGTTGCAGTGAACTGAGATTGCGCCACTGCACGCCAGCCTGGGTGACTGAGAGAGACTCTGTCTCAAAAATATATATATATTTTTATCATGGATTAGTTTCAGATGAATAATGTCATAAATAACCATAGGCTCTAAACACCTTATATTTTCCAGGGCTTTATAAATTTGCTCAACTAAGCCTTTTTCTGCTTCATACATGATTACCACCATCACTTGTTACCCATTTTAGCAGATTCCACTTTGGGTTATACTGAATTATTGTTTTCTCAACTTAAAAAGAATACGTATATATATAATGCACACACACACACACACATATATATGTAAAAACTCTGCAAGGCAGGCATTTGGTGCTGGGCTCTTACCTGTTCACTTGCCATTACTGAGGGAATCCTGGTTAGTTTCTTTTCCTCTGCTGACTAATATGCTTAAATTCAGCTGGTCATCACGTCTGGTCTGAGTTCAAGTCTTTTATTTATTTATTTTGTTATTGTTTGTTTGTTTTTTTGAGATGGAGTCTCGCTCTGTCGCCCAGGCTAGAGTGCAATGGCATGATCTCGGCTCACTGCAACCTCTGCCTCCTGGGTTCAAGTGATTTTCCTGCCTCAGCCTCCTGAGTAGCTGGGATTACAGGCGCGCGCCAACATGCATGGCTAATTTTTGTATTTTTGTAGACACTGGGTTTCACCATGTTGGGCAGGCTGGTCTTGAACTCCTGACCTCAGGTGATCCGCCTGCCTCGGCCTCCCAAAGTGCTGGGATTACAGGTGTGAGCCACCACACCCGGCCTATTTATTTATTTTTGAGACAGAGTCTCACTCTGTCACCCAGGCTGGAGTGCAGTGGCATGATCTTGGCTCAGTGCAACCTCTGCCTCCCAGGCTCAAGCGACTCTCATGCCTCAGCTTCCCGAGCAGCTGGAATGACAGGTGTGTGCCAACACGTCTGGCTAATTTTTGCATTTGTAGTAGAGACAGCGTTTCACCCTGTTGGCCAGGCTGGTCTCGAACTCCCGACCTCAGGTGATCTGCCTGCGTCAGCCTCCAAAAGTGCTGGATTACAGGCATGAGCCACTGTGCCTGGCAGAGGTTAAGTCTATTAGAGATGAGGGCCCACTGTGTTGCCCAGGCTGGTCTCGAATTCCTGGGCTCAAGCAGTCTGCTGTCCTTGGCCTCCCAAAGTGTTAGGATTACAAGCATGAGCCACCATACCCGGCCAACTTTTCAGAATATTGCCTATAGTTATTCCATGCACACTATTCAAGAGAAATGTATTTGTCAGTGATTTTATATTCAGCATTGGCACCTCAAATAAACAACAATTGAGCACTAATGGTAACATCTATCAAGTCGTTGATAATCAAGGAAAATCATTCAAAATCATTTTTCTTTGGACACTTTTCTTCTGCTACGACAAACACAATTTAATGAACTCACCGCCAGTAAGCAGCTTTCTTTGGCTAACACATAAGCCCCTTGGAAACTTACTTTTGCAGTTTCATTTTCATTTTTTCTTTTCTTTTTTTTTTTTGAAACAGGGTTTCACTCTGGCACCCAAGTTGGAGTGCAGTGGCATGATCACAGCTCACTGCAGCCTCTACCTCCAGGGCTCAAGTGATTCTCCCACCTCAGCCTCCCAAGTAGCTGGTACTATAGGCATGTGCCACCACACCTGCCTAATTAAAAAATTTTTTTTTGTACAGGCAGGGTCTTGCTATGTTGCCCAGTCTGGTCTCAAACTCCTGGGCTCAAGTGATCCTCCCACCTTGGCCTCCCAAAGTGTTGGGATTATAAGCATGAGCTACCACACCCAGCCTCATTTTTCATTTTTGTGCAGAAATTCTGATAAGATGTTCCATTTGAAATTTTCCTATTTTTTTTCTTTATTTCTTTCTTTTTTTTTTTTTTTCCTTTTTCTGAGACGGGTTTTGCTTTGTCACCCAGGCTGGAGTGCGGTGGCATGATCACAGCTCACTGCAGCCACGACTTCCTGGGCTGAGGCAGTCTTCCCACCTCAGCTTCCCAAGCAGCTGGGAGCACAGGCACATGCCACCACTCCTGGCCAATTTTTTTTTTTTTTTGGTAGTGATGAGGTCTTGCTGTGTTACCCAGGATGGTCTCAAATTCCTGGGCTCAAGCAGTTCTCCTGCCTCAGCCTCCCAAAGTGTTGGGATTACAGGCATGAGCCACAGCACCTAGCCAAAATTTTCCAATTTTTCTGACTGTTGCTTTCCTATAAATTGGTAATACTGTGATGACTGCTTAGTCTAAGTTAACATACATTTTATTCTTTTAGCACAGATACGGTGTCACTGCATAATAAACACAATACTTCGCAATTGTATGCTTTTTTTTTTTTTGAGACAGTTTTACTCTTGTCACCCAGGCTGGAGTGCAGTGGTGCAATCTCGGCTTACTGCAACCTCCGTCTCCCGGGTTCAAGTGATTCTTCTGCCTCAGCCTCCCAAGTAGCTGGGATTACAGGTGTGAGCCACTGCGCCCCCGACCTTGCAATTGTATACAGTAACAAAATAATCTACACTTTGCCTTGAAAGTGTGACATCCAAAGTCTACTTTTCTGGCCTGGTGTGGTGGCTCATGCCTGTAATCGCAGCACTTTGGGAGGCTGGGGCAGGAGGATCACTTGAGGTCAGGAGTTTGAGACCAGCCTGGGCAACATAGCAAGACCCCATTTCCACAAAAAATTTTTAAAAATTAGCTGTGCATAGTGGCCCCAGCTACTCAGGAGGCTGAGGTAGGAGAATTGCTTGAGCCCAGGAGGTCAAGGCTGCAGTTAGCTGTGATTAAACACCACGGCACTCCAGCTTGGGCATTGAGACAGCGAGACCCTGTCTCAAAAAAAGAAAATTATACTTTTCTTCTTTTGATACAAGAACGTGCATTGGCAATTTTTTTTTTTTTTTTTTTTGAGAAGGAGTCTTGCTCTGTCGCCAGGCTGGAGTGCAGTGGCATGATCTCGGCTCACGGCAACCTCCGCCTCCCAGGTTCAAGTGATTCCTCTACCTCGGCCTCCTGAGTAGCTGGGACTACAGGCACCCACCACCACACCTGGCTAATTTTTGTATTTTTAGTAGAGATGGGGTTTCACCATGTTGATCAGGCTGGTCTCGAACTCCTGACCTTGTGATCTGCCCACCTCAGCCTCCCAAAGTGCTGGGATTACAGGCGTGTGCCACCACGCCTGGCCAAAATACTGCTGAATTATAATTGCAGCACTCCAACTTGTAGTGCACTGAGCAGCAGCACAAAGGGATGAGAGTGCCAGGTACGTGTCTGCCACAACTACTCAACTCTGCCATTGTAGTGGGAAAGCAGCCACACTGTATGTGACTTTGTCCCAATAGGTTTAGGTACAGCTATATTCCAGGAAAACTTTATTTATGGGCCCTGAAATTTGAATTTCACATAATCTTCATGTATCATGAGATATTCTTTTGATTTTCCCCCCAACCGTTTAAAGATGTAAAAACCACTCTTGACTGGGTGCGGTGGCTCACGCCCAACACTTTGGGAGGCTGAGGTGGGTGGATCACCTGAGGTGAGACCAGCTTGATCAACATGGAGAAACCCTGTCTCTACTAAAAATACAAAAGTAGCCAGGCGTGGTGGCACATGCCTGTAATCCCAGCTACTTGGGAGGCTGAGGCAGGAAAATTGCTTGAACCCGGGAGGCAGAGGTTGCGGTGAGCCAAGATCGTGCCATTGCACTCCAGCCTGGGCAACAAGAGCAAAACTCCATCTCAAAACAAACAAACAAACAAAAAAACACTCTTTGCCCACAAGCCATAAAGGTAGAGTTGATGGGCAAGATTTGGCCCATGGGCCATTGTTTGCCAACTTTAGGTCAAAAATCTTCTATATTGAATGTGTGCCTTTTGTGTTGCTCCCAGTGTGACCCAGAACTTTTTTAAGGTCACTACCACAAATTCTTTTTTGTTTTTTTGAGACGGAGTCTTGCCCTGTCGCCGAGGCTGGAGTGCAGTGGCGCAATCTTGGCTCACTGCAACCTCCGCCTCCCATGCTCAAGCGATTCTCCTGCCTCAGCCTCCTGAGTAGCTGGGATTACAGGCGCCTGCCACCACGCCTGGCTAATATTTGTATTTTTAGTAGAGACAGGGTTTGACCATGTTGGTCAAGCTGGTCTCAAACTCCTGACCTCGTGATCTGCCCGCCTTGGCCTCCCAAAGTGCTAGGATTACAGGCGTGAGCCACCGTGCCCAACCTACTACCACAACTTCTAATAGATGTCTTCCCCTAAAAAAGACCCCTGATTATAACCACACAGCCTTGATAAATTCAATATTGGTTTGCATCTTACTTCATCTCTGTGTCTAGCCCAATTCTCTAGTTCAGAGTATTCAGTTCCAGATAGCCTGGCACATGATCCGGGCATATCCCACAGCACTGTCAACATCTGTGCCAGATGGAGCTCCCTCATCTAGTTATAGTATTCCAACCAGAAGGGTTACTTGAGCCATCAGAGTTAGGTTCTAGAACACAGAGCAAAGGCCAAATACTACCCATACCCACAACACAAAAACTGCCTCTCAGATATCGTGTTTCATCTGAGACTGAAGCTTAAAACACCGATTCTCAGTGCTGACTGAACATTTGATCACCTGCATAGCATAAAAAAACAACAACAACAAAAAGCCCAGTCCTGATCCCAGAAGACTGATTTATTTATTTGGCTTGCAGGGAGACCTGAGTACTATATTAAAAAAAAATAATGTATTAAAATGGTTCAAATATAAAGTGATACAAATGGTATTTATTGAGAAGTCCTGCTCCCATCCCATCCGACTTGGAGGACCCTATAGTTAACTACTTCTATTCATCTCTTGTGTATCACACAAATGTTTATGTAAGAATATTTTTATTTTCCCCCTTTCTTACACTAAAGGAAACATATCCACTCTTCTGCGTCTTGCTTTTTAAAAATCTAACAATATATCCTGGAATAATTTCCACATCAGCATTTTGAGAGTTTCCTTGTTGTTTGTTTGTTTGTTTTTATATTTGCATACTATTCCATTGTGAAGATAGACCATAGTCTATTTAACCAGTCTCCATACTTAGATATTTATTTCCAAACTCTCGTTACAAACAATGCCATAATGTATAACTTTGTGCATACATCATTTCATATGTATGCAGGCATTTCTGTAGGATGAATTCCCAGAAGTGGAATTAAATGATAGATTAAATGATAAATGTGCATCTATAGCTATGGTCAAATTGCCCTCCATGATGCTTTTAGCATTTGGTACTATTGCAGCAATATAGGAGAATACCTGTTTACTCACAGCTTCATCAACAGCGTGTGTCACAATGGGCTGGGATTATGCAGCAGTGGCTTAACTATTTCTGACACAGGGCAATGTTCCTCGGTGCAGCGGCTCAGATCCAGGGTGGTGAAACTCCCCCATCCTGAGGCTGCACCAAATGGAACACTTCACCTTCTCACTTAGTAGCTGAATTGGGGAACAGAACTGGAGAATCCCCATAGTTTGATTAATAGCACCAGCTATTAAATCCTTCAGCCCAGAGGAAAATATGTTAATTCTGCTCACATTTTATGGGCCAGAATGAGTCACATGCTAAGCCTAAATTCAGGGGGTGCAGGAAATTGTATAGTCCATATTCTCAGAAGTAGAGGAGAACTGGATATTAATAAAATTTTATGTTCAACTTTTAGACTCTTGCCAATCTGATAGGTGAAAAAAAATGTTCAAAGTAGTTTTATTTTGCATTGCTCTTATTAGGAGTGAGGTCAAGCATCTTTTCATATGTTCAAGGGCTATCATGAGTATTTATTAAAACTTCTAGCCAATTCTAATGTGCAACCAGGCTTGCACCTCCTGGGGCTTTCCTACTCAGTTTAGATTTTCTGAGAGAAACATCTTTTCCCTCCATGATTAGTAGGACCACAGTGACTGACCAAGGGAGAATTCGTTCTATAGCTGAGACTGCCTTTTATGTAATAGCAATAGGGTGTCTCATTATAAAATGGCTTTCAGTCAATAACCATAGCATTCTTGTTATATAACCTGTGTACCATAATGGGTGGCCAGATGGTCTTTCAGTAATAGAGCCAGAATTAGAAATCTTTGACTAAAAAACAACCAAGAGTCAATGCTTACTAAGAGTATTGCATCGATGCCTGTTATCATCATCTCTATTTGAAGGAGGAAGTATTTTATAATGGATCTTCACTGAACTCGAATCTTTGATAGGGTAAGATTTTTTTTTTTTTTTAATTGAGATAGGGGTCTCACTCTGTCACTCAGGCTGGAGTGCAGTGGCTTGATCTTGGCTCACTGCAACCTCCAACTTCCAGGCTCAAGTGATGCTCCCACACCAGCCTCCCGATTAGCTGTTCCCACAGGCATGTGCCAATCTGATAGGGTAAAATCTTTTAATGCTGTAGATTGTGTACGGACAGAAGACTTTAATCCTAAATCCACTTTTCCTAACACAAGACTAAAACCTCAAGAGCTAGTATAAAATCATGAACATAGTTTTTCCTGCTCAGGTACCTGTTTCCACTTTTTTATCTCCTACCCATCATGGAGCAGTTTCTTGGGACATCTTTTCTTCTAAAATTGAAGATTTTATTTTTGTTTAAACTCCTAGATCACCTAGGTTCCTCCCACTCAATTCCTGGTGCCAAGCCTATTCAGAAAGTAGTCATGACTGAGGTCAGGGCCTAACCCTCCTGGAATTAGGCAATCAGATCCGTCTATACTTGCAACACCAGAGTGACTCAATGGTCTTACAAAAGTTTACTCGCCATGGATTCATGATGTAATCATCTTAACTAACAAGCTGTATTAGCATGCTTTGGCTGCAATATCAGAAATCCCTATTCAAAATAGTTTGAGCCAGGCGCAAGGGCATTTATTATTTTTCATAACATGAACTCTGTAGCAGGCAGCTCAAGATGCAGGATGTCCAGGCCGTGGGTCTGCTTCTGTGTGATTTTTTTTGGTTCTAATTTCTTTCAGGTTTTGGCTTCATCCTCTGGCTGGTTATCCCAGGCCTCACATCCAGTTATGCCAATGCCCAGTGGGAGAAGGACAGTCATTTCCTTGTGTCCTTTTTTTAGAGACAGGGTCTCACTATGTTGCCCAGACTGGAGTGCAGTGGCACGATCATCATTCACCGCAGCGTCAACCTCCTGGGCTCCAGTAATCCTCCTGCCTCAACCTCCCAAGTAGCTGGGACCACAGTTATGTGCCACCATGCCTGGCCTTGTGTCCTCTTTTATTTTTTTCTTTTTTGCAGAGATGAGGTCTCTCACTATGCTGCTCAGGCTGGTCTCAAACTCCTGGCCTCAAATGATCCTCCCACCTTGCCCTCCCAATATGCTGGGATTACAAGTATGAGCCACCAAGGCCAGCCCTTGTGTCCCTTTTTAAGGGCAAAGAGCACTTCCTCCAGAAACCTGAGAGCTCTCCCTTTACATCCCATCCCATCAGGGCACATGCCCATTCCTAAGGCAAGGACCAGCAAGAATGGGACCACTTGTGCTTGACTGAGCTCATACAAGACTCTGGCTTCCTGCTAGGCATGGTGGCTCATGCCTGTAATCCCAGCACTTTGGGAGGCCGAGACAGGTGGATCACCTCAGGTCAGGAGTTTGAGACCAGCCTGACCAATATGGTGAAACCCCTTCTCTACTAAAAATACAAAAATTGCCAGGCACAGTGGCTCACGCCTGTAATCCCAGCACTTTGGGAGGCCGAGGTGGGCGGATCATGAGGTCAGGAGATCAAGACCATCCTGGCTAACACGGTGAAACCGCGTGTCTACTAAAAATATAAAAGATTAGCTGGGCGCGGTGGCAGGCGCCTGTAGTCATAGCCACTTGGGAGGTTGAGACAGGAGAATGGCAGGAACCTGGGAGGGGGAGCTTGCAGTGAGCTGAGATCCTGAGACTCCGTCTCAAAAAAAGAAAAAAGAAAAAAAGAAAGACTGTGGCTTTGCCTTCAAGCGGAAGGAAACATTTCTTTGGGTAATCAGACACATGCGGACTAAAACTCCTCCTTGCTGGATTTCAGGAAAAGAAGCCCTTTGTAAGATCCTGAGATAATGAACATTTAAGTGACAAATAGGTTCAGCACACCTGTATTAAGCATCTCCCAGGAGCTAGACTTGGGGATGCAAAGTGAATGTGATATGGTCCTGCTTGGTGGTACTTAGTCTAGTGGAGGAATAAGCACTATTCAATCTGATTTTAACTTGGCTCCTCAAATAGCCTTCCTACAGAAAGAGAATGAGCTTTTTTCCCCTTTCACTTGCTCCTTCCCCACCCCCTCTTCTCTCCCTTCCTTTTCTTACTATCCATCCTACAAAAACTTCTTAAGTGCCTACTCTGTGCCAGGCACAATGCTCTGCGCTCGCATCAGAAAACTTACATTCTGGTCAGTTATCTCTCTTATTGTAAATGAGTAATAATGGTCTTCTGATTATAAGATTTATTGTGATTTTGGTTAGTACCTGTAAGACGCTAGCCACCTCTCGTCCTGTGAACCCAGGGCCACACTCAGGGCCATCAGTGGAGACTGTGTCATGTGCTGCCTAAACTGGCCAATTGGCTTCCTTAAATGACACGTTAATAGGAGCCAACAGAAGTGGGATTTGTTTGTTTGTTTGTTTTTGAGACAGGGTCTTACTCTGTCACCCAGGCTGGAGTGCAGTGGCATGATCTTGGCTCACTGCAACCTCCACCTCCCAGGCTCAAGCAATACTCCTGCCTTAGCCTCCCGAGTAGCTGGGATTACAGGCTCCTGCCACCATGGCTGGCTAATTTTTGTATTTTTCGTACAGAAAGGGTCTCTCACAATGTTGGCCAGGCTGGTCTCAAACTCCTGACCTCAAGTGATTCACCCACCTCGGCCTTCCAAAGTGCTGGGATTATAGGCATGAGCCAAGGCACCTGGCCCCCAACAGATGTTTTTTTTGTTTTTTTGTTTTTTGAGACGGAGTCTCGCTCTGTCACCCAGGCTGGAGTGCAGTGGCGTGATCTCGGCTCGCTGCAAGCTCCACCTCCCGGGTTCACGCCATTCTCCTTCCTCAGCCTCCCGAGTAGCTGGGACTACAGGCGCCCGCCACGACACCCGGCTAATTTTTTGTATTTTTAGTAGAGACGGGGTTTCACCGTGTTAGCCAGGATGGTCTTAATCTCCTGACTTTGTGATCCACCCGCCTTGGCCTCCCAAAATGCTGGGCTTACAGGCGTGAGCCACCACACCCGGCCCCAACAGAAGTTTTAAGTGGTGGAATGACATGATCAGTATTAGCCTATCGTGGAGAAGGGAAACTTGAAACAAACCACATTTTAAAAAAGAAAAAAAAAAGCCAAATCAACCCACAACAGAACTTGGTCTCTCAATGTTGCCCAGGCTGGTCTTGAACTCCTGTACTCAAGCAATCCTTCTGCCTTGCCCTCCTAAAGTGCTTGAATTACAGGCATGAGCCACCACACAGGTCTTTTTTTTTTTTTTTTTTTTTTTTGAGATGAGATCTCACTCTGTCGACCAGGAGTGCAGTGGCAGGATTATAGCTCACTGCAGCCTCAATCTCCTGGGCTCAAGCAATCCTCCCGCCTTAGCCTCCCAGATAGCTGAGACTACAGGTGCAGACCATCACGCCCAGCTAATTATTTTTATTCTTATTTTTTATGTGTGTGTTTGTGTGTGTGTGTGTGTGTGTGTGTGTGTGTGGAGACAGGGTCTCGCCGTGTTGCTCAGGCTAGTTTCAAACTCCTGGGCTTGCCGGGCACGGTGGCTCATGTCTGTAATCCCAACACTTTGGGAGTGTTGGGATTACAGGAGGGCAGATCACCTGAGCTCAGGAGTTCGAGACCAGCTTGACCAACATGGAGAAACCCTGTCTCTACTAAAAATACATAATCAGTCGGGTGCGGTGGTGCATGCCTGTAATCCCAGCTACTCAGAAGGCTGAGGCGGGAGAATAGCTCGAACCTGGGAGGTGGAGGTTGTGGTGAGCTGAGATTGCGCCATTGCACTCCAGCCTGGGCAACAAGAGTGAAACTCCATCTCAAAAATAAATAAATAAATAAAAACTCCTGGGCTCAAGTAATCCTCCTGCCTTGGCCTCCCAAGGTGCTGGGATTTATAGACATGAGGCACTGCACCCATCTGTTTTCATTTAATTTTTTTTTTTGAGATGGAGTCTTGCTCTGTCATCCAGGCTGGAGTGCAGTGATGTGATCTTGGCTCACTGCAATCTCTGCCTCCTGGGTTCAAATGATTCTCCCACCTGGGGCTCCTGAGTAGCTGGGATTACAGGCATGCACCACCACGCCTGGCTAATTTTGTATTTTTAGTAGAGATAGGGTTTCTCCATGTTGGTCAGGCTGGTCTCGAACTCAGGTGATCTGCCCATCTCGGCCTCCCAGTCGCTGCGCCTGGCCTTGATTTACTTTCTTTTTTTTTTTTTTTTTGAGATGGAGTCTCGCTCTGTTGCCAGGCTGGAGTGCAGTGGCGCGATCTCACTTCACTGCAACCTCCACCTCCCGGGTTCAATCGATTCTCCTGTGTAGCTGGGACTACAGGCAAGTGCTACCACACCCAACTAATTTTTTTTTTTTTTTTTGACACGGAGTCTCGCTGTCGCCCAGACTGGAGTGCAGTGGCGCGATCTTGGCTCACTGCAGGCTCTGCCTCCTGGTTCCCGCCATTCTCCTGCCTCAGCCTCCCGAGTAGCTGGGACTACAGGCGTGAGCCACCGCGCCCGGCCTAATTTTTGTATTTTTAGTAGAGATGGAGTTTCACCATATTGGCCAGGATGGTCTCGATCTCTTGACCTCGTGATCCGCCTGCCTCAGCCTCCCAAAGTGCTGGGATTACAGGCGTGAGCCACCATGCCCAGCTTGGTTTAATTTCTAAATGACCTAGAGGTGCTCTTTGTCTCCAAGGTTTGTATCTTCTTTAGGGTGTTGTTGTGCTTCCTTCAGCATTGGTGGGGGTCGGGTGAGCAGTTTCTTTCCTATTTATAAATGGCTTGCCTCACTCTTTTGCTTTTAGTCTATGGTCAAGTCCTGGCTGGGTGGAGTGGCTCACACCTGGAATCCCAGCACTTTGAAAGGCAGAGGTGGGAGGATGATTTGAGCCTAGGAGTTCAAGATCAGCTTGCACAACACAGCGAGACCTGGTCTAAAAAAAAAAAAAAAAGAAAATTAGCAGGACGTGGTGGCATGTGCTTGTGGCCCCAGCTACTCAGGAAGCTGAGGTGGGAGGATCGCTTATGCCTGGGAGGTCGAGGCTGCAGTGAGCCATGATTACATCACTGCAATCCAGCATGGGCAACTAAGCAAGTGTCAGTCAAGTCAAGTCCTATCCGGATTTTGGGACATTTTTTGGGGAATATTTAAAGCACTTAAATGCAAAGATCAATGTCAAGTCAGCTTTACTTTTTCTCTGATTTGAGCCCTGGGTCTGGCACCTAGACTTCTGCCTTGTGACCGTAGTCAGGGAACCAGACCTTTGCCCTAAGCCTTAAGCCAGAGCCCTGATTTCTAACTTGCCTTTCTTGGCTGTCTGGTCAGCCCAGGGACAGGAGGCTTGATCTTTTTAAAATTTAATTTTTAGCTGGGCACAGTAGTTCACTCCTATAATCCCAGCACTTTGGGAGGCCAAGGCGGGTGGATCACCTGAGGTCAGGAGTTCAAGAGCAGCTTGGCCAACATGGTGAAACCCTTTCTCTACTAATAATACAAAAATTAGCCGGGTGTGGTGGCGTGCGCCTGTAATTCCAGCTACTCGGGAGGCTGAGGCAGGAGAATTGCTTGAACTTGGGAGGTGGAGGTTGCAGTGAGCCAAGATTGCGCCATTGCACTCCAGGCTGGGTCACAAGAATGAAACTCCGTCTCCAAAAAAAAATTTAATTTTCTAAGAAGTGTAGGGGGCCAGTGCTTGCTGTGTTACCCATGCTGGTCCCAGACTCCTGGCCTCAAGTGTTCTCGCTTTAGCCTCCCGAGTACCTGGGATTATAGGTGCAAGACAGAGGGCCTGGTTCAGGAGTCCTGCTCTTGAACTTCAGCCGTATTGGTGAGGTCCTCTACTACCTGCTGCTAAGCAGCTGCGAAGCTAACTAGTGACTCTAAGGCTAGAAACTGCTACTCTATTTCTTTAAATCCATGAAATGTGTTAAAGACCAGGGTCCTTCTAAGTGCCCTGTCTTAGCTGGGTCTATGACAGCCCTATCCTTGGTGATCTAACTCTCCAGTCATCTATCTCTGCTCCATCCAATTTCAGCCACGCAAAGAAAATAAAGGCCAGGCCAGGTGCAGTGGCTCATGCCTGTAATCCCAGCGCTTTGGGAGGCTGAGGCGGGTGGATCACAAGATCAGGAGATTGAGACCATCCTGGCTAACACGGTGAAACCCCATCTCTACTAAAAATACAAAAAATTAGCCGGGCGTGGTGGCGGGCACCGGTTGTCCCAGCTACTCAGGAGGCTGAGGCAGGAGAATGGCATGAACCCGGGAGGTGGAGCTTGCAGTGAGCTGAGACCGCTCCCCTGCATTCCAGCCTGGGCAACAGAGCGAGACTCCGTCTCAGAAAAAATAAAAAATAAATAAAGAAAAGAAAGGCCGTCAGATGTCAGCTCCTTCCAGCTGAAACTTATTTGTATAGGTTCTGGGTTGAACTGTGCTCCCCTGACTCCCCTGCCAAATTCATATGTGGATGTTCTAATCCCCAGTACCTTAGAATATGACCTTATTTGGAGATAGGGTCTTAACAAAGGTAATTACTGAAAGTAAGGTCTTTGGGGTGGGCCCTAATCCAGTATAACTGGTGTCCTTAAGATGATATAAAGATACAGGGAGAAGACTGCCCTGTACAAGCCAGGGAGAGACCCAGAACAGATCTTTCTCTCACCACTCTCAGAAGGGACCCAACACTTTGGTTCCTCTAGAACTGTGAGAAAATAAATTTCTAGACTGGGCGCAGTGGTTCATGCCTATAATCTCAGTACTTTGGGAAGCCAAGGCAGGCTGATCACTTGAGCTCAGGAATTTCAGAGCAGCCTGGCCAACCCCATCTCTACAAAAAATAAAAAAATCAGTTGGGTGTGGTGGCACATGTCTATAATCCCAGCTATTTAGGAGGCTGTGGTGGGAGGATCACTTATGCCTGAGAGGTTGAGGCTGCAGTGAGCCGTGATCCCACCACAGAACTCCAGCCTGGGTAGCAGAGTGAGACACTGTCTCAAAATATGTATATGGCTGGGTGCAGTGGCTCATGTCTATAATCCCAGTACTTTGGGAGGCTGAGGCGGGCAGATCACCTGAGGTCGGGAGTTCAAGACCAGCCTGGCCAACATGGTGAAACCCTGTCTCTACTAAAAATACAAAAAATTAGCTGGGCGTGGTGGCAGGTGCCTGTAACCCCAGCTATTTGGGATGCTGAGGCAGGGGAATCGCTTAAACCTGCGAGGTGGAGGTTGCAGTGAGCTGAGATTGTGCTATTGCACCCCAGCCTGGGTGACAGAGCAAGACTCTGTCGCAAAAAAAAAAAAAAAAAAAAAAAAAAAACCAGGCGTGGCATGCCTGTAATCCCAGCTACTCAGGAGGCTAAGACACAAGAATTGCTTGAACCTGGGAGGCCGAGGTGGCAGTGAGCCGAGATCGAGCCACTGCATTCCAGCCTGGGTGACAGAGTGAGACTGTCTCAAAAACAAAACAAAACAAACAACAACAAAAAGTATACAGGAGAATGTACATAGGTCATATGCAAATACTTCACCATGGTCACATTTAATATTCTATTAATTTTCTTTTCTCTTTTTTTTTTTTTTTGAGAGGGAGTTTTGCCCTTGTCACCCACGCTGGAGTGCAATGTCACAGTCCCGGCTCACTTCAACCTCTGCCTCCTGGGTTCAAGCGATTCTCCTGCTTCAGCCTCCCAAGTAGCTGGAATTAATAGGCACCCACTACCATGCCTGGCTAATTTTTGTATTTTGTATTTTTATTTATTTATTTTTTTTTTGAGATGGAGTTTTGCTCTTTTGCCCAGGCTAGAGTGAAGTGGGGCAATCTTGGCTCACTGCAATCTCTGCCACCCGGGTTCAAGCGATTCTCCTGCCTCAGCCCCTGGAGTAGCTGGGATTACAGGCACCCACCAGCACGCCTGGTTAATTTTTGTACTTTTAGTGGAGACAAATTTTGCCACGTTGGCCAAATTGGTCTCAAACTCGTGACCTTAGGTGATCTACCCACCTCGGCCTCCCAAAGTGCTGGCATTACAGGCGTGAGCCACCACACCCAGCCTAATTTTTGTAGTTTTTTAAATTGTTTTGTAATTTTTGTATTTTTTAGTAGAGAGGGGGTTTCACCATGTTGGCCAGGTTAGTCTCGAACTCCTGACCTCAGGTAATCTGCCTGCCTCGGCCTCCCGAACTGCTGGGATGACAGGCGTGAACCACTGCGCCTGGCCTGTTTTCTTTCCTTTTTTTTTGAGATGGAGTTTCGCTCTTGTTGCCCAGGTCGGAGTGCAACGGCATGATCCCAGCTCAGTACAACCTCTGCCTCCCGGGTTCAAGCGATTCTCCTGCCTCAGCCTCTTGAGTAGCTGGGATTACAGGCATGCACCACCATGCCCAGTTAATTTTTTTATATTTAGTAGAGAGAGAGTTTCACCATGTTGGTCAGGCTGGTCTTGAACGCCTGACCTCAGGTGATCCACCTGCCTCGGCCTCCCAAAGTGCTGGGATTACAGGCCTGAACCACCACACCTGGCCTGGCCTATTAATTTTCTTTCTTTTTTTTTTTTTTTTGAGATGGAGTCTCGCTGTTGCCCAGACTAGAGTGCAGTGGCGCGATCTCGGCTCACTGCAAGCTCTGCCTCCTGGGTTCATGCGATTCTCCCACCTCAGCCTCCCGAGTAGCTGGGACCACAGGTGCCCACCACCACGCCCGGCTAATTTTTTGTATTTTTAGTAGAGGCGGGGTTTCTCCGTGTTAGCCAGGATGGTCTCGATCTCCTGACCTCGTGATCTGCCCGCCTCGGCCTCCCAAAGTGCTGGGATTACAGGCGTGAGCCACCGCGCCCAGCCTATTAATTTTCTACTTGTCTTATTCATTGTCTTCTCTGTCCATTCCATGAGGGCAGGGATTCTGATCTGTTTTGTGCATAACTTTTGGTGCAGCACCTGGGATCCATCTGGATGTCCCAAAGGTCTTCAAACTTAACCTGTCCAGTACCTAGTTCATCAATGTCCCTAACCCCAAACTTGCTTGTGCTTTTTTTTTTTTTTTTTTTTTGAGACAGGGTCACACTCTCTTGCCCAAGTGGCATGGTCATGGCTCACTGCAGCCTTGACTTCCTGGGCTCAAGCAGTTCTCCTGTCTCAGCCTCTCTAGTAGCTGGGAACACAGGCATGCACCACAATGCCTGGCTAATTTTTTATTATTTGTAAAGACAGGGTCTCACTATGTTGCCCAGGCTGGTCTCAAACACGTGGACTCAAGCAATCCTCCTGCCTCTGCCTCCCAAAGTGCTGGGATTACAGGTGTGAGCTGCCATGCCCAGCCATGTTTTTTTTGTTGTTGTTTATTTGTTTGTTTGTTTTTTTGAGACAGAGTCTTGTTCTGTTGCCCAGGCTGGGGTGCGTGGTCAATCTTGGCTCACTGCAACCTCCATCTCCTGGGTTCAAGCAATTCTCATGCCTCAGCCTCCCGAGAAGCTGGGACTACAGGTGCTCGCCACCAACGTGGGTAATTTTTTGTATTTTTAATAGAGACAGGGTTTCACCATATTGCCCAGGGTGGTCTCAAGCTCCTGGCCTCATGTGATTCACCCACCCATTGATCTTGGCCTCCCAAAGTGCTGGGATTACAGGTGTGAGCCACCACGCCTGGCCTGTTTTTGTATTCCTTTTGTGAAAAACACTGTCTACTAATTCCTTTGCCCAGAAGCCTGAGTGCTATCTTCGCTTCCTCCTTCTACGTCATCCTACATTGGTGAGTTGGTCACTAAAGCCTGTCCTACCCAGTGCTCTGCAGTCTGCCCCATCTCTCCCTTTCTGTCCTGCCACCACTCTAGTTTGGGCCCCTCTTCAATTCTTGCTTGGACCATGACCAAAGTCTTTTCCTTACTCTGTTCCCAGCTTGTCCTCCTCACTGATGCAAGAGTGATTTTTTTTTGTTTGAAATTCATATATTGGTTTGCTTTTCCACAAAGTTGGGACCATACCATATAATGTTTTATGTTAATCTTGCAAGCATTATCTTTGAAGACTTTTCATAGATGCAATTGTCTGTTGCAGCTATGGGTGAACATAGTTGACTCCATCATCTTCCTAATCAGGTTGTTTCTAGGCTTATTATTTGCTTTTATTTATTTATATTTATATTTATTTATTTTGAGCCAGAGTCTTGCTCTGTCACCCAGGCTGGAGCACAGTGGTGTGATCTTGGCTCACTGCAACCTTTGCTTCCCGGGTTCAAGCGATTCTCCTGCCTTGGCTTCCCGAGTAGCTGGGATTACAGGTGTCTGCCACCACGCCTGGCCAATTTTTGTATTCTTAGTGGAGACAGGGTTTTGCCATGTTGGCCAGGCTGGTCTCAAACTCCTGACCTGAGGAGATCTGCCTGCCTTGGCTTCCCAAAGTGCTGGGATTACAGTCAAGAGCCGCCGCGTCCAGCCATTATTTGCTTTTATAAATAATGCGGTGATGCATCTTTATGATCTTTCAAAATCTGAATCTTGTCACGTCACTCGCTTGCTTAGACTCCATCAGTACCTCCCTGTCATTGAAGTGCAATATTCTGACTCCTCAGTATGGCTCATAAGGCCTCTTAGATTAGATCCTGCCTACCTTTCATGTCATCTCCCACCCACAACCCATAACGCCAGTTCCCTACTTGCAGATGCCAAATGTGAGCCGCCTTGATTTTTTTCACTTATGCTTCTTCCTCTGTAATGTCCTCTTCTTTTTTTTTTTTTTTTTTGAGATGGAGTCTCGCTCTGTCACCCAGGCTGGAGTGCAGTGGTGCGATCTCGGTTCACTGCAACCTCCGCCTCCTGGGTTCAAGAGATTCTCCTGCTTCAGCCTCTTGAGTAGCTGGGATTACAGATGCCTACCACCACGCCCAGCTAATTTTTGTATTTTTAGTAGAGACGAGGTTTCACAATGTTGGCCAGGCTGGTCTCGAACTCCTGACCTCAGGTGATCCACCCACCTCAGCCTCCCAAAGTGCTGGGATTATAGGCGTGAGCCACCGCATCCAGCTTGTAATGTCCACTTCTTTGTCTCCCCAGAAAAGTCCACTGCCTGGGTTCAAATCCTCATCATTCCTTATTTATAATGATGATATTTAAAGATGATATTTGGCCGGGCACAGTGGCTCACGTCTGTAATCCCTGCACTTTGGGAGGCCGAGGCGGGCAGATCACCAGGTCAGGTGATCGAGATCATCCTAGCTAACAGGGTGAAACCCCGTCTCTACTAAAAATACAAAAAATTAGTCAGGCTTGGTGGCATGCACCTGTAATCCCAGCTACTCAGGAGGCTGAGGCAGGAGAATCACTTGAACCCGTAAGGTGGAGGTTGCAGTGAGCCGAGATCGCGCCATTGCACTCCAGCCTGGGCGACAGAGCAAGACTCTGTCTCAAAAAAATAAAAAATAAATAAATAAATAAATAAATAAATAAATAAATAAATAAAGATGATATTCCACTAAAACCACAGTGGCTTTTGGGACACGGGGAGCTAGCCCACTGACAGATAAAAATTTCCAAGATGGGCCAGACTCCGTGGCTCACACCTGTAATCCCAGCACTTTGGGAGGCTGAGGTGGGCAGATCACGAGGCCAGGAGTTTGAGACCACCCTGGCCAACATGGTGAAACCCTGTCTCTACTAAAGTTACAAAAAATTATCTGGGCGTGGTGGTGGGCGCCTGTAATCTCAGCTACTTGGGAGGCTGAGGCAGGAGAATCGCTTGAATGTGGGAGGCAGAGGTTGCAGTGAGCTGAGATTGCACCAGTGCACTCCAGCCTGGAAGACAGAGTGAGACTCCATCTCAAAAAAAAAAAAAATTAATTAAAAAAAAAATTCCAAAATGGCCTAGCCTAACCTACAGATGCTTTCTCAGACCTTTTGATTCTACAATAAGATGCTGTCTCAAAAACAAAAAAAATTCATAGCATTTTATCACATGTGAATTATGTGAAATTTCAGTCTCCATAAATAAAGCTTTGGAACACAGCCACTCTCGCGCACTCTCACTTATTTACGTATTGTCTTTGGCTGCTTTTATTCTTTATTTTTTGAAACTCACTCTGTCGCCCAGGCTGGAGTGCAGTGATACAATCTCGGCTCACTGCAACCTCTGCCTCCTGGGTTCAAGTGATTCTCTTGCCTCAGCCTCCCAAGTAGCTGGTACTACAGGTGCACCCCACCATGATTGGCTAATTTCTGCATTTTTAGTAGAGACAGGGTTTCACCAGGTTGGCCAGGCTGTTCTCAAACTCCTGACCCCAAGTGATCCACCCGCCTCGGCCTTCCAAAGTGCTGGGATTACAGGCGTGAGCCACTGCGCCCGGATCTTTGGCTGCTTTTATGCAACAATGGCAGAGCTGAGCAGCTGCAATAGAGATAGAGATGGTTTGGCCTGTAAGCCTGAAACACTGACTCTCCGGCCCTTTACAGAAATTTGCTGAGCCCTGGTCTAGATAGTGCTGCAGAGCGGGTAGGGAGCTAGGAGACACACCGGAAAACTGATGAGAGGGTTTCAGGACAGAAGGTAGTTCATAGGGCTAAACGTGGCATCAAAGACCAAATGCATGAAGACTCAACGAGGAAGATCCCCTCCACCAACTCACTAAGAAATAACTACACAGGAGACAAAATTTGTTTAAAAAAACAACTTCACATTTTGATGGAATATGGTCACTTGTTGAGTTGAAGGCATGGAGGAAAAGTGCTGTTCTGAAACAGTTCGAACTAAAGAGCCCATCCCATCCCCACATAATGAGCACTTTTTTTTTTCCTTTTTTTTTTTTTTTTTTGAGACGGAGTCTCACTCTGTCACCCAGGCTAGAGTGCAATGGCACAATCTCGGCTCACTGCAAGCTCCGCCTCCCGGGTTCACGCCATTCTCCTTCCTCAGCCTCCCGAGTAGCTGGGACTACAGCTGCCCGCCACTGCGCCCAGCTAATTTTTTGTATTTTTAGTAGAAACGGGGTTTCACCGTGTTAGCCAGGATGGTCTTGATCTTCTGACCTCATGATCTGCCTGCCTCGGCCTCCCAAAGTGCTGGGATTACAGGCGAGTCACCATGCCCAGCCATAATGAGCACTTTTAATGACTAGCTCATCAATTTTTTTTAATATGGAATTTCGCTCTGTCACCCAGGCTGGAGTGCAGTGGTGTGGTCTCGGCTCACTGCAACCTCTGCCTTCCGGGTTCAGGTGATTCTCGTGCCTCAGTCTCCTGAGTAGCTGGGACTATAGGCACATGCCACCATGCCTGGCTAATTTTTGTATTTTTAATAGAGACAGCGTTTCACTGTGTTGGCCAGGCTGGTCTCGAACTTAGCTCATCATTTTATTATTTTTTAGAGACAGGGTCTCCCTCTGTTGCCCAGGCCAGAGTGCAGTGGCATGATCATAACTCACTGCAGCCTCAAATTCCTGAGCTCAAGCAATTCTCCCACCTTAGCCTCCAAAGTAGCTGGGACTAGAGGCCAAGCTATTTTTAAAAATTTTTTCTAGAGGTGGGGTCTCACTATGTTGTCCAGACTGGTCTCAAACTCCTGGCCTCAGGAGATTCTCCTGCCTCAGCCTCCCAAAGCACTGGGATTATTGGCATGAGCCACCATGCCCTGGCTCTAGCTCATCATTTTGTACTGACACCGCATTCATCAGAGCTGAAGATGCTGAACAACATTTGTAACTTTAAAATTCTACAGGTCACGTGTAATCCCAGCACTTTGGGAGGCTGAGGCGGGCAGATCACAAGGTCAGGAGTTGGAGACCAGCCTGGCCAGCACAGTGAAACCCTGTCTGTATTAAAAAAATAAAAAAATTAGCCGGGCATGGTGGTGCACACCTGTAACCCCAGCTACTCGACAGGCTGAGGCAGAATTGCTTGAACCTGGGAGGCGGAGGTTGCAGTGAGCCGAGATTGTGCCACTGCACTCCAGGCTGGGTGACTGAGTGAGACTCTATCTCAAAAAAAAAAAAAAAAAAAAAAAATCTGCAGAAAAGGCCCATATGGGCAAAGTATAAGATTATTACTAAATTGGTATAGTGTACACTTAAAATTACATATTCACAAAAAGAGGTTAAAGAGAAATTTAAATGCACTGACATTTTTATTTCTTGCAACCCGAGTTAAATTCACGTTTCATTTCCTACAGAATGCAAAAAAGACATCCACAAGGCAACTCCACTTCTAAGTTACAAATTACTAGATGTTAGAAAACTTTCTCGAAGGACAGTGCACTATTTTTTATTTTTTGAGACAGAGTCTTGCTCTGTCGCCTTGGCTCACTGCAAGCTCCGCCTCCTGAGTTCACGCCATTCTTCTGCCTCAGTCTCCCGAGTAGTTGGGACTACAGGCGCCCGCCACCATGCCCGACTAATTTTTTATATTTTTAGTAGAGACGGGGTTTCACTGTGTTAGCCAGGATGGTCTCGATCTTCTGACCTCGTGATCCGCCTGCCTTGGCCTTCCAAAGTGCTGAGATTACAGGCGTGAGCCACCGTGACCAGCCAGAGAGTGCACTATTTTTTTTTTTTTTTTTTTTTTGAGACGGAGTCTTGCTCTGTTGCCCAGGCTGGAGTGCAATGGCGCTGTCTCGGCTCACTGCAAGCTCTGCCTCCCAGGTTCATGCCATTCTCCTGCCTCAGCCTCCTGAGTAGCTGGGACTACAGGCGCCCACCACCACGCCCAGCTAATTTTTTGTGTGTTTTTAGTAGAGATGGGGTTTCACCGTGTTAGCCAGGATGGTCTCGATCTCCTGACCTCGTGATCCCCCCGCCTTGGCCTCCCAAAGCACTGGGATTACAGGCATGAGCCACCGCGCCCAGCCACTATTTTTTAAGTTAGTAGCACACTTAACATATAACCAACCTTAAGTTAGAAAAGTCATTTTTTGAAGGCACAGTTTGTTTCCAGCTCAACTGTGGAAATCAAAATCTGTCTGCAGTACCAAATCCCATCCCACAGTCAGCCCAGCCCTGGCACCATTTTGCTTGTCTCCATGAAATGTGTCTAGTCTAGAGGGTAGCATTTTTTTGTCGATCCCAATCATCATGTGAAAAGTTTCTGGAGCCATGTTACGTCTTCCTTCATTCTCTGTGAAAATGCAAGCAACTCATTTATAAAGTAGCATCAGCAACCAGGCCTTCCTGGGCATGGGAGTGGGGAAGAAGTGGCAGAAAGGACCAGCTCGCTGTCCTGTAGCTTACGGACAGTCCCCTCAGCACAGGACGTAGAACGAGAGGGTCTGAACAAGAACAGGACAAAACGAGGCCCTCTAATATGTCAGACGAAGACAAATTTCCAGAAAAGTGAAGGCAACTCCCCTTCCATATACCTGGGGTTAAGAAAAAAAAAACCAAAAAACAGAGAAGGGCGGGTGACTGGCTTCATCAGTCCAGCAAAAGACAGGGAATGTGCATAAAATAAGATGTTACTGTGCTTCAAGTCAGTTGAATCACTAATCTCATTAGGCAAGTGGAAGTCTGCTGAGAATGTGGCAGTGGCCTTTACATGTATTTATTTTAAATAATTAGCTTAGGTCTGAGCTATAATGACTAATCTCCACGAGTCTATGCCTGACGGTGATAAAAAGTTGACATACATGGAAGGTGTTAGAGGAAAGAACCAGAAACAATTACAGTAAGTGGAACCGTGCACAAAAGCTGCTCTGCATCCCGGGTTCATGCTTTTAAGCAGCCTTTTTGCTGAAAGCCTCACGAAGTAGTTTTGTTTGGGTTGAGTGTTATGTTTAAAATTTCCCTTCTACCAGTTATTGAGAAAATAATAATGCCGAGCTCATCTAATAAACAAATGTCTAGTTCGATAAGCTTTAATCAGGCCCTCACACCCTGGGATGGTCGTTAATGACATGGATCAGAATCCCTGAGGTGGCTGGAATCTAACAAGTGGGTAGCACAGAAAGCTCACCTTGCCTATGGAGGCTGTGGATATTTTTAGGAAGGTCATGCATTATGGGATGGGAATTTTTATAAACAAATTGCTACATAAAAACTAATGCACTGTTGCAGCACTTGTGGAGGTTTCCTTTGCTTTGAGACACCACTGTTTATAGGCTGCAGACTGTAAAGGGAAGTACTGGGAAATGGCAAAGGTCACATGGGCCAGTGCCATGTTTTAAGGTCAAAGGCACTGTTATTTTAAGTGACCTATCTCATTATTAAAATCAGTCACTTTCACCATCTTCAAAATATTTTGTTTTTTTAAAAAGACAAGGGCCTTGTGGCTCCAACTATTTTGTTGGATGTACCAACATAAATAAATCAGTTTTAATTGATGCTTCTGCATGATTTCTTTTGTAAAATGAAAGGAGAAAATGAACTGGGCCAGTTAAAATGGTATCTGGGCTTTTTGCCCCCTTAGCAAAATCCTTCTATACAAAGTCAGCGTCATTTATAGAGTGCCAGTCCTAAAACCAGGTGGCAGAGAAATAAGTGATGATTCAAGTTACCTTGCAAGAAGTGCAGAAGAGTGGGTGGGAATGCTAGACAGGTCAGGAGACCCCCGGTACCAAATAAACATTTTGCCCTACTGAGGCCTGCCTAATGGTGATTCCCAGAGGGGTGGAGGAAGACCATTGTGCAGCTGCATCTGTGCAATACTCCATTCCCACAAACTCTATTGGGCGCCCCTGTCGGTCAGCCTCGCAGCCTCGAGCCAGTGGAAGACCTGTTGCAAATCACAGATGGAGAGTTACAGATGGGAGCACGTGGGGAAGAGGGGCTCACCCAATTCCCCACACATTTCCAGGAGTCGCAGTGAGCAGTGCTGGTGTGAAGCCCTCCTACTAATATACATGCCAAGGATGGGGGGCTGGAGGGAAGCGGGGACATCTGCCAACAAAAGAGCAAGATGGCACACTCTATTTCCCATTCTAACACTGATCCTTTCTGGGAGGATGAAAGAATCACAGATAATGTGCTCAGAGAGTGTGTGTGTGTGTGTGTGTGTGTGTGTGTGTGTGTGTGTGTGTGAATGATGACTCCTAAACAAAGGTGTGGGAAGGACCCTCCTCCACCAAACGACTGGTTCACAGGCCCCCTTAACACTCTGACTCATGGTAAGGCTTAGGAATGAGAAATAGAGGCTCATGGCTGCAAGACTGAAATTCTGTTCCCATCTTTCCATATGCTCATTAAAATGAGAAATGCAACTCTTCTTATTCCAGCATGGTAATCAAACGCCCAAGATATGCAGGGCCAGGCTACTGTGCTCAGACAAAAACTCTAATAAGCATTTTGCTGGAAGAACTTGGTGAGGTGTTAACCCTAGGAAAATGTGGGACAAACACTTCCTTATAACAGCAAAAATGTCTTAAGACCTACTCTATTATAACATTTGCAAACACACATTAATTTACATACTAAAATAGTAAATGAAATTTCTTGGAAGTTCAAAAAAAGATCTTTCAAATCTTTTCATCACAATAGAGTGGAAATCCGTCTGTCTTCAGAGTTGTCGAACTTTTCTTTCTGTGCTTTTTATGTTGACATCTAACTTGTCCACTTTGGTTGTCAGCCGGTCAAGAATGTCATCTTGCTCCTCAATTTCTGTCTGCATCCCCAGGGCTATGTCCTTCAGACGACCCAGTCCCATGGACAGCTCATCTGCAGGAGGAGGAAATGACACGCAGGCATGAGCAAACAGTCACGGCACCTGCAAATGCTTCTTGATGGTGTGGGTAAGTGGGAGAGACAGGGATCTGTGTTGCCTGGGGGGACTGCACCCACTGCAGAGATGAGTCTTGACTTAATTGATTCTGTCAGGGTGAAGAGTAAAGCCTTTTCCCAGGTTTGTGACTGTGTGTGTGTGTGTGTATGTGTGTGTGTGTTTGTGCACGCTGGGGGTAGGGAGATATGCCCAGGGCTGCTTTCTGCCTTTTTACTAGGAACAGCAGCCAGGAAAGAGCCAGAGAGGAGAGAGAAGAGGTGGTGCTTTGTAAGCCTTCTTACTTGCAAGATTAAATATAAAACACTAAGAGAAAAAGGATCAGGATACACAAAGGCTTAGCACTGGTACCACAAATCTAAGCAAAATCAGTTTTTTGTTTTTTTTTTTTTTGAGACAGCATTTTGCTCTTTTGTCCAGGCTGGAGTGCAGTGCCATGATCTCGGCTCACTGCAACCTCCGTCTCCTGGGTTCAAGCAATTCTTCTGCCTCAGCCTCCTGAGTAGCTGGGACTACAGGCACACGCCACCACACCCGACTAATTTTTTTTGTATTTTTAGTAGAGATAGGGTTTCACCATATTGGCCAGGCTGGTCTCGAACTCCTTACCTTGTGATCCGCCCGTCTTGGCCTCCCAAAGTGCTAGGATTACAGGCGTGAGCCACCGCGCCCGGCCAAAATCAGTTTTTTTAAAAAGGTAGTTTTGGCCGGGTACAATGGCTCATGCCTGTAATCCCAGCACTTTGAGAGGCTGAGGTGGGTGGATCGTATGAGGTCGGGATTTTGAGGCCAGCTTGGCCAACATGGTGAAACCCCATCTCTACTAAAAAATATAAAAATTAGCCAGATGTGGTGGTGCATGCCTGTATTCCCTGCTACTCGGGAGGCTGAGGCAAGAGAATCACTTGAACCTGAGAGGAGGAGGTTGCAGTAAGCTGAGATCAATGCACTGCACTCCAACCTGGGCGACAGAGCAAGACTCCGTCTCAAAAAATGAAATAAAAAGATAGGCTGAGTGTGGTGGCTCATGCCTGTAATCCCAGCACTTTGGGAGGCCGAGGTGGGTGGATCACTTGAGGTCAGGAGATCGAGACCATCCTGGCTAACATGGTGAAACCCCGTCTCTACTAAAAATACAAAAATTAGCTGGGCATGGTGGTGCACACCTTGTAATCCCAGCTACTCGGGAGGCTGAGGCATGAGAATCACTTGAACCCAGCAGGCAGAGGCTGCAGTGAGCTGAGATTGTGCCACTGCACTCTAGCCTGGGCGACAGAGTAAAACTCTCAGAAAGAAATTAAAAAATATAAAAATAAAAAGATTGTCTTCAAGTCAGGCACAGTGGCTCATGCTTGTAATCCCAGCACTCTGGGAGGCTGAGGTGGGAGGATCACTTGAGCCCAGAAGTTGGAGACTAGCCTGGGCAACAAAGCGAGACTCCATTTCTAAAAAAGAAAAGAAAAGAAAGAGAAAAACAGTATAATTAAAATTAAAAAAAAAAAAAAGATAAGTCTTCAGCTCTTTGCTTCTTAAGCTTACTAAAATTCATGGCCTCGTGCTCCATGGAGAGCAGAGCCTGTGGTTGCCTCAGGCCTCAGGAGGAAGCTCACTGGCAGCCAGGGCAGCAAAGGATAAGCAAACAGAGAGGCTGAGATAAAATGTGTGATAATGTAAAACCACCAGGCCAGGGCGCTGGAGTCCAGAGAGCTTGCCTGAGATCCTGAAATAGCAGGGAGATAGTGTTAAGACGGGAAGAGTGTGAACAAAGGCAACACTCCCTGCCCCACCAGAGTGGACCGGCCTGGCCTGTGTCAGCAGGGCCAGAGGGCTGAGCTCTGAACTAGCCACTCGCCCTTCTGCCCAGGCCCACCTCCTACTCTAGACTGCGTCCTGCCGGTAACTGCCCAGCTGCTCGTCCACAGTGCCAACTGTGCACCCTCAGCACCTCCTAGTGGCGGGCAGTACTCAGCACTTCTTCCTGCCTCTGAATGCAGTATCCTTCCTCAAAGTCCCTTCTCCCACTTCTGCCAGCAGGCACCAACCATACCACTAGCCCTAACCTCTCCCTTTCTCGCAGTGAAGGACAAAGGGCTTTCACGCCTCTCTGGGCTTCTCTGGAGTGGTTAGATCTGGGCAGACACACCTTCTGCCTCAGATAAGTCTTTGGCTCTGGAGGACAGAGTCCAGGGCATAGAAGGAGGTGGCAGCTGTCTGGGGCTTCCCAGACAGCAAGCAGGAGAAAACCCGTGCACAGACACTCCATGTGCATCTTCATGGGTTTCAGTTTTGCCTTCCACTAGATACCTTTACAGCAGGGGAGGATTTTATTATTTGTCCCCTACACTTTGCCAACTCCTAACAGGGGGTGGGAGACTGACAGGGTGACCCAGGTCACCACGGGGGAGATTTCTGCTCAGGGAGTAGCGGTAGGAGGAGGCAGCAAGTCTGAGACACTACTTAGAATAAACTCACAGAACTGCCCACAGGCCAACACCTACTTGAATTTCAAGTAACTGACTTTTCCATTCAAAAAATAATCACTGGCTAGGGCGCAGTGGCTCACACCTATAATCCCAGCACTTTGGGAGGCCGAGACAGGCGGGTCACCTGAGGTCGGGAGTTCGAGACCAGCCTGACCAACAAGGAGAAACCTCATCTCTACTAAAAATACAAAATTAGCTGAGCATGGTGGTGCATGTCTGTAATTCCAGCTACTCGGGAGGCCGAGGCAGGAGAATCGCTTGAACCCAGGAGGCAGCGGTTGCAGTGAGCTGAGATTGCACCATTGCACTGCAGCCTGGGCAACAAAAGCAAAACTCTGTCTCAAAACAAAACAAAACAAAACAAAACATAATCACTAAGTGCTTGCCTGCTGGGCCCCAGATACAAAGTAGTGACAAAATGGAAACACTCCCATGCTGTCCTGGAATCTACAGTCTGATTGGGAAGACAGCAGGCAAACCAGCAGATACACAATCACAAACGGCCAGGGCAGCCCCCTGGAAACACAAGGGTCCTGAGAGACAGGGAGAGGAGGCCATACTAATGCAAGACTGACAGAAAGAGAAGGAGCCAGCCTACAGAGAGTCGGGGGAGCCCATCCAGGCAGATAGGGGCCACGAGGCAGAAAGAACTCACATCAGAAATCCCACACGAGCCTGCAGGTGATGAGGGCAGAAGGGACTAGGGCAGCCAAAGAGAGCCTGGACTGCACTGTGAGTGTGTGGGGTTCCATGAGAGAGTTCTGGAAGAATATACCCTTCACTTCTTCTTTTTTTTTTTTTTTAGGTGGAGTTTCGCTCTTGTTGCCCAGGTTGGAGTGCAATGGTGCGATCTTGGCTCACTGCAACCTCTGCCTCCCGGGTTCAAGTGATTCTCCTGCCTCAGCCACCCGATAGCTGGGATTACAGGCGCCTGCCACCACGCCCGGCTAATTTTTGTATTTTTAGTAGAGACAGGGTTTCACCATGTTGGTCAGGCTGGTCTTGAACTCCTGACCTCGGGTGATCCACCCGCCTTGGCCTCCCAAAGTGCTGGGATTGCAGGCGTGAGCCACTGCGCCCGGCCCCCTGCACACCCTTCCGTTTTGAAACATCATGCTGGAGGCTGTGTGGCCAAAGTGCCAATTGCAACACGAGCACTAACTCTTACCATCCCAGGCACTTTCTGGCTCAGGTAACCTTTCCACTGTTCTCAGAGGTAGCCCATTTCACAAGGAGGAAAACAGGGCTCTGAGTGGCCAGGTGGGAAGGATGAAGTGAGCGGTCACGTCCAGGCTATACTTTATGGCCTCTCAGGGACTCCTGGGTCCCTGGTGCTGTTCATGAAAGTGAGAGGTGGGGAGGGCTCGGCTGGGCTAGAAGTAGGAAATGGTGAGAAGTGGAGAGATTCCAGAGACAGTGAGGTGGCAAGATGGACCCAGCTTGGCGTGGGATGTGATGTGTGGTGAGGGAACTGAAGCTGGAGGATGCTCATGCAGGGGCTATGCTTGGCGTAAGCTGCCTGAAGGACAGTGGCTTACAGAAGCTGGTGTGGTGCTCAGTCTTACCTAGGTTGCTGTCGATCTTCTGGTGATAGGCTCGAAGGTGTGGGTTCTTTGGGTAAGCATCAGTACTCATGGCAGAACCAGCCCCTCTGGGGACAGGGTCTAAGTTTAGAAGGAAACACCAGGAGAGCGGTTAATTGACATTCCTTCAAATGCTGCTTCACACACCCAAAACAATTTCATCTGGAAAATGGGTGGAAGGAACGAAGGGGTTGGTTCTGAGGCTATCCAGAGGGATGAGGGAGGAGCACAGCGCAGGCTCATGGGCCAGAAGAAGAGACGCTTCCACGGGGTAGGAGAGGGTTCTCACTTTCCCTCAGTACTTGGGAGATCAAACACCCTCAAATTAAGGGTCACCTAACTCCTGGTGCACAAGCTCAGGAAAGACAGAGTCACACAAGTGACAATACAGAAGTGGAACTGCAATAATGCAAAACTACACAGTCTGTGGACAAAGTATAAAAATACAAATTGTTACGTTACATAAATGGAATTATGGGTAATTTCGTTTCTTTCTGAAATTTATTTCTACACTATCTTTGCACTTGAAACAAATACGCAAAAAAAAAAAAAAGAAATGTTAAATAATGCACATTTGCCACAAGAAATCTTCCTTGAACTTTTAGTTTCTTCTTTTTTAAAATTATCTTTCTTGGCTTGAATGAACTTCAGTTTCTAAACGCACACGGAAAAGCCCTGTCATCCCGGTTTATCTCTTTCAGGGAAACTTCACTTTCTAGACTTAGCACATTTCCTCCAGCACCAACCAACTGAAACCATTCTGCAAACTGTGTCGATTTTTTCTTCAGTCTTTTAAGTTAATATATACTGCACAAATAAAAACTCTCTTTAATTCCTTAAAATTGTGTCTTGGGTGCAGTGTCCTGTGCCCCTTCTCCAGGGTGTGATGAGGCCGGTTTTCCCAGCCCTTGCCTTTCAATTTACACTCACTTCCTCCACTTGCCTTTCCAGAATGAACTGTGCTGATGATGTTAGTCTCTCCTGCTCCCCGCTCTTCCTCCATCTGGGCTCTCCTCAGCTGCATCAACCACAACCATGGTGGGTTCCAGAGCTTCCATGGTGTATCGTTTTCTTGAAGGCAGCACAGTAAGCCTTTGGTTTCTAGCACCAATTTCAATGTACCTGGCTATTGTGGGGGCCTATGGAGGAGGCCCCAGGAGCCCTAAATTCCTTTCCAGATAAGGGATGTTTCTGGGCCTATCACTTGATAGAAGTGGAATGATTCGATCAACACTGTCTTGCACACCTTGTCCATGTGGCTGCTGCTCCTTCTGCTTGGGCTGGAGGCTGTATTAGTCCCTCACTGATGCTGTGACAAATGACCACAAACTTGTCTTACGGTTCTGGAGGTCAGAAGTCCAACATGGGTCTCACTGGGCTGAGTCGGGGTGTCCTCAGGGTTGCACTCCTTCTGGAGCTCTTGGGAAGAATCTAATTCCTCGCCTTTTGCAGTTTCTACAGTTCACCCGTGTACCTTGGCAGGTGGGCCCCTTTCTCTATCTTCAAGGCCAGCAGCATCTTCAGATCTCTGACTCTGCTGCTCTCTCTCCTGCTTCTCTTTCCACTTAAAAGGGACCTTTGTGATGACACTGGACCCAACTGGACAACCCAGGATAATCTCCCCATCTTGCTGATTAGCAATTGTAACTCCATCTGCAACTGTAATTCCACCTTTGCCATATAACCTAACACACTCACGGGGTCTGGGGATTAGGACGTGGACAGCTTTGAGGGGCCAGTATTCTATTTACCAAGGGGTTTTTCTGCAGTTGGCTTTTTACTGCTGGAACAATTGAGAATGACACAGGCAGGAACCAATGATGGGCACGCTCATTTTCTTTTTTGAGACAGAGTTTCACTCTTGTTGCCCAGGCTATAGTGCAGTGGCGTGATCTCAGCTCACTGCAACCTCCGCCTCCCAGATACAAGTGATTCTCCTGTCCAAGCCTCCCAAGTAGCTTGGATTAGAGGCATGTGCCACCACATTTGGCTAATTTTTTTGTATTTAGTAGAGACAGGGTTTCACCACGTTATTAGTAAGGCTGGTCACAAACTCCTGACCTCAGGTGATTCACCCAGCTTGGCCTCCCAAAGTGCTGGGATTACAGGCGTGTGTTACTGCACCAGGCTGGCCGGGCAGGCTCATTTTCAATGGAATGCAGGCCCTCACTTCCTTGTTCTCCTCTCCATGGAGGGAGGGAGGGAGAGAAGGAGGAGCCCCACCATAATGCACACCCCCAGCTCCGCAAGAGCATGCGGGGTCCCTAAGGCCCTTTGGCTAGCATGGGTGATGCCAGCAGCTGGGGCCCCTGCCCACCTCCCCAGAGAGGTTGCCACTGCCCCCCAAGGACCAACGCCAAACCTAGAGGTCTCCCCCCAGAATTCAAATGTGGCTGTGCACACAGGTATCCACTTACCTGTATCATCCAGCTTTCTAAGGTTTGGGTGGCTGGCCTGGTACTTTGCTTCCTGTTCTTTACTTGTACTTATAGCTTCTTTCAATCTTTGGATAAAAGTTCACAAAAAAGAAAACGTTTAAAAAGGAAAAACCCCTATGACAATGTTATCAGTCTTTTCACATAATGCCTGTGTGCTAAAAATCAAATGCCTCCTCTGTGCCAAACTCCTTCTGACCAAAGTAGGGATTTCAACAGCTTCTCCCAGGAGCACAGTGGGCCAAGCAGTAAGCTTATGAAGACCCCTGCCTCAGAAGTGTGGCAGCTAAGCCAGGTGTGGTGACTCATGCCTGTAATCCCAGCATTTTGGGAAACTGAGGTGGGAGAATTGCCTGAGCCCACGAGTGTGAGATCTGGGAAACATAATGAGACCTTGTCTTTACTGAAAAAAAAGAAAAAAAAAGCAGTGTAGCATCGAGTTAGGTGGCCCTCTCTCAGGGAAACCTGGATTCCTAGGACCAGGCAGATGAAAAGCACATGGAACAACCAAACCGGTACTTTAGACTACAGTCAGCAAACAATGACCTGCTGATCACATCTGGCTCACCTCCTGTTTTTGTACTGTTTCCCCGTTCTTTTTTTTTTTTTTTGAGATGGAGTCTTGCTTTGTCACCCAGGCTGGAGTGCAGTGGCGTGATCTTGGCTCACTGCAACCTCTGCCTCTCGGGTTCAAGTGATTCTCCCGCCTTAGTCTCCCGAGTAGCTGGGATATTACAGTTATAGGCAGGTGCCACCATCCCCAGCTAATTTCTGTATTTTCAGTAGAGATGGGGTTTCACCATGTTGGCCAGGCTGGTCTCTAACTCCTGATCTCAAGTGATCCACCCACCTCGGCCTCCCAAAGTGTTGGGATTACAGACATGAGCCACTGCGCCTGGCCCCAAGTTATTTTTATTATGGTAAAATACACAAAACAAAATTTCACCTGTTTTTATATGACCATGAGCAAAGAATGGCCTTAGAGATGACCATGTGCACCTCAGATGACAAACTTAGAACCTCAAGAGTTTCATTCCTCTCATTAGTGCACTTATATTACCAGAATACTGTACTCAACTATTACTGTTTTTGTTGTTGTTGTTTGAGATAGGGTCTCTCTCTGTCACCAAGTTTGGAGTATAGTGGTGCAAACACTGAAGTCTCTAACTCCTAGGCTCGTGATCCTCCCACCTCAGCCTCCTGGGTAACTGAGACCACAGGCACTCACCACCCTGCCTGGCTTTTTTTTTTTTTTTTTTTTTTTTAAATTTTTTCAGACAGAGTCTCGCTCTGTCACCTAGGCTGGAGTGCAGTGGCGCAATCTTGGCTCACTGCAGCCTCTGCCTCCCGGGTTCAAGTGATTCTCCTGCCTCAGGCTCCTGAGTAGCTGGGATTACAGGCCCCCACCACACCTGGCTATTTTTTGTATTTTTAGTAGAGACAGAGTTTCACCATGTTGGGCAGGCTGGTCACGAACTCCTGACCTCAGGTGATCCGCCCGCCTTAGCCTCCCAAAGTTCTGGGATTACAGGCATAAGCCACCATGCTTGGCCAATTCTTAAATTGTTTTTTCTTTTTGAGACAGAGTCTTGCTCTGTTGCCCAGGCTGGAGTGCAGTGGCGTGATCTCGATTTACTGCAACCTCCATCTCCCGGGTTCAAGCTATTCTTCTGCCTCAGCCTCCTGAGTAGCTGGGATTACAGGTGCCTACTCAAGTGATCCCCCTGCCTCAGCCTCCAAAAGTGCCAGGATTACAGCCATGCAGGCATGAGCCACTGTGTCCAGCCTATTACTTTTTTTTTTTTTTTTTGAGATGGAGTCTCACTCTGTTGCCCAGGCTGGAGTGCAGTGGCACGATCTCGGCTCACTGCAACCTCTGCTGACCAGGTTTACACCATTCTCCTGTCTCAGCCTCCTGAGTAGCTGGGACTACAGGCGCCCACTACCACGCCCGGCTAATTTTTTGTATTTTTAGTGGAGACGGGGTTTCACCGTGTTAGCCGGAATGGTCTCGATCTCCTGACCTCGTGATCCGCCCACCTTGGCCTCCCAAAGTGCTGGGATTACAGGCGTGAGCCACTGCACCCGGCCACTGTTTTTATATTTTAAATTTTGTCACTAAAAAGTTGTGAAAGTATGTTTTTTTCTCATCACGTAAGTCCCTATAAAATATCTTTGATTTTGCTCCGTGGCCTAGTTTGCTGACTCTGGCTGTAGACAGGGATAGCTCTTGCAACTCAAAGTCATTTAGACTATGCCTGATGCCCTGCTGATCCCCGACATCCTGCTGAGCCCCCTAAGGTATGGCAGGTGCCTCCAGCTGGGAGCTGTGCCTCCCCAACAGCCTGCTCTCCTCTATCTCAACAGCAGCCTGACCACTTCGCCAGCCAATCTGGGAATCAGGGTTACTCGCAATTTTTGCCCTCCCCCTGCACAGCGCTACTCCCAGTAATCCAGGCAAAACAAACGCCCTCTTGATCTCCCACCCCCTAAGTAGCCCAGAAACCCAGCCTCTCCTTCTGCCTTGCCTTTTTTTTTTGAGACATAGTCTCGCTCTGTCACCCAGGCTGGAGTGCAGTGGCGTGATCTCCACGCACTGCAAGCTCCGCCTCCTGGGTTCACGCCATTCTCCTGCCTCAGCCTCCCAAGTAGCTGGGACTACAGGCGCCCGCCACCACGCCCGGCTAATTTTTTGTATTTTTAGTACAGGGTTTTTGTATTTTATTTTGTATTTTGTATTTTAGAGACAGGGTTTCACTGTGTTAGCCAGGATGGTCTCGATCTCCTGACCTCATGATCTGCCCGCCTCGGCCTCCCAAAGTGCTGGGATTACAGGCTTGAGCCACCGTGCCCGGCCTGCCTTGCTTTTCTTTACCTTTAACAAGGATTATGGCAATGCCTCTCAATTCAATTCCCTCCCTTCCAATCCTTACTCCCCATGGGTGCTGCGCATCTTTCTAAAGCAATACTGGCAAGCACCTCTTCAGTTAAAGTCTTTAATGACTCCCAACTTGCAAGAGCAAGTCCAGACTCCCGCAAGCTAAGGGTTTTGCAGGCCCAGGGCTCCAGCTATGGGTAGAATGCAGCAGAGCCTGGTGAATGGAAGGATTTAACACTCCAGGATTTCACCCCACGGAAGCTGTGACTGAAAGTCTAGAACACAGAACTGGCTCCTCTAAGCACCACTGTGGGCAGTGCATTGCCATGCTGGGAGTAGGAAGAGACACTTGGCTTCTGAGTCTGCCTGGCCACCTTTCAGCCTGCACATCTCAACGCTGGCTTTATTCTTTCTATGTGCCATCACATATATACTGGTAATACATAAATGAGGAAAACAATGGTTTCTTTGTGAAAAATGGCTCCCCCACAAAGAAAGCCAATTTTTTTCTTTTTCTTTTTTTGAGACGGAGTCTAGCTCTGTCTCCCAGGCTGGAGTGCAGGGGCATGACCTCGGCTCACTGCAACCTCCACCTCCCTGGTTCAAGAGATTCTCCTGCTTCAGCCTCCTGAGTAGCTGGGATTATAGGTGAGCGCCACTACGCCCGGCTAATTTTTTTTTTTAGAGGGAGTTCTGCTCTTGTTGCCCAGGCTGGGGTACAATGGTGCGATCTTGGCTTACTGCAACCTCTGCCTCCCTGGTTCAAGCGATTCTCCTGCCTCAGCCTCCCAAGTAGCTGAGATTACAGGTGTGTGCCACCTTGCTTGGCTCATTTTGTATTTTTAGTAGAGACAGGGTTTCTCCATGTTGGTGAGGCTGGTCTCGAACTCCTGACCTCAGGTGATCCACCCTCCTTGGCCTCCCAAAGTGCTGGGATTACAGGCGTGAGCCACCGTGCCAGGCCTGATTTTTGTATTTTTAGTAGAGACAGGGTTTCATCATGTTGGCTAGGCTGGTCTTGAACACCTGACTTTGTGATCCGCCCACCTCAACCTCCAAAGTGCTGGGATTATAGGCGTGAGCCACCACGCTCAGCCAAGAAAGCCAATTTCTAGGGAGACTGAGAAAAGTGATAAGACAGTAGAGGTTTAAGAGAGGGTGGTTCCTGGTCAGAAACCAAGTCTTAAATAAGTTAGAGAATTTCAAATTAAGGGTGCATATGTGACAGGAACGCATGAGCTGTAAGTGGAAATGAGAACAAGCAGCTTGGAAAGCTGTCAGCAAGGACAAACAGGGCTTCCCAAGAGACAAAACTTCAGAGAAGGCCGAAGGGTTTGTGTGATAATGATGTACACAGGAAATGCATGACTGAACAGAAGTTTGATAGGAGAAACTTATTTTAAAAGCTTTTGAGGCCGAGGCGGGCAGATCACTAGGTCAGGAGATCGAGACCATCCTGGCTAACATGGTGAAACCCCATCTCTACTAAAAATACAAAAAAAATTTAGCCGGGCGTGGTGGCGGGTGCCTGTAGTCCCAGCTGCTTGGGAAGCTGAGGCAGGAGAATGGCGTGAACGTGGGAGACGGAGCTTGCAGTGAGCCGAGATCACGCCACTGCACTCCAGCCTGGGTGACAGAGCGAGATTCCATCTCAAAAAAAAAAAAAAAAAGCTTTTAAGTGGGCCAGGCACAGTGGCTCATGCCTGCAATCCTAGCACTTTGGGAGGCTGAGGCGGGAAGATCAGTTGAGCCCAGGTGGTTGAGATCAGCCTGGGAGACAAAGTGAGACCTTGTTTCTACAAAAAATACGAAAATTAGCAGTGCATGGTGGCCCATGCATGTAGTCCCAGCTACTTGGGAGGCAGAGGTGGGAGGGTTGCTGGATCCTGGGAGGTGGAGGATACAGTGAGCAGAGACTGCACCACTGCACTCCAGCCTGGGCGACAGAGCGAGACATTGTCTTAAAAAAAAAAAAAAAAAAAAGGCAAAGTTTTTAAGTGACAGTATTCCTGCATTTATGGATTAAAGGTTTTGACAGGATCACAAAAATTTTACTCACAATTTATTGCATTTTTTTTTTTTGAGATGGAGTCTCTGTCGCCCAGGCTGGACTGCAGTGGCTTGATCTTGGCTCACTGCAACCTCCACCTCCCGGGTTCATGCCATTCTCCTGCCTCAGCCTCCCAAGCAGCTGGGACTACAGGTGCCCACCATCACCCCTGGCTAATTTTTTGTATTTTTAGTAGAGACGGGGTTTCACCGTGTTAGCTAGGATGGTCTCGATCTCCTGACCTCGTGATCCGCCCACCTTAGCCTCCCAAAAGTGCTGGGATTACAGGCGTGAGCCACTGCACCCAGCCGCCCCCCCATTTTTTTTTTTGGTCGTCCATGTAAATATGACTACAGGCCTGTATCACCATGCCCAGCTTTAAAAATTTTTTATGTTTGTAGAGACAGAATCTTGCTATGTTGCCCAGGCTGATCTTCAACTCCTGGCCCCAAGTGATTGTCCTGCCTTGGCCTTATAAAATGTTGGGATAACAGGCATGAGCCACTGTGTCTGGCCCTGCTGGGCCCTTGAAATGGCCAACAACTTCCTTCATCCCGGCTTCCCCTGTGCTTTTACTGCCATGTGCCTGCACCAACCCCTCCTTCAATTGGTGGGTTCCCTCAAAACCTTCACCTTCTGCAAAAAGTCAGGTCCTTTGTGCAGCCTTCCTCTGTTCCCAGGGCCAACCTCCCTCTCCTCTGGGTCCCCACTGCATCCCTGTGGACTGTCTGCCTCCCCCATATCTTCCAACAGACAGACTGCATTCCTGCAGCTTCTGCTCCCACAGAACTGCAGAGTGTGGGTGAAAGTTTTGCTTTCTTGAATTTACTAAGAGATGGCAAGAATGCTACAACTGATTGGGGCTAATCTAGGGGCAGGCCAGGCAGGGTACATGACTTTGGGGACCTTGACGGGAACGCATCAGCTTTAAGTGGAAATGAGAACAAGCAGCTTGGAAAGCTGTCAGCAAGGACAAACAGGACTTCCCAAGAGACAAAGCCCACCTCACTGAAATAACTATGGCTGCCTCACTGATGGAAGCCTTTGCTGGGAAGCCCCTGAGTTTTCATGATGCTCCAAAAAAAGAAAACTGCCCCTGGAGCCACAGGACTTCCATGGCTTTCATAGCTATGTTCAGGGATGCAGGGGCCTCCAAGAGCCCCAGAAGCAGCCTTTGTGAAGAGGTATGTAGGATGTGGAAGGGTGTGAAAGGGTGCTAGTCACAAACTTGCCAGCTTCCCACTCCTCCAAGGGCTCACTCTGCTCCTGAGTTTGTACATGGAGGATGTCTTAGACCAAAACAAATGAACATCCTACCTTCTCCTATGGCAATTAAATGTGGCCAAAGATTAGGATATAAAACATCTTTCTGATATGTATATTGAAAAAAAAACAACAAAAAACAAGCAACGACTAGAACTGGAGGGAAATGGCGGATGTTTAAAATTAGGGTTGAGCTGGAGAACCCAGAATGGTGATTATGGCTGAGCCAAAAAAACCAACCAACCCTCATAACCTTAGCTAGTGCCTCCCCAGGGCACTCACTGAGGCCGGCAGGTTCCCAGGGCCAACTCTGCAGGTCCCTCCTGCAGTACTTTTTTTTTTTTTTTTTTTGAGATAGGGTCTCACTCTGTCACCCAGGCTGGAGTAGACTGGTACAATCATAGCTCATTGTAGGCTCAACCTCCCTGGGTTCAGGTGATCCTCCCACCTAAGCCAAAAGGTCGGGTCCACCTCAGCCACCTCAGTAGCTGGGACCACAAGCACGTACCACCATGTCCGGCTAATTTTCGTGTGTGTGTGTGTGTGTGTGTGTGTGTGTGTGTGTGTGTGTGTGTGGCTAATTTTCGTGTGTGTGTGTGTGTGTGTGTCTGTGTGTGTCTGTGTGTGTCAGAGTCTTGCTCTGTCGCCCAGGCTGGAGTGCAGTGGCGTGATCTCAGCTCACTGTTGCAGTGGCGTGATCTCAGCTCACTGTAAGCTCCGCCTCCTGGGTTCACGCCATACACATTTCTCACCCTCCCGAGTAGCTGGGACCACAGGCGCCCGCCACCACACCCGGATAATATTTTGTATTTTTAGTAGAGACGGGGTTTCACCGTGTTAGCCAGGATGGTCTCAATCTCCTGACCTCGTGCTCCGTTGGCCTTGGCCTCCCAAAGTGCTGGGATTACAGGCGTGACTCACCATGCCCGGCCTTTTTTTTTTTTTTTTTTTTTTTTTTTTTGAGACAGAGTCTCACTGTTACCCAGGCTGAGGTGCAGTGGTGCAATCTCCGCTCACTACAACCTCTGCCTCCCAGGCTTAAGGGATTCTCCTCCTCAGCCTCCCAAGTAGCTGGGGCTACAGGCAGGCACCACCATGCCTGGCTGATTTTTGTATTTTTAGGAGACACTGGGTTTCACCATGTTGGCTGGCCTGGTCTCACACTCCTGACCTCAAACGATGCACCCGCCTCGGCCTCCCAAAGTGCTGGGATTACAGGCCTGAACCACCATGCCCAACTTCATTTTTGTGTTTTTCTGTAGAGACGGGGTTTTGTCATGTTGCTCAGGCTGGGATCAAGTGATCCTCCTGCCTCAGTCTCCCAAATTGCTGGGATTACAGGCATGAGCCACCATGCCTGAACCTCTCCATAACTCTTGATGGCTTCGCCTGCCTGTTCTTTCTGCCATCACCACCAGCTTTGTTACCTACACTGGTTTCTCCCCAGCCCCACTCTGAGTTTGAAGTAGTTATCTAATTTCCTCCCTGCCACACCCTACATCTTGATCTGGGTGGTGGCCACACTAGTGTACACAGGTTCACAGTCACTGGCTCTCCACTTAAGATGCACATATTTTACTGTACCTTAGTGATGCATTAAAAAAAACGGCTCTGCAGTTAGGTGTGGTGGCTCATGCCTGTAATCCTAGCACTTTGGGAGGCCGAGGTGGGAGGACTGCTTGAGGCCAGGAGTTCAAGACCAACCTGGCCAACACAGCAAGACCTCATCTCTTAAAAAATAAATAAATAAAATGAAAAAGAAAAGCTCCACATTACAGAATTAAAACAAAGAGAGAGGCCAGGTGTGGTGGCTCACGCCCATAATCCTAGCACTTTGGAAGGCTGAGGCGGGCGGATCATCTGAGATCAAGAGTTCGAGACTATCCTGGCCAACATGGAGAAACCCCATCTCTCCTAAAAATACAAAAATTAACCAGGCATGGTGACACATGCCTGTAATCCCAGCTACTCAGGAGGCTGAGGCAAGAGAATTGCTTGAACCTGGGAGACAGAGGTTTCAGTGAGCTGAGATGGTGCCACTGCACTCCAGCCTGGGCAACAGAGTGAGACTCTGTCTCAAAAAAAAAAAAAAAAAAAAAAAAAAAGCCTGGCGTGGTGGCTCGGCACTCTAGGAGGCTGAGGCAGGTGGATCACCTGAGGTCAGGAGTTTGAGACCAGACTGGCCAACATGGTGAAACCCCATCTCTACTAAAAATACAAAAATTAGGCCGGATGTGGTGGCTCACGCCTGTAATCCCAGCACTTTGGAAGGCGGAGGCGGATGGATCACGAAGTCAGGAGGTCGAGACCATCCTGGCTAACACGGTGAAACCCCGTCTCTACTAAAAATACAAAAAATTAGCCAGGCATGGTGGCAGGCGCCTGTAGTCCCAGCTACTCGGGAGGCTGAGGCAGGAGAACGGCATGAACCCGGGAGGCGGAGCTTGCAGTGAGCCGAGATCGCACCACTGCACTCCAGCCTGGGTGACAGAGTGAGACTCCGTCTCAAAAAAAAAGAATTAGCCAGGCATGGTGTGGGCACCTGTGATCCCAGCTACTTGGGAGGCTGAGGCAGGAGAATCGCTTTAACCTGGAAGGCAGAGGTTGCAGTGAGCTGAGATCACGTCTTTGCACTCCAGCCTGGGCAACAAGGGTGAAACTCCATCTCAAAAAAAATAAATAAATAAAATAAAAAATAAATAAATAAAAGAGAGAGAGAGAGATGGTTATGGAACCTGAGTTATCACATAATATCAAGCAGTTTTTCTGGGTTAAATGGAAGAAAAAGGCTATCAAACCAAAAGAATACTATGGTTACAACTATGAAAATACTGAATAAGGGGAAAATGAAATTTTCTGTTTTTGTGTTGCGGTAGGTAAAGTATAGATTGTCTGTAATGTGGCCATGTTGTTTTTGTAATAAAAACAGACACAGTGATCTGAAATACAAACAATAGTAATCTACTTCAGCAGAAACTCCATTCCTTTATCCTTGAACATGTAACACTGAAGTCTACCAAAATCTCATGAATTTTTTTTTTTTTGAGACGGAGTCTTGCTCTGTCGCCCAGGCTGCAGTGCAGTGGCATGATCTCAGCTCACTGCAAGCTCCACCTCCCGGGTTCACACCATTCTCCTGCCTCAGCCTCCCGAGTAGCTGGGACTACGGGCGCCCGCCATCACGCCCAGCTAATTTTTTGTATTTTTAATAGAGACAGGGTTTCACCATGTTAGCCAGGATGGTCTTGATTTCCTGACTTGGTGATCCACCCGCCTCGGCCTCCCCAAGTGCTAGGATTATAGGCGTGAGCCACCGTGCCTGGCCCCCAGTCTCATGTATGATTTTATATTTCGAGCCAAAACCTGAGGAAAGCAACTTCTAACTTTATTTTTTTGATTTTAATTATTTAGCTTTAAATCTTTTTTTTTTTTTTTTTTTTTTTAGAGACAGGGAGACTCTGTCACTGATGCTGTAGTGCAGTGGCACCATCATAGCTTAACTCTAGTCTCTAACACCTGGGCTAAAGCAATCCTTCCACCTCAGTCTCCCCTGTAGCTAGGAATATAGGCACGTGCCATCATGTCTGGCTAATTTTTTTTTTTTTTTAGTTTTTATAGAGACGGGTCTTTGCTATGTTGTCTAGGCTGGTCTCAAACAATCCTCCTACCTTAGCCTCTGAAAGCATGGGATTTTACAGATAAGCCACTGAGCCCAGCCTTATAATTTTCAAATAAAAATCAATGGGCGAATTGGATTAGATATGACAAATTTAGACATAAAGACTTTTTTTTTTTTTTTTCTTGAGACAGGGCCTCCCTCTGTAGCCCAGGTTGGAGTGCACCATTACAGCTCACTGCAGCCTTGATCTCCAGGCCTCATGAGATCCTCTTACCTCAGCCTCCTGAGGAGCTGGGACTACAGGTGTGCACCACAATGCCTGGGTAATTTTTGTAAAGACTGGGTTCCCACTATGTTGCCCAGGCTGGTCTCGAGCTCCTGGGCTTAAGCAATCTACCCACCTTGGCATCCTGAAGTGTCGGGATTACAGGTGTGAGCCACTGCACCCAGCCCTAAAGATTTTTTAAAGCAAAAATTATGTGAAGTGAGTCACATTTGTACAGATTACGCTGAGGTGAACACCCTCTCTTTCAAAGTAGTGGGGTCACAATTATTGGAGAAGCTATTGACAGACTAGATGTCAATCAAGTGAACATGGGATCAGGGAAGAACAGTTCCTGGTTTCACAATGTTTGAGGACAAATATCCCCTGATGAGTAACTTAAAGGGTTGTTGGATCCCTTCATGGCACTGACGTGGACTGAAAGTCTTGGTCATTTGCACTAATCCCCACTTCTGCTCCTTTATACCCAGATGGTAGAAGATGCACTCACCTGTTGTTGGGCTGGGAGGTGAGGGTGCCATTCTGTTCAGGTGGGGTCTCTACTGGTTTGGATTTGAAGTAATTGACCAGCCCCCCAAACACGCTCTTAATGCTATTGATGTGTTTCTGGCTGATCTTCAAATCTTGGTCCATCTTGTCCACCATCTTCTCTGTGCGCTCCAGGACTCCTCGCTGACGGGCGAGCTCCTGGGGAAACCGAGAGGCAGTGGCATTATAGCTTTCTGTGACTCTCCCCCAGGGCAGTCAAGGACCACATGGAGCAGCCCCTTCATAAACTCTCAGTGGGCACATCTGGAGACGGGTACTGTCATCTGTGAGGGGCACACTACCCTTTCCAACAACACATTCCTTTGCCTCTCCCTCCCTGCCCTACCTCTACTTGCTTTCCTCATTTGTTCATGAGACCCTTTTCCTGAGAGGCTGGCTCATGGCGCCATGTTAAGATGGATGGCAGAGGGTGGCGCAGTGATTCACACCCGTAATCCCAGCATTTTGGGAGGCTGAGGCGGGCAGATCATGAGGTCAGGAGTTCAAGACCAGCCTGGCCAACATGGTGAAACCCCCTCTCTACTAAAAATACAAAAAGTAGCCAGGTGTTGTGGCGGGCACCTGTAATCCCAGCTACTCGGGGGGCTGAGGCAGGAGAATTGCTTCAACCCTGAAGGCAGAGGTTGCAGTGAGCCAAGATGGTGCCAATGTACTCCAGCCTGGGCGACAGAGCAAGACTCCGTCTCGGTTGGGGGTGAGGGGAGATGGATGGCAATGTGCCTGTGAGGTTCAGAGTCTATGGCCTGAACTGGAAGCAGATTCTCTCTAGCCCTCCAACTCTGGGAACCCTCACAGGTTGGGCCTGGCACTGCCCCCTGGACTTTGGTTCTTATATTCTTCCTTTAGGAAGTTCCCATTTAAGGAGTTCCCACTGGGCCACCTGAGCCTCCTGGCCATGGTCAAATCCTCAAATTCTATTTCAAGGACCAGTGTCCCCTCTGGGCCCTATTAGTGTCTGACTCTAGCCCATCCACAATTCCAGCTTTAAAACCTGTTAACACGGGTGACCCTGTCCCAGGGCCTTTGCACACACCACTGTCTCCGCCTGTAATGTTTTCCATCCAGATACTTACATGGCTCAGCCTCTCATCCCTCATCCAATTAGGGTCTCCTTTCAAAGGCCACTCTCTCAGAGAGGCCTTCCCAGACATCTTCCCTAAAGGAGAATTCCTTCTTCCAACCACTACCCCTCTTCTCCACCTCCTTTTCTGTTTTGAGATGGAGTCTTGCTCTGTCACCCAGGCTGGAGTGCAGTGGCGTGATATTAGCTCACTGCAACTTCTGCCTCCTGTGTTCAAGCGATTCTCCTGCCTCAGTCTCCTGAGTAGCTGGGATTCCAGGCGCCTGCCACCATGCCTGGCTAGTTTTTTGTATTTTTGGTAGAGACGGGGTTTCACCATGTTGGCCCGGCTGGTCTCGAACCACCCGCCTCGGCCTCCCAAAGTGCTGGGATTACAGGCATGAGCCACCGCTCACAGCATATGAGCTCCACGAGGCAGGGACTTGCTCTGTTCACTGCTGAGTCTCTGCAAATCTGCCCAATGGAGACGTGAGTGATGCTCTGTGGCCACAGTGGCAGCCTGATGGTCCCTCCAGAGCTGATGGTTCTGGTTGTGGATATACATTCACAACATCAACACTACCACTTTCCTTTATTTACGACAAACTTGCTTCAGTCCCTAGTTCAGAACTGATCTACAGCTGCGGCCCATCTGTGAGCTGCCTTTCCAGCCAGAAGGCTCTCGAGCTTCATTTTTCCTGCTCTGTCAGGCAGCCTCTGCCCTCAGCTGCCTTCCTCTGAATCTATCCACCCATCACCCTGTGGCTTAGCAATTACACTAACTATGCAAATGTTTTTTAGATATATTCTCTCTTGATGCCTAAAAACAAAGTCAAAAAAAATTTTAAACATCCTGGAAACCTGAAGAGCAAAATGCAACTATAAATAAATGGTTGTGGCTTCCTTAAAGTCCTTAAGGAATCAATGTGTAACCTGAGTCCTTGTTTAATGGGTGAAATTTAAAAACATAATGTATAGGCAAAAAGCTAAAACACTGGTTGGTTGAATTTACTATTAAACTTTGTTTAACTCTTGCTGGAAATAAACTTAGAACTGCTGAATTTTACAGCTTTCAACGTTTATGTTTTTCACTAGTTCACAAGAGATGTCTGAACAAACCATCAGCCTTTTTTAAGTAAAAAAAAGATGTTTTCTGGATAGTGTCACTCAGTATGTCAAGCAAATCTTGCAAGGGCTAGTTTTCAAAAGAAAAAAGAGCTGCTAATGTATCTGGCATTTCTGCTCCTTCCATCACCTCAAGTTTATCATCTTCATGTCCACACTGCGGTCTTCTCTGGAATAAGGCAGAGCTATACGTTAGGATTAACAGATTTTCTCCAGCATCTACATGTTTTTCTGACAGTCCAGTTCCAGCTAGCTTTGCAGGCTGCAGAAGAAGCTTTCCAGTAGCTGGAAAGACACTCAGAGCAGCCAGGTTGGGGACTGGGGAATGAAGAGGTGGCCAAGACTCTGCTGTCACATTAGGAGGGAGGTCCTCAGCTTCCCTGATGGTGAGCTCCTCCCATCAGGGCCAACCCACGACCACTCACCCTCCCACCCTGACCTCCTCATCTCAATTTGGAGAGCTACCTTCCCCAGTATGGACTTATTTTCTCTTATTCACAAGAGACACATTCTCTCAAACTCCCAGAGTCTGTGCTACTGTTAAGGAAACCAGATGGCTGATTTAGATGTTTAGATGGGAGCACAGAGAAGTCTGTGAGGGTGGCTTATCTTGCCTGTGAGGCTGGAAGGCCAGGCGACTGAGTGCTGCTCTGGCCTCTGGAAGTTTCTGTTTGCTGAAAGCTAGTGTTCACCAGAGGTCATGAGGCCAGCAAGGGAGGAGTTGTTTCTTCTGCTAAAATCCACCCCCAGAAGGCAGAGGAAATGACCGGACTTAATGTGCTTGTGACCTAGTTCCAACCAATGAGGAAGAAGGGTTTGACAGAGCAAACACCAAAATACCAGGAAAGAGAACACTGACAGTCTGTAAGGACAGGCCAGGCAGACACCTGTGCCCCAGCCACCACCAAGACAGGCCTCAACCGCTCCAGGTACCGAGGCAGGTCCACACCCCCCTCCGCAGAGCCACGGCCCATCTTCTCCAACTTCCCGTGGGAGAATGAGGTCCCTGAACGGACTTGGGTGGCTGCTAGGGGAGTGAGCTCCGCAGGTGCCCTCAGTGTAAAGGACGCACATGCAAAGTGCTTCCTTGTTTCAGTGATTACTAAGCATTACAGGTGATGCCCTTCTTACTCCCTTGAACCCCAACAAGAGTTCTCTCTTTGTCCACGAAACAATCCCAAGTCTCTGTCCTGATGGTGTTTACAGTCTAACAGAGAGCAAGATGAGTGAGGTTCAATCTCAGCTTTTCATTTGTTGACAACATTGCAATGCTCGGAATCCAAGAAAGGCAGATGAGTCCTTGCTTCACTGAGCTTACAGTCCTGTGGGGGAGGCAGAAACTAAAGCTACTGCACGCGTGCACACAAACACATACACACACAGAGTCACCTCTCCCTGCAGACTCTTTGTTTAGCTTAAGGTGGGGGTCAGAGAGGCTCCCTGTTGAGGCTGGAGGAGAGACTGAGAAGTTAGGCAGTCAGAAAGTTGGGGGTCCTGTCCATTTGGACTTAGTTTTCCTAAAAACAAATCACAACGAAGAGTTGGGGTGGGGCAAGGGCACCAGGCAGAGGGTGCAGCTTGTGCAGGGGCAGAGGAACCGTGTGGGGAGTGAGCGGGGCTACCCACAGGACTCGGCAGGGAACACCCACAGGATGTCACTAAGGCCTTCAAAGGGCAGCAGTGACCAACAGATCTCAACTGCAACTCGCAGCCAACACATCTTATAACATCAGGTGGGCTTCCGTGACCGAGACCTCCCCAGGTTCCTGACGGAAGGGCATCAATACTGTGTTTCTCATACTGAGCTCGTAAACTCAGGTTCTGATAAATGAGGTTCATCATAAGTAGACGGAGGCCAATCTGGAGTCAGTGAGCTGAATCTAGAAATCTGAAATTTATCTTTGTTCCATCTCTCCCTTCCCAAGGGAGTGTGCACAGGCACAAGCCTTGGCAGGGATACGTGAGCACCCATGGCAGATGCTCAAACCCGGGGCTCTGACTGTGGCAGCTGGAGTATGGGGTGGATTCAGAGACAAATCGGGTCTTAGGGTGCAGGAAAAACCACCAAGGGCAAAGGCGGTAGTGCTGGTGCCCCTCGCCGTCTGTGTGCAGGCCAACCTGGGGCTGAGCAAAAGGCTAGCTCAGCAGCTCTGGGTTGTCCATACACTCCACATTCCAAAGAGAGGTGTGGCCCTAGCCTGGTTCCTTGTTTTTGGAATATCCTGCCTGATAAGAGTGTCCTTGCTCAAGTGAGCCTAAGCTTAGACCAGGTCAGACAGACTATGCTAACAATGTGATATATGATGGTGGCCTTGGGCTACACGTTATCAGCTTGACCTCTGGTGGGGTTGGAGACTATACTCAGCCATGCCTATGTGACAGACTCCCCAAAAAACTCTGGACACCCAGGCTTAAGTGAGGGTCCTTGGTTGACAATACTCTGTGTGTGTTGTCACGCACTGCTTGGAGAAGTGTTGTCCACATGACTCCATGGGGAGAGGACAACTGGAAGCTTGTGCCTGGTTTCCCCTGGACGCTGCCCTATGCACTTTTTTCATTTGATGGTTTTAATCAGCATCTTTTCATTGTAAGAAACCATCACCATACGTGTAACAGTTCTGTGCATCCTTCCAGTGAATCAGTGAAGTTGAGGGTAGTCTTGGGAACCCCCAAACACCTCCCTACAACACTTCCCACTCTAAGAACACCTCAGAGGCAGAAAGCTGTATAGCAGATGGCCGCTCAGCTTGTCACAGCATGTTTCCTGGTCAGCAAAGCAAGGTTCCTTGGGACAATGTGGCAGCTGTGAGTGGATGTGCCCAGGAAGGAGAAGCCAGAAGCTCGAACAACCAGCCCATCCTCAGAAGGCATCCTGTTACAGCCAACAAGCCAGCAAATTGGCCTGGGATCAATGGTCTAATTCTTTTTTTTTTTTGAGACAGGGTCTCACTTTGTCACCCAGGCTGGAATACAGTGGCATGACCTCAGCTCACTGCAGCCTTGACCTCCCTGGTTCAAGAGATCCTCCTACCTCAGCCTTCTGAGTAGCTGGAACTACAGGCATGCACCGCCATGCCCAGGTAATTTTTGTATTTTTTGTAGAGCCAGGGTTTTACCACATTCCCCAGGCTGATCTTGAACTCCTGGGTTCAAGGGATCCACCTGCCTCAGCCTCCCCAAGTGCTAGGATTACAGGTGTGAGCCACCACACCTGGCCATCAATGGTCAAATTCAATCATTGATAGTTTACCAAAAATTAATTAAAAATAAATCCCGAACAGACCTAGCGGTGAGTATGTGGTCCAATGCCATTTCTCCACCAGACTCCCTCCCACCTGCTAGACACAGCCTGACATGTGTTGGGATGCATTTTCTGGTCACAGGACAGGCATTGCAACCAAGGCACACAGCTCAATGCATTCTTTCCACCCAACTCTCTCCTCCTTTTTCAGGCAATCTTCTGTTCCCTCCCTCCTTCCTTTCCTTCCCCAGGTCACTTATTCATTTGGCAACTATTTTGGGAGCGCCAATAACGCTTAAGGACATTGTGCTGAGAAGCGTGGGGGTAGAAAGTTGAGCAAGAGATGGGTAAGAGACTGCTCCTCTTCCACTGCTGACATTTACAAATTTGAGGAATTACTTAATCTAGCAGCTGCTTGTCCCCATCCATCAACTTTTGCTAAGAACTCTGGCTGCATCAGTATCACCACACGCTGCCTCAGAGGGGTGACTTTGGTCTGTACGGCCCCTCATTTGGAGTGGGCTGCTCCAAGACCAGAATCCCTGAGAATGAGGATATCACCTTTTGGCAATGTATCTACTCTAAGTTCCGGGGACACCTTGATGGCCTCTGCTCCTGGGCCAGGAGGGGTGTCCTCCTCTCTCCCACCTCTGAATGGAATGCCCAGTGTGGGTGACTGTTGTGTGCTGGAAAGACACAGAGATGGGTGGGCCCCTGCACGAGACGGTGTGGAGGATGTGCTGGCGGTGGCTGCTGAGTGCATCACGTTTGAACTCTCAAACTCTGTCCCTTTCCATTGATGTTACTGTGCCAGCCGTTCCAACCCTGGTCTAATGTTTGTTGCTGGACTCCCCTGAACCGAGATCTCGGGCCCCAGAAAACCTCAGTGGAGTTAAGTTCAGCTACAAGAGGGGAAGCAGAGTGTCCTGGGCAGGTGAGTCTCCTCCACTGGAGTGATGAAAAGGTGTACAAAAACCATGTCCAAGTAGGATGCAAATAGACTCACCAAAAGGTGTAAACAACCTCAATGCTCATCATTAGGGGACAGGCTGCATAAATAGAAGTCATTTGTTCAATGGAATACAACACAGCCAAAAAGAAAGCCCAGCTCATTACATACTAGTGTGGAACAAACTCCATTCTATTAAGCACATGCAGACCAGAATGTATACAATACTTCACTTAAAAAAAAAAACCCATTTTTATCCACGGCATTATCTCCCCAAAACACTGAAGGAGGGAAAGTGCCTGGCTGCCTTAGGGGCAGAGGGATGATAGGGAGGGAAGTGGGAGAAGACTACACCCTTTTGTATGTTTTGAAATTTTGAACCATGTGATTGGAATCTCTCTTCATAAAAATTAAACCTTAGGAAAAAAAAAAGAAGAAATCATGCTTACTAAACAGGGAAAGAGACGAGTGGCTTACAAGTCTCCCTGTAGTTCTACAAAGCGCCTACCAGGTCGGCCTGGGGAAACCGCCCTGCTCCCACTACTTCTCCTCTGTTCTTTTGTGGTCATAGCCTGTGGCCTGAGCCTTTGTGAGAAACAATCCTTGCCAGGTTTCACAGTAGGAGAAGGGCAGCTCTCTTTGCTAGAGGTGACTTAACTAAGCCATTTTCCTGCCAAGCTGGGACTGAATTATAATCTTCCCAACCTAATATAATTTGTAAAGTCCTCATCTTTGACATAAATCTGTCATGTGTTGGCATGTTTCACAGTGCTGGGGTAACCAGGCACCTAAGTTGGGTGATTAGCAGGGTATGCTGGAATTTGCTGGAAGCCACACTGTGCACTGAGGGTTGGAAGAGCTCATACTCCTCTGTTCCCATCCCAACACCAAAGGGAATGAAAGAGTGATTAGAGTGATTCAAAGACAGCTTGGAGCCTGTAATCCAGCACTGGGAGGCCAAGGTGTGCAGATCATCTGAGCTCAGGAATTCGAGACTAGCCTGGGTAACATGGCGAAAGCCCATCTCCACCAAAAATACCAAAAATTAGTCGAGTGTGGTGGCGTGCACCTGTAGTCTTGGCTACTTGGGAGGCTGTGGCAGGAGGATCACTTGCACCTGGAGGCAGAGGCTGCAGTGAGCCAAGATTGCACCACGGCACTCTAGCCTGGTTGACAGAGTGAGACCCCCATCTCAAAAAACCTCCCCCAAAACAAAACACAAAAACAAAGACAGCTTGGAGAACACTGGGTGTGGTGGAGATGTAGGTCATCCCTGACTCCCAGGGCTTCTCATAATTGAGAACTGACCCAATCCTGGAAAATTCCAACATGTTGTCTCACTGACAAGAGCACCTGTCACCTGCCCAGTCATGACCACACTGTACTTCTCACAGCAATGCCTGGCCTGGCCAAGCCTGATATGCCTGAAGTGCCACTCTGCCTCAGCTCTCACTGTCCCCACTGCATAGAAAGACCTTTGGGGGCAGCACGGGGCATGTCATCACAATCTATATCAAACTCACCACTATTACATTTTTGCCTCTCCTGCGCTATGAGACCAGAACTTTCCCTATGACCTCCAAGGGCTCCTAAGCTACCTCCTCCATCCCCTGTCCTCTAACACACCCAGTCTATCATGTCCCTCCTCTGGACCCAGGAGCTCTGTTGCTGGGCCAGTGCATTTGCATATTTTCCTGTCTTCCCTAAGAACATCCCTCATTCTCACTCCTCTTGTGTAAACCTCAGCCTTAAAAGCTAGATTCAAGTTTATCCTCTGCCACAATGCCCTACTTTGAATCATTGATTCCCTACTTCATTTGTTCTCAGTTTACAAAGATGTCTCCTTAAATAGTTGTTAGTTGAATTCCTTGGGCTTGAGATCCTCAATCATGTGACCCATTCACCAGGGCCCTAAAACCTCAGGCAATCCTCTCAAATCTAAGCCAAGACTTCCCATTTAGAATGGAACATAGGAATCCAGTAGGTATGAGATGTAAGAACTACAGGCAAAACCTCCCTAACAAGGTTAGGACCGGGCGCAGTGGCTCACATCTGTAATCCCAGCACTTTGGGAGGCTGAGGTGGGCAGATCACCTAAGGTCAGGCGTTTGAGACCAGCCTGCCCAACATGGCGAAACCTGTCTCTACTAAAAATACAAAAATCAGAGGCCAGGTGTGGTCGCTCACGCCTGTAATCCCAACACTTTGGGAGGCCAAGGCAGGTGGATCATGAGGTCAGGAGTTCAAGACCAGCCGGACCAACACAGTGAAACCCCGTCTCTACTAAAAATACAAAAATTAGCTGGGCATGGCGGCGGGTGCCTGTAAGCCCAGCTACTCAGGAGGTTGAGGCAGGAGAATCGCTTGACCTGGGAGGCAGAGGTAGCAGTGAGCTGAGATCGCGCCACTGAACTCTAGCCTGGGAGACAGAGCAAGACTCCGTCTCAAAAACAAAAAACACCAAAAAAACAAAAACAAAAACAAAAACAAAAAAATTAGCCAGGTGTTGTAGCAGGTGCCTCTAATCCCAGCTACTTGGGAGGTTGAGGCAGGAGAATCATTTGAACTGGGGAGGTGGAGGTTGCAGTGAGCCGAGATCACACCATCGCACTCCAGCCTGGGTGACAGAGTAAGACTTTGTCTCAAACAAAACAAAAATAAAAAACCAACAGTTAAACACAGGGAGGTGGGCTAGGTGCAGTGGCTCACGCCTATAATCCCAGGACTTTGGGAGGCCGAGGTGGTGGATCACGAGGTCAAGAGATCGAGACCATCCTGGCCAACATGGCAAAACCCCAACTCTATTAATACCAAAATTAGCTGGGTGTGGTAGTGCACGCCTTAGTCCCAGCTACTCAGGAGGCTGAGGCAGGAGAATCACTTGAACCCAGGAGGCGGAGGCTGTAGTGAGCCAAGTTGGTGCCACTGCACTCCAGTCTGGTGACAGAGCGAGAATCTGTCTCAAAAAAAAAAAAAAAAAACCACAGGGAGGTGGATCAATGAGGGATACATGAACAGAGAGAGGTGGGGAAGGGAATTAACCCAAGAAAACAGCAAGGGGAAATGATAGCGTGTTGCTCTGTCGCCCAAGCTGGAGTGCAGTGGTATGAACATGGCTCACTGCAACCTTGACATCCTGGGCTCAAGCGGTCCTCCTGCCTCAGCCTCCTCAGTAGCTGCACTCACATGTGTGTGCCACCATGCCTGGCTAATTTTTCAAATTTTGTAGAGACGCAGTTACCCCTGCTGGTCTCAAACTCCTGGGCTAAAATGATCTGCCTACCTCAGCCTTACAAATTGTTGGGATTACAGAAGTACAACCGCGCCTGGCTTATACATTTTTTTAAACCTTTTTTTTTCTCTGTCCAAACAAAACTGTTTCATTAGCAGGCTGAAGAGAGACTGTGGTGTACAATAAAGAATCATTCTCGACCGGTATGGTGGCTCACGCCTGTAATCCCAGCCCTTTGGGAGGCCAAAGCGGGCGGACTGCCTGAGGTCAGGAGTTCCAGACCAGCCTGGCCAACGGGGCAAAACCCTGTCTCCACTACAAATACAAAAAAAATTAGCCGGGTGTGGCGGCGCACCTGTAGTCCCAGCTACTCGGGAGGCTGAGGCAGGAGAATCGTCTGAATCCCGGAGGCGGAAGTTGCAGTGAGCCCAGATCATGCCACTGTACCCAAGCAAGGGCGACAGAGCGAGATTCCATCTCAAAAAAAAAAAAAAAAGAAAAAGAAAAAGACCCTCCAGGATCTCGGTCTGTTGCCCATGCTGGAGTGCAGCAGCACGATCTCAGCTAACTGCAACCTCTGCCTCCCGGGTACAAGCGATTCTCCTACCTCAGCCTCCTGAGTAGCTGCGACTACAGGCGCACCGCCACACCCGGCTAGTTTTTTTTTTTTTTTAATTTTAGTGGAGACAGGGTTTCACCATGTTGCCCAGGCGGGTCTCGAACTCCTGAGCTCAGGCGATCCGACGCCTAGGCCTCCCAAAGTGCTGGGATTACAGGCGTGAGTCACTGCGCTCGGCCAGAATAATTGTTATTGAAGGTACTACTCTCTGAAATCTAAGGATGGGAAGAACTGATGAAGATGAGTTGGAGCAACAAACTCTTAACCCGCACACTATTTGTCTAGGATTTGGGAAGTAAAGGTAAGACCCTGGACTCAATCAAACCCAGGCTTTGGTCAACTAGGCAGCTGTCTGGGCTGAAGGGACTTCAATACCTCTATTGGTTGGTTAGGTGGAGATGTCAATGATGCGGGAAGAACTCGTGGACCACCTGCCCTGATGCTTCAGGGTATCACCTGACACTCGCAGGCACATAGTCCTCTCTTTCTGGCTCACTCCGGAAGGAATGGCCAAAACCCTGTGCCAGATTTTGCACAGGAAATAATGTCGAAGAAACGGACTCTCCATTTCCCAAACCTAGGACCTGCTGTTCAGAATTTTTACTCACCTGGACAGAAAATAATCTGGCGTTTCCCCGTGAGCTAGGCGTAAGAAAAAAAAAATCAACGAAGCAGACTAATAGCTAAGGAAGATTTCTGGGGTAAACTGCCCTCTTCAAGTACTCCAGATGCACATACCTTTACATAGTTAACAGATTGTTACCACCATCGAGTCACTAAGGTGCAAGAATCTATGCTAGGCAACTTGAGAATTCTCAAAAGATTGTGAGCAAAACATTTCTCGTCTCCGTTTGACAGCACAGAGACCGGCGAGTCCACACCAGCCCTGCCCCAGGCTCACCTCGGAAGAGGCGACCCCAACCTTCTCGGACTCGTACATGAGGGCCAGGGACCTGCTGGTGCTGGCGGCCGTGGCCTCAGCCCTGCGGAGGACCTCCTGCCGCAAGTACTGCTGCCTGTCCGCGGGCGCGTCGGGCCCGTCGGGGAGGTCTCGGGCGTCCCTCCAAGGGGCCGGCCGGGCGCCTTCGTCCTCCCCGTCGTCGTCGAACGGATTGTAGCTTTTAGGGTAAGCTGACATGGTGCCGGCGCGGCTCTCGGTCTGGGAAACAGAAGGAGGAGCCCCACTGCCGCCGCCGTCCAGGGCCTCGCCCCGCCCGCCGACCCCGCGGTCGTCGCGCGAACTCCTTCCGCGCGTCGCGCGCAGGTGGCCCCGCCCTCGGAGCCGACCATCGCGCAGGTCGGCTGGGGGGGGCCCACATCCGGCGCGCGCAACCGCAGCCTACTGTCCATCCCCTCTCTCCCCTGCAGCGGTGGGCCCGCCCCGCAGCCACGCCCTATCTAGTGTCAGCAACTGAGAGGTCACGTGGCGGGAAAGCCGGATGCACCTACGCCTGCGCCCTGAGGTCGGGCGCTCGCGGGCCAGGAGCGGGGAGCCGGCGGGCAGCGCCGCGGCTCGTGAGGTGATGGCGGCGGCCCCGGCCCGGGGAGGCGGAGGCGGAGGCGGAGGCGGCGGCGGCTGCTCCGGCTCCGGCTCCAGCGCCTCGCGGGGCTTCTATTTCAACACGGTCCTGTCACTGGCCCGCTCCCTGGCGGTGCAGAGACCAGCATCCTTGGAGAAGGTAACGTCGGCGGGCTGGGCCGCGGGCTGACAGGAGGAGGGGCTGGGGTGACGAAGCGTGGAGGCGGGACGAGGGTCTGTGGGAGGCCGAGGCTGGGCTCGCCGGCAGCCTGTGCGGGAGGGGGCGCCTGAGCGGAGGGATCTAGCGGGGGAAGGAGGCCCTAGTGGGAGGGGCTGGTGAAGAGAGAGGGACCGTGGGGGAAGGGTCGGCGGGGCCTGCAGGGCCGCTGCAGGTGGGTGGTTGTGGGATGGGGGTGGGGGATGTGAGCTGCTGGCCCAGGGAGCATCTTGTGACATCGCGGAGGTGGAGGCTGGATCGTGGGCGGCTGTGCGGAGCAGTGGGATGAGCCGAGGACCAGGGGTCAAGACCTGGGGTTCTGCTTCCGATTTCACCTGCTTTTTATTCCGCGACCTTGGGAAGATGGCTTTCTTGTAAAATGGGGATGCTTTTATCTGCTTTGCCGGCTTCACCGGACTGTGGTGACCAGGAGACGAAACACTGTCTTGAAAGTGCTTTGTGACTGTAAACCAACTGCGCAGTGTTATTCTACGAGGCTGGGGGCGTTAGGTTGGGTAAAAGATTGTGCGTTTGCAGAAGGGACAGTGGCAGGGAAAGGAGAGTGAACTGTCAGTGGGCAGAGAAGTGAACTTGGAATTGCTTCAGAAGAGAAAGGTGAAGTCATGCCAGAGCAATCCTCATCTTGGGAGAAAGGTGAAAGGCAACTCAGTGGTGTGCCTTGAGATCTGGAAAGAGACAGATTTTAGAGTGGGACCTGAATTTGTTCCCTGCACTGGCACTTACTTACCATGTCCTCTTGGGTAAATTTAACTCTTAGAGCCTCTGTATCCTTATCTGTAAAATGAGGTTGTTCTTGAGAATTAAATGAGTTCTAGCATAAAGCATCTTGCACAGGTCAAGGCACAGAGTGGGTGAGCAGTAAATGTCAACTTTCTTTGCCCACCCGTGTGCGATGAGACTCAGCACAGTGTTTAGCTCTGAAAGGATGGAATTATTTTCCCACTCAACTTTTTGGCACATGGAGAGAGGATGTTTTCCGACAAGATAAGACAGTGGTGACCGGAGACCAGCCTGCTGCAGTTGGGAGTGGTTTTGTGGCTGTCTGCTGATGGATGAAGCTGAAAGGCTGTTTTAGGCACTTTTGGCAGAGTGACCTGGTCCTTGGCCTTGTCGGTTCTCATATTTGATTTTATCATGCACCTTCGGGGTGAGAAGGTCCCGGCAGATTGGTGCTAACCTGACTTCTAGCTAAAGAGGGAGTACAATGCAATGGAAAGGACATGAGTTTGGAAAATGGAACCTCTGAATTTAAATCCTGTATCACTTGCTTTCACTAGTGTGACTCTAGACAGGTCAGTTCCCTTCTCTGATACTTTGCTATCTTCTGTCAAATACAAGGTAGTACTTCATAGGAGTATTGTGAAGAGCAACAAAAAGGCACGTGGGTACCTAATGTATGAGCACTGTTATCATTAGATAGTCTGACTAATGGAGTGTAGTGCTGTTTTATTGAATCAAACTCATGCTAGCTAGTCAGCACATTCGCTTCTTAGCAGGAGAGCCAACAAATATATCTTATGACTGATTGCTGGATTCTGGGAGGAGAGAGAAGAGAATGCAGTGAATTGGATGATCTTTAAGAAGCTGGTCCTGCAGCTCCAGCAGTGGTAGCACCCTTTCCACTCAGTAACTCAGAAAAGGGCACCTTGAGCTCAATTTGCTTCTTCAGCCATGTTCACTAGTCACGAGAACATTCTGTAATTGCAACATTCTTAGCTTTGTAGTAATAACTGCTTCAGTTGTCAAGATTATATTTTATGATGGGGCACGGTGGCTCATGCCTGTAATCCCAGCACTTTGGGAGGCTGAGACAGGCAGATCACTTGAGGTCGGAGTTTGAGACCAGCCTGGCCAACATGGTGAAACCCTGTCTCTGCTAAAAACCCAACATTAGCCAGGTGTGGTGGCACGTGCCTCTAATCCCAGCTACTTGGGAGGCTGAGGCAGGAGAATCGCTTGAACCTGAGAGGCAGAGGTTGCAGTGAGCCAAGATTGCGCCATTGCACTTCAGCCTGGGTGACAAGAGCAAAACTGTCTCAAAAAAAAAAAAAAAAGAAAAAGATTATATTTTACAAGGAACACAGCCATAGCCACAGGTTGGCAGCTCCCTAATGCCACTTACTTTAGGAAGTACTTCAGTCTCATTGGCAACATTTACCAATCACTTTTTTGGTTTTTTTGAGAGGGAGTCTCGCTCTGTTGCCCAGGCTGGAGTGCAGTGGTGAGATCTCGGCTCACTGCAACCTCTGCCTCTCAGTTTCAAGCTATTTTTCCACTGTAGCCTCCTGAGTAGCTGGGACTACAGGCGTGTGCCACCACCCCGGGCAAATTTTTTAGTATTTAGTAGAGACGGGGTTTAGTATTTAGTATTTAGTGGAGACGGGGTTTCACCCTATTGGCCAGGCTGGTCTTGAACTCCTGACTTCAAGTAATCCACCCGCCTTGGTCTCCCAAAGTGCCGGGATTACAGGCATGAGCCACTGTGCCTAGCTATTACTAATCACTTCTGTGAAGAAGAGTGAATAGAGCAGCACTGGGGCTGCTGTTTTTACAAGAGCCTGCTTACAAAGTTGGCCTTTGGCTGGCATCTGGGAAATAAGCACTTGAATGCTTTCCTCAATCCTGTAACTATTAGTAATAAAGATGGTTCACTATGCCTAGATCCTTTTTACAAACTATGATTTATGTTGAATACCTGCTTTCCTTCTGGGAATCTGATGGCTAGGCTGGTGGTGCATAAATTAAAAACTTAGGGTGCTGATTCTCTAATGGACTTTCCTGGGCACAAACTGCACACATGTATTGAATATTTTGCTGCTGTAGCAAGGAGCAAGCTTGATGTATATCCTCACAGGAGGGAGAGAACATAAGGAAGCCTGTGCATGGGTTTCTACAGGCAGCCCTGACATGCTTTTAGTGACACTTGAGGTCCTTTCCTATTGCTGATATCCATTCACTGTAAAAAATTTAGCCATGAGTACAACTATATACATGTGGGCAGTCTGGGGACCCCTGAAGCACCTTATTTCATAGAGGAGGCTTCTGTAAGTGGCTGACCCCATTAAATATATGTGAATTCCTCTCATCCTTATCTAAGATCTTGCGACTTGATTATGCTAGGGATCATTGTTAATATGTAGTCCCTGGCACATGTATACATATGTAACAAACCTGCATGTTGTGCACATGTACCCTTGAACTTAAAGTATAATAAAAATATATATATATAAAATATGTAGTCCTATAATATGTGTTTTACTACATTCCTCCTTTTGAAGCAATTGACAAAAAGCCCTTAGCATTCCCAAGGAAAAGTTTCTTGTTCTTTTTTTTTTTTTTTTGAGACAGTTTCACTCTTGTTGCCCAGGCTGGAGTGCAGTGGCATGATCTCGGTTCACTGCAACCTCCACCTCCCGGGTTCAAGCGATTCTCCTGCCTCAGTCTCCTGAGTAGCTGGGACTACAGGCACCTGCCACCACACCCAGCTAATTTTTGTATTTTTAGTAGAGATGGGGTTTCGCCGTGTTGGCCAGGCTGGTCTCAAACTCCTGACCTCAGGTGATCCGCCCACCTCGGCCTCCCAAAGTGCCAGGATTGCAGGCGTGAGCCACCACGCCCGGCCAAGTTTCTTGTTCTTAAGAGTAAAGGAATTTTAGAGTACGCACCTGAGATAATAAAGATGGAGACTTATAGGGGGAGATGAGTATTTAAAACCCAATCCCTCCCCTTCTCTCTTCCCTCTTCCCCTTCTCTTTGCTTCTATTTTTTTCTCTTCTTTCTTCCTGAGAGATTGGAGGACTGCGTGGGGCTTGATCTAGATAGGGTTGACCTGGCGAAGGCTAAGTTTGCAGAACCAGACCTCACATCTCAGCTCAGACATTGGTAACTCAGGCAGCCCTGACATGGTTTTAGTGACACTTGAGGTACATTAATGACATAACCTTCCCTACCTTTGTCTCTCTACATGCCACAGTTGTGTTTACTTACTCTAGTCACTCACTCTAATCCCAGTCCATGAAACCAAGCCTATTACTGCTCTGTGGACTTTACTTAAAAAAAAAAATTACCTTAGGCTGGGCACAGTGACTCACGCCTGTAATCCCAGCACTTTGGGAGGCTGAGGCAGGCTGATCGCTTGAGGTCAGGAGTTTGAGACCAGCCTGGCCAACATGGTGAAACCCCGTCTCTACTAAAAATACAAAAATTAGCCAGGCGTGGTGGCGGACGCCTGTAATCCCAGCTACTTGGGAGGCTGAGGCCAGAGAATCACTGGAACCCAGGAGGCTGAGGTTGCAGTAAGCCGAGATCTCACCACTGCATTCTGGCTTGGGCGACAAACGGAGACTCTGTCTCAAAAAAAACAAAATTACTTTCAGAAAACATTTATTGAGCTCCTGCTGCTCCTTGGTATGTGCTAGGCCCCAGGTAAATCAGAAGCAGTGTTAATTTGATTGCTCAGGTGAACAGCAGCAAGTCAGCCTTGCTACAAGTTTCCCGTCTACTCTTTTTTTTTTTTCTCTTTCCTTTAATGAACCAATGAAATACCATAAATCCCATCTACTTTTTTTTTTTTATTTAATTAGAGATGGGGGTCTCACCATCTTGCCCAAGCTGGTCTCAAATTCCAGGGCTTAAGGGATCCTCCTGCCTTCGCCTCCCAAAGTGCTGGGATTACAGGTGTGAGCTACCCCAACCTGACCAAGATCCCATTCTACTCTCATATTTCAGGTCTGGTGACTAGACTCCTGCCATGTTCCCATAGCCAAAGCCAAGACCCTTGAGCATCTGTTCTGATCCATGGCTGAGCTTTGAGCTTTTCCTGCTAGGCTGTGCTTTAGACTGGGGTCCCACCCCCAGGATTGGAACCCACCTCAGAGGACACTCTGTCTGTGAAGCCCTTTGAACCAAATCCTACCCAGTCCTCAGCCCTCTCCCTCTGGGAGAAAGATAAGAAGAAAAAAATAGGCAAGAAAGAAAGTGAGGCTTTTCAACATTGGGATCTCCATATACAGTTGGCTTCCAGACTCCTCCTTCCTGATTTCTATCTGCCCGCTAGTCTTGTTCTGCTTTCCTGGTTCTCACCTGTCTTCAGAATGTTGCTGAGCCACCCCTACTAAGCTTCCTCCTGGCCCTGCCTGGTTAATCTTCCTTTGTCAGGGAAGTTCAGTGGCCTGTTTGTGTCTCTCCTCTATAGGCCTGTATTAAACCAGTGGGCCCTCGATCCTGGGATACCGAGAGTCATGGGCAGAGCTGCAAAGTAGATAGCATTCCTTGTCCTTCTATTCCTCTCCCCACCCTCAGGAGGCTTTGATCAGAGCCCTTTTTCCATGTCCTAAAATGTTCTCTTTGTTTTCTTCAGTTAGAATGCCAGAATCCTGAGGTGTCGTAGCTAACTATTGATCTGGTTTTTGAAAGAAAATAGAGACGGAGTCTCACCATTTTGCCCAGGCTGGTCTCAGATTTCTGGGCTCAAGTGATTCTCTTTTCTTGGCCGCCCAAAGTGCTGGGATTACAGGTGTGAGCTGCTGCACCCAGCCCGATCTGATGTTTAAATGGCACTGCGGCATTAGGGACAGGCTGAACCCTCCTTGGTGGACATATGTGCTCCATAAGATGAGTTAATTCTAATCTGTAGTTGGGAGAATATGTGGCTTGGTGCTTAGGGTAGTGGGCTTTCTGGAGTTCATGGTTATTCAGTCTGTACTTTAGAGTGGTCTGCCATGGAGTAAAAATCATAGTGTTGGCGTTTTTCCAGTATCATGAAGCCAAGAATTTCCTATCCTCTTTCCCTTTGCTTTGTGAGGCTATGTTAAGAAGAGCCATCCGTAGAGCGAGAGGAGAGAGATAATGAGGGTCAGCGGAGGGTATACGCGGTGCCAGAATCATTGTTATTAAATCAACTAGAAAATATTTTAAGAAGAAATTGGAAGAAGAAAAAATCTTTACCTGTAACCATGCCATATTAACTATTAGTTTGCTAGGCTGCCATAACAAAGTACCACAGACTGGCTTAAACAACACAGATATATTTCCTCCTCATTCTGGAAGTTAGAAGTTCAAGATGAAGGTGTCAGCAATGTTGATTTCTTCCGAGGCCACTTTCTCCCTCTGCCTTCACGTAGCCTTCCCTCAGTGCCCTCCTGTGTCACCAGCTGTTTGTCTCCCCAGGGGGCAGAAATGTTCTATTTCTCACTCCTTACTGCAGATTCTCTTTTCTGCTGTCTGTGTTTGCAGTTTGCACTCATTGGAGGTGTGGTTGCCTCTAATCTTTCCCACCAGCAGCTATTTCCATCATTGACGTCAGTTGCTGAAATTTATGCATTTTATCTTCCTGATTGCTTATTTGTTTATTTATTTATTTACTTTTTGAGATGGAGTCTTGCTCTGTCACCCAGGCTGGAGTGCAGTGGCGTGATCTCTGCTCACTGCAAGCTCTGCCTCCTGGGTTCATGCCATTCTCCTGCTTCAGCCTCCCGAGTAGCTGGGACTACAGGCGCCCGCCACCACGCCCGGCTAATTTTTTGTATTTTTAGTAGAGACAGGGTTTCACTGTGTTAGCCAGGATGGCTTATTTATATTTTTATTTTTGTATTTGCTTTTGTTGTATATGTTGGCATGCTGGAGAAAAGCTTGGCCTTTCATGAACATTGCCAAGTTGGCCAGAACGCTACTTTCATTTGTGTGGTAAACTGACAAATAAATACAGAGTTGAGGCAGAAATCCTCAGGTCTCACTTGCATTTGTTTATTGAGTCCTGAGAGGCTCTGTCTCTGCTGCAGAAGCCATTCTCTTTTCCTGAATGTTTTTCTGTGTTTAAAGCTTATCTGGAAGCCTGGATTCAGGATAACCAACGCAGCCGGGCACAGTGGCTCACGCCTGTAATCCCAGCACTTTGGGAGGCTGAGGCAGGCACATCACCTGAGGTCAGGAGTTCGAGACCAGCCTGGCCAACATGGTGCAACCCTGTCTCTACTAAAAATACAAAAATTAGCAGGGCGTGGTGGTGTGCGCCTGTAAGCCCAGCTACTTGGGAGGCTAAGACAGGAGAATTGCTTGAACCCGGGAGGTGGTGTGGTGAGCTGAGATTGCACCACGGCACTCCAGCCTGGGCGACAGAGCAAGACTCCGTCACACAAAAAACAACAACAACAACAAAAAAAACCCAAGGCTATACTATTATGAAAGCAAAAGATGGCACCATCCGTTCATATGATAAATCTTTGGGGGTTTGCTGTGTTGCAGGCACTGTGCTAGGCCCTGGTATTAGAGGGGTGGATAAATAGACATTAAAAAAAAAATAGATAGGGTCTCACTGTGTTGCCCAAGCTGGTCTCAAATTCCAGGGCTCAAGCCGTCTGCCCACTTCGGCCTCGCAAAGTGCTGGGATTATAGGCATGAGCCACTGTGCCTGGCCTAGACATTTTTAAAAATAGAAATTACATTTTTTTGGAGACAGTTTTGCTTTTTCACTCAGGCTGGAGTGCAGTGGCATGATCATAACTTACTACCACCTTGAATTCCTTGGTTTGAGGGATCCTCCTGCCTCAGCCTCCCAAGTAGTTGGGACTACAGGCACGCACATTGTACCTGGCTAAGTAAAAAAAGAAAAATTTTTTTAGAGATGGGGTCTTACTATCTTGCCCAGGCTTAGCTCAAACCGTGGGCTCAAGTGATCCACTCACCTCAGCCTCTCAAAGTGCTGAGATTATAGGCTTGAGTCACTGTACCCAGCGAAAATTTTAAAAAATTTTAGTAGGCCGGGCGCGGTGGCTCACACCTGTAATCCCAGCACTTTGGGAGGCCGAGGCGGGCGGATCACGAGGTCAGGAAATCCAGACCATCCTGGCTAACACGGTGAAACCCCGTCTCTACTAAAAATACAAAAAATTAGCTGGGCGTGGTGGCCTGTAGTCCCAGCTACTGGGGAGGCTGAGGCAGGAGAATGGCATGAACCTGGGAGGCGGAGCTTGCAGTGAGCTGAGATCACGCCACTGCACTCCAGCCTGGGTGACAGAGCAAGACACCGTCTCAAAAAAAAAAATTTTTTTTTAAATGAGTATTTATAGTCCCAGAGACCTATGGGGACTCCTTTAGCATGCGCCACCACAGTCAGCTAATTTTTTGTATTTTAGTAGAGACGGGGTTCCAGGCTAGTCTTGAACTCCTGGCCTCAAGTGATCCACCTGCCTTGGCCTCCCAAAGTGCTGGTGTTAACAGGCGAGCCACCGTGCCTGGCTTGAGTGTTTAGATTTTTGTTGTGTTACTTTAGGGAATGTTGGGCTTTGTTCTGGTCGGCAGTTGCTTGTGGTTTGATTTGATCCTTCATAGGCTAGGTTTTTCAATAGTGCTTTCTTGAGATATAATTCACATACCACAAAATTTACCCATTTAAAATGTACAGTTCATCATATTTAGTGTATTCACAGAGTTGTCCATCCATCACCATGATCAATTTTAGGTCATTTTCATTGCCCTCAAAAGAAACCTTGCTGTTACCCTGCAGCCCTACCAGCCCCATCCCTAGACAACCACTAGTTTACTTTCTGTCTCTGTAGATTTATTCTGAACATTTTGTAGAAATAGAATTCTATAAGATGTGGTTTTTTGTGGTGGCTTATTTTTATTTTTATTTTTTTTTGAGACAGAGTTTCGCTCTGGAGCCCAGGCTAGAGTGCAGTGGCGCGATCTCGGCTCACTGCAAGCTCTGCCTCCCAGGTTCACACCATTCTTCTGCCTCAGACTCCCGAGTAGCTGGGACTACAGGCGCCCGCCACTGCGCCCGGCTAATTTTTTGTATTTTTAGTAGAGGCAGGGTTTCATCGTGTTAGCCGGATGGTCTTGATCTCCTGACCTTGTTGTGATCCACCTGCCTCGGCCTCCCAAAGTGCTGGGATTACAGGTGTGAGCCACTGCACCTGCCATGATGGTTTTTACTTGGCGTATTTTCAAGGTTCATCCATGTTGTAGCATCTCATTACTTCATTTTTATTACTAAATAATATTTGTATGCATATACCATATTTTATCCATTCATTAGTAGGTGGATGTTTGGATTGTTTCTACATTTTGACTATTATAAATAACGCTGCTATGGAAATTCACGTACAAGTGTTTCTGTAGACATATTTTCATTTCTCTTGGGTCTTTAACTAGATGTGGAATTGCTGGGCCATACAATAACTCTAGGTTTAACCTTTAGAGGAACTCCAGACTGTTTTCCAAAGTTACTACACCATTTACATTCCCACCAACGGTGTACAGAGGGCTTGTTTTCTTTACATTGTCACCAACACTCTGTATTGTCTGTCTTTCCAGTTATAGCCATCCTAGTGGATGTGAAGTGGGATCTTATTATTCTGTTGTTGATATGCATTTGCCTGATGGTTAATGATGTTGAGCCAGCCTATTCTATCCTAGAACAGCCACTCTTTTGGGGTATTTGTAGATCTTCTTTGGAGATATATCTATTCAGATTCTTTGCCCAATTTTAAATTGTAGTATTTTTTTAATTAAGTTGTAATAGTTCTTTATTTTAGATAAAAGTTTCTTAATAAGATATATGATTTGCAAATATTTTCTCCCATTCTGTGGGCTTTTTCACTTTCTTCATGGTGTTCTTTGAAGTACAAAAGTTTTAAATTTTGATGATGTCCATTTTGTCATTTTTTTTTTCTTTTGTCCCTTGTGCTTTTTGTGTTGTATCTAAGAAACCACTGTCTAATTTCAAGGTCACAAAGACTTACACCTGTGTTTTTTGTTAGCAGTTTTATAGTTTAGCTCTTACATTTGAGTTTTTGATCCATTTTGAGTTAAGATTTTATGTGATATGAGATGGGGGTCCAGTTTCATTCTTTTGCATGTGAATATCCAGTTGTCTCAGCACGATTTCTTGGAAAGACTATTCTTTTTTCCATTGAGGGGTCCTGGAACCCTTGTCAAAAATCAGTTGACTGTAAGTGTGAGGGTTTATTTGGTCTGTATGTCTTTCCTGATGTTGGCTAGTATACTGTCTTGATTACTTTAGCTTTGTAGTAAGTTTTGAAATTGGGAAGAATGAGTCCTCCAATTTTGTCCTTCCTTTTCAAGATTGTTTTTGTTATTCTGGGTCCCTTGAATTACCATGGAAATTTTAGGGTTAGCATGTTAGTTTCTGCAAAGAACTCACCTAGGGTTTTGACAGGGATGGTGTTGAATTTGTAGGTTAGTTTGGACTGTATTGCTATATTGTCCCTTTTTTTTTTTTTTTTTTTTTTTGAGATGGAGTCTCGCTCTGTCACCCAGGCTGGAGTGCAGTGGCACAATCTCAGCTCACTGCAACCTCCGCCTCCTGGGTTCAAGCAATTCTCCTGCCTCTGCCTCCCAGGTAGCTGGGACTACAGGTGTGCACAACCATGCCCGGCTAATTTTTGTATTTTTAGCAGAGACAGGGTTTTGCCATGTTGGCCAGGCTGGTCTCGAACTCTTGACCTCAGGTGATCCACCCACCCTGGCCCCTCAAAGTTCTGGGATTATAGGCGTGAGCCACTGTGCTCGGCCTGTATTGCCATCTAAACAATAGTAACTGTTTTGATCTATGAACATGGGATGTCTTTCCATTTATTTAGGTTTTCTTTACTTTTAGCAATGTTGTAATGTTTCTTAGTTTTGCACTTCTTTTGTTTTTATTCATAAGTACTTTTTCTTTTTGATGCTATTTTAAATGAAATTGTTCTACTGGTTTTTTTTGTTTTTTTTTTTGAAACAGGGTCTCACTATCACTCAGGCTGGAGAGCAGTGGTATGCAGTGGTATTATCACAGCTTACTATAGCCTGGACCTCCCAGGCTTAAGCAGTCCTCCCACCTCAGTCTCTGAAGTAGCTGGGACTACAGGCACAAGCCACCATGGCCTGGCTAGTTTTTGTAGAAACTGGGTTTCACCATGTACTCCAGGTTGGTCTTGGGTTTCACCATGTACCCCAGGCTGGTCTTGAATTCCTGGGCTCAAGAGATCCACCCGCCTCAGCCTCCCAAAGTGTTGAGATTACAGGCGTGAGCCACTGCACCCAGCCTCCTGGTTAATTTCTAAAATTTTTTTTAGAGACTCACTATGTTGCCCAGACTGGTCTCAAACTCCTGGGTTCAAGCAATCCTCCTGCCTTGGCCTCCCAAAGTGCTGGGATTATTACAGTTGTTTTTCTTTTTACATTTTTATTTATTCATTTTTCTTCAACTTTTATTTTAGGTTCATGTGCAGGATGTGCAGGTTTGTTAAATGTGTGCCATGGTGGTTTGCTGCACAGATCTTCTCATCACCTGTGTATTAAGCCCAGCATCCATTAGCTATTACTTTTTTTTTTTTTTTTTGAGATGGAGTCTTGCTCTGTTGCCCAGTCTGGAGTGCAGTGGCGTGATCTCGGCTCACTGCAACCTCCACCTCCTCGGTTCAAGTGATTCTCCTGCCTCAGCCTTCTGAGTGGCTGGGATTACAGGCGCGTTGCACCACACCCAGCTAATTTTTTTGTATTTTTAGTAGAGACGGGGTTTCATCATGTTGGTCAGGCTGGTCTCGAACTCCTGATCTCATGATCCACCCACTTCGGCTTCCCAAAGTGCTGGGATTACAGGCATGAGCCACCGCACCTGGCCCCCCACCCTTTTTTTTTTTTTTTTTTTTTTGAGCCTGCACTATTGCCCATGCTGGAATGCACTGTGGTGATCTCAGTTCACTGCAATCTCTGCTTCCCAGGTTCTAGTGATTCTCTTGCCTCAGCCTCCTGATTAGCTGGGACTACAGACGCTTGCCCCCACGCCTGGCTAATTTTTGTATTTTTAGTAGAGATGGGGTTTCACCATATTGACCAGGCTGATCTTGAACTCCTGACCTAAAGTGATCCACCCGCCTTGGCCTCCCAAAGTGCTGGGATTACAGGCATGGGCCACTGTGCCTGACAGCTATTTTTCCTGATATTCTCCCTCCCCCACCTCACAGGCCCCAGCGTGCGTTGTTCCCCCCACTGTGTGTTCCTGTGTTCTCATCATTCAGCTCCCACTTATAATTGAGAACGTGCAGTATTTGGTTTTCTGTTCCTGCGTTAGTGTTTTTCTTTATTATTTTTTTTTAATAATTGAGATAAAGTTCATATAACATAAAATTAACCATGGAATAGTTTTCTTAATTTGCTCATTGCTGCGTTGTAGAAATACAATTTATTTTCTTTTCTTCTTTTCTTTTTTTTTTTTTTTTTTTTGAGATAGAGTCTTGTTCTGTTGCCCAGGCTGGAGTGCAGTGGCGCGATCTTGGCTCACTGCAAGCTCTGCCTCCCGGGTTCATGCCATTCTCCTGCCTCAGCCTCCCAAGTAGCTGGGACTACAGGCACCCGCCACCAAGCCTGCCTAATTTTTTTGTATTTTTTTTTAGTAGAGGCAGGGTTTCACTGTGTTGGCCAGGATGGTGTCTCAATCTCCTGACCTCCTGATCCGCCCGCCTCGGCCTCCCAAAGTGTTGGGATTACAGGCGTGAGCCACAGCGCCCGGCTGATTTTCGTATCTTAATCTTGTGTCCTGTAACCTTGCTGAATTTGTTTGTTAGAAGGTCATGAATCTGTCTACAGATGACCAAAGAGCATCTTTTTTATTTTGTATTTTTGGAGACAGGATTCTGCTCTGTTGCCCAGGCTGGAGTGCAGTGGCACGATCATAGCTTACTGCAGCCTCTAACTCCTAGGCTCAAGCAGTACTCCCACCTCAGCTTCCCAAGCAGCTGGGATTACAGGCACTTCCCACCGCGCTCAGCTCAAAAGCGCATCTCTAATGAAACTCTGATCCAGGGTGCTTGTAGGATCAGGTGCTGTTCCATTTACATTTGTAGGTCCATGTGTATCATGTCACAGTCACCTTTGTTTATCATGATAGCTCTGAGTCACTTCGAAAATATCAGCTTATATTCAATATTTTTTGTCTGAGGGGATGGTACATTTGAGAAAGACAATTACAAATGGTTTTAACAGAAAAATATACCATTAATACTTAAATCTTAGTCTTTTGTTCTCAGAGAATTTTGTTTCTCCAGGAAGACAATTCCCAGAGGTTTTAAATAACAAGTAGTACTCTTTTAAAAAAATCATTTAATTATCCAACTTTTATAATGCTATTATTGTAGCTTTATTTTGACCTAAATACCTTACAAATACCCTCTGTTATGGTTGATTCTCATCTGCAATTTTCTGCCCAGTCATCCAGACTTACTTTCTCCTTGAATCTTATTTTCTCCTTGGTTTAGCATTTCCTTACCTTGGCAGTCAAAATTCACATCTTTGAGATACCTGTCTTTTAATATCCTTGGGTTAAAGTATTGCCAAGAGTTCTTATCAAAGTCTAAGTCAGTCATATTTGTTGCCTCCCTGTGGTCCATTGACTTAACAACCTTTTGAAAGTGGTGGGTAGAAGCCCTCTGGATCCTTTTTGTAAATGGGAATAACCCTGGCCATCGTGGTCAGATTTTGGGCTTAATGACTTTTTATAATGACCCACTCCCCCTAAGACCCCTAAAAACAAACAACTTGCTAGTTTATTGTAAAATTCTGATTCTGAAAAGCCATTTGATGTTATTTTTCTTTTCATTTTTTCAAAGACTAGAGGGTTAATGCTTTATCCTGCATTAGGACTTTGACCTCTCTGTGTCTGTTTCATCATATGTAAAAGGGGGATGATTAATAATAGCTACCTAATGAGCTGTTGTGAGGATTAAATAAGATAATATAGATGAACACATGATAAATGTTCAATATGTGTTAGCTGTCATTATTTGGAGAATGGCACCCACCAGAACTGGGTGTGATGGTTTCTGTAGGACCCAGGTTCAAGTTTTCAGATGTCTTTCTAATAAGAGTCCCAGTTTCCAAGAGCATTTTGCTCCAGGCTTTCAGGGCCCTCTGTCGTTTAGTTTCTGACTTGTGTTATTTGCTAGTTGTATTATTTTTATTAGTTTTGTAACTCCTGCTGGATTGTAACGCTCATGAGGGAGTGACTGTACATTATATATTACTTCATTTGAGAGTTCTTCCATCCGTCCCTCCATTCATTCAGTAAGGCAGCAGATACTTGTTCAGTGTCAACTGCATGCCAGCACTGTGCCTGGTACTGACTATATGACAATTATCACAGTGTAGTTAAACCCTGCTTTCTAGTAGCCCTGTACCTCTTTTCTTTCCTCCTCACCTTATCAAATGTCTGTGACCTTGGCCGCTTTAGTCCCATTAAGTAGTTGTTAAAGTTCTGAAATGTGTAGGGTGCAGTGGAGTGATGAGGAGGTCACAGGCCTCTCTGCAGTGAGAGGATAAGTATACAAGTAACTGTAAGACATCAGGAAGGTAATTATCTTGAGAAATACAGAGTTCTATGTGAGCTATTGAGAGATATGATGGGAGATATTACATCAAGTTGCTGGGGTCTGGAAAATGTTTGAGAGTTTTGAGACAGTTGAGATGGATCTTGGAAGGATGGGTTGAATTTTTATAGGGGAGATAGGGCAGGTTGGACAAAATGTTTCAGATGGGTCAAAACCATGGAAGAGGCCAGGCAGGGAGAAATGAGAATTGATACATAGCGGCCTGGGTTTATGAGAGAAGTTTTGGGGCTGGGAGTGTGCACTGAGTGTTCATTGGGCAATGGGGAACCATTGAAGGTATATGAACCAGAAGTGGAAATATTGGAGTAGGAAGAGACAAAATGAGAAGGAAGATGTAGTTAGGAACCTGTTGCCTCAGGTGCACTTAACTTATCTGGACCTAGTTGCCTAACCTGTAAAACAGGAATAGGATAACACATGGCCTGCCTGAAAGTGAACGTTTGCTGGTTGCATCTGTGCAACCTCTCCTGACCTTAGACCTACACTTCTTCATATGTTTGGGAGTTGTCAGTGATCCTTAGGCCTGCAGTTCAGGTAAGCATATCAGTGCAGCACATGAACTTCGGTATATTCTGTATTTCTTTTCTTTTTCTTTTTTTGTTTGGAGATAGGGTCTTGCTTTGCCACCCAAGCTGGAGTGTAGTAGTGTGATCACAGCTCACTGCAGCCTTAACCTGCTAGGCTCAAGCGATCCTCTAGCAATCTTCCCTCCTCGGATCCCCGAGCATCTAGGACTACAGGGGCATGCCACCGTGCCTGGCTAATTATTAAATTTTTTGTAGAGACAGGGTCTTGCCATGTTGCCCAGCCTGGTCTTGAACTCCTGGGCTCAAGCAGCCCTCCTGCCTCAGCCTTCCAAATTGCTGGGATTACAAGCGTAAGCCCATGCCTGGCCGTATTTTTTTCTGATTCTAAAGTTATCAATATTTTTTATAGAAAATATGGGAAATACAGAAAATAATAAAGAAGGAACTAAATATTGTCTGTAATTTTTTTTTTTTTTTTTTGAGACGGAGTCTCGCTCTGTCGCCCAGGCTGGAGTGCAGTGGCGCAGTCTCGGCTCACTACAAGCTCTGCCTCCCGGGTTCACGCCATTCTCCTGCCTCAGCCTCCCAAGTAGCTGGGACTATAGACGCATGCCGCCACGCCTGGCTAATTTTTTGTATTTTTAGTAGAGACGGGGTTTCACTGTGGTCTCGATCTCCTGATCTCGTGATCCGCCCACCTCGGCCTCCCAAAGTGCTGGGATTACAGGCGTGAGCCACTGCGCCCGGCCTTTTTTTTTTTTTTGAGACAGAGTCTTGCTCTGTGGCCCAGGCTGGAGAGTGCAGTGGCACAATCTCGGCTCACTGCTATCTCCGGCTCCTGGGTTCAAGCAATTCTTGTGCCTCAGCCTCCCGAGTAGCTGGGATTATAGGCCCAGGCCACCACACCTGGCTGATTTTTGTATTTTTAGTAGAGATGGAGTTTTGCCATGTTGGCCAGGATAGTCTCGAACTCCTGGCCTCATGTGATCCGCCCACCTCAACCTCCCAAAGTGCTGGGATTACAGGTGTGAGCCACGGTGCCCGGCCTATTGCCTGTAATCTGATTACTCAGTTTGATACTTTTCTTGATAGGCAGTCCAGTAGGCTTTGAGTTTTGTTTAATTACCAGTGACCAATTACATTAGTTTCCTATTACTACTGTAAATAAATTGCCACAGACTTGTTGTTAGAATAACACGTTTATAATTTTACAGTTCTGTAGATTAGAAACACAACCTGTGTTTCACTGGACTGAAATCAAGGTGATGGCAGGGCTGTGTATCTTTTTAGAGACTCTAGGGGAGAACTCATTTCCAAGCCTTTTTCATTTTTTTTTAATATGTATATATTGAGATGGAGTCTTGCTCTGTTGCCCAGGCTGGAGTGCAGTGGCGCAATCTCAGCTCACTGCAACCTCTGCCTCCCGGGTTCAAGCAATTCTCCTGCCTCAGCATCCCGAGTAGCTGGGACTACAGGCACCTGCCACGGGGCCTGCCACCATGCCCGGCTAATTTTTGTATTTTTAGTAGAGATGGGGTTTCACAATGTTGGCTAGGCTAGTCTTGAACTCCTAACCTCAGGTGATCCACCCACTTCAGCCTCCCAAAGTGCTGGAATTACAGGTATGAGCCACCGCACCCAGCCATCATTTCCAAGCCTTTTACAGCTCCTAGAGCTGCCCACATTCCTTGATTTCTGGCCCCTTCCTTCATTTTCAAAGGGAGCAATGGTTGGCCAAGCCCCCATCTCACATCACTCTGACTCCCTCTTCTGCCTCTCTCTTCTCCTTTTAATGACCTTTGTGATTGCCCTGGGCCTATCTAAATAATCCAGGATATCCCTCCATTTCAAGGTTCTTAATTTAATTAGATCTGGAAGGTCTCTTTTGCCATGTAAAGTAACATATTCACAGCTTCCAGGGGATTGAGGGTGTGGACATCTTTGAGGTGCCATTATTCTGCCTGACATGCCAGTGTAGTGCATAAATCATGGAATCATTACATGGATCTCTGAGTTGTTCTTTTTGGTATCTTCACTTCACATTTAAAGCTATGCCTGGCTTTTAAAGTAATTTCTGAATGGTCACAGATTATTTCTATTTAAATGTTTTTAGTTGAGTGGGGATAGGGGAGGAAGGTCTGAAGTCAGAGTACCCCAGAGCCCCTCTGGGCATTTGAAAGAGAGGAGGCCCTGGCAGTCCAGAGGAATTGAGGATGGTAAAAAATGCTGCCTTCAGTTCTTTCTACTGGGTGGGGTGACCGCTGCACTGGCAGTATGGCTAAACTGTGTTGATGATGCTGAATTCTGATCCTGGGATATTGTTAGAGCCCAACCCAGAGCACCTGGCCTGAGAGAGGAAATCCATTCTTATGCTTTATGTAAAAAAGAAAGCCTTGGTGGCAGGGTGCGATGGCTCATGCCTGTAATCTCAGCGCTCTGGGAGGCCGAGGTGGGCGTATCACCTGAGATAAGGAGTTCGAGACCAGACATCTTGGTTTTGGTGGGTTTTAGCTGGCTTCTTTACTGCAGCCTGTTTTATCAGCAAGGTCTTTATGACTTGTATCTTGTGTTGACTTCCTGTCTCACCCTGTGACTTAGAATGCCTGAACTGCCTGGGAATGTAGCCCAGTAGGTCTCAGCCTCATTTTACCCAGCCCCTATTCAGGATGGAGTTGCTCTGGTTCACACGCCTCTGACAATAGCTGATTAATTTTGTTATTTTTTTGTAGGGACAGGGTCTTACTGTGTTGCCCAGGCTGGTCTCAAACTCCTGGGCTCAAGTGATCCTCCTGCCTCGGCCTTCCAAAGTGCTGGGATTACAGGCATGAGCCTTGCACCTGGCCTGGATACTTTCTAGTGTGGTAAAGAGGCAACTAAAGTAATCTCTCCCATATCCTGTCCATCATCAAGTCCTCTTAACTCTTCCTTCAAAACACATCCTGAACTGGTCTGTTTCTGTCTCTACTCGTTGATTGCTACCATGCTAACATCTTCGCCTCAGCTGCTGCAGGAGTCTCCTCAGCTGCTGCAGGAGTCTCCTCACCTGTCTCTGTTTTCACTCTTGTCCTCCAAAATCCATTTTCTGTGTATCAGCCAGAGGGATTCTTCTAGACTTCAGTTCTAAACTTGATGCCCTAAGGCCTCTATGTGTTTGTTATTAGGATACAATTCAGGCTTCTGACCTGGCCTGTGGGGCCCTCTGGGGACCTTCTCTGTCTGGACCTGAACTCCTGGGCCTCCTTGCTTCTTCTTTTCCACTGTGCTGCTGCAGCAGCAGCCTTTCCTGATTTGTCCTGGCTTCCTTCTTGATCAGATCCCAATTTAAGGAACCATCTTAGAGAGGCCCTCCCTGATCACATTATCAAAAGTTGTCTTTCAGGCACTATTGTTGGAGAAATAATGATGTTATGCCAATTTTGATGAGTTTTCAAGTCTTCGTGCTGTCTTCTAGCACATTAGTTTCATCTGCCAGGTTTGTAGTGGAATGTATCTTCTGTGTTTTAGTGCAGGGTATTGATAAAGTATTGCATAGGACAGAGCAAAGTACATAGGCTTTGATAGGGCCAGTTCTTCCCTGTGCTTCAGTGATTGACTCATTAATCAGCATTCTTTGAATCTCATTGTCTGCTTTTGCCTTCCACTAGCCACTATTATAGTATATCCAATAACAATAGATAATGTTTATTGAGCATTTACTATATGCTGTGCTCAGTCCCAACTGCTTCACACATTTGATTTTTTTTTTTGAGACGGAGTCTTGCTCTGTCGCCCAGGCTGGAGAGTGCAGTGGTGCCATCTCGGCTCTCTGCAACCTCCGCCTTCCGGGTTCAAGCAATTCTCCTGCCTCAGCCTCCTGAGTAGCTGGGATTACAGCCGCTCGCCACCATGCCTGGCTACATTTTGTATTTCTAGTAGAGACGGGGTTTCACCGTATTGGCCAAGCTGGTCTCAAACTTCTGACCTCGTGATCCGCCTGCCTCGGCCTACCAAAGTGCTGGGATTACAGGCGTGAGCCACCGCTCCTGGCCATGCATTTGATTTTTTAAAAGAGTCAGTGAGGCATTGTTAATGCAGGTTGGTTTGGGTAACCTGTTCGTGGTCAAGGGGTGGGGACACCCACTTAGACTGTCCTAACACCAAAATGCAAACTTTAGCCATTGTGTCTTACCCCCTCTGAGTATACACAGTTTTAACCTTCAGCTCATATTACTCAGAGTTTATGTGTTTTGAGGGGCACGTGTACAATTGTTTCAGCAGCTGGAGATGTCCTGTGATCTTTTAACTGAAAAAAAACTATGACTTATTGGTTACATGGACTCTTTGGGGTTTATGGTAGTGGTTTTGTTTGTTTGTTTGTTTTTGAGACAGAGTCTTGTTGTGTCACCCAGGCTGGAGTGCAGTGGCACGATCTTGGCTCACTACAACCTCTGTCTCCTGGGTTCAAGTGATACTTCTGCCTCAGCCTCCCAAGTAGCTGGGACGATAGGTGTGCGCCACCACGCCTGGCTAATTTTTGTATTTTTAGTAGAGATGGGGTTTCACCATGTTGGCCAGGCTGGTCTTGAACTCCTGACCTCAGGTGATCCACCTGTATTGGCCTCCCAAAGGGTTGGGATTACAGGTGTGAGCCACTGCACCTGGCCTATTTTTTATTTTTATTTATTTAAGAGATAGGGTCTCACTATGTTGGCCAGGCTAGTCTCAAACTCCCAACTCAAGTTATCCTCCCACCTCAGCCTCCTGAATAGCTGGTACTGCAGGCATATGACACTGCACTCAGCTTGCTTTATTTTGAATGTGGTTTTCTATTTTGTAGAGCTGTTTTTGGGGGGGTCTCATTTTCTAGGTCCAAAAGCTTCTTTGCATGTGTCCAGTGGATTTCCATGGGATCTTCCAGTTAGATGAAAGACGGAGAGATGCAGTGATTGCATTGGGCATTTTTCTGATTGAATCTGATCTTCAGGTAAGTCTTCATGAAATTAAAAGTTTCTTCATTGTAAAAGGGGGTGTAGTGAGCGTTTAAGTTTGTATCTGCTTATATTTACCTAAAGCAATAGTAGAAGAATACATTTGAACCTAATCAAAGTGGTTAGTGGAGAGGGTAGGACAAGGTGGGAATGAAACTTCCTAATGTAAACCTTCTTAGAAAATTTGAGTTTTTTAGAATTGTGTGCATATATTATGTTGTAAAAAAAGTGTATTTTTGTTTGTTTGTTATTATGTGCCACAGAGTAAGTTAAAATGCTTTGAGAAGTAATTGTGTGCCTTCCAGGGTAGGTTTGGTTTTCAAGCTCAGGTAAAATGCTTATCAGTCAGACTCAGGGGTATTGTATTTCTCCTTCCAAAAGGACAAAATCATTTTAGGTAATTTTGATATAATATCATCTTTTTCAAAATTGCGATTATGTATATAAACTTTTAGAGTATGTATCAGTGTATCTTGTTTTTTTTTTTTTTGAGATGGAGTCTTGCTTTGTCACCCAGGCTGGAGTGCAGTGGTGCAATCTCGGCTCACTGCAACCTCTGCCTCCAGGGTTCAAGTGATTCTCCTGCCTCAGCCTCCTGAGTAGCTGGGATTACAGGCACCAGCCACCACTCCTGGCTAATTTTTTTGTATTTTTAGTAGAGACGGGGTTTCTCCATGTTGGGCAGGCTGGTCTCAAACTCCTGACCTCAGGTAATCCGCCTGCCTCTGCCTCCCAAAGTGTTAGGATTACAGGCGTGAACCACGTGTGAGCCATCATGCCTGGCCTCAGTGTACCTTTTAATAGGGACTTAAAATCTAGCCCTGTAGCTCCAACAAAAAAATAGTGTGACTGTTGTGTATGTGTATTTTTATATTTACCAAAGCTATTTGAAACAAATGATTGATCATTGGATATTGAATCTTTTATTTATTTATTTATTTTTATCATTACTAGATACTATTTCTAAATTCCAAGTTAATTATGCTGTGTTAGGTAAATAAAGATGTTAGATATTTGAATATTTATCTAGAACAGGTTGCTTCCATCTCCTGGAAATTTTGCTCTAATAAGCATTAATATTTTAACAGTATTTGTACATTGGAAACAAATAAGAATTTTAATTATAGAGCAGTATTTTAATAATTAAATAGGTTACCTGATCAAGGTTACATAAAAAACCAAAATTAGATACATAAGCTACATTTTGGCCTTTCTTCTGCTATTTATTTATTTATTCTTAGAGTGTCACTCTATCGCCTAGGCTGGAGTGCAGTGGCACAGTCATTATTTAATGCAGCCTTGAACTCCTGGGCTCAAGGGATTCTCCCATCTCAGCCTCCTGAGCAGCTGGGATTATAGGCATTGGCATGATTTTTTAATTTTCTGTAGAAATGAGGGTCTTGCTAGGTTGCCCAGGTTGATCTCCAACCCTGGTCTCAAGTGATCCTCGTGCCTAGGCCTCCCAAAGTGCTGGGATTACAGGCATGTGCCACCATACCCAGCTTGCCTGTTTATTTATAAATGTGAAAAGAAAGAAAACCATTTTTTTTTTCTGTTTACCATATCCTACATAAATATAAAATGAATTATAAAGGGCAAAAAATAATTTTAAAAAAATTTATAAGAAACTATTGTTGTTCAAATGTGGATTACTTGATAATATCTTTGGCAAACACGTTTCTTGATAGATTTACCTGTAAGTCCTGAAAGTGTTGTACTTGTATTAGACTTCTTAAGATGACAACAAATAGATGAGCACAAGTGTCATTCAGGTTCTGGGTAAGGACTAGCAGGGTCCCAGGTGGCATGTGATGTTGTCCCTTGGACCATAGAGTTTGCCTGTATGTCCAGGGCAGCCCACCGGCCTTGCATATACTAGGAGAGAAGCCTAGCATGCTTTGCCAGCCCCCTGAGAAAGCCCTAGGGACCACCTTGGTTTTTACCTGGTGCTTATATTCCTTGCTTCCCTCCAGGATGGGCTGTGCATTGACCTCCTTCAGGTCCCAGCAGTGGGCTGCCATGGTAGCAGCTGTGGCCAGAGGAGCTGAGGTGGTTTTACTCACCCTGTGCTGCTAATGTCATCACAGTTTATATAGGAAAGAGCCACCTGGAGCCACTTCCTCTGCAGGAGGCCATGTGGTTCAGGCCTTATGGAGTTTTGTTCCTGTCTGTACACTAGGATCCTCGACAGATGTCTTAGCCAGTTCCTTTTTATGGTTTAGAGAAAAAACTTTTGTTTTTGATAAAGTTCTTTGTTTTTAGTTATCTATTATGGTATAACAAAGTCCCCCCAGACTTAGTGCTTAATACATCATTTTGTTTGATTCGTGAATCTGCAATTTAGACAGGGCTCAACTGACTCCATTTAGCATCGGTTGGGGTGGCTCAAAAGCTGGGGGCAGGAATCACCTGAAGTCTCATTCATGGGTCTTATCACAGCATAGTGTCTAGGTTCCAGGGCAAATGTCCTGAAAAAGAGCCAGGTGGAAGCTGCATGCCTTCTGCCATGTTTTTTTGTTGTTTTTTGTTTTGTTTTGTTTTGTTTTGTTTTGTTTTTTTGAAATGGAGTCTCTCTCTGTCGCCCAGGCTGGAGTGCAGTGGTGCCATCTAGGCTCACTGCAAGCTCCGCCTCCTGGGTTTACTTATGCCATTATCATGCCTCAGCCTCCCAAGTAGCTGAGACTACAGGTGCCCACCACCATGCCTGGCTAATTTTTTGTATTTTTAGTAGAGAAGGGGTTTCACCATATTGGCCAGGATGGTCTCGATCTCCTGACCTCGTGATCCGCCTGCCTCAGCCTCCCAAAGTGCTGGGATTACAGGTGTGAGCCACCGCACCCGGCCACCTTCTGCCATGCTTTTATGTTTTAATTTTTTTCGAGACAGGATTTCACTCTCTTGCGCAGGCTGGAGTGCAGTGGCACAATCTTGACTTACTGCAGTCTTCACCTCCCATGCTCAAGCGATCCTCCCACCCCAGCCTCCCAAGTAGCTGGGACTACAGGCACGTCCCACTGCACCCAGCTAATACTTGTATTTTTAGTAGAGACAGGGTTTTGCCATGTTGGCCAGCTGGGTCTCAAATTCCTGAGCTCAAGTGATTCACCTGCCTGGGTCTCCCAAAGTGCTGGGATTACGGGTGTGAGCCACTATGAGCCACTATGCCTGGCTGCAGCCATGTTTTTAAAACTACCATGTGGTTTGTCAGCATTTCAAAACATCAAATAGTACTCCTCTTCTCTAGAGCACACTTCTTCTCTGGAGCACATCTAATCCTTAACTGGAACATCTGTAAATAGGGAAATAGCTCCAAAAGCCAATGATGGAAGATTACGAAGCTATATATTGGTGTTGATTGGCTAGTTCAGAAATTAGAGGAAAGTAAAATTTTTCACTGGGCTAAAGTTGGCTATAAAGTCTGATGCTCAACTTGAGAAGAACAAGAGGAAACATGAAGTAGAAAATTAAAAAAAAAAAACACAAGGAAAATGGACAAGGGACATGAACAGAAAAAAGCATCACCCAGTTGAGATGCCCGCATTGTGAGCTTCTCTCCATCCCCAGGATCTTATTCTGGGGCTCATGGATGGGTTTTGGGGCTCTAAACCATTCTCACTGAAGACAGCTTTGAGTGTGTACACACGTGTACCTCCTGGAGAGGCCCAGCCCCCAGAAGAGGCCTGAGCAGGCTGGACCCTCAGCTCCAGAAGGCAGGTGCGAACCCTTCCTTAGGCTCCTGTGGTACAGGTTGATAGGACAGCCTCTGGACTCTGCAGTGTGAAAACAGGAATGGAGTGATGCCATGTGAATTTACATGCACTTTACATTATCCCTGGAGAATCTCTGAGATGATTAGGATGTGGATATGCTTTGCTTTGGGCTTAATCTGGGCTAAAAAGCTGCCAATCACTTATTTTATTAAATCTAATTTATTATTCTTCTTATTATTTTTTAGCACAAAGATTGTGTGGTTCCTTACCTTCTTCGACTTCTCAAAGGTCTTCCAAAAGTGTATTGGGTAGAAGAAAGCACAGCTCGGAAAGGCAGAGGTAATTGTATATAATGTTTTCCCTGAATATAAGAGAAAATACACATGTTCAGTGTCTGTAGGATCAAGTGTTTATTCATACTGACACATCAGATGCATCTTGTCTCCCTCCTGGCTGGGAAACAACTGCCTGCAGCATTGTGGGCTGAGCTTACATCCATGTGTTGGCCACAGCCCATGGATGAGTTGGGGAGAAGGTAGGCCTGGGTAGGCCAGCTTTCCATTGCATTCTTCTGAGAGTGAGCAAGAACGTTGAGACCTTCAAGAACCTTTTCTCATGTCTCATTGGCCAGAATTGGGTCATCTGCCCGTCCCCAAATCAGTCACTGTTACCCTTAGAATTTATAGGCTCACTCCTGGAGTGAGGTCAGTTTTCCAGATTATATTGCTGCTGCTCAAAAAGGGTGAGATGGAGGTTGGAGACCCAACAGCAATGTTCACTGTAAATAGTTTCATCACTTTGTTTCTAAGTTCCAGTTAAACTTTGCACCTTTAGAAACGGAATAAATTGGCTGGTATGGTGGCTCACTCCTGTAATTCTAGCACTCTGGGAGGCCGAGGTGGGCAGATTGTTTGAACTCAGGAGTTTAAGACTAGTCTGGGTCGGCCGGGCGTGGTGGCTCATACCTGTAATCCCAGCACTTTGGGAGGCCGAGGCGGGTGTATCACGAGGTCAGGAGTTCAAGACCAGCCTGGCCAATATGGTGAAACTCTATCTCTACTAAAAGTACAAAAATTAGCCGGGCATGGTGGTGTGTGCCTGTAGTCCCAGCTACTCGGGAGGCTGAGGCAGAAGAATTGCTTGAACCCAGGAGGCAGAGGTTGCAGTGAGCCGAGATATGCTACTGCACTCCAGCCTGGGCGACAGCACGAGACTCCGTCTCAAAAAAAAAAAAAAAAAAAAACAAAAACAAACCAAAACTAGTCTGGGCAACATGTCCCAGTCTGCTAAAGATGGGTTTTGCTGTTCTCATTAACATTCTGGGCCCCGCAACACCACCGCCACAGGCATGAACGCATGCACAGAGGTCACCAGCTCTAACTCTGTGCTACCACTGCCATTGGTGCAAATGTGCACACAGACCCCAGCGGCCGTGCACCACTGCTACTGCCAATGCCCACATAGAGGCAGGCAGCCCCAGGCCTCCTAGCACCCTGCCTCAGCCAATGAGCATGCACCCCATTGCACTGCTGGTGCTGCTGTCACAAGCAAATAGGCTGCCACTATCCGACAGAGTGCTTTGGCTGGCACTACCCTTCAGAGTGTTGTGGCTGTGGCCCAAGAACACCTCAACCCCTCCAGTGCTGCATGTTCTCAACCTCAGAGAGCCAGAGAACAAAGCTGAGTGCCCAATACCAGCCCCCCAGTGTTGGAGGACATAGCCCAGGAGTGCTGAGCTGAGCCTTAGTCCCCCAAAAATCTGTCAGAAATGAAGCCAGTTGACTGAACCCAATCAAACCCCCAAAGACATCAAAGAAGATAAAAGCACCACCCCCAAAAAAATCCATCCAAAGGACAGCAGCTTCAAAGATTGAAAGAACATTAGCCAATGAAGATAAGAAAGAGCCAGCACAGGAACTCTGGCATCTCCAAAAGCCAGTGTCTTCTTGCTGCTAAGTTGACTGCACTAGTTCCCCAGCAGTGGTTCTTAACCAAGCCAAAATGACAGAAATAGAATTCAGAATATGGATAGGAACGAAGATCATCAACATTCAGGAGAAAGTTGAAACCCAATCCAAAGACTGTAAAGGATACAATAAAACGATATAGGAGATGTAAGATGAAATGGCCATTTTAAGAAAAAACCGGCCGGGCACAGTGGCTCACACCTGTAATCTCTGCACTTTGGGAGGCCAAGGTGGGTAGATCACTTGAGGTCAGGAGTTCGAGACCAGCTTGGCCAACATGGTGAAACCCCATCTCTACTAAAAATACAAAAAATTAGCCAGGTGTGGTGGCAGGTTCCTATAATCCCAGCTACTTGCGTGGCTGAGGCAGGAGAATCGCTTGAACCTGGGAGGTAGAGGTTGCAGTGAGCTGAGATCATGCCACTGCACTTCAGCCTGGGTAACAGAGTGAGACTCCGTCTCAAAAAGAAAACAACCAAACTGAGCTGATGGAGCTGAAAAACTCACTTCAAGAATTTCGGCTGGGCGCAGTGGCTCATACCTGTAATCCCAACACTTTGGGAGGCCAAGGCAGGTGGATCACAAGGTCAGGAGTTCAAGACCAGCCTTGCCAAGGTGATGAAACCCCATCTTTACCAAAAATACAAAAATCGGCTGGGTGTGGTGGCGCACGCCTGTAAATCCCAGCTACTTGGGAGGCTGAGACAGGAGAATCGCTTGAACCCGGGAGGCAGAGGCAACAGTGAGCCGAGATCGCGCCACTGCACTCCAGCCTGGGCAACAGAGCAAGACTCCATCTCAAAAAAAAAAAAAAAAAGAATTTCAAAATAAACAACAGAATTGACCAAACTGAGGAAAGAATCCCAGAGCTCAAAGACCAGCTCTCCAAAATAACTCAGACAAAAATAAAGAAAATAAAGAATGAACACCTCTGAGAAATATGGGATTATGTAGAGACCAAATATACAACTCATTGGTGTCCCTGAAAGATAGGGAGAGAGAAAATAAGCAACTTGGAAAACGTATTTCAGGATATTATCCATGAGTATTTTCCCAATCTCACTAGAGAGGCCAAAATTCAAATTCAGGAAATGCAGAGAACCCCTATGAAATACTACACAAGAAGACCATCCCCAAGGCACATAGTCATCAGATTCTCCAAGGTCTAAATGAAAGAAAAAAAATGTTAAAGGCAGCTAGAGAGAAGGGACAGGTCACCTTCAAAGGGAGTCCCACCAGGCTAACAGCAGACCTTTTAGCAGAAACTCTACAAGCCAGAAGAGAATGGAGGCCTACATTCAGCCTTTTTGTTTTGTTTTGTTTTTGTTTTTGTTTTTGTTTTTGTTTTTGTTTTTGTTTGTGTTTTGAGAAAGAGTCTCACTCCATCACTCAGGCTGGAGTGCAGTGGTGCGATCTTGGGTCACTACAACCTCCGCCTCCCAGGTTCAAGCAATTCTCATGCCTCAGCCTCCTGAGTAACTGGGGACTACAGGCACACACCACCATGCCCAGCTAATTTTTGTATTTTTAGTAGAGACAGGGTTTTGCCATGTTGACTAGGCTGGTCTTGAACTCCTGGCCTCAAGTGACCCCCACTCCTCAGCCTCACAAAGGTGCTGGGATTGCAGGCATGAGCCTCTGGGCCTGGCTCATATTCAGCATTGTTAAAGAAAAGAATTTGCAACGAAGAATTTCATATCCGGTCAAACTAAGCTTTATGAGTGAAGGAGAAATAAGATCTTTTTGAGACAAGCACATGCTAAGGGATTTCTTTACCACCACCTGCCTTACAGGGTCTTGAAGGGAATGCTAAACATGGAAGGGAAAGATTATTACCAACCACTACAGAAACACACCTAAGGGCTGGGCACAGTAGCTCACACCTGTAATCCCAGCACTTTGGGAGTCTAAGGCGGATGGAACACCTGAGGTCAGGAGTTTGAGACCAGGCTGGCCAACATGGTGAAACCCCGTTTCCACTAAAAAGACAAAAAATTAGCTGAGCATGGTGGCAGATGCCTGTAGTCCCAGCTACTCAGGAGGCTGAGGCAGGAGAATCACTTGAACCCAGGAGGTGGAGGTTACAGTGAGCCACAGTCGCATCACTGCACTCCAGCCTGGGCAACAGGAATGAAACTCTGTCTCAAAAAAAGAACAAACAACAACAATAACAAAACACACCTAAGTACCTAGACTAGTGACACTATAAAGCAACCACACAAACAAGCCTACATAATAACCAGCTAACAATATGGTGACAGGAACAGAGCCACACATATCAATATTATGAATGTAAATGGACTAAATATCCCTTTAAAAGACACATTGTGGCAAATTGGATAAAGAAGCAAGACCCAATGGTATGCTGTCTTTAAGAGACCAATCCCACATACAGTGACACCCATACATTCAAAGTAAAAGGATGAAAAAAATCTGCCAAGCAAATGGAAAATGGAAAAAAGAGCAGGGATTGCTATTCTGATTTCAGACAAAATAGACTTCCAACCAACGAAGATCACAAAAGACAAAGAAAGGCATTACATAATGGTAAAAGGCTTGATTCAGCAAGATTTGACTATATCCAACACGGGAGCAAATTTATACATATCGAACACGGAAGCAACCACATTCATAAAGCAAGTTCTTAGAGACCTATGAAGAGGCTTAGGTAACCACATAATAACTGGGACACTTCAACACCCCACTGACAGTGTTAGACAGATCATCAGGGCAGAAAACTGTTAAAGATATTCAGGATTTAAACTCGACACTTGACCAAATGGACCTAATAGATATCTACAGAACACTCCACTCGAAAGCAGCAGAATATACATTCTTCTCATCTGCACATGCAACATACTCTAAAATCAACCACACTATAAGACATAAAACAAGCCTCAGCAAATTCAGAAAAACTGAACTCATAGGGCCACAGCACAATAAAAATAGAATTAAATACTAAGAAAATCACTGAAAGCATATAATTACATGAAAATTAAATAACCTGCTCCTGAATGACCTTCGGGTAAATGATGAAATTAAGGCAGAAATCAAGAAATTATTTGAAATTAATGAGAATGAAGATACAACATACCAGAATCTCTGGGACACAGCTAAGGCAGAATTAAGAGGGAAGTTTATAGCATGAATGCTGACGTTGAAAAGTTAGATCTCAAATTAACAACCTAACATCACAACTAGAGGAACTAAAGAAATAAGAACAAACTAACCCCAAAGCTAGCAGAAGATAAGAAATAACTAAAACCAAAGCTGAGCTGAAGGAAATGAGATATGAAAACCATACAGAAGATCAACAAATCCAGGAGTTGGTTTTTTGAATAAAAAAAAAAAGATCACTAGCTAGACTTACAAAGAAAAAAAGAGAAAAGGTCCAAATAGACACAACCAGAAATTGATAAAGGGGACATTACCAGTGACTCCACAGAAATAATAATAATAAAAAAACCCAACCCAGAGAGACAAACACCTCTATGCCTACAAGCCAGAAAACCTAGAAGAAATGGATAAATTCCTGGACATATACAACCTACCAAGACTAAACCCAGAAGAAATTGAATCCCTGAACAGACAAATAACAAGTTCCGAAATTGAGTCAGTAGTAAAAAGTCTGCCAGCTGAAGAAAGCCTAGGACCAGATGGATTCACAGCTGAATTCTACCAGATGCATAAAGAAGAGCTGGTACCACTCCTACTGAAACTATTACAAAAAATTAAGGAGGAGGGACTCCTCCCTAATTCTATGAGGGTAGCATCATGCTGATACCAAAACCTGGCAGAGACACAACAAAAAAAGAAAACTTCAGGCCAATAGATGAACATAGATGCAAACATCCTCAACAAAATACTAGGTAACTGAATCTAGCAGCACATCAAAATGCTAATCCACCAGGTCAAGTAGGCTTTATCCCTGGGATACAGGATCGATACAATGTATGCAAATCAATTAATGTGATTCATGGCAGAAACAGAACTAAAAACAAAAACCATGTGATTATCTTAATAGATACAGAAGAGGCTTTTCATAAAATTCAATATCCCTTCATGTTAAAAATCCTCAACAGGCCAGGCGTGGTGGCTCACGCCTGTAATCCCAGCACTTTGGGAGGCCGAGGTGGGCGGATTACGAGGTCAGGAGATTGAGACCATCCTGGCCAACATGGTGAAATCCTGTCTCTCCTGAAATACAAAAAATTAGCCAGGCATGGTGGCAGGCATCTGTAGTCCCAGCTACTCGGGAGGCTGAGGCAGGAGAATCGCTTGAACCCGGGAGGCAGAGGTTGCAGTGAGCCGAGATCACGCCACCGCACTCCAATCTGGCAACAGAGCAAGACTCTGTCTCAAAAAAAAACCCCAAAAAAATCCACAACAAACTCTAGGCATTGAAGGAACATACTTCAAAGTAATAATAGCCATCTATGACAAACCCATAGCCATCATTATACTGTATGGTCAAAAGCTCGAAGCATTCCCCTTGAAAACCAGAACAAGACAAAGATGCCCTCTCTCACCTCTCCTATCCAGCATAGTTCTGGAAGTCCTGGCCAGAGCAATCAGGCAAGAGAAAGAAATAAAAGGCATCCAGATAGGAAGAGAGGAAGTCAAACGATCTCTTTTCATAGATTATATGATTTTATACCTAGAAAACCCTATAGTCTCTGCCCAAAGCCCCTTGATCTGATAAACAACTTCAGCAAAGTTTCAGGATACAAAATCAATGTACAAAAATCAGAAGCATTCCTATACACCAACAACATCCAAGCTGAGAGCCAAATCAAGAACACAGTCCCATTCACAATATTCACAAAAATAATAAAATACCAGTCGGGCATAGTGGCTCACGACTGTAATCCCAGCACTTTGGGAGGCCGAGGCAGGTGGATCACTTGAGGTCAGGAGTTCGACACCAGCCTGGCCAACATGGTGAAACCCATCTCTGCTAAAAACACAAAAATTAGCTGGGCATGGTAGTGCACGCCTGTAATCCCAGCTACTTGGGAGGCTGAGGCAGGAGAATCGCTTGAACCTGGGAGGCGGAGGTTGCAGTGAGCCGCGATTGTGCCACTGCCCTCCAGCCTGGGCGACAGAGTGAGACTCCATCTCAAAAAAAAGAAAAGATAAAATACCTTGGAATACAGCTAACCAGGGAGGTGAAAAATCTCTATAGCAAGAATTACAAAATACTGCTGAAAGAAATCAGAGCTTACACAAACAAATGGAAAAACATCCCATGCTCATAGATAGGAAGAATCAATATTGTTAACATGGCCATACTACCCAGAGCAATTTATGGATTCAGTGCTATTCCTATCAAACTACCAATGACATTCTTCACAGAATTAGAAAAAAACTATTTTAAAATTTTTATGGAACCAAAAAAGAGCCTGAATAACTAAGGTAGTCTGAAAAAGAGTAAAGCTGGAGACATCACATTACCCAACTTCAAACTTCACCTCTACTACAGGGCTACAGTAACCAAAACAGCATGGTACTGGTAAAAAAAATAGCACATAGACAAATAGAATAGAGAGCCCAGAAATAATGCTGCACACCTGGAACCATCTGATCTTCAACAGAGTCAACAAAACAAGTAATGGGGAAAGGACTCCCTGCTCAATAAATGGCGCTAGGATAACTGGCTAGCTATATTCGGAAGATTGGAACTAGACCCCTTACTTACACCTTATACAAAAATCAACTGAAGATGGATTAAAGATCTAGATGTAAAACCTTAAACTATAAACACCCTGGAAGATACTAGGAAATACCACTCTGGACATAGACCCTGGCAAAGATTTAATGGCAAAAATTTAATGACAAAGATGCCAAAAGCAATTGCAGCAAAAACAAAAATTGACAAATGGGACCTAATTAAACTAAAGAGCTTCTGCACAGTAAAATAAACTGTCAAGAGAGTAAACAGCCACCCTACTGAATGAAAGAAAATATTTGCAAACTATGCAAAGGTCTAAAGTCCAGAATCTATGAGGAACTTAAATTTACAAACAAAAAAAAAACCCCGTTAAAAGGTGAGCCAAGGACGAATAGATACTTCTCAAAAGAAGACATACAAGTGGCCAAAAATATATGAAAAATATGCTCATCATCTGATGCTAATAATCAGAGAAATGCAAATCAAAATTGCAATGAGATACCATCTCACACCAGTCAGAATGGCTATTATTAAAAAGTCAAGAAATAACAGATGCTGGTGAGGTTGTAGAGAAAAGGGAACACTTACACACTGCTGGTGTGAATGTAAATTAGTTCAGCCATTGTGGAATGCAGTTTGGCAATTTCTGAAAGAATTTAAAACAGGATTACCATTTGACCCAGCAATCCCATTATTGGGTATATACTCAAAGGAATGTAAATCATTCTACTGTAAAGATGCATGCGTAAGTATGTTTATTACAGCAGTATTCACAATAACAAAGATAAGGAATCAACCTAAATGCCCATCAGTGGAAGACTGGATAAAGAAAATGTCGTATGTGTACCGTGGAGTACTGTGTAGCCATAAAAAAAGAAAAAGATTATGTCCTTTTATTTTTTATTTTATTTTATCTTTTTTTGAGACGATCTCGCTCTGTCACCCAGCTTGGAGTGCAGTGGTGCGATCTCTGCTCACTGCAACCCTCGCCTCCCAGGTTCGAGCGATTCTCCTGTCTCAGCCTCCCAAGTAGCTGGGATTATAGGCATGTGCCACTACACCCGGCTAATTTTTATATTTATAGTGGAGATGGAGTTTTGCCGTGTTGGCTAGGCTGGTCTCGAACTCCTGGCCTCAAGTTATTTGCCTGCCTCAGCCTCCCAAAGTGCTGGGATTACAAGTGTGAGGCCACCATACCTGGCCAAGATCACGTCTTTTGTAGCAACATGGATGGAGCTGGAGACCGTTATGGGAGAATTAGCACAGCAACAGGAAACCAAACGCTGCATGTTCTCACTTGTAAGTGGGAGCTAAACTTCGAGTACATATGAACACAGAAGGGAACAGCAGACACTGGGGCCTACTTAAGAGTGGAGAATAGGAGGAAGGTGAGGATGGGAAAACTACTTTCTGGGTACTATGCTTATTACGGGGATGATGAAATAATCTGTACACCAAACCCCCGTAACATGCAGTTTACCTGTATAACAAAACTGCGTATGTACCCCTGAACCTGAAATAAAAATTAAAAAACATTCTGTTTGTGCCAGTATTCCTCTTAACCTTTGGGTTTTCATCATTTCTGGTAACATGCCTAAAACTGACAGATCCCAAATTATGCATGTACCTGCAATTTGTTAGGATTTTGTTTGTTTTTTGTTTTTTTGAGACAGTCTCACTCTGTCTGCACTCCAAGCTGTAGTGCAGTGGCCTGACCTCGGTTCACTGCAACCTCCACCTCCTGGGTTCAAGCAATTCTCGTGCCTCAGCCTCCCAAGTACCTGGGATTACAGGCATGCATCACCATGCCTGGCTAATTTTTGTATTTTCGGTAGAGATAGTATTTTGCCATGTTGGCTGGGCTGGTCTTGAACTCCTGGCCTCAAGTGATCTGCCTGCTTTGGCCTCCTAAAGTGCTAGGACTATAGGCATGAGCCACTGCACCCAGTCTGTCCTGCAATTTGATGGACTACAAATTAAATAGAGCATCATTACTAAAAGGTCAAATTTTAGGCCGGGCATGGGCACATTCAAGTTTGAGAACAGCCTAGAGCTGCACTTTAAAATTTTAAGTGCTGGAGTAGAAATGTAAGTCTTCTGTCATGTACTATGAATATAGCTATTAAATAGTGGATACTCTTTTTTCCTTGATTCAACATTCAATATTCAAAATTGATTTTTTTTTTTTTTTTTGAGATGGCGTCTCATTCTGTCACCCAGGCTGGAGTACAGTGGTGCGATCTCGGCTCACTGGAACCTCCACTTCCTGGCTTCGAGCTATTCTCCTGTCTCAGCCTCCCAAGTGGCTGGGATTACAGGTGTGCGCCACCACACCCAGCTAATTTTTGTATTTTTAGTAGAGACGGGGTTTCACCATGTTGGCCAGGCTGGTCTTGAACTCGACCTCAGGTGATCCGTCTGCCTTGGCCCCCCAAAAGTGCTGGGATTACAGACTTGAGCCACTTCGCCCAGCCGAGTGTTTTGTGTGTGTGTGTGTGTGTGTGTGTGTGTGTGTGTGTGTGTGTGTGTGATTTATCACATTTACTTAGGGAATAAAAAATTGAATCTGTCATGTTGAGAGGCTTTGTTATCTCACACTAGCTATTGGCTCAGGAAACATTTAAGTTTATTGAACCAAAACATTTACTTAAAGGAAAGGTAAGGGTGTTTCTCAGCAAACTCATTGGGCCCATAGCTGTTCTTTTGAGACTCGTCTCAAGGAGGGCAGCTGCTGTAAACTGGTCCCTTGGCAGGTCATGGTGAGAGGGAACATATTGAATTGGATGGCCAGAGGTGTGACCCAGTATCTGGTTCCTGGTTATCTGATTTATGTTTTTACATCTTCCAGGTGCCCTCCCGGTTGCAGAGAGCTTCAGCTTCTGCTTGGTAACTCTGCTGTCTGATGTGGCCTATAGGGATCCTTCACTTAGGGATGAGGTAAGCATGTGTTGGTTGATTTGGTATGCATTTCTATTAGATTGAATAGAGTCCCAAAGTGATGAAAAGATTTTAAAAACGTGAAATGTGATTGAATTGTTTGTTGATATTTATCTATTTCATCCTGTTGACAGCAGACCTAAGACATGCTTAGGTCTTTCACTACTCTTTAGGATCTCGAGTCTTATCTTATTAAACTTTTCTTTTTTTTTTTTTCTTTTTTCTAATGAAGGGCAGGGGCTGCAGAGACATGAGCAGCACTATCCCTTTCAGCTTTTCAGAAAGTCCTTTAAGGTAGGCGGCAGAAAAAGGCAGAGGCAGCTCATTTTTCTTGCTCTTTGTTGGGGATTGAAGTCATTCATAGAAGATCATTTTCTTTTCTTTTTTTGAGGCAGTCTTGCTCTGTCATCCAGGCTGGAGTGCAGTGGTGCAATCTTGGCTCACTGCAACCTCTGCCGTCCACCTCAAGCCAGCCTCCCTCCTAAGACTCCCAAGTAGCTGAGACTATAGGCGTGCACCATCATGCCAGCTAATTTGTTTTGTATTTTTTGTAGAGACAAGGTTTCGCCATGTTGCCCAGGCTGGTCTTGAACTCCGGGCCTCAAGTGATCCTTCTGCCTCGACCTCCCAGAGTGCTGGGATTATAGGTGTGAGCCACTGTGCCCAGCTAGAAGAGAATCTTCTAGGTAGCTGAAGCTTTTATCTTTAAGGGCACAGACTTTCTTTAGATTTTGTTAATTTTGATAGAAATGTTACAAACATGTATTTCATACTTTCCTGTTCTTTAAACAAAGAATGTAATCATACAACTTTTTCTTAAATTTATCGCTTAGAAAGTTAGTTTTTGTATGCTGCTGTTCCTAGGTTCTTCCAAACAGTGCCTAGTTGCTTGTCTGCATTCTAAATGTTCCCAGTTAGTGATGTATTTTGACTAATTTAGATTCTTCATTTATTTGTAGGTTGGCTAAAGAAATACTTAAATATGTTAGAATAATGTGTTTTTATTAAAAAGTTGGACATTAAGGGCTTTTTTCTATGAATAAAATTTATCAGAATAAAGAGGTCAACACCAAAGGTGATAACATGACTTTAACATATAAAATGGAAAAAGTGGCTGGGTGCGGTGGCTCAGGCTTGTAATCCTAGCACTTTGGGATGCTGAGGCGGGTGGATCACCTGAGGTCAGGAGTTTGAGACCAGCCTGGCCAACATGAAGAAACCCCATCTCTACTAAAAATATAAAAATTAGCCGGGCGTGGTGGCAGGAGCCTGTAATCCTAGCTACTCGGGAGGCTGAGGCATGAGAATCACTTGAACCTGGGAGGCAGAGGTTGCAGTGAGCTGAGATCATGCCATTGCACTCCAGCCTGGATAACAGAGTGAGACTCGGTCTCAAAATAAATAAATAAAATGGAAAAACTATTGCTTTTCAAGCTTTTGTAGATTATTCAGCATTACTTAATATTAGGAAAATGTAAGAGATTTGACTTGGTTATGAACAAGTCATGTCACACCAACTTCATTTTTTCTTTGCCTGGGTTTTCTAAGAAGAATGGTTGAGAGAAATGAAGTTGCTGCATTCTAGTGGATCTTCATAAATGCTTTGGACAAGCACCTTTCCTGACATCCTGGACCAGTTATATGGGCTGAGGGCCAAATGGTTTGGAGGGTTTGCAGAACTGCCTGAAGGACTGTCCCAAAGGGTGATCAGTGAGGTATCGGCCTAGCAGGACCCTCCTGTCATTGGAGCAAAACAAGCTAGTGCTGTGAATGAAGATCTGGAAAGCAAGTTGATTTCATTTGGAGAAGGCACAAAGCTGGGAATCACAGATTTGTACAGTGAGCTAAAGCTAATACCATGAGTTTTTGTAGGGGTAGATGAAAGATAAAAAATACCAACTACGTTAGTAGAGATTACATAGTTCAGGAGAAGCAGGTGCGAAAGAAGACTTAGGTATCTTCCTCATCTATAAGCTTATTGTCATGGATGGTGGCTCACGCCTGTAATCCCAACATTCTGGGAGGCTGAGGCAGGAGGATCACTTGAGCCCGGGAATTTGAGACTAGCTTGGGCAGCATAGCAAAACCTATCCCTACAAAAATAAAAATAAAAATTAGCTGGGCATAGTGACACATGCCTGTAATCCCAGCTACTTAGGAGGCTGAGGCAGGAGGATTGCTTGAGTCCAGGAGTTTGAGGCTACAGTGAGCTATCATTGAACCCCTGCACTGTTCTTGGCTCACTATATCCTCGGCCTCCTGGGCTCAAGTGACCCTCACACGTCAGCCTCCTGACCACAGGCACGCACCACCACACCTGGCTAATTTTTGTATGTTTTGTAGAGACAGGGTTTTGCTACTTTGCCCAGGCAGGTCTGAACTCCTGAGCTCAACTGATCCACCCGCTTCAGCCTCCCAAAGTGCTGGGATTGGCTGGGCACAGTGGCTCATGCCTATAATCCCAGTACCTTGGGAGGCCGAGGTGGGTGGATCGATCACCTGAGGTTGGGAGTTTGAGACCAGACTAACCAACATGGAGAAACCCCGTCTCTACTAAAAATAAAAAATTAGCCAGGCGTGGTGGTGCATGCCTGCAATCCCAGCTGCTAAGGAGGCTGAGGCAGGAGAATCGCTTGAACCCAGGAGGCGGAGGTTGTGGTGAGCCGAGACATGCCATTGCACTGCAGCCTGGGCAACAAGAGTGAAACCGCGCCTCAAAACAAACAAACAAACAAAAGTGCTGGGATTATAGGCATAAGCCACCCTTCCAGGAACAAAAAAAAATTTCTTAACTTAAATAATTATGGACTGGGCGCAGTGGCTCACGCCTATAATCTCAGCACTTTGCGAGGCCAAGGCAGGTGGATCACCTGAGGTCAGGAGTTCGAGACCAGCCCGGCTAACATGGTGAAACCCTGTCTGTACTAAAAATACAAAAAATTAGCCAGGCATGGTGGCATGCACCTGTAATCTTAGCTACTCAGGAGACTGAGTCAGGAGAATCGCTTGAACCTGGGAGGTGGAGGTTGCAGTAAGCCAAGATCATGCCACTGCACTCCAGCCTGGGCAACAAGAGCGAAACTTCGTCTCAAACAAATAAAAAAAATTTAAAAATTATGTATAAGCTCATTGAGATGAGCTTCACATAAGCAGTGTGAAGTGGCTGCAGAAAAGCTAATGTCACATACATAGAAGTGTAGAATCTGTGATGAGTTTGGTGAGTATGCTGGGTGAGTTCCAGCATCCCAGATGTTAATGTATTTTATTCTGAGCACTACACTTCCAGACAGAAAACTGGACTACCGTAAAATCAGAAGCTGGCAATTAGCATTACAAAGGATTTATGATCATGAAGAATACGGTTGAAAAGCGCTAGGGCGTTTACCCATGAAAAGAGAAGATTTGGGGACCCATCACCTGTTTACAGAATATGTTAATAGAGGAAAAAGCAGCCCCAAGGGCTGGTAGGTACAAGCCCCAGGAGGACAACATTGGCCCAGTATTGGGAGGAACTCGGAACCAGCCCAGAGAGTGAGGGTTTTGTCCCTGGAAAGTCAGCTGGTTGGCCACTTGGCACAGTCGTTGTGGAGGGATGTATCATATATGGGGTTGGTTAAGATAATGTCTGAAGTGCCTTCTAATTCTGACTTAGTTTCGTGATATTTACCTAATTTTGTTTATGTTTTTTTTTTCTTGTTTCCTTGACTGTTACAGATTTTAGAGGTGCTTTTGCAGGTTTTGCATGTCCTCTTGGGGATGTGCCAGGCCTTGGAGATTCAAGACAAAGGTACGAGTATCCTTAAGGTTTTTCTTAAAATGGTTTTGTGGTTACTCTTTCCCTTGCTTTTCTCCAGTCTTTTCTGTTGTTGGGTACCTAATATATATGATGGGAGAAAACCTTCCTATTTTAGTTTGATTTGTTGTGTGTTAGTATCCTCAGAGGCCACATGGGGTCATGTGCATTGCTCTGCTACATAGACGCTGGGTCACCTTGGACAAGTAACTTCACCCTTCTGGGCCCCAGTTTCTTCACCTGTAACATCTGTGGGTAGATTAGTTGACTTCCAAAGGTCATTTTTTCTGTGTTGTGAGGCTACCAATATGCTCCTAAGAGGAATAAATGTATAAGGTACTTGATAATATGGCCTAGCTATTTTATTGATTTGGGTGTGCCATGAATAGATGAAGACCTTCCAAGCAGGGCAGCTGGGTGTATTGAAGTCATAGTCTGAAGTTGTTAATGACAGGTTGAAGATATCACTTGTCAGCCCTTGGGGTGGACCCCATTATTGTGGCTTATTGTGAACCTTCACAGTTATTAGTGGGTGGGTTGTGAAATCTTAGTCAATGTTACAAGTTAGTACTTACTATATGACTCTATCAGGATACTTTCTTATATTGTAACGTTTTCACTTGATCTTCTAGAATACCTTTGCAAGTATGCTATCCCATGCCTGATAGGAATCTCGCGAGCATTTGGGCGTTACAGCAACATGGAAGAGTCTCTCCTCTCAAAGCTCTTTCCCAAAATCCCTCCTCATTCCCTCCGTGTCCTGGAAGAGCTTGAAGGTGTTCGAAGGCGTTCCTTTAATGACTTCCGCTCCATCCTCCCCAGCAATCTGCTGACTGTCTGTCAGGAGGGTACCCTGAAGAGGAAAACCAGCAGTGTGTCCAGCATCTCTCAGGTGGGCCTGGGCTACTGGGGAAAGAGCAGAGGAGAAAGACCCTGTTAAGCTCCCCTGCGAAGAAAATCCCTCTTCTTTGTAGTTGGAGTAAACTTAAGTAACGTGAAATGTTTCACTAGAATTCTCTTTAATACAAAGACTTGTCTTGTCCCTCTTAAGATGTTGGGGGGAAGGGCTTATAGAGTGCACATATAAACTGGCCATAAAAATATAAAACAATGAGGTGTAAAAAGCCACAAAAGGCCTCTAAAAAAAAAGCCTTATCGCCATTATGTTCCCATACTCTGAGCAAGACTTACTCTCTTATCCATAAACACTGTGTTAAAAAAAAAAAAACCACTCCTTTAAAACATGAAAATATGGCCAAACATACAGACTCCTAGTTAAGCCTGCTCCCACTAACTGCTGTCCAATAAGTTGAAAATATACTGTTTAAACACAAAAAAAATTCATTTAAACTGCCGCTACTATAGATTACACATATGACACACTGCCTCCCTTTCACCGTTTCGCCCTAAACATCTGCTTCTTAAATCTAAGTGATTATACTCAATAAATAGTGTAAAAACCAAAACTCTAGGCCTTTGCGGCCTCTGATTTGCTCTGGTCCCCTGGCTCCCGCCTTTATAAACTCTTAACCTGTTTCTTCTCATTCCTTTGTCGCCACCAAACATCAAATACCCTACAGGTGGTGTTGAGGCTAGTCCCCAACATAAGATTTATAAGTGATTTCATAGTCATAAAGTATATGTTTCATAGCAGTTGGGTGCCAAATGCTATTTTGCCTGGAAGACAGTTGGTGCCCTTAAGAAGTATATAATTGACTCATGGAGAAAAGACAAAAACACAAAACACTGAGGACAATTCAGCTCAGTAATCAAGTGTCAAATATACGGCTAAACACAAAGAATTTAGTGATATAGCATGTAGTAGAGAATGCTGTAGCTGTGATGGGCTTTAGGAAGGAAATGAGGCTTCAACCAGAACTTGAAGTACAAACATTGGGCTGGCAGAGAGGACCTTGTCTAAGACAAATCTGATGGAGGTCTCACTGGTCTTTTCTGATATGTAACTGTGGTTGTGTGTTTCAGGTCAGCCCTGAACGCGGCATGCCCCCTCCCAGTTCCCCTGGAGGATCTGCCTTTCACTACTTTGAAGGTGGGCTTCACCTTTCCGAAGAATATTTTGACGTAATACTTGGAGAACAGGCTCACAGTGACTTCTCGTGATATTAAGGATGCTGATACTAACTCTGTTGTCATGGATGGACCTAGAGTGCCAAGCTTTTAGGAAGCATTTATTTTCTGTTTTCATTTAAGTTTCTTAAAATTTAATTTTCAAATATTTTATATATAGAGAAAAGTACATTTAATTTTCAAATATTTTATTTAGAGAGAAAAGTACAGAAAATAACTTACAGACCCCTATATACCTGCCATCAGAATTTTTGCACTTTAACTTGTAAAAGTTCTTTTCAGGTGGAAGTACTAATGGTGGATATTTCTTTTCTTTTTCTGAGATAGAGTCTGGCTCTGTTGCCCAGGTTGGAGCGCAGTGGTGTAGTCTCGGCTCACTGCAGGCCCTGCCTCCTGGGTTCAAGCAATTCTCTTGCCTCAGCCTCCCAAGTAGCTGGGATTACAGGCACACACCAGCATGCTCAGCTAATTTTTGTATTTTTAGTAGAGACAGGGTTTCACCATGGTGGCCAGGCTTGTCTTGAACTCCTGACCTCAAGTGATCCACCCATTTCTTCCTTCCAGAGTGCTAGGATTACATGCATGAGCCACCACACCTGGCTGGACATTTTTTTTTAATGACATTAAGTATGTAGATAATATTAAAGAATGTAGTAATACTACTGTTACTACTTTTTTTTTTTTTTTTTTTTTTTTTTTTTTTTTTTTTTGGAGAGAGAGTCTCACTCTGCCACCCAGGCTGGAGTGCAGCGGCATGATCATGGCTCACCGCAGCTTCAACCTTCTGGGCTCAAGTGATCCTCCCACCTCAGCCTCCCAAGTAGCTAGGACTATAGGCACCCTCCACAACGCCCACTAACTTGTGTATTTTTTGTAGAGATGGGGTTTTGCCATGTTGCCCAGGCTGGTCCGGAACTCCTAGGCTCAAGGGAACGCCTGCCTTGGTCTCTCAAAGTGCTAGGATTACAGCCGTGAACCACCATACCCAGCCCATTACTACTTTTTATAGAGCTCTGCTGTTCACAAAGTACTTTTACATAATTTACTGAATTGGATTCATGTGACTACCCTGTGCCATGTCAGACACATGTTAAAATTATTTCTACCTTACTTGATGGAAGTAAGACCCAGATTAAGGGACAGCAAATGGGGAAGGCAGAATTCCATGCTTCAGTATAGTCTCTCCTTTTTTGAATAATGCTATTTGTTAAAAGAGCATGTCTCAAGACAGTTTCGAGAGATGTGAGGGGAATTTTGAAGGAAAAAGGGAATATCTGGGCTTACATAAATGTAGGAAGCTTTCCATCTCTTAGATCTGTGAGAATGTAACAGGTTACATTCTATATATGTGTTAGAATATAAGAGCTAATTTCAGCCACTCAGAATCGCACCTCTTAGAGACAACTCCTTGTTTAAGTATAGAATGTATTCCTCCAGGCTCTGAAAATCTCACTGCCACCTGCCTGCCTTTGGGGCATTTTAGGATGGCCATGATGTGCCCTTGGAGGCTTCCCTTTTCCTGGTAAACAGCTCATTGTCCACCCTCTGTGGTGAGGGCTCCTCTCCATGACCGCTGCCCCACTTTGAGCACATCCAGTAAGTGGCAGATGGGAGCACACTAATGTGGCTGACTGCGAGATCCCCACGTATCACTCCATCAGACTTGGCTGCCGCCCACTTTGCCTGTAGTGGTGACGAGACAAGCGAGCCCTGCTCTCTGAAATGCCTCACTGTAGGACAGACAGCAGCAGACCCTGTGCCTTCTGAGTTTCCTCTCAAACTACCTGTTTTACTTGGACTTTTTCTTTTTTTTGAGTTGGGGTCCTGCTCTGTCACCCAGGCTGGAGTGCAGGGGTGCAGTCATAATGATCCTCTGGCCTTGCCCTTTCAAGTAGCTGGGACTTCAGGTATACAACACCACATACTAAGACTTTTCTTACAGCCGGTCCTTCTATCTCCCTTCCCAGGCCCTCTTCCAAACTGCTGTAAGAATTTAGTTTTTAAGAATTGTTTTTAGGCCAGGAGATGTGGCTCACGCCTGTAATCACAGCACCTTGGGAGGCCCATGTAGGAGGATTGCTTGAGCCTAGGAGTTTGAGACTAGCCTGGGCAACATAGTGAGACCCTTAAAAACTAAATAAAATAAAAAATAAATAAGAATTATTTTTAATAGCGCAAATTTGATCACTTCTTTTCCTGCTTAAAAACTTTCAGGTTGGGCACAGTGGCTGACACCTGTAATCCCAGCACTTTGGGACAGGTGGATCACTTGAGACTAGGAGTTCGAGACCAGCCTGGCCAACATGGCAAAACCCGATCTCTACTAAAAATACAAAAATTAGCCGGGTGCAGTGGCTCACACCTATAATCCCAGCTACTCAGGAGACTGAGACATGAGAATCACTTGAACCTGGGAGACGCAGGTTGCGGTGAGCAGACATCGTGACACTGCACTGCAGCCTGGGCAACAGAGTGAGACTCTTGTCTCACAGGAAAAAAAAAAAAGAAGTTTCAATGACACCCCCTGCGTAAATCCCAAATGTTAGGTCCCTAGTTCCTGCAGCCCCTGTCGTTTGCCATCATCTGTGTCCTCTGTGGGGTTCAGCCACACAGGACTTAGCCCATATTTCATGGTGTCTTTCTGAGAAGTGCCCGATAATCACAACCTTCCCTTCTCCCTCATCTACCCTTTTTAATCCGGCTGTTTCTCCCTCCCTTCTTTCCTTACTTGTTCCCTCTTTCAGTGGCCATTTCTTATGTTGGCCTCTTGGCGTCTCAGCTCCCAGTGGTATTGTTGCCCATCCTTTCTGCTGTAAGTTGCTGGTTTGCGTCCTCTTTAGACAGATTGGCAGTGTGCTGCCAGCTGTGAGATACCAGCTTTGACACAACTGGAGCTAAACTAAACTCTTTGAGTCTGTTCTCTAGTGCTTGAAAAAGTCATAAAATTTAGTATTCACTTCTTTATGAATTGATACTGTCTTATGAAAATATTACAAATTCATCTGTTTTTCAATCATAGTTTTTTGTTTGTTTGTTTTGATTTGTTTTTTTTTTTTTTTTTTTTTGAGACGCAGTCTCCTACTGTCACCAGAATGGAGTGCAGTGGTGCAATCTTGGCTCACTGCAACCTCAGCCTCCCGGGCTTAAGCAGTTTTCCTGCCTCAGCCTCCCAAGTAGCTGGGATTACAGGCACGTGCCACCACGCCCAGCTAATTTTTGTATTTTTAGTAGGGACAGCGTTTCACCATGTTTGCCAGGATGGTCTCAATCTCTTGACCTTGTGATCCACCCGCCTCGGCCTCCCAAAGTACTGGGATTACAGGCGTGAGCCACCACACCTGGCCTCATAGTTTTCTATTATAGTTTCTAAATAATGGATTTTCAAACAATTATATGCTTTTGGGTTCCTATTTACTATATTTCTATTTTAATTTAAAATAATTTTATTTATGTAGAGACAGGGTCTCGTCGTGTTGCCCAGGCTGGTCTCAAACTCCTGGGATGAGGCGATCTTCCCACCTCAGCCTCCCAAAGTGCTGGGATTACATGTGTGAGCCACTGCATTGGGTCTGGGTTTATATTTATTAAATGTCAAATGACTGAATGACTTTATTTTTGTTGATTTTTTTCCTTCTTTTTTTTTTATTGTGGTAAAATACACATAACATAAAATTTGCTATGTCATTTTTTTTTTTTAATACAGGATTTTACTCTGTTACCCAGACTGGAGTGCAGTGACAAATTCATAGCTCCACTGTAGCCTCGACCTCCCAGGCTCAAGCAACCCTCCTGCTCCAGCTTCCTGAGTAGCTGGGACTATAGGCCCATGGTGCTGTATCCGGCTAATTTTTATTTTTTGTAGAGACAGGATCTCCCTATATTGCCCAGGCTGGTCTTGAATTCCTGGACTCAAGCAATCCTCCCACCTCAGCCTTCGAAAACTCTGGGTTTATAGGCATGAGCCACCATGCTTGGCCTTAATTATTTTAAAGTGTATAGTTTAGTAGTATTGAATACATTTATAATATTGTGCAACTATCACTACAATTCATCTCAAAAACTCTTTTCATCTCGTGAAACTGAAACTATACATCAATTATTCCCCATTTCCCCTTCCCCCAGTCACTGATAGCTACCATTCTACCTCTATGTATGATTTAAGTTCCTCTAATAAGTGGGATCGTACAGTATTTGTCTTTTAGTGACAGGTGTATTTCACTTAGTTGCTCTGACTTTGAAACTTCTAGTAGTGTGCATTTTTTTTTCTAATTTTGGTGAGAAAATATCTCTGAGGCCCTGTGGACCCCAAGCTTTCATATCTCTTCACCTTTAAAAAGGTGTATTTCTGCTGGGCATGGTGGCTCACGCCTGTAATCCCAGCACTTTGGGAGGCCGAGACAGGTGGATCACTTGAGGTCAGGAGTTCGAGACTAGCCTGGCCAACATGGCGAAACGCCATCTCTACTAAAAATACGAAAATTACCTAGGTGTGGCGACGGGCATCTGTTATTCCAGCTACTCGGAAGGCTGAGGCAGGAGAATTGCTTGAACCTGGGAGGCAGAGGTTGCAGTGAGCTGAGATCACACTGCTGCACTCCAGCCTGGGCAACAGAGCGAGACTCTGTCTCAAAAAAATAAAAATAAAAATAAAAAAGATACAATTCTTTTTTCACTTCCCACATACTAAGTTATATTGTCTAAGATGGAAATATTAGGACCATCATATCTGAGTCTTTGACCTGAAAGACACAGGTGAGGGGCATCAGTCCCCAAGGATTTGCAATCTACCCTGTAGTTGTTAATTTAAAAACATGCAGAGAATTGGGATATAAATAAAGGCAAAATCTGCACCTTTGTTGGTTATTGGGGGAGTCAGCTTGAGGAAGTACCCTAGTTGCCTGTCACCACGGCTGAGTTTCCAGCTTTATCTCCCACCAGCCTCCTGCTTGCCCGATGGGACTGCCCTAGAGCCTGAGTACTACTTTTCAACCATCAGCTCCAGCTTCTCAGTCTCTCCCCTTTTCAACGGTGTCACATATAAGGAGTTTAACATTCCATTGGAAATGCTTCGGGAACTCTTAAACCTGGTAAGCAAAGAACTGATGGATGAACAGACCATGGATATGTCAGTAAAATTGCTAGTGGTGAAACTTGTATTTTTAAAAGAAAAACTCAGAGTACCAGTATTTCAAAGTACAATTTAATAGTCATAAACTTGCAGATTAATGAAGGAAGTAGAGTAACATTCATGGAATCATTGTATACTGGTTTCTCATTTCATTCTTGAGCAACCATGTTGGGGAGGCACCCATGCATCCCCATTTGGAGGTCAGGAAATCGGTGTCAAACACGTCATGGATATGTAGGCCAGCAGCTGGGCTGCATCCAGTCCAGGGATTCTGACTCCAAGTCCAGTGCTTTTCCTGGGCTTGACTTCCTCTAAGGGGTGGCTCTATTTGGGTTAATAACAAAACCTGACTTTTTCATATTTGGGTACCTTTGGATGACATTGAGGGTGATACCAGAGAAAACACCAGGGCCATTGTTCGATTCCTTAAATGGCCAGAGCTTTGGTCAGATTCAGGGACCCTGGTTGGACGCCGTGGCTCATGCCAGTAATCCCAACTTTGGGAGGCCAAAGTGGGCGGATCACTTGAGGTCAGGAGTTCGAGACTAGCCTGGCCAACATGGTGAAATCCCATCTCTACTAAAAAACACAAAACTTTAGCTGTACATGGTAGTGGATCCCTGTAATCCCAGCTACTCAGGAGGCAGAGTTAGGAGGATCGCTTGAACCTTGGAGGTGGAGGTTGCAGTAGTCAACATCGCAGCACTGCACTCCAGCCTGGGCAACAGAGTGAGACTCCATCTCAAAAAAAATTACAAAATAAAGATCCAGGGGCCCTGAAGTTGTTACAATCAAGCTAGGATGGTTCAAGACAGATTTGAATAGGTACGGGTGATGATGTCATCAAGGCCAGACTCTCAAGATTGGGCTTGCTGTCTTGGAAATGAGAACAATTTGGATAGCATGGAGCATGTGCTGAGGAGTGGCCACCTCCCTGCTGTGTGGAGTGTGAATAGAAATCCCTCAGAGAATGGCTTCAGGCTGAAGATGTAAGAAGACATTACAACATAGGTAATAATTAATGAGGATGGAACCATAATGAATTACTAAATAGGCTAGGATGTTTTTGAAGTTGCTGTCAAGAAGGAAAACTACCTAAACTGCTTCTCAGTGTCAGTGCCCCAGATAGAATGGTGGCCTGGTAGAGCCATGACCTTCACAGATGGCTGTTCCCAGTACCATGTCAGAAATTCTAACTGAAGACTGACTGTTTCACATCCTTTCTTGGGGTATTATTTTTTGCAGTATATTTTAACTTTTAACTTTCTTCAAGTTTAGGTTTTCTTTTTTTTTTTTTTTTTTTTGAGATGGAGTCTCGCCCTGTCGCCCAAGCTGGAGTGCAGTGGCACGATCTCGGCTCACTGCAAGCTCCGCCTCCCAGGTTCACGCCATTCTCCTCCCTCAGCCTCCTGAGTAGCTGGGACTCCAGGTGACCACCACCACGCCCGGCTAAGTTTTTGTATTTTTAGTAGAAACAGGGTTTCACCTTGTTAGCCAGGATGGTCTCGATCTCCTGACCTCATTATCCGCCTGCCTCGGCCTCCTAAAGTGCTGGGATTACAGGCGTGAGCCACCACGGCTGGCCTAGGTTTTCTTTTAGGCGGTTTTTCATTTCTTTTCCTAGGATGTTTATCATTATCTATACATTTTGGAAATGACTTTCATCAAATACTACAATTGTGGATGTGGGCAGTTTTTTTTTTTTTTTTGTGGTTCTGCAGTTGACAGAACAATTCATTCCTACACTAAATACTGTACAGATAACTGGTGAAAATAATTGCTTCTATTGAAAATTTAAAATATGAGCTCTAGTTTGAGTACCTAAGCAGTTGTAGAAGAGCCAGTGCACCTGGCCCGGAGAGGAAGGAGGTGCCATGAGCTCCAAGGACTGGCTGTGAGGGTGTCCTTGATGTCTGGGAGGGGATTGCAAGAGGATGTCACACAACTGTGCCTGTTAACCATGAGTGGGTGAAATGGCAGCAAGGCCTGAGGTCTGCACATCCTGGAAACAGAAATCTCAGGTCAACAAATCTGAGGGAGTTTGGCCTTTTTCCTTTGTTTTTATGTCATTGCTATCTAAGGTAGAAAAGCAGTCCCAAGTGACTTCAGAATTAAAGGCATTTTGTGCATATAGTTTGATACATAGCCATAATTTGTATTTATTGGCCTTTATCTGCATCACATTTTTCACCATGTGAGTTTGTCATGGGTTTTCGGTAGAAGGAGCTAGCATTCCTGTCTCTGTGTATGTCAGTTGCTTCATGAGGTTCTGTTTCCTTGGTAGGTGAAGAAGATCGTTGAGGAGGCTGTTCTCAAATCTTTGGATGCCATTGTAGCCAGTGTGATGGAGGTATGTCGCTTCTGAGGGCATTACCATGAGATCAGCCTGACTTAAACGTGTGTAGAGAAAGCAGGAAGAGTTTGAGCGGGGGCTGGAGTGGAAGGGGTTTTGCAGTGTTTTCACTTTCCTTGTTCATGTGGTAACAATCCACCTGCCGCGGAGGGCTTGGTCTGTGGTAGGTACCGTTGCATGCTCTTTTAAATACGTCACCTCAGGGTGCCTCTGACTGGTGGCATTACAGACAGAAGATAGAGTTTTAGTGAGAACTCACTAACGTGCCCACATCACATAGTTACTGTGGGAGCTGGGAGTCTGGCCTGGGTCTCTCCTACTCTTTTATCTTCCTCACTCCTTTGGTGCTTCCAAAGCTGCTCCTCTGGGCTCAGAGCTACACTTTTCTAGGCGTATGCAAGTCCTGGTTTTTAAGTGTAAGGGGTGCGTAACTAGGGAACTTTTTTTTTTTTTTTGAGATGGAGTCTCGCTCTGTCGCCCAGGCTGGAGTGCAGTGGCGCAATCTCGGCTCACTGCAAGCTCTGCCTCCCAGGTTCACGCCATTCTCCTACCTCCGCTTCCTAAGTAGCTGGGACTACAGGCACCCTCCACCACACCCAGCTAACTTTTTTTGTATTTTTTAGTAGAGACTGGGTTTTACCGTGTTAGCCAGGATGGTCTCAATCTCCTGACCTCGTGATCTGCCTGCCTCTGCCTCCCAAAGTGCTGGGATTACAGGCGTGAGCCACCATGCCCGGCTGGAACTCTTGTCTTTAATGTATTTGGAACCAAGGCCTACAGCATTATTTATGAAATCATTACATTGGTGCTGGGAGGTCTCAAAAATCTCGGGGAACATTTGGGTCAGGCCCCTCTTGAGGGTTAGGATGCAGACAGGTTGTCATTTGCCAGGCTAATTATTACCATGGGTATGTCCCTGACCCAGATTCCTTATTGAAGCCTGGTGTTCCTTCTCTCACCTGATTTTAAGACACACAGTGCCTGATACCACTGTACCTGGGGCTCAGGTATGAAGCAGGGAAGGAACTACCAGGGCCCTTCATGTGCTGTAGACCATGTCTCTTCCTGCTTCGTACCCCTGCCAACGAGCTATTGCAGATGTGAGATGTATGTGCTGGCCGTGGTTTGGTCTGGGTTGGTTCTTGGTTAAGTAACAGAGTTCTTATAACTCCCCAAGTTGCATCTGGGCAGTTCCTACCTTGTCTCCAACCCTTTTTCAGGTTGTCGTTCTGCCCATTGGCCTGAGCTTTAACTCTCTCACTCACTCACTATAGACTGAGCTTGTGGTCTCAGAGACCTTTGGTTTTCCATCATAAGTGTTTGATCATTTGTGACTGAGGGCAGACCAGGAGGACCAGGGCGAGAGCTGGGCTGGGCAGTTAGACAAGTGGAGACTTAGTGGGCCTGCACTCCACCTCTGGGACCCTCCTTCTCATTGAACCAGGGCAGTTTCTGGTATTTTTTGTTTTGTAATTTGTTCTTTAGCATAAACATCCATTTGAAGAAACAGTTTCATAGCTAAAAAAAAAAAAGTTTCTTGTAATCTTGACCTAGAGTCTGCAATATATTACTCAGTATCCATAATCAGTGTAATAACCACTACCAATTATTACATGCTTATTATGTGCCAGAACTTTACTCACTCACTCCTTGAATCTCACAACAATCCCCAGTTTACATATGGGGAAACTGAGGCTTAGCTCAGGAACTTTATTTACATAGCTCGTGAGTGATGGAGCTGGGCTGTGGGCTTGTAAGATGGTTGGTCTCCAAGGCTCCAAAGTTTAACACTCGTGTTGTCTGGACTCCCAGAGTCAAAGCCCTGAACTGCTTTAACCTCTCCCAGTCTCATTTCTCCATTTCTGCCCTGTGAGGACCACCAGACGTTGTCTGTAAAGCCATCATTGCAGTGCTGTCAACCACAGCTCTTCCTGTCAGTGTCCTCCTGGGAATTGGCATGACTCTCACACTCTCCACATGATTCTTTTTTTCTCCACCTGCTCACTCACCCTCTGTCAACCTCACACTGCATGCCCTATCCCACTCTGGCCAACTTCTGGCGCCTTAAAGATTTGCTATATTTGCAGACCACTTTTATACTTGTCAAGAATTATAATATTAGCTGGGCATGGTGGTACATGCCTGTAGTCCCTGCTACTCAGGAGGCTGAGGCAGGAGGATCACTTGAGCCCAGGAGTTCAAGGCTGCAGTGAGCTGTGATCATACCACTGCATTCCAGCCTGGGGTACAGAGTGAGACCCTATCTCTAAAAAAAAAAATGAAAAAAACGAGTTATGATAAACCATAATTTTCCATCCTACTCAACTAGGAGTATATAGAAGTTAAGGACTGTTATCTTTTTTTTTTTTTTTTTGAGACGGAGTCTCACTCTGTCACCCAGGCTGGAGTGCAGTGGCGTGATCTTGGCTCACTGCAAGCTCCGCCTCCCAGGTCAAAGCAATTCTGCCTCAGCCTCCTTAGTAGCTGGGATTACAGGTGCACGCCACCACGCCCGGCTAATTTTTTGTATTTTTAGAAGAGACAGGGTGTCACCATGTTGGACAGGCTGGTCTTGAACTCCTGAACTCCTGATCTCGTGATCCACCCGCCTTGGCCTCCCAAAGTGCTGGGATTACAGGCGAGAGCCACTGCACCCAGCCTTTTTTTTTTTTTGAGACAGAGTTTTGTTCTTGTTGCCCAGGCTGGAGTGCAATGGCGCGATCTCTGCTCACCACAACCTCTGCCTTTCAGGTTCAAGCAATTCTCCTGCCTCAGCCTCCCAAGTAGCTGGGATTACAGTCATGTACCACCACGCCCAGCTAATTTTGTATTTTTAGTAGAGACAGGGTTTCTCCATGTTGGTCAGGCTGGTCTCAAACTCCCGACCTCAGGTGATCCACCCTCCTTGGCCTCCCCAAATGCTGGGATTACAGGCGTGAGCCACCACACCCGGGCTGGACTATTATCTTTCTTAACTCATTAGACCTTGTGTGAATTTTTTTTTTTTTTTCAGAAGAAGAATAGTGCTACATTTCAAATAGATTCCTAAAGAATAATTTAAAATGAGTTTTAATTACAAAACATAAGTTGTATCTGAAGGTGTCCTGGCTGTAATTTGTATCCTTGGGATGATGGACAGTGTGGATCCCTTACTCTGGTGGCCTTTGTCAGTCTTCCTCCTTCACCACTTCCCATGTCCCTGTCTGGGCCAATGATGGCCAAAGATGGTGAGCTTCAGCCACAGCAAGGAGGTTCTTCCTACTAGGGTGCAGATGGCTGCTCCCCCGCAGGCATCTCTGGACTGCATGAGCCTCCTGTTTTCCTTGGTCTGATGCTTAAGAGGATGAAGACAGTAGAGTGTCCAAGTGATGAGTCATGATAAACAGTTGCTTCATTTAGAATGCTAAGTCACGAATCACCATTCCGCTGGGCCTTGCTGTGAAGGCAAAGGGTGGGCAGAAGGGCATTTCTGTTCTATAGTCATGTGTGTCTGCCTTCCCTGCAGGCCAACCCCAGTGCTGATCTCTACTACACTTCCTTCAGTGACCCTCTCTACCTGACCATGTTCAAGATGCTGCGTGACACTCTGTACTACATGAAGGGTGAGGACAGTTTGCCCATGTGTTTGTGAGTACAGCAAGACTGGCTCCCAGGCCACTGTCGCATGCTAGTGGTTGCAGACTGGTACTCACTTTCTGCTGGGGCCACTGAAAAACACATATGAGCAAAGTGGTCATGTTACTGAAATTTTGGGAAAAAAGCAAATTTAAAAAATCTGTCCATGATCCTGCAACCCCGGTACCATCGATGATGGCTCCTTTGCTGAGTTTATTTCCTAAGGTGTTTATCTAAAATGTGCATGTTATATTGTCCTAAGGACAGATACAGTTTTACATATCCATTTAGATAGTTTAAAAAATTAAAAAAGAGGCCAGGCACAGTGGCTTATGCGTATAATCCCAGCACTTTGGGAGGACAAGGTGGGCTGATCACTTAAGGTCAGGAGTTCGAGACCAGCCTTGCCAAACAGGGTGAAACCCTGTCTCTACTAAAAATACAAAAGAAATTAGCCAGGCGCAGTGGCATGCACCTGTAATCCCAGCTACACAGGAGGCTGAGGCAGGAGAATCGCTTGAACTTGGGAGGCGGAGGTTGCAGTGAGCCCAGATCGTGCCACTGCACTCCAGCCTATGTGACAGAGTAAGACTCCATCTCAAAAACATTAAAAAAAAGAAAATGAAGTACTTGTAATACATGTAATCTGTTAATGTAGAGGTACTAGCTTTTTTTTTCAGACAGAGTCTTTCCCTGTCGCCCAGGCTGGAGTGCATTGGCATGATCTGGGGTCACTGCAACTTCTGCCTCCCAGGCTCAAGCAATTCTCTCGTGCCTCAGCCTCCCAAGTAGCTGGGATTACAGGCATGTGCCACCACGTCTGCCTAATTTTTGTATTTTTAGTAGAGATGGGGTTTTACCATGTTGGCCAGGCTGGTCTTGAACTCCTGGCCTCAAATGATCCACCCACCTTGGCCTCCCAAAGTGCTGGGATTACAGGTGTTAGCCACTGCACCCAACCTGAGACAATAGCTTAATAGTTAACATGCACACACAACAATTTAGCATTTTCTTCTAGTCCCTCTTTCATGAATTTTGTTTTTCCCAGAAGTGAGGAAACAATCTTTTATGCATTTTACAAAATGTTTTTCCTATGCTCTCCCCTCACACTGTTGAGTGTTCTTCGTAAGCTTAAGTTTTGATGAGCACATAATATTTTGTCAGGAAGGTATACCAAAATTTAGTAACCACTTTCCTAATCTGATTCTGAACATTCCTCAGAAGCTGAGTCATCTGGGCCACGGCAAGGGTTGAAACTCCCTAAGAAGGGGCATCAGGGATTACCCCTGCCCTCCCCACCACCCCTGCTGTGTGTTGCTGGCTGCCTTGGCTGGGCTGACTTGTGCGTGCATCATGGTGGTTCTCCTGAATTTTCCAGGCCCTGGGGATGAGAGTTTGAAAAGTCTCTCAAACTCAGGGTGAGTGCTCTGAAGATCCAGATAATTCTCTTCTCAAGGCTGCAACCAGTTTTTGCCCTTATCTGACAACCTTTTTCTTTCTTTTTTTTTTTTTTTTTGAGATGGGAGTCTCGCTCTGTCGCCCACGCTGGAATGCAGTGGCACGATCTTGGCTCACTGCAAGCTCCGCCTCCCGGGTTGACGCCATTCTCCTGCCTCAGCCTCCCGAGTAGCTGGGACTACAGGCGCCCACCACCACGCCCGGCTAATTTTTTGTATTTTTATTAGAGATGGGGTTTCACCGTGTTAGCCAGGATGGTCTCGATCTCCTGACCTCATGATCTGCCCGCCTCGGCCTCCCAAGTTGCTGAGATTACAGGCGTGAGCCACCGCGCCTGGCCCTGACAACCTCTTTCTTAAAAGAAAAAAAAATCACAGAAGTATCTCATATTGTCAGTGGAAGTAGTTCCAGCAACGATACTTCCCAATTTATATGTTTCATGTATTCAGGTTTTAGTACGTTGACTGCTTAAAACAAAGCATGGCTGTAACATCCCTGGGAAATGATCATTTCCTCTGATTGCCAGGTTGTGTGCACGTGGAGGACAGCTGTGCAATTCCTATCCAACTTCTTTCCAGTGGGCATTCTAGGACCCACAGTGGCCAGTAGCAAATGCTACTTTTCTGGGGTTTTTGTTAAAAGGGGAAGACTGTAGCCGCTGCTAGCACTGCCTGTGTTCTACTGTAGTTTTGTTCCCAGCTGTGATGCCACACTCTTTCCTACAGACCTCCCGACCTCTTTTGTGAAGGAGATCCATGATTTTGTGCTGGAGCAGTTCAACACGAGCCAGGGGGAGCTCCAGAAGATTCTACATGACGCAGACCGGATCCACAATGAGCTGAGCCCCCTCAAACTGCGCTGTCAGGCGAATGCTGCCTGTGTGGACCTCATGGTGTGGGCTGTGAAGGACGAGCAGGGTGAGACAGACTGCCTTGCCTCTCATGTGAGCTCCAGGCATGACCCAGAGGCTTTCTTGCCACAAGTTTCCCCAAACTACTTCTAGAACACTTGGCTCTGTTACCAGCACAGGCAGTTGCAGTAGGCCTCCTGGGCACGTGCAGAGTGGAGCATTAGCCCCTGCTGTGCTCTGCACGTCTGGTGTCCTGTCCTGCATGGAGGGCACTGGACCTGGGAGGATGGGGATGCCCGTGGCCTCAGGGCCTGTGTATGCTCTCTGCTGCATCTTGCTGGTTCTTTAGGCTTTTCTGTGGTGACATGGAAGCTCAGTGCCTTCAGGTGAAGTGTTTTTCTGGGGGAGGAGTAGAATGGGAAGTTTTCTGTGGAATGAACACTGCGGGGACAAGGGGGCTTAGGGCCAGCGGAGAAGAGAGAGAGAGTGTCACACACTGTGTGACCTCTCAGTATGAATAAGCCCTGCCTAAAGTATGTCTCTGGGGTTTTATTAAATTCTGTGCTTACTTGGTGGATAAGTGTGTTAGAAAGACTGGCCTGTGCTGATCACTCATCTCCTCTTCTGGTTTTGAATTAAGGTGCAGAAAACCTTTGCATCAAGCTATCTGAGAAGCTGCAGTCCAAGACGTCCAGCAAAGTCATTATTGCTCACTTGCCCCTGCTGATCTGCTGTCTGCAGGTCAGTCTCCCTGAACCCAGAGAGGCTCAGATCCCACCTGTAGGGCCTCCCTCTTGTCACGCTGTTGCTGTTCAGGCTGTGGTGGGCACACCAGCAGCGGAGACCCTGCCGGTTCTGTCTTTAGGAGCTTTAACCAGTGCGTGCTGTGCACAGTTCATCACTGAGTGTGGGCTGCCCCCTGCAGGATGCCAGGGCTTTCTGTCAGTGGCATATGGGTGCAGCTGGCTTCAGTTCTCCGTTGTTGTGAGGCTGGGGGCCATTCCCAAGGCCTGTGGGGGAAGGACTGTGGACATGTGCCATGGGGCCACGCAAGGGGATGTCTCCTGACACCCACAGTGCTAGCTCTGCTCTGCCGAGACTCTTAACCTTGTCACAATCCCACTGACTCCACACCTGCCATTGTTTAAAAATTATATTTTGTCCCTTTCTTCTTTAGTATGCTTCCAAAAGAGATGAGCACACTTTAACAATCTATATCCCCTGGCCAGGTACGGTTGCTCACTCCTGTAATCCCGATACTTTGGGAGGCAGAGGTGGGAGGATCGCTTGAGCCCAACCTGGGCAACATAGTGAGACTCCGTCTGCACAAAAAATTTAAAAAATTAGAATTAGTTAGGGATGATGGTGTGTGCCTACAGTCCCAGCTACTCAGGAGGCTGAGGTGGGAGGATTGCTTAAGCCCAGTAAGTCAAGGCTGCAGTAAGCCATGATCGTGCCACTGCACTCCAGCCTGGGCGACAGCGAGACCCTGTCTCAAAAACAAAACAAAAAAATAGTAGTTGATGTCCCCTATAGGTGGAGGAGAGTCAGCACCATCGCTTCCATCTTTTTATGTCCTGGGCAGGTGGCCTGTGGGAGCTTTGACCTTCGAAGTTTTGGGTCAGACTTGGGTACTGAAGGGTTGAGCACCTCCCTGCTCAGGGCCTACTCAGATGGTCCCATACCACAGGCCATGTGACAGGTTGATGGTGTGTTGCAGGGTTTGGGCCGCCTGTGCGAGAGGTTCCCGGTGGTGGTGCACTCTGTGACACCGTCCTTGCGAGACTTCCTGGTCATCCCGTCCCCAGTTCTGGTGAAGCTCTACAAGTACCACAGTCAGTACCACACAGGTAATAACAGACTATGTGCCCTTCAGGCCCTGAGAAAGGGGCTCTGTGACTGTGTGTGAGCCTCACACAGGTTTCATGACTGTACCTGGGTGCATTCCTTCGCCACACCTTTCCTTCTGTCTTTCCCTTTGCGTCCCCTCCAAGCTCCAGGCCTTTCTTCCCCGGCCTTCTCTCATCCTGTATTCCTGTTACACCAAAGGCCCCTTCAAGTCCTGTTTTCTTTTTGACATCTTTCACTGTGGAAGTCTGAAATGCAAATCCTGTGTGCCCCAAACACTTAGCCAGGGGCCCAGTCCCTGCTACCCCTGCGAGAATGGATTATGATGTTTCCACATATGATGAAACAATAATTAACATTAATTAATTAAACACCTGCTGTGTGCTAGTGTCTCTGATGTAGTATCACCCTCTTACCCACAGTCTCATGAAGGTGGCTGTTTTTATCTTCCCCTTCAGATGAAGACTTAAAGTCAGAGCAGTTTAAAGATTTAGCCAGGCGTGATGGCGCTCACCTGTAGTCCTAGCTACTCAGGAGGCTGAAGTTGTAGGATGGCTTGAGCCCAGGAGGTTGAGGATGCAGTGAGCTGTGATAGCGCCACTGCATTCCGGCCTGGGTGACAGAGCAAGACCCTATCTCAAAAACAAACAAAAAACAAGACTTCCCTGAACCCCGTAGTGGGGAGGGTTCTCTCAGGCTCTAAGGCCCCTGCTCCCGCAAGCATCCCTAACCCTCACCAGGCTTTGTACATATTAGTGAGGTAACTCCAAGCACAGGGCCATGCCTCAGTCGCCCTCAGAGCTGCCTTTGGTGGTTGGTCATCAGTACTTTTGAACAGTTGATTGAGAAATTGGTAGTTTTCTGTATTTATCACTTTCTAACTTGAATATTCTTCCTTTTGATTTAAACATATTATTTCCTGTTGCTCTTAGACTCTTCTCTTTCTGAAATATTTGGTCAGATGTTTTTAGAGTGATCATTTTGCTTTTATAAATGATCAGCATATTATCTTGGTTTTTGAATTACAAAGAAGGTGATGGAAAATGATAGGCCTAACTAGGTATATATTTGAATTTTTTACTTTCAGTTGCTGGCAATGATATAAAAATCAGTGTGACCAATGAGCATTCCGAGTCAACCCTGAACGTCATGTCGGGTAAGAAGAGCCAGCCCTCCATGTACGAGCAGCTCCGAGACATCGCTATTGACAACATCTGCAGGTGGGAAGCTGGGCAAGTGGCGAGTAGACAGCAGTGCTCCAGACAAGCGGGTTATTACAAAATAAGAGACATTTATACTTCTTTTTTGAGATTGAGTCTCGCTCTGTTGCCCAGGCTGGAATGCAGTGGCACAATCTCGGCTCACTGCTACCTCTGCCTCCTGGGTTCAAGCTATTTTCCTGCCTCAGCCTCCCCCGAGTAGCTGGGATTACAGGCGCCCACCACCACGCCCAGCTAATTTTTGTATTTTTAGTAGAGATGGGGTTGCACCACGTTGGCCAGGCTGGTCTCGAACTCCTGACCTCAGGTGATCCACCTGCCTTGGTCTCCCAAAGTGCTGGGATTACAGGTGTGAGCCACTGCACCCACCCCATTTATACATTTTTTTTTATACAGTCTTGCACTGTTGCCTGGGGCGGGAGTGCAATGGCGCAATCTCAGCTCACAGCAACCTCTGCCTCCTGGGTTCATGCAATTCTCCTGCCTCAGCCTCCCAGGTAGCTGGGATTACAGGCACACACCACCATTCTTGGCTAATTTTTTATATTTTTAGTAGAGATGGGATTTCACTATGTTGGCCAGACTGGTCTCAAACTTGTGACCTCGTGATCCGCCTGCCTCAGCCTCCCAAAGTGCTGGGATTACAAGCGTGAGCCACCGTGCCTGGCTGCATTTATACTTTTTTAAAGCTTGTTTCTGATTATTTTAAACCTACACTTGATCTATAAAGAGGAATTATTTCTTGTTACTTCTTTTCTTTTCCTGATCATAAACATAATAAGAGGCCTGGTGTGGTGGCTCAAGCCTGTAATCCCAGCTACTTGGGAGGCCGAGGCAGGTGGATCATGAGGTCAGGAGTTCGAGACCAGCCTGGCCAATATGGTGAAACCCTGTCTCTACTACAAATACAAAAAATTAGCCGGGCGTGGTGGCACGTGCCTGTAATCCCAGCTACTCGGGAGGCTGAGGCAGGAGAATCACTTGAACCCGGGAGGCGGAGGTTGCGGTGAGCCGAGATTGTACCATTGCACTCCAGCCTGGGCAACAAGAGCAAAACTCCGTCTCAAAAAAAAAAAGAAATTCTTCCTTTTTTTTTTTTGAGACAGAGTCTTGCTTTGTCGCCCAGGCTGGAGTGCAGTGGCGCGATCTCAGCTCACTGCAAGCTCCGCCTCCTGGGTTCACGCCATTCTCCTGCCTCAGCCTCTGGAGTAGCTGGGACTACAGGTGCCCGCCACCATGCCCAGCTAATTTTTTTGTATTTTTTTTTTTTTTTTAGTAGAGATGGGGTTTCACCATGTTAGCCAGGATGATCTTGATCTCCTGACCTTGTGATCCGCCCACCTGTGCCTCCCAAAGTGCTGGGATTACAGGTGTGAGCCACCGTGCCTGGCTAAGAAATTCTTACTAGAGAAAAATTGTAATGTATAGAAAAGTAAAAAGAGAAGGATTATCCATTAGCTCAACATCCAGAGTAACGTATCATCATATTTTCTTTACCTTGTTTTCTGTGGAATGTTTAATATAAATGTGAGGTTTTAAAATATGATTAGGTACCCCTTGCTGCCCAGACTCCTGCACTGTGGACTCTTGTTCTTCCAACTTGAGAGCTACATACAGTCTGATTTCCATGCAAATACTTCTTTCCCTGGATTCTGGTTCCTTGCCCTTAGAAGCTAAATCAAGATGGCAGCTTGTCTGTCAGACTCAAACTGTTTTCCAAACTCTGGCCCAGGAGCCAAACAGATGTGGAGAGCTAGGACATCTTACAAGATTTTATGTTTTTAGGGGCTTTAAATTTTTCCCCTTTTCTCTGTAACGTAAATGTTTCTCCTTACCATGAAAACCTTGGTATATAATTGTGATGTTTACTATGCTATCTTGGGACCGTTTGTCTTTGGAATCAGTCACTGTGACCTTAAGAAACAGTACAAGGGATTGAAATTGGAATTAGGGTGAGCATGATATTCCAAAGGAAACTGTTCTGGGCAAAATAATGAAATTATTGTTTCCGACTGAGACATTTATCAAGTGGGCAAAATCTGGAGTAATTCTTTGAATTCATTCTGTGTTATGACCTCCAATTTGGGGGGAAGAAAATTCAGAGCAGTTCTTTAAACTTTGTAGGCCTAAGGAAGGAAAAATTAAAAAACAAAAAACCTATCTTGGTTTGATGCCTCAGTGCCACATGGGTTTTCTTGCTCCTCAGGTGCCTGAAGGCTGGATTGACGGTGGACCCAGTGATTGTGGAGGCGTTCTTGGCCAGCCTGTCCAACCGGCTCTACATCTCTCAGGAGAGCGACAAGTACGCCCCTATTCCTGTCTCTCAGAGGCAGCCCATTGTTCTCAGCAGGCTCGTGTGGGGCACCTGGCATTGTGCGTATGCATGCCTCTGTCCTTATCTCCTTGTCTCAGAGCATAGGCATGTATCAGGGTTGTCACAAGATTTAAGGTGAAGCCCACCTTGGATTGTACTTCCTGGACCACTGTGTGGAAGTCGAGAAAGATCTTTGTCATCCAGACTAGTGCCTGGGGCTTATGTTTCTGCCCGTGGTTAAAATCCTGGGCTGTCAGTTTCAGATGAACACTGCATCAAGACTGTTATGAAATTAAGGTCTAGATCGTAGTCTCTGGGTACTGTTTCACTACTGCATGCTGGAGGGACTGTTGCTAGGGCGCTTCTGTTCTTCCTTCTGTAGGGACGCTCACTTGATTCCCGACCACACAATCCGAGCCTTGGGACACATTGCGGTGGCCTTGAGGGACACCCCGAAGGTCATGGAGCCCATTCTGCAGATCCTACAGCAGAAATTCTGCCAGCCACCCTCCCCCCTCGATGTGCTGATTATTGACCAGCTGGGCTGCCTGGTTATCACCGGAAATGTAAGGGAGGCCAGAGCCAGAACACCACTAACCCTGTGCAAGCTACGTTAAACTCTTGACTATAAGGGATGTACAAATACAGATTAAATATACCTTGCAGATGAGCTAAATGCTGACAACGGTTTTAATGCGGAGTAGTAAGAATAGTGTAAGATGCTGTGAGTGCTGGGGAAAAAGAGGTTTAATTTCTTGTCAGTGTATTATAACAGAAGATTTGAATCTAAGCCATGTCCCTTTTAGCTTTTAATTTGAGGTTTGATTAAAGCTTTAGAAATGGATGATCTTTGGGCTGATAGTCTTTGGGCTGTTGTGCCCCAGGATTCCAGAGCTTTCTCTCTAGGTGATGACAGGAGGGGCCTCATGAGGGCATCCTGCATGGTGACAGTGCATCTTGCTCTCTCCCAGCAATACATCTATCAGGAAGTGTGGAACCTCTTCCAGCAGATCAGTGTGAAGGCCAGCTCCGTTGTATACTCAGCCACCAAAGATTACAAGGACCACGGCTATAGGTAACTGGACCTCATTGTCACTTTTTTATCATGACAGTATTTAACTTACTTTAAAAATGTGAGGTTTGTGAATTTGTCTCTTAAATAAACTCTTCTTGCAAGAAAACTATATGCTACAGATCAGTGCACACATAAGGGGGGAAGTGAAAACCCAATGTGGCCCCCACCTGGAGGTGACCACTGAGCATCTCAGCGCACGAGGTCTCAGCTCCTTTCTCTCCTTCTGATTGGGCCCATGCTGCACATGCAGCTGACCTGCTTTTTTATGGGGCAGCACATCAGCCACACCATGAATGATCCTGCGCAGGTTGCCTTTAGAGGTTGTGGAGCGTCCTATCCTATAGTAGAACCAAGATTTAACCAGCCAGTCTCTAGCTTGGATGTTAGGGTGTTTTCCAGTTTTCCCACTAATAAATGCAGCATTGACAGCCTAACAGCTACATATCTCTGAGCATCTTTGATGCTTTCTGTGGGTTAGATTCAGAGAAGTAGGATTTTGGGTCCAAGGAAGTAGGCGTTAAACGTCCTTGAACATTTGATACTTGTATAAAGTCTGACCAGTTTTCCCTGACAGATTGAGAGATGCTTCTTGGCTATTCCTTACCCTCCTCTAGGAATGCCTTGAGGACAGGGACATGTTCATCCGTGTTTGGAAGAGAGGGAAGGGGAGAGGTGAAGTCAGATGAGGACAGGAGGGTGGGGAGGGAAGAAGAGAGCCCCTTTGCAGGCGTTACTCTTCTTGACCTCCGGGCTCCTCCCTTCTGACTGTGAAGTCCAGGCCTTCCTCTGGATTCTCTCCATGTCAGTTTAGTGGGTGGGAGTGCAGCTGTGGAGCCATGCCATGTAGCTGCATGACCTCAGAAAATGCTGAACCTCTGTGCCTCAGTTTCCTCATCTGCCAAATGAGAACCTGCCTGCAGTTGGGAATGAGATTGCATATGTGAAAGCTCCCAATCAATAGAGCTGTCTCTCGCATCGATACTACTTCATTGCCTTCTTGCTGCCACCGTCATGAGCCCAGGCTACTAGAACAGCCTGAAGACTGGATTGGGGATGGGGTCAGGCTCTCCTTTCCTTCCTTCCTCTGTCCCATTCTCTGCCATGGAACCTGCACACAGGCCAACACATTGCTTCCTTGCGCCTATGTGACTGCTGGGCCCTTTCTCCAGGAGTGTCCCCAGCTGCCTCGCCAGCTGCCTCCCCGGTTTCCTTTGCTTCCACCCCTCCTAGGTGTTCTGCCATGCCTTACCCTGTGTCTGTAGCACCTGCCAGTCTTCATCCTTCCAGTTCTTCAGTTCTGGCTCAGCTTGCCTCTCCTTCCATAAAGCCTTTTCTCATATTGTCACCAAAAATGATTTGTCGTCTTCCTCACCAGTGGAAGCATTTACTGCCCTTTGTTTGCCCTTGACCTACCAGGTATTACTTAACTGCAGTGCCTTTTGCCGTGGCTGCCGTTGCTCTGGGATTTCTTAGTGGAGCAGACGACATGCTTAGTGCTTCACGTGGTGTTTCACTCTTCCCGTGATCCTACGAAGAGAAATTATCATCCTTGTTTTACTTAGGAAGAAACTGAGGCTCAAAGACTTAAAGAGACTTACCCAGGGTCGTGCCGCTTGGACATGACAGAGTCTGGCAGTCTCCAGGGCCACAGAAGCCTGGTTGGCCTCAGTGGTTTCAGGTTTCTGGCCAAAGGGGCAATGTCAGCTTCACATCCGGGGTTTACATTGGGCCAGCCAAGATCCTGAGGCAGGACCCTGGAACACTTGCTGAGCATTGGATGTGAAAAAATACTGACATCAGCTCCAAGGTGGAGGCAGCGTTAGGGAGAAGCTGGTCATGAGGTGAAAGTTCTGTGGGTGGTAAATGATGCTTTAAGGCTCTTTGTGATTTGTAGGGGGGAAGCAAGATCCAACCTGGAATGCCTGGGCATGGGCCCTTTCATTTTCAGCCCTGAGGGAAGTGTCCTGAGACCCTCACAGGTACCCAGTGTTGCAGATGCCTAGAACTTAGTCTCCTGGAGGTCCTTACTACATTTCAGGAGAGAGGATTGCAGTCATTTCTGCATCAGTTGGCTTTATTCTACAGGTTGTTTTTCACGAAGATGACATGTTCTTCTCCACTTGAGAGTTCTTTGGTTTACAGACACTGGGAGGAGTGTGGTAAGGCAGGCTGGGCCTGGCCCGCTCAGCTCGCCTCACCCCTGCAGTGCCGTCCCTTGGGGACGGTTGAGGGCCTGGCAGTGGCTGTTATTTCACTCCTTCTTCTTCAGGCATTGCTCCCTGGCAGTGATTAATGCCCTGGCCAACATCGCGGCCAACATCCAAGACGAGCACCTGGTGGATGAGCTGCTCATGAACCTGTTGGAGTTGTTTGTGCAGCTGGGGCTGGAGGGGAAGCGAGCCAGCGAGAGGGCAAGCGAGAAGGGCCCTGCCCTAAAGGTAGGAAGGAGGATGGCTATGCCTTCCCCATCAGTGTCCTATCCCTGCTGGCCAAGGCTTAGTCTTCAGGCACCATCTTGGTTGGAATATGGCACTTTCTTTGTGAATGATTTAAATGTGCCTGGAATGCAAGTAAGAAGGGGTGGGGTTCTTTCTCAAGGATGCTGGTGGGGATCAGGGGAGAGGGCAGTTTTCTCACTGGGTTATATCCAGCTCATAAAAGCTGCCCGACCCATCCTAGGGTGGTGACATGACAACAGTCTAGCCTCAGCTCCCCACGGGCACCTCTCTCTGTCCTTGCCTTTATCATGAAGCCCAGGGGTGGTAGCTGGGCCTAGGAGGACTTTAAGGGCCCATCATCAGAACACAGTGGCAACATGAGAAGGGCCAGATTTCACCTAATCTCAGGCCTCCCAAGGAAGACAGGTCTACTGAGATAAACGTCATGTCTTGAATCCCCAAATACATTCATGGTGGGGCCGAGGCAGGTGAGGCCTCTTCCTTCGTAACTCCCCAGTAGCATGTCACGTGGGCACTAGTCGCTCTACCATGTTAGGAATAACCCTTAAAATTTTAAGGAAATTGAATATTTGAACAGAAGAGTTTTAGTAAAGCAATTTTATTTTTGCGTAGAGGGGTGTCTTTTGGGCTAGCTGTTATAAGAGCATATTTGAATAAAGGGCACGAGAATTTTTATTTTTGACTCAAGTTTTGTTTTTGTATTTTTTTTATTGGCTGGGGTTGGGTCATATAATTTAAACTAATTTTGGTTGGCTAAACATTTGATTTTTTTAGATAGGGTGGGTATGTAAAAGAAAGTGGAGAGAAAGGGGAAGGGGGTGTTTGTAATGAGCTAGAAAGTTTTTTTTTTTAAATAAGGAAAGGAATATGAGTTGGTGTTGATAACACTTGGTACTGAGGCGTGTTTAGGCATTTAATAAAGGCAAAAAGGAAAAAAAAGAAAAAGTCGGGGGTACTATAAATTAAAAAATAAAAGATTGATCAGATTATTTAAAGAAAAACCCCAATGTATCCCACAACCATATCTCTACTTCCACCCTGTTTTGTCATTTCCTCTCTCTTCCATTTCTTCCTTCCCCTTCCCCCAGACAGTTATTGTTCACCTACTCTGTGCCAGCTACTGTCCTAGGTCAGGGGTCAGCCCACTTTTTCTGTAAAGGGCCAGAGTGTAAATATTTTACGCTTTGCAGGCCATACAGCTTCTGTTGTAACTGCTCAACTCAACTCTTCTGTGGTCACCTGTCTATGAACGAACAGGCGTGACTGTGCTCCTATAAAATTGTATTTGCAAGAACAGGTGTTGGGTTGGATTTGGTTCATGGGCCATAGTTTACCAGCCCTTGCTCTAGATGAGGGTGTTACAGAAGTGAACGAGACAGACAGGGTCCTCTCTGCCTGTGGCGCTGAGTGGGAGAGTGAAACAGGGCAGGGTGGTGAGGGGCACTTTAGATTGGGCTGGTTGAGAAGGCTTCTCTGAAGAGTGGCATTTGAGATGACAACTGCATGAAGGAGTCCCCCTGTGAAAGTCTCAGCCAAGAGAGAGTGGCCGATGCAAGCAGGGATCCTAAGACTCTTGTCCCTAATTCAGCCTTGCTATGCCGGGCCCTCCGACAGTCATGTGGCTGACTAACTTCCCAAGTCTCCCAGTGGGGTACACAGCTGGGACCACCTCAGTGCACAGGAGAGAAGTGTGTCCCGCGTGTCTAGCGGGACCTTAGGCATCAGGATAAGAGTGGGGTACTGATGATACAAGGTGGTGCTGAGCACCTGAGAAAGCAGAGGCTGTAACCTGTCTGAGGGGCGTTTCAGGAGCCTGCTCTCCCCTGGAAATTGGACCTCAGTGCCCCACCTTGTGGAGGACAAGGAGCTATAATTATAAATTAAACTAAGGTCTGTGGGTTGTTCTCCATCATCACGCATCCCTTAGGCTATCGGTTTCCCAGAGGGGACCAGGCAGGGCCACCCTTGTGGCCCCCAGCCCAGGGAAAACAGCTTGGCATTCTTTTTAAATTTTCAAAAAAATTTTTGTGAGTACATAGTAGGTGTATATGTTTACAGCTTGGCATTCTGTCCCCACCACTGAGGTGCTGTGTGGCCTTGGCAAGCTACTGAGACCTCCCATGAATCGTCCCAGAAGTTAGTGCATGCGAAGCACTGAGCACAGTGCCTGGCCGCAGTGTATGCTCAAGGTCTTCAGCTGCTGTTATTATAGATTAAGAGCATAAATCAAGTCGGCTTAGGCCAGTGCTTCCAGAATTTTTACTAATCAGTGTGTACTGAAGATTAGCTACATTTGTGTGTCTAGCCAGAGAGTCTATCTTTTATTAAGTAACCCCCCAAATTTCCCTAACTTGGGAAGAATATATGTTTATTTTAGAAAAGATACAGAAGCCTATAAATAGTAAAGTAAAAAGCACTTATCCCTTGACTCAGATATATAATCATTACTAACACTTTGACAGATTTCTTCCTAGCTTTTTTATGCATATGTATTTATTACATAATTGGGATTGAATCATAGCATAGTCTTAAATCTTGATTTTTTTTTCATTTGACATGTGCTGTGGGCTCTTTCCATGGTGACTAAATGCTTTTCAGAAAGTTGTATTTTAAATAGCTGTGTCATATCTAATTATGCAGAAGTACCATGATTTATGTAATCATTTATGTAACCATGGTTTATTTTTCACATTTGTTTTCATTTTTTGCTATTAAAATTATGCTGGATGAGCATCTCTCTGCCTCTCTCTGCATATCTCTCATCATTTCTCTTAGATTAAGACATTCCAGGTTTACATAACACTATGTTGTATCTTGTGTTTTTTTTTTTTAATAAAAGAAACACATACTCGTTAATGACAATAATTCTGTTCTTTTCTAGGCTTCTAGCAGTGCAGGGAACTTGGGAGTACTCATTCCTGTAATAGCTGTGGTGAGTATTCATTAATTGAATGATAAAAACTGCAGATACTGTGTTCATGCTTTAAGTGTTGCCTGGTGACGCACAGTAAATTCCTTAGAAAGGTGCAGTGTTGAGGCCCCTATGCCTCTAGATGTGACTGCTGCAGCCATCACCAGCTTTTCCATGACAGCCCCATAGGTGTGTCCACCATGGCACATCCTTCACTCCCTTTCTCCATGACCTGCCCGAACCCCCTCAACCAATTGACAAGGGCACTTGCTTTGGTTCCCTGCCGGGTGGCTCCCAGGTCCTAAATCTGACTCCACTTTCATCCTGTGTCTCATGCCCTTGTGACTGATGCTGGGCCAGCTCCCTGCTTCCATCCCTTCCTTGGCTCCTTCCCACAAGTGCAGGCCTGGAAGCCTCTTGTCGGCGCTCAGGCCTCGGAGCTATGGCCCCAGTCTCCTTCAGGGGACGTTGTTGGCATGGCGGGCACAGTCCCTGCCTCCTGTGTGGCACCATCGTGTTGGAGAGCCTGTTTCCATCCTGTCCTGTCCCAGCTTGGGTCCGCTTCTTCCCAAATGACTTGTAGAAGTTGTTTTTCCCTTTCTTCGTCACTCCTAGCTGCAAGTCCTAAGCCCAGCACCTATGTTCCAGTATTTATTTTCATTCCATATTCTCTCCCTTCCATTTAACCAACCTTCTAGGCCATCCCTTGTGTCTGCCTTACAGTGCCTTCCCTCCTCCTCACCCCATAGTAGTTTGAGTCTTGAGCACTTGCATGTGTCCCCTTCACCTTGTACACCAGAGGGGTGGGCCTGGTGGCAGAACTGCTAGGGCAGCCTAGGGACGTGGAGGTCAGGCAGACAGGTGGCATTGCAGGCACAGAGAGGCACCTCTCCTGGTCTCATTGAAGTCGTTCCCCTGCTCACACCATCTGAGTGTTCATCATTATTCCCAACCTGGGGACTTCTAGGGTGTCCAGTTTTGGCTGGCCGAGGTAGATGAAAAATAGTAACTGACTGGTTTGCCATTATTTATCTTTAGTAGTAAAATGTCATATGTCGCATGTTATTTATTTATTTTTATTTTTTATTATATTGTATTTTATTTTTTATTTTTGAGACAGATTCTCACTCTGTCACCCAGGCTGGAATGCAGTGGTGCGACCTTGGCTAACTGCAGTCTCCACCTCCTGGGTTCAAGCAGTTGTCATGCCTCAGTCTCCCGAGTACCTGGGATTACAAGCACGCCCTACCACGCATGGCTAATTTTTGTATTTTTAGTAGAGATGGGGTTTCACCATGTTGGCCAGGCTGGTCTCGAACTCCTGGCCTCAAGTGATCCACCCGCCTTGGCCTCCCAAAGTGCTGGTATTACAGGTATGAGCTGCCGCGCCCGGCCTGCCATGGTATTTTTCATGGACACCCCCATTGGTTGATTTATTTTTATTTTTATTGTTTTTGAGACAGGGTCTCATTCTGGCACCTAGATTGGAGTGCAGTGGCAGAGTATCAGCCCACTGCAGCCTGGACCTCTGGAGCTCAAGCAATCTTCCCACCTCAGCCTTCCAAGTAGCTGGGACTACAGGTGCACATCACCATTCTCAGCTACTTTTTCTATTTTTTTGTAGAGATAGGGTTTTGCCATGTTGCCCAGGCTTGTCTCGAACTTCTGAGCTCAAGTGATCTGCCCCACTTCAGCCTCCCTTAGTGCTGGGATTACAGGCGTGAACCACCATGCCTGGCCCCATTGGTTGATTTTTCAAAACAGAAATTTTCCCACTGTGTAGCTAATGTTGAGTAGTGTATGCTTGTGTGTTTAAAGTGCTGTTGTATGTGGGCCTTTTATGTGGCCTGGAGGGAAAAGTAAGGGGCATGAAGCCCAAGCCACTCTGTTGGCAGCAGGCTCTGCAGGAGAGCAAGTTTTAGGCAGATAGGGAGGATGCTTAGGGCAACACTAAAATCAGTGAGTTCCAGGATCTTTGACCATCAGAACTTGATGACCTGTATTCTTGTGAACTTTCAAATATGTTGAGCAGTTGTCATTTAGAGCTTAATATATGCATAGTGGAAATCTGTCGGGCACTTTGCACTTTAGGGAAGCAGTGAGTGGTGAGGTTGGTTGAAATTACACAAATTTGAGGGTCACAGGGTTCCAGGTTGGACTCCTGGTCCTACATGTGGGATCGTGTGTGAGCCTGCGCCTCTCCGGGCTGCTGGGGTGGGTGGTACAGGCAGAACTGTTATCTGTGATAGCTTAGCACATGCTCATTTAAATACTCCCCTGATGTGACCTCTTACATGAGAAGAATAAGTGTATTTTTAGTGAAAGTTAATGGTTATATTATGGAGGAGGAAACAAATATTTGATTTTATTGCTCAACAAAGAGCACAGAGATCATGGGTCCTTGCATTTACTTTATGGTTACCCCTTGGACCTTCTGGAAGAAACTAATTTCCAGAGGTGGTTTTTTTTGTTGTGTGTGTGTGTGTGTGTGTGTGTGTGTGTGTGTGTGTGTGTTTGTTTTTTTTAAATTTTTTTATTTTTATTTTTATTTTTGAGACAGAGTCTCACTCTGTCACCCAGACTGGAGTGCAGTGGCGTGATTTTGGCTCACTGCAACTTCCATCTCCTGGGTTCAAGCTATTCTCCTGCCTCAGCCTTCCAAGCAGCTGGAATTACAGGTGTGCACCACCATGCACGGCTAATTTTTGTATTTTTAGTAGAAATCAGTTTTTGCCATGTTCACCAGGCTGGTCTCAAACTCCTGGTTTCAAGTGATCCACCTGCCTCAGCCTCCCAAAGTGCTGGGATTACAGGTGTGAGCCACCACTCCTGGCCTACTTATTTTATTTTTTAAAAGAAAGATATACTCTATTTTGTATATAGAGTATATTCTGTGACCTTTGATGACACAGTGTCTCAGATTACTCTGTTGAATGGAAGTACCAGTGGATTTGGGGCAGGAAGCCTGGGTTTTGGCCCTAATGCAGCTGTTCTCAGTGACTTTGAGGGAGTTGCTAGGAAGCTGGGTCATACAATCTCTGAGGCTCCTTCCTGGCTAGATTTGGTGATCTTTGTACCGCAACTTTGTGAATAATATTTCTTCAGAGATATCATTGATTAAATTACTTCAGTTGTTACTTAGCTTGTTAGTTAAACGTTTTGAATGGTATCTAATGCTTAGAGACTTAGTTGTTCCACTGTCATATAATAGTGATTTAATAAGATGCACCTCCTTCTGGAAAAACATTCATGTATTTCACTGAGAGCAAGTTTACTTGTGTCACCAGTCACTTTTGTGGCCTTGGAAGGTTTACTTATTTTCTCAGTGCCTGCAAAACCAGGTGTGTGTGGATTAACATGTTTTAGGTCACAGAGAACCTTTTCGAAAACTGTGCACTCTCTGTCCATGGAAATCCTTATTACTCTCAAGATTTTGCATGTAACCTCAGGAAGTTAAATGGAAGCAATCTACCCAAGGCTCCCCAGTTAAGAAGGCCTGGCTTATGTACTCTCTTAGATTGAGAATAATGTGACAACCTTTCCTAGTTCTTGCTAAAACCAAGCAGTGATCTAAATGCTTTCCAGACCAGGCATGGTGGCTTACACCTGTAATCCCAACACTTTGGGAGGCCAAGGTGGGCAGATCACCTGAGGTCAGGAGTTCGAGACCAGCCTGTCCAACATGGTGAAACCTCATCTCTGCTAAAAATACAAAAATTAGCCAAGCGTGGTGGCACGTGCCTGTAGTCCCAGCTACTCGGGAGGCTTAGGCAGGAGAATTGCTTGAACCCAGGAGGCGGAGGTTGCAGTGAGCCAGGATTGTGCCATTGCACTCCAGCCTGGGCAACAGAGCGAGACTCCGTCTCAAAAAAATAAAATAAATGAATAAATAAATAAATAAATAAATGCTTTCTAGACATTAATTTGATTAATCCTCACAGCAATCCCTCAAGGTAAGTGCTGCTGGTCTCCCCATTTTACAGATGAGGATACTGAGGCACAGAACCTGCTACTAGAGTTTCATAGCTACTAGATGGCAGAGCCAGGATTCAAACCAGGCAGCCTGGCTCAGAGCCTGTGTTCTGAATGAGTACTCTCCTGCTTTGAGTAACAGATGGGCTAGTTTCTGTAAGAGGGGATCTGAGAGATTCTGAGTGGGTGTACATGAACAAAAGGCATTGAAACGGGGGTGTCTGGATGCTCAAGAGTGTGGAGGACTCCACACCGGCTGTAGCAGAGAGGGCGCTGGGTGAGCAGAAGTGACCACTGCCTTTCTGGGTATGGGACAGACATGGCAAAGGACTAAAAGGGTTTTTTGAGATTATTACATTTAGAAATGAGAAGAGCCAAAAGGAAGCTGCAGCAAGATGAGAAATATAGGACAGGCACCAGAAAAGAAGAGTGGTGAAGCAGGTTGGAGAATGACAGAAAAGAAGAGTGGTGAAGCAGTTTGGAGAATGACAGAAAAGAAGAGGGGTGAAGCAGATTGGAGAATGAATTGAAGGAGTGGGCCATCCGCAGCATCAGGGTTCACCAGGAAGCCGAGAGGATGGCTTGGGGCAATTCATCCAGCCCCTGCACCATCTGCTCTCAGCAGAGTAAGGAGGCAGAGCCCAGTGTGGGAAGTCAGGAAGGGAGCAGGGGAAAGCAGGGCTGCAGGGTCCCCCTGCCTGGGTGTGGATTCAGGCCTCAGGCAGAGGCCTTCCCTTCTGTGAGCTGAAATTGCTTCTGCAGCTGTAAAAAGGAGGGGTAACAGTGCCAGCCCCCTAGGGATTGAGGGTAAGGAGACTCTGTGAGATAACCCACAGGCATGCCTACAAAGGGCAGTGACGTTCCCCTTCCGTCCCTACTCCCTTTTACCACTCTTCTTACTGGTATTGGTCTCATGGGGTCAGAAGCCTGTGACAGGACTCCTTGTGTGGTCCCTGGAGTCCAGCCAACCTGCACTTGAACCCAGCCCCACTACTTCAGCATCTTGGACAGGTTTCAGAACTCTTCCAACCCTTGTCTTCCTCATCTGCCAGGCTGTGGGGGTTACAGTTAGACACCTGCACACACAGCACCTGTGACCGTCAGTCATCCCCTCACTGAAAGAGCACTGGCACTCTTGCGTGCTGAACAGCCTCTGTGGATTTCACTTGTCTTACCCAGGGATTGAAGGATCCAGAAACATATTCCTCAGGTGTCATCTGCTCTGTCAAACCAGACCCACTGCAGGACCAGGTATGAGGGATGAAAGCTGCAGCAGCCTGGCATAGACTGTGGGAGCCCTGGGGCTTGTGTGCCACTTAGCACCCCACAGTTCTGGGGTACTGCACAGACCCTCCCCAGGATTCAGCACACACCTGTCCTGTCCTGAGAACATGCCCTGCTGTGGCACATTGTGGTGCTCAAGTGACTTCCTCTCAGCCTTTATCATACCTGGAGTTATCCAGGAATTTGGATTTGGCTTTTGATATTTGAGCTTCAAAAAATAGAGAATTATAACAGATACACAGTAAATGTGGCTACATTTATTTATCTCTAGTATGGGAGACATGGCACACACTGTCCTCCAGGTCACAGGGAGGCAACAGCAGGAGGGACTGATGGCATTCATCATGGATTTGAAAGGTCAGGCTTTGAGAAAATTAAGCCCTAACATTAGCCCAGGGCACCCCTCATATGTCTTGAGGTGGCTTCTTCCCTGGACATCAAGAATGGTGCTAGTTGTGTACCCTCCTTGGGAGAGGTAAGGAATTAGTCACACCACTCATTTCTGTGCTTGGTATTCAGATGAGGGGCCTGGTGGAGAAAGGCTTGAGTGACAGAGTCAGGTGTGCAAGGATGGGGTCACCGGAGCGGGAGGTGCTTAGGACGCGCTGCTCAGGTTTGCTGTGAAGAGTGGGGAGGTGAGACCCTCTAGGTAACAGCAGACACACTACAGTTACAGTGACTTCTATGAGCTTACAGCATGGGCTATTGTGCAGAATTGATTCCAACAAGCCTCTCTTCTTGGTCGTTTCTAAGCTCCTCTCATATGGGCCTCGAATTCAGATTGGTAGCGTAAACTACGTAAATGATGCCAGAACATCTCTGTTCTCGTTGTTGGAATGGAAACAAAATGAGGGTGCCCCCAAGGCACTTCAGACACCTAGACCTCCACCTCTAGGACCTGCTGGGGTTGGCCACTCTTCCCATGAAGAGCAGGCAGCTGGTGCGATGCTCGTAGATGAGGAAAAGAAAGGGGCGGTCGACAGTGAAGCGGACTTGGGTGGACAGCGGCATGAACCCCACCGTGGTCACAGTGGTGGCTTGGGTGCCTTCCTCGTTCACTGTGATCGTGCCTTGGTGCTTGAACTGTTTGGAAAGGAAAGTTGTCAGATTCTGGAGGTCAGCACACAGAGGGCTAGAGTTCCCAGCACAATCTCATATCATTCAGGGAAAGGATCCAAAGACAACATGTAAGGTGGAAATCACAGCTGGTCAGAGTCACTCTTGAAAATATCTGTCACCACCTGTCAGGGGCAGCCGTTGCACTTAGAGGCCGGCTAGGTTCATGTTCCCTCTTGGCAGTGCCTGTGGTCTGAGGGTCGTGGGGGCTGGTGCAGGACAGCCACCCCAGCTCCAGCTCCCCACACTGCTGCGCACTTCTCCGGGATGGGGAACTGGGTCTGCTGCACTGTTTGGACTGGTGTTCTCTCTCTTTTGCTGAGCGCCCGATTGGTTTAAGTTAAGTATGTGTATAGTGCGGTGTTTAATGGCTCTTTCATGATTTGGCTGGGGGTAGCTATTTCCCAGACCGCAGCACATGTCTCCCCTGTCTCTGGTGTCAGCGGGAGTGGGGCTCACCCCATGGCTGCTCTTGGGATCCCCCCTGCCCAGTAAGTGTCTGCCAGGTGCCGTGCTCTCCAGCTGGCATCCATGAAACTAGGCATTCTGTGTATCCCACCCAGGCCGAAGAGCAGACTCAGCACCCCAAGCTGGGACATGAGATTGGGGGGTGGGTAGGAAGGGCAAGTGGAGGTGGGGCTGTGCTGAGGCAGACCCTGGGGACGGGTCGGGGGTGGACAAGGGAGTGGTTACCAGGTCGATGGCGATCCTTTGGTCTGAGATGCCTGCCATGTTGCCATTTTTGTCAAACAGCATCCTGATCCCCATCAACTTCAGGGACTCCACTAGATTGTAGTTCTTCTCCAGCTTGAATTTCGGCAGAAGCACTTCTCGAGTTCTAGACAGAAAAGGAAAGGGGGGCCCAGTTTTATTGAACCACAAGTTACAAAAGAATCATGATTTTCCCTTTAAAGGGCCACGGGTTATATTTATCACAGAATTGATATAGCACTTATTAAAATTTATATTCCGGGACTGTCAGTTGAGGATTTTAGGAAGCACACTCCTTTGTAATTCCGCTACTGAAAACTGAGGTGTGTTTTCTGTTGCATGATTATTTCCTTGAGACTGTATGGTTCGTTTCCTATCTTCAAGGTTAGCAGCAGAACTTTTCCTGGTTTATGGTTTAAAAAGGCATCTAAAATAATTCTCTGGTTTGGTTTCCCAATTTTAGGCATTTGGTTTTTTTTTTGTAATTAAGGAGTCGAATATCTGGTAGTGTACTTTTAAAAAGAACCTTTCCTGTATATACTAGACAATGCTGAATATTCTCAATCTTTGCCTCAACTTACTCAATCCCTAAGGGGGCGGATAGCAACAGTAGTGCCTGTGGAGTTAGTCTGGCACTTTGCAGGGGATAAAGAGATTTAAGGTGCAATCCCAGCTGGATGGGCAGGAAGGCTTGATCTTCTTCACTCTTTTACCTAGCTCATACCTTGCACCAAGTAAGATCTCAATTAAAAGTCAAATGGGCCAGGCACAGCGGCTCACGCCTGTTAATCCCAGCACTTTGGAAGGCCAAGGCAGGAGGACTGCTTGAGGCCAGGAGTTCAAGACCAGCCTGGGCAACACAGCGAGACCTCATCTCTACCAAAAAAAGTTTAATTAGCTGGGCATGAAGGTGCACGCCTGTAGTCTCAACTATTCAGGAGGCTGAGGTGAGAGGATCACTTAAGTTCAGGAGGTTGAGGCTGCAGTGAGCCATGATGATGCCACTGCACTCCAGCCTGGGTGACAGAACAAGACCCTGTCTCAAAAAAAAAAAAAAAAAAAAGATGCAGTCCCTTTCTCAAGAGCTGCCGGGCTGCAGGGAGGAATGGAAGGAGGCAGGTACAGAAGGGACGTTGTTAAGGAAAAATTCACAGAGCATGATGACTGGCTACCCGGGCAAATACCTTCCTCTGAGAGCCTACTTTTCTCAGTTTGGTTGCATATGTTTGTATTCTTGTCCTATAAGGAGGTTCAAACCAGAATCACTTCTTCATATGGGCCTAGCCAGTATCCAGTAAGACAGAAATAAGACCTCTCCATTCTTTCTGCCATGACCCAATAATAATCTCAATAAGTACTTAACACCTGCAGTTTTAACTACAAAGTAACGAATAATAATAGAGGAAATCATGAATGATGTGTCCTCGGTAGGCTAAGAGGACCTTGGAATTTCCTGGGCAGGGAAGAGTTGAGCCAATCTTTTTTTGAGTGCCTCCTAGGTTCCAAGTACTGGGAGGGGCGCTCAGCATCGCTGATTCTGTTATTTTCTCAAGTGACCCGGGGAAGTAATGGAATTATACCCATTTTAGGGATGATGAAGCTGGGACTCGAAGCCACAAAGCAAGCACCAAGCTGTCTCTAAGTCATCTGCCTCTAACTTCTGAAACTGGCCCCTAGAGGGCAGATGTGTCCCTTATGAATGCTCTCTAATCATCTCTTATCTCAAGCAACAAATTGGGGCTGAATTAACAGAGTGGCCCTGTATGGAAGTTCTTGGGTACTTGTACATAATTCTCCCTTTTTAAAAAAATGATCCATTTTCCAGTATTCCCAGACACCCCCAGCATCTGGGAGCTCAAAAGAACAAACACACAGTGTGAAATACCTGTTTGTCATGCTTTTTTGCCATCTCTCCACCACCCGGGGTGTCAGTTGCGCTTCGAGGGTCTTCATCCCAGACATCTTGTGTGGGACCACAATTAGCATGCTGATGCCCCCCACGTATTCCAGCTGGAGGATGTCGCAGTCCAGCTCCTGGTCATTTGCTGCGAGGAAGTTCCCCTTGGTCTGCATCATGGAAACCTTAACTACCTCTCTCTCATTCAGCCGGAAGTTGTGGTTGTGTGTCATTTCCACTGGGAATTTATTCACCCAGGATCCTGTAAAGGCCACAGGAAGAGGCTGTTATGAGAAGGTTCCTTTAGGGAAATCGTCTCACCCTTGAGAGTGAATCTGATTTCCCTGGAGGCCTCATTCAGATAGCCTGCAGAGCCGACCCCACAGTCTCTTGATTCCTGAGGCCTGATTTGGGCAGAAATTTGCATTTCTAACAAGAGAGGTTAACGAGAGGTTACCCGGACTGGAATAGTTTCTGGAGTAGGGTCTGATACGAACTAGTTGTTTGACCATGGTAAGGCACCTAACTCGCTTCTATTTCTTCATCTGTCACATCTGTCAAATGAGTAACTTTGAGCTCTTTCCAGCTTTTATTACTGTTATTATTATTTGGTTTTTGAGACCAGGTCTCACTGTGTCATGCAGGCTGGAGTGCGGCGATGCCATCATAGCTCACTGCAGCCTCACACTCCCAGGCTCAAGGAATCCTCCTGCCTCAGCCTCCCTCCCCAGTAGCTTGGACTACAAGCACATGCCACGCCTGGCTATTTTTTCTTTCTGTCTTTTTTTTTTTTTTTTTAATTGTAGATGGGGTCTTGCTATGTTACCTAGGCTGGTCTCAAACCCTTGGCCTCAAGCAATCCTCCTGCCTCAGCCTTCCAAAGCACTGGGATTATAGGCATGAGCCACCCTGCCAGCCTCAGCTCTGTCTTGATGGCCTTCATCCCTCACACTGTGATTCTGTAGTGACTAACAAGACATTTGGGTGATGCCATGTTGCCCTTAGGATCACCACTGTAGATATGGGGACAGTGCTGTGTATCCAGGAATAAGCCCATGTCTATGTTAGCTCTAAGATGTGAGTAACTAATAGTAATGGGTGACTAGTAGTTGAGAACTGGCCATGTGCCGGGCATTCTTCTCAGCACCTTTCCTGTATTATCTCATTTCTGCTCCTAGCAACATGCAAGTTGTGTGCGTTTTGTTATCCCTCTTTTACATATGAGGAAACAGAGGCACAAAGAAGTGAAGTAACTTGTTCAAGGTTTCTAGCTGGTGGGTAGAGCAGCCAGGATGAGATGAGCAGGAGGTGTCTTGGAGGTTGAAGTACCAGACAGCTCCTGCCTGCCTGTGAGTGAAGCTCGATTCCCTTCTCCCTGAGTCTGCCTCACCCAGGGTTTCTCAACCTCAGCATTTTTGACATTTGGGCCACATAATAGTTTGTGGCAATGTGGGCTGCCCTGTGCATGGTAGGGTGTTTAGCAACATCCCCAGCCTCCCCCTTCTAGATACCAGTAATGCTTACTCCAACCCCCCAGGTTGTGACAACCAAAAGTGTCTTCAGACCTTGGGGACAAAATTGCTCTTTTGGGAATCACGGCCCTTTCAGTTTGGATGGAGCTGTCCCATGTCTCTTGGGATTCTTTCCTTCTGACTTCCTCATGAGAGCCTGCCTCTGTTTATTGTGCTTTACAAAGTGATTATCACATTAAAATTAGAACAAAATTAGTAATGGAGATGATTCCATATGAAATTAAGTGAAATTAAAATTACACTTCTAGACACTCGTCCCCTTTGAGAAGCATCCATGAATGATTGGGTACTCCTAGCATTTGATCCCTTGTGATGCCCGGCATTGAGTGACTATTCTCATGATGGGGAAAGGAAGCAGAAGCATTTGCACGTGTGTTTACACTGTGGTATGACACGGGTTACTGTGTTTAGGAGATTGTCAACTGACCATGCCTGATCATTTCTCCACCTCCATGCAGGCAGGGATGGCTCACTGCTGTACTTCTCTGCCTGTCCCTGAACCCTCAGCCAGGGCTAATGCAGAGGCTCTTTGGTGTACTTGGGGGGCTCCAACAGACCAGTAGGTTGGAGGACTTTGATGCTGCCAAAAATGCTTCTGCCAGCCTGTTCTAAAGTCAGTCCTAAACATAGGTTATTTGCTAGTAGAAGTAAAATAAATGTCACTAACAATATCATATGTTTATCATATTGTACTAGTATTGTAATCTACAGTTTCATTCCCTCAAATTCGCTGAGCTCTTGTCATGTGCCACTCTGTTGCATTGCCATCGCTTATGGTTCTTCCCTCGGCCCTGTCAGAGTGGGTGTCATCTCTGTGATAAAGATAAGGAAACTGAGTCATAGAGATGTTGAATGACTTGTCTGAGGTCACACAAACGAGAAGTGGTGAAACCAGCGCTTAGACTCTTGTTTGCTCAATTCCAAAACTTGTACTAATAACCTGTAATGAAAAGGATATGTGTGTTCATCATGTACATGTGGTCTCTGTGTGTGTGTCTGCCGCAAGCCTGTTAGAACTCAGCCTTTGATTCCACCCACAGGAGGCCAGCATTGTGCCATGCCTTGGGGTGGAAACCTGGGTGTCAGAGTGACCCTGCTTGGCCTATCCAGCAGAATGCCTGCCTTGTAGAGCTGCAGGGGCCTCAGCCAAGGCACAGAGCAGGTGTGTGGACAGATCAGGAGGGGCTCTGGCCCCCTTTCCCTGAACAGAAGCCAGGAGCTGGGGGGGGTCTCCTTCCTTCGCCTGGGCTGCTATAAAACCACGGGAGCTAACTAGCAGAAAGCACTGGCCTCCAAGTACTGCCCTTTGCAGGTACCTGGTAGTCCTTGGTGGCAAAGAGAAGTGGTTGTGTGTCACCGCAATTAGTCCTGAAGCCGAACCATTCCTCGTGTTTCCCCTTCCACACTCTCAGCTTAGAGAGTAAAGTAGAGGTTTCTTCTGGTCTGGTCCAGGTGAGGATATTTGAAAAGAGAGGTTTGGATTTTACAAATCCATGCTTATTTATTCCTAGGATTCCAGGGGTCCTATGTGTGTGTGATGGGTGTGGGGTGACCTCCTTAAAAAGTGCCCTTGTGCTCAGCCCAGAACAGTTGCTGGGGAAATAGTAATTTATTTCTCCATCCCACCTGCCCAGTAGTTCAAAAGTATCCTGAAAAGCACTTGTAGGTGTCAATGTCAGCTGCTCAAGCTGAATAGTTCACAGGTGCATTTCTTTAGCCTTTTGTCTATATTCCTGCTTATTGATAATTGGGAAAGGAAAAGAGAAAACTCAAATCCAGGCTGGCCAAATGCTAAAACAGTTTTTGTATTATTTCTTCCAATTTAACAGATTGCTAGGGTTGGCCTCCCTGGGTTCAGCTTTGGCTCTGCCCCTTAATAACTGGGTGCCCTTGGAGCATCGTTTTACTTCTTTTTTTTTTTTTTTTGAGATGGAGTCTCACTCTGTCGTCCAGGCTAGAGTGCAGTGGCACAGTCTCGGCTCACTGCAATCTCTGCCTTCCAGGTTCAAGTGATTCTCCTGCCTCAGCCTCCCAAGTAGCTGGGAGTACAGGCACCCACCGCCAGGCCCAGCTAATTTTTGTATTTTTAGTAGAGCCAGGTTTTCACCATGTTGGTCTGTTGGTCAGGCTGATCTCGAACTCCTGACCTCAAGTGATCTGCCTGCCTCGGCCTCCCAAAGTGCTGGGATTACAGGCGTGAGCCACCGCGCCCAGCCCATCCTTTTACTTCATGTGTTGGTGGCTTCCTCTGTAAAATGGGGATGCTAATAACAGTGATGACCTCACAAGGCTGTGTTAAAGCACAGAGTTAGGGCTCAGTAAGTGTCAGATGCTACTGTCACTTCAGCTTGGCCTTCCCTGTCCCCGTTCCAGAGTCAATCTTGTGTCTAGTTTTCCTGGATAAATTATAGCTACAGTACAGTTCTTGGCATTCAATCTACCCACATACAAAAATAGTATGTTGTGGGTTTGCTGTGAGAACTGTAAAGGTGCCTCTTACCTTTGAAGTAGATGCAGTTGAGAATCATCATCTGGGTAGCAGGGTCTATATTCTCCAGAGCATCTTTTATGAGGCCCTTGGTGAGCTTCATGATGTGGTTGTTGGTTTTTGATATGAAGGCAGGGTCTGAGAAGTCAGCTATCTGGGCCTCAGCAAAGTAATACTCTCTTACTTTAGTTTTGAAGTCAAGCAGGATTGGAAACTGCTTCTGGATATAAAGGTCATTGACTGACCGCAGTGTGTACCCAAAATTCCTCCTGAAGAGGCGATGAGTCAGCTTACGGAAGAGATTATGAATGGTCGTGATTTCATACTTGCTGCTGGCATTAACAAAGTCTTTAAAATGCAAAATCGAGTGCACTTGTTCATGGGTCTCTCCCTTCAGACCTAAGGAAATCATACCCATCGCAGTAGAAATGCCAACGGGTGCTATGAAGATGTTATCGAAAGTGTTGACCTGGTCTTTCAGCACTCGGTAGAGGTTGAAAGCGAACTTGGCGTTGAGGATGTTAAGACGCTGGATCCGGCTCTTGCCATGAAAAAGCTGGAGGATGTTCCCAGCACTCACATCAGAGTCTGTCGGGGAAACTGACAGACTGTCGACGATGTCGATGTAGTCGTCGTCTTCACTGAATATCTTCTCCAGGTCCAGATAGTCGTCGTCCTCCTCCCCCTCTGGAATCCAGTCGTTGGTGACGGTGTTTTCCTTGTGGAAGTCGGCAGGGAGAAGAGGCATGCTCAGGTTTTTGTTATTTAACTGCTCCCACTGGGGATCTGCAGACTGAGCAGTTTCCCCTCCTTTCTCTAGCTGATCCAGCGGGCCTTTGCTCCCACCCCACGCAGATGTTATGATGAGGAAAATGAGAAGTGCGTTTAATGAGTGTTTCATTTTGGCGGAGCTAAAGCTGGGAGGGAAAACAGAACACAGTGAAAGGCGGCCTGGCTGATCCACACCCCGCTGCAGCATCCACATGGCAGGTTCCCTGTGGCTTTGACCCAGGAAGAGGCCCTCACAGCATTAGTTCTTAACTGTTTTAGGATCATGGACTTTAAGAGAATCTGATGTAGATAGACACCCAACCTTTGATGTGGGACTCATAAACCTCAATGAAGGATCTGTGGGCCCCTTGATGAAAATCCCTTCTTTAAAGGTTTGCAAAACTAACCTTCTAGAATCCTGGGAGCTCAGGCATCCCAGGGAGGAGTTTGTTTTTCTCCAGACACCTTGTCCACCACCTCCAGACAGTGTTTAGTTACCAGAGACAAAGTTCCCACCAGGGGCTCATGGACCAGTCAGGGGACAGATGGGACAGACGTGCAGTAAAGCGAAGGCTCTCAAAATAATGCTGCCAGAGCACATGGGGGTACGGAAAGGGGTGTGGCTCTACCCTGTGTGGTAGGAGTGGAAGTGCCCAGAGAGTCAGGGAAACCTCACTAAGAGCTGGGCTTGAGTGGGCACCTGGGGCTGGTGATTGGAGAGTACCTAGAAGGGATGTGCATTAGTGGGACTCAGCCATGCCTGTGTGACTCACACCATTCCACCTTTGCAATGGAGATGCTGTTGAAAAATGTCCATGGGCCAGGCTTTCTGAAAACATATTCTAAAGATACTTGAAATTTGTGCAATCTTTGGGGTTGTTTAATTCGTTGTTTTTTTGTTGTTGTTGTTGTAATTGGCTTTTGTTGTTTTTATTTTTTGAAATGGAGTCTCACTCTGTCACCCAGGCTGGAGTGCAGTGGCGCGATCTCGGCTTACTGCAACTTCGGCCTCCTGGACTCAAGCAATTCTCTTGCCTCAGCCTCCCAAGTAGCTGGGACTACAGGTGCACACCACTACGCCTGGTTAATTTTTGTATTTTGTTTAGTAGAGATGGGGTTTTGCTCTGTTGGCCAGGCTGGTCTCAAACTCCTGACCTCAGGTGATCCACCCACCTCAGCCCCCCAAAGTGCTGGGATTACAGGCATAAGCCACCACGCCTGACCTGGGGTTGTTTAATTTGCAAAAGATTTGGAACTTGTCTAGTGCTGAGACCCCCTCAGGGCGTAGTGAGGTGATGTGGTGGCAGCCCCAGAGGTGATATCACTTGCTGCAGGTATACTTTTTTCTCCTTTGTATCTCTTAGACAATAGCTCCCACTGCTGTCAGGAGCAACTAAATCTTCTGTGTTACTGCTTCTAACACAGGGTTAGAAACAAGAGATAAAGTCTGTGTGAGGGTGATGTCAGCAAGCTCTTACTCAAGACCTGAGGGGCACTCCCTTTATTTAAGTAAACAAGATAAGCTTTTAGCACAGAGGCATTATGGCAATCCTGTCTTTATTTGTTCCTCTGACTCGTTCAGAGGAGGATCTGACTTGGCCTGTCAAATCTGTTTTGACTGCCAAATCCTTTGTCTTTCTCTTGCTTACTTCCTGGTTATTAACTGCACTCTGGTTAGATGAGCTTTGATGATTCCATGTTTTGCCAGGACAGTGACCATAGGTGTTTATAATGCTGACTCAGACAGGTAATACATGGTCCCAACTTCTAATCACCCCAGAAAGAACTGCCGGCCAGGCGCTGTGGCTTACGCCTATAATCCCAACACTGGGAGACCAAGGCAGGAAGATCACTTGAGCCCAGGAGCTCAAGACCAGTGTGGGCAACATAGCAAGACCTCATCTCTGTGAAAAATTAAATAAATAGGCTGGGTGCGGTGGCTCAGGTCAGTAATCCCAGCACTTTGGGAGGCCGAGGTGGGCGGATCATCTGAGGTCGGGAGTTCGAGACCAGCCTGGCCAACATGGAGAAACCCTGTCTCTACAAAAAATACAAAAAAATTAGCCGGCGTGGTGGCGCATGCCTGTAATCCCAGATACTTAGGAGGCTGAGGCAGGAGATTCGTTTGAATTCAGGAGGCAGAGGTTGTGGTGAGCCAAGATCGCACCATTGCACTCCAGCCTGGGCAAAAAGAGCGAAACTCCGTCTCAAAAAAAAAAAAAAGAAAAGAAAAATAATTAGCCTGGTGTGATGGCACACGCCTGTGGTCCCATCTACTTGAGAGGCTGAAGTAGGAGGATCACTTGAGTCTGCAGTGAGCCGTGATCACGCCACTACTGCACTCCAACCTGGGGGATAGAGTGAGTCCTTATCTCAAAAAACAGAAAACAAAAAAAAAACAAAAAAAAACTGCCTTTTGTTAAGCTTATTTTGTGTCTGTGACCATTTCCTATTAGATAGATATTTGAGGCCCAGAATATCTGCTGCCAGTTGAGGCCAGGTAAGAGTTACTGGCTGCTCTTGTTAAGCAAATATTTGAACTCAGTAGGCCTGAAGATGGGGTAACTGTTCGGATACTCTGCTTGAAATGCTGTCAGTGTGGTTAATGTTGATAATGGCCTCTGTTGGATGCCTGACACGCTGTATAAGGCACTTCGTGTAACTTAGTTTCATCCTCCCAACATTTTATATATCAGGAGACTGAGCCTTTCGTCACTGTCACTAATAAGTGGCAGTGGCTAGATTCGAACCAAGTTGGTTAAGCCTCTAAGCCCCACATCAAGCGCTCAGCCTTGTTCGCTCTGGAGTACCAGGATGCTTCCAGACTCCCTGGCCGTGCAGAGCAGCTTCCTAGCTGTTTTCCCAGTGCCAGTCCCATTCCTTGGGTCTTCCCCTTATAATACTGTTGAAATAGTAAGTTCAAAGTTTGTTTTAGTCACAACTAAGAAAGACTTTTGAATTGCACATTTTGGAGCAGGAAAGTCACATTGTTTCTGACTCAAAATGCCTGTTGCCTTTTCCAGGTCCCCATCTCAGCACCTGCCTCAGGCTGCAGTGCCACTAGTTTACACACGGGAAAACAGTTTCTAGAAACGATTTCTTTTTATTTTTATTTTGAGACGGCGGGGTCTCACTCTGTCACCCAGGCTGGAGTGCAGTGGCACAATATTGGTTCACTGCCACCTGTTCCTCTCAGGCTCAAGAGACCCTCCCACCTCAGCCTTTTGAAGTAGCTGGGACCACAGGTGTGTGCCACCAAACCCAGTTAATTTTTTGTGTTTTTGGTAAAGATGGGGTTTTACCATGTTGCCCAGACAGGTCTCAAACTCCTGAGCTCAGGCAATTCTCCTGCCTTGGCCTCCCAAAGTGCTGGAATTACAGGTATGAGTTACCATGCTCAGCCTCTAGAAATGATTTCTAATGTATGTAGCTGCAAATAGAACTGGGCCCAGTTTCTGAATGGCACTTTGAGTAACTTAGCTTCATCCTCCCAGCATTTTACATATCAGGAGACTGTGTATCAATAGCAACACACTTTTAAAAGTCAGGAACAAAGAAAGTAAGCAGCTGGTAGAAGGCTCCTTGCCCAACTACACTTCAAGTGTCCTCCTCTTATCACTTCTTGGCCTTTTGGCTAAGATCAAGAAGAAGAAGACCAGGCATAGGGGCTCACACCTGTAATCTTAGCATCTTGGGAGGCCAAGGCAGGAGGATCGCTTGAGCCCAGGAGTTCAAGACCAGCTGGAGCAACATAGCAAGACCTCATCTCTATTTTAAAAAAGAAAGCCAAAAGAAGAAGGAACAAAGGGGGAAAATGTTTTCTTCTCAGATAAAAATAAGGTTAAAGAACAAAACAAAAACCAACTTGAATAAATAAGCATTCAGGAAAACGTATCTGAGGCCAGATAGAGTGGCAGAGTAAAGACATGCATGTTTTATCCCGGTATTCAGAAGTTATATTTGGAAACTTCTTATACCCTGTTCCCACATTATCTGATAAAAAGCCAAAAATAGTTTTCGTCATTCCCTTACCAGAGGAAGGAGAAAATATCTCTGATATCTTTTATGGATTGAAATTAAAGATCTGAAGGTAAATCTTCCTGATGTTTTGCTATTTAGTATAACAAACATTGTAGAAGACGTTTAAAAACTATCACTAGGTTGTGATTAAATCCAGATTACTGTTTGAAGAGAAACAATATATTTTAAAGATAAATCATTCAAAAGTTTGTTTTGCTTTTTTTTTTTCCTGGGAACTTCATATTGTGCTTTCTTGCTAATTGCCAGAGCTGGGTTGGCCTTTTCAGTCACGCATCAGAGCATAACACTTGATAAACCGTCATCCCTCCTGGTGTATGGTCTCCAGGCCCAACAGAGCAGGCAGAATGGGAGAGAAGTAACTGCCTAAAGTTTGGAAAACTTTTTATTTTGAAGTAAGTTCAAACTTCCAAAAATGTTGAAAGAATAGTGTAGTAGAACAACTCCTGTATACCCGTACCGAGATTTACCAGGTTTAAAATTTTGGAACCTTTGCCCTGTCATTATCTGTGTGTGTGTGTACGTACGTGTGTGTTCTCACAGGCATGCACATACACATTTTTTCTTCTAGACCATTTGAGAGTAGGTCTCCTATATCTTGTTCCTCTAACATTTTTTCTTTTTTCTTCTTTTTTTTTTTTTTTTTGACGGAGTCTAACTCTGTTGTCCAGGCTGGAGTGCAGTGGCACGATCTCCGCTCACTGCAACCTCTGCCTCCCGGGTTTAAGCGATTCTCCTGCCTCAGCCTCCTGAGTAGCTGGGATTACAGGCGCGTGCCACCACGCCCAGCTAATTTTTGTATTTTTAGTAGAGACTTGGCTTCACCATGTTGGTCAGGCTGGTCTTGAACTCCTGACCTCGTGATCCACCCGCCTCGGCCTCCCAAAGTGTTGGGATTACAGGCGTGAGCCACTGCACCCGGCCCCTCTAACCTTTAATACTAATACTTCAGGGAAAATACCCAAGAGCAAGGATATTCTCATACATAATCACAGGACAGTTATCCAATTCGATTAATTTAATATAAGTACAATATTTTCATCTATTCCACAGCTCCTATTCTAAGTTTGTCAACTCTCCCAACAATGGAACTGACACAATTTTATAATAGGCACACTGAAAAATGAAACCATTTCCCACTTCTAAAACAGTGTAGAAAGCTTCTGAATTCTTAGTTTGCTAGAAAAATGAACCAGTTGCCTATCCGTAAACACCAAAAATAATTTATAATCAGCAGAAACATTAGAAACCCAACTTACCTCTGTGTTTCTGAGAAGTGGCGCTTCAGAGATGAAAGCAGCCAAGGTCATCAGTGGGATTTTGATGTGAACTTTGGTGCTGGGCTGTTGCTGCATATTTTCCAAAGTAAATAAGTCCCAATCCAAACACCAGGCAACCAGCTTGGTCAGCACAAACCCCCTCAGCTGTGCCTTTGATAACTGTAGAGTGGCTTGCAGCTCCTCATCTCCAGTTCTTAGAGCTGACACTTTGAGTATATGACGGTTACTGTGTTAGCATGCACACATAGCCTTGGTGCAGGAGCAGCCCCTCTTGAGGTCACCACATAAACAAGGCGCTCTTCAGGCCTCTGGGGACCAGGCTGCATTGAGGGTAGCTGAAAGTAGAGACCATGCATCTGCCTCCAACTGTGTCCTCTCTTCTGGGATGATCACAGCATCTGCCCTCCACCTGCTCTCCAGGACTGATGTGGCTGGCTCAGCTACTAGGCGGGTGTCCCTGTCCTTCCAAGAGCTCGTTCCTCAGTGAAAGGTGGAGGAGAGAGGACAAAATTAGTGGCTTACAGAATAAGGGGATTGTGGCATGGACCTTTCTTCAGTCAAGGGTTGCTGTGTTTGTTGCCAGTAGGTGCAGCCCAGCACTCCTGTCTGTTGTGGGACAGATAGGACTATTACTGAGCAGTGCCTCCCAAATTCAGGGCCACTTAGGCATTCGTGGGGATCTCTGAGGCTGTGATACATTTTGTGTTTATGGGTGTTTGTTTGTTTGTTTGTTTGTTTTGAGACAGAGTTTCGCGCTGCTGCCCATGCTGGAGTGCAGTGGTGCGATCTCAGCTCACTGCAACCTCTGTCTCCCAAGTTCAAGCGTTCTCCTGCCTCAGCCTCCTGAGTGGCTGAGATTACAGGCGCACACCACCATGTCCAACTAATTTTTTGTATTTTTAGTAGAGACGGGGTTTCACTATGTTGGCCAGGCTGGTGTTGAACTCCTGGAGTGAAGTGATCCTCCCGTCTCGGCCTCCCAAAGTGCTGGGATTACATGCGTGAGCCACCACGCCTGGCCCTATGTGTTTTTTGAGACAGGGTCTCACTCTGTTACCCAGGCTGGAGTGCAGTGGCGTGATCTTGGCTCACTGCAGCCTCAACCTCCCGAGCTGAAGCAATCCTCCTCACCTCAGCCCTGCAAGTAGCTGGGAATACAGGTGCACACCACCATGTCTAGCTAACTTTTGACTTTTTTGTAGAGACAGGGTCTCACTATGTTGCCTAGGCTGGTCTTGAACTCTTGGGCTCAAGTGATCCTCCTGCTTCAGCCTTGCAAAGTGCTGGGATTACAGGCATGAGTCACTGTGCCCGGCCTTATGATAATTTGTTTTTTAATTTGTGTTTTAAATTTTATGATCTAAAAAGTTTTAAGAATATTCTGGATTGTCTGGAAGATCAGCTTATCACAGAGACTGCTCCTCAAGAGCATGTTTGGGAGTGTCGGCACCCAGAGTCTATCTGAAGAGAGAATGTGACTCCTAGGAGAATCTGCGGGTGTGCAAGGGGCCCATGGGGGTGTCTGTGCATTGCTCCGTTTGAGAAATTCCAGAGTGTAAAGGTCCATTGTGTTCAGGACACAGACCGGTGGTTGTGTCTGAGTCTGATTTTGCACTCTAGCTTTTGTCAGAGCTGTCTTCTTAGAGCCTTCATCTGTCACATACAATACTGAGTCTTCAGCGTGGCACCACAGGCAGAGGCTGCTGTCTGTGCCCACACTCCTCGTGGGCCCACCTCCCTCATTCTCTGTCTTGTTCTCACACATGCAAAGCCCGGCCCCAGCACAGCCCTGGCACTTGCTATTCTTTCTGCCCAGGACACCATCCCTGCAGACCAGCAGGTGGCCGCTGCTCTCACTGTTCGCTCTTGGTTTCACCGAGGCGTCACCAGCCACCCTGGCTGAAATTGCCCCTTGGCCTCCAGCTCTCAGTATTCTGCTCTCTGAAATGAGGGTGACAGTTACACCTACTGCATGAGGTTGTTGTGAAAATTAAATGAGATACATTAATTTATCTCATTAATTAAATGAGAAAATTAAATGAGGTTAATGAATGTGTGGAAAGCACATAGAGTGGTGCCTGGCATTCAGAAAATGTTAGTCCTCATCATTTCATGGTATTACATATTTATTCACAGAAATGGTCTGGGAGGGGACACAGCATTCATTTTTCATTCTATGTACTTCTTTGTTTGACCTTTTTCTATGTGTATGTATTACTTTTGTTATTTTTAAAGCCAGTACCGGCCAGGTGTGGTGGCTCACACCTGTAATCCCAGCACTTTGAGAGGCCAAGGCGGGTGGATCACTTGAGGTCAGGAGTTCAAGACCAGCCTGACCAACATGGTAAAACCCCGTCCCTACTAAAAATACAAAAATTAGCTGGGTGTGGTGGCACACATCTGTAGTCCCAGCTACTCGGGAGGCTGAGGCAGGACAATCGCTTGAACCTGGGAGGTGAAGGTTGCAGTGAGCCGAGTTCATGCCACTGTACTCCAGCCTGGGTGACAGAGTGAGACTCTGTCTAAATAAATAAATAAATAAATAAATAAATAAATAAAGCCAACATATTTCCTGTCTATTTGGATTTCTGATCATGTAACCCACTATTGGAAAAATTTGATTTCAGTCCCTCTTGACATTGACATTTTTCAGTCATTTTCCCATTTAGTGGTAACAGCTTGTGTATGGCTTTTTTTTTTTTGAGACAGAGTCTCGCTCTGTCGCCCAGGCTGGAGTGCAGTGGCGCAATCTCAGCTCACTGCAAGCTCCGCCTCCTGGGTTCACGCCATTCTCCTGCCTCAGCCTCCCTAGTAGCTGGGACTACAGGTGCCCACCACCACGTCTGGCTAATGTTTTGTATTTTTAGTAGAGACGGGTTTCACCATGCTGGCCAGGCTGGTCTTGAACTCCTAACCTCATGATCCGCCCGCATCGGCCTCCCAAAGTGCTGGGATTACAGGCGTGAGCCACCACAGCTTGTGTATGGCTTTAACCCCACTGTAGAGCAGTACCTCCTGTCACACATACTCCATTGTTCTTTTGCAGTTTCAAGGTTTGTCTTATGGCTAGATATTTTTTCCAACTTGGAAAAAAATTTTTTTAGTTAGAAAAAAGCGGGGTCTCACTATGTTGGCCAAGTTGGTCTTGAACGTCTGGCTTCAAGCAGTCTTCCCACCTTGGCCTCCCAAAGAGCTGGGAAGACAGGCGTGAACTACCTCATCCAGACTTTTCCATCTTTTAACATGAAATTCTAAAAATATACAGAGGGGTCAGGCACGGTGGCTCATGCCTATCATCCCAGCACTTTGGGAGGCTGAGGCAGGAGGATCACTAAAGTTTGGAAAACTTTTTCTTTTGAAATAACTTCAAACTTTCAAAAAAGTTGAAAGAATAGTGTAGTAGAACAACTCCTGTATACCCGTACCCAGATTTACCAGGTTTAAAATTTTGGAACCTTTGCCCTGTCACTGTGTGTGTCTCTGTGTCCAGCTTGTGTGTGTGTGTGTGTGTGTGTGTGTGTGTGTGTGTGTGTGTGTGTGTGTGTCCGTGTCCAGCTTGGGCAACATAGCAAAACCGATCTCTCTCTCTCTCTTTTTTTTTTTTTTTTTTTGAGACGGAGTTTTTGCTCTGTTGCCCAGGCTGGAGTGCAGTGGCTCAATCTTAGCTTGCTGCAACCTCTGCCTCCTGGGTTCAAGCGATTCTCCTGCCTCAGCCTCCCAAGTAGCTGGGATTACAGGCGCCTGCCATCATGCCTGGCTAATTTTTGTGTTTTTAGTAGAGACAGGGTTTTACCATGTTGCCCAGGCTGGTCTTGAACTCCTGACCTCAGATGATCTGCCCGCCTCAGCCTCCCAAAGTGCTAGGATTACAGGCATGAGCCACTGCTCCCGGCTAGCAAAACCCATCTCTACCAAAAAAAAAAAAACTGGGCCATGATGCTGCACACCTGTAGTCCCATCTGCTCAGGAGGCTGAGGCAGAAGGATCACTTGAGTATGTACAGTGAGCTATGATTGTACCCCCTACTCCAGTGTGGTCGACAGAGTGAGACCCTGTCTCTAAAAAAAATATGTATACATACACAGAGAAATTGGAATAATTGAATACTAAATATCCATACACCCACAACCTAGGTAGAATAGTTAATATTTTTCCATATCCACTTAAAGACATCACTCACTTCTGCCCTGGGCACTAGCACCAGTGTTTCTTCCATGGACGGGTCTCTGCCCTGTGCTGTGCTACCATCACTCCTGGGAAGATCACAAGCCTCACATATATCACATGTCTAGTCCAAGTCAGATTACTCTATGACTTCAAACATGTATTTTATGGGTTTTTAATTTTTATCTGGTCAGGGTTTCATGTGTCGCATTTGACTGTTATATCTCTTTAGAATCCTTTATCTATTTCAGTCTTCCCACTTCCCCCCTGACCTTGATTTTTTTTTTTTTTTGAAATGGCGTCTCGCTCTGTCGCCCAGGCTGCAGTGCAGTGGCGCAATCTTGGCTCACTGCAACCTCGGCCTCCTGGTTTCAAGCGATTCTCCTGCTTCAGCCTCCCGAGTACCTGGGACTACAGGTGTGTGCCACCACGCCTGGCTAATTTTTTGTATTTTTAGTAGAGATGGGGTTTTACCGTGTTAGCCAGGCTGATCTCGATCTCCTGACCTCCTGATCTGCCTGTCTTGGCCTCCCAAAGTGCTGGGATTACAGGCGTGAGCCACCACACCTGGCCTGACCTTGATACTTCTTAGGAGTGAGCAGATCTCCTTTCTGGAGACTAGAGCAGTCTCAGCCAAGACAGTGGCCAGCAGGCTCGGAGAAGTCAGAGAGCAGGGAGAACCCACAGAGCCACTTTCAAGCCAACGTCCTCAAGAGGGAGCCAAGAAGTTCACAGGGTCAGGAGTAGGATCCCAAATCAAAGATAGAGTCCACTTACTTCCTCTTTTCTGTGTCAAAACCACTTTGAACTTCCCAGCCACGTGGAGCTACTGTTCTCATTGAGAGGGAAGCATTCTAGAAGCGCAACCCTTTCCATAACCACCAAAGTCTAGTTCTCTTTAGAAGGTACCAGAACCTCTTAGCCACATAGGCCTTGAATTCTGTAGTCTGGAAACCCCTTCATATCTCCACCATCACTTGGGACCTTATCCTGGGAGGCCGGTCACTTCAGAGACAGTCAGTCCCACAGTTGCGTGTTCTTACTGTCACTGTCCTTGGCCACTAGCTGAACTGGAAGCCCCTTGTCAACTGTCCTTTTGTGGCCACATCCTGTGTGGCTCTAGATTTCCTGCCCTGTGTCGCTTCCGTCTGCTGCTGCCCTCCACACAGCCCTCTCCAAAGTGCCCCACCTCCTCAGCACCTACCCAGAGCCTGCCCTGCACCCCCAGGTCTTGGCCCACTCTTCCCAAGGACACAGTGCCCTGGCGGCTCTCAAGCAGAGGTGTGGAGCCTTCTTCCACACAGGTTGCCAAGCCCTGGACCGGCACCTGCACCCTCCCTTTGATTGTAAAAGGAACATGTTGATGGAAGAGCTCCAGGAAATATAGACATTAAAGAAGAAGAGTGAAATCCCTAGCAACCCAGAAATAATCTTAACATGTGGCTGCTTTTTCCCATCTTTGTTCTATATGTATATATTTAGATTTTTTAAAATCTATATCATATTATTTATACGTTTTGGATTTTTTTCTCTTGACATATTGTGAGTTCTACATGTGTCACCAAATAGTCTTAGAAAATATGATTCTTGGCTGAGTGTGGTGGCTCACGCCTGTAATTCCAACACTTGGGGAGGCCAACACGGGAGGATCTCTTGAACCTAGGAGTTTAATACCACCCTGGGCAACATAGTGAGAGCCTTTCTCTACAAAAAAATGTAAAAAGTCAGTAAGGTGTCTGTTTGTATGAAAAAAAGAAAAACAATAATTAAGCCGGGCATTGGCCACCACCCCATCTGGGAAGTGAGTAAGTAGCACCTCTGTCTGGCCGCCGCACCGTCTGGGAATTGAGGAACACCTTTGCCTAGCTGCCGTGCAGCCCTGCAAGTGTGAAGTGGCAGCTTTGCGTGTGATCTTTCTCCCCTCCCCAAGTTTGCATTTTTGACATTAAAGTTTACTTTTAAATTAAAATTTTTGAATTGGAAATAATAATAATAATAATAATAATAATAATAATAATAATAATTAGGCCAGGTGTGGTGGCTCACACCTGTAATCCCAGGACTTTAGGAGGCTGAGGCGGGCAGATCACTTGAGGTCAGGAGTTTGAGACCAGCCTGGCCAACATGGTGAAACCGCATCTCTACTAAAAATACAAAAATTAGCTGAGCATAGTGGTGCATGCCCGTAGTCCCAGCTACTCAGGAGGCTGAGGCAGGAGAATTGCTTTAACCTGGGAGGCAAAGGTTGCAGTGAGCTGAGGTTGTGCCTCGGCACTCCAGCCTGGGCGACAGAGCAAGACTCCATCTCAAAAAGTATAAATAAAATAATAATTAGCTGGACATGGTGGAGCACACCTGTCCTCCCTGCTACTGGGAAGGCTGAGGTGGGAGGATCACTTGAGCCTGGGAGATCGAGGTCAGTGCTGCAGTGATGATTGTGCCACTGCACTCCAGCCTGGGTAACAGAGTGAGACCCTATCTCAAAAATAATTAATTTATTATACTTTTTTTTTTTTTGAGACAGAGTCTTGCTCTGTCGCCCAGGCTAGAGTGCAGTAGCGCCATCTTGGCTCACTGCAAGCTCAACCTCCCAGGTTCACGCCATTCTCCTGCCTCAGCCTCCTGAGTAGCTGGGACTATAGGCGCCTGCCACCACGCCCGGCTAATGTTTTTGTATTTTTTAGTAGAGACAGGGTTTCACCCTGTTAGCCAGAATGGTCTTGATCTCCTGACCTCGTGATCCACCTGCCTCGGCCTCCCAAAGTGCTGGGATTACAGGCAAGAGCCACTGTGCCCGGCCAATTTATTATACTTTTAATATACCATTACTTATTTAAATGTCCCTTTCAGGTAGACATCTAGTGTGTTTCTATTTATTTTGCTGTTGCAACATTTTTGTGCCTAAATCAGCTTTTTAACATTTTTTGGATAGATTTCTCAGGGATGGGATTTTGGGTGAAATATGTGGGGATATTTAGAATTTCTGATGCATATTACCAAATTGCTTTCAAAGAAGTGTTGTGACAGTTTACAGTCCTGCCTGCTGTGCATGATGTGTCACAGCCCATCCCATTGTGCCCTCCTTGCCTCAAGAGATGGTGTCTTCATCTCTCCCACCTCTCTCCCGGCCCAGTGCCTGGCCCATACCAGGTGCTCATAAGTGTTTGGGGGTAGCAAAGCCCCCGCTTACCACAGGCTCAACATCACTGATGGGAGCTCAACATCCACTGGGGGGTCCGTAAGGATCAGCCTGTCCAGCTGGGCATCGTGCACAAGTTAAACCTTTTGGTTTTTTGAGATGGAGTTTCGCCCTTGTTGCCCAGGCTGGAGTGCAATGGTGCGATCTTGGCTCACTGCAACCTCTGTCTCCTGGGTTCAAGCAGTTCTCCTGCCTCAATCTCCCGAGTAGCTGGGATTACAGGTGCCTGCCACCACGCCCAGCTAATTTTTTGTATTTTTAGTAGAGATGGGGTTTCACCATGTTGGCCAGGCTGGTCTTGAACTCCTGACCTCAGGTGATCTGCCCACCTCGGCCTCCCAAAGTGTTGGGATTACAGGCGTGAGCCACCGTGCTTGGCCAAGTTTAGCCATTTATACCACTGATGAGTCTCTCCCTGCCTCCCCCCAGCATTTGGAGCAGGAACACAAGGACAATAGCCCCTCACCTGCACCCAAGCAACTCTGCTTTACCTGTTACATATATGGGGATTCTGCCGAAGATTACTGTTTGGAAAATTTGTGCTGCCTGGCCCATGAGAGTTCTTGTGCTCTCCCTGCCTCCCCAGTGGCATCCCTTCCTCAAGCTCTGGCTCGCATCCATTGTTTGCCTTTCCTGAGCATTTGTTACCCTCCACAGTGCCAGGCTTAGGACCTAATGCTCTTGTGGCTGGACAGGCTGCCTTCTCTTCTTTCCTGGCTAAGTTTTCCTCAAATGTTAACTCTGAGACCCATGACACTTTCTCTGGGAACTCCACCCCACTGTAACTGTTGCTCACCTGCCTCCAAACTAGACAGGAAGTCCTTCAAGTGCAGGAACAGGGCTTTTTCCTCCCTGGCACAGCACCTGGTGCACACTAGGGACTCAGTAAATGAGTGGATGGACAATGCTTATTGGCAGAATCATCACTGCTCAGTGTGCCTTTTCCTACCCAGTCTGAGTTTCTGAGAATGCTCTTAGAGAATGAATCTGTGGTTGATTTTACACCTACAGGGCTTAGGGTTTCCTCAGCAAATAACCTCCTTTCTCCCTCTCTTCTTGGCACATCAGCTCACCCGACGACTGCCACCCATCAAAGAAGCTAAGCCTCGGTTACAGAAGCTCTTCCGAGACTTCTGGCTGTATTCCGTTCTGATGGGATTCGCTGTGGAGGGCTCAGGTAGGGGGATCATCTCTCTCCCAGTGAAGACGGAGTGCAGAGTGAAGGTAAAGGTGAGGTCAGAGCCCACGTAATTATGAATGTGAGCATGTTTAAATGAGTCCACATGCAGCTGCTTCTTTCTGCAAGTATTAGCAAGTGTTACTGTCCCCAGATGTAGTTTAGGGTGCTGAGAATGCCATACACCTTAGGAAAAGTCTGTCCAAGTCAGGTAACAGACTTCGTTTCTGTGCCTAGTTTTTGGGATAATTGTCTCAAAGGACCCATGACTATAGAAATTGTCAGTCAACCTCACTGCAGTGCTTTCCGACCAAGGTGATTTCCTCATTTATGTTCACTTTATTGCAGGACTCTGGCCAGAAGAATGGTACGAGGGGGTCTGTGAAATAGCCACTAAGTCCCCCTTGCTCACCTTTCCCAGCAAGGAGCCACTGCGGTCCGTCCTCCAGTATAACTCAGCCATGAAGAATGACACGGTCACCCCCGTAAGGATTCACATCTCATTTTTACCATGCTCTCTGTGCCAATTAGGGCAGATCTTTTCACTGTCATTATTAACACATGTTGCCAGCCACTGGGACCTGTTTGTCCTGGGGGATGCCCCATGAGCCCTCGGATGTTTCTCTCCCTCCAGGCTGAGCTGAGTGAGCTCCGCAGCACTATCATCAACCTGCTGGACCCCCCTCCCGAGGTGTCCGCACTCATCAACAAGCTGGACTTCGCCATGTCCACCTACCTCCTCTCTGTGTACCGGCTGGAGTACATGAGGTACACGTGCCTTCACCACCATGCACATGCACATCCACATTTGAGCAGGGTTTTCATTTTTGTGCCCTCGTAAGCATGAGACTTTTTTCAACTTCTCCCAAGACATGCAAACTTTCTGAAAAACCAAGCAAAAACACCCTCTACTTTTCTCGTATGCCCCTCCTTCATGACCACCAGACACCACGTATAGTAACACCTCCCAGTATCTAAGCTCCGCATCATCTTCTCTCTGATAGGAAACAGGCTTCTGAGCAGTTGCAGTCAGTGTTGTGAACTCAGCCCACGGACTGAGCGAGGCCCTTCTGAGGACCCAGCCTCGCTGAGTGCGTGTCTAGGACACTCACTGAGCTGTTTCCCAGGACCATGGTTGAGTACAAACAGCAAATGCGACATGGGGTGGGGCCGGCTCCAAAACAGTCCTGCATGTGGCCCGATGCTCAGGACACATCTGTGGCCACAGCAGTCCTAACAGTGGTAGTGACACTTAGGATCTACAGCTGTTATCATGTTGACCTCAGAAGTAAGCTTGGATTGAGTGTCTGTGCTGTACCAGGTACTGTGCTGCATTACACATGTTTACGCACTCCCCGACATGCTTGTGAGGTAGGCAGTGCTATACAGACCCACTGTGCTGAGGCCTCAGGCGCCCTGGGACAGCAGCTGAGTACATTGGCTACAAAATGATGATTCCTGTTGTCAAGAAAAGGTCAAATTACACTCAGCTTAAGTCGGGAGGGATGCAAATAAGTCGTAGAATAATTTCTTTCCCAAATGATTTGAAAAAGAAAGTGTTCCTGAGAGAAAGGCTATTTGGAAAACACTATTTTAGCCTTTCATTGTTGCCACCAACCCTCTAGTAAAATAGTCCTTGAAAGCTCAATACATAAAAGAAAGGCAGAGTGCTTTGGTTGCATGGGAATGCACCCTACCCTCCTGCTCAGTCTCCTCCTCCCTGCCCTCAGCCCGGGGCTCCACACACAGCCAAATGTGGAAATCAGTGACGCATTCTCCCCAAGTCCCACAGAGCCAAGGGAGTGTTGACTTTGTTCTTTTTTCATTGTAAGTGTCTTTTATTTTGGCTGGATGTGGTGGCTCACACCTGTAACCCCAGCACTTTAGGAGGCCAAGGCGAGTGGATCACCTGAGGCCAGTAGTTCGAGACCAGCCTGGCCAACGTGGTGAAACCCCATCTCTACTAAAAATACAAAAATTAGCCAGATGTGGTGGCGGGTGCCTATAGTCCCAGCTACTCAGGAGGCTGAGGCAGGAGAATGGCATGAACCCAGGAGGTGGAGCTTGTAGTGAGCTGAGATCGCGCCACTGCACTCCAGCCTGGGCGACAGAGCGAGACTCCGTCTCAAAAAAAAAAAAAGAAAAAAAGAACATTGCACAAAAATGGCTAGGCACGGCCGGTTGCAGTGGCTCACTCCTGTCATCCCAACACTTTGGGAGGCCGAGGCAGGCAGATCCTGAGGTCAGGAGTTCGAGACCAGTCTGACCAACATGGTGAAACCCCGTCTCTACTAAAAATATAAAAATTAGCTGGATGTGGTGGTGCATGCCTGTAGTCCCAGCTACTGAGGAGGCTGAGGCAGGAGAATTGCTTGACCCAGGAGGTGGAGGTTGCAGTGAGCCAAGATGGTGCCACTGCACTGCAGCCTGGGCGACAGAGTGAGACTCTGTCTCAAAAAAACAAATGGCTAATCCCAGCATTTTGAGGGGTGGGAGGATCACTTGAGCCCGGAAGTTTTGAGCTTCTGCAACAGAGCAAGAACTTGTCTCTAACCCCCCCCCCCCCCAAAAAAAAAAGCAAAAAAACCTAGCCAGTTGTGGTGGCACATGCCTGTAGTCCCAGCTACTCAGGAGACTGAGGCAAGGGGGTTGCTTAAGCCTAGGAGGTTGAGGCTGCAGTGAGCTATGATCAAACCACTGCACTCTAGCCTGGGCAAAAGACCCTGTCTTATAAAAACAAAACATTTATACAAAATCTTGCAAAATAAGTAGAGAGAGAAAAAACACTGACCTCACTGTCATCCCCTATAGCCTGTTAGTATAGCTGTTTGTAGTCTTTTTTCTAAACAATGTATTTTCAAAGAAAAAACAGCCAAAACAAAACAAGCCAGACCCAAACAGAGCAAAAACATGGCTTTCATCCCAGCATGTACGGCTAGAAGAGGTATCTCCAGACCCTCTCAACCTCATGTGGTTTGAAGGCAGAGCTACCTCTGCCTTTCCCATGAGTATGCCCCTGAGTAGTTTTCTCAGGTTCTCAGGACGGGCTCTTAACTGGCAGAGGAAGACTCTAAGACGCAGCCCATAGCAGCTCCTGTGAGCCCACCTTCCACCTCGGGCTGCCTACCAGGCCCTTGAGAGCACTCTGTTAGCATAGAGAGGCAACCTCAAAGCCTTTATTCAGGAACCTGGCTCAGGTTCCCAGCCACTGGGTATTGAGAGAGCTTTAAAACCACAAAGTGGAGAATTTGGGAAATCAAGTTAAAGGTGTGTGCACGTGCACACTCGAATGCGTGTGCTGAAAGTCACCTGGCCTGCCCTCCTGAGGCTTAACTCTTGACAGGTTGGTGCAGAGGCCAAAAGACATGGCCTGCCGAGCCGCTGCTGCCTTAGTGGAGCCCCTGGAACTCTGAACAGCCCTTCACAGCACCCATGGGACAAGTGCATGCGCTTTTTCCTTTTTCTCCCTTTCCCCCTGAGGTTAAAGATATTTTTTTTACCATAAAAGAAAAATGTACAGAGTGCATAAAACAAAAAAGAGAAGAGAAAACACTGGAATAGTACAGAAGATACTAAAGATGAAAAAATACAGGTATCACTTTTGTAGACGTGAATACTTCATTTCTACTATCCTACTGTTAATGGCCTCTTAATTTTCCTCTAGAAATTTTCTGTGCATAGGCAAGCATGCATAGCCTACACATACACATGCAAAGACAGACCTTTAGGAAACCTGTAAGTGGGGTCATGCTGGACATGTGTTCCCTGCACCTTCCTTTTTTCTGTTAATAGTATGTCTCAGACTTTTTTTGTAACAGCTCACATAGAGAGCTGCCTCTCGTTTGGTGGCTGCATGATGTGTCATCGAATGGGTATGCTTTGGCTTATCTGCCCAGTCTCCTGTTGGTGAGCATTCAGAGTCTTTCCATTTTGGATAATGCAGTCAGTGCTGTTAGGAGAATCCTTGTGCATGTAACCCTGAAGATATATCCTAATGGTGGGGCTGCTGGAGTGAAAAATATGGGAATGTATAATAGATGGTGCACCTCACCCTCCAAAAAGTCCACCTCAGTGTGCACCCTTATGAATGACAGAGGGCAAATGTTCTTCACATCCTTACCACTTATGGGCAGTGTCAAATCTGTGATAGGGAGGGCCCAGATTTTTCAAAATTTATTTAAAGCTGTTTTCTTCTTAGGGTACTGCGTTCAACAGATCCTGATCGCTTCCAGGTAATGTTCTGCTACTTTGAGGATAAAGCTATTCAGAAAGACAAATCTGGTAAGCTCATTATTATGGTGCTTTCATGATGAATTGAGCTTTAATAGGGTAAAAAGGCGTACTACTTCCTCTTTTCTGTCTACATGTAGAAAATGTTTTATGAAGTTAAATATTGCATGAGAAAGATCAGTATAAAACATATAGCCTTCAAATATACGCCTTAATGGTTCTACTGCTGGTGCAAGGGCCCCGAACAGAAGGATGGTCATTCTAGCCCACTATCTATGCTCAAGTGTGCTCCAGCACTCATCTAGAGGGACCAGGGCTCCTCGGATGGGCACTGATGGACCTGCAGCAACTTGCTGTTGCCAGAGAGCAGTCATGGTTTTTAAACGTCAGGAGCAGGAAACAGTAGTTTGTGCCTGTAGTCCCAAGTTACTTGGGAGGCTGAGTGGGAGGATCGCTTGAGCCCAGGAGTTCAAGATTGCAGTGAGCTATGATCATGCCACTTGCTTCCAGATGCAACTTGTCGTCAGACCCTGAGTGCACAGAGGGCCTCAGCTGTTACCAGCCCTAGCCCAGGAGACCAACTCCTGGGAAGACAGAGAAATGGTGGAAACTGTAGGAAGGCATAAAAATGTTACAATGATCAAAACCCTATGAAGACAAAGCTAAGATAAGAATAAAAAGGAGAGATGGAAACTGGGAAGGTTACCAGGAGACCCTCTGGATTGATGGAAGTGTCCTCTAGATTGTTTGGGTAGTGGTCCCGTGAGTGTGTACAGTTGTTAAGTCATGGAATTGAGCACATAAGACCTGTGGATTTTATTATATGCAAATTATACCTTAATTTTTTTAAATTGCAAAAGGCTAATATTAGTTTTACAAAAGTGTATTTAGCCAATAAAAAGATATTAAAATAGAGACAACAAAGGAAAAAGTTAAATGCTGCGTATAAGCACTTTTTGGCCAGTTTTAGTGTAAGGGCACTAAGAAGTCTGATTTATAAGGTGTTTAAAATCAAAAATTTAAAATATGCTGAAATGTTAGACCTAAGTTTTAATTAAATGCTTAGAATAATTTGATAATTTTTGTAATTATGATGAAATCATGTTTAAATATGCAAGGGAATTGGGGAGAATCCACAAATTTTGATTAACTGTATGAATAAATTCTTTGAGGCATGCTTATTGATAAATTCTTGAGATTGACAAATTTAGTATTAATGAAGTACAACTAACAGTGTGTAGTCCTTTCCGCACCAGAAGCCTTTGATAGGTTGGTGAATCTATCAACTTGTTCTTGCTTATGGAGAAATTATTTCCGATACTTCTTGTACCATTTTTTCTTTTGTTGAAAAATCAGGCTGGGCACAGTGGCTCACAGCTGTAATCCCAGCACTTTGGGAAGCTGAGGCAGGTAGATCACCTGAGGTCAGGAGTTTGAGACCAGCCTGGCCAACATGGTGAAACCCCGTCTCTACTAAAAATAAAAAAATTGGCTGGGTGCGGTGACTCACACTTGTAATCCCAGCACTTTGAGAGGCCGAGGCAGGCAGATCACAAGGTCAGGAGATCAAGACCGTCCTGGCTAACACGGTGAAACCCTGTCTCTACTAAAAATACAAAAAATTAGCCGGGCGTGGTGGCCTGCGCCTGTAGTCCCAGCTACTCGGGAGGCTGAGACAGGAGAATGGCATGAACCCGGGAGGTGGAGCTTGCAGTGAGTGGAGTTCACGCAACTGTACTCCAGCCTTGGTGACAGAGTGAGACTCTGTCTCAAAAATAAATAAATAAGCCGAGCGTGGTGGTGCACGCCTGTAGTCCCAGCTGCTGGGGAGGCTGAGGCAGGAGAATTGCTTGAACCTGGGAGACGGAGGTTGAGGTGAGCCGAGATCGTGCCTCAGCACTCCATCCTGGGTGACAGAGAGACTCTGTCTCAAAAAAAAAAAAAAAAAAAAAGAAAAGAAAAGAAAAAGAAAAATCAACGCTTCAAGAAATGTTTTTTAAAAATCACCCCAGGCCAGGTGCAGTGGCTTACGCCTGTAATCCCAATACTTTGGGAGGCCAACCCAAGTGGATTACTTGAGGCCAGGAGTTTAAGACCAGCCTGGGCTACATAGCAATACCCCATCTGTACAAAAAATATAATTAGCTGGGCATGGTGGAACATGCCTGTCGTCCTAGCTAGTCTGGGGGCTGAGGCAGGGGGATCCCTTGAGCCCAGTTCAAGGTTGAAGTGAGCCAGGATCGCACCACTGCACTCCAGCCTAGGTGACGGAGCAAGACCCTGTCTCTTAAAAAACAAACAAACAAAAAAATGCCCCAGGGGCTCTGAGATACTGCTTCAGGTAAGACTCTTCTAGTAAGTCCTTTGTGGAGCACTTCACACTGCTGTACAACAGTCAGGAAGTCAGGTGCATGAATTTATTTTTGCAGCTGGGAGCCAGTGGAGTTGGCAAGGAAAGACTGTGAGGGTTCTGGAAGCTCCCCCTTCTGGCAGTAAGGAGGGGATTGGAGTGAGCAAGGAGCCCATTTGAGGCCAGGGATGGGAGGTGCAGGCAGGCAGTTTCTACAGAGAAGCCTCTTCCAGAGGGGATGTAGACACAGGGCGGGGTGGGGGCCACATTCAGAGAGTCTCACACACATGCCCCAGGACCAGTTGGGGCTATAAGAGAGATGCTGTCAAGCTCTGGCTGAACTGTTCATTGATCTGTTCCCCTCATCCGTCCACCTTGCATTTGTCCATGTAGTAGCAGATTTTGTGCTAAGTTTTGTGCTAGACCAGGGGTGTCCAATTTTTTGGCTTCCTTGAGCCACATTGGAAGAAAAAGAATTGTCTTGGGCCACACATAAAACATACTAACACTAACGATAGCTAATGAGCAAAAAAAAAAAAAAAAAAGAAAAGAAAGAAAAATCACACACAAAAAATCTTATAATATTTTAAGACATTTAAGACACAGAATCTCATGTTTTTTTTTTTTTTTTTTTTTTTTTGAGACAGAGTCTTGCTCTGTTGCCCAAGCTGGAGTGCAGTGGAACGATCTCAGCTGACTGCAAGCTCCGCCTCCCAGGTTCATGCCATTCTCCTGCCTCAGCCTCCCAAGTAGCTGGGACTACAGGCGCCCACCACCACGCCTGGCTAATTTTTTGTATTTTTAGTAGAGACGGGGTTTCACTGTGTTAGCCAGAATGGTCTCGATCTCCTGACCTCGTGATCCGCCCGCCTCGGCCTCCCAAAGTGCAGGGATTACAGGCATGAGCCACTGCGCCCGGCCCAGAATCTCATAATGTTTAAGTTTACAAATTTGTGTTGGGCCACATTGAAAGCCATCCTGGGCTGTGTGTGGACTGCAGATTGGAAAAGCTTGTGCTAGACAATTGGCCCACCCTGCGATTCTTTGGTTCTAGGAGAGAGACTAAGCAACAACAAAATTGAAACTGCCAACCTCTAGAAGAATTAAGCACCTAGCACATTATTCAGACAAGACCTGAGGAGACAAAAAAAGGAAGAAAAAGGCTGGGTGCGGTAGCTCACGCCTGTAATCCCAGCACTCTGGGAGGCTGAAGTGGGTGGATCACTTGATGTCAGGAGTTCGAGACCAGCCTGGCCAACATGATGAAACCCCATCTCTACTAAAAATACAAAAATTAGCCAGGTGCGGTGGCGTGTGCCTGTAGTCCTGGCTACTTGGGAGGCCAAGGCAGGAGAATCACTTGAACCTGGGAGGCAGAGGTTGCAGTGAGCTGAGATCACACCACACACTCCAGCCTGGGAGACAGAGTGAAACTCCATCTCAAAAAAAAAAAGGAAGGAGAACCTAGCAGATTTTGCCAGCCTTCTAGAGAATATTCATAAACCGAATCAGATCCCTTTCTGAAGTGAGATGTCTCATTCGCCCTTCTCTCTGAGCTCTGTTTTTCTGTTCCTGTGACATCAGAGGACGTTAAATTGTTCCGGGGGACTGATTGTTCCTCCTCACCTTAATTCAAAATAAAGCGATTTTCATTTTTGCAGTACATTGTACTCTTCCACATGGTTTCAAACTGATTATTTTTGTTCTGAGCGTGGCACTTAGCCAGTAAATGTACAGCTATTGAGTGTATATCCCTCTTATATTTTTCCTCTAAAACATGAAAGATAAGAAGGAAATGTCTTTGGAGACATATATTATTCTTGAATTTTCAGAACCTACCAGGAGGAGAGGGTATATGAAATATCTAGCAGCCCCACTAAAGTGGGGACTTCTGCCTCCTCTCTGCAGGTATAAGATGAGCCTCTGTTATGTTCTCAGCTGCACAGGAACGTGAGGGCAGGAGCCTGCTGCTCACCTGCCCACCATCCTGTGAGTCAGTTCACCAGTAATCCAGAGCTAAACTAAGGGGTTAAGAGGAGAGTGGCCTTTTTAAAGTAAAAATCTTACTTACCTTAGGGCCGGGTGTGGTAGCTCACACCTGTAATCTCAGCACTTTGGGAGCCGAGGTGGGCAGATCACTTGAGGTCAGGAGTTTGAGACCAGCCTGGCCAACATGATGAAACCCATCTCTACTAAAAATACAAAAATTAGCTGGGTGTGATGGCAGGTGACTGTAATCCCAGCTACTTGGGAAGCTGAGGCAGGAGAATCACTTGAACCTGGGAGGCAGAGGTTGGAGTGAGCCAAGATCACACCACTGCGCTCCAGCCTGGGCAACAGAGCAAGACTACGTCTCAAAAAAAAAATTTTTTTTAATCTCCTTAGATGCTACTACATGACATTGATTGGCATCTGATGTCTATCTGATTATCAGGAATTTACAGTTTCAGTTTCCAAAGAACTATATGAAAAAACTATTATACTAGGCCAGGTGTGGTGGCTCACGCCTGTAATCCCAGCACTTTGGGAGGCCAAGGCGGGTGGATCATTTGAGATCAGGAGTTTGAGACCAGCCTGACCAACACGGAGAAACCCCATCTCTACTGAAAATACAAAATTAGCCCTGCATGGTGGCGCATGCCTGTAATCCCACCTACTCGGGAGGCTGAGACAGGAGAATTGCTTGAATCTGGGAATGCAACCCGTCGGAGGTTGCAGTGAGCTGAGATCGCACCACTGCGCTCCAGCCTGGGCGATGAGCGAAACTCTGTCTCAAAAAATTAAAAAAAAAAAAAAAAGCTATTATACTAAACACATGGCCCAAAATAAGATTTCACCCACCCAACCCAGCCTCTTAAGAAAGCAGCCTCTCACTACCCTTGAGCATCTGTCCAGGTCACACTGATAACTTTTCAAATTGCTGCGGTCCCACTTACCCTTATAACAGATAGCTATGAAAGGCCTCTTTATGTCTCAGGCTTCATGCTGGGTGTGAGGTGCCAAGCTGATAGCACCTGCCTTGTCTCTCTGCCTGGAGGCAGAGGGCAGACCCAGCATGTAGTCATGCAAATTAAAAACACTGGATAGAGAAACAGCATTATGGAGTGTGAATTGGCATTTTATTACAGTTTCTTCATCTGCACTGTGATGATCACTGTGTTCTGTTGCTTTTTTTCTTTTTCTTTTCTTTTTTTTTTTTTTATGTGACAGTGTGTCGCTCTGTCACCCAGCCTAGAGTGCAGTGGCACAATCTCAGCTCCCTGCAACCTCTACCTCCCAGGCTCAAGTGATTCTCATGCCCCAGCCTCCCAAGTAGCTGGAATTAACAGGTGTGCACCACCGTGCCCAGCTAATTTTTGTATTTTTAGTAGAGACGGGGTTTCACCATGTTGGCCAGGCTGGTCTCAAACTCCTGACCTCAAGTGATCCACCCGCCTCAGCCTCCCAAAATGCTGGGATTACAGGCATGAGCCACTGTGCCCAGCCCATTCTGTTGCCTTTTACAGCCTACTTGGCACCTCTGTAACAATGAGCATATCCGGTGCTCAGATCTTGGTTTCTAAATAGTATTCTCCAATAAAAGGAACCAGGGCTCCATGGAGAAATGGTTGATTCTAGGGAGGCCTGTACAGGATGAGCCTGGGGCACCTTGTTACACCAGAAAGTAAGGACACGCCAAGAAAGAAGAAGAAAAGACAAGACATGGGGCCTGTCCGAATGACACAGGAGCCAACCTGAAAGAGCTCCGAGTGGCCAAAGCTGGAATGATTTGAATAGAATAAATGGTATTGGATTATAACCCAACGAATAAACATCCACGGTTCTGTAATGATTAGACTACCGAATAAATAAAAAATGGGGAAAAAGGCTGAACCTTCCTTACAGAATTCCAGTTACTATTAATAAAAATAGAAGAGGCTGGGCACGGTGGCTCATGCCTGTAATCCTAGCATTTTGGGAGGCCAAGGCAGGAGGATTGCTTGAGCCCAGGAGTTCAAGACCAGCCTAGGCAACAAAGCGATACCCTGTCCCTAAAAAATAAATTTTTGTTTTGTTTGAGATGGAGTCTCGCTCTGTCACCCAGGCTGGAGTGCAGTGGCATGATCTCAGCTCACTGCAACCTCTGTCTCCTGGGGTCAAGCGATTCTCCTGCCTCAGCCTCCCAAGTAGCTGGGATTACAGTGGCACGCTACCATGCCTGGCTAATTTTTGTATTTTTAGTAAAGATGGGGTTTCACCATGTTGGCCAGGCTGGTCTCGAACTCCTGACCTCGTGATCCACCCACCTCGGCCTCTCAAAGTGCTGGGATTATGGGCGTGAGCCACCATGCCTGGCCAACATTTTTTAAAAAGTAGAAAGAATTGAGGGAAATAGAAAATTCCTATGACAACCACAGTAACTACTGCAGGCAGAATTCACTCGTGGATGCCAAAGTGAAGGGGCAAAATCTTAAAAGACATGATCTCTGCATAACTTCAAAGTATCTTCCCCAAAATATCAATCGCTGTGGTGGCTGTAATTCTCATTCACAAATTTCCTTCAGGAGGTAGCATTTAATTCCTTGGCTCTGAGTGTGGGCTGTCCTTAGTGACTTGCTTCTAAAGAATAGAGAAAGGGACTGGGCATAGTGGCTCACGCCTGTAATCCTAGCACTTTAGGAGGCCGAGGCAGAAGGATTGCTTGACCCAGGAGTTCAAGACCAGCCTGGGCTACATAGTGAGACTCCCAGTCTCTACAAAAAATAATCAATTAGCTGAGCATGGTGTTGTACATCTGTAATCCCAGCCACCAGGGAGGCTGAGGTGGGAGGATCCCTTGAGCCTGGGAGATCAAGGTTGCAGCTGAGCTATGATCTCACCATTGCACTCCAGACTGGGCAACAAAGTGAGACCCTGTCTCAAAAAAAATAGAAAAAGGGAAAAACGGTAACTCAAACCAAGGGATCAAGGTTAGCTTCACCAGTAATAAGAGATACTGTTATCACATACCACTTACGTGATGCAGAAAGAGCACATCCAGGCCGGACACGGTGGCTCACGCCTGTAATCCCAGCACTTTGGGAGGCCGAGGCGGGCGGATCACGATGTCAGGAGATCAAGACCATCCTGGCCAACGTGGTGAAACCCTGTCTCTACTAAAAATACAAAAAATTAGCCGGGCGTGGTGGTGGGCACCTGTAGTCTCAGCTGCTCAGGAGGCTGAGGCAGGAGAATGGCGTGAACCCAGGAGGCGGAGGTTGCAGTGAGCCAAGATCGCGCCACCACACTCCAGCCTGGGCAACAGAACGAGATTCAATCTCAAAAAAAAGAGAAAGAAAAAAGAAAGGGCACATCCACTCTATGGAGTTCTCCCTCAAATCCTGTAACCCTAGTCTTATCATGGACAAGCATCAGACAAACCTAAATTAGGGGACATTCAACAAAATAACTGTTCTTCAAAAGTGTCAAAGTCACAAAAGACATTGACAGACTGAGGAGTCACCACATATTGGACAGGAGTAGGAGACACAGATTAAATGCCACCTGGTGTCCTGGGTTGGATGCTGGAACAGAAGCGGGGCATGTGTGGGAGACCTGGGAAATCCAGACGAAGTCTGAAGTTTAGGTAATAGGATTATATCAATATCTGACTCAGTTTTGACACATCAGCCTGGTTACTGCAGATGTTAAAATCCAGGGAAGCTAGGTGAAGGGTATATGGGAGCTCTGTGCTGTCTTTGCCACTCTCTGTAAGTCTAAAATCATTTCAAAAGAAAATGATTGAAAGTTGCTAGGATTCTCTCTCTGTTGCTGCACCTTATCCATGGAAACCTTCTCGTTTCAGGGATGATGCAGTGTGTGATTGCAGTCGCGGACAAAGTATTCGATGCCTTCCTGAACATGATGGCGGATAAAGTAAGCCTCTCCAGCATGAATGCGTGTCTGTCTGCTGGAGGCATCTGGGGCACTGCGGTACCTGTTTCTTTTGCATCTCTAGGCCAAGACCAAGGAGAACGAGGAGGAGCTGGAGCGGCACGCTCAGTTCCTGTTGGTGAACTTCAACCACATCCACAAGAGGATAAGGAGGGTGGCAGACAAGTATCTATCTGGTCTGGTGGATAAGTAAGCTCATTTTCCTGCTAATGTTTTGTGTGTATGTATATAAACTTCTGTGATTTCAAATGCTGGGAAAAATCATCCTTATATTATTAATCTAGGAAAAAATGGAGTCAGAATGAAAACTCCTAAGGGTGATGCAGCCTCCCTCCAATGTCTGTGAGTTTCCTGCAGAGTCTGAATTTTGGTGCAGAAACTTCTGTTCATTCTGAGCTATCGATGTTACTTACAGCACATTTGCTGGGTGCCACATCCCTGTGTCTCTCAGTCCCACCCACTCTGGCATGACCTGGTGCACCATCTTCTAGCCCAGGGCCCAGCCAGAGGTCCCCTGGTAGGATCAGTATCTTTGGGCTTCTCAGGAACAAAAGCCCACACAGACCCTTCTGTGCTGTATACTCTTTGTTCTGGGAGCCAAAACAGACCCTGTTGGGACATGTCCCCACACTGATGAGAACTCTCACAGGTGGGCTGGACCAGCTTCTCCAAGGTGAGAAGGCCAGAGGCAGCAAAACACCCACATGGAGGCTGCCTGCAGCTCCCCAGAGGTATCCAGTGGTTCTGGAGCCTGTTGCAGATACTGTGTGCCTGGTCCAGGCAGCAGCGCCACCACAGGTGGTCAGGAGCCAGCCAGGGGTCACGAGAACGAGTCCAGCACACACGTGGCGTGTGTCTGAGCTGGGCTTCCTGAGCAGTGGGCCACTGGTGGGTCACAGCTGTGCAGAGACACCTCTCCTTCAGCCCTGGGGCCATCGGAGCCCATGGCCTGTCTTACCCCAGGGTGTCAGGTAGATACTGTTGTTTTCTCCATTATGTGAGAAATAATGGAGAACCCTGGTCAGAAACTAAGAGGATTGCTTTGGAAAGTGAGGGGTGTCCTGGCCAGTGCATAACCAAGGCAGTTGGTGTCAGGTTTGTCTGGCCCTAAGAAGTGGGGCTGGCAGGGGCCTGGGGAGCCTTTCTGACCAGGCGTTGCTCACCTTACTGCAATGAGCCTGAGGAGGCCAGGCATCCTGCTGCAAGGGCCTCCCGACCTCCTCCTTCAGCTGGCCTGAAGCAGATATGGGCTCGGGCTGGCAGCTGAGGGGGCTCCTAGAAGCAGACCTTCCTTGGAGGTTTGGCTCTTGGTCCTGAGAGCTGGCTCTTGGTGCAGGTTTCCCCACTTGCTCTGGAGCGGGACTGTGCTGAAGACCATGCTGGACATCCTGCAGACCCTGTCACTGTCACTGAGCGCTGTGAGTGTCCCCAGGAGACCTAGGGCCCAAACACCACCCGCTCTACCACCACCCCGCCGGCCCTGTCCGCCCTGTGTTGTGGCATGCTTCTCTGACAATAAGCCTGAACATAATTAATGCTACAGGTGTCGAGTTGGGGGTGAGGGGGCCCAAATCCACCTGGTGTTTTGCAATAAGTTGCATCAAGTATGGAGGCCTGTCACAGACAGACAGGTGGTGGGTAGGGGTGGCCCATGTGGTTGCTAGTGGCAACTTGGGGAAGGCAGTTTGGAAGAGGGAGTCTTGCTGTGCTTGCAGGATATTCACAAGGATCAGCCTTACTATGACATCCCCGACGCCCCCTACCGGATCACGGTTCCTGACACGTACGAAGCCCGTGAGGTAGGCCCGACACGATCCCCTGCACTAAGGGCCATCTTTACCACAATTCCCTGAGTATTTCCACGAGATGGTCAACCTGCATGAGCTCACCCAGTCCCCAGCAATTTGAGGTGTGGGTGGTGCTGGCCCCATCCCCCAGTGAGGAGACCAAGCCATTGCCAGGCTCCACCGAGTGCAAGGGGAGCTGGCTGCCCCCAGGTCGCTCTGTCTTCCAAGCCCAGCTCCCCCACCTCAGCCATGTTGACTCAGCTGTGTTCTCGGTTTAGCTGCCAAAGAGGTCTTCAGCTACCAGCCAGTTTATAGCCTCTCGAGTCTGCGTCGCACAAGCATGATTTTCAGGTGGACTTCACTTCTCTGAGGTGCACTGACATTTTGTTATTGTGGTAATAGGGGATCATGCCTTTGACTTGTGCTATCCAATGGGGAAACTGGCAGAATAAATCACTCCAAAAGAGGAGGATGTACTGGGTCTCTCCTCTCCCCAACTCGGTCTCAGAGCCCTCACTGTGGCAAGACTGCAACTCAGCTCACAGCTCCTTCAGCCTGGGCTGAGTCATGTCCTACCTCTGGACCTCTGCCAGACCAGCTGTCAATGGGGAGTTTCCCACAGAGTGGTGTGGCACCGAAGAGGATTTTGCCACGCAGAGCCTGCCCTTCCATCCAGTCCCAGACCCAGGACACAAGTTGCACAGTGTCCCTGTGACATGTTATTCTTGTAGATTCTGCCACAAACCTTGTGCAGGAATTACATACAGATCATAGTGTGTGTGGGCTTCCTGGCCCCAGGGGCCTTGAGGTTCAAACTTAGTGGCTGTGCTAGTCTCTTGGGCTTCTGTAGCAAAAGACAATAGACTGGGCAGCTTGAAAGGTCTTGACAGACATTGATTGTCTTACAGTTCTGAGGGCCGAAGTGTAAAATCAAAGTGTTGGCAGAGCTGGTTTCTGTGGAGACCTCTCTCCTTGGCTTGTGAATGGCAGCCTTCTCCCTGTGTCTTTACGTGTTCTTCCCTCTGTGCACACCCTCCTCCCTGCCCCAGTATTTCTGTGTGTCCAGATTTCCTCTGCACACACGTAAGGAAGGATACTGGCCAGATTGGATCAGGACCTACCCTATCAGCCTTTTAATTGAATCACCTCTTTAAAGCCCTATCTCCAAATGAGTTCCACTCTGAGGTACTGGTACCAGTTAAGGCGCAGCATAGGGATTTGGGGAGACATAGTTCAGCCCATGACAGTCACTACGGCAGCTCAGATGAACTGACCTCGGGTTGTTGAGAAGCAGCTTCACCCTCTTCCAGAGCATTGTGAAGGACTTCGCTGCACGCTGTGGGATGATCCTCCAGGAGGCCATGAAGTGGGCACCTACCGTCACCAAGTCCCACCTGCAGGTACTTGAAACCATCAAAAGGCAATTGCCATAAGCTCCTTCAAACTCCCAAAAAAGCTTTACAGAGACATGAAGAACTCAAAATCCAAATAGCACTAGTGTGAATGGAGACTGGAAGCATCAGTCTAGGGCCTGAGAATAATAGATGCCTCAGAGGCTGCTCTGTGTGTTAGGAGCGCCTGTGGGGCCAGTGCTGGCCAGGGCACAAGGAGGGCATCTGACGGCTCACACCAGGTGAGGTGCCAGGTCTGTGGCAAGACTTGGGGGCTGCTCACGAGAGGAAGGGCTTGTGTGGTGGATGTGGGAGGCTGCCAGATGGCAGCATCTCTAAGTGCCAAGTGCATTGCTGGCACCTGTGCCCAAAGGCAGGGGCCTGACCAAGGCTGGTGGAGCAGAGGCAGAGTTGGGGACTTGTGTCCCATTAAAGCTCCACATAAGCTGCACATGTAGGTGCATGGGAGTCTTTCAGACAAAAACACTGGTTTGGAAACTCAGATGGCCACGAAGTAAACCATGTAATGCCACAGGGTGTGAGAGGAAAGAATTGCCTTAAAAGGAATCAAAGATGAGAAAAATACCTCTGGAAGGAATCTGTGTTAGCAGAGAGTGGGTGTGCTGAGAGGAACTCTTGTGAGGTTTACCCTGGCAGCACTTTAAAGATGAAACAGGCTCAAAAGTGTTTCTGGTTGTGGAGTCCAGGAAGGATAGAGCAGCCAGCTCCAAGAGCCCTGAGAGCTGTGTGGAAACGCAGTGGCAAGAAACTATTTCCCTTTGTTCATTTACAGCAAAAGGGCCTCAGGTCCCAAGGCTGTCTGTCGTCTGAAGAGGGGAGGCCCCCTCTAATGCCTAGAAAGTTTAAGTGGACAAAAAAAGCAGCTGATAGAGCTTTTTACTTTCTCACGCAGGTCTGGCCTAAGAAGGAAATGGAAAATGAAAAGGCTTGAAGCGGTCTTGATTTTTCCACCAGGTGTCCCCTTGGCGTGCCCCAGGCCTGCCCTTTCACTTCCCCTGCAGTGTGCTTATTCCCCACCCTCCGTGCCCAGCCTCAGCCTTCCCCGAATCTGCCCTCTCCTCCACCCACCAGAGTAGTCTGGTTTTAATAGGGTATCTGGTCAGTGTACTTCCCTTTTAAACTTGATTATTAGTCACTCTTCATCGTCATAGTGTCCAAGGATGGGTTTCTGGAGCTCCAGGAGTCCCCCAAAACCATTGAGACAATTCTGCATGTATATACTCCTGTACATTTCTTCTTAAGGGAATTAGTTGGTTCACGCCTGTAAACAGGGCCTGCATCTGTTCCAGGCTTGCCCCCACCCTCGAGACCCTTGTCCTTGGTACTCCTGCAGGCTGAGCCCCCTGTGGTCCCCAGAGCAGGAGGCCTCCCTCACACCCCTGGGCTCTGCCAGGTATCCCATTGCCCAGCACCCTTCTCCCACTGGGTGGCCAGGTGGACACAGGTGTTGTTCTTCGTTCCTGCTGTCCAGTTCACCCACACCAGGCTGCTGGTATGCTGCAGTAGAGAACCGAGGCTCCACACCACACAGCCTGCCTGTTGACCGCAAGGCCAAGGCTTTGTAGCTTATTTGCCTGGTGGCTACCACAGCAGATGCTCAGCAAGGATGTGCTGAAAGAATAAATGGCCCTCTCCCATTGACGGTGCAACACCGCAGTGACTGCATGACAGCCGCTCGGGGAATTGGCCTTGTCCTCAGTCAAATGAGCAGTAGCTGGTCATAGAGGGGCTTTGACTTACTGACAGTCCCACAGCTAGTTAGGGAGGGGCAGACCCAGGACAGAAACCCAGTGTTTGGTCCATTTGCCCACACCTTAATTTATAAAGTTTTATTTTCCCCTTTAAATGAAATAGCAAGGCCAGGCACAGTGGCTCATGCCTGTAATCCTGACATTTTGGGATGCTGAGGCGGGAGGATCACTTGAGCCCAGGAATTCAAGCCAACCTGAGCAATATAGTGAGACACCATCTCTACAAAAAAAATTGCAAAATTAGCCAGGCATAGTGGCGTGCCCCTATAGTCCCAGCTACTTGGGAAGCTGAGGCGGGAGGATGGCTTGAGTCTAAGAGGTCGAGGCTGCAATGAGCCATGATCGTGCCACCACACTCCAGCCTGGGTGACAGAGCGAGACCCTGCCTCTAAAAAAATCAGATAAATAACTGAAACCCCATGTGTTTTTCCTATTTCAGGAATATCTGAACAAACATCAGAACTGGGTATCGGGACTGTCCCAGCACACGGGGCTGGCCATGGCCACTGAGAGCATCCTTCACTTTGCTGGCTACAACAAGCAGAACACAACTCTTGGGGTATGTGCGAGCCTTCTGAAGAGCAGTGACCCCTTAGACCATAGGAGCCACAGTGCAGGGGAAGGCTTAGAGCTCGGCTGTCGCTTTTCATGACGCACATGAGTACATGCAGGGTGCTGTGGATGTCTGTTGACAATGGTAGTGGTGCAAGCCGCACCTTGGCCCAAAGAAGAGGTGGCCATTGAAATGAGTGTTTCCTTATTGTGCTTTTTTTTTTTTAAATTTATGGATTTATGGGGATCAGTGCTTGATATGTCAGTGATCAGATTTTGATTTGAATGTCCCCATCTGAGAGGATGGAAACAGAGCTCCGCCTGACACGGGCAGCGCGATGCCACAGTTGCACTTATCTGGAGCGTATACTGGACTCCTGAACAGTTCTGTTTTCTGCAGGTGCTGAACCGCACATGAATGCCTTCAGCTTCTTGTTCTGCTAGAGATTAATCTAGAGGACAGAGGGTTCACACAGCAATACTTTCTGAGTTAAATTAGAGCTAAGAGTTAAAAAGGATTAAAGCAGGCAGTTCCACCTGGCCATGTGACTGGGGCTGGTCAGAGATTTTGTTGGTTAATGTGAATCTAGAGCCTGGCCATGTGTGCTTCCCAACTCTCTCCAAATGGAGCATGGGATGGGATATGTGGAGGTGCAGAGGCTGTGTACCCAGGAGGAAGGGTGACAGGCCTCCCTTGGGATACCGGCGGGAGAGAGGGGCCTGAGTGCCCTCTGGCTTTTGTGGGGCCTGAGGATGTGCCAGAGAATGCTGGTGTCTTCTCGCCTCATTTTGCTATCAGGGCACTCTCCTCGAGGTCACTGCACTATCTCTAAAGACACCAGTCTAGCAGACATGGTTGAGCTGGGTCCAGCCTGCACCTGCAGGGCCACCCGCCCTGGGCCTCCTACTCTGACGGGGCACCAGGTATCAGTGCCCTGACCTGGACGTCTCTGCCACTGGGTGGCCACAGAGGCCAGAGGCGGAACTCATAGACTGTAAGTGTTTATGATAGTCATAAGCCTTTTCCTTTTTGGGGGTGGTAGGAGCAAAGCTTTATTACATAAAATAGAATATGTGTTCTCATTTGTAAGCCTTTTCTAGACTCTAGCCAGCTGACTTGTGAAAGATCTGTTTTGCCTAAAATATTTTGTTCTTTTTCCCCAGAAAATTTGATGTAAGTTAGGTTTTCTCTAAGTTATTTTTTTTAATTTTTAAAAATTAATTCTGGGGCCAGGCACGGTGGCTCATGCCTGTAATCCCAGCACTTTGGGAGGCCAAGGCGGGCGGATCACGAGGTCAGTGGATCGAGACCATCCTGGCCAACACGGTGAAACCCCGTCTCTACTAAAAATACAAAAAATTAGCCGGGCATGGTGGCAGGCGCCTGTAGTCCCAGCTACTTGGGAGGCTGAGGCAGGAGAATGGTGTGAACCCGGGAGGCGGAGCTTGCAGTGAGCCGAGATCCCGCCACTGCACTCCAGCCTGGGCAACAGAGCAAGACTCCATCTCAAAAAAAAAAAAAAAAAAATTCTTTTTTTTTTTTTTTTTTTTGATGAAACCCCATCTCTAGTAAAAATACAAAAATTAGCCAGGCGTGGTGACATGCACCTGTAATCCCAGCTACTCGGGAGGCTGAGGCAGGAGAATCACTTGAACCAGGGAGGTGGAGGCTGCAGTGAGCCGAGATCGCATTGGGCAGTGAGGAGTGATGGTGGAAGGGAGGGAGCCGGCCTGCACTGCCCACCAGGTGCTGTTTGCCATGCCAGGACATTGTGTGTGTCATTACGTTGAACGTGTAACAACATTGTGAGAGGGTTATGCCCACTTTACAGATGAGCACATTGAGGCTCAGAGACATTGACTTCCCAAGGTCTCACAGCTGATTAGTATCAGAGCCAAGCTCTAACTCAGTCCTGCTTGGTGCCAAAGACCGCATTGTTTCCAGAAAATGTAAAGCAGTTTCACGTAATTTATTTTTTTAAATAAACCAGTTTAATAATTTCATGAGAGAAATCATGTATTTTTGTTCTTGTTTATATTTTGATGTTCCCCAACATCTGTATTTTCTTCTCCTGGTCCTCTTTCTCCACACCATGTCCCCTCAAAAAAAAATCCCTCTAAACTCAAAACAGTTGAGAAGCTCACTTTCCCCATTAGTACTGATGCTAAAGGGAAATGCGAAAGGAGGTCCTTTTCAATGCATGCTGTACTCTGCAGTGACCGTGGATGAACAGGAACTGAAAGGTGTGGCACAGCAGCCAGCCTGGGTTAGGAAGCCAGGTCACTGAGGCCCTGGGGCTGGGAGGCTGAGGCTGAAGCAGAGAGAGTGGCTGGAGGGGTGGAGTGGGTGGGCGGTAGTTTTCAAATATTTTTCTCCCATTCTGTGGGTTGCCTTTGTATTCAAGGTGTACCCTTTTCTGTCTCTTCCCATTAGACTGAAGAGCAGCCAGCAGATGTTTAAGAGCCTGCTGGCCTTGGCTCTCCCCTTCAGCCCCTTTACGGTCTGTAAGTGACATTTATAAGCTGCACACGCAACTCTCAAGGAGACGGCTGTGAATGCTTTCATGGCGTTTCCATCACAGGTGACATTGCTCTCACAATCTAGTGATTCTTTTTCTTGCAAAGGCCTATTTACCAGTAGCAGAAACTGCCTTCCAGAGACTTTTTTTTTTAATTTCTTATGGAACATATCAAACTGCTGGGTATTCTAAAATATTTTGCTTTATTAACTTGCCAGCAGTGAAGATTTTTATTAATAGTAACCCCCAGACCCGAGTGTGACTGCTTCATTGGGTTTAGGCTTAGCCATGGTAAACACGAGGAAAGGATAGTGCTGCCATAGTCTACAATAATGGTTATCTGTCTGTAGGCAACTCAGCTGAGCGAGCGCCCGGCCTGTGTGAAGAAAGACTACTCCAACTTCATGGCATCCCTGAATCTGCGCAACCGCTACGCGGGCGAGGTGCTTCTCTTGTCCTTGCGCCCTAGGGCCTTTAACGTGTCCTCTTGTTTTGAGGCCTGTTGGCCGCTTCCTAGTGGAAAATGAACAAAGCGTCCCGGTGATGTGGAATTAACATATTTTAGGAGGATTTAAAGAGCACATTTTAGGAGGATTCTTGGCACATTCCAGAGTGTTAATGACCAGTTACTTGTTTTTTCCACAAGAGGGTAACTCTGTGTACACTTTGGCTACACTGAATGAAGGTTTTTAATTTTTTTGGCTTTTTTTTACAGCAGTAACAAACACTTACATGCCATAGGCTCTTGGGCACTCGGTAAGATGTATGTATTATTATTCCAGTTTTATAGATAAACGGAGGTTCCCAAGATTAAGTAACTTGCCAAAGTCGCACAAGTGGAGTGGGGTCTGGAACCACATCTTCCAACTCCACATCGTGGGCTTTCACCCACCACACCACAGTTTATTCCAGCCTCACCAGTGCCATCACATCTGTGGGCCTCCATTTCCTGCTCCATAAACTCAGAAGCTAATCTATACCATTTCTTTTTGTTTGTTTGTTTTTGTTTTTGTTTTTGAGACAGAGTCTCGTTCTGTTGCCCAGGCTGGAGTGCAGTGGCACAATCTTGGCTCACTGCAAGCTCTGCCTCCTGGGTTCACGCCATTCTCCTGCCTCAGCCTCCCGAGTAGCTGGGACTACAGGCACCCACCACCACGCCCGGCTAATTTTTTGTATTTTTAGTGGAGACGGGGTTTCACTGTGTTAGCCAGGACGGTCTTGATCTCCTGACCTCATGATCTGCCCGCCTCGGCCTCCCAAACTGCTGGGATTACAGGCGTGAGCCACCGCGCCCAGCCTAGTCTATGCCATTTCTAAGCTCCCTGGTGACTCTGAAAGTCTATCAGTGGCCTGGTCTGAGTGGGAGTTCACTCCTTCTTAGCACTCTGTCACTTGTATGTTCTTCTCTCTGGAAAAAAAAGTTATATTTGTCTTTAAAAATAGATAGGTTGGCCAAGCACAGTGGCTCACGCCAGTAATCCCAGCACTTTGGGAGGCTGAGACAGGAGGATCACCTGAGCCCAGGAGTTCGAGGATGCAGTGAACTATGATCGCACCACTGCACTCCAGCCTGGGCAACAGAGCAAGACTCTGTCTCAAAGAAAAAATTATTAATAATAGTAAGGAGGGCTGGGTGTGGCCGCTCACGCCTGTAATCCCAGCACTTAGGGAGGCCAAGGTGGGCGGATTATTTGAGGTCAGGAGTTCAAGACCAGCCTGGCCAACATGGTGAAACCCTGTCTCTACTAAAATAGAAAAATTAGCCAGGCGTGGTGGCGCATGCCTGTAATCCAGCTACTTGGGAGGCTGAGGTGGGAGGATCACTTGAACCCAGGAGGCGGAGGTTGCACTGAGTCGAGATCACGCCACTGCACTCCAACCTGAGCATCAGAGCGAGACTCCCTCTCTCAAAAAATAATAATGAGGCTGATATTGTTGTTTGAGTCATTAATTGAGTTTGAGGAAATGTATTTATCCAGCTCACATTCATGCAGTCCCACCATGGGTCAGACCCCGGGCTCACTGCTGGGTACAATGATGAGGGACAAGGTTCCCACCCTTGGGGAACATCTGCAGTGGTGGCACTGCCAACATGCATTTCTAGAGGAGCTGTTCTTTAAAAAAAAAAAAAGCTGTGATCAGTGGTAGCATCATTGAAATGAGCCTGTCTCTCTGCATGCATGAGCTCCACTTTGGGGCAGCGAGGCACCCACCAGTGCCACCACAAGTGTGGTCTGGTGGCTTCCAGAACCTTACCCACATTGCCTGGATTATATGCTTAGTTGCTGATGAGAATGTTTTTGCAGGTGTATGGAATGATTCGGTTCTCAGGCACCACAGGCCAGATGTCTGACCTGAACAAAATGATGGTCCAGGATCTACATTCAGCTTTAGACCGCAGTCATCCTCAGCACTACACGCAGGCCATGTTCAAGCTGACCGCAATGCTCATTAGCAGTAAAGGTAACTCACTGAAGCACTGTGGAATTCTGGGCTCGTTTCTAAATGAATGCTGGCCTTGATGACCCATAGCCAGCTGGAGTACTGGCCGGAGAAAGAGCAGGAGCTCCCCCAGTAGAGGAGTATCTCTCATGAGTGGAAAGTCAATAAAAGGCCATCACTGGCCCCAGCTGGTCAACTCTTGTTGGCCCAGGGAAGCTGTTTTGGGGTTCAGCTGTTGTTGGAGGCCTCTGACTGACGTGTGTTTGGTTCCAGATTGTGACCCGCAGCTCCTTCATCATCTGTGCTGGGGTCCCCTCCGGATGTTCAATGAGCATGGCATGGAGACGGCCCTGGCCTGCTGGGAGTGGCTGCTGGCTGGCAAGGATGGAGTGGAAGTGCCGGTAGGACCCTGACCTCGGGTTGGCAGTGAGGATGGGATGGGATAACAGACGGGAAGAGCCTTCCCTGGTGCCGCCACCACCAAGCATGGAGACACTGGGCAAGCCCCTCACCTTCTCAAGCCTCAGTCTCCTTACAGATTCTATTATTATACCTGACAGTCACAGAAAATAGAATATATGTTAACAGCATCCCACTGGTGCCTAGAAGCCGTTATCTCCCAAAACCTCGGTAGGGGGAGCCATTTCTCTACTGAAATTGGAAATCCAGCTTTTTGAACACCTGTTAACTTTGAATTTGATTGGGAGCAGTTGTGTTTGTCCACGGGAATGTTTTTCTTGACCTAATCTTGGGATCAGCCCCCTTTCCCTGCATCCGTATTTCTGGAGTTGCTACTGCAGGGGGTGCCCACAAGGAAGTTTATACTCACGTTTCAGCTGATTAGATAAACGCTTAAGAACAATTTTATTTTTCAAAGATTCTGTTAACTGTCAGGGTAGCAGGGAATTTGACATGTTTTCTTTCTGTATTTCTTAGGATTAGTTGAAATGAGTGGTCAAAAAGGGGGATTTTGATTTTCTTCTTCCCTCAGGAAAATTGGAATATTTCCAAAAATGTAATTAAAATGTTCCGGGCTGGTGGTGGTGGCAGTGATGATAATATCTCACATTTGCCTGCTATTTTATAACCTCGTGGGGTTTGTATCAATCACACCATTGAGCGCTGTTAGGAAACATTTTGGTCCAGTGGGCGCCTGGGGGAGGTTGTCTAGTCAGGGGGACACCTGTGAAGTCAGGGGAGTGCTGGGTTCTCAGCCTGACCAGCCTGCTCCCATCAAAGATATGCAGAAGGGCCTGTGGAAGTCACGCTTCAGCCTGCAGGGCTCTGATTCCTGGGCGGGGCTCCTCACCTGCATGGTGGACATCATTACAAGAGCACCTGCATCCTAGTGAGCTGTCAGTAAATGACAACTGGAGTGGCCACATCAGTTATAGTTCTTGCCAGGGAGAGGATTCTGCAGAGACAGCTGTATACCATTGCCACTGTGGATACCCACTGCCATTATGACACCCAATTTCTCCCTCTAATTCCTTGTGTCCTGTTTTCATATTTTACTACTATATGCATTAGACCTTATAATGTTGTTTCTGTTCAAAAAAATCAAAAGTCTTTCAAAGAAATTAAGACAAGGCTTTGTTACAGCATTATAATTTATCCAAATGTTTTTCATCACTCACACTTTTACAGTCTTCCTGTGATCTCCTCTGCCAAGTAATTTTCTTTAACAGTTCCAGTAATGCAGGTCTGCTGGAAATAAATTCTCTCATCTTAGTTCACCTTCATCTTTGATGCATATGGATTATTTTTTCTAGGCCCAGGATTCTAGGTTGATAGTTTTTTGTTTTATTGTTTTTAGCATTTCAGATATTATCTTCTATTGTCTAGTAGCTTGCATTGTTTCTGGAGAGAAGTCAACAGTCTTTTTGTTTCTCAGTACAGCCGGCCCTCCATATCCATGGGTTCCACATCCTGGAACCAGTTCTCCTGAGGATACCAAGGATGACTGTATATGTTATTGTTTTTCTTTTGACTACTTGTTGGATGTTTCTCCTTATCTTTCATTTTTAGTTGTTTGACTGTGTGTGAATTTCATTGTATTTATCCTGTTGGAATTCATTGAGCTTCTTAATTTCAGGGATTTAGGATTTTCATCAAACTTGGAAATCTTGAGGTCAGTATTTCTTTGTCATTTCTTTTTCTTTTTTTTTTTTACTTCCTAGGCTCTTAAGGTCAATATTTTTTTAATTTTTTTTTACTTCATTCTCTCTCTCTTCTCCTTTTTGGATTCCAGGTACACATATATTAGTGACTTGGTATTGTCCCATAGATCATCGACATTCTCTGTAGTCTTTTTCAGTTTTTCAGGGTTTTTCTCACTCTTTCATTTGGTTAATTTTTTTTTTAACCTGTATACCAGTTCACTGTTCTTTTCTTCTGCTTTATTCATTCTGCTGTAAAACCATCTTGTATATTTTTTATTTCAGATACAATTCTCAGGTCTAGAAAACAAAACAAAAAATAAATATTTAATTTAAAAATAAGAAAAAGAAACAATTCCAGATCTAGGATTTCTAGTTAATTCTTTTTTTTTTTTTTTTTTTTTTTTTGAGATGGGGTCTCACTCTGTTGCCCAGGCAGGAGTGCAGTGGCACAATCTTGGCTCACTGCAACCTCCGCCTCGTGGGTTCAAGTGATTCTCCCACCTCAGCCTCCCAAGTAAGTGGGATTACAGGCACCAGCCATCATGCCTGGCTAATTTTTGTGTTTTTGTACAGACAGGGTTTCACCATGTTGGCCAGGCTGGTCTTGGACTCCTGACCGCAGGTGATGCACCTGCCTCAGCCTCCCAAAGTGCTGGGATTACAGGCATGAGCCACCACGCCCAGCCATTTAATTCTTTTTTATAGTTTGCATTTTCTGCTGCTGAGATTCTCTTACCTTCATGCATTCTTTCCATTATTTCTTATAAATCTTTGAGCATATTTATTGTAATTATTTTTATATCGTTATCTGGTCTGTTCTTGTATTTGAGTCATCTTGGGTCAGTTTCTTTTTATCTTTTTTCTTCAATGTTTGAAAGTTTTTGTTTCTATACTGGACATTGTACATTTAAATAAAACTGACAGTTGAGGAGGACTGCTGTATATTTTCCCAGAGAGAAGGAGGTCTTTATTTTTTTTCTTTTGTTTTTTTTTTTTTCCTGAAGACAGTCTTGCTATGTTGCCCAGGCTGACGTCAAATTCCTGAGCTCAAGTGATTCTGCTGCCTCGGCCTCCTGACCCAGTAGCTGGGACTTTTTTTGTTGTTGCTTTTTTTTGTTTTTTTTTTTTGAGATGGAGTCTCGCTCTGTCACCCAGGCTGGAGTGCAGTGGCCCGATCTTGGCTCACTCCGCCTCCCGGGTTCACGCCATTCTCCTGTCTCAGCCTCCCGAGTAGCTGAGACTACAGGCGCCTGCCACCACGCCCGGCTAATTTTTTGTATTTTTTAGTAGAGACGGGGTTTCACTGTGTTAGCCAGGATGGTCTCGATCTCCTGACCTTGTGATCCGCCCGCCTCGGCCTCCCAAAGTGTTGGGATTTTAGGCGTGAGCCACTGCGCCCAGCCAGTTGCTTTTTTTTTTTTTTTTTTTTGTGACTGAGTCTCCTGACTTTGTTAGCCAGGATGGTCTCGATCTCCTGACCTTGTGATCCGCCTGCCTCGGCCTCCCCAAGTGCTGGGATTACAGGCGTGAGCCACCGCGCCTGTCCGAGATGTCTTTCTTATGTCTGGTGGCTCCTCCTCCTACTCAATAGCTGGTCTTGGCAGGAAGTATGGGTTCTTCCTGCTTTTTACCCCACTTCCTTTTTTTTTTATTTTAAGCAAAATTGGGAAAGGTGTCTTAAAGGGATTTTTATACAAACCAAATTACTGTTTCATTTGGGGTCTTTTGGAGTCCAGCTTGCACTTCCTGCTCCTACCATCTCCAGTGGCTCAGCTGGCCTCAGGTCCCTTGGCCTGTGTCAGGCTTCTCCACCCACTCACACTCACACCTGGCACTGGCCCCAGCAGCACGTGGTCATTCAGGTCCTCACTCCCTGTCTCTGCCTCCACAAGGACCTGACCTGTCCAGGTCCCATAGTGCCCAGGAGATGAAGAGATGTCACACTTGCTGTTCGCATCTCAGCGTGGGAACAGTGGGGAGCCTGACCTCCTTACAGGGGTCTGGGACCTTCATTTCACTGAGAGGGGAAAGATTCATGATCCTTGTATGATACTTAAAATTCATGACCCAAAATAAATGCATGTGGGCTGCACTAGTAACTGATAACTTGCTCTGGTCCTGCTGTGTGCCCAACTTAAGCAGGGCATTATATGTATATTACTCTCCTGTCCATTGAACCCAGGCCTTGGGGTCTAGGCTGATGGTTGCAGTTTCCCCCACACCCTGAGGCTGTCCTCCTGTGGGCTCAGGAGGGACCCGATCCTGGGAAGTCTTAGCCACGCTCACTCCTGTGTGGGCCCAGGTGCCCACCTGCCTGCACACACCTGCCTACACACACCTGCCTACACACTATCTCTTGGTGGGACTCTCCACTTCCCAGAAGAGGACAAGTGTGCCCTCCTCTCAGGGTCTTCTGGAAGCCCTGGTTTCACCACAAATTGTGACTGTCAGGACACAGTGCTGCTATGGTCAGGATTCCTTTCCATATGCTGCTTCAGCCTCAGACCTCGGTGGGCCTTAAGAGTAGGGGCTGCTCAGCCAGGCGCAGTGGCTCACGCCTGTAATCCCAGCACTTTGGGAGGCCGAGGCGGGTGGATCACCTGAGGTCGGGAGATCGAGACCAGCCTGACCAATATGGAGAAACCCTGTCTCTACTAAATATACAAAATTAGCCAGGTGTGGTGGCATGTGCCTGTAATCCCAGCTACTTAGGAGGCTGAGGCAGGAGAATCGCTTGAACCCAGGAGGCGGAGGTTGCGGTGAGCCAAGATCGCACCATTGCACTCCAGCCTGGGCAACAAGAGCGAAACTCCGTCTCAAAAAAAAAAAAAAGAAAAAGAGTAGGGGCTGTAGCCGTTCCCATTTCATAGGGCACTGGGGGTGCTCCTGACCACGTGTCAGCCCTCACATTGTACCTGGGGCTCTGGAGCCCAGATCCACCTCTCTCCTCTCCACTTCCTTAGTCCAGGTGCCCTTGAACTTCTGGCCTCCCTGTCTGGTCCTCAGATAGGAGTGGGTCCTCAGATAGGAGTGGGTTGGTTGACCCCTGGGGGCAGGGCAGTTGGAGTACAGATATCACTAGCAGGCCCCAGATGGTAGGAGGACAGATCAGCCTAGGGAAAGCTGCTCACAGCCTCCTTCAGAGTTCTGGGTCTTGAAAGCAGCTGTTCTGGGAGCCTAACTGCTTTTCCCAGGGACTTAAGGCCTTTGTAATTTTTGTAGCCCTTTCATCCTCCAGAATAAAGGGACCTTCTTGAGCTCAGGGCCTTCTCAGTACTGGCATGCCCCAGGGCTCCTCCTCCCTGCCTGGGTACTCTGGCCAGCTCCACTGCTTACCCAGCCCAGTCACTCCTAGTCCAGGTGCATCCCTTCAGTGGCTTGGCCCACAGCCTGCATGGTGAACTGATTAGCAGCCCCAACTAATGGGTCCAACCACAGCTCCAGACACCGCTACACTGGTCGCCCATCCGCCATCACTGTTGATGCCAGGGTGGTTCTTCCCTTCACTGTAGATGCCAGTGTGGCCCCTCCCTTTACTGTAGCTGCCAGTGTGGCCCCTCCCTTTACTGTAGATGTCAGCGAGGTCCCTCTCATCACTGTAGATGCCAGTGAGGTCCCTCCCTTTACTGTAGATGCCAGTGTGACCCTTCCCTTCACTGTAGATGCCAGCGAGGTCCCTCCATTCACTGTAGATGCCAGCGAGGTCCCTCCATTCACTGTAGATGCCAGCGAGGTCCCTCCCTTTACTGTAGATGCCAGCAAGGTCCCTCCCTTCACTGTAGATGCCAGCATGGCCCTTCCCTTCACTGTAGATGCCAGCGAGGTCCTTCTGTCTGCTCAGACGTCTTTGACTCCCTCTTATGCACATCCCACAGATGACTCTCAGCACATCCCATCACCTTCACCTTTGAGGTTTATCCAGGATCTGACAAGTCCCAGCATCCCAGCTGCTGCCCTCTGGCCTGGCCTCCTGCTCCCCAACCCCAGGCATCTTCCCCTTCTCCACATGCGGTTGGCGCAAGCCAGGGGGGAATCAGAGCCCCCCTACAGACTCGAAGGTGGGCTTGTTTCTGTGACCTGCAAGCCCCCTTCCCACCTGACTTCCATCCTCTCTCTTCCCCTTGCTTGCTGTGCTGTGGCCATGCTGGGGTCCTGCTTGCACTTCCCACGGATGATTCTCAGCACATCCCATCAGTTTCACTTTTGAAGCTGCCCTCCTGGGCTGCTCCCACCATAGGCCGCGTCATGCATTCCCTCTTCTCAGATGGCCGTGCCTTGCGCCTCACTCCTGCGTCTCCTCCAGGGCTCATCTCAGATATCCCCTCCTTGCCAGGGCTCTCCCTGGCCACCTGGTCTGTCACACGCTCACTCGCACTGCTGTTTCTTAGTGTTTCTCAGTGTGTGTAGCTTATTTCTTGTTGTCTGTGGTCCCCACCATAGACTGTGTGGTCATGTTTGTCTTCATTCAGAGCACCATGCCCAGAGTCCACGAGGCCCTGGCACAGAGGCAGCCACCAGGATGTGGTTGTGTAACAAATAGGTGGGAGTGTGTCTCTTCCATGGCTTCTTGTCCATGGCAGTTCTGGGGTCCCCCCCATTTTTTTCTCCCTTGTCTGCTTCCATAAGACTAATCGGTCTGCAGGAAACAGAAAGCAGGCTCTAGTGCCTCGTCCCCCAGGAGTCCTCACCCCATGGGCAGCTTAGAGGGAAGCAGCAGACAGAGCCCCGCCCCGGGCTCCCGTCGGCTCCTGGCCATCCTGGGCTTATGTGGCCTTTGTCTCCACCCTCACAGCCTCCAGATGGCTTCTGTGCCTCCCAGCAGGAAGGAAGACAAGGACAGAGTGCAAAAGGCAGAGGCCAGCTGCCTTGACCTTATGAAGCTCACCCTGGCATGTGTTCCCAGGGCCTTGCCCAGTTCACTCTCCCTGGCTCATTAGAGTGGCCGGGGAGAACAGTGGCCGCCTCAGCCAGCAGGGACCCTGGCTGAGAGCCCTGTGACTGGCCACGTGGCCACCCTGATCCACCTCATGAGGAAGAAGGGAGGGGATGGTACTGGGGAGGGAGCCGCGGTGTGTGTTCTACTCACTAGGCCTCGTTGCCACCTCTGCACAGGCGCTTGGAGCCCTTGTAGAAGCTGGTGCTGCTGGGACAACAGAGGGATAGAATCCTCTTTGGCCAGATGCCAAATGCTGTTTGTTGGTCTCCTTGTAAAAACACCCAGAAATCATGGGGGCTTTCCATGTGTGAGCTGCACCTCTTACTCTCTGCAGCACCCAGGTGTCTCCCGGGCACCATGCTGCTCCCTCTGGGCACCCCTCATGCCCCCCCACGGAATGGGGACCTGGCTGAGCATGACTGGGCCATGGGAGCAGCCTGACCCTGGGCTCCCAGGCCTGGCCATGGTGGCTGCAGGCTCGCCTCGGCTCCATGGGCCTTTCCTAATCTGGTTAGCGGGATGAAGGCATCAGGTAGGGTCTGTGTGGGGTGGAGAGGAGGAGCCAGGCTCTGGATCCAGAACCCTCTTCTGCCCTTGCCAGCTCAGCATCCCACAGAGGGGTCTTCCCGCTCACAGCCACAGAGGGTTATCAGGGTTATAGAGAAGAGTCACCTACCCAGTGCCTGTCAGGGCATCAGGTACATCCCGGGTGCTGCCACCTCACACCTGCAATGTCCACACGGTGAACCGGGTTGAACAGAAGGCAGCCTCGAGAGGCTGGAGAAAATACACCAAGCACTGACACAGATGACCCTGGGATGTGGGACTATAGGCGATCTTCATTTTTTTCTTCATACTTTTCTTGGTTTCTAAATCTTATTCAGTGAGCACGTGTTCCTTTTTTTAATTAGAGAAAACTTGACAGTAGCCCCTTTTTGTGTTTCACAGAGGAGCTAACATTCCTTCTGTACCTGTAGTTCATGCGGGAGATGGCAGGGGCCTGGCACATGACGGTGGAGCAGAAATTTGGCCTGTTTTCTGCTGAGATAAAGGAAGCAGACCCCCTGGCTGCCTCGGAAGCAAGTCAACCCAAACCCTGTCCCCCCGAAGTGACCCCCCACTACATCTGGATCGACGTACGTGCCTGTTCCCCCACGAAGGCTGTGGGGTGCTCCACCTGGGGGGCCAGGACTGTTCCTGGGGTGGGGGTAGCCGAGCCCAAGGCCTTCGGCAAGCTCGGCCAGTCAGCCCAGAACCCCTCCTCAGCTGTCTCTGCCGGCCCCAGGGTTAGCCCGGCTCAGCCCCACCACCACAGCGTCTTCCTCTTTTCGCTCAGTTCCTGGTGCAGCGGTTTGAGATCGCCAAGTACTGCAGCTCTGACCAAGTGGAGATCTTCTCCAGCCTGCTGCAGCGCTCCATGTCCCTGAACATCGGCGGGGCCAAGGGGAGCATGAACCGGCACGTGGCGGCCATCGGGCCCCGCTTCAAGTGAGGGCCCTCTTCCTGGGGAGCACAGGGCCCCTGGTGTGTACAGTGTGTCATGGGGCGTCTGTGTATCACGGTACTTCTGTAGACGGGGAACACATTTCAGTGAGCTGCTCCTGGAAGGGCAGGGAAGAGAGTCCATAAGGTGAACTTGGCCCCAGGCCAGGCTCCTGCTCTAACTGGGTCCGGGGCTCCCTCACAGGCTGCTGACCCTGGGGCTGTCCCTCCTGCATGCCGATGTGGTTCCAAATGCAACCATCCGCAATGTGCTTCGCGAGAAGATCTACTCCACTGCCTTTGACTACTTCAGGTACTCCCCCAAGATGTGCTGTGCAGCGTCCAGGGACGGCGCAGCCCCTCCAAGTGCTCCATCGCCCCAAACCCCCAGGAAGTCACTCACAGGAATACACAGTTGCCCAGTTGTGCTCACCAACCTCCTCCTTCAGTATCCCTGGCCCTGTGGATTTAAATACCCTTCAGCCCTGTGCATGTGTCCCGTGTACTTAGAGCTAGCCTCCCAGCGAGATGTAGGCAAATTTTCCCTCAGTTCAACTGATTTAGGAGATTAAGTGCGTCCATTTAATTTCCCTGTTAATGTGAAGGCTTATTGCACGAAGAATTGCAAACACCCACTGCCTGGGGCTCTGCACCCATAGGCTGTGCTGTTGTGTGAGTGCAGCTTCCTTGCCCTGATCTGCCACAAGTGCAGCTTCAGTGGAAAGCTGTAGGGGCTGCTGTGGGCAGTGAGGGAGGAGGGCATAAGAGGGCTCCCGAGCCACCACACCTTCCCATGGGAATGGGCCAGATCATCCTTGCTAATGACTGGCTTTGGGCTGACCTTTTGTCATTAAGAAACTGTCTGCATCACCTTCTCACTGCTTTGTGTGACTGGCCTCTAGTCCCTGACTCCAGACACTCAGCCCTTGTCCTCTTATGGTTGTTTGAAGCTGTCCCCCAAAGTTCCCTACTCAAGGAGAGAAGCGGCTGCGTGAAGACATAAGCATCATGATTAAATTTTGGACCGCCATGTTCTCAGATAAGAAGTACCTGACCGCCAGCCAGCTTGTTCCCCCAGGTAACCCTCAACAGTGCAGCTGCTCATGGTGGAGGCAGGCAGGACAGGGGTGCCACGTGGGCTGCCCCGAGGGTGCCAGAGGTAGGGACGGAAAAGCAGTTAGACCCCCCTGAGCCCTGGCCTTGGCTGTGTTGCACGGTCATTGGAGGCCGGTGCATGCCTGGCTCTGCTTCTCCTCTGGCCTGAGCTGAGAAGCATAAACACGCACCCGAGGCAGCTGAGCAGACTCCACTCACCGCACTTTCCCTGCACTGGCACCAGCTGCGTTCACACACCCCTCTGAGCAGCTGACGGCCCAGGATTGGGCTGAGGCTGGTGCACACCCACATGACTGGGGTATGGTCTGTTGTTGTCTTGTAGGAGGCAGTCAAATGGACAGGTGATTTCAATATGAGGGAACTATGGGAGCACTCCTCGGGGACAGGCACTTGGCCCATCCAGAGTTGAGGAATCAGAGATGGTTTTCTGGAAGAGAGACAGTTGAGCTGAGTCTGAATGGCTGCACCGGCATGCAGGGTGGACAGGGCAAAGCATTCCAGGGAAGGGTATGCCGAATGAAAACATGCCACGCAAAGAAGCAGCAAACCTCTGTAAGGAGGCCATGCCCTGTTCTCCCAGGCTAGAGTGCAGTAGCGCAATCTTGGCTCACTGCAACCTCTGCCTCCTGGGTTCAGGCGATTCTCCTGCCTCAGCCTCCTGAGTAGCTGGAACTACAGGTGCTCACCACCATGCCTGGCTAATTTTTTAATTTTATTTATTTATTTTTATTTTTTAATTTAATTTAATTTTATTTTTTTGAGACAGAGTATTGATCTGTCGCCCAGGCTGGAGTGCAGTGGCACAATCTCGGCTCACTGCAAGCTCTGCCTCCCGGGTATGTGCCATTCTCCTGCCTCAGCCTCCTGAGTAGCTGGGACTACAGGCGCCTGCCACCACGCCTGCCTAATTTTTTGTATTTTTTTAGTAGAGACGGGGTTTCACCGTGTTAGCCAGGATGGTCTCGATCTCCGCGCCCAGACTTTTTTTTTTATTTTTATTTTTTGAGACGGAGTCTCACTCTGTCGCCCAGGCTGGAATGCAGTGGTGCAGTCTCCGCTCACTGCAAGCTCCGCCTCCCGGGTTCACACCATTCTCCTGCTTCAGCCTCCCAAGTAGCTGGGACTACAGGCGCTCGCTACCACACCTGGCTAATTTTTTGTATTTTTAGTAGAGATGGGGTTTCACCGTGTTAGCCAGGATGGTCTCGATTTCCTGACCTCGTGATCTGCCCACCTCGGCCTCCCAAAGTGCTAGGATTACAGGCGTGAGCCACCGTGCCCGGCCAATTTTTTTATTTTTTAGTAGAGACAGGGCTTCACCATATTGGCCAGGCTGGTCTCAAACTCCTGACCTTCTGATCCGCCCGCCTCAGCCTCCTGAAGTGCTGGGATTACAGGTGTGGGCCACATTGCCTGGCTGAGACCTTCTGATCCGCCCGCCTCAGCCTCCTAAAGTGCTGGGATTACAGGTGTGGGCCACATTGCCTGGCTGAGATGGTTTTCTTTAGCAGACCCACGGCTGACAACCTAACTAGCAGGAAAAGGAAAGAAAAAAGCAGATGCAGTGACTTTCTAAGGCAGCTTTCTGGCTCCACTTAGAAGAGGGCAAACAGTCCTTACAGTCTGCCCCCACAGGCCCTCAAGTTGTCACCGTACTAAAGGACTATACGTTGCCGGTGATCAGATAACTGCCATCTTTTATCAAGAAAATTATGATATTTGTTTTATTCTATTTTATTTTCTACTTTTTTTTAGAAATGCAGTCTCATTCTGTCGCGCAGGCTAGAGTGCAATAGTGTAATCATAGCTCACTGCAGCCTCAAACTCCTGGGTGCAAGCAATTCTCCCACCCCAGCCTCACAAGCAGCTAAGACTACAGACACATGCCAGGTCCCCTGGCTAATTTTTATTGTTGTTGTAGAGATAGGGCGTCTTGCCTTGTTGTCCAGGCTGGCCTCGATCTCCTGGCGTCTAGCAATCCACCTGCCTCAGCCTCCCAAAGTGCTGGGATTACAGGCATGAGCCACTGTGCTCAGCCTATTCTATTTTAAAGGCTAGAAGAAGTCCAGGTGTAGTGACTCACGCCTGTAATCCCAGCACTTTGGGAGGCCAAGGCAGGTGGATCATTTGAGGTAAGGAGTTCGAGACCAGCCTGGCTAATATGGTGAAACCCCATCTCTACTAAAAATACAAAAATTAGCCAGGCATGGTGGTGGGCGTCTGTAGTCCAGCTATTCGGGAGGCTGAGACAGGAGAATTGCTTAAACCCGGGAGGCAGAGGTTGCAGTGAGCTGAGATCGCGCCATTGCACTCCAGTCTGGGCAACACAGCGAGACTCCTTCTCAAAAATAAAACATAGGCTGGGCACAGTGGCTCACTCCTGTAATCCTAGCACTTTGGGAGGCCGAGGTGGGTGGATCACCTGAGGTCAGGAGTTTGAGACCAGCCTGGCCAACGTGGTGAAACCTTGTCTCTACTAAAAATACAAAAATTAACTGGGCATGGTGTCAGGCACCTGTAATCCCAGCTACTTGGGAGGCTGAGGCAGGAGGATCACTTGAACCCAGGAGGCGGAGGTTGCAGTGAGCTGAGATCACGTCATTGCACTCCACCCTGGGCAACAGGAGCGAAACTCCATCTCAAAAATAAATAAGTAAATAAATAAATAAATTTTGAAAAGGTTAAAAGAAATATAATAAAAATGTTTAAACATTCCATCTAGAATAGTTAAAATAAAGAACTTCTCATGCTTTTGGAAAACCCACCATCCAGACAGATTTGTTCCTGCAGTCGATTCCAGGACTCCAGAAAATGCCTGCTCTGCCACTAATTGCTTTATCTCTGGTGAATAGTAGTTTATTTTTTGTGGTACCTTTTCTTGAGCCACCTCACTCTAGAATCAACAATGTGTTTGCCCTCAGATAATCAGGACACCCGGAGCAACCTGGACATAACTGTCGGCTCTCGGCAACAAGCCACCCAAGGCTGGATCAACACATACCCCCTGTCCAGCGGCATGTCCACCATCTCCAAGAAATCAGGTCGGTGGGAGGTGTGCTGCTGGGGCCATCACATGCAAGCTATCATTCTAGTTGCAAGCTGCTTGATGGACACTTGCTCAGACAGCAGAACAGAGCACTGCAAGCTTCCTCTAGGTTTAGAATCTCAGGGCAGACAGGTAGCATCTGAGGACTACACCTGTGCTTTGTCTTTCCTCCTAGGCATGTCTAAGAAAACCAACCGGGGCTCCCAGCTGCACAAATACTACATGAAGCGCAGGACGCTGCTGCTGTCCCTGCTGGTAAGGCCCACAGGTGCAGCTGTGCCTGCTGCCCGCCACCTGCCTGTACGACACCTGGTGGCCGGGGCAGTGTGTGGGCACTCACAGAAGGGGTGCATATCAGGCCTTATGTCTTATCTTGCCAGGCCACTGAGATCGAGCGTCTCATCACATGGTACAACCCGCTGTCAGCCCCGGAACTGGAACTAGACCAGGCCGGAGAGAACAGCGTGGCCAACTGGAGATCTAAGTACATCAGCCTGAGTGAGAAGCAGTGGAAGGACAACGTGAACCTCGCCTGGAGCATCTCTCCCTACCTAGCCGTGCAGCTGCCTGCCAGGTGGGCCCCCGGGCACCACAGCCTGACACAGGCCTCACCAGAGGTCCAGCGCAGGGTGCTTGCCAGCTGGGTCATGAGTTCTCAGGAGTGCCCTGCAGCCCCTTTCAAGGATAGTCAGGAAGTAGTCTAGTCCTCGAGCCCCAGGACACTCCCCGAGCCCTTCTGTGCAGAGATAACCCAGCAACCCTCGTGATCTTTTCAGATGCCTGCCTGGGGTGCTGCAGCAGCTGGAGCCTAGGGAGGTAGCAGCAGGGTGAATTCAGAGCCAAGATCTGATTCCTGCCGGATAGGAAGCATGTGGAGGCTGTCACTCCTGGCAGGTGGCTGCCGGAACCGCCTTGGGGAGGGTTTGGGTTTGTTCCTGGATGTCACCTTTCAGTGGCAGAGTATTTGGAGGAGGCACATGCTGCAGACAGCAGTGACATTCCTGTGATCTCTCTGTGGCAGCTCTTATGGGGACAGAACTTCAGACCGATGGTGGCTGAGAGGGACTGCAGAGTCCCTGTTTAGAATCCCACCAGATGGTCCACAGCCTCCTGTGAATGTGTCCAGGGTGGGTGATTCTCCATTGTGAGCCCAGACTTGCCAATGTACTGCATCCTCTCTCCAGCCCTACTTTGATCCTCTGGAATAGGATCGCAGCGCAGCTCTGCATTGTCTCAAAGCACAGTGCTCATGGGACATCCGCCTTGCATTAGCCTGAGGTGGGAACACCTGGAAACCAGTAGCTGCCCCTTCATGGACCAGGTGCCTTGTGGCCCCTGGACTGTTGACTGAGACACTGACTCACTGGATGAGCAGCTGTGGAGAGTCAGGAGAGGATATGGTAGGAAAAGGAGTAAGAGGCAGGGGTTTTAAGACAAGGATGGTGAAAGGAAGCCCTTTAAACAGTTAAGTGTAGAAAAATTCCTGTTTCTTTAAGAAAGTTCCAGCATTTCATCACAGCAGATTATAATCCTCTTTTTAAAAAACACTAATGTTCAGACCTACTAGTTAGTGGCATAATAGAACATTTAGCCGTCACCTGGCTAAACATTTTTTTATTTAAACTTTTTTTTTAAATTTCTGTGCATATGTAGTAGATGTCTGTATTTATGAGGTGCATGAGATGTTTTGATACAGGCATGCAACGTGAAATAAGCACATCTTGGAGAATGGGGTATCCATCCCCTCAAGCATTTGTCCTTGGAGTTACAAACAATCCAGTTACACTCTTTTAAAGTTATTTTTCAATATACAATTAAGTTATTATTGGCTGTAGTCCCCCTGTTGTGCTATCAAATAGCAGGTCTTCATTCTTTCTATTTGTTTGTACCCAAGCCGTCACTTGGTATTGATGTGAATCCCTCCAGTTCAGTGTTTCCCCCTGGCTCCCCTCACTCCAGTGTGGTGGGAGAGTGCAGGTTCCCTGGCGAGGCAGCACCACCCATACCCTCTGTGCACTGTAGGTTTAAGAACACAGAAGCCATTGGGAACGAAGTGACCCGTCTCGTTCGGTTGGACCCGGGAGCCGTTAGTGATGTGCCTGAAGCAATCAAGGTAGTGTAGCCCACGTACCAGGGCCTGAGTTCAAACTGCACAAAATAGCACACTGCACCCAGAAATGCCTGAAACTAGAAATGAGACAAAAACAGCCGCTTGGCAACTTCAGTGCTATTCATGGTTTTTCTGATTTCCTGTGTTTTCTATTTCTTGTCTGTAGCATTTATTTTGTTCACAGTAGAAAAAAATGTAATGCACTTCACCCTAATTGCAGTTACGTTGTTTTCCATAACACATCAGAAGCATCTTCCCCATGGTTACCGATGCTTAGAAACATCACTTCTCATGGCCGTCCTTGTGTGGCCCGTGGACCAGGTATTTCCAGAGGTCCCGGGACTGCCCAAGCCACAGCATCTCCCCACCTTCTCTGCAGTTCCTGGTCACCTGGCACACCATCGACGCCGATGCTCCAGAGCTCAGCCATGTGCTGTGCTGGGCGCCCACGGACCCACCCACAGGCCTCTCCTACTTCTCCAGCATGTACCCGCCGCACCCTCTCACGGCGCAGTACGGGGTGAAAGTCCTGCGGTCCTTCCCTCCGGTGAGCCCAGGGCCCTGCTGAGCTGGCCTCTGGTAGGACTGTTGGGAGGGGTCTTACCTGGTGAGAGGCACAGGCCCCACCATTGGCCATGAGGTCGCCCCGTTACATACTGGTCCTTTCCCTGTTTTTTGCTCAAGTAGTTGTAGAAGATGGATTTAGTTCTAATTCAAATGTGTTCTCTAGTTACATTTGTTTTTTAATCTAGTGAGGCGTTTGAGTTAAAGACATAAAGTTAACTTGAGTTTGATTACGAGGCGGCGCGGCAGCTGTGCACACCCCACACAGCAGTGCAGCTAGCTGTGCCTTGGAACCCCACAGTGACCTCACCCGTGGAGGGTCCCTCACTCCTTGTGGGAGCCCAGGGAGCCCACGAGATAGCCATGATGATGGTGGAGAAGGGTCTCTGGAATATTCTAGAGTCTGACCCACAGCAGACCATTCCCTGAGGCAGGCTCCCTAGTGAGGAGCACGAGGCCCTCGCCCGCTGTAGAGCGGGAGCCTTGCTCCTTTTACCTGTTTCCTCCATTCCTGTGTTCTGAGCCATCGGTCATTTTGCCTGCCATCCTCTGGGCTTTCCCCAGTTCTCAGCCCTGCTGTGGGCAGAGCAGAAGCAGAGGCAGGGCCTGGGCCGTAGGGTTGGGTGGCTCTGCTCTCAGAAGTCATGGCCAACTCTGCTCCACCTCCACAGGACGCCATCCTCTTCTACATCCCCCAGATTGTGCAGGCCCTCAGGTACGACAAGGTAAGCCTGCACCTGCATGGCCGTCCTCTTCACTCACAGAGTGTGTTCCACACCAGCTTGTGCCCGGTCTGTCCCCAGCCCTCACAGGCTCCTCAGAGCCTCCTCAGGGGCAGGGCTGCCCAGCAGTCCCCTTGCTCCCCCTACCCCAGGCCCTGTGATTGTCCCTTGATACCCATGTTCACCCACTGCCTCACCCTGAGGCCCAAGCATGCTCTGTGGAGCGAGCCGGTTCTGGGGCTGTTGCCAGCCTGGCTAGGCAGCCTGGCCAGGCTTCCCTCTCATCGGTGGGGTCCCCTCAAATCCCTGAATCCTGCCCTCTTCAGCCGGAAGTGGTGAGGAAAATTAACGAGATGACATATGCATTAGTCTGCCAGGGCTGCATAGCGAAGCACCACAGACTGGGCAGCTTAAACGACAGAAATGTCTATTCTCATTCTCAGAATTGTGGAGGCCAAAAAACAAAACAAACAAACAAACAAAAAACATGAATTCTGGAGGCCAGAAGTCCAAGGTCATTGTTCGAACAGGGTTGTTTCCTTCTGAGGCCTGTCTCCCTGGCTTTTTTTTTTTTTTTAAGAGACAGGGTCTCGCTCTGTCACTCAGGCTAGAGTGCAGTGGCGTGATCTCAGCTCACTGCAGCCTCAACCTCTCGGGCTCAAGCTATCCTCCCACCTCAGCACCTTCCCCGCTACCCCTCCCAAGTAACTGGGATGACAGGCGTGTGCGACCACGCCCAGCTAATTTTTGTATTTTTTGTAGAGATGGAGTTTCGCTATGTTGTCCCAGGCTGGTCTCAAACTCCTGAGCTCAGGCAATCTGCCCACCTCCGCCTCCAAAAGTGCTGGGATTATAGGCCTGAGCCACTGTGCCCATCTCCCTGGCTTATTGATAGCCATCTTCTCCCTGAGTCCTTACAGGGTCATCCTTTTGTGTGTGTCTGTGTCCTAATCTCCCCTTATAAGAACACCTGTCATACTAGATTAGGACCCACCCTATTGACCTCATTTTACCTTAATCATCTCTATAAAGACCCTATCTCCAAATACAGTACCATTCTGAGGTCCTGTAACATATGAATTTGAAGGGACACAGTTCAGCCCGTAACAGTATCCATGGACATAAAGTGCTCAGCACAGGTCATGGCACAGAAAATATCCATGGGAATGACCACAGCCAGGAGCCCGAGCCGCCTCTGCCCTCGCGCCAGCCTGCCCACTGCACCCTGTGTCTGAGTGCAGCTTGTCTGCCCTATTCCCCAACCCCAGGGCTGACCTCATTTCCCTGGATGAATTGGGCAGCAGACTCCATGTGTCCTGGCTGAGTCCTCACCACTCTGGCCCACCTGTGGGCTGGCTGAGTTACATGGCTGGGTGTCCCAGGGGCTAGCCTTGGAGTCTGTAGACCAAAGTGCTTCTAGAACAGCAGCCAGCCTCTGCTGAAAGACTGAGTCCTGTGGAATCATTCACTGCCCTCACTAGGTAGTGCCACACTCTCTGCGCCTCTGAGTGGTGATATGTGTGGAGCCACACTCACCAAGCCGGAGCCTTCACACTGGTGGCAACTTACAGGATTGTCATGAGGCACCTTCTCTTCAGCAACCTGTTTCCTTCCCCCTGGCTCCCCTCCCACATTATTTTCCCTTGACTGCTTGGCTCTCTGCTTGCATACAGGCCTAGCATAAGGGTGAGATCCAGAGGCAGTGGGGAGGGGAGCCAGTACCCAGGGCCTCCGTGTGAACTCTTGGTGGTGGCTACCAGAGAAAGGCCGCCTGAAATGATTCTTCTGTGTGTGGTTGTACCAACTCAGGACTCAGCTAGTTTCACTGGTTTCTTTCTTGCTTTCCATTTTTAGGGAATTTTTTTTTGTTCGTTTTGTTTTGTTTTAGACAGAGTCTCGCTCTGTTGCCCAGGCTGCAGTGCAGTGGCATTCTCGGCTCCTTGCAGCCTCTGCCTCCCAGATTCAAGCAGTTCTCCTGCCTCAGCCTCCCAAGTAGCTGGGATTGAAGGTGCATGCCACCACGCCCGGCTTATTTTTTGTATTTTTAGTGGAGACAGGGTTTCACCATGTTGGCCAGGCTGGTCTCAAAACTCCTGACCTCAGGTGATTCACCTGCCTTGGCATCCCATAGTGCTAGGATTACAGGCATGAGCCACTGCGCTCAGCCAGAATTTTTTTTTTTTTTTAGACAGAGTTTCGCTCTTGTTGCCCAGGCTGGAGTGCAATGGTGTGATCTCAGCTCACTACAACCTCTGCCTCCCAGGTTCAAGCACTTTTCCTGCCTCAGCCTCCCAAGCAGCTGTGATTACAGGCATGTGCCACCACACCTGGTTAATTATTTTAATTAATTAATGGCTAGGCGCAGTGGCTCACGCCTGTAATCCCAGCACTTTGGGAGGCTGAGGCGGGCGGATCACGAGGTCAGGAGATCGAGACCATACTGGCTAACAGAGTGAAACCCCGTCTCTACTAAAAATGCAAAAAATTAGCCAGGTGTGATGGCGGGAGCCCGTAGTCCCAGCTACTTGGGAGGCTGAGGCAGGAGAATGGCATGAACCCGGGAGGCAGAGCTTGCAGTGAGCCAAGATCATGCCACTGCTCTCCAGCCTGGGCTATACAGTGAGACTCCGTCTCAAAAAAATAATAAATATTTATTTATTTATTGAGATAGAGTCTTTGTTGCCCAGGCTGGAGTGCAGTGGCACGATCACGGCTCACTGCAACCTCCACCTCCCAGGTTCAAGTGATTTTCCTGCCCCAGCCTCCCGAGTAGCTAGGATTACAAGCGTGTACCACCACGCCTGGCTAATTTTTATATTTTTAATAGAGACAGGGTTTCACCATGTTTGCCAGGCTGGTCTCGAACTCCTAACCTCAGGTGATCCACCTGCCTTGGCCTCCCAAAGTGCTGGGATTACGGGCGTGAGCCACCACACCCAGCCTATTTTTGTATTTAATAGACATGAGGTTTCCCCATGTTGGTCAGGCTGGTGTCAAACTCCTGACCTCAGGTGATCCACCTGCCTCGGCCTCCCAAAATGCTGGGATTACAGGCGTGTGCCACCACACCCAGCCTGGAATATTTTTTAAGTTTAAAAAAATTTATATCACTATGGCAATACAAATGTATATACATATTTGTTTATACTTTTACAAAAAAAGGGAACAGTAGGCCGGGCGCGGTGGCTCACGCTTGTAATCCCAGCACTTTGGGAAGCCGAGGCGGGTGGATCACGAGGTCAGGAGATCGAGACCATCCTGGCTAACACGGTGAAACCCCGTCTCTACTAAAAATACAAAAAAAGATTAGCCAGGCTTGGTGGGCACCTGTAGTCCCAGCTACTCGGGAGGCTGAGGCAGGAGAATGGCGTGAACCCGGGAGGCGGAGCTTGCAGTGAGCTGAGATTGCACTCCAGCCTGGGAGACAGAGCGAGACTCTGTCTCAAAAAAAAAAAGGAACAGTAAATCAAAAGTTAATAAAAATGGCCAAAGAGGGAGAGATCAGGATGGAACTGACAGATATGTACCATATTTAATAATTTTGACTTTGGAACTCTGTCAGTGTTTACATAATTAAAAAGCAAACTTATATTTAAAAACACTACACATTGAACATTCATAGTTTGTCTTTAGATCCATTTGCCGGGTTAGAATTGGGAAACCCAAAGTGAAGACTTCTGCCTGTGTGGTAAGACCACCCCCGACTCACCCAGGTCAAAAATGTCCATCCAAGGGACACTTCACCAGATCAGTGGCCACAGACTCCAGGAGGCTGCCCAGAAAGGCCAGCTCACCTTTTTAAACCTAGGGCATGGAATTAAAACTGGAGTTTCAAAACTTATGGCTCTAGGAACAAAAAAAATTTTTTTAATTAAAAAGAAAAACTGGAGTTACTACTATGAGTGGCGGAAAATGACCAAGAAGGAAGAGGAGGATAGGTCCTTAGGATGGTGACCACAGTTGTGTATATTAGTCCATTTTCACACTGCTATAAAGAACTTCCTGGCCAGGTGCGGTGGCTCATAACTGTAATTCCAGCACTTTGGGAGGTTGAGGTGGGTGGATCACCTGAGGTGAGGAGTTCAAGACCAGCCTGAACAACATGGCGAAACCCTGTCTCTACTAAAAATACAAAAATTAGCCAGATGTGGTGGTGTGCGCCTGTAATCCCAGCTACTCGGGAGGCTGAGGCAAGAGAATTGCTTGAACCTGGGAGGTGGAGGTTGCAGTGAGCTGAGATTGTACCACTGCACTACAGCCTGGGTGACAGACCGAGACTCTGTCTCAAAAACAAACAAACAAACAAAAAAACTTCCCGAGACTGGGTAATTTATAAAGGAGGCTTAATTGACTCACAGTTCCACGTGGCTGGGGAGGCCTCAGGAAACAGAATCATGGTGGAAGGGGAAGTAGGTCCGTCTTACCTGGCAGCAAGCGAAAGAGAGCAAGTGTGTGTGTAGGAGGAACTGTCAAACATTTATAAAACCATCAGATCTCCTGAGAACTCATTCGCTGTCATGAGATCAACAAGGGGGAACCGTCCCCATGATCCAGTCACCTCCCACCAGGTCTCTTCCTCAACACCTGAGGATTACAATTCAAGATGACATTTGGGTGGGGACACAAAACCTAATCATATCAGTGTGTCAGTTTGTGAAGGAGGTATCTCTGCATGTTTCTGGAACCTGTCTGTCACTTTGGAACATTGTTCTAAACAACCAGCTCACAAGTGAGTTTTTAGTACCCAGCCTGCTTTTTCTCGTACTTGACAACTCCAGAAATTGGTTTGAGAGTTGTGCTTCTTAAACCCATGGGAAGACACAGAGGAGACAAAGGCTGACTGTCGCCCGCTTTGCAACCCTGCCCCCCAGGTCCCAGCCCCCAGCCAGCTGGAACTTGGCCTGGCCACTGGCTGGACTCAACATCAATCCTGGAGAGCTTGTCCACACCACTAGAGCCACCGGGCCTTACCCTTGCCTGGTCTACCAAATGCCGGGAGTCAGCAGCTGCTGACAAGGCCCTCCTCATGGAGAGGGCCGAGCCTGGCTGACAGGGACCTTGCTCTCCTGCAGATGGGCTATGTGCGGGAGTATATTCTGTGGGCAGCGTCTAAATCCCAGCTTCTGGCACACCAGTTCATCTGGAACATGAAGACTAACATTTATCTAGATGAAGAGGGCCACCAGAAAGACCGTGAGTATTTTGTCCTCCCACAGGCCTCACTTACTGTCTTCAGTGCACTGCCAAGCACCTTCTACAGCCCCCAGGGCTCTCGCCAGCCTGCACTGCCCCAGCTCACCGACCCCTCCACTCCCACCCTTTGCTGGGGCACTTCTCACCTTTCAGCACACAGGGGAGCAGGACCCCTCCTTCATGACACCTTTGCTAACTTGCTGTCCGATGCCACCCTGCACTCCCAAGTGCGAGTGAGACCCTTCTGCTCCAGTGGCTGCTTCTGCAGAGTCTCCATGGTCAACACAACTGTGACTGCATGTGAGGAAGGGGCCGTCAGCCCAGGGCAGCGGTTCCCAAATAGCACAGCCTCAGGACCCCTGCACTGTCAGAAATGTTTATTGAGGTCCTCAAAGAGCGCTGTTTAATGTGAGCATTAGCTGTCAGTGTTAACGAGTATTAGAGATTAAGACAGAATTTCAGAAAATGTAAGCCCATTCATTACATGTTAATATAAATAACATCTTTTTGGGAAAATAACTTTCCCCAAAAAACTAAAAAATGAGCCAAAAGAGTGGCATTTCCTTGTAGAAGACGGCTGGATTCTCATTCTCGTTCCACTTCTGCAGTTGATCTGTTGCAGTGTTGTTTCAGTTGAAGTGAATGTAGTTGAAAAAGGAAGTTGTATGTTAGTAGTCTCTCAGGTCATTGTGGAGATTCTTTTTGATACTGCACCACACTTGAGAAGTGGTAGCTTTTGTTTTATTTTTTTAGAGGCAGGGTCCCTCTCCCAGGCAGGAATGCAGTGGCGCAATCACGGCTCACTGCAGCCTTGACCACCTGGGCTTAAGCGATCCTCCTGCCTCATCCTCCCAAGTAGCTGAGACTATAGGTGCACGCCACCACGACTGGCTAATTTTTAATTTTTTGTAGCTCAGCCTAGCTTCTTAATGATTACTTGCAGTCTGGGCATGGTGGCTCATGCTTGTAATCCCAACACTTTGGGAGGCCAAGGCAGGAGGATCGCCAAAAAAAAGGTTAATTGCAGTGTGGCATCTTAAACTTGGCAGTAAACTTCTCATGCTGTGTTTTGTTCAAGTCTGTCTACGTCGCACCTGGACCCACAAAAGCTTTTATAACATCAAACGGTGGGCATTTGTAAAATATAGGCCAGTGAGTTATGCACATCTTTCAAAGGTTGATGCATTTCTTTGTACAGTGTGGAAAAATCATATTTGTTCACATCTGCCAGTCTTACCAGAAAGGGTTTTTTTTTTTTTTTTTTTTTTTTTTGAGACAGAGTCTTGATTAGTCGCCCAGGCTGGAGTGCAGTGGCACGATCTCGGCTCACTGCAAGCTCCGCCTCCCAGGTTCACGCCATTCTCCTGCCTCAGCCTCCCGAGTAGCTGGGACTACAGGCGCCTGCCACCACGCCTGCTAATTTTTTTGTATTTTCAGTAGAGACGGTGTTTCACCATGTTAGCCAGGATGGTCTCAATTTCCTGACCTTGTGGTCCACTCACGTCGGCCTCCCAAAGTGCTGAGATTACAGGCATGAGCCACCACGCCCGGCCCAGAAAGAGTTTTTAAGGGAAGCTGTTGAGCTCACAGCAGCAGATCCAAGTTTTCCAAAAAAATGTTTCAGTTCCTTTGAGTGGAAGATTTATTTTTTGTTCATTTTCAGGAAAACATCTGCCACATCCCTAAGTCTGAATAGCTATATGTTGTCTGTCAGTCATTTCTTCAAGTAAAAACAAAGGTCTGTGAAAAAGGTTAGTCCAGGCTCCAAAATCAGACAAGCTCCAGGTGCTTCTCAGGACAGCGCCTGCCTTAGATGCGGCAAGAGTGCTTCGTGCACATCCCATTTCATCACAAAGGATACTTTAAAAGCCAGATGTGGTGATGCGCACCTGTAGTCCCACCTACTAGCTGTAGTCCCAGCAACTCAGGTGACTGAGACAGGAGGATCTCTTGAGCCCAGGAATTTAAATTCAGCCTGGGATTTGAATAGTGAGAGGCACTATTTAATATAGAGCCCCGCCCACTGTGTGCCTCTATTAAAAAAAAAAAAAGACATGTATTCAGGGTAGAGTTTAATAAGAATTAGTTTTCATTGCTTCACCTGTGACATTCATAAATGACACGGGCTTTTTTCTCCCTGCGTGTGCAGCAGTGAGGATTCTATGCCCTGTGACATTCATAAATGACACGGGCTTTTTTCTTCCTGCGTGTGTAGCGTGTGCAGCAGTGAGGATTCCACGTCCACTTGTGCGCTTGGCCCCTGCCTTGAGCTCCGCTTAGGCACCAGCTTAGCTTCCCAGCAGCGTCAGCTGTGTCAACACAGCAAAAGGGGCACACGGCAGCTGTTATGGTCTCACCAAGCCTGCAGAGCATACTCTGGGCACTGCCAGTCTGGGGCCTGGGAAACAGGGCTGGTATTCCTGAGGGGCCTCTGCCACAGCCACAGAGACTTAAGCCTCTTTGCTTCCTTGGCAGCTGACATCGGCGACCTCCTGGATCAGTTGGTAGAGGAGATCACAGGCTCCTTGTCCGGCCCAGCGAAGGACTTTTACCAGCGGGAGTTTGATTTCTTTAACAAGATCACCAACGTGTCGGCTATCATCAAGTAAGTGCAGTGCTTCAGAAACCACCTTCTGGGATCTCCTTCCAGTCCCTGCAGCTTAACAGAATTGCCTGGGAAGCTTTAAAAATACCCGTGCCTGGCCCCAACCAGATGAATGAGAGTCTCTAGCAGCGGGGCCGCTGGTGGTTCTGATGGACAGCCAGGGTGGGTGGGGAAGCACTGCTTGGGGTGAGCCAGGGCTCTTGAAGGTATGGCAGAATGCACGGCCACGCCAGTTTCAGGAAACACAGCTTAGTTTCATTCCTGAGGTTTGTGGAATTTAGCACATGGCTCCACAATTTGAGGCCACCCTGCCCTCTCCACACTTTGAAGGATCGATCCTCATGGTGTCAGGAAAACCAGACTGCCTTTGCAGGTCCTGTCATCGTTTTCCTAGACCTTCCATTCATGTGGACCTGACACCATCCTTGGATGTTGATGGCTTTGTGCATTCATAAGGGATGAAACCCTGGAGTCATCAATGCTGGGCACGCTGGCTGGGCTGTCTCCAGTGCTTACACTGCTCTGACCTTGGTCACTTTGAGGTCCTTTTCTGGGCTGGGTGCTGAGAATAGCAGTGCTGGCAGCTTCTAACCCACGAGATGAAGGACGGGAGCTAGCGTTTCCTGGGTGGCAGCAGGTGGCAGGCATTATTACCCCCACCACCCCCAGCCACACACCCCCGCACACAGCAGGGGCAGAGCCTGCCAGAAAACAGCCCTTCCGGGGCTGTCGGGGATTCTCCATGAGGAATGCAGGGCAAGAATCGCTGCCAGTGGTGCCTGGCTGCGCTAGGAGCAGCTAGAGCCGGGAAGAGAGGGACAGAGAGGGCAATCCAGGCAGGAGGGGCCCTGGGCTGTCCCCCAGCAGCCAGTTCCTCCAGGAGACAAAGCAAGAATTTCTTTCCTGTTTCTCAGGCCCTACCCTAAAGGCGACGAGAGAAAGAAGGCTTGTCTGTCGGCCCTGTCTGAAGTGAAGGTGCAGCCGGGTGAGCAGGTGGCTTCTGGAGGCTCAGACCAACCTCTTCCTGCAGGCGGGCGGCGGGGCGTGAAGGCTGCTGCCCTCTCCAGGCACTGCAGGATGTGGACACAGTGGCTTGGCCAGCCCCACACCTGCTTGGGCCCACGGTGCCTGGTGCCCCAGGACCCCAGCCCCTCCCCAGAATCTGCCGCTAGTGAGCGGGAGCTGCTCGTCAGTGGGTGCCCTTCATCTTCCTTGCTGCCTGCTGTTTTTCTGGAGGCTGACAGTGACCTCAGTAGCTGTTACTCTAGAAGAGGGTTCCTAGGCTCCAGCATTACAGGAGCAGGTCACACAGACGAGGGGATGGCGGGCCCAGTGTGGGACGGCTCAGGTGTGCTGGGACCCATCAGCACCACCCCCCCACCGCCTCCATGGGAAGTCGCTCCTGGGTGCCTGTGGCTGTGGCCACATGGGAATTCAAGCTGAGCTTTTCAAGAGAAGATGGAAATCCAGACTTCACTGGGCAGCTCTCTCTCCATTTCTTTTTTTGTTGTTGTTTTTTTGAGATGGAGTTTCGCTGTGTCGCCTCAGCCTCCCGAGTAGCTGGGACTGCAGGCACCCGCCACCACACCCGGCTAATTTTTTTGTATTTTTAGTGGAGTCAGAGTTTCACCGTGTTAGCCAGGATGGCCTCAATCTCCTGACCTTGTGATCTGCCCGCCTCGGCCTCCCAAAGTGCTAGGATTACAGGCATGAGCCACTGTGCCCGGCCTCTCTCTGCATTTCTAACTATTGGCACAAACTTGTCTTCCAAACTCTGTCCTGTGCAGATGTTCACAGCGGCTGGTCTCAGCTGTGGAGTGCCCTGCAGGACCCCGGTTTAACCATTTCTTCCCAACACATTGTGTTGAGCTCACACAACAGCACGGCTTCCCAGAGAGGGCAGGACATGTATGCAGGGCCTCTGTTCCCGCATCGGGAAGGCCACAACTGCTGGGGAGGGGCAAAAAGAGCTGGAAGCATTGTACTGCAGGGGGCATGCACAGAAGTCCCCAGCCCCTGGCTCTAGATTGTGTTGGCTGAGTCTTGCCCCAGAGGTCAGGGAAGCCAGCAGGGCTCTAGCAGGAGAGCACAGAGGGGCCTGAGTGTGAGCCACAGCCTGGAGCAGGAAGAAGGGCAGGTGAGGAAGAGGAGGAGATGGCATGCCCCCCTCTCCCTGTACCCCACAGCAAGGCCAAGCTTGGCTCCCCTCAAAGCCCACCTCTCAGGGCTCAAGGAGCACACATCCCCCTTGGGGACTGGCAGTTCCTTGGCCAGAAACAGGCTTTCCCTTGTCCTCTTATTTCACACATTTACTGAGCACTCACTGAGAAAGGGGAGCCTGGGCCGGGTGCGGTGGCTCATGCCTGTAATCCCAGCACTTTGGGAGGCCAAGGCAGGTGGATCACCTGAGGTCAGGAGATCAAGACCATCCTGGCTAACACGGTGAAACCCCGTCTCTACCAAAAATACAAAAAATCAGCCGGGTGTGGTGGCGGGCGCCTGTAGTCCCAGCTACTCGGGAGGCTGAGGCAGGAGAATGGCGTGAACCCGGGAGGCAGAGCTTGCAGTAAGCCAAGATTGCGCCACTGCGCTCCAGCCTGGATGACAGTGCAAGACTTGGTCTCAAAAAAAAAAAACTAACCAGGCATGGTGGCGCGTGCCTGTAATCCCAGCTACTTGGGAGGCTGAGAACAAGAATCACTTGAACCCAGGAGGTGGAGGTTGCAGTGAGCCGAGATTGCACCACTGCACTCCAGCCTGGGTGACAGAGTGAGACTCTATCTCAAAAAAGCAAAAACAAGAAAAGAAAAGGCATGACATTAGGTATTGTAGCTGTTAAAAAGATGAGTAAGACATGGTCCCTGAGCTGAAGAAGCTTGAACTCACAGAGATATAAAATAAACATAAAGAAACAATGTTGGCCGGGCGCGGTGGCTCATGCCTTAATCCCAGCACTTTGGGAGGCCAAGGCGGGTGGATCACCTCAGGTAAGGAGTTCCAGACCAGCCTGGCCAACTTGGTGAAACCCCGTCTCAACTAAAAGTACACAAATTAGCCAGGCGCGGTGGCAGGCGCCTGTAATTCCAGCTACTCGGGAGGCTGAGGCAGGAGAATCGCTTGAACCCGGGAGGCGTAGGTTGCAGTGAGCTGAGACCGAGCCACTGCACTCCAGCCTGGGCGACAGAGTAGGACTCCGTCTCAAAAAGAAAAAAAGAAACGTCTTAGACAAAAGTCCTAAAGGCTGGGAGAACCAAGGACAGTTCATGGACATAGTGACATTTAAGTAAGCCTTTTGAGAGAGTAGTATTCAAATGGGTAAGGAAGGCCAGGCGCAGTGGCTCACACCTGTAATCCCAGCACTTGGGAGGCCAAGACAGGTGGATCACTTGAGGTCAGGAGTTTGAGACCAGCCTGGCCAACATGGTGAAACCCCATCTCTACTAAAAATACAAAAATTAGCCAGGCATGGTGACAGGCGCCTATAATCCCAGCTACTCAGGAGGCTGAGGCAGAAGAATTGCTTGAACCTGGGAGGCGGAGGTTGCAGTGAGCCAAGATCGCACCACTGCACTCCAGCCTGGGTGACAGAGTGAGACTCTATCCAAAAAAAAAAAAAAGGACTCCAAGAATGGAGGGCTGTTCAGAGGGTTGCTCAGGCAGGTGGAGGCAGGACAGGCCTCACACGCACCCCCAGAAGCAGTAGGGCTGTATCCGTGAGGATGGGGCTCAGTGCTCCTCCAGGAAGAGCATTTCCCAGAAGGTGCAGACTTATTTGGTTGATGGCTGGAAGAGTCGAAGAGTCAAGGAGGACGGACCCTTAGCGGCCATGGAATAATAAGTTAGTGGTGCCCTGGACAAGGACCAGAGGCCCCTCCACAGGGGCGGGGTGTGCCTGCAGGGTGGACACGCATGTAACATCCGTGTTGGAAACTGACTCTGGCTCACCTGTGGTGACACATGCACTCCCTGTGACTGCCTCTGTCCCTGCACAGGCTGCTACCTGCCCAGCAACCCTGAGGCCATTGTGCTGGACATCGACTACAAGTCTGGGACCCCGATGCAGAGGTGGGCGCCTCACCCTACCCATCCCCCACTTCCACGCGTCCGCGTGCGAAGTTTTTCTCGGCTGCATCATGGGTGCCACATTCTTTTTGTTGTTTTCAGTGCTGCAAAAGCCCCATATCTGGCCAAGTTCAAGGTGAAGCGATGTGGAGTTAGTGAACTTGAAAAAGAAGGTCAGTAAAGAACCCTGATTTTGTTTGGGAGCTCAGTGCTTTTCCTTGCTAATGCCAGTTTCTTCTGGCATGTGTTAAATTTAGTATAGCTCTCCATAAAAGATGATGTCTGTCCATCTGTCTGCCCTCACTCAGTCAGATCCCTCATTGGGGGATGGCAGGGAGCTCAAATGCACTGACAGATGTGCCACCCCAGAGGTCTGTCTGCCGTGAGTCAGCTGGCATGCTCCAGCAGGCTCCTTCCTGAGGCTGAGGGGCCCGGGGCTGTTGGGGGGTGTTAGTTTCCCAGGGCTACCGTACGGACGATCTCAGTTCTGGAGGCTGGAGTCCATCATCAGGGCCGTGCCCCCTCTGAAGGCTCTGGGCAGGTCACACCTTGCCTCCTCAGCTTCTGGTGGTGTTGCCAGCAGTCCTGGCACTCCTTGGCCTGCAGATGCTCCACTCCCATCTCCGCCTCCCTCTTCACATGATGATCTCCCTTGAAGGACATCAGTCATTGGATTAGGGACTGTCCTAATCCACTGTGACCTTGTCTTAACCTAATTACATCTGCAAAGACCCTGTTTCCAAATAAGGACACATTTTAAGGTTTGGGGTGAACATGAATTTTAGGGAGACACTCTTCAACCCAGTACAGACGGTGTGGCCAGCTGTGGAGAGGGGGCTGCCACCCCTTGCAGGGACCTGCCTCCCATGGCCATGTCTGCACGCTGGCCCCGAGCCCTCCCAGGACCCCAGTGTACAGACACATTCCTCCTGCCCCCTAGCTCACAGCACCCAACACTGACCCAGGCACACCTGGGTCTTCACTGCAGATGAAATGGGGCTCTGTTTTTAGTTCCATTTAAGCCTAAATGTTCTTAGACTCCAACCCTGGATTCCACCTGCTGTTCCAAGGCTTTCCTTGGGCCCTGCTGGGCTCCTCCTTGGCCTCCTTGGGGTTTTGAAGAAGTGATCCCCAAGATTGCTGGGGTTCCTTTCAGGCATGTGAGAGGACTCATCCCTGGCCCCCTCAGAGGGCTTCTCACTGCCTACAGGCTAACAGCGGCCTCTCTCCCTGCGGGCAGGTCTGCGGTGCCGCTCAGACTCCGAGGATGAGTGCAGCACGCAGGAGGCCGACGGCCAGAAGATCTCCTGGCAGGCAGCCATCTTCAAGGTGGGAGACGACTGCCGGCAGGTAAGCAGGGTCAGGCCTCGAGTAGGCTTGGGGACTGGGCTTGCTGCTCCCCAAGGCTCCAGGCCCGCCAGAGTCCAATCTCATATGCAGAAATGTGAATCTTTTCCTTCTCTTATATGGTTCAGGTGCCACGGGGTAAATTAGGGCTTCTGCAAAACCCAGAGGCCTCTCCTTCCAGCCCCTTTCCCACTGTCCCCGCCATGCCAGTGCCCACCTGAGGGAACTGTCCAGGGGTTGGGTGCCTTATCTCACACACCCCACCAGACAGCTCAGCCTCATGCTCAGCCCAGGGCCTGGTGGTCCCAGCAGCCTGAGTCCAGCCCCCGGTGGTCAGAAAGGAAGGCCTTCCAGACTCTTGCTCGGCTGTGGTCTCCCCACCTCACTCCATCTCTGGGTGCTTGGCTTTTGCCCTGCATGAGCCAGAAGAGCTGCTGGGGTGCAAGGACGCCAACTGACCGCATCCTGCGCCTCCCGGCTTCCCAGGACATGCTGGCCCTGCAGATCATCGACCTCTTCAAGAACATCTTCCAGCTGGTCGGCCTGGACCTCTTTGTTTTTCCCTACCGCGTGGTGGCCACTGCCCCTGGGGTAAGTTCCCTGAGTGGAGCCAGTAGGGCAGCCCTGGGCACCTCGCACCCAGCGGGCCTCAGAACTGGCCTTTCCTCCTAGTGCGGGGTGATCGAGTGCATCCCCGACTGCACCTCCCGGGACCAGCTGGGCCGCCAGACAGACTTCGGCATGTACGACTACTTCACACGCCAGTACGGGGATGAGTCCACTCTGGCCTTCCAGCAGGTAGCCAGGGTGGCCACAGGCCGGGGGAGGTCGTGTGTGCTCCACCCCACCCCAGCCACCCATACCCAGCCTCCACCCACACCCTGCTCTCCTCAGTCATCCTTTGTTAAGGGTTAAAACCAGGGCACCTGGGCCGGGCACGGTGGCTCACACCTGTAATCCTAGCACTTTGGGAGGCCGAGGCGGGCAGATCACGAGGTCAAGAGATCAAAACCATCCTGGCCAAAATGGTGAACCCTGTCTCTACTAAAAATACAAAAATTAGCTGGGCATAGTGGCACGCGCCTGCAGTCCCAGCTACTCAGGAGGCTGAGGCAGGAGAATCGCTTGAACCCAGGAGGCAGAGGTTGCTGTGAGCCAAGATTGCGCCACTGCACTCCAGCCTGGGCAACAGAGTGAGACTCCATCTCAAAAAAAAAAAAACACAAAAAAACCAGGGCACCTGGCCGGGCGCAGTGCTCACGCCTGTAATGCCAGCACTTTGGGAGGCCAAGATGGGCAGATCATGAGGTCAAGAGATCGAGACCATCCTGACCAACATGGTGAAACCCCATCTCTACTAAAAGTAAAAAAATTAACTGGGCATGGTGGTGGGCACCTGTAGTCCCAGCTACTCGGGAGGCTGAGGCAGGAGAATCTCTTGAACCCAGGAGGCAGAGGTTGCAGTGAGCCAAGATCATGCCACTGCACTCCAGCCTGGCGACAGAGCGAGACTCCATTTAAAAAAAAAACACCAGGGCATCTGTAAGCCACTTTGGGAGTCAAAAGAATGTAGGGCTGGGTTGGACTCCTTAGAAGAAAGTTAAGTTCTGAGTGTGGGAGGAAGTGCCTGCACGCCCACTTCCACAGAGAGCCCCTGTCACTCCTGCTACCGAAGACTGGCTTGCTGATTCGGGCTCTGCTTCCACAGTGGGGGTACAGAGCCAGGGAGAGTGCCCACAGGCCCAGGGATCCTGGGTGTGGGACCAGGGAGAATGCCCACAGGCCCCAGGGCCTTTTTGAGCCCAGGGCGCTCTCTGCACAGGCCCGCTACAACTTCATCCGAAGCATGGCCGCCTACAGCCTCCTGCTGTTCCTGCTGCAGATCAAGGACAGACACAACGGCAACATTATGCTGGACAAGAAGGGTCATATCATCCACATCGGTCAGCCAGCCACAGCGCCACCCTCCTCTCCCTTCACCCCTGGCACCCAGGGGTGGATAGGGATCCCCACCCCACAGAGAGGAGAATGCCCAGGACCACCCTGCCAGGAGTGTCAGGGTCCAGCTCTGAGGTCCGAACTGTCGGCCACCAAGCTGTTCTGCTGTAGAGGGTGCCTGGCCCCGGCCCCAGGGAGCTAGGGCGAGAGCCGCCATTGCTCTGAGTCAGAAGCTGGAGCTGGGCGGAGTGGGGCTGGTCCAGGTTCAGTGCCCCAGCTTGGCTCCTTCCTCCACTTCCTCCCTTCTCTTTCTCTGCCTGCTGCCCCACCACCCACCCCATCACTGTCTCCAAGAAAACACAACCTGCCTGTTGGGGGTGGAGGGGGTGCTCCTGTTGCAGTCCTTTTCCACTCCTCAAAACAGACCACTTGTCCTTGCCCGCCCTGGCTCCTACCCAGTCACAGGCAGCTCTTTGGGGTTTTGCAGACTTTGGCTTCATGTTTGAAAGCTCGCCGGGCGGCAATCTCGGCTGGGAACCCGACATCAAGCTGACGGATGAGATGGTGATGATCATGGGGGGCAAGATGGAGGCCACACCCTTCAAGTGGTTCATGGAGATGTGTGTCCGAGGCTACCTGGCTGTGCGGTGAGCCTGGGTGAGGGCCAGGGTGGAGGCGGAGGGGGTGTGTGGAACGTTCTGAGATCCCCTTTAGGATGAAGGGAATCCGGTTCCAGAGAGTGAGGTAGGTGCTAGCAGCCACCTGCTGACCTACACCTGTCCTTTGGTCACCTCTGTCTGCCCACCTGTGCCAGTAAATTCTTGCTCTGGACATCTAATTCCAACCACCTTCCCCACGATCCTGCCCACGCCTTCAGCCATGGGCTCTCCCTTTCTGGGCATCCCATCCACCCTGTCACCAAAGCCTGAGCACCTGCCACCCCACAGGCTACGTGCCAAAGATGGGCTTTGTCCCAGTTTCATATACAGGTCACTTGGCCAAGGCCACAGTCCAACCTGGGTTCATCCCCACTGCCCTGCAGAGAAAGGCAGGTCAGCGTGTCTGCATCCCACCCAAGTGCAGAAGCCATGGCCGGCAGCCTTATGTGGGGGACAGGGCAGGACACTCAGCCTGTCCAGAGTGCGTGTGGGCAGCCCTTGCCTGGGCGGTATGGGTTACCAAGTGCAGCAGATCGAAAGTTGCCTCGGGGATGTGCAAGATGTGGCAGGCGAGGTGGGTGGCAGGAGCCCACACCTGAGGCTGTTGGCATCAGCCAGTCCACAGGACTACAGGCAGGGCCACCACCTAGGCTGGCCTCAGCCCACCGCTCCCTCCTATCTCTCCCCAGGCCCTACATGGACGCGGTCGTCTCCCTGGTCACTCTCATGTTGGACACGGGCCTGCCCTGTTTTCGCGGCCAGACAATCAAGCTCTTGAAGTAGGTTCCTTGGTGGACACGCAGGCCATCTGGGGGACAGTTGTCCATTAGCTGAGGCTCCATCCAAGATAGGTACCTTTCATGTAATTGTCACTGTGGTTGTCATCTCCTTGGAACCTCAGAGCAGACAGGGTTCTTGGGTGAGGCTCTGCCCCTAGACCACAACTGTGAGGGGCCCCTGCTTGTGCCGGCCACACCAGAGACCCACCCAGGGGCCTCTTTATGTCAAGGATGCTACGCCCAACCCACCTCCACCCTAAGGTCTGGGGCTGCAGTAGCTTAGCTCCCCAATGCTTAGTCCCCTAATGCCATGGGGCCACTCAGGTGATGCTGGGAAGGGGACAGGGCCCATGATAGGCCAGGCGTGGCCTTCACAGCACCCCATCTTCCAACATGTGGACCCCAAAGGTACATTTCCAGGGCGTGGCTCTCAGCTGAAGTCCGTCCCCATGGAAGACCCTCCTCCCACTGGGCCAGGGAGCCAGCACGGCCCTGCCCATGGCAGCCCTGACACAGCCTCTCCCCCAGGCACAGGTTTAGCCCCAACATGACTGAGCGCGAGGCTGCAAATTTCATCATGAAGGTCATCCAGAGCTGCTTCCTCAGCAACAGGTGAGTGCCCCGCCCCCCTGCCTTCTCCCACTGCCTCGGTGGCCACTGGGCACCTGCAGGGCCTTGCCTGCACCAGGCGATGAGGATTCTGCTGTCCCCAAGCCGCCCCTCTCATGAAGACCCAAGTCTTGACAGGAGCTCTTGAGGAGCAGTGGGGTGCTGGTTTAGGGGGCTGTGGTGTGCCGAGGGGAACACTTGGCAGAGGCCGGGCCCACCTGGGCAGGGCTCGTGAGGCCGAAGGAGCAATAGGGACACAAGGCCAGGAGTATTAGAACTGAGTGTGGTGTCAGGCCTCCCTCCTCCCAGGAGGGCTGAGGAGTCAGAGCCCACTCCTTCCCTGCGCCTGCCTCGGGCTGCTTCGTGGGCAGTGACTGGAGGTGCAGGCCGGGCTGCTGGTCACTACTGTGGTGGGAGGAGATGGGTGCAGGGGGCCCTGGGGAGGGCTGGCTCAGGGTCTGAAGGCAGAGCACCGGGCTGACAGGCTCCCTGCTGTGGGAGTCAGAGGTGGCTTTGAGGGGTCCGGCCTGAACAAAGGGAGGATGGCGATCCCAGCAAGTGAGCCATCCCCGAAGGGGGCAGCACTTAAACATGTGGGGTTGGTAAGGCCCTGAGGGGCATGTGGGAGCCCAAGGCTGTGCCATGGGACAGACCACATTCACAGACTAGGAGGAGGGGCCCAGGTGTGGCCATCTGCATGGGGAACTGCCGGAGGAGCGTGAGAGGAAGCTGAGACCTGCCCCCAGGTGGCGCCCGGGTCCGGCACCCTAACAAGGGCACTGTGGAGGCTGGGCACGGAAGGAGCTCTTGCTGATAGGAAGCAGAGAAGCCAGGCGGCCAGGACCTCAAGAGGGGCTGGGGCAGGGCGAGAAGGGGCTCTCCAGAGGTGCGAGGAGAGCGTACAGACCCCTTGGAGGCATCTGGCCAGGACGAGCCAAGGGGCCCGAGTCCCATGGGGCAGAGCAGTGGCTCCCACGGATGGAAGCGGTTTGGCTGAGGAGCATGAGGTGGCCTCGGAGTCCCCCGGGTTGGAGCAGGAGATGTGGTCACTGGGTGGGGGAGGGCACGCCTGGGACATTTGTACCTTCAGGTGCTGGGCAGCCATAAGGGGCTGATTGGACAGGTAGGGCTCCCTGTGGGGAGGGACCCCAGACCCTGCTGGCTCCTCGAATCTCCCTTCACTCTTCCTTGGCCTTTCAGGAGCCGGACCTACGACATGATCCAGTACTATCAGAATGACATCCCCTACTGAGGAGGGGACCTTCGAGGGCCTCTGCCCCATGTGCCCTCAAAGCTGTCCCACAATCATGGAGCCCTGCGACCTCCCTGCCCTGCCGCCACATGCAGTGGAGGAGAGGCCTGTGGCCCAAAGAACCTGGTAGCGCCTCCTGGGGCAGCACGTGGGTGGCGCAGCCTTGGTAACGCCATGGACTGCAGCGACAATCAATGGATGGTGCTGTCTATGCACAGGTGTGAGTCCTCTGTTTGCACTGGACATATTCCCTACCTGTCTTATTTCATAGGTACATGAAGTATTGTGTATAAAAAAAGAGATAAGATTTAACCAACATCAACAAAATAAAAACCCAAAATAGTGCTGTGTTGGAATCTGTGAGGTTTTGTGTCAAGTCCTAAGTCCACCTTCAGCCAAAGGGCAGTTCCTGGATTTGCCCCTAGAGAGGGGGGCCCAGTGTTGGCTGCACTCATAGGCTGGGGCCCAGGAGCACGGGTTGTGGCTTAACAAACATGAGATTCCCACAATCTCACCACGGCATAGGTGCACCAAAACACACATTGTGTTTGTCCTGACTGCTGTCTGCCCGCTCCAAAACTGTCTCCCTCAGGGCTGCCGTGGGGGCCTGTCTGTGGCTCTCCGCAGCATCTTCCCACTGCTCTAGTCTTTCCCTCTTGCTCATTTTGAAGTGCTGTGCTCTGGAACTCCAAAATCTTTGTGTGACTAGACCCAGCAAGCATCTACTCCCACCCACCGAGGCCCTGCATCTGAAGCAGATAGGAATAAAGACCTGAAACAAAAGAGAAACTCCAAAAGATCAGCTAAACAGCAGCAGGTAAGAAGAGAAAATCAGTGATCAGAATAGTGAAATGACCAAACATGCAGTGTGAAGGAAAGGAAAGCCAAGCGGGGTGGCTCCTAATCCCAGCACTTCAGCAGGCCAAAGCAGGAGGATTGCTTGAGTCCAGGAGTTCAACACCAGCATAAGCAACACGGGAAGACCCTGTCTCTACAAAAAAATTTAAAATTAGCCACATGGTGGTGCATGCCTGTAGTCCCAGCTACTCAGGAGGGTAAGAAAGATAGGATCACTGGAGCCGAAGAGCAAGACTCCAGTGAGCTATGATGGTACCGCTGCAGTCCAGCCTGGGTAACAGGGTCAAAAAAAAAAAAAAAAAAAGTTGAATGAAAAGCTCCAGTCAACTTTTTCTTTTTTTTTTAGACGGAGTCTCACTCTGTCGCCCAGGCTGGAGTGCAGTGGCGTGATCTCTGCTCACTGCAACCTCTCTCCCAGGTTCAAGCAATTCTCCTACCTCAGCCTCCTAAGTAGCTGGGATTTCAGCTGCACGCCACCACACCCAGCTAATTAATTTTTGTACTTTTAGAAGAGAAGGGGTTTCGTCATGTTGGCCAGGCTGATCTTGAACTCCTGGCTTCAGGTGATCTGCTCGCCTCGGCCTCCCAAAGTGCTGAGATTGGAGCCACCGTGCCCGGCCCCAATCAATTTCTAATGGGATTTCCAGAGTTGAAAAAGACAAATATTCAGCTTTAGGAAGCACAGTTGAGTCCTGAGCAGTACAAATAAAAATATAGGCTGGGCACAGTGGCTCACATGTGTAATCCCAGCACTTTCGGAGGCTGAGGTGGGTGGATTGCTGGAGTCCAGCAGTTTGAAAACAGCCTGAGCAACATGGCAAGACCCCATCTCTACAAAAAATACAACAATTATCCGGGCATGGTGGCACAAGCCCGTAGTCCCAGCTACTCAGGAAGCTGAGGTGGATCGCTTGAGCCCGGGAGGTGGAGGTTGCAGTGAGCCAAGATCACACCATTGCACTCCACACTGAATGACAGAGTGAGACTGTCTTAATAAAAAATATGAGTCAGCGTATAAGTTAAAAGGAGTTTTAAAAGATACTAATCCAAAAGAAGGCAGAAAAGGAGAAACATAATAGACTTACCAGCCCAATTTAAAAGTCAGGGATTATAAACATGAATTGAAGAAGTGAGACCCAGTTATGTGCTGATTATAACCAAAGCACTTTACATATGAAGACAGATCTAAGATGAAAATAACAGATGGAAAAAAGACGGGCCATCCATAATCAAAATGTGTATGGGTGTTTATGAAGGGGCATTTCACAATAAGCAATTGACGGCGCTACCAACAAGAAAGTAAACACAGGAGCCCTGAACAAGCCTGTCACTCACCTTGACCTGCTGGGTATTTAGAACACACTCTGTCGGCCTGACACGGTGGCTCATACCTGTAATCCCAGCACTTTGGGAGGCCAAGCCAGGCGGATCACAATGTCAAGAGATCAAGACCATCCTGGCCAACACAGTGAAACCCTGTCTCTGCTAAAAATACAAAAATTAGCTGGGCATGGTGGCATGCATCTGTAGTCCCAGCTACTCGGGAGGCTGAGGCAGGACAATCACTTGAACCCAGGAGGTGGAGGTTGGAGTGAGCCGAGATTGCACACCACTATACTCCAGCCTGGCGACAGAGCGAGACTCCGTCTCAAAAAAAAAATCACTCTGTCAACAGCAACAATACACTTTCTTCTCAATGTTCATTACAAGCTTTGTGCTGGGCCACAAAACAAGTCTCAGTAAATGAGATAGAATTAAAATCACGCAGAGTGTATTCTCTGTCCGCAGTGGAAATTAGGACTCGGTAAGATATCTGGAGAAAATGTTGGCCAGGCACGGTGGCTCATGCCTGTAATCCCAGCACTTTGGGGAGGCCAAGGTGGGCGGATCACGAGGTCAGGAGATCGAGACCATCCTGGCTAACACAGTGAAACTCTGTCTCTACTAAAAATACAAAAAATTAAACGGGCATGATGGCAGGCGCCTGAAGTCCCAGCTACTTGGGAGGCTGAGGCAGGAGAATCGCTGGAACCCGGGAGGCAGAGCTTGCAGTGAGCCGAGATCATGCCACTGCACTCCAGCCTGGGCGCAGAGCAAGACTCCATCTCAAAAGAAAAGAAAAAAAAAAAAAGTAGCACATGTGATCAGAGGGAAAAGACCTAAGATGCTTTAAGGCGGTTTAGGGGAAGATGACAGCAATGAGCTGAGCTCAAGTAGTAAGAATACCAGAATACAGAGTGTGACTTCCCAAATAATCAAACAGAAGGAAAGGGGAGCATTGAAAAATCAGGATCAACATGTTACAAATGGTAGAAATAAATTCAAATATAGTAGAAATAATTTCAAATCACAATACTTGAAAAAAGCAGCTTGTCAAATTGGCAAAGAAAAAAGTGTCAAATGCTATGTACAAGTTTCTGGCAATATGGCAAATTATGTATCCTGAAAAACTAAAAATGCTGTTTACAATACTGGGGAGTGGATCTAAATCCATGAGCTGTAAGAAAGGAAGGAATCTTTGGAGGCTGAAAAGCCAGTCAAGCTCCTACATGACATGGGAGACAGACGACGAACCCACGAGCTTCATCCCTTGAGGAGTTTATTAGGCGACCTTGGTCTACACTCTCAGGAGAGGAGTGCACCAGAAATAAAGCCGGTGCCCTGGAGTCCACCTGGAGCCAGGCGCGGGGCGCTGCACTTAGGTTGGCAGCAGCCCGTTAGCGCGCAGCTCCAGCAGCGGGGACAGCGTGTAGCGCAGGCGGCGCAGCGTCGTCTCCGAGGTGAGGCTCCAGAGCCACGCGGAGACGGCGCCGGGGTCCAACAGCACCGTCCAGAGCAGCGACAGCCCCAGGAAGAGGAGCGGCAGCGTCAGCAGCGCCTGCAGGGCGAAAGGCGGGCAGGTGGGCGGCGGCTCGGGCGGGCACGTGGGGGACCGCGGCCGCGCCCACCGCCCTGCTCACCTGATGGCCAGCGCGCGAGGACCGCCGAACAGCCGCGTCTCCTGCGGGGAGAGAGGGCCGCATCCAGCTACCTCCGCGCCCGCGGCGCCGGCCCGGTTTCCAGGAGGAGGGGGAGGCGGTACCGCGGGGGGGATGGGGAGGGGTGTCCCGCTCCAGCCCACCCCGCCCGGACCCGCGCAGGCGCTCACTCGGTCCGCCCTGGCCATCTCCTCCATGAGCGACTCGGTGCTGTACTGCACTCTGCGAAGCTGCCCGTCACACCTGCGGGGACAGGCATGCAGGTGGGAGCCCAGCCCGGCCCGGCCCCACAGTGCCCCGCCGCGCCCGCAAGCCCAACTCCCTTACAGTTCCCGGCCACTCTGCCAGGCGTCCAGCTCCTCCGCAGCCTCCATCACCTTCACCTGCACCTCCTGGAGCGGGTGAGAGTGCGGACTGAGGCCTCGGGGAGGCGTCCTGGCGGTGGGTTGGGAGACTTACCGCCCCAGGTCTGGGGGAGGAGAGGCGGGAGGCACCTTGGCGTCTGAGTGGGGCCGCACCTGCAGGACTACGGTCTGCTCCTGGAATATGGCCCAGGCCTCCGCTGTCTGCAGCGCGTCCTGGGTGTGGACACCCGGGTTAGACTCGGCGGGGGCGGGGCGACAGGCCCTTCCCCATCCACACTCGAAAGCCTACCCTCCTCCAACAGAACCCGCTTCTGCCCTCACCTGCTGCAGCTTCTCCTCCTGCAAGGCGCATTTGGTCTCCGCCAGCTCCAGTTCATTCTTGAGAAGGACCCAGGGAATGTCAGGAGGTCCGCAGGCCGGCAACCCGCTGCGCCTCCGGGCCCCGCCCCCGGCCCTCAGTGCCCGCCCCCAGGCGATCATGACCCCGCCCACGTCCTCAGGACCAGTCGTAAGCAACGCCCCAGCTGGTCATGGCCCCGCCCCCTCCGCGCTCCGCCCGTATCTAGCCCTCAGGGCCCCGCCCCCAGGCGATTATGCCCCGCCCACATCCCCGCCCCGCCCACGCCTTCAGGGCCTGCCTTAAGCCACACCCCCAGGTGGTCACGGCCCCGCTCACGCTGCTGCTCCGCCCCTACTAAAGACCTCAGGGTCCCGCTCAAGCACCTGCAGCGTCACCAATTGGGCTGCGAGTTGCTGCTCCGTGCTCTTCTGGCTCTGCAGTTCCCCTCCGTAGTAGAAGAGCTAGGGGCGGGGCTCGTAAGGACGGGGTTTACCGGGCTTCTGGAGGAACGAGTGTCAGGGGAGACAGGGACGGGGAGGCAATGAGAGCGAGGGCAAGGGCAGGACTTCCGAGAGGAACCAAGAGACAGGCCCTCCCATCTCCTGCACGTACCTGACTCGACAGCTCCTCCCACTGCCCTGCAGCTGCCTGCTGTGCTGCTCCTGCGGACAGGGTCCTGGGGCGGTGCCGGCCTCACCGCCGGTCCTACCTCACCCCACCCCCGGATCCTGCCCCCTTCCGCCCGCCCTGCCCCACCCCACCCTGGGTCCAGCCCCATTCCAGGACTCTTCCTCACCAAGTCCTCCTTGTGGCGCTCCGCCTCCTCCAGTCTTCTGCGCACCCGCTGCGCGCGCTCCCGCGCCGCCTCGCGCACCTCCCCTTGCAGAAGCAGCGCTTCCTGGCTTCGCCTCCGCAGCAGCCTGCAGAGGGAAACTGAGGTTGGCGCTACAAGGCGGACTGGGTCGCTCAGGATCCCGCAGTCGCCAGGAAGGACCAGCCGCAGGCTCATGATTGAGGACTGGGAAGTCCTGGCCGAGTCCCCCACCTGGGTCCGCTGGGTGGATCACCCGTTCCCAAGGGCCTAGAGCAGAGATGCGGGCCCGGGCGGATCAGCCTGGTACTCTGCGAAGCACCTCGCGGCGCTGCCTGCGGGACCGACCCTCGCGCGCCCGCCAGGTAGAGGGGCGTTCCCCGCGCACCTCCGCTCCCGCTCGCTCAGGTCCTGCAGGCGCTGGTTGAGGCAGGCTCTCGCTCTCGGCCTCGAGCCCGCGCATCAGCTTCTCTAGCTCCTGCTTCCGCTGGCGACCATCTCGGTTATCCTTCTGCAACTGCAGCAGCAGCTCCTGCGTCGCGGCCATGGCTGTGGAGACCGAGCCTAAATGCCGCCCGCCTCGGGGACCCAGCCTGCGGCTGGCAGGCGTCACAATGGGCGGCAGGGAGCGCCTAGCGGGCTGGATCACAATGGGCGGCAGGGGAAGCCCGAGGGTAGCCCGACACATGCCCCTTCTCACGCCGGCCGGAGGCGGGTCAGGCCGGATCACACTTAGTCCATCACTGATGAAAATTGTGTCAAAGAGCCGTAATTAGATCAATGAAAGGTTAATGAAATACTAATACCAAATGCAGGCAAGTTGAAGATTGGTTCCCCCACAGTGCAGATGGCACTTGCAAACTGATCGATCTCTTGTGGAAAAGAACCCATAAATATGTTCGTAACTTTTGACCCAATTATCCCTCTCCTGGGAAATTTATCCCAGGAAGGAGAAAAAATTTAAACCCACTACACACTAAATGGTTCGCTGAAGTGGTTACAGTAGCCACAAAAAAAGGAAACAATTTTAATGATTAAAATGTGCTTGGGTATTATGTGGTATGCCTAGAGCTATTATGATGTCTAGTGAAAAAGAATTTGATTTAGCATTTATGCTAAAGTAACTAAGATAAAATACATGAGCAAGATCCGTAAAGGAAACAGGAAGAAGATAAGCTCTTTCATTGCTTGGTGAGACTGTAGGTAAACTCGTCCTTTTAAGTATTATTATTTTAGAGGCAGGTCCTGCTGTCACCAGGCTGGAGTACAGTGGAACAATCGAAGCTAGCTGCAGCTTCAATCTCCCAGGCTCAAGTGATCCTTCCGCCTTAGCCTCCCAACTTGTCCTTTTAAAATCTGCCTTTATTTGTCCAGTTACAATTATGAACTTGGATGCAAAAATCCAAAATAAATTACTAACAAAATCTAAAGGGAAACAGAAATCCATGGAAACCAAACAGAGTTTATTCCAGGGATTGTTCAACATCAGAAAATCAGTGTTGTTCATCATATGGACAAACAGGGAAGAACTCCACGATCTCAGTGGCGCACTTCAATAGATGCAGAAAACGTGAAGATGAGGGTCACCATCTATTAATAATTTTTTTTTTTTTTCTGAGACAGAGTCTCACTCTGTTGCCCAGGCTGGAGTGCAGTGGCACAATCTTGGCTCACTGCAACCTCCGCCTACTGGGTTCAAGCAATTCTCTGCCCCAGCCTCCGGAGTAGCTGGCATTACAGGCACTCGCCACCACACCCAGCTAATTTTTTTGTATTTTTAGTAGAGACAGGGTTTCACCATCTTGGCCAAGCTGGTTTTGAACTCCTGACCTCGTGATCCACCCACCTCGGCCTCCCAAAGTGCTGGAATTACAGGCCTGAGCCACCTCACCTGACCATCTATTGATAATTCTAAAAGCTCTTTCTTACAAAAGGGAGAGATAAAAGCACTCTCTAGTCTGATAAAGGCCACGGTAAATATTATAGTAAGGAGGAAGTATTAATAGTATATGCTTTTTTTTCTTTTTCTTTTTTTAGAGTCAGGGTCCTGCTGTCACCCTGGCTGGAGTGCAGTGGTACGATCAAAGCCAACTGCAGCAGCCGCAAACTTCAGGGCTCAAGCGATCCTCCCGCCTCTCACCCTATAAGAAGTAGTAGACGGCCGGGCGCGCTTTTAGTCTGGGCGCGGTAGCTCACGCCTGTAATCCAGCACTTTGGGAGGCCGAGGTGGGTGGATCACGAGGTGAGGAGTTCAAGACCAGCTTGGCCAAGATGGTAAAATCCTGTCTCTACTAAAAATACCAAAAAAAAGTTAGCCGGGTATGGTGGTGCTTGCCTGTAGTCCCACCTACTTGGGAGGCTGAGGCAGGGGGAATCGCATGATCTTGGCTCACCACAACCTCCACCTCCCGGGTTCAAGTGATTCTCCTGTCTCAGCCTCATGAGCAGCTGGGATTACAAGCATGCGCCACCACGCCCAGCTAATTTTGTACTTTTAGTAGAGACGGGGTTTCTCCATGTTGGTCAGGCTGGTCTTGAACTCCCAACCTGAGGTGATCCACCTGCTTTGGCCTCCCAAAGTGCTGGGATTACAGGCGTGAGCCCCTGCGCCTGGCCCTACACCCGACTGATTTTTGTAGTTTTAGTAGAGACAGGGTTTCACCATGTTGTCCAGGCTGGTCTCAAATTCCTGGCCTCAAGTGATCTGCCTGCCCCGGCTTCCCAAAGTGCTGGGATTACAGGAGTGAGCCACCGTGCCCGGACTAAAAGGTACATTTTTAAAAAAGAGGTGACTTAAGATTTCATAGAAACCAACTTTTTGTAAAACTATGATAAGCCAAATACTTGGACCAGCCCTCACACTGAGAAGTACCAAAAATGCTGACAAAATAAAAGGATGTTTTCTTAAAGGCATCCAGGGGCTGACAAGACAGTGAGGAGCCGCCAGGCACCATCTGGGGAAACCAGAAACCAGAGAGGCGAGCCAAGCCGCTCTTGCCCTGAAAACATCTGCCCCCATCCAGCCACCCCGGGCTTCCGATGAGAACTCTAAGGCTGGTCCCCACCCCACAGAGCACCCCACAGAATTTGGGACTTATGGCCCAAATTCACACCAGTGAGAAGATTCCAAAACCTCACAGTTGATGGATTTAGTTTAAATTGGCTTTAGGCTGACAGCGCCCTGAGGTACCTGGCAGAAGGAAGCGTAAACCTAGTTTGGAGGAAGCATCTTTACCCTAGGTCTGAAAAATTCCCACAAAGTCATTTTTCCAGGACAATGAGTAATGCAGTCAAAAGTAACCACACATTCACGGAAACAATGCCCCATGAGCAAGGACAGAAAAGGCCAGCAGCAGGACCAGATCCAGAGACTCAACATCTCAAAGACCTGAGGCAGACCATGAGGCTCCTCCACTTACCTGTACTCACGGAGGGAACCGATGAGCTTGAAAGTATATGTGACGAACAGCAAACGAGAAAAAAAAATGACCTTGCAGAAAAACAGGTGTAGACATTCTAGAAATAAACAGCATTCAGCCCAATGGGTTTAACAGGAATAGGAGAATAAAAAGAGAATACCTACACTGAAGATACGTCAGAATAAATTATGCTGAATAAAGAAGAGTGAGAGGCCGGGCGCATTGGCTCATAGCCAGGGTCGAGGTCACTCTCTCCCTGAGGACTCTAGCACGGCACAGCCCCTCTGCCTCTCTCCTGGTGGTGGCGTTGAAACAGCACCTTCTGCTTTGGTCCTCTACAGGGTGGCAGAGAAGGAGGCAGTCAATAAGATGTCCCTGCACAACCTTGCCACTGTCTTTGGCCCCATGCTGCTCCGGCCCTCCGAGAAGGAGAGCAAGCTCCCTGCCAACCCCGGCCAGCCCATCACCATGACTGACAGCTGGTCCTTGGAGGTCATGTCCCAGGTGTGGGAAGACAGGCTCCAGCCCATGCAACCCCAGCCTGACAGAGGTGGCCTCTGCCTGCCCCACCCCCAGTCCTGCCCATCTTCCAACTTGCATTGTATGTGGTGGTGGCTGAGATTCAGAGACAGGGACTTGCCTAGGTTTGCATGGATGGGAGTGATAGGGGGAGCCTAGGCCACCTCCTGCTCCTGCTGGTGCACCTTGCTGGGGGCTTAAAACCACCCCAAGTGTTCAGGTGTGGTGGCTCATGCCTGTAATCCCAGCACTTTGGGAGGCCGAGGCAGGACAACTGAACCCAGGTGTTTGAGACCAGTCTGGGAAATGTAGCAAACCCCATCTCTAGAAAAAATACAAAGAAAAATTAGGCAGGCATTGTGGCACACATCTGTAATCCTAGGTATCTGGGAGGCTGACACAGGAGGATTGCTTGAGCCCAGGAGTTAGAGGCTGCAGTGATCCATGATGGAGCCACTGTACTCCAGCCTGGGGGACAGAGCAAGGCCCTGTGCATCTCTAAAATAAATAACCACCCCCCACCCAACAAGTCATGCCTTGTCAGGACCCCACCCCACCCCCGTCTCACTGTAAGGGGTTCATGACACCAGCAGGGGTTTCTAGCACCTGAGGTGGACTTGGGGACTTGGGCCCCAAAGACCTCCCCACCAGCAGCTGTGAGCCCCCCTCTGAGCCACTCTCCTCTTCCCCACTCCGCGAGGGCAGGTCGAGGTGCTGCTGTACTTCTTGCGGCTGGAGGCCGTCCCTGCCCCGGACAGCAAGGGACAGAGCATCCTGTTCTCCACCGATGTCTAAAGGTCCCAGTCCATCTCCTGGAGGCGGACAGATGGCCTGGAAACCTCTGGCTAATCAGGCTATCTGTAGAGTGGGAATCAAGATTTTCTGAGGCATCCTTGGGCCACCCCCAGGTGTCAGGCCATCTGCCAAGAGACAGCGGCCCAAAGCAGAAGGACAGGTGGCCTGGGCAGATCCCGCCCAGGTCTGAAAGCCCCAGGCTGGCCTCAGACTGTGGGTTTTCCATGCAGCCACCTGAGGGCGCCCCAAGCCAGTGCATCTCAGAGGCCAGGCCTGGCCCTGGGAGACAGAGTGAAACCAGTGGTTTTTATGAACTTAACTTAGAGTTTAAAAGATTTCTACTCGATCACTTGTCAAGATGCGCCCTCTCTGGGGAGAAGGGAACGTGACCGGATTCCCTCACTGTTGTATCTTGAATAAACGCTGCTGCTTCATCCTGTGGGGGCCGTGGCCCTGTCCCTGTGTGGGTGGGGCCTCTTCCATTTCCCTGACTTAGAAACCACAGTCCACTTAGAACAGGGTTTGAGAGGCTTAGTCAGCACTGGGTAGCGTTTTGACTCCATTCTCGGCTTGCTTCTTTTTCTTTCCAGGATTTTTGTGCAGAAATGGTTCTTTTGTTGCCGTGTTAGTCCTCCTTGGAAAGCAGCTCAGAAGGCCTGTGAAATGTCGGGGGACAGGACCTCCAGGGAGGGAATCCCAGGCTACGCACCTTAGGGTTCGTTCTCCAGGGAGAGCGACCTCGTCCCCCGATCCTGACCGCCCTTCCGGCCCACGCTCTCCTGTTTGGCTTCCACAGGCCTGGACTTCTCTGGCTTCTCTGCCCACACACTCCCTGCCCCCAGTGTCCCTGCCCCTGCCCCAGCACAGGTGACTTCATTTCTGTCCTCTCAGCTCAGTGGACTCGCTCAACTTTTGTATAAGTCTCCACTTGGTGGTAGCAGCTTGCTGATGACTTGTTTTAAAACTTTCATCCTAAATAACCTTTTGATACTTGAATATTTGTAAGTTTTATACATAGTTTCTAATTTTTTCCCCAACAGATCCAGATACCTAATAAGATGCTGGAATGTAATCCCTGGACAATCCGTGTCCTGGCAGCATTTGGTCTTCCTCTAAGCGCCTGGCTCCGCTGTTCTCAGGAGTGGGTTCTGAAGTCTCTGGAGAACAGGATACGTGGAGGGTTAGGAAGGGGCCAGGCCTAGAGACGGGAGACTCCCTCCCGGAGCAGGTGGAGGCACAGGACCATTCGCTACCCCATCTGCCGGCACCTGCGGGGGAGCCCAGGCATTGTTTGTAAACCCTCCTGACTACCTGACTCAAAGAAAACAGAAGCATGGAGGCCGCCAAGTATTTTCAAGAAATAATCCCATGAACGTGGCATCACTTTTTTAGAAAGAGGGGCTTGGGGCAGGCAGAGGAGAGAAGGGAGAGCAAACTGAGAGCCAAGTTTCCAGACGGTCCTGCAGGAGGAGAGGATGCAGCTGCGCAGAGGGAAGCAGGATCACATTTAAGGAAGTGTGTGGGGTCCCTGGATGACACCAGCACCCAGTACGGCTCTGTCTGGCAACCGCTCCCAAGGTGGCAGGAGTGGGTGTCCCCTGTGTGTCAGTGGGCAGCTCCTGCTGAGCCCGCAGCTTACTGGGGAGCCTGACAGCAGGGATATGTACCTGACACTCCTCTCTGCTTGTGGACCTGATGAGGCAGGGAGCAGAAAACAGAGCCACTTGAAGGCTTTCTGTCTGCGTCTTTGTGCAGTGTGGATTTAGTTGTGCTTTTTTCTTGCTGGGAGAGCACAGCCACCATTTACAAGCAGTGTCACCCTCATGGGTGGTGAGGACAGAACAGGAGCCTCTGCTCTCTGTACCTATCTGGGCCCAGTGGGCTCCCCTGTCCTGGCTTCCATCTCTGTCTCAGTGACCATTCAGCCCTGCGCAGGAACACATGTTGCTTAGAAAAGCCAAATCCAGCCCTTGTCTCTGCCTCCTCTGGTCTCATGATGTGCATCTGTTACCTTGAAACTGGAAACCAGTCTATCAATGTCTGTGCCAGTTTTTTATTCCCTCCCCAACCTCCTTCCCCATACGACTTTTTATTTATGTAGGATGTGTGCTGTCTAATGATGGGATGACCACACTTTTCCATGTTCTAAAAGTGCTTCTCTCCCGCAGGGTCCCAGGGCTGGTGGTTGCTTTGGGTCTACAGCTACGTCTTACCCGCCTCCTGCCTCAACAGCCTGTGTGGTGGCAAAGCCGGTGTGGGGCTGGGGAACGCAGCGTTCTCCAGGAGGGGGACCCGGCTCTCCTTCTGCAGTGCAGGCGAAGGCCTAGATGCCAGTGTGACCTCCCACAAGGCGTGGCTTCCAGACTCCCCGGCCGGAAGTGATGCTTTTTTGCCGCGGGCCCTGGGTTTGAAGCAGCCTGGCTTTCTCTTGGTAAGTGGCTGGTGTCTCAGCAGCTGCAATCTGAGCTCAGCCACCTACACACCACCGTGGCCAACACTTTCATTAAAAAGTTTCCTGAGACGACTTGCGTGCATGTTGACTTCATGATCAGCGCCGCTGGGAAGAACCCCTGAGCTTGTGGGGTGGGGCTGGAAGCAGCAGGTGCAGTGATGGGGCTGGGTGCCCAGGAGGCCTCAGTGCTCAATCAGGCCAAGGTGGCCAAGCCCAGGCTGCAGGGAAGGCCGGCCTGGGGGGTGCGGGTGAGCACAGGCAGGCACCAGCTGGGCAGTGTTAGGATGCTGGAGCAGCATCCGTAACTCCACTGAGTGGGGTAGTCTGGTTGGGGCAGGGACCGCTGTTGCTTTGGCAGAGAGAGATGATCCCCACTGGGGAGAGGCTGTTCTGACTCTGCAGGTGGGACAGGGACAGATGGCCACCAGGGTGACCCGGCTGGTCTTCCTTTGCTATGCTAAGCCCTGGGACATGGAGGATTCCTGCCACACAGCCTGGGCCCGGGTTCTTACCTGTGGCCACCGCTCTGGCACGAGCCCCTCAGTCTTGGGTGGTTTCTGCCTGGTCCGGGATTTGGTGTTGCTGCTGACTCCAGCCTTTCCACCACCTCTGCATGGGCCGTGGGTGTTGTCAGCTGCCTCCTGCCTTGGCTTCAGTAGCTCACCCAGCTTACAGGGGAGCTGCCCTGGGCTGGAGATGGGCACGCACCCTGGGTCCTACTTGAATGAATGCAGCTTGAGGAGACCCGGCCATATACACTGGGCCACAGGTTACCCTCGGCAATGCCCACATCAGCCGTCAGCCTGAGCCTCCCCAGGAGAGCAAGGCTCACACGACAAAGGCTGCCCGTGGCCAATGAGGTGGCTGAGCCCAGCCAGGACCTTTCTCGGACTCCCGGGATGTGGCTCTGCTCGTGAGCTGCCTGGTCAGCTCTCTCGGGGTGAGAGGGGCTTGTCACACGGGCCTCTGCCTGCAGTGTGACCCTTCTCAGCTTCTCTCAGCAGCCCTGCCTGCGGAGTGTCACCGCCACCATGATCATTTCCCTGACACAGCGAGGGTGGGGGGACGTCCTGGGTAGAGACAGGGCCCGTGGCAGCAGCAGGCTCAGGGGCGCCCTGCACTGGTGGGCTGGGGACCTGGTGGAGACCACGCCAAGGGCTGGACAAGGGGACGAGCCTCCACCCTGGCCTCTCCGCAGGCCTCAGCAGCCCCTCCCACAGGCAGAAGGGTTGACACTGGGTTCTGCCCTCACTGCAAGAGCTGCAAGTGCCACGTGCTGTTCTGCCCAATCTGGTGTCTGCAGGTGAGGGAAGGGCTGCCGCTGGCCCGTTTCTGAGTGTTCAGCACCTAAGGGTGACAGCACTGTCTGTCCCTACCCTCCAGGTCCTGTTTGAAGATCAAACCCATGCTCACAGGCCAATTTTTTTTTTCTTTTAGAGACAGGGTCTCACTTTGTCACCCAAGCTGGAGTGCAGTGGTGCGATTATAGCTCAATGCAGCCTCCAATTCCTGGACTCAAGGGACCCTCCTGCCTCAGCCTGCCAAGTAGCTTGGACTATAGCTGTGTGTTTTCTTATTATTTTGTAGACATGGGGTCTGGCTATGTTGTCCAGGCTATTCTCAAAATTCCCGGCCTCAAGCAATCCTCCTGCCTCGGCCTCTCAAAGGTTGGGATTACAAGTGTGAGGCAAGGCACCCAGCTCAGCCACAGAGCCCTGTTGCATCTCTCTTACTAGGAGCAAGAGCTGACTGCCCCCTCATCCCCATTCCAGAGTGTTGGGGCTGTGTTCAGCCGAGGCCGGGCCACTGGCATGGCCCAGGGAGCGGGATCCTTCACTGCTGCCCCAAATCTGAGATCATTCCACCTTGACAAGACTTCCTCATCCAATCCCTTTACTTGACAGCTGGGGAAACCAATGCGCACAGAGCACCCCCAGCTCACTCGGGGTCTCAGAGCTGATCCATGAGCAGAGGCTGAGATCCTGGGATCTTGTCCCCCAGCCTCCCTGCAAGCTTACTCCCTTTCTGCTGGAAGAGATGGGGCCGGACCTCGACCAGCAGCCCTGGCCTGGACATGACTGTGCTCATGCAGGTATTGAGGCCGAGATGCCCCGGCATCATATGTTTTTCTTTTCTTTTCTTTTCTTTTTTTGAGATGGTGTCTCACTCTGTCACCCAAGCTGGAGTGCAGTGGCATGATATTGGCTCACTGCAACCTCTGCCTCCCGGTTAAAGTGATTCTCCTGCCTCAGCCTTCCAAGTAGCTGGGCCTACAGGCTTGTACCACCATGCCTGACTAATTTTTGTGTTTTTACTAGAGACGGGGTTTCCCCATGTTGGCCAGGCTCGTGTCAAACTCCTGACCTCAGGTGATCCACCTGCCTTGGCCTCCCAAAGTGCTAGGATTACAGGCATGAGCCATGGCATCACTTAAATGTAGTGAGAGGCCGGGCTCGGTGGCTCATGCCTGTAATCCCAGTACTTTGAGAGGACGAAGCTGTCAGATCACCTAAGGTCAGGAGTTCGAGACCAGCCTGGCCAATATGGTGAAACTGTGTCTCTACAAAAAAATAGAAAAAAAAAATCCCTGCGTGGTGGTGAGTACCTGTAGTCCCAGTTACTCAGGAGTCTGAGGCATGAGAATCGCTTAAACCTTGGAGGCAGAGGCTGCAGTGAGCTGAGATGGCGCCACTGCACTCCAGCCTGGGTGACAGAGCAAGACTTTGTCTCTAAATAATTAAATAAATAAATATGGCCGAACATGGTGCCTTAGGCCTGTAATCCCAACACTTTGGGAGGCTGAGGCAGGTGGTTCATGAGGTCAGGAGCCTGAGACCAGCCTGGCCAAGACGGTGAAACACTGTCTCTACTAAAAATACAAAAATTAGCCAGCTGTGGTGGCAGGCACCTGTAATCCCAGCTACTTGGGACACTGAGGCAGGAGAATCGCTTGAAACTGGAAGTCAGAGGTTGCAGTGAGCCGAGATTGCACCACTGCACCCTAGCCTGGGCGATGGAGCAAGACTCCATCTCAAATAAATAAATTAATAAATACAGAGCAAGATTCCATCTTAAATAAATAAATAAACTTACACCTGTAATCCTAGCACTTCGGGAGGCTAAGACAGGTCAATCACCTGAGGTCAGGAGTTCGAGACCAGCCTGACCAATATGGCTAAACTCCATCTCTACTAAAAATACAAAAATTAGCCGGGCCTTTTGACGTGTGCCTGTAGTCTCAGCTACTTGGGAGGCTGAGACAGGAGAATTGCTTGAACCCAGGAGGTGGAGGTTGCAGTGAGCCGAGATCTCGGCTGCACTTCAGCCTGGGTGACAGAGTAAGACTGTCTCAAAAGGAATAAATAAAATACAAAATAAAAAAAATGTAGTAAGATTGCAGAGTCGTGCCGCGGAAGCGTGCTGGTCCTATCCATGTAGTGAAGGCTGATTTCATACAGAAATGTCACAAGAACTTTTTTTTTCTTTTTCTTTTTCTTTTTTTGAGACGGAGTCTCGCTCTGTCACCCAGGCTGGAGTGCAGTCGCGCGATCTCAGCTCACTGCAAGCTCTGCCTCCCGGGTTTATGCCGTTCTCCTGCCTCAGCCTCCCGAGTAGCTGGGACTACAGACCTGTGCAGCAGATGCTGGGGGATCCACTAGGCCCAGACAGTCTTAGGACTTGTGTCTCTCCTGCTGTGCATCCATACTGGGTGCTTTAGAAATGGCAGGCAGACCAGAAGCCCCTGTAGCAAGTGAGGACAAAGTGTGGGAAGGCCGTGAGGGTCTGCAGTCCGAGATGGCCTTGTCCTCAACCTGCAGTGCACTGTTGATGCGCTGGAATGCCGCCTCCTTCTCCCGGTCCAGGTCTTCAGCAGTGACCCAGTACCCCAGCTCTAAGGGAGGTGGCAGCATCAAAGGCTCCCCTCGCCTGCGTGGCAGCAGGGGAAACTTGTGTCTACGGGGCCTAGAGGACTGGGATCTGGGGGAGCCACCCCTGGGGCCGAGTGTCTGCCCTGGTGCTGTATCTGCCGTCTTTTCACACTGGGTGTGACCCGAAGAGACAGCCTCAGGTCCGTCCTCACTCACTGTGTTTGAGGAACTGAGGGTCAGCTGGCAGTGGGATGAGGCTGGCGCCTCTTCCGCTTTCGTCCCGGGAGGTCTCCCGTAGAGCTGCAGGAGCTCGAGATGGCATTTCGTTTGGGGCACGAGCTGGTCCGGGAGGTCTGGGATCTCTGGTTCTGACCTCTGGGCACCTGCTGCAGCTGTGGCTGAGGCCCAGAAATGTGAAGGGCCTCCATCCACTCCAATAGTGACCCCAATGTGCGGTTCAATGTGGAGGGGGGAGGGGCTGCTGCGGCAGCTGCAGGAGCAGAAGTGCCAGGCCTTGTTCTTCTCATGCCCGCATCCATGCTTGCAGCTGGGAAGGGGGCAGGAATCAGCGAGGTGACCTGGGCTGAGTCCTGGGAGTGGGAAGAGGTGGCAGGAAGGGGATCTGAGGAGGAGAACAGGGGGCCTGGTGGTCTGTGCTTCTCCCCAGACATGGGAGCTGTAGAGGGGACCTCTGTAGCAGATGCTAGGGGGGCCACTAGGCCCAGGCAGTCTTGGGACTTGTGTCTCTCCTGCTGTGCATCCATACTGGGTGCTTTAGAAACGGCAGGCAGACCAGAAGCCCCTGTTGCAAGTGAGGACAAAGTGTGGGAAGGCCGTGAGGGTCTGCAGTCTGAGATGGCCTTGTCCTCAACCTGCAGTGCACTCTTGATGCACTGGAATGCCGCCTCCTTCTCCCAGTCCAGGTCTTCAGCAGTGACCCGGTACCCCAGCTCTACGGGAGGTGGCAGCATCAAAGGCTCCCCTCGCCTGTGTGGCAGCAGGGGAAACTTGCGTGTACTGGGCCTAGAGGCCTCGGATCTGGAGGAGTCATTCCTGAGGGCGAGTGTCTGCCCTGGTGCTTTCTCTGCCACCTTTTCACACTGGGTGTGACCCGAAGAGACAGCCTGAGGCCTGTCCTCACTCACTGTCTTTGAGGAACTGAGGGTCAGCTGGCAGTGGGATGAGGCTGGCCCCCTCCTCCGCTTTAGCCCCGGCAAGCCTCCCGTGGAGCTGTAGGAGCTGGAGATGGCATTTCGGTTGGTGCACGAGCTCGTCCAGGAGGTCTGGGATGACTGGTCATATCTGATTTCTGACCTCTGGGCATGGAGGTCTGTCTGCAGAGGCCCGGGCCCGGGCACAAAGGGAGAGAGGCCTCCATTGTCCCGCAGGGGCCGAAATGCAGACGGTGCATCCCCGGTGACCTCGGGGACCCTTCTCTGATCACCAGGATTCTCTTGGACTCTAGGGTCCTTGTCCTGCTCAGGCATCCCTGCCCCGCTCTCCTTGAGGGCCCTCAACACTATCTTCCCTGGACACAAGTCTGGGGACAGCCGGCTGTTGTGGACCCCAAAGGGGTGACTCCCAGCTCCTGGGCCCCACAGAGAGTCCATGTTCTCAGTGCAGTGGCTGAGCTGGAGGACGCCCTGGAACTCGGAGCACACAGCACTGGCTTGCTGTGGTACCTGTGCAATCAAATTGAAGGCAGGATCCCAGAAAGGAAGGCAGGGCTTGCAGGATCACGGAAAACCTTCTTAGAGTTGTCTTGACACCACGGATGTCAAGTGTCCGGGTGCTTGTAGGATGGCCTGCCACTCAGTCCACGGGCAGGAGCAACGGGGAGATCCCACAGGCAAAGTGAACTGGGGGATGGGCTGAACGGGCTCCAGGCAACTGAGCCCTACTGGCAGGTCCTCGGCCTGGGCCCGAACAGGAAGGAGGGGCACAGAGTGCCCAGGTAACCGCTCCTGGGAGCAGTGGGGAACCGTCGGTTGCTTGAACTCTCGAGAGCTGGGCTCTGAGCGTCCTCGTCCAGCCGCCAACTCGGCCAACGGCTAAGCCAGCAGTTTCTTCTGTTGCCGGGCAACGCGCCTTTTAAACCTGAGGGAGCGGGCGCGTGAGCACATCACGGCGCCCGTGACAGAGCGAGCTTAACGGATTAATAAGCGCAGCCAGGTACCCGCGCGAGGCACTTGCTGGCAATGGCGGGAGGCGGACGTGGGGGGTCATGCAATAGGTACTGGAAGGAGAGAGGCGGGCACAAAGGTCGCGGGAGGAACAGGTGCCCACAATGGCGGCAGATCTGCCCGTGGATCACTGAAGATTCCTGCTCTCCTGCTGAGGTGGAGATTGCAGTGAGCTGAGATCGCACCATTGCACTCCAGCCTGGGCAACAAGTGCAAAACTCAGTCTTCAAATAAAAAAAAGAAAAAGAAAAACAAAAGGCCGGGCGTGGCGGCTTATGCCTATAATCCTAGCACTTTGGGAGGTCGGGGCGGACGGATCACGAGATCAGGAGTTGGAGACCAGCCTGGCCAACATAGTGAAACCCCCTTTCTAGTAAAAATACAAATTTAGTCAGACATGGTGGCACGCGCCTGTAGTCCCAGCTACTCCGGCGGCTGAGACTGGAGAATCACTTGAACCCGGGGGCTGGGAAGGGATTGCGATGCGCCGAGATCGCGCCACTGCACTCCAACCTGGGCAACAGAGTCAGAGTCTTTTTTTTTTTTCTTTTTTTTTTTTTGAGACGGAGTCTCCCTCTGTCGCCCAGGCTGGATTCCAGTGGCCTGATCTCTGGGCTCACCGCAAGCTCCGCCTACCGGGTTCACGCCATTCTCCTGCCTCAGCCTCGGGAGTAGCTCGGACTACAGGCGCCCGCCACCACACCCGGCTGCTTTTTTGTATTTTTAGTAGAGACGGGGTTTCACCGTGTTAGCCAGGATGGCCTCGACCTCCTGACCTCGTGATCCGCCCGCCTCGGCCTCCCAAAGTGCTGGGATTAAAGGCGTGAGCCACCGCGCCCGGCCGAGACTCTGTCTTAAAAAAAAAAAGGCCGGGGCTGTGGCACTTTGGGAGGCGGAGGCGGGTGGATCACGAGGTCAGGAGTTGGAGACCAGCCTGGCCAACATAGCGAAACCCCGTCTCTACTAAAACTACAAAAAATTAGCCGGGCGTGGTGGCGGGCGCCTGTAGTCCCAGCTACTCTGGAGGCTGAGGCAGGAGAATGGCGTGAACTCGGGAGGCGGAGCTTGCAGTCACCCGAGATCTCACCACTGCACTCCAGCCTGGGTGACAGTGCGAACCTCCGTCTCAAAAAAAAAAAAAAAAAAAGAGAGAGAGAGACACAGAGAAAAATGTTTATTGACTTAATGCACTTTTATGCCTGTGTTCTTCAATTTGCTTAGGAAAGACCTACACTTGAGAGCTGGGACTGTGGCCGATTGTGGACATGAAATATATGGTTTCTTGCAAAAACTAGACACTGAATAATTACGATTTAGTTGAGCTAGAAATCCATTTGGTTTCTTCCATATTTTTCCAAAATTTTCATCCTTTTTTTTTTAATTTTGAGACGGAGTTTCGCTGTTGTCTCCCAGGCTGGAGTGCAATGGCGCGATCTCAGCACCTGCTGGCAATGGCGGGAGGCTAGGGGACGCTGGCTTGATAGGTACTGGAAGGAGAGGCGCGCGCACAAAAGACTTGGGAAGACCTGGCGCGCACAATGGCTGCAGATCCGCCAGTGGATCACTGAAGATTCCTGCTCTCCTGCTGAGGCGGGGATTGCAGTGAACTGAGATCGCACCATTGCACTCTAGCCTGGGCAACAAGAGGGAAACTCCATCTCACACACACACACACCAAAAAAAAAAAAAAAAAAAAAAAAACACACAAAGAAAAGAAAAAGTAGTGGCCAGGCGTGGCGGCTCACACATCCCAGCACTTTGGGAGATTGGGGCGGGCGGATCACGAGATCAGGAGTTGGAGACCAGCCTGGCCAACATAGTGAAACCCTGTCTCTACTAAAATACAAAAATTAACCAGACATGGTGGCACGCGGCTGTAGTCCCAGCTACTGGTGTGGCTGAGGCAGGAGAATCACTTGAACCCGGGAGGCGGAGGTTGCGGTGTGCCGAGATCGCGCCACTGCACTCCAGCCTGGGCTACAAAGCGAGACTTCCTGTCAAAAATAAATAATTAATTTTTAAAAATTATGTAGAAGATAAAAACTTTATGTTCTTTTTAATGTTTGCTGTCCATAAAATCATCTGGGCCTGGTGCTTTTCTTTGGTTTTGTTTTTTTGTGAGATTTTTGAGGGGATGGGATACAGATTTTTTTTTTTTTTTGAGACGGAGTCTTGCTCTGTTGCCCAGGCTGGAGTGCAGTGGCACCACCTCGGCTCACTGCCACCTCCGCCTCCCGGGTTCACGCCGTTCTCCTGCCTCAGCCTCTGGAGTAGCTGGGACTACAGGCACCCGCCACCAGGGCCGGCTAATTTTTTGTATTTTTAGTAGAGATGGGGTTTCACCGTGTTAGCCAGGATGGTCTCGATCTCCTGACCTTGTGATCCGCCCACCTCGGCCTCCCAGAGTGCTGGGATTACAGGCGTGAGCCACCGCACCCGGCCGGGATACAGATTTTAAAATAAACATTCAATTCCTTTAATGGTTCTAGATCTAGACAAACTTTTCTGCTTCTCCCTACTTTGTTTTTATGAAGTTATATTTTTCTTTTGAGACAGAATTTCTCTGTTGCAGTCACGCGATCTCGGCTCACTGCAACCTCCGCCTCCCAGGTTCAAGTGATTCTCCCGCCTCAGCCTCCCAAGTAGCTGGGGTTACAAGCATGTTCTACCACACCCAGCTAATTTTTGTATTTTTAGTAGAGTTGGGGTTTTACTATGCTTGCCAGGCTGGTCTCGAACTCCTGAGGTCAGGTGATCTGCCAACCTCGGCCTCCCAAAGTGCTGGGATTACAAGCATTAGCCACCCCACCTGGCCTGAAGTTATATTTTTCTATAAAACTGCCTGTTTTGATATTTTAAAAAAATCACTGGCATAACTTGGTTTATGTAATGTCCTTATGAGTTTTGTCTTAATATTATTTATTTATTTTATATATTTATTTAGAGATTGAGTCTTGCTCTATTGCCCAGGCTGGAGTGCAGTGGCCTGATCTTGGCTCACTGCGACCTCCGCCTCTCAGGTTCAAGCAATTCTCGTGCCTCAGCCTCCTGAGTAGCTGGGATTATAGGCACCCACCACCACACCCAGCTAATTTTTGTGTGTGTTTGTGGTTGTTGTTGTTGTTTCTTTTTGTGAGACAAAGTTTCGCTGTTGTTGCCCAGGCTGGAGTACAATGGCGCAATCTCAGCTCAGCACAACCTCCACCTCCCGGGTTCAAGCAATTCTCCTGCCTCAGCCTCCTGAGTGGCTGGGATGACAGGCATGCGCCACTACACCAGGCTAATTTTATATTTTTAGTAGAGATGGGGTTTCTCCATGTTGGTCACGCTGTTCTTGAACTCCTGACCTCAGGTGATCCGCCCGCCTCAGCCTCCCAAAGTGCTGGGATTACAAGGGTGAGCCACCGCACCTGGCCATTTTCATATTTTTAGTAGAGACGGAGTTTCACCATGTTGGCAAGGCTGGTCTCAAACTCCTGACCTCAAGTGATCTGCCAGTCTCGGCCTCCCAAAGTGCCAGGATTACAGGCGAGAGCCACCGCACCCGGCCTAGCCACCACGCCCGGCCCATTTATTTCTAAGTAGAAAATACATTTGTATATTTCAAAATTCAGAAGGCATCATCTCAACCCTGTCCCTATTCCTGCAGTTTCTCAGATACAACCAAATAGATTCAATTTCTTGGTATCTTTCTAGAGATAGTTTATGAATATAAACAAATATCCAAATAAATAAATATGTTCTTTTGCTTTTTTTATACAAATATTACTTTATTGTACCTATTGATCTGTTCCTTTCTCTTTCTTTCTTTTTATTATTTTATTTTATTTTTTGAGACAAGGTCTTGCTCTGTGGCCTAAGCTGGAGTATAGTTGTGCAATCTGGGCTCACTGCAGCCTTGACCTCCGAGGCTCAAGCGATCCTCCCACCTCAGCCTCCCGAATAGCTGGGACTATAGGGCCATGCCACCAAGCCCGGCTAAACTTTTTGTATGTGTTGTAAAGGCAGAGTTTCACCGTGTTGTCCAGCCTGGTCTCAAACTCTTGGGCTCCCGCGATCTGCCCAGGTAGGCCTCCCAAAGTGCTGGGATTACAGGCATGAGCCACCATGCCCAGCCTCCAGCTCTTATAGTGGACCTGATATTATAATGCCCACTTCCTATGATGAAAAGGAACTGAATGAGTGTGGAATCTCTAGGACCACGCTGGCATATAATGGGCCCTTGGGGTTTAGTTTAGTAGCAAATTAAAAGGTGCCCATTCCTCAAAACCTTCTATAGACGTTTTTCACGAAACTGCCATGGATAAATATCTGCAAATCAAAGCAAAACTTTAGGGACAAACTACATCAGTCTTTGCCTGTGAATTTTGCATCTATGATGCAAATGACATCCCTCTAAGGTGTTACCCTTCTGCAGTGCACTACCTGTGCAACTGTCCTCAGCAAAGATAGAGTAATCTGCAGTAACTGAGTGGTGGCTGCCCCCTTTACAGAGGCATAAGTTCTCAACTTGCCACAGTCTGCACCATTCTGCTTTGTTACCACTTGTGTCTGCACTGAGTCCCCACGTCAGCCGTGTGCTAAGTCCTATGGAGCTGGCCTTCACGGTGCTCACACACCTGTACCCTCCTCTGTGCCCCACGGACCCTGCACTCATCTGGGCCTTCATGTGCTCTCACTCATTCCTGTCACACAAACCCCTACTAAGTACTGCACATTGAACTGGGCATGGTATCCAAGATGCCCAAGCAAGTCCCTGCCCTCCCCATGTTCATGTTCTGGTGACCTCAGGAAACTATTAAAATATAAGGAGGGGTGTACACTCTACTTTTGAGAATGCAAACGGGCACAGCCTTTTTGGAAGGCAATTTATCATCATGCACTGAGAGCCTCAAAACTGCCTGTGCCCTTTGATACAATCATTTGACTAATGTGCTCTAGAGAAATAACCAGAGATGCATAAAAGATTGATGCCTAAAGATGCTCATGGGGCTGGATGCAGTGGCTCACACCTGTAATCCCAGCCCTTTTGGAGGCCTAGGTGGCTGGATCCCTTGAGGTCAGGAGTTTGAGACCAGCCTGACGAACATGGTGAAACCCCAGCTGTACTAAAAATACAAAATTAGCCAGGCATGATGGCGCACACCTGTAATCCCCGCTACTCAGGAGGCTGAGGCAGGAGAATTACTTGAATCCTGGAGGTGGAGGCTGCAGTTCTCACCATTGCACTCTAGCCTGGGCAACAAGAGCAAAACTCTGTCTCAAAAAAAAAAAAAGATGCCCATGGAAATGCTGTTTATCATAATGAAAATTGGAAGTGTCCCCAATAACAGGGGATTGGCCAACTAAAATTTGGATATGTTAAATGTTAAAAGCAAATGTTAAAAGCCACATGCTCAAAGAACACTTAACCATTCATGAAAATACACATGATTAATGTTCAGTGAGAAAATTGGGAAGAAAAAAATCACATGGCAGCTGGGTGCAGTGGCACGTGCCTGTAGCCCCAGCCATTCAGAGGCTGAGGTAGGAGGATTGCTTGAGCTCAGGAGTTGGAGACCAGCTGGGGCAATACAATAAGACCCTGTCTTTAAAAATCAATCAATCAATCACATGGCTTGTCTGACAGTTCCTCAAAAGCTTAATCATAGAATTACCATATAACCCATTAATTCCATTCCTAGGTATATACTTGAAAGAAATGAAGACATATGTCCCCACAAGAACTCCAGACTGCTGGTTCCATGGGATCTCACCTGGGGCACCTGCCTGGGTTCTTCATTGGCTGAGAGAGGATAAGTGGAGGTCTGGGCATGATGCTCCCTATCCACTGAGGTTTCGATCTGCAGGCGCAGCACCTGCAAGGCTGCCCTCTGCCCCTCCCCTGACTGTCTGCAGGTGGACTGTGGTGCTGGAAGCTTCACTTGAGTGGCTGTGAGAGAGATTAGGATCCCTTTTCATTCAATTTTGCCACTTTTTTTTTGAGTCAGGGTCTCACTCTGTCACCCAGTTGCAGTGCAGTGGTGTGATCGTAGCTCACTGCAGTCTCAAATTCCTTGGCTCAAGTGGTTCTCCTGTCTAAGCTCCCCAAGCAGCTGGAAGTACAGGTACAGGTCACCATACCTGGCTAAAGTTTTTAGAGATGGGGGCTTGCTATGTTGCCCAGGCTGGTTGCAAACTTCTGACCTCAAGTGATCCTGTGCCATGGTCTCTCATGTCTTGGGTCAATTTTGATTTTTTTTTTTTTTTTTTTTTTTGAGACAGAGTCTCACTGTCGCCCAGGCTGGAGTGCAGTGGTGCTATCTTGGCTCTCTGCAACTTCCGGCTCCCAGATTCAGGCAATTCTTCTACCTCAGCCTCCTGAGTAGCCAGGATTACAGGTGTGTGCCACCACGCCCGGCTGATTTTTTTTTTTTTTTTGATATTTTTTTTTAGTAGAGATAGGGTTTCACCAGGTTGGCCAGGCTGGTCTCGAACTCCTGACCTCAGGTGATCCACCCACCTCGGCCTTCCAAGTGCTGGGATTACAGGCATGATCCATTGCGCCTGGTGAATTTTGATTTTTTAATGTAGAAAAAGTGCCAGGTGAGATGGCTCACACCTATAATCTTAGCATGTTGGGAGGCTGAGGTGGGAGGATCCCTTGAAGCCTACAGTTCAAGACCATCCTGGGCAACACAGCAAGATCCCCATCTCTACAAAAAGCTTTTTAAAAAATTAGCCAGGCATGTGGCACATACCCGTAGTTTCGGGTACTCAGAAGACTGAAGCAGGAGGATCACCTGATCCCAGGAGTTTGTGGCTTCAGTGAGCTATGATTGTGCCACTGCACTCCAACCTGGGGAACAGGGCCAGATTCTATCTCAAAAAAAAAGGGAAGGAAACAAAAAAATTGAGTTACAAATCAGTGCTGATTCTAACCCTGATTTTTTTCAACCCAGACTTGAGTGAAAGCCTTTCCAGAAATGTGTCTGTGTAGTTTCAATTCTTCAGGTTTGGGACAACCGATGTCAAACGTCCTTACCATTTCCTTCTAATGGCCTGTTCTTGCCTTAACCATGTGCCTGCTGCTCTGAGAATTCCTGTCAGCACTGGATCTGTCATTCTAAAAGAAATAGAATGTCATATGGCATTATCCTGCCCAAATATACACTTACTTGTCACAATGTATGGTCATTATCAGAAGCCCCTAGTCTCGTGGGAATGCCATGGGCTTTGGAATCAGTTCAGGGTTGGGACCAAATCCTGTGTCTATCAGTGTGAGATCCTGGACAAGATTCTGAGTCAAAGAATCATAAACGATCAATCAATAACTAGCCTGGGATGGGCATGATGGTTCACGCCTATAATCCCAGGACCTCGGGAGGCCAAGGCAGGTGGATCACCTGAGGTCAGGAGTTCAAGACCACCCTGGCCAACATGGCAAAACCTGTCTTTACTAATAATACAAAAATTTGGCCGGAGTTGGTGGCTCATGCCTGTAATCCCAGAACTTCGGGAGGCCGAGGCAGGCAGATCACCTGAGGTCAGGAGTTCGAGATCAGTCTGGCCAACATGGTGAAACCCTGTCTCTACTAAAAATACAAAAATTAGCCGGGCATAGTGGTATGCACTTGTAATCCCAGCTACTCAGGGGGCTGAGGCAGGAGAATCACCTCCAGGAGAACCCAGAGGCAGAGGTTGCAGTGAGCCGAGATCGTGCCATTGCACTCCAGCCTGAGCAACAAGAGTGAAACTCTGTGTTGTAAAAGATAGAAGAAAAATTAGCTGGATGTGGTGGTGCTCACCTGTAACCTCAGCTACTCGGGAGGCTGAGGCAGGAGAATTGCTTGAACCAGAAAGCGGAGGTTTCAGTGAGCCGAGACCATGCCAATGCATTCCAGCCTGGGTGACAGAGCGAGACTCTACCTCAAAAAAACCCAAAAAACAAAAAAACAAAGAAAAACAATTAGCCTGAATTGAATATTCTACCTTCTATTCCTTAACTGTTGTTATCTGTTATCACTAGTATAATCTGACTAGCCCAGATTTTATTCTGAGCTTTGAGGGAAATAGTTTTGAAGACTTATAGTTCAAGGAAAATCTTTCCCTGGGCTCAGACTTGTGTTTTTGTGAAATGGGGCTAACGTCTACCCCGCAAGGCCATCATGAACATAAGCTGAGATGACAGACCTAAGGGAAAGGCCTTGCACAGAGAAGGACTCCATCAGTGCCAGTTCTGTTCTTCACAACCCCTTGGTTTTTTGTTTTTAATTGAGGAACAACATCTATGCTGAAAAATGCACAAAGATTAAGCATAGAGCTTGGAGAATTTTCACAAACAGCATAGGTGTCTATGTAACCAGCCCCCAGATCTGGAAATACAGCATAGCCGGGCATGGTGGTGGGCACCTGTAGTCCCTGCTATTCTGGAGGCTTAAGCAAGAGGATAGATAGCTTGAGTCCAGGAGCTCAGGGATGAAGAGAGCTACGATTGAGCCACTGCACTCCAGCCTGGTGACACAGTACGATCCCATTTCTAAATAAATAAATACAGCAGGCCTCTAAACATCCCCCATTGTCCCCTTCTCTCCTGGATCTTACTAGTTTGCGGGTATGAGACTGTCATCCACAGGGGAGAAGCCGCCCGAAGGAGCTTCTCTGAGACCTTGCGTGTGTGAGTGAAAAATGGTGAAGTTCTCAGATAGTAACAAAGTTCATCCTTGTAATGGGTGTCTCCTTAGGATATCCAGGTGAACGCAGAGTTTGATGGCCTTGCTAGCTCAGTGAAGGGAATTCTTCCAGAACTCTGCATAAAGACTGGCGCTTGCAGAGTGGAGTATAAAAAGGAGTTGCTGCCAGTCTTCAGATCAGCCCTGCCAGCGTCTGTCCCTAAGTGACCTTGGAGTGTGGCTTCCTCATCTCCAATCAGCTGCTTCGACCTCCAGGTTGAGGAGCTCTTTGATTCACGAGGCCTTGTTACCACTTGTGTCTGCACTGAGTCCTCACGTCAGCCGTGTGCTAAGTCCACACGGTGCTCACACACCTGTACCCTCCTCTGTGCCCCACGGACCCTGCACTCATCTGGGCCTTCATGTGCTCTCACTCATTCCTGTCACACAAACCCCTACTAAGTACTGCACATTCAACTGGGCATGGTATCCAAGATGCCCAAGCAAGTCCCTGCCCTCCCCATGTTCATGTTCTGATGACCTCAGGAAACTATTAAAATATAAGGAGGGGTGCACACTCTACTTTTGAGAATGCAAACGGGCACAGCCTTTTTGGAAAGCAATATATCATCATGCACTGAGAGCCTCAAAACTGCCTGTGCCCTTTGATACAATCATTTGACTAATGTGCTCTAGAGAAATAACCAGAGATGCATAAAAGATTGATGCCTAAAGATGCTCATGGGGCCGGACGCAGTGGCTCACACCTGTAATCCCAGCCCTTTTGGAGGCCTAGGTGGCTGGATCCCTTGAGGTCAGGAGTTTGAGACCAGCCTGACGAACATGGTGAAACCCCAGCTGTACTAAAAATACAAAATTAGCCAGGCATGATGGCGCACACCTGTAATCCCCGCTACTCAAGAGGCTGAGGCAGGAGAATTACTTGAATCCTGGAGGTGGAGGCTGCAGTTCTCACCATTGCACTCTAGCCTGGGCAACAAGAGCAAAACTCTGTCTCAAAAAAAAAAAAAAAAAGATGCCCATGGAAATGCTGTTTATCATAATGAAAATTGGAAGTGTCCCCAATAACAGGGGATTGGCCAACTAAAATTTGGATATGTTAAATGTTAAAAGCAAATGTTAAAAGCCACATGCTCAAAGAACACTTAACCATTCATGAAAATACACATGATTAATGTTCAGTGAGAAAATTGGGAAGAAAAAAATCACATGGCAGCTGGGTGCAGTGGCACGTGCCTGTAGCCCCAGCCATTCAGAGGCTGAGGTAGGAGGATTGCTTGAGCTCAGGAGTTGGAGACCAGCTGGGGCAATACAATAAGACCCTGTCTTTAAAAATCAATCAATCAATCACATGGCTTGTCTGACAGTTCCTCAAAAGCTTAATCATAGAATTACCATATAACCCATTAATTCCATTCCTAGGTATATACTTGAAAGAAATGAAGACATATGTCCCCACAAGAACTCGTGCACGAATATCCATAGCAACATTATTTATAATATTCTAAGAGTGAAAATGCCCACCAGTGGATAAATGCAACGTGGTATATCCATACAGTGGAATATTATTTGGCAATAAAAAGGAATTTGAGGTGATACCAATGTTCTAAAATGTATTGTGGTGATGGCTACGTAACTGTGCATATTCTAAAGGCAATTGAATTACAGATGCTTTACATGAATGAACTGCATGGTATGTGAATGGCATCTCAATAAAACTGTTTTGAAAAGAAGGAAAAGGACGGACACATGCTGAAAACGGGTGAAACTAGAAAACATGGCGCTAAGTGAAAGAAGCCAGCCACAAGATCACGTGTCGCATGACTGCATTTACGTGAAACATCCGGAGTACCCAAATCTATACAGACAGAAAGTAGATTATACATTGCCTAGGTGCAGAGAAATGGAAGGATTGGAGGTTGACGGCTAAAGGATGTGGATTTCTTTGGGGGGTGATAAAAATGTTCTAAAATTGATTGTGGTGATGTGCGACTCTATGAATACGCTAAAAACCGCTCGGTTGTACATTTTAAATGGGCGATTTATGCGGTATGTGAATTACATCTCAAGAAAGCTGCTGCAAAAAATATCATACGGGTTGAGCCTAGTGGTATTAAAAAAGTATAAATATGGCCAGGCGCGGTGGCTCACGCCCATAATCCCAGCACTTTGGGAGGCCGAGGCGGGCGGATCACGAGGTCAGGAGATCGAGACCATCCTGGCTAACACGATGAAACCCCGTCTCTACCAAAAATACAAAAAAAAATTAGCCAGGTGTGGTGGCGGGTGCCTGTAGTCCCAGCTAGGTGGGAGGCTGAGGCAGGAGAATGGCGTGAACCTGGGAGGCGGATCTTGCAGTGAGCCAAGATTGCGCCACTGCACTCCAGCCTGGGCGACACAGCGAGACTCCATCTCAAAAAATAAATAAATAAATAAAATAATTGTTTGGGTACACTGTTGCTGTTACGAAGCCTACGATTTGACTGTCTTGCCTTCATTGATGATCTTTTTCTCCCCATGGTTGCTTTTAAAATCTTGTGTTTGGTATCTTGTCATTTACTACTACCTTGAGTCTAGGCCTGGATTTTATTTAAATATATGTTTGGTATATATTGTGTTTCCTGAATTTACGAATTCATGTTTTACCAACAAATTTGGAACATTGTGTTATCTCTTCAAGTATTGCCTCCTTCATTCTCTAGATTCTCTCCCTCTAGTACTTCCAGTCTTTAAAATTCTTCCCTCCAAATCTCAACTTTCTAATGTTTTCTAGCTCCTTGTTTCTCCTACTGTTGTTTGTATAAAATTATAACGAAAAGTGTTTATAAGAAATTGTAAACAAATGTAAAACTAAATAAACATTGTTATGCAACATTTAAAAAATTGTTTGAACTGAAGGATAATAGTGACAAAGCCTATTAAAACCTCTGGGATACAGCAAAATTAAGAGGAAGGTTCATAGCATTAAATGCCTACATCAAAGAGCATGAATAGACAATCTAAAGTCATACCTCACAGAACTGGAGAAACAAGAACCAACCAAACCCAAACCCAGAAGAAAAAAGAAATAATAAAGATCAGAATTAAATAAAATTGAAACAAAAATACAAAAGATATATGAAACAAAAAACTGATTCTTTTAAGAGATAAACAAAATCAATAGACCATTAGTGAGATTAACTAAGAAAAAAAGGGAGAAGATCCAAATAAGCTCAATTAGAAATGAAATGGGAAATATTACAACCAATACCACAGAAATATGAAATATATTCAAGGCTACTATGAACACCCTTATGTGCACAGACTAGAAAATTTAGAGAGAGTGATAAATTCCTGGAAATATACAACCCTCCTAGATTAAAACACAAATAAATAGAAACTGCACTGGGTATAGTGGCTCACACCTGTAATCCCAGCACTTTAGGAGACTGAGGTGGGCAGATCACTTGAGGCCAGGAGTTTGAGACCAGCCTGGCCAACAGAGTTAAAACCCTGTCTCTACTGAAAATAAAAAAAATTAGCTGGGTGTGGTGGTGCACACCTGTAATCCCATCTACTCAGGAGGCTGAGGCAAGAGAATCACTTGAGCCTGGGAGGCAGAGGTTGCAGTGAGCTCAGATTGTGCCACTGCACTCCAGCCTGGGCGACAGAGCGAGATCCTACGTGGAAAAAAAAAAGAGAAAGAAACTGAACAGACAAGTAACAAGCAGTGAGACTGAAACAATAGTAAAAAAAATTGCCAACAATAAAAATGTCCAGGACCAAATGGATTAACAGCTGAATTCTATCAGGCATTCGAAGAATTGGTACCAATCTTACTGAAATGATTTCAAAAGATAAAGAAAGAGGAAATCCTCCTTAAATCATTCTATGAGGCCAGTAACACCCTAATACCAAAACCAGGAAAGAACATAACAAAAAAAGAAAACTATAGACCAATAGTTCAGACTCTGTAGGTCTATAGTTCAGCCCCTGATGAACATAGATGCAAAAATCTTCAACAAAATACTAGCTGAGTCCAACATTATATCAAAAAGATAATACACCATGATCACGTGGGTTTCATATCAGGGATGAAGGGATGGTTTAACATATGCAAGTCAATAAATGTAATTAATCACATATAAATAATTAAAAATTTAAAAATATGATTTCAATTGATGCAAAAAAACCCATTTCACAAAATCCAGCATCCATTTATGATTAAAACCATCAGAAAAAGCATAGAAGGGACATACCTCAAGGTAATAAAAGCCATCTATGAAAAATCCATAGTCAACATTATACTAAACAGAGAAAAATCTACAGCATTTCGCCTAAGAACTGGAACAAGAAAAGGATATCCACTTTCACCTCTTCTATTCAACATTGTACTGGAAATTTTAGCCAGAGCAATCAGACAAGAGAAACAAAGGGCATTCAAATAGGTAAAGAGGAAGTCAAACTGCTGCTGTTCACTGATGATATGATTGTATACCTAGAAAACCCTAAGGACTCATCCAAAAAGTTCTTAGATCTAATACATGAATTCAGCCAAGTTTCAGGATACAAAATCAATGTACACAAATCAGAGGTAGCACTGTTATACACCTCCAATGACCAAGCTGAGAATCAAATCAAGAACTCAACCTCTTTTACAACAACTGCAAAAAATAAAATACTTAGGAATGTATACCTAACCAAGGAGATGAAAGATCTCTAAAAGGAAAACTAAGGGACACTGCTGAAAGAGATTATACACAACACAAACAAGTGCAAACACCTCCCATGCTCATCGATGAGTAGAATCAATATTGTGAAAATGACCATACTGACTAAAGCAACCTACAAATTTAATGCAATTCTCATCAAAATACCATCATTACTCTTCACAGAACTAGAAAAAACAACCCTAAAATTCATATGGAACCAAAAAAAAGCCCTCAAAGCCAAAGTAAAACTAAGCAAAAAAAAAAAAAAAAAAAATCTAGAGGCATTACATTACCCAACTTCAAACTATACTACAAGGCTAGAGTTACCAAAACAGCATGGTACTGGTATAAAAATAGGCACATAGACAAATGGAACAGAATAGAGAACCAGAAATAAAACCAAATACTTACAGTCAACTGACCTTTGACAGAGCAAATACAAAGTGGGGAAAGGACATTCTATTCAACAAATGGTGCTAGGATAATTTGCAAACCACATGTAGAAGAAAAAAGCTGGATCCTCATCTCTCACTTTTTACAAAAATCAACTCAAGATGGATGAAAGACTTAAATCTAAGCCCTGAAACCATAAAACTTCTAGAATATAACATTAGAAAAGCTCTTCTAGACATTGGCTTAGGCAAAGACTTCATGAATAAGAACTCAAAAGCAAATGGAACAAAAACAAAGATAAGTAGCTAGGACCAAATTAAGCTAGAAAGCCTCTTCACAGAAAAAGAAATAATCAGCAGAGTAAACAGACAACCCACAGATTAGGAGAAAATATTTTGCATACTATTCATCTGACAAAGGACTAATATCCAGAATCTACATGGAACTCAAACAAATCAGCAAGAATAAACAAATCCCATCAAAAAGTGGGCAAAGGGTATGACTAGGCAATTCTGAAAAGAAGATACACAAATGGCCAAGAAACAAATGAAAACATGCTCAACATTACTAATTATCAGGGAAATGCATATCAAAACCACAATGAGATGCCACCTTACTCCTGCAAGAATAGCCACAATTAAGAAAATAAAAAAACAACAGATGTTGGCATGAATATGGTGTAAAGGGAACATTTTTACACTGCTGGTGGGAATGTAAACTAGTACAACCACTATGGAAAACAGTATGGAGATTCCTTAAAGATCTATAAATAGATTTCATCCACAATCCCACCACTGGGTATATACCCAGAGAAAAAGAAGTCATTATATGAAAAAGACATTTGCACACTATATAATAATTTATACTTAAAATTGTTTAAATTTAATATTAACAAAAATAAATGTAATATGCCACACAAGTAGGTATTCAATAAAACTAAATACAATTACGTTTAACTTTTGAAACTATGTTATACTATGAAAAAAATCCTATTAACTTTTGAATATTTAGCCAAGGAAACCAAGTATATCTCTTCTTTAAAAAGTCTGATTCCAATTTTAACAAACAGGTGTTTTTGACAACCAGTTTATTTCCTTACTGAAATTTTCAAGGCACAGAAAGAACAAAAGAAGAAACATCCATTACACTGCCCAAAACAACAGTACCTGAAGGATTTAGAGGCAAAAATGAAGCCTGAGAATAGCAGGACATAGACATATTTCGTAACATAGACTCATAGCAGAATAATCGTTATGTTGGTTCACTAGGGAAGAAAACACTAAACAGCTCTTGCAAATACACTCAATATACAATAAGATAGCTTGTGATTTTAACGAGTTAGCAATGCAGAACAATGAAGCAAAAGCAAACAAAAAAACTAAAAATAACTAAATAAAACAAACACTAAATAAAAACAAAAATAAATCCATTTTCTAGAAAAATTTTTAAAGACTTTGCTTGATTTACCAAAGAATTCAGTATTGACTTATTCTGTCTCCATTTTATTTTATAATGGAACCCATCTAATTTTATGCTAAATGTATGCCGTAAGGACACCTTGCTACTCTGGAAAGAATAAGAGGAGAGTGGACAGAAGGCCATACTCTATTGAAAAAGAGTATCTCCAGCCTGGTAACAGAGACTCCATCTCAAAAAAAAAAAAAAAAAGAGTGTGTTTTCATATATGATTTTGTGACTCTACATTTTTAAGTAAGGATGAAGAACTTGGTAATTAAATGATTCCTCAGTTGCTCATCACTGTCATCAGACACCTTGAGTATACTGTGGGGACAGCATCTGGAAGAGGAGGAGACCTGAGTAATAATTTGGATGGAGCCGATTTCCACAATCCTACTTTCCCATTATCTGCAGTTCAGAATTTAACTAAGTATCTGTATTGTTAATCTGGGTGAACGACCTCAGTAGACACCAGACAGCTGGATGCCTGCACTTCTTTAGATTTCATATTAATGGTTCATATACTCTCCCCATCCCTGTCACTTTTATACTTCCCTGAAACTGGATTACATATGAGATAGAAACAAGGAATCCAGGTATTATATTGACTCTTTCTCAGGAGCCACTGCATTGGTGTTCATGATGCATTACTGAATGTACCAGCTGCCTCCCTCTTCTTGTGAAGGCCCTTCTTTATTCCCTCAGATGTGCTCATCACGAGATAGCTTCAAGCATATCATCTGCTTGCCTTGCCAGTTATAGCAACCATAAAAATAAATTTGCAGCATCATATATAGCTTGAATATTCTCAAAAGATGTTCCTAATAGCTCTTAAAATAAAATGTTTTCCACAGAGTAGCTATACATAACGTGCTCTCAGCTTATGTAAACTTATGTTTTTATTGGTCTTAAAGCAAAACTTCTCCTAAAATTGAGAAAAGAACTAAAGTCTTTTGTCATTAGATGAAGAAAGATACAGCATCTAATACTGTGAACTTCTCTATTTTAAGATGTTTTCAGACATCAAGACTGGATGATAAAATTATTTAACAATTTGGAATATAAATTAAGAAATAAAAAACCTTTATACTATACTATATTACTAACATTTTTGTTTGATCGTGGCTGCCTTATAACTTTTTGGTAGTTCATTGAAAATAATGGCTACTCGTGAGAAAACTGAAATAGCCTAGGACATAGAAGACAGAGACAGAAAAAAAAGGTAAATTAACTATTTGTGCCACGTGGTAAAGAAAGTTTACAGTATGTAGTCATTAAATGTACTTGCTTATAATTACATAATATAACCAATGATGAACAATTTTAAATGCAATTTAGAATTCAGAATATTTTATATTTAATATATGTTTCTCAAAGAAATATAAGATCTACTGAATGGGGAGATACTTTATATGTGTAATTACTTACAAATGGGAGAAAACTTTTACAATAGTTTGTACTCTTTAGCTATAAGCTGTAATTTAAGAGATTCAGTAAGAGTAGCTTTTTGTAACTTAAATATTCTATATTTTCCTTGCACACATTTTTGCCTTTAATCATGTATTTTATTCAACCTGCTAAGATGGTAGAGAATATACATACGTAAGATTACATTAATAATTACTAAAATAATGGTCTATGACAAATTTAAAGTGCAGTAGGAAAAAAGTTTAATAAAAACAACAGAGATATACAGAATGTGGCTTTCCACAGTTTGTCTCCCATATTATTCCTATCATTTACTCTGTTTCTAAGGTTAAGTAACATTAAGATGAGGCGTAAGTGTTGTAATATGCCTTTAATTATTAAATATAAATGTATCACATGGCAATTATATTCAACATACTCTTATTCCAAGCTATGTACAATTTTAATAATTTTATACAGGTAGCTTTGAAAATGAGCGAATTTGAATATAACCAATAATCACAGAAATATTTATAGTGCAAATATTCTCAGCAAGATTTGAATTGTTGGTAAATTCAAAACAAATAGAAATACAAAGAAAAATTTTGTATAATACTTTTCATCTAGTTTATGTTACAGTGTTTTAAATTCAGCTTAGTCACATATCATGATACAATGCTTTTGGTTTTGTTTTTTTGAAACAGAGTCTCACTCGCTCCGTTGCCCAGGCTGGAGTGCAGTGGCGTGATCTCGGCTCAGCTCACTGCATCCCCTGCCTCTCGTGTTCACATGATTCTTGTATCTCAGTCTCCTGAGTAGCTGGGATTATAGTAGTGTGCCACCATGGCTAGCTATTTTTATTTTTTTTGTAGTTTTAGTAAAGACAGGGTTTTGCCGTGTTGGCCAGGCTGGTCTGGAACTTGGCCTCAAGTGATCCACCCACCTCAACTTCCCAAAGTGCCAAGATTATGGGCATGAGCCATGGCACCTGGCCCTGATATGTTTGGAAATAGTGGGTGAATGCTGCATTTGAGATACTAGAGACCTGTTTGGAGCATTAAGCGAATGCATCTTATTAAGAATGTATTCTTTACCATTCTATGCAATGGCTTACATATCTGTGTATTTTCTTGGCTTGTCTACATGATATACAAATATTTGGATACATACAGAAATATAGGTCACTCATGTAAAAGCTTTTCAATCTGGCACATAAATTCAGGTTATTTGAAAACGGAATGGTAAAGTGTTACTGAAGAACTTTTACTATGGTTCATGTTTGGTAATATTTGCTAATATTCTAAAAACAAAACAAAAACCAAAAAATACCTTGATTTCATAATGTAAACATCTGATGTCTAAATTAATCAATAAAATAATTTTTGTGTTTTAACTAATTATATTTTATTTTGGTGCCGCGTAATTTCATGATAGATTAAATACTGAGACTCATTAGAGGTAAACTAGTGAATTATCATCCCGTTAAGAAAAATTTTGCTTCCGTTCGTGGGGGAGCTGCGGCGGTGGCGGTGCAGGAGGCCGGGCCGGGGCGCGGAGGGACCGACGGATGCACGGGCGGGCGGTCGGGAGCCATGGAGCGCGGCCCTGGGGCCCGGGGGCGCGGGCCGGGGTGGCCTTCCCACGGCACGACATGGAGACCTGTGGTTGCGAGGCTCCCTGGGGCGGCTTGGACCGCGATGGGGCTGGGCCCTGGCCTCCTAATGGGGCTGCCGTCTGGGGCTCTCACCCCTGCCCGCGACTCGGAGCACCCCCACCCCTCCCCTGCCCGGCCAGGCCGGGCGGCGTTGTTGGCGGGGGCCCCGGTGGAGGCCCGGCCCGGGAGGCGCCTGCCATGAACGGGCTGTCGCTGAGTGAGCTCTGCTGCCTTTTCTGCTACCCGCCCTGCCCCGGCCGCATCGCTGCCAAGCTCGCCTTCCTGCCGCCGGAGGCCACCTACTCCCTGGTGCCTGAGCCCGGGCCTGGTGGGGCCGGGGCCTGGTGGGGCCGGGGCCGCCCCCTTGGGGACCCTGCGGGCCTCCTCGGGCGCTGGAAGCTGCACCTGACGGAGCTCGCCGACTTCCAGTACAGCCAGCGCGAGCTGGACACCATCGAGGTCTTCCCCACTAAGAGCGCCCACGGCAACCGCGTCTCCTGCATGTATGTTCGCTGCGTGCCTGGTGCCAGGTACACGGTCTTCTTCTCGCACGGCAACGCGGTGGACCTGGGCCAGATGAGCAGCTTCTATACTGGGCTGAACTCCCGCCTCCACTGCAACATCATCTACGACTACTCCGGCTACGGTGCCAGCGCGGGCAGGCCTTCCGAGTGGAACCTCTATGCCGACATCGACGCCGCCTGGCAGGCCCTGCGCACCAGGTGAGGGCGACCCTGGGGGCAGCTCAGCCTGGGCACACCCAAGAGGGGACCAAGCCGGGGGCCGGGGGGCGGGCTTCCCTGGGAGGAAGTTGGGCGGCCCTGCAGGAGGGGAGCCACAGTGGATGCACAGGGCCAGAGAGCCGGACAGGCGAGCTTGGGTGTGCAGGTGCCGCCTCCACATGGCTGAGGTGTGGCCAGGCGGTCCTCCCACACCCTGGCCTGTGGAGCCAGGCTCCCTGGGAACCCCTGGCCTGAGGACGGGAAGGGGCTGAGCTTATCACAGGGGCGTGGATGCCACCCGGCAGTCGGGAGTGGGTGGTGGTCTGGGGGTCTGTGCACGTGTGGCTGGGAGCCCATCTGCGGAGGCAGCACTTGGGGCCAAGTGAGGCGAGGCTGCTGCATCCAGGTCCCGAGGCCTGGCCCATGAGGCCCTGTGGCTGCGGAGCTTGGCCATCCTGGGGCAGGGCCTGCAGGGTAAGGTGCAGACCCCCAGCACACACCCGAGGTCTGGGCCAGCCTCGATTCCAGATCCAGCCCTCCTAGTCATCCAGGTCCCCAGCCCTGCGCTTGCCTGGGCCCTTCACCGGTGTTTGAGCACCGCCCGGGCCAGTGCTGCTTTGGACGAGGAGACCCGGGTGGGCCTCTGGTGGCCTTTCCTGCTCGCCATCCACTGGGGCTGTCTCGTCCTGGCCCTCCCCAGCCCACTGGTCTGACCTGCTCCCGCAGGGGACCAGGCACAACTCTGAGAAGTCAGAGGCCCTGGGGAGGTGGGGTCCTCGTTGCCTTGGTGATATTGCAGGCGGTCCCTGCTGTGGGCCTGGGAGCTGGTCCCCTGGCACCACCCTGGCTCCGGGGGCCTCCCAGCAGTGTGGGGCGCTGACACCAATCACCACTTCATGCGACTTCCTCGGCCCCTCCTGTCTCTACTGCCTGGGCCTCTGGCAGAGTCACACCCGCCATGGCCAGCTCTGAGCTCTGTCTGCTCGGCCATCTGTCCTGCTGCCACTTTGTCCTGCAGGAACCTAGGCCCAGAGCTGTGAGGGGGAGGCCAGAGCATGCCCAGGGCCTCCACTGGGGATGTGTCCCGTTCCTTTGAGTGGTGACATCCAGGTGGCAGCTGGGGGCTCCTGACTGTAGCAGGTGGTAGGGCTGGGCTGGCTCAGCACACTACTGACCATGGCTGCCAGGGAGCAGGCCGGGGAGGCCGAGGCAGAGCTGGGGCCACAGGCACCAGCCAGGCAGCATCCTTTGGGGCATGGGTGAGTGGCGAGCTGTGGAGTGCTGCCAGGAGGCTGGGATTCCAGGCCAGGGACGGGGACAGCCCGCTGGTGGAGTCCGAATGCCAGGCAGAGGGGATGCACACCTGCCCATGCTCCTGCCTTGCAAGAGGGCGTCTGCCTGGGATCAGAGCCTGGAGCGTGTGGGAGGAGAGTTGTGGGGTCCCGGCATGGGCAGGGTGGCAGGTGGGTCCCGCGTGGTTGGGATTGGGCACGAGGAGGCCTTGTAACTGTTGCTGGATCAGCTGGGTCAGGGGCCGCACACCAGTGACCTGGGGGTGGGGGTGCCCCTGGGTGGGAGCTGGTGGTGCTGAGGTGGCCGAGGACTTGTCCACTCCCAAGGGAAGGTGCTGGTGGGAGGGGGTGCCACCTCCGCAGCCACCACCCTCGATGCTGACCTGGGTTGCACTGGCATCTCATTGGGCGTGGGGACTCCGAGACTCCAAAATCGGGTGGAGACATTTGGGGACACAGCTGCCTGAATTCCTCATGGCCAAGGGGGTGGGCAAAGGCTGCAGGGAGGAAGAGTGTCTGCTGTCCTGGCCAGTGCACCAGGAACGGCTTTCTAACCCGGGCAGGGAGGCGTGAAGCATTCAGAATGTAGGGGGCACACAGTTCCCAGTGTGCACCTAGGGGTGACCAGGAGGAGGAGAGGTGCCAGGGCCTCCCCTACCCCTGCCCCAGGGGCACTCTGTAGGCGGGATCCCTGCAGATCCTTGCTAGGAAACGCCAGTGAACGGCAGCGCCAGGGAATAGGGCGGGGCCGCTGGCTTCGCCCACCGCCGCGGTGTTGGGGGCTGGGGGTGGCCCTCGGGACTGGTGTGGAGCCTGGGTCTGACCCACTGACTTAGCTGAGTGGGGAGACTGGAGGGTCGCATCCGGAGCTGGGCCCGGGGACGCCCGCTGGTGGGAAGGGTGCGCCCGCGTCGGAGGCCGCGGCTGACCCTGCTCCGGCGCCGCCAGGTACGGCATCAGCCCGGACAGCATCATCCTGTACGGGCAGAGCATCGGCACGGTGCCCACCGTGGACCTGGCCTCGCGCTACGAGTGTGCCGCGGTGGTGCTGCACTCGCCGCTCACCTCGGGCATGCGCGTCGCCTTCCCCGACACCAAGACCTACTGCTTCGACGCCTTCCCTAACATCGAGAAGGTGTCCAAGATCACGTCGCCCGTGCTCATCATCCACGGCATGGAGGACGAGGTGATCGACTTCTCACACGGGCTGGCGCTCTACGAGCGCTGCCCCAAGGCGGTGGAGCCGCTGTGGGTGGAGGGCGCCGGGCACAACGACATCGAGCTCTACAGCCAGTACCTGGAGCGCCTGCGTCGCTTCATCTCCCAGGAGCTGCCCAGCCAGCGCGCCTAGCGGCGGGCCCCAACCGGCCGGACCTCAGCAATAAGGCGGCCCCCGGACCTCACCCCGCGCCGGCCCCCCAGGGGCTGCATGTGGACCCCCGGGCGGCCTAGGGGACCCTGCCCCGACCCAGGGGCTGTGGACGATGTACACAGTCAACAGAGCTACGCACTCCTTTCCTTTTGGAAGCAAAAAGAAAATATGTGAAAACAGAAATTAAAGATTTAAAATTTAAAAAAAAAAAAGAAAAAAAAATTTTGTTTCCGGGAAGTAACATCTTAATTTAAATGGAGGAATTTACCAAATCAAGTACAAGGATTTTATTTCTGCTACTAAATGGAAGATATATGTAAAATATAGACTCCATCACTCTATTCTTTACTATCATGAGAATTAATATAGACAGCATATTTTAGACAGAGCATACAAAGCCTTATGTTCACTGAATTACAAGTAAAATATATGTACGTATCTATAAATAATTATATATCTAATTTAGATAGTAAATGACAGAATTTACTTATTTACCTGTGCATGATGGAATTTGATTCTAGCAATTATTCCGGGTACGATAACTGGTTGAAAATGGGATATGAAGTAAACTGGTATGCTTAAAAGTAACTACATCAAGTGAATTCATTATAATGTCTCCAAGCAAGGCAAGACCACCCTCATGAGATAAGAAATGAGAGGCTACTTATTTTGACTAAGTTGACTCAATGACTTGGGGAACCAAGGACTATATGTACATGGATACTTGTTTTGTACCCCCCCAAAAAAATGTGTTTCCACTGCAGTATTTGGGAACCCATTATTTCTTGATTCATGCTCTTATTTTCATATAAGAGAAGCGTTGATACCCCAAAATCAACTTAAATTTTAATTAACCAAATATAAAATTTTTAAAGACAAAAAAAATTTCATAATAAGAGTTAAGCCAACAGAAAGGGAATATGAAACAACAGAGAAAATCAATAAACCAAAATTAAATGTTTGAAAAGATAACAAAATTGGCAAATGTTTACTTAGGTCAATCAAGAAAAAGAGAGAAGAGACTCAAATTACTAAAATCAGCAATAAAAGAAAACCCATCACTGCCAGTATTACAAAATAAAAATACAAGACAATGCAGTGAAAATCTTATGTTAAAAAAATCAGATAGCCTAGATAGAATGGATGAATTCCTAGAAAGACACAAACTAAAATAGATGAAAGGACTAAGGAGAAATAGAAAATCGAAATAGATCTACAGAAGGTAAAAAGATTGGATTGTAATTTTAAAAACTTACAATAAAAATCTCAAGTAGCTTCCCAGGCAAAATCTATCAAACACACTGAGAAATTAATATCAATTGTTCACCAACTCTTGCAGAAAATAAAAGGGGAGAGAACACTTCCCAATTCATTTTATAAAGCCAGGATTACTGACACCAAAACTGTATCACAAAACAATATAGAACAGTATCTTTCATTTTGTGTGTGTGTGACAGAGTCTCACTCTGTCATCCAGGCTGGAGTGTAGTGGTGCAATCTCAACCCACTGCGACCTCTACCTTCCAGGTTCAAGCGATTCTCCTGCCTCAGCCTCCCAAGTAGCTGGGATTACAGGCGTGCACCACCATGCATGGCTAATTTTTGTATTTTTAGTAGAGACAGGGTTTCACCATGTTGGCCAGGCTGGTCTCGAACTCCTGACCTCAGGTGATCTACCCACCTAGGCCTCCCAAAGTGCTGGGATTATACAGGCGTGAGCCGCCACGCCCAGCACATTGTTTTATAAAATCAAAAGTCTTCAACAAAATATTGCCAAACTGAATCCAGAAACATATAAAATAGATTATGCACTATACGCAGATGTGATTTACCCCAGGAATGCACCATTGATTTAATATTTGAAAATCATTGCATGCAAACACCATATTAACAGAATAAAAGACAAAAATATATAAGCATCTCAGACAGAAAGCATTTGAGAAAATATCACACATTCTAATAATAAAAACACTCCAGGCTGGGAGCGGTGGCTCACAACTGTAATCCCAGCACTTTGGGAGGCTGAGGCGGGCGCAATCACGAGGTCAAGAGACTGAGACCATCCTAGCCAACATGGTGAAACCCCGTCTCTACTAAAAATACAAAAACTCAGCCAGACATGGTGGCAGGCGCCTGTAATCCCAGCTACTTGGGAGGCTGAGGCAGGAGAATCGCTTGAACCTGGGAGGCGGAGGTTGCAGTGAGCCAAGACCTCGCCATTGTACCACTCCAGCCTGGGCAAAAAGAGTGAAACTCTGTCTCCAAAAAAAAAAAAAAACAACAAAAAAAAAACAAAACACTCCAAATTTACGAACAATAAGGTAACTTCCTGAAACTAGTGGTAGTTACCTATGAAACTTACAGCTATCATTATACTCAGCAATGAGAGGGTGAATGACTAATCAGTTACAAGAATGTCCACTCTTGCAAATTCTATTCAACATTATATTGTAGATTGTAGCGAGGTGTAGTAAAGAACGGAAAATTTAAAACATCCTTATTGAAAAGAAAATAATTTTTTTATATTTACACATGGCACGATCTCATATATAATTCTAAGAAATTCAGTAAAATACTATTAGAAATAAATTTGACGTAGTTTCAAGATATAAATGCAATACTAAAAATTTAATTTTATTTCTATATACTATCAATAAACTGCTTTAAAATGGTATTAAGGAAACAAACCCATGTATAATACCAACAAAACAAGTAATAAATTTAGAAATTAACAAGAGCAGTGCAAAATTCATACTTTGAAACCTGCAAAATATTGTTGAAATAAGTTGAAGAACAATTAAATAAATGAGAAGTGGTGGAGCGAGATGGCAGAATAGAACTCTACAAGATTGTCTCCCTGCAGGAACATCAAATTGAACCACCAACAATCTAAGCAAGAGAATACCTTCACAAGAGCCAAAGAAATCAGGTGACAGATCACAGAACCTGGTTTTAGCTTAAAAACAAGAAAAGACACATTAAACAGGGTGGAAAAGACAGTCTTGCAGTGCCTATACCATCCCTCCCTCAACCCCAGGCAGTGCAGAGAGACAATGTGTCCACTTCCAGGAGGGAGAAGAGAGTGTGCATTAAACTTTGCCTTGGAGCCCAGTACCAGCTCTGCTACAGTAAAACACAGCACTGGGCAGAACCCCATGGTCCTTGATTCCAGGCCGGTGCCCACAGACAGAGCATTTAGACATGACCTGGGCTAGAAGGGAATCCACTGCCCGGTGGGACAAACCTGAGTCCTGACTTCCTTCACCACCAGCTGTTTAAAGTGGCCTCAGGCTCTGAATAAATTTCAGTGGCAGGCAGGCCATAGCCACTGTGGTCCTTGGGTGAGCCCCAGCAACCAATGATGTGCTGGTCTGGGAGGCTGTGGGTTTCATATATGACATCCGCTACAGTGGCCACAGGGCTGCCTGTGTTACCCTAATCCCAACTCCAGGCAGTGCAGTGCCGGGAGAACTCCTTTCCTATGCAGGAAAGAGGAGAACCCAGTCCAGGCTCCACCACGGTGGACACAGCATCAGGCAGAACACAGTGGCCCTGATCCCAGGCAGGAGCTCCCAGACACCTCTAGACCTGCCTGGAGGTAGAAGAGAACCTGCTGCCCTGGCGGGATGGACCTAAACCCTGGCCAGCTTCACCACCAGCAGAGTAGCTCGGCCTCAAGACCTACATAAGTCAGCAGCAGTCAGGCAGTAGTGGCCACAGGACTCAGACAAGCCCCAGTGCTGCTCTGGTCCTAGAGGCTGTGGGCTTCGGGTATGTGGTGCCAGCTGCAGTGGCCATGGGAGTGCCCAAGCCACCCTTCTCCCAGATCCACAAAGCTTAGTACCCAGACTCCTTCCAATGGGAAGAAGAGGGAAGTGAATGAAGCACTTTGCCTGGGAACCCAGGGAACCCCTCCCTTATCTTCTCCAAGTCCATCAGGGCCCTCTGGGACCTCAGTCCTGCAAGAGTCACAGTGAACCTGAGCTTAGGGCACCCTGGTGCTGAAACAGCTTCAGTGACCCCAGCCTTAGGGAACTCAATAGTCAGTACCCTTGGAATTTCTGGAAGACCATCTAGAGGAGGACAGGTACAAACAAGACCAGACTACAAAGACTGGAATAAATACTGACTTATTCAATTCCCAGGCATGAACATAGGCCCAAATGCATTAAGAACATTCAGGGAAGTATGACCTCACCAAACAATAAACAAGTCACCAGTGACTAACCTAGGAGAGATAAAGATGTTAAACTATTCAGAGAGGGAGGTAAAAAATAGCTGTTTTGAGGAAAATCAATGCAATTTTAAAAATATAAGTAATTCGGAAATGTATCAAAGAAATTTAACAAAGAGATTGAAATAATTTTAAAAGACCACAAAAACCTCAAAGCTGAAAAATATAATGGATGCACTGAAAAATGCATGAGAGGGCCTCAACAGCAGAACTGATCCAACAGAGAAAGAATCAGTGAGCTCACACAGGCCATTTGAAATACACAATAGGAGAAAAAAGAAAAGAAAAAAAAGAATGAAGGCAGCTTAGGAAATCTATGGGATAGTATCAGAAGAGCAAATTTAAGAGTCATTGGTCTTCAAGAGAAAGCAGAGAAAGAGTAGAAAGCTTATTCAAAAAGATGGTAACAGAAAGCTTTCCAATTCAAGAGAAATATATAAATATCCAGGTACATGAAGACCAAAGATCATCAAGCAGATTCAAGCCAAATAAGACTACGCCAAAGTGGCCAGGTGCGGTGGCTCAGGCCTGTAATCCCAAGTACTTTGGGAGGCCGAGGCAGGTGAATCACTTGAGGTCAGGAGTTCGAGACCACCCTGGCCAACATGGTGCAACCCCATCTCTACTAAAAATACAAAAATTAGCCAAGTATGGTCGTGGGTGCCTATAATCCTAGCTACTTGGGAGGCTGAGCAAGAGGATTGCTTGAACCCAGGAGGCAGAGGTTGCAGTGAGCCAAGACTGTGCCACTGTACTCCAGCCTGGGCAACAAGAGCGAGACTCCATCTCAAGGAAAAAAAAAAAAAAACTATGCCAAGGCATATAATAATCCAACTCCAAATGTCAAGGACAAAGAGGATACTATAAACAGCAAGAGAAGTGAATCAAACAACATATTGAGGACCTTTGATATGTCAGGAAGCAGAGTTCTCAGCAAAAATTAAACAGGCTGAGGGCCTCCCTCCTATGGGAGAAGTGGGATGACATATTCAAAGTGCTTAAGAAAAACAATACCAATGAAAAAAACCACACCCAAAGAATAGATCCTTCAAAAATGAAGAAGAGATAAATACTTTTCCCAGACAAAAGCTGAGGAAATGCATCACTACCAAACCTGGTTTACAAGAAATGCTAAAGGGAGTTGTTCAGTCTGAAAGAAAATGATGCTAACATGTAACAAGAAACCATCTGAAGGTATAAATCTCATTACTAAAAGTACACAGATAAATTTAGAATACTATAGTTGTGATGTATAAGCAACCTATATCTTTCATGTGAAGGCTAAAATACAAAATTGTTAAAATAATAATATAACCCAACAATTTTTAAAGGGATAGGCAATATAGAAACATACTGAGCCTGTAATCCCAGCACTTTGGGAGGCCAAGGCGGGCGGATCACAAGGTCAGGAGATCGAGACCATCCTGGCTAACATGGTGAAACCCCATCTCTACTAAAAATACAAAAAATTAGCCAGGCGCGTTGGCTGGCGCCTGTAGTCCCAGCTACTCGGGAGGCTGAGAATGGTGTGAACCTGGGAGGCGGAGCGTGCGGTGAGCCAAGATAGCGCCACTGCACTCCGGCCTGGGCCAAAGAGCGAGACTCCGTCTCAAAAAAAAAAAAAAAAAAAAAAAAAAATACTGAAAGACATCTAAATACAAAATGTGTGTGTGTTGCGGGGGATAGAGTTACAGGGTAAATGTTTTTAGTTTTTTTTGTTTCTCTCTTTTTTGTTCTTTGCAATCAAGGTTAAGTTTTCTTCAGTTTAAAATAACTCGTTATAATTATGTTGTTTAGCCTCATGCTGACCAGAAAACAAAAATCAGTAATAGACACCCTAAAAATAAAAAAGCAAGAAATTAAAACACACTACCAGAGAAAATGACCTCACTACAAATAAAGACAGGAAGGAAGGGAAAGAGGAAGGAAAAGAAAGGAAGAAAGGAGAGAGAGAGGAGAGAAGAGAAAGGAAAGGAGAAAACAAAAAAAGAGAGTAGCAAAACAACTAGAAAACAAGTAAAAAATGGCAACAGTATGTTTTTACCTGTTAGTAATAATCTTGAATATAAATGAATTAAATTCTCCAATTAAGACAAAGTGGCTGAGTGGATTTAAAGACAAGACCCAACTATATACTGACTAAGACACTCACTTCACCTATAAAGACATACATAGACTGAAAATGAAAGGATGATAAAAGATATCCCATACAAATGGAAACAAAAAAGCAGGAGTAGCTACACTTATATCTGATAAAATAGACTTTAAGTCAAAAAAAGAAAAACTAGAAAGATAATTATATAAGGGTAAAGAAGTCAACACAGCAGTATAAAAGTAGAAAGATCTCAAATACCCAACCTGACAATACACCAAGTAATGAGAAAAACAAGAAAAATCAAATTAGTAGAAATAAAATAATAAAGATTAGAAAAAAATTAAAAATTGAAACTAAAAAAAATACAAAAAGTCAAACGGAACCAAAAGCTGGGGTTTTTTTGTTTTTGGAAAAAAGTCAAAATTGACAAGCTTTAACTAGACTAAGAAAAACTGAAAATGATAGACGAAAAAGGAGACATTACAGTTGATCACACAGAAATACAAAGTATTCTAAGAGATTACTAAAAACACTTATATACAAATTGAAAAATGTAGGAGAAATGAATAAATTTCTGGACATATAACAAATTCCCAAGATAGAATGATAAAGAAATAAAAAACCTGAAGAGACGAATAATGAGTAATGCAATTAAAGCAGTAATAAAAAGTCTCCTGTCAATTGAAGAAAAACACACGAATCATGGTTTTATTGCTGAATTCTGCCAAACATTTTTAAAACAACGAATACCGATTTTACTCAAAATATTCCCCAAAATATGAAGAGGAATACTTTCAAACTTGTTCTATAAGGCGAGCATTACCCTGGTACAAAAACTAGACCAGGACACAACACAAAAAGAAAACCACAGACAAATATCCCTGATGAACACAGATGCAAAAAAATCCTCAACAAAATACTTGAAAATTGCATTTGACAATACAATAAAAAGATAATCTGCCATGATCAAGCAAGATTCATCTGAGGAAAATGAGGATGATTCAATAAACAAATAAATGTGATACATCATATTCAGCAAATCAACAACAAAAACCATGTAATCGTTTCAGTAGATGCTGAAAAAAATAAAATTCAACATTCTTTCATGATAAAAACTCAACAAAATGAATACAAAAGAAACATTACTTAGCACAATAAAGGCCATATATGACAAACCCACTGCTAACATCATAATCAATGGGGAAAATTTAAAAGCTCTTCCTCTAAAATCTGGAACAAACGTGGCTACTTTTACCACTTTTGTTCATTATAGTACTGGAAGTCCTCACTACAGCAATTAGGCAAGAGAATGCAATTAGACAAATGAATAAAAGGCATCCAAACTGGAAAAAAAGGAGTCAAATTTTCTCTGTCTTCAGGTAACATGATCATATAATAGAGAACCCTAAAGATTCCACTAAAAATTTTACTAGAAATAATAAATTTAGTATAATTGCAAGACACAATATCAATATACAAAAATGAGTAGCGCACCAATGAGCCAATAGTGAAACACCTAAGAAAAATCAGGAAAGCTATTTCATTAACAGTACTCACCAAAAAAAGATACCTAGGGATAAACTTAACCAAAAAGGCAAAAGATCCCACAATGAAAACTATAAAACACATTGATGAAAGATATTAAAGCAAATGCAAGTAAATAGAAAGCTATCCTATGTCCATGCACTAGAAAGAATATTGTTAAAATATCTGTGTCACCCAATATATGACTTACAGAGTCAGTGCAATCCATGTTAAATTACAAAAGATGTTCTTCATAGAAATACAAAAAAAAACCAGCCTAAAATTCACATGGAAATGCAAAATATCTTCAGATAAACAAAAGAATGTTGAATAAAAAGAAAAAAGCTGGAGGCATCACACTGATTTCAAAATATACTACAAATCTATAGTAACCAAAACAGCATGGTACTGGCAAGAAAAGGGGGGGGGGCGGGGAGAGACAGAGAGACAGACATAGACAAATGACAGACAGACACACATAGACAAATGAAACAGAATAGAGAACTGAGAAATAAATTCACACATTTACAGTCAACTCAATTTTAACAAAGGCACCAAGAACACACATTCAGGAAGGACAATCTCTTCAATAAACTGTGCTAGGAAAACCCAACACCCACAGGTAGAAGAATAAATCTAGACTGTTATCTTACCATGTAAGAAAATCAACTCAAAATAAAGATTTAAATATAGGATCTGAAACTATGAAACTACTAGAGAAAAAAACATAGGAAAAATACTTTAGGAAATTGGTTAGGACAAGGAATTTTCAAATAGACATCAAAAGCACAAGCAGAAAAAGCAAAAATAGACAAATGGAATTACATTAAACTTCAAAACTTCTGCAAAGCAGAGGATGCAATCCATAGAATGAAGAAATAATCCAGAGAATGGAAGTATTTGCAAACTATGCATCAGGCGAGGGGTTAATACACAAAATATATAAAGAAGACAAGAACTACTCAAAAACAAAAATGCAAATAATCTGATTTAAAAATCAGAAAAAGATCTACCCAAAAGCTTTCTCCCCCATCATTATTTCCCTGCCTTCTTTTCCTGACCGCCTTCGGACCCCTCCCTCTCGCCATCCTTTTTCTTCCTCCATCTACCCCAAAACTTCTTCCCCATCATTTTTTCCCCACCGTCTTTTCACAACACCTTCTCTACTCTCCCACTCACCACTCTTTTCCCCATCTACCCAAAAACTTCCCCACAGTTTTTACCCACCCTCTTTTTCCCCCTTCCGCTCTCATTAGCCTTTTGCTCCTCCATCATCCCAAAAACATTTCCCTCCATCTTTTCCCAAAGCCTTTTTCCTACTCCTGCTACTCACCACCCTCTTTGCCCCCTCCATCTACCCAAAAACTGTTTCCCCATCGTCTTTTTTCCCCTCCTTGCTACGCTCTTTTCCATCTATCCAAAAACGTTTCCCCACTGTCTTTTCATAAAGCCTTCTCCCCACTTCGGCTCGCCACCCTCTTCCCCCCTCCATCTACCCCCCAAATTTTTCCCCACTGTCTTTTCACAAAGCCCTTCCTCCTTCCCGCTCGCCCTCTTCTTTCCCCTAGCCTGCTTGCCACCCTCTTTTTGCCCTCCATCTACCCCAAAACTATTTTCCCCATCATCTTTTTCCCAATCCTCTTCCCTACCTCCCTCTCGCCACCCTCTCTTCTCCTCCCACTTGCCACTTTTTCCCCTCCATCTGCCCAAAAGCTTTTTACCCACGTTTTTTGTTTCTGCACCATCTTTCTTTTCTGTCTTCCTTCTTTTCGCAGAACCTTCTCTCCCTCCCTCTCACCACCCCTTTTCCTTCTCCCGCTTGTCACCCTCTTTTCCCCCTCCATCTACCCAAAAACATTTTCCTCCATGGTCTTTTTGGAAAACCTTGTCTCCCTCGCTCACCACTCTTGCCCCCTCCTACTCACCACCCTCTTTTCCCCCTCCATCTACCCAAAAACCTTTTTCTTGTCTTTCCCCCCTCACCATCTTTTCACAAAGCCTTCTCCCCGCTCCTGCTCAACAACCTCTTTTCCCCACTCCCGCCCCTCTCCCACACGCCACCCTCTTTTCACCCTCCATCTGCCCCCCAAAACTATTTTTCCGTCGTTTTCCCAACCCTCCTTCCCCCCTCCTGCTTGTCACCCTCTTTTCCCCCTCCATCTACCCAAAAACTTTTCCCCCACTCTTTTCCCCACCATCTTTTATGGCTCCTGCTTGCCACCCTCTTTTCCCCTTCTATCTACCCAAAAACTTTTCTCCCCACTCTCTTTTCGCAAAACTTCCTCTCCCTCTTGCTCGCCCCCGTGTTTTCCCCCCTTTACTACTCTCTCTGTACTCCTTCCACCTGCCACTCTCTTTTCTCCCTCCATTTACCCAAAAACTATTTTCTCCTTCTTAATGCTCAGGCGGGGCTGCAGTCTTCATTACAGCCACCAATCGCAGAGAGGCCAGCCGAGGTGCCAAGAGCTCCAGCCTCCAGCTTGGGACAGGGGTCTTCCCCTTCTCTTCCTCCTTTAAGCCGGGCACTGAGCAGCTCCTGCACTGTGGGCCACCCTCCTACTACTCCGGTGGCTCTTCAGTCTCCGTGGCAGCAACCACCAACCACAGCAGTGAGGTGAGCCGTGGTGCCTTAGGCCAGAGTGAGGGAGGTGTCTTTCCTTTCGCCTCTTCCTCCTCTAAGCCGGGCAAGAGCCGCTGAGGAGGCAAACACTAAAGAATCTGCAATGGCCTGACGTCCCCTCAGCATACTTTATATAGGGAAGTTACACCACTGGGTCCTGAACTACATGTTCTGATTGGATGGGAGAAAAACCTCTAGGCCTACTCTGATTGGACTTTATTATCATGTTCTGATTGGATGAGAGCAATTCTTAAGGCAACCAATCAGAACATGACAATAAAGTCCAATCAGAGTAGGCCTAGACGTTTTCTCTCATCCAATCAGAATATGTAGTCCAGGCACTCAGTTGCAAAACCTCCCTATATAAAGCCGGCTGAGGGGGCAAGGAATCAGGCCATTACCGGGCTCTCCTGTGTCTGCATACCCTGATGTTCGGTGCCCAGCTTAGAGAAGGAGAAGGGTAAGACGCCTGCTGGATGCGGTAGGCTTGAGCGTGTGGCAACGTGTTTCGCTTAGCTGAGGTTGGTGGTGGCCATGGAGACTGCAGCGGGGAGAGCGGTAGGAGGGCAGCCCACAGTGGGAGTATGGCCAGAGTGGTAGAAAAGGAAGCAGGGTAGGTGTGGTATCTGGGTCTGCACTGCTCTCCACGGGGGCACGTTGGGCATGCTATCCCAGGTTGCATTGCCTGGGCGGGTTCCGTACAGTATGCATGGTGCCTCCATTTATCCATCTTTACAAGGGGAACAGTACTAAGGTTTTCTTTTTCTTCTCAGTTGACTGAATTATTTCCCTAGTCTGTCTTCTTGCCACTCTTGATGCTCATATGAGAGGACCTAAGGTAATTCCTGACAACCTGGGACTCCTTAGGAAAAACAGAAGGTGCCATAGACTCCATTTTAGGAGAAACGTCTGTTTTCCTTATGGAACTTCAAGAAGTGTAAGCAGACAGGTCCCTCTCAAAATCTAAGGCTCTACTCTGTTTTGCCTTGCTTTATCTGACCTTTTTGATTTGGGTGGGCATCAGAAATTAGTAGGGGAGAGAGATCTAAAAAAAGTTGTGGAAACTGGGCATGGTGGCTCATGCCTGTAATTCCAGCACTTTGGGAGGCCGAGGCAGGCGGATCACCTGAGGTCAGGAGTTCGAGACCAGCCTGTCCAACATGGAGAAACCCCGTCTCTACTAAAAATAGAAAATTAGCCAGGTGTTGTGGCACATGCCTGTAATCCCAGCTACTTGGGAGGCTGCGGCAGGAGAATTGCTTGAACCCGGGAGGCAGAGGTTGTGGTGAGCACAGATCACACCATTGCACTCCAGCCTGGGCAACAAGAGCAAAACCCCATCTCCAAAAAAAAAAAAAAAAAAAAGAAGAAAAGAAAAAGTTGTGGATATGAAGATATATTTATGTAAGATAGGTTATGAAGGAAAGAAATTTTATGTGAGAGAGCATCTTGTATGGCAAATTCTTGTCCTAAAGTAGAATGACTAGGAAAGAGCAAAATATAGGACAAGTCAGAAAGTCATAAGATGGGAAAGAAAAACTTACAACTGCTAGATCTTCTCCTGTCTAGAAGTGTTGTGTGTGTGATGCTTATATGAAGGTACTCTAATTAATTGGATTAAGAGAAAATGAAACCTCTTAAATATGTTGTCAGAAGAATAGACACTCTCATGCCTTTTATTTCACATGACTTCAGTAATCTTTGGGAAATACAGTTTTAAAATTATTGGTAAAAAAGTCTTTAAAATTTAGACATTTGTTCTAAATTAAGTCAGAGGTTAAATTGGCTAAGTGCTTTAATGTCATAAACTGCTTCTTTGACTTTGGAAAATTATCTAGTTTACCTGGTTTGGAGCCATTCATTAGATTTCTAGGTGAGGCCTGGGAACAGGTGGAGTGAGCCATGTCTCCTAGCTATGCTGGAAAGAGACTTTATCTGCAGTTCTGTCTTGTATCCTAGACTCTGCACCTGGTAGGTAATTAAAACTGCTTACACTGAAAAGAAACAGTACGTGGTTTTGATTTTTAAAAGGCATGGGAATATGGTTTTTTTTTAATTGTTTTGTCTAATTTAGAAAATTTAAATGACCTCAAGGTCACCTCAGGCCTCATCCCTCTATCCCCCCTTGCGATACCAGATCCAGAAGAGGCATTTGCATGGCAGCCACCCAGAGCTTCCACCTCCAAAGCTGGCAAGGGCAGGATGGTAACTGGGAGGGAAAGGGGGCAGGTGCTGGTTCAAGGAGTCTAAATCGCAAGTGCTGAGCAAACAGAAGACATTCCTGCAACTTTACCTGCAGCGCACGAGGTGACCCAGCAGTTCAACAAACTGCTAAGGACCTGAAAATAGCACTTGAGCCTGGGCCACTTGCTGGGCCTGCAGCCACTCCAGGGTCAGGCCCTGAGTCCTGGCACTCTGGATGCACCCCACCGTGCTGGGGAGAGATGCTGGGCTGGGAGGGGCCTGGAGCCTTGCCTGGGGTATCACTTTTGCAAATTCATTTTGTTCAGCAGTGTAGGATGGCCGCTCAGGCCCAGGCCCTGGCCTGGGTTGGCATTAGTGCAGCTGTGCTGGAGCGGGTACAGAGCTTTGGGAGTTCTCTGTTTCTGGGCACGCTTTGGCTTGTACAGCTTGGCCGCCTTCTTGTTCTGGGTGATCCTGAGCTTGGTCTACTTGAAGGATTCCAGGTGCTTCCTCATAGACCTGTGGAAGATATCTCGGTCCTGCTTCTTGTCCTCAGCTGGTGTGGCTGTAGCGATGCATATACTCCTTCCCCAGCTTGCACAGGTATTGCTGCAGCATGTGGTGCATGACCGTGTCCTCCCCGTACCGAATGCTCTGCCATGCTGCTCCAGGGACTGAATGTCTAGACAGACGGTGCTGATGTTCTCCCTCAGGTGGTAGGAGACAGAGGCCACCATGGTGGACGATCGTGGTGTGAAGTCCACGTTTACCACGTTATCAGTACTTGGGGAGCCGATGAAGGCCAGGGATCTCAGGCACTCTCCTTTGGTCACTTAGCTGATGGCATCCTTCAGGTTCAGTGCATGGAAGACATTGAGGATCCCTTCTGGAGACTTCTGGGCCAGCCTTCTCATGAGGACTCCACTGAGGAAATTCCTGTCAAAGTGGGACCACATGTCTTTGAGATCATTGTGCCTGATATGCCTCGATATGTCCTTGATGGCCAAGAGGATGTGGTCGAGAGGGTGGCATTGCAGCTTCTCATGGAACTTAGGCTCCCAGTGCTCACTCCTCTTCACCTTCAGCCACTGCACCAGGGACTAGATGGTCAGACCCCAGAAGATGACCTTGAAGATGTTGACGGTGGTGCTGACAAACAGGTTCTTCTCCTTGACCTTGTTTCCATTCAGAAGTATGACCAGGATGAAAGCCATGGCCCCATGCAGGCCTCCACAGGACATGACCACCTGGCCTATGATTTCCAGCCACACCATCCAATAGCAGTCCAGGAGCCAGGAGTGGATGACACTGATGGCCTCAGTACCTGAAGATGAAGGCCAGTGCAGGCGGATGAATGCCTTGTTCCACGTCCAGATGAGCAGGTTCATGGCTAAGGTGCCCAGGGACATGAAGATGGGATTGGTGCCACTGGTCAGCATCTTCATGGTGTAGCACATGGTGGGGGCCAACTGCTCTGAGATGTTGGCCTTCATGTACTTATGGCAGCAGATGCCACAGAAGATGATGGCCAGGATGGCCTACAGCAACAGCTTCTCAGACATCAGAATGGACAGGTAGGAGATGACCAACATGAAACCAGGCTCGATGATGTGCACATGCTTGGTGAGGTGGGTCACCAGTGACAACAGAAAGGCAAAGACCATTCCCACCAGCATGCCCCCCAGGCTCACCACAAGGAAGGAGACTACACCTTCCACAGAGTTCATGCTGGTCACGTTGTCACCACCCAGTGTCACAAAAGATTGAAACACATTGTACAGAACCATGATGACAGAGTCATTCAGTAGCAACTCCCTGAAGATGATGATGAACAGGACCTCATTGCCATGAACCTCCTCAAACACAACCAGGACAGCTGCTGGGTCCACAGTGGTGATCAGGCTGCCGAACAGGAGGAAGTCCAGCAGCCCTATCTGCAGGTAGCCCATGAGCCTACTAAGAGAGACGTCATAGAGGGACAGGATGGTGGTGGATGCATTCCACATGGTGCTGATGACCTTGTACAGCAGGATGGTGCCCAGGTTGCCGAAGAAGAGCCAGTTGGGGATGAAGTAGCTGGCATCTAGCATGATGAGGGACATCATCATGAAGGATGTTATGTGTTTGGCCACCCAGATGATGCTGCCCAGCACCAGGCCCAGGATGATGAGCAGGGTGCTCTCAGGGACTATGCTGGTGACCTTGTGGGACAGGTAGAACCAGTCTTGGCCAGGCTGGCTGCAAGGATGCAGAGCACAATCATGTACAGGTCTTGGACATTGGCCCATTCAAAGGCGACCACCTGGGGACCCTGGTTCACATCTACACACTACTGTGCTCTTCCTTGACGCCCCCTCACCCATAGCAGCCACCCCAGCACCAGCACCAGTGCCATCAGCAGCCCCCGGCAGCAACATCAGCGCTGTGTCTCAGTGCCAGCCTGGGACACGCATGTTGTGGGGAGTCCTAGCTGTGCTCGACTGATGCACCCTGCTGAGGCTGCTGAACTCACAACCCACCAAGGAGCCCAGTGGGCTTTGGGGCTGTTGCTGATGGCAGTCCCCTTGTTTGGTTTTTTAATCACACATCACTTTTGTAAGTACACACAGATAAAATATCATTGAAGTAAGATATTCTTAAAACTTTTTTTTTAGTTCAAAGTTCATCTTCTGTATCACTTTTGACTTAAAATCATCAGTGCCCTCATTTTTCCACATTGTTTTCTGTTCTATCAAGAGAAAGGGACAGCAAACTACCACCCATGAACCAAATGTGGTCCTCCACTTGTTTTTGCAAATAAAGTTTTGTTGGGGCTGGGCGCGGAGGCTCATGCCTGTAATCCCAGCACTTTGGGAGGCTGAGGCCGGCAGATCACGAGGTCAGGAGATCAAGACCAGCCTAGCTAACACAGTGAAACCCCGTCTCTACCAAAAATATTTTAAAAATTAACCTGGTGCGGTGGTGGGCACCTGTAGTCTCAGCTACTTGGGAGGCTGAGGCAGGAGAATGGCATGAACCTAGGAGGCGGAGGTTGCAGTGAGCCGAGATCGCACCACTGCACTCTAGCCTGGGTGACAAAGCGAGACTCCGTCTCAAAAAAAAAAAAAAAAAAAAGTTTTGTTGGAGCATAGTTACAACCCTATGACTGCTTTCAGGCCCTGATGGCAGAGTTGAGTGGTTGCAGCTGAGCCTGTGTAGCTTACAAACCAAAAATATTCCCTATCACCCTTTGCATGAAACATTTGGTGGCCCCTAATCGAGAAGCACAGGAAGTGAGGCATTTCTTGCAAGTGTGTCCACTCATCCCGGGGATGTTTTGTTTTGTTTTTGAGATGGGATCTCATTGGTGCTCAGGCTGGAATGCAATGGCACAATCGTAGCTTTCTGCAGCCTGGAACTCCCAGGCTCAAACGATCCTCCCACCGCAGCCTCCTGAGTAGCTGGGACTACAGACACATACAACCATGTCCAGGTAATTTTTAAGTTTTTTCTTTTTTTTCTTTTTTTTTTTTTTTTTTGTAGAGATGGGGGTCTCACCATGTTGTCCAGGCTGGTCTCCAACTCCTGGGCTTCAGTAATCCTGAAGGCCTCCCAAAGCTGTGGAATTACAGTTGTGAGCCACTGTGCCCAGCCTGGGATGGTTTTTAAGTCCCATTTTAAGTTTTTAAGTATTTGGTTGGTGCTTTGCAAGAAAATCTGGACTTGTGGGCCTGTCTGCAGGGATGAATATGTGTCTGCCTCGCCAGCATCGCACAGGCATTCTGCTGCTCTGTTCCCAGGCTTCCTGTGTGCACAATAGCTTTTCAATTCAAAGCTGAATCACAGTTGAATCTTTTTGAAGACATTTAAAATAGCACCTACACTCCACATTTGAAGTAACAACCATGCCCAAAACTTAATTAAAGTGACAATGCTATGAACTGCTGTGACTGAGTCTGTATGGGACCAGGCGGGACAGCCATGTCACAGTTGTAATTAGAAGACCTACCCAAATTTCAGGTGCATGAAAATATGAACAATTAAGATGTGTGTCTTTACATTGATAAAATATCGCAGTGATTCTCCCTTGGGTTATAAGCACGTGGGGTTAAATCAGGACAGTGCGTGGGAAGGCTGAGCCACGGTGGGGACACACTTGGTGCTCAGTAAATGTTGTTGAGGTGAATTTGGTGGAGGGATGGTGACATTGCTCCCCTGACAAACCCGCCTGAGATAAAGCCGGAGAGAAGTCTTGTAGGCAAATCCCGTGGAGAAAAGATCCAGCTGCTGGGAGGCTGGTGTGGGAATTGTGGGGAGAAGGTTTCTGGATATTGTCTGTGGGATGGGCCCTAGAGCTCAGCTATCATCTTTTTGTCTTTTAAGCCTGGCCAAGATAAATGCCTTCTGTTTGAAAAGGATGATTTTCAGAGGGACAAAACCTCCTTCCTGGTTCTAAAGGAACCTTGGGCCAGGGCCCCTTGAGCTCAGGAGGAAGGCATGAGTGTGAAGGGGATGGGGATGGGGGTGGGTGGTTTTCACAGCTGGGTGATGTAGAACGCATCGTGGAAGGGTGGCTGCAAGTGACTTTGCTTAGTATGGCCACCTGCAAGGAGGCTTAGGGTCTTCCAAGTGGCCAGGGTCTTGAGAGGATTCGCCAGCCTCTTGGTTCCAGTTATGTATGTGTTCTTGAGTCAAATGGGCCAGGGCCTATATCCACGGTGACTCCAGCATCATGGCCAGGCCTGAGTCCTCCTGTCTCTGCAGAGGGACAACATGGAGGCTGTGCCAGGGATTTCTGTCCCTGCATCAGACAGCCACTGTCGTGACCTTGGAGTGAACAGTAAGCCAGCTGATAAAGGGGTCTGTGGGGGACCTGGACTATAAAAAGAGGTAGGGCACTGGGTCTGCTGTGCATCTCCTGGGTCCCTTCATTCCCCTTGGCACAGGGAAGTTCCCCTCCTGAGGGGGAGGCTTGTACCCTGCCCCTGCTTCTTCCTGCTACTCTGCCTGGTTGTTATGGCCACTTGGCTCAGCCTCCCTACAGCTGTGGCCTCACGGGAAACTCAAAGGCTCGGGAGGATCCAGAAACCAAGACGTGGAATTTGGCAATATCCTGGTCAAAACCAGCCAGAGGGAGAAATCTTTACAAAGATCTCCTAAGACTGCAAATGGCAAAATGTTTCCCAGTCTCCAACCTCCCCTTTCCCAGCACTCAAGGGAAGACATAAGATGTTAGTATCTGATCCAGGGCCGCATCTCCTCTGAAATCCTGTGATTTATAAGATCCAGTGGCCGGGCACGGTGGCTCACGCCTGTAATCCCAGCACTTTGGGAGGCCAAGGTGGGCGGATCACGAGGTCAGGAGATTGAGACCATCCTGGCTAACACGGTAAAACCCCGTCTCTACTAAAAATACAAAAAAATTAGCCGGGCGTGGTGGCGGGCGCCTGTAGTCCCAGCTACTCAGGAGGCTGAGGCAGGAGAATGGCGAGAACCCAGGAGGCGGAGCTCGCAGTGAGCCGAGATGGCGCCACTGCACTCCAGCCTGGGCGACAAAGCGAGACTCCGCCTCAAAAAAAAAAAAATCCAGCAAAGGCTTTGGAACAGGGGATTCCCTGCTGCAATGCCTGCATTCCAGCACAATTAGGAAAGACTTCAGGAAGAACAAAGGAAGCTGTGGTGCAAAGGTGTGGCCGACCCCAGTATTTCAGCTTGAGGAGTCTTGGCTGCTGGTGGGGACAGGAAGCAATGGTGTTGGCTGCTCCAAGTCCACATGTAATCTATATATATATATTTTTACATTTTCTTGCTTTTTTCAGGAAACCTTTTATGATGAAAAAGTTTTAACCTAAAGATAGACAGAACTCGGGTACCTTCACCAGGCCCTAATGGCCTGAATCAGCCTATCCCTTCTCCCCTGTAATATTATTCTGAAGCAACGTGCAGACATTATATGATTTCATCTGTAAATATTTTAATGTGTATCTCTAAAAAAAAAAAAACTCTTTTCAAGAAACATAACCAGAACATTGTCATTGTGTTCTGTGTAATGTGAAGCCTCAGTGTGGTTAACATCAGGTCTTGGAGTGATGAAAAATGTTCCTTTGCAGGGTTTACCCTCTGTCCTCAGTGCTGGTCAGTGGGTGGGACAGTTGGTCCCAGGCTGAGCTCAATAATTCAGCTCCAGTCAGACTCTGCTGTTTCTCACAATCTCTCTCTCTCTCTTTTGAGACAGGGTCTTGCTCTGTCACCTAGACTTGGAGTGCAGTGGTACGATCCCTGCTCACTGCAACCTCTGCCTCACAGGCTCAAGTGACTCTCCCACCTCAGCCTCCCGAGTAGCTGGGACCACAGGTGCACACCACCACACCCAGCTAATTTTTGTATGTTTTGTAGAGACAGGGTTTCACCATGTTGCCTAGGCTGGTCTGTCCTCTCTCTCTCTCTCTCTCTCTCTCTCTGTCTCTCATTTTATTTTTAGTTATTTTTAATTTTTATTTTTTATAGAGATGAGGTCTTGCTTTGTTGTCCAGGCTGGTCTTGAACTCCTGGCTTCAAGTGTTCCTCCCACCTTGACCTCCTAGACTCTAGAGTTTCTAATCAAGAGACATTCATGGAAGAACAGGGTAGGCCTCCTGGGGATGCTCTGGGACTGGAGCCTTGCCTCAGCCTCTTTATCTTAAACTTTGGTCTGAAGCCTTCTCTGACCTTCTGGTTGAGTTCAGATTACATAAGCCCCAAATCCCTTTGTAGGGATGCTCAGTAAACAAAGCCAACACCAGCTCCCACCAGCTGTCAGCAAGGAGGAGCTCTGTGGCCATAGTCTGTAGTCACACAATTCTGTGCCTAGCTGTATAGCTACCATCTTGCCTTTGAGAACTCAGTGCCTTGAAGGCAAGGGTCCTGTCTTGCTCAGATCTTATCCCCAATACCTGCCACAGCTTGTAGACCTAATAGGTGCTCAGATCAGCTTTGTGAAATGAAGCAGAGAATTCAGGGGACCTGGGTTCATTCACCAGATATTTACTGAGCACCTAGCCTGTGCCAGCCACTGTGCTAGATACAAGGAAGACAGCAGTTGTAGGAAAGGAGAGGAAACTGCTTACCTTCTCAGAGCTTACATTCTGCTGGAAGACAACAAATGGACAAGGAGATGGGTGAATATATGCTATGGGACCAAGCCTTTGCTCCACCCTCCCCTTGCTAGATGACCATGGAGGCCGTGCCAGGGATGTCCCTGCATCAGACAGCCAATGTCTTGACCTTGAAGTGAACAGTAAGCCAGCTGATGAAGGGGAGAGGGTGAAGGAAGAAGGTTGGGCAGGAGGAGTCTGAGACACAACACACAGCTCTAGGAACATTTGGCCAGATCAGTTGGGAGTCTCTGGTGGACTGTTGACTATTAGAGGACTCTCTTGCCTGCAGGAACAGGTGGCACTAGTACCTAGCATGCTCGCTTCTGGCTGGGAGCAGCCTATGGGTAGTGTGGCCTCGGTGCCCAGGCTGGAGTGCAGTGGTGAGATCATGGCTCACTGCAGCCTTGACCTCCTGGGCTCAATCGATCCTCCCACCTCAGCATCCTGGGTACTTGGGACCACAGCATGTGTAACCATGCCCAGCTAATTTTTTGATTTCTTGTAGAAGGTCTTGTTGTGTTACTCAGGCTAAACTCAAACTCCTGGGCTCAAGCAATCCCCCTGCCTTGGCGTCCCAAAGTTCTGGGATTACAGATGTGAGCTACCGGGCCTTGACCACTTGATTGTATTTCTGTTGGATAGTGCTGGTCTAACATTGGTTTTCTCAGCCTCAGCACTGTTGACATTTGAGGCCAAATCATTCCTTGTGTTGAGGGCTGTCTGGTGTATTATAGAGTGTTTAGAAGCCTCCCTGACCTCCACCTACTAGACACCAGTAGCACCTAGTTAATCCACAAGGCATGGCAAACCAAAGTCTCTCCAGACATCGACAGAATCACCCCACTTGAGGACAGAGCAGATGTTGTGTAGCCACAAGAGCCTATGGGAACACAGCTGAGGGAGGAAGAGTAAGATCAGAGTCGCATCCCTGAGCCAGGCTCAGTGGCTCACGCTGTAATCCCAGTGCTTTGTGAGGTCAAAGCAGGAGGATCACTTCAGCCCAAGAGTTTGAGACCAGCTTGGGCAACACAGTGAAACCCTGTCTTTACAAAAAAATACAGAAAAAATAGCTGGGTGTGGTGATGCACACTTGTAGTCCCAGCTACTCAGGAGACTGGGGAGGGAGGATTGCTTGATCCTGGGAGGTCAAGGCTGCAGTGAGCCATGATTGCACCACTGCATTCCAGCCTGGACAACGGAGCAAGACTCAGTCTCAGAAGAAGAGTCAAATCCCCTGGGCTGGGATCTTGGCTCCACCACTTGTTAGTTGGGTGGCCTTGGGCGTGTTGTTTAAACTCTCCATGTCTCAGCTTCCTAATCTGGAAAAGGGTATAATGATGGTACCTGCACTCAGTACAAAGCGACAGCTATTGTCACTAATATGTTTGAGACCCACTTGGTGGAGCAGCTTTAGCCTCAGAACCATGGATAGTGCAAGTACCCTTTTCTTTCATTAGCAGCGGCTCCACTGGGTCTCTTGCCCATGGGTGCCCTGCCTCATCTGTTGAGTCAGGCTCCCTTTCATCGTACCCCATGAGGCCTGCCTCTTCTACAGAAGCACCCAGCAGGTGCCCCTTCCTTCCTGTAGCATCCTTTGAGCATGACTAAGTGACAACATGGTGAGGCTTGGCCTGCTCTGGGATAGGGCCTGTTTTCTTGGCTGTTGTCTCTCTCTGTTCTCTTCCTCTCTCTTCAGTTGTCATCAGTTCTGCCTATCTGTTGGAGCCCCCAGATTTTGGTGGTGGCTTTCATTGGGTCAGGTGGGCTCAATAGCCTGGGTCAGACTATAATTGGGGCTGCTGTTTTCTGCTGTCACCTCCAGGGTCTTTCCCTATCCCTGTGCTGGCCTGGGGATGAGCTGCTTGCTCTGGGATGAGGTTTCTGTGACCCACATAGGCTTGACCAGGGCTCTTGTTCTACTCACCACAGTCCCCCAGGATCTGATGGATGTCTCCATGAGTAACCTCTCATTCCTATGTCAGCCCAGCTCCTGGAAATCGTCCTTCTCATTCTGTTGACAGAGTGGTTCGGCTGAGATTTGTGGATGCCAGTATCTTTCCCTACATTGAATTGAGTGAACATAGACTATGGAGTCAACCAGATCTAGGTTAAATCCTGGCCTTGTGAAATTCTAGCTGTTGAAACTTATGTGTATTAGTCAGGCTATACAAGGTTATATGGTGCAGTAACAAACAGTCCTAAAACTCAGCTTTTTACAACAAATTTTATTTATCATGCATGCTGTGTGTCTCTCATAGGTCAAATGGTGAGGCTCTGTTTTTTCCACACCAAAGGGTCCAGCTGTTGGAGCAGCCATCATTTGAATGTTGCCAGTCACAGTGACAGGGAAAGGTAGCATTGGAGGGGCTTGAACCCACAATAAAAGGGCCCCACCCAAAATTAGCATGTCATACCCACCCACAGCTCATTGGCCCCATCCACAAGGAGCCAGGAAGTGCAGCCCTACCATGAGCCTAGAAGGCAGAATAATCTCAAATATTATTTAATGTCAACCACATTCATCTCAGTTTGCTCCTCCACACAGTGGAGATTCTGGTGCTTACTTTATATGGCTATGGTAAATGCCAGCTCAGATAATGGTTTAAAGTGGCCAGAATATGCCACCTGCACACAGTACTGTTCAGTAAATAACAGTTACCATTTTATCATGTAAACTTAAATCTCAGGCGCATCTCTCTCTTTGCCCATAGAGCTTTTGTCTCTTTGGAACTATTCAGCCAGTTCATGAGACTGGTTTTGTTTCCTCCTGGCCTTGCCTGGTAGAATGGAACCCTATTGTCCTTGCTGGTCTTCTGTACCAGTGTGTGGTCCAGTCTTCAGCCATAGGAGTGTACGGTGTGAGGGCTGGCATTACATTGTTGAAGTCATCATCTAAGCTCCTGGCTCCTCAGACTGTGGCCTGTGAACCAGCATCAGCACCGGGCAGATGGTCAGTCTCTTATACCAAACCTTCTGAATCAGAATTTGTGTTTAACGTAGTCCCAAGACCATGTGTGTACTTTTAAGATTGAGAAGTGCTAATGTTACCGGATATTCTCTTATTGTGCATCAGAATCCCCTGGGCTAGGTAGCAAAACATGCCAGCTCCTAGACTACTTCATAGAAGTTCTGATTAAGTCTGTGCAGGGCCCAGGAATACACATGTTGGAGCAACTGCAAGTAACTGTTAGGCTGATGGTCCATGGACCAGTGAGAAATGCTGCTGTAACCTACAAAATTAGCTGGGTGTGGTGGCGCATGCCTGTAATACCAGCTACTCGGGAGGCTGAGGCAGGAGAATCGCTTGAACCTGGGAGGCGGAGGTTGTGGTGAGCCAAGGTCACGCCATTGCACTTCAGCCTGGGCAACAACAGCAAAACTCCATCTCAAAAAGAAAAAAAAGAAAGAAAAGAAAAAAGAAAAAAAATGCTGCCATAACTTACTGCCCTCTCTCCTGTTACAGCGTCTGCTTACACACCTGGCATAATGGGGAACTCAGTACCTTGCAGAAAACCAAGCCCACAGTGGGACAGCTGTTTATGTGACCCTATTCTCATGTAACCTGAGCAACTGTAAGCCTCACCAACCTGAGGGCACAAAGTGGGACACTTCAGTATTCAATGCCTCCATGTGCCTGTAAAAGGAAAGTAAATCTCAGGGCCCCAAACCACTAAGCTAAAGGGAAAAGTCAAGCTGGGAACAGCTTAAGGCAAACCTGCCTCCCATTCTATTGAAAGTCTCCCCTCTGCTCACTGAGATAAATGCATATCTGATTGCCCCCTTTGGAGACGCTCATCAGAAACTCAAAAGAATGCAACTGTTTGTCTCTTATCTACCTATGACCTGGAAGCCTCCTCCCCACTTCAAGTTGTCTTGCCTTTCTGAACAGTACCAATGCTCATCTTACATACATTGATCGGTGATTGGTGTCTCATATCTCCCTAAAATGTATAAAACCAAACTGCTCTGACCACCGTGGGCACATGTCGTCAGAGCCTCCTGAGGCGGTACCGTGGGCGCACATCCTCAACCTTGGCAAAATAAACTTTCTAAATTAACTGAGACCTGTCTCTCATATTTGGAGTTCACATGTCTAACTAGAGGACTTCGGCTATGTTTCCCCCACCCCAGTCTCCCTGGATTTTTCTGGATGTCCTTTGGGATGTGCTGAGAATAAATATGCCGATATTCTTCCATTCTGTTCATTGCAAGAGCGTACAACACTCCCTTCAGCAGTCCTGGATTTATCCAGCAATGCTGGTACCTTACTCCTCTTGCCTCTTTCAGCCAAAAAAGTTGCCACAAATTCCCATGCAGGGAGAATCCTTGAGGCATCACCTACTTAGCAAACAGCCAGATACTGAATCCCAGTTTGGCTCTTGGTTCAGCTGGGTCACTTTAGAAATCAGAACTCTTTCGGCCGGGTGCAGTGGCTCATGCCTGTAATCCCAGCACTTTGGGAGGCCGAGGCAGGCAGATCATAAGGTCAGAGATCGAGACCATCCTGGCTAACACGGTGAAACCCCGTCTCTACTAAAAATACAAAACATTAGCCAGGCGTGGTGGCGGGCACCTGTAGTCCCAGCTACTCGGGAGGCTGAGGCAGGAGAATGGCGTGAACCTGGGAGGTGGAGCTTGCAGTGAGCCGAGATCGCGCCACTGCCCTTCAGCCTGGGCGACAGAGCGAGGCTCTGTGTAAAAAAAAAAAAAAAAAGAAATCAGAACTCTTTCTGCAAGTGATAGAAACCCACTTCAGACTGGTTCAGGTAAAAAAAATTGTTGGCATAACAGAAGCTTAGAGTCATAGTGGCTTCAGGCTCAGATGCTCGAGACGGGAATCTCTGTTTCTTCAGCTCTTGGCTCTGCTTCCCTCTGTGATGGTTCCATCCACAGGCAGGCCCTTTTTATGTTGTGGCAAAGATAGCTCCTAGGAGCTACTGTCCTGTATCCCACTGGTTTAGAAACTGAAGCAGAAAAAGACTTTTTCCTGGTAGTTACAATGAAAGTCCCAAGCCTAATTCTCATTGGCTCAGGTTGGGTCATATGACAATCTCCGCTTCCATTACTATGACTCCAGCTTTGGTCCTATAAATGGGTAGAGTCATCCCTTTAGAAACCGGAGACAGAAAGTTGTGGACGGAGTGATTTCTCAAGGGCAAACTGGGTCACTGGTAGTGGAAGAGGTGATGTTGTAAAGGTGGAGGTAATAGCACCCTCCCTGCACTCCTCATGACTGGCTGATTTCAGTTACCCTCTAGAGATAACAAGTTGTGCTCCTCTCCAAAAAACCTGGGCTGTGTTTGAATCTATTCTAAGCATCTCCCTCCTTCTCTGCCTGCAGGGCTCCCCAGAAACTTCTCTTGTGACAATATGAAGTACCAGATCCTCTGCAGAGCCTTCTATGGATGTACATAGGTCTTTGTTGCCGTGTAGTCTCCGAGGGGCAGTTATCAGTGCCTACTCTATGTCAGCGATACCAGGAGATACTGGCTTTGGAGCTTGAACCTCTCCTCCTCTATTACCTGAATGCCTGGTTTCAGTGAATTTACATGAACCGTTCTGAGCCTCAGTTTCATCATCTACAGATTGGGGATAAATTTTATGCCTGAGTCCTAAGAGAGGGCAGTGAACAATGGGGACCCCTGGGGACAGAGGTTTCATTAAATCACCATTGTACCCCCAGGTGCCACAGTGGAGGGTTTGTTTTCAGGATTAAGTGAGGAGCATGTAGAAAGCCCCTGGCAGCTAGTCTTGCATACTGTAGGTGCTCAGTAAATGTCAGTTTCCTTCTGTCATGGGCAGAAGCAGAAGAGTAAAGTGACGTTATGCCTCCCCCAAAACTTAAAAATTAAATTCCTAGTATCTGTATTCTGATTGTTCCCACTTAACAGATGAGGAAACTAAGGCACAGAGAGACAAAGTGACTTGCCCAAGGTCACACAGCTACCAAGCAGCAGAGCTGGGACTCAGACTCTGGCCTGACTCCAAGGCTTTGTTTTTTCTTCTCCGTATATTTATTCTTAGCAGGTTTTATTTCCGTAGCCTCACAGCCTTGATGGGAGAGAGAAAATGTGTGTGTGTTTTCCATCCCTGAATATACACATTTTATCTCTCCTCTTGAGGCTGTGAGGCTAGGGAAATAAAACCTGCAGCTATACACACACCTGCATGGGCCTGTGAAACCACAGTGCAGCTCACCTGAGTGCTGCAGAGGCGGGGAGAGCGTGACTCTACTAGGACAAAGGTTTTGCCTGTTCCGTTACAATCCACGTTTTTGCCTAATGCAGGGGCTGGCGTGGAGCAGGCATTGGGCAAGTATTTTTGGACCCAAATGAAATATCTTCCTGCAGGAAGGGTTGGGGGTTGATACGGGTCTGGAATAATGTCATCAGATGATGTGGCTCATGGCTGATGGTGGTTGAGAGCCCAGGTTTTGGAGCCAGGTGATCTGGTTTCAGATTCCAGTTATGTAACTTGTGCAAGTGACATAACCAGTCTGGGCCTCAACTTACCCCATCCATAAGATGGAAATAACAGTAGCGCCTGCTTTCTTGGGTTGTGGCGAGACTGAGTTATGCAAACTCTGCTAACAGCTCCCTGGCACATAGTGTGTACTGTGTAAGTATTAGCTATTAGATCATCGTGGTCATCATCATCATCATCATTGCTATGATTGACCCTCCTGTTAGAATTTAGTCCCCAGGCTGCAAAATGTCCAGGGTTCTCACTGGGAATTGAGGATGAAATGGCTGGGGAACGCCAGAAGGAAAGGGCACAGCCAGAGCAAACAGCACGGGCTGGCGTTTGCTGAGGCACTTTGCCTAACACCCTCCAGGTGACAGGGTGTGACAGATAAGGGGTGGCACATTGGTAGGTGTGCTTTTGAGGCAGGACCATCATTGAAAGCAAGCTGCCCCCTCAGTATCTCTCTCCCTGGTTCCTGACTTACTGGGGCCTTTTTAATCCAGCTGCAATTTTGTTTTATTTTTATCTGATTTTGTTTTATTTATTTATTTATTTATTTTGAGACAGAGTTTCATTCTGTCAATCAGGCTGGAGTGCAGTGGCGCGATCTCGGCTCACTGCAACCTCTGCCTCCCAGGCTCAAGCAATTCTCCTGCCTCAGCCTCCCAAGTAGCTGGGATTACAGGGGTGTGCCACCATGCCCGGCTAATTTTTGTGTTTTTGGTAGAGACGGGGTTTCACCATGTTGGCCAGGATGGCTGACCTCAGGCAATCCACCGGCCTCGGCCTCCCAAAGTGCTGGGATTACAGGCGTGAGCCACCACGCCCAGCCGATTTTATTTTTTAGAGACAAGATCTTGGCTCACTGCAGCCTTGACCTCCTAGGCTTAAGCAATCCTCCCACCTTAGCCTCCCAAGTAGCTGAGACTGCAGGCACACGCCACCACACCCAGCTAAGTTTGCTTATTTTTTGTAGAGTCTGGGTTTCACTGTGTTGCCCAGGCTAGTCCAGAACTCCTGGGTTCAAGCAATCCACCCACCTCAGCCTCTTAAAGCACTGGGATTACAGGCGTGAGCCACTGTGCCCGGCCGGCCCTCTTTTTAAAAAAATTTGTAATAGATATACTGTAGTTGTACATATTTTGGGGGTGCATGTAGTATTTTGATAGATCCACTGCGTATTGATCTATCACGTTTGAGGTGATTGGAACATCCATCACCTCAAACATTTATGTTTTCTTCATGTTGGGAACTTTACAGTTCTTCTAGCTATTTTGAGATATACAATAAATTACTGTTAATTATATTTTTCCTACTATAATATACAAGAACTTAATTCCATCTAACTGGATTTTTGTACCATTAACCAACTTCTCTTCATTCCCCTCCTACTCTTCCCTTCCCAGCCACTGGTAACCACCAGTCTACTCTCCGCATTCATGAGAAATACTTTTTTAGCTTCCATGTATGACTGAGAACATGTGATATTTGTCTTTCTGTGCCTCACTTTTTTTACTTAACATAATGATTTTCAGTTCCATTCATGTTACTGCACGTGACAGGATTTCATCCTTTTTCATGGCTGAGTAATATTCCATTGCATACATATACCACATTTCCTTTAACTGTCAATTCATTGATGGACACTTAGGTTGATTCTGTACTATTCCTCCACACATAGGTTGATTTTGTACTATCGTTAATGGTGCTGCAGTAAACATGGGCATGCAGATAACTGTTTGATGTACTGATTTCCTTTCTTTTGGATGAATACCTGTATTCAGCTGATATTTGAAAGAAAGTTGTCCACATCTCACAGTGTCTTTCTCTGTGTATGGATTGGAGGCAGACAAAGGCACAGCAAGGCCACAGAGTCATTGGCCACCTTCTTTCCTGTCCCTTCTCTGCCTCCAGCCTATCAATTAAATGTTTTGGCTTCCAGCAGAGGAGGATGGCATCACCCTGACTGTGGCTGAGCAAGGTGATAAGACTTCCCTAGGGTTGTAGAGCTATTAAGCCATTCAGCCAGCAAGTGACATCAAGCCTTGCCTTCCTTGTGAAGAAAAGGAGGGGTTAAAAAGTAGCTGAGCATGATGGCACATGCCTGTAGTCCCAGCTACTCAGGAGGCTGAGATGGGAGGATTGCTCGAGCACGGGAGGCTTAGGCTGAAGTGAGCCATGATCACGCCACTGCACTCCAGCCTGGGTGACAGCGAGACCGTCTCAGAAAAATAAAAAAATAAAGATGGGAGTGTGGGACAGCACTTTGGGGACTCCATAAGACAGGGCAAAGGGTATCAGGTGGTAGATGATGATGCTTTTCTTTCCTCTCCTGACAGGGCTTACCTACTGCAGACACCTGTCCACTGAGAGGACCCACTTGTCATCCCTGGTCAATTACATGATCATGTCTCTGGACTTGCCCTGTGATGCTGGACAGGAGCTGACAGCCGGGATCTGGGAGCAATACCTTCAGGATAGCACAGCAAGGTTTAGCTGGGCTTGATCTGCAGTGGTGTAGAGGCTGCAAAGGAGGGGCGATTTTGTTATGTGAGAAATAAGCCCACCTACTTGTGGGGACTCAAGATGACTTGTTTGGATTCTGCATATGCAAATTGAAGATCTCCTCCTCTTCTTGAGAGTTCCAAGACCCACAACTCACTTTTGCCCGTGAGTGTGGAGATTGAAGGGGATGGAAAACATGCTCACCTGGGATGAATAAAGAGAAAGTCAGTGAGTAAGTATTTATTATGAAGCATTAGTTTGTATCACTCCTGCACAAGGTGCTGAGACATGGCCCCAGCCAGAAGGAATTTACAGTCCAGTCAAAACTGCCTAGAAGTGTGACAGCAGCTGAGTTGGAGGGAGGCAGCTGAACCAAGAAAACCTTATCAGCACTATTTGAAACTTTTATCTCATCTGGCTTGGCGCCTGAGGTTCTCCCATTAGGTAAGTCACCTGGAATGCTTTCTAATATTTTCTTATAAGAATACAAATGTTCCTGGAAGGAAAATGTTTATGCTTGAAAAGAGTCTCATAATCAAATAGTTTGGGGAAGTTTAAGTTAAACAGGTATCCTGAAGGATATCTTAGAACCTTGGCTATTCTGGTATTCTTGTCACTCTCAGGAAATTGAAGGCGTGTGGGAGAGCATATGGAACATTCCTTCAAATGCATTTGGTCATAGAAGCCTTTACTGGAAAATACCTCCCATGGCTAGTAAAAAGCAAAAATGACTGAGAAGCACTGGTTTATCTCTGCCAAGAACAAAATCTAGGAGGAGGTACCTGTTTCCTCCACACTGGGTAAATCTAGTGGCCCAATCTGCTGTGCACCTTCCCACCCAGGTGCGTTCTGGGGAGGGTTGAGCTGGTTGAGTGTATCAAGAGTTGATTCCTTTGGATGGCTGAGTGCTATTCCATAAGATGGATGTAGCACAGTTTAACTGTTCACCTGCTGATGGATGGCTGAGTTATTTCTAGATTTTTGGCTATTGCTATTAAAGCTGTAATGAACATTCACGTACGGTTGTTTGTATGAGCACAGGTTGTCATTTCTCTGGGATAGATGAGTCAGAATGTAATTGCTAGGTCATACGGTAGTTCCATGTTCAGTCGTATAAGAAACTGCCAAACATCAACAGTAGCATGTGCCTTTAGTCCCAGCTACTCTGGAGGCTGAGGCGAGAGGATCACTTTAGCCCAGGAATTTGAGTCCAGCCTGGGCAATATAGGGAGACCCTGTCTCTAAAGAGAAAAAAGAGACTGCCACACTTTTGCAGTGGCTGTGGTATTTTATATGCCCACCAGCAATATATGAGTGATTCACACTTATATCTTCAGCAGAGTTTTGTCTTGTCACTATTTTTTATTTTAGCCACTCTGATGTGTGTAAATTATATTTCATTGTGGTTTTAATTTGCATTTCCCAAATGGCTAGTGAAGTTGAAGATCTTTTCATGGGCTTATTTGTCCATTGTGTATCATCTCTGGTGAAATGTCTGCTCGTGTCTTTTGCCCATCTTCTAATTGGATTGTTTGATTTTTTGTGTGGAGTTTGCAAGTTCCTTATATACTCAAGATAACAGTGCTTTGTTCATATATGTTGTTTGAAAATATTTTCTCCTAGTCTGTAACTTGTCATCTTTTTAACAAGGTGTTTTGCAGAACAAATTTTTAAATTTTGATGAAACTTAGCTTAGCAATTTTTCCTTTTGTAGACTATGTTTTTGGTGTCAAGTCTAAGAAAATTTTGCCTAGTCCTAGCTCCTGAAGATCTTCTCCTACATTTTATCCTACAGGGAGGCACCTGCAGCTGGGCTGGCTTTCCAGCTATTTTAAGCCTCAGGGAATCTTGGTTTCTCCAGGCCAGCTGTGCTGGGGATGAGGTGCCTGAGCTCATGGGGAGACCAACATGGGCAGGGGGCTGACCCGAGGCTAACTGGGGCTGGAACAGCCTGAGATGACAACAACCAAGGACAGAGACAAAATAGAATATCCATTTTCCATCTGAATGTCTCTCCAGCCACCCAGAAAGTCAATTTCCATTATTATGAACCTAGCTTCACAGAGGGGAAACTGAGGCTGAACCCGAGCCTCCAGCTCCAGCCACAGGCCTGGCCCAGTCAGGGCTCCTCAGCCCCTGGCCGCCTCCAGTCTTGGGACATCGCTCCTCCTGAGACCCCAGACAGGTGCTCTCTACTCCCCACTCTCTGCCTTATTTCTCCCCAGCACAAACCCCATCTCCTACACCACATCGCTCCCTTGTCTATTGGGTTGATTTACATCTCCCCCAAATACGAGTTCTCCGAGCCTGGCTGTGCCTACCTTGCCCCTTGCTGTGTTCCATGAGCAGGAGGTGCTCCCTTGTCTGACCAGGGTCCCCTGAGAAGTGGGCCCATCTGGCTGGTCTGGGGTCTCACCTTCTTCAACCACTCTGCCCAGGAGCCCCGGGACCCAGCACCCCTTCCTTTCAGAGCTGCTCCGTGCCCCCGGGCCCTCACAGCCTTCCTGTCTCCTGTGGGTGCCCTGGCCAGGCCTGGCTGGTGGGTCATCCTAACCATGGGCTACTCTGTCCTCAGAGTGGACATGGGGCATCTGATGGCCCCAGCTCTGTGACACAGGCCACAGAAGTCACCCAGTCCCTCACTGGCTCTTGTACTTGCCTCATCGAAACATTCTCCCTGAAGCCCGTGGTCTCCCCAGACTCATTTCTCATTGGTCCCCACATGTGCTGTGCTATCGCTGATCGGAAAATGGGGTCAGGGTCACCCCCGGCCTCTCATGAGCTGGAGTGAGCTTATCCCCAGGGGCTTTAAGCAGGGCCCACGTGAGACCACGAACCCCATGGTGACTGCCCAGGTGTGGCCCTTGGTAAGGCTGTCCTTGTTGATGTGTCAGGAAGGAGAGTCGAGGGAGAGCCCCCTCTGAGAGGTGTGACTGTCATTGTGCTGCGTCACTAACCGGTGGGCATTGCAAGTGGACAGTGACTTGTTTCCTCTACCTCCCGGGAAGTTCCCACATTCTAGTTGGCTGAAGCTTGGTTTTGGACCTTCGTGTTGGGGGGAGTGGGTGCTTGCTGGGATCCAGTGGCCTCTTTTTGGAGCATCTGGGTCTGGTTTGCTTGTTACCAGTGAGTGTCGGTGTCCTCAGGAGAATACTGGCCGGGGACCAGCCCCCTCTTCCCACCACTGGGCTCAGTGAGTATGAGGGGTCAAGGGCCCCTCCACAGGCCTGGCTGGGGATGCTCTCTTGGTGCTTTTGCAGGCCCCATGGGGGGCCAGGTCAGATAGGAGAGTCATCCGCTTAGCTCAGTAGGAGCTCCTAGCCCTCACCCAGAGCCCCAAGCAGCCACCTCCCCTCCCATTTCCTCCCCTCCCCCAAGGCCCCTCCATACCCACCGGGGCTATTTGGGGCTCTGGTTTTGGCTGTAGAGGAAGCCACAGATGCCCCTCCCCCATCTGATTTAGAGCAAATGCCTCAGCCCTGGTCACAGCGAGGCAGGACCAGGGCCGGGACAATCCCTCCTCCCTGGACTCCAGTGCTCTTCTCTGTACCTTTAGGGGCTCTCCCAGTGTGGACCTACCCTGCCCTGGTGCTGTGGGGCCATCACTCCTGAGGATATGACCAGGGTCTGAGCTGGGCAGGGCAGCAGGTGCAGGGCAGTGCAGGCACAGGGCCAGCTGGGCCACTCTCAGGCTGGCCGGAGCCTGGGTGGCCCTGGTTGGTGCCTCCCTCCTGGTCAGCATCCCCTCTATAAGGTGGGCAATGGCAGCTCTAGAGCTCAGGGTCGCTATGAGGCAACCGTGGTGCATTCCTCATGGTCGGCCTGCCCTATGTGAGGTGGACCATGGCTGCCCTGGGCCTCAGGGTCACTGTGAGGGTTGATGAGGGACTGTGATGTTCCCACTGTGGCCCAGGGATGACAGCTGGGGCTCCGTCAGATGGTTCTTTCAGTTAAATCTTCTGCTAAGTAGGGGGAGATGCCCCTGCTGCCCCAGGCGCTCCCTGGGCCAAGCTCCAACCTTGGGGACTTGAGGACAGGGGGGTGCAGTGGTGTCTCCCTGTTGTCCTCCAGCTCATGAGCTTCTCCAGGGCAGGTGGTCCTGGTCTTGCACCAGCACCTGGCCCACAGCTGTGCTCACTGAGGGTTTGCTGAATGAGTGTGTGAGTGAATGAATGAAGGACTGAGGAGCTGTGGAAAGAGGCTGGGGGTGGGTCAGGCAGCAGCTCACCATGTTGACCCGGGCAGGTCACTTCCCTTCCCGTGGAGCCTCAGTTCTCTCTTCGGTGAAATGGGCACACGAGCACCTGCCCCTGCTCTGCTTTGTGGACTCCGAGGACCCTCCTGCTTCTGCCTGTCTCCTACACCGGCTCGATGTAGACTGAGGAGTGTAGGTCCCCAACCCCACAGAGCCACAAGGGGATTGGTGTGTTCAGTACTGTCTCCTGGCCCTGCCTAGCACAGCCTCAAGAGGGAAGGGTGACCTTGGGTCAGGGGCCTGGGCACCCACTGTCTGTGCTGCCCTGAACACCTGCAGGACCTGGGCAGGCTCAGCCTCCTCAGTCTGGCCTCAGGGAAGGGGGTTAGCCCTGGGTAGACCCAGGGTCAGACTGGGCATCTACCATCTGTGCATCCTTCAGCAGGTGTGGAACCCAGCCAGGCCAAACCCTGTCTCTACCAGAGCAGGGACCATGCAGGAAAGACTAGGTGGGGCTGGGCCTTGCTCTCTCTCCTGGCACCTTCCTCTCGGAGAATGGCTGGAGCCCCAGACCCAGGGAGCCTCACAGAGAAAGTCCCGAGGCAGGACCTGGTTTTCCACCTGAGGCCCAGGATCCAATGGAGAGGTGTTTCCCAAAAAGAATGCCCCCCAAAGGCAGCCAGTGACTTTCTGTGCCACACACTTGAGAACATCTCCGTGTTCTGGGGCTGCCAGGCAGTCACCTGTGCAGGTGTCGGAGCCCAAATCCAATCAATACTAAGGGATTGGGTAAAACACATCCCCACTGCCTGGAGTGGTGGTTCACACCTGTAATCCCAGCACTTTGGGAGGCCAAGGTGGGCAGATCACGAGGTCAAGAGATCAAGACCATCCTGGCTAACACGGTGAAACCCCACCTCTACTAAAAAAAAATACAAAAAATTAGCCGGACATGGTGGTGGGCGCCTGTGGTCCCAGCTACTCGGGAGGCTGAGGCAGGAGAATGGCGTGAACCTGGGAGGCGGAGCTTGCAGTGAGCCGAGATTGCACCAGTGCACTCCAGCCTGGGCGACAGAGTGAGACTCCGTCTCAAAACAAAACGAAACAAAACAAACAGACAAAAAACACATCCCCACTGTTAGTTCTGAGGAGATGCCTGGCCTCAGCATTGAAAACACCAACTTCCCTCAAGCAAAGGCTTTGTTAAATCTCATAGAAATGATGGAGCTCCTGTTACCCTTCTTGCTCTGGTTCCTGGGGAGCTTAGAGCCTATCTTTGGCAAGTGTCCTGAGCCTCCTGCAAGCCTTTTGTGTGTGTTTCCTTCTTGCCTTCCTCCGATTTTTCTTACACCTGTGAACCTGCTGGCAGGTGAAGAATCGAGGTGGGCCCCAAATTTAACAGCTCATGAATTTGAAGGTGCTGGAGTATTCTGGACAGTCCAGCTCTCAGGGGTGGGGAGTTGGGCAGAGAGGGAGGAGGGGATTCCAGGGGCCAGGGCCACGGGCAGAGGAACTCCAGGCCCAGAGTGTTACTTCCAGGCTGAGGAAAAAGAGGTCGTAGGTGGGAAGAGTGTCTTTACTAGGGCAAGGACAGAGGGCATATCTGAAGGCCCAGCCAGGGACAGCTCCATCCAGAAAGGAGGCAGGGAGTGGCGGGGGGTTGGGGGAGGGAGTGCTGCAGCGGGGAATTGGAGGAGGGAGAGGGCAGAGGGACTGGTCTTCAGTGATCAGATTGCTCCTTGCCTGGCCTGTTTCTCCAGCAGATGCCCCTGGGAGCCTGGGAGCCTCTCCCACAAGCTATTTTCCCACTGAGTGTCAGGATTCCCCCATCCCCCACTGAGAACCTGGGGGAAGTGTCAAATTATATGAAAGGTAAGAAATGAAGACAGGGAGCAGAATTTCTGATTAACAATGAGGATATTTACTGAGGGTTTATTGGGTGCAAGGAGAAGGGCTGGATGCCTTGGGGTGGGAGGGGAGACCCCTGCCCTGGGATCCTGCAGCTCCTGGCTGCTGTGGGTGGGGTGAGGGGCCTAAGAACATAGCTGCTGGGGGACCTCCACTGGTCAGACGTCAGGTTCAGGTAGCTGCTAACCGTGTACTTGTGTTTCTCTGTTTGGAGGGTGTGGCAGTCTTCATGCCCAGGGTGATGGTGGTGCCCTCTGCCTTCCAGGCCACCATCACGGCATCAGGGTAGAAGTCACTAATGAGAGGCATCTTGTTGGCTTGGAGTTCCTCAGAGTGTCCAAAGGGGCGGCCTTGGGCAGACCTGTGTGGACAGAGGAGGGGGCAAGAGAGGCAGAGGGAGTACTGGGGTGTTGTAGAGCCCCCTCTCTGTCTAAAGTCTCTGTGAGGTTCACGGCATGGCTGTCCAGTCCACCCGGGGCTGCCTCTTCCCTCCTCATTCCCCTCCTTTTCACTCAAGACCTCTGCAGAGCAGCCAGCCCGCACCTTCCTAGGAGCTCTTCCCAAGTCACCTTTTCTAGGAGCCCTGGCCCAGCCCTCCTCTGCAGCCTCTGTTTCCCTGTGTGTACCCAGGGCAGGCTGTGCTCCCTCCTCTCTGGTCTCTGGAGTCTGAGTTTGGAATTTGCACGTCCCCGCCCAGCCCACAGGACTATCCTGGCAGAGTGTGGAAAGGCCCAAGCCTGGTGGGGCCTGGAGCTTCCTGTCCCCTGGGGCACCAGGCTTTGCCCCAGCCCATCCCATTCAGCTTTCCTGATGAAGGGTGGGCTGCACCCAGACAAGCCCCGGGGCTCCTCCACCGCTCTTCACCTCCCTTGTCCCCACCACCCCAACCATAGGACCCTTCACCTCCACTGTGGTGTTGGGGCTGCTCCCCTGGACCACGGGACACAGCAGCCCCCCATGCCTGCCTCCACGGACTCTGACAACTCTAGACTTCAGCTGGCTGCCGTAGAGTCCTCTGCACCCCCCATTCGCTCCCCTCTTGTCACCTCCTGAGTCTAACGTGCCCTTTGAGGAAGGTGGGAGACTGACCCATGGACAGTGAGACGCCAGGCCCCAGGGGTGAAGGGGCTCCAGGGACAAATATGTCTCTGCCCTAAGGGATCTGCTCCTCTCTGATGACTATTCTGGGAGGGCTGGGCTCTGGCCATCTTGCCCCATCTGACCCATCTTCTTTTTTTGTCCCTGTGTCCTCATGACCCAGCAGAGGCCAGAGAGCTGCAGCCTAGACCCAGAGCCCTCTCTGCACCTGCATTGATGTCACCTCATGGTGACCCCTTTGTCCCCAGGCCCCCGTGTGGCCTTCCCAGGCTGGATGGGCATCCAGCCATCAGCCTAGACCCTGGGGTCCGGGGGGTGTCTCTGATGCTACTGCAGTGTGCCAGTCAGAACTGGCCTCTGCCCCGCACCTCGGGTGCCTGCCCTGAAAGAGGTGAAGGAACTCTGACCTTGCCTAAACCCAGCCCAGGCCCCGGGACCAGGCTGCGTCTGGCTGTTGGAACCTGGGGCCCTTCTGCTGGTTACCTCAAGACTAACCCACCTCCCCCAGGACCCATAGAGAAAGGTAGGGGTCAGTGATTAAGGCTGGGAGGGCAGAGGAGAAGCCACCCCAGGGAGAGAAAACATATTTTCCAGAGACAACAGAGGGTGGAACTGGCTGGGGAAGGTTGTAAGAGCCACTTACCTAGAGTAATGAGCTGGTTCCCACTGCTGTTTACCCAGTGACTGAGGCTTGGGTCCAAATTCCTGGGGCCAGTACAGGGGCCAGGCTGAAGCGGAAACCTTCTGGGCATGATGGGCACAGGGCTGCAGTGGGCGTTGTTGGGACCTAGGCACAGTGCGTGGGGGTGCCAGACCCCGAGAGGTGTCCCTGTGCCTGTCCCCTGTTTGAGGCAGGTGCCACCCACAGTCTTGGAGTCACCCCAAGTGTGTGTCCCCCCTCTCTGAAGCTGTTGGTGCTGGTGGCAATGCTGGGCCCAGTAGGTCCCAGCAACTCCCTGAGTAATGTGTCCCCTAAGGCAGCTGTGCTGTGTGGCAGAGGAGTCCTGAGCTGGCTCGGATCAGCCCAACCTCACCTGGCCTCATTTTAAGGGCCTCTGAGTCCTCCCACAAATTTCCCAGTCAAGCCAGGCTGGCTTCCTCTCTGGATCAGGACACTGGGTCATTCTCGACTCAAGTGGAGAGTCCTCTGCTTTTATATCTATCCGTGGAGACACAGCTCAGTCCCACTTTTTTCATGAAGCTTTTCTGATTTCTCAGATTATTAGTTTCATCTGTCCATCTATCCAGTTGTCCATCTGTCTGTTCATCTATTCATCTGTCTGTCCACCTGTTTATTCATGTCTGTCCGTCTGTTCATCTGTTCGTCTGTCTATTCATCTGTCTGTCCATCCATCTATCACCCACTGGAGGATTCCACTCCATCTCACTCTCCTGTACTCCTCCTCTGGCCCTCATGCAGGATTTTTCTTTTTTAATGTTTCTGGTACCAGCAGTATTAACAGCTCCATTCTTAAAGAAGCAATACCTTGGCCGGGCGTGGTGGCTCACACCTGTAATCCCAGCACTTTGGGAGGCTGAGGCGGGTGGATCACAAGGTCAGGAGATCGAGACCATCCTGGCTAACACGGTGAAGCCCCGTCTCTACTAAAAATACAAAAAATTAGCCGGGCATGGTGGTGGGCACCTGTAGTCCCAGCTACTTGGGAGGCTGAGGCAGGAGAATGTCGTGAACCTGGGAGGCAGAGCTTGCAGTGAGCCGAGATCACACCACTGCACTCCAGCCTGGGCGACAGCGAGAGTCTGTCTCAAAAAAAAAAAAAAAAGCAATTTATTTTTTACCAACACTGATGTGGGTGGATGCTGTTGTTTGCAATTAAAAACCAAGGCCGCTACAGATATGGGCACAATATTGTGTGAAGCTGGAGACCCTCATGGAAGCGAAAACCTGGGATTGGCTAGCCAAGGCCAATTGTTTCCAAAGCCCTCTTAAGAGGATGTGATTACTATCAAAGGGTGAGATGCTGGCAGCAAAGATTATATTCACCTGAATGAAACCAGGTGTGGTGTACGCCTGTAGTCTCAGCTACTTTGGAGACAGAGGCAGTTGACTCCTCAACTTCAGGAATTGAGGCTGCAGTGACCTGTGTTCATCCCACTTCACTCCGTCTTGGGTGACAGGGTAAGACTATCTTTAAAATATGTATTTTTAATTTTTAAAAGGATCATATTCACTTAAATGTGAACAAAGTGTCCATTGAGGGCACAGCTTTAGGGGATCAAGTGGCCACTTCTGTAGAACAGTGTGATGGGTACGAGGGCTTAGGAACTAGAGGCAGGTCGGCTGCTTCTAACTGCACTGCTGGAGCTCAAATCTAGAATTCACACCTCAAACAGGGTCAATGTCTCTACTGTTCAATCCATGGGACATTCTTAGCCTGGCCCCCAGAACAAGGCTTGTGTCTACCTGCCATGACCTGCTCATAGGAGGGTGAGGTTTCTGGTTCCCAGGGCTGTTGGCTGTCTCAGTACCATGGACGTGTGTCCTCACAGCAACGGGCCAAGGCAGAACAGCTCCCCGAGAGTCAGGATGGTTCTCTTAGTTCCCTGCTTCTCACACCTGGGCCCTACCCTTAGACAGAGGAGGTGACACTGAGAAAGACAAAACTTTTGAAAGTGGGAAGTTTCAAATGCGGAAAGAATTGTGATGTTCCCTGAAAGAAGTAGTAACTCCAGCACTGGAGATAAGATAGTGGCATCAGAAATTCAGAGGGGCATGGCTTACATGCGAAGAGTGAAGCTGTGTGGGCCTGAGACCAAGAAAAGAGGTACTGGACTCCGATTAGCTGGGCCCAGATGGCCAGACAGGTGTGGAGACAGATGGAGGTGTGTGACCAGGACCCTCCTCAGAACACCACTCTCGCTTGGCCAAATGCCCTGTTCTTCTGGGTGGCTATGCTTAGGGCTAGCGTCACTGAGGTCACTGTGCTGCAATTAGGCATCTTCACTAGGGATTCAGTCACAGATGTAAATCAATCACAGTCGCGTTTGTGGAAGAAGACTCCAAACTAGACCAACCGAATCTCTAGGGGCTGCCCCAAGTGTGCCTGGGGTGTCCTGGTGCCAGTGCACAGCTCTGGGTAAGAACCACTGGATTAGATATGTAAGCCCCATGGGTAAGAAGAGGACCTTGCCTGAAAGGTGGATCCCAAGTATTGGTCACCTGGGAAGACTGTGGAATCCTAGAGAGGACAGGGGACAGAGAGAGAGAATTCTAGAAGTCCTCATGCTCATAATCATGAAGACGCCAAGATGACCAGGATGAGGTGAGTTGTCCTTTAAGAAGAGTCTAGATTTTCTTTGTCCTTTACATTTTTTTCTCCTTCCTTCCTCCCTCCCTCCCTCTCTCTTTCTTTCTCTCTTTCTCTTTCTCTTTCTTTCTTTTCTTTCTTTCTTTCTTTCTTTCTTTCTGTCTGTCTGTCTGTCTCTCTCTCTCTCTCTCTTTCTTCTTTTTCTTTTTTTTCTTTCCTTCTTTCTTTCTTTCGACAGAGTCACTCTATCACCCAGGCTGGAGTGCAGTATCATGATCTTGGCCCACTGCAACTTCCGCCTCCCGGCTTCAAGTGATTCTCCTGCCTGAGTCTCCCAAGTAGTTGAGATTACAGGTACAGCACACTCCACCATGCCCGGATAATTTTTGGTGTTTTCTTTTTTTTTTTAGCAGAGATGGGGTTTCACCATGTTAGCCAGGCTGGTCTCAAACTACTGACCTCAAGTGATCCACCTGCTTCAGCCTCCCAAAGTGCTGGGATTACAGGTGTGAGCCACTGCACCCGGCCTGCCCTTTACATTTTTGCTATAATTTTAGAATCAGCTTGTCAATTTTTACCAAACCTACTGGAATTTTGGATGCTAAATTGGCTCACAATGAAGTTAAAAACCAAATAAGAATGAATCCATTGCCAAATCCAAGATCTTGAAAATGTAATTCCATGTTTTTTGTTTAGAGTTTAACAGTTTTAGTGTTTATACTTAGGGCTTTGACCTATTGTGACTTAATTTTTGTATATGGTGTGATGTAGGGGTCCAGCTTCATCCTTTTGCATGTGGATATCCAGTTCTCCCAGCACCATTCTTCAAAGAAATGAGTGTTTTCCCCACTGAATGGTCTTGTACCTAAGTTTTTACTCAGCTCGGTGAAAACGTGCTCTCACTGATGAGGCTGATAAGGTTTTGTCTTGAATTGGGACCTGGGAATAGTGCTGGTAATTTGGAGATGACATGAACATTTATTTGGGGCTACCCCAGTGCTCTCTGCTGGTTGAGCAACTGCGCCATCCAGCCAGTTGGAAGGTTTGTAATGAGGGAGCTGAATGAGACAGAGACGAGAAGAAAGGGCGAAAGTGGAAGAACTGCATCAAGAATTCAGGAGTGAAGAGGGAGCAATTCTCCTGAACATTCCATGAAATAATCTAAATAAAACCACCTAGTACCAAGCCTGCCCTGTAGGAGATGCTTGGTGATGTTCTGGTTGTCTTTGAGTCAAGATGGAGTCCATCTGGGTCGGAAAGATAAAATGACAATCTTGCTGAAGTTTTTCTCCATCCGAGGTGGAAGTGAGATTTCCCACTCATGCTCTCCAGCGCTTGGACTTGCTTTTGGGACCAGCTCTGATGAACCTGTGTACACTGAGTTGCAAGTGATGGACAATAGCTCAGACCAACAGTCCACAGGTGAGTTGCAAGTAACCCCAAGGTGTTAATGGCTGTTCCTTGGCAGAAAGAGTTCAATGTGTTTATGAAGCATCACATACCACATTCCCCTCCTGGGGACTGACAGTGTGTGTGGTGTATAGAGCAAGTCCTGGCATACAGCAAGTGCTGTACAAGCATTACCAAGGATTCAGTACCACAGACTTGGCTCTGAAGCTGGCCACTGTGGGCTGCATGCGAATGGTGTTTCTGTAAAATGTGGGAATTGCTGGCCGGGCGTGGTGGCTCACGCCTGTAATCCCAGTACTTTGGGAGGCTGAGGCAAGTAGATCACTTGAGCCCTGGAGCTGAAGACCAGCCTGGGCAACATGATGTAACCACATCTCTACAACAAATATAAAAATTAGCAGGGCCTGGTGGTGTGTGCCTGTAGTCCCAGCTATTTGGGAGGCTGAAGCAGGAGGATCGCTTGAGCTTAGGAGTCTGAGGTTGCAGTGAGCTATGATCATACCACTGCACTCCAGCCTGAGTGGGAAAGCAAGACCCTGTCTCTACAAATAAATAAAGAAGACATGAGAATCGATAATGTAATGCATGTTGAGTTACACAAATGTTCTCCTGGGCATTGTGAAACTATGTAATATTTTGTTAGGGCCAGGTGCAGTGGTTTACACCTGTAATCCCAGCACTTAAGAGGCCAAGGCAGGAGGGCCAGTGGAGGCCAGGAATTTGAAACTAGCCTGGGCAACATAGCGAGACCCTGTCTCTACAAAAAAGAAAATAAGAAGAAAATTAGCCAGGCATGGTGGTGTGTGCCTGTAGTTCCAGCTACTCAGGAGGCTCAGGGGGAAGGATTGCTTGAACCCAGGAGTTTGAGGTTGCAGTGAGCTATGATCGTGCTATTGCATTCTCTCCTGGGCAACAGAATGAGACCCTGTCTCTAGAAAAATAAAAAGATTCTGCTGTGCTGCAGATGTTGAGATTTTGTCTCTGTTTTTCCACAGTGGTTTGCTAAGAAGGCCATTTTCAACTCTCCACTGGAGGCTTTTATGGCGTTCCCTCACCTGCAGCGGCCCAGCTTTCTACTGGTAAATATCAGCTGTCTGGATGAGTGTCAGTGTGGCCACAGCTCTGTAGCTGTGGGACTTGAATGTTCTTCCCATTGACTTGAAGAATTCTCTAGTGGTTGTCTTTTAGGAGCGTGTGATGGAAGCAATGCCAGACTCCTTAAGCTTGACTGTGCCCCCTTATTACTACAGGGCCTTGGGGTTACTCAACCGCTGGGCTCTGGGCTCTGGGTTTTCCCATACAAGACAAATTCATTCAAGTTCTATTTTCTCTACTTCCCAAGGGGGTATGAGGAGGAGGAGGGGGAGGAGCAAATGAGAATGATGTACATCAGAGTGTTCATGATCTGTAAGTTCTTAAACAGACATGAAACATTCTGATAATCATAATTGTCATTAGTGAAAAATGGAGACACTCTTATGTTCTGAGGGGGTGCTAGGTTAGCACTTTAACTATTAAACATGGTGCTGAGAACTGGGTGTAATGGTCCGTATCTGTAGTTCTAACTACTAAGGACACCGAGGAAGGAGGATTACTTGAGCCCAGGAGTTTTAAGACCAGCCTGAGCAACACAGTAAGACTCAAAAAAAAAAAAAAGAAAAAATGATACTGAGAAGCGAGAAGTTAGGTATGAGCAAGTATTGGTGATGAAAGTTCCTAATTTTAGTTCTTAGGAGGTATTTTTGTAAATATGTATGTGGAAGGACGTTCCTCCCCAGGGCACCCCACTAGAGCCACCAGGTCTGCCACATGGCCAGACAACTCAGGTCTCCATCTCTTGTCTCAAATCCTGTGAAATCCACCCTCATTTGGAGGTAGACAAGGCATTTGGAGGTAGACAGATTCTAGCAGTTTCTCCTGATGTGAGTCCATTTGCACAGACGCTATTTTTATCCTTGTAGTCAGGATGCTTTCCGTATATCCCACGACTGTGGGTAGATTTTATTAGTCCTTGTCCTGAGTCTTTTCTGGCCTCTCCATTGCCTTTATGTTTAGTGTTTACTTGGTGCAAGCCATCTATAATTTTTACCTGCCTTGTGTGTGTGTGTGTGTGTTTTGTTGTTGTTGTTTTGCTTTGTTTTATTTTTTTTTTTTTTGAGACGGAGTTTCTCTCTGTCGCCCAGGCTGGAGTGCAGTGGTGCGATCTCAGTTCACTGCAACCTCTGCCTCTCAGGTTCAAGCGATTCTCCTGCCTCAGCCTCCAGAGTAGCTGGAATTACAGGCATGCACCACCAAGCCCGGCTAATTTTTTTGTGTTTTTTTAATAGAGACAAGGTTTCACCATTTTGGCCAGGCTAGTCTTGAACTCCTGACCTTGTGATTTGCCCACTTTGGCCTCCCAAAGTGCTGGGATTACAGGCGTGAGCCACCACGCCCGGCCCTGCCCTGTGTTTTAAGGTCATTGGTTTAGTAGGTTCACTGTCTGCTGAATAAAAGACAGCTCAGTTAAGAGAGGATGCTGTAGCCCTGATTTTGTTGGGCATTCTTACTGATGATCACAACTGTGTAATCATGATGGTCCATCAGGTGGGAAATTTCCATTTGATGCGTACGAACTCAGTAGTACTCTGTGGTCTGTGAGAGGTGCCCTTACACAATCGAGATCCTCTTCTGGCTCTGGGGCTGACCCTGGGGCCAACCCCTACTTATGGATTGGTGGAAGTCAGTCCTGTTCTGATGATGAGCAGCACGCTGAGTTGGTACTGGGAAGCAAGCCTGAGAGTTCCTGGTCCAGAGTGCATAGAACCACAGCCTCTCCTAGTAGCATCCTTTGGGCCACTGACACACATGAGGGGCTGGGGAATCACGCCAGTGGTTATGTGTCTGACTCATAACCTATCACTTGGATTTCTGTTTGACTCAAGCCAGAGTATCACTAAAAGCTGCAGTGAATGTCCTCATGATTTTTTCACTTTGTTCTACCTTCTAGGCTACCCTGAAAGCTGACTCTGTAAATAAGCCCTTTGCACAGTGATGCCAAGACTTGGTTAAAGTCATTGAGGATTTTCCAGCAGAGGTATAGCTCTGCTGACATCTCTCTTTGGAGCATGTCTTACACATTCCTTTAAAAACTTTATTATAATTCCTAATTCCCCCCACCACCCCCACTCCAAGCACTGCCTGGCACAGAGTCCTGGCCCATTATCATGACCGTCATGTTTATGGACACATTTAAATATGTGAACTTGCAGATCAGGAGTTCTTAACCACAGGTGCTCTGTCCCTCAGGGGACACTTGGCAATATCAGAGACATTTTTGATTATCACAACTGGGGGTGATGGGGAGTGTGTGCTACTGGCATCTAGTAAGTAGGGGCCAGGGATGCTGGAAACATCCTGCAAAGCACAGGACAGCTCCCTGCAACAAAGAAGAATCCAGCCCAAAATGTCAATAGCATCAACGTTGAGGAACCCTGATGTAAATGCTAAAAATATGTATTTAAATCACACCTGGAATTGTCAAGCCCAGGAAGCTGGCCTAGACAAGGAGTTAATACCAAATGACAACAGGTCAGTTAGATTTTAAGGGCTTCACTCTGGGAAGGGTGTTGCTTTCCTTTCTAATAGAGCATCCTTCGCATCCATCAGAAGTTTCTGACATTAAAAAAAAAATCTTTTGGTGTGGTGGCTCATGCCTGTAATCTCAACACTTTGGGAGGCTGAGGTGGGAGGATCACTTAAGGCCAGGAGTTTGAGACCAGTCTGGGCAACATACTGGGACCCTATCTCTACAAGAAATCTAAAAATTAGCTGAGCGTGGTGGTGTGTGCCCACAGTCCCAGCTACTCAGGAGGCTAAGGCAGGAGGATTGCTTGAGGCCAGGAGGCCAAGGCTGCAGTGAGCTGTGCATTGCGCCAGTGTACTCCAGACAGGGCAACAGAATGAGACCCTGTCTCAAAAGAATAGGTATTTTGTTTATTTTATTTTATTTTTCATTTTTTCATTTTTTTGTTTTTTTTTTCCCTTAATTTAGGCTTTTATCACACACAAAAAATGTATTTTGATCAGAGGCTGACTTACTTAACTGGCCCACGTCTAAAGCAGCACTGCTTGGTAAGCCACGTACCCCAGTGAAAGAACCCAAAGCTGCTCTTCTCATTGGCATCACCGCACCAGGGTTCCTTTGAGCGCAGGGCTGATCCCATGGGTCTCAGCCAGGGAGTGGCCTCCTCAGAGGGAGCTGGGCAGCAGGTGGTGCAGGCCTGGAGCTGGGGCAGGAGTGGGTGCTGGTCCTGCCTGCAGCCTCACCGCACACTGTTTCAGGAGCTGCACGCCATCTCCCCATGGCTGGTAGCATTTTCGGCAGCCTGGATGGTGTCCTTGTGGGCTGGAACCTGCGCTGCTTACAGAGGCGCGTGAATCCTGTGAAGTACAGCATGGTGATGGAATTTCTCGACCCTGGGAAGGTAGGTTTGACACCCGAGAGAGGCAGGGTGCTTCCTCATGGTGATTCCACTTTTAAGTCACTCTCAATTTCTTAAGGTTAAGATACAATCAAAGCAAGATAATTTGCAGTTCATATACCCTGTTTTTGTTTGTTCAATTTCATGTTCAGCGGCCCAATGATGAAGTTGGTTTATAAGCTTCAAGCTGAAGACTTAAGTTTGACTTTCCCATCTCCTACCTGCCCATAAGTAAACCACAGTGGTGAGAGTGGTGCTCGGGCAGTGGACCTTGCACAGCCCAGTGGTGACGGGCAGTCTCCTCCGGTCCTCTGAGGGCAAATTAAGGAGTGATTTGCTCCGGGGGTATGAGAGGCAAAGGAGATGGGTATTGCATGGCTGCTACCCTTGCCATCTGCAGCTTTTTTTTTTTTTTAGGCAAAGTCTCACTCTGTTGCCAGGCTGGAGTGCAGTGGCACGATCTCGGCTCACCACAACCTCCGCCTCCTGGGTTCAAGCAATTCTTCAGCCTCAGCCTCCCAAGTAACTGGGACTACAGATGCATGCCACCATGCCCGGCTAATTTTTGTATTTTTTTTTTAGTAGAGATGGGGTTTCACTATATTGGCCAAGTTGGTCTGGAACTCCTGACCTTGTGATCTGCCCACCTCGGCCTCCCAAAGTGCTGGGATTACAGGCGTGAGCCACCATACCTGGCCTGTCTGCAGCTTTTTATGAGATGGTGGAAGTTCTGAGCAAAGACTCTTGTTGAGGCACTGCTCAGGAGCAGGGCACTGTCCCCACAGGTGAGTTCTGTGTGCGGGTCTCTTCCCCAGCAGCTTTCCCAAAGGGCTGCTGTGCATGTGGGGCACTGCGTACCGGGCACTACACGCCAGTGCCTGCCCACAAGCCTTGCTGCCTCTCTCTGCAGGGTCTCGTGAAGGCATCCATCCAGGAGTGCGTCCTTGACAGTCCTCTGTAACACAAGATCCAGTTCCGCCCAACTAAGGGCCTTGGCCTGAACCTGGCCTTGAGTATCCTTTGGTGGCCTTGAGGTAGGAAGGTTGTGGGTGGCTCAGCTCTCAACACTGGGGGTTTCCCAGCAACCCTGTGTATTTGCCCTTGACGCTGCCATCAGATCCGTTCGAGTATTACATATGCTTCTTTGCCTTGAGCCTCAACACACTAAAGGTAGGGAAGGGATGCCTCTTGCTGGGAGGGGTGGGGGCATGGCCCGGGGCTTCCCTGCACTTGCCAGTGCTCTGGGGCCAGGCAGTGCCCAGACCCCATGCTAAGAACTAGCTTGGTTTTCCAGCCACTCCCTGTGTCTCTCCATGTCCATATTTCAGACTGTACCTATTTCCTCCTGGTGGACAGGTACCTGTCATGGTTCCTGCCCACCAAAGGCAGCCTGCCACCACCCTCACTGTCCTCCAGCCCAGGATGGGCCAGTCCCTCACCTGCTCCCAGGTAAGGCTACCCTGATTGTGAAGACCTGGCCCTTCCATAAGGGAGTGGCCTGGTCAGTTGAATCACCCACCAGGACAATGGTGCCACCCTTTGTCCAGGGTTCCCAAATTTGTCTTATGCCTCATTCCCCACCTCCAGCTTTCTTAGCACAGACTGGAGGGTGGGGGTGAGGAGGGTGATCTGTCCTTTAGTTTTCGATGTCTGTGGCCATCACTGAAGCTATCAGGTCTCTGGAGGCCTCCACGGCCTGCATGGGAATGGGCTGTGTTCTGCATGAAGCAGCCCTCCCCACATGCAGTGTCTGAGGTGGTGAGCATGGCAGAAGGCTTGTTCTATGGGGGAAAAAAAAATGGAAATCTCTCTGGGCCCCAGGACCAGGTCTTGAAGGGGAGGCCCTGGGCCAAAGAGCCTGTGTGTCAGTCCAAACAAGCTGAGCCTGTTGGTGACTGCACAGGTGGGAAGTGTGAACCAGGGGCTCTTGTGCCTAGCTGTGCTGGGGTCTCAGTGGGCCCTAACCCAGGGCCTCTTGGCTGACTTCCCAGGAGACCCTCTGGGGACCTCCCAGGAGACCCTCTGCACAGGCAGCAGCTGCCTGTGCTCCTCTGACCCTCCTTAATCTTGCTGCCCCATCGCCTTCCCTGGGAGGCTGCGTGCAGGCCCCTTCCTGCAGATGCTGGCCCACCCCAGATCTGCTGGCATGTGCAAGCCAGGACAGGCCTCTACCTACAATTCACATGTGTGGACAGATGCCCCAGAGGGTGGAGGGGAGAAAGGGAGCAGCAAGGAGGAGAGGCTGCCTGGGTGGCGGCAGTGGTCAGTGACCCTGAAATGTTGCTGATGCTGTGGAGGACTTGGAGGTGAGGTGGATTCACACCCTCTCAGATGTACAATTCAGTTGCCAAGTGGTTTTTATGCCCAGCTTTTGAGTTTTTTTGTAATTTAATTTTTTCTTTTAGAAATTATATATATATAATGTGTGTATATATACACATTTATGTTATATATATGTGTGTGTATAATATATATATGTGTATATATACACACACATATATATATTGGAAACAGAGTCTTGCTCAATTGCCCAGGCTGGAGGGCAGTATTGTGATCACAGCTCACTGCAACCTCCACCTCCCAGGTTCAAGTGATGTTCCTGTCTCAGTCTCCTGAGTAGCTGGGATTACAGGTGTGCAACACCACATCCAGCTTGTATTTTTTGTAAGATGGGTCTCGCTATGTTGCCCAGGCTGGTCTAGAACTCCTGGGCTCAAATGATCCTCCTGCCTCAGCCTCCCAAGGTGCAGGGATTGCAGGCATGAGCCACCACATTCAGTCATTATGTCTTTTTAAAGACAGGGTCTTACTCTGTCACACAGGCTGGAGTGCAGCGGCACAGTCGTCACTCACTGCAGCCTTAAATTCCTGGGCTCAAGTCATCCTCTCACCTCAGTGACTACAGGCACGCATCACCACAGCCAGATAATTTTAAAACATTTTTTTTTTGTAGAGATATGACAGGGGAGGCTTGCTGTGTTGCCCTGGTGGGTCTTGAACTCCTAGCTTCCACAATCCTTTATTGGCCCCAGGAGCAGGTCTTGAGAGGGGGAGGCCCTGGGCCAAAGAGCCTGTTGTGCCAGACCAAACAGGCTGAGCCTGATGCCATACTGCACGGATTGGGAGGGTGAACCTGCCTCAGCTTCCCAAGTAGCTGGGATTACAGGCGCAGGCCACCACACCTAGCTAACTTTTTATTTTGAAATAACTTCAGACTTACAGAAAAGTTTCCACGCATAATAAAAAGAACTTGCAGACTGGGCATGGTGGCTTACTCCTGTAATCCCAACACTTAGGGAGGCCAAGGCAGAAAGATCACTTGAGGCCAGGAATTTGAGACCAGTGTGGGCAACATAGGGAGACCTCATTTCTACAAAAAATAAAATCAGCTGAGTATGGTGACGTGCAACTGTGGACCAAGCTACTCAGGAGACTGAGGTGGGAGGATCTCTTGTGCACTCTTCAAGGCTATAGTTAGCTATGATTGCGCCACTGCACTCTAGCCTGGGGTGACACAAGAAGACCCTGTTTCAGAAAAAAAAAAAAAGTTCATAGACCCTTCATCCAGATTTCCAAATTAACACTTTGCTGCATCTGCTTTATCCCCTTTCTATGATATGTTTTTTCTCCCCTAAGCCAATAAGAATAAACTACAGGTAGGACACCCCTTGGCCTCTTAATATGTCAGTGTATTTCCTAAAAGTGAATGCATTATCTTATATAGTCACAGTGCGTGTGCTCCTCTGACCCTCCTTAATCTTGCTGCCCCATTGCCTTCCCCAGGAGGCTGCATACAGGCCCGTTTCTGCAGATGCTGGCCCACCCCAGATCTGCTGGCATGTGCAAGCCAGCACATGCCACCACACCAGGAAGTTAGTATTGCCACCAGGCTACACCTAGTCATCAGACCTCGGGGTTCACCACCAGCTACCCCACTCATGCCCGTTACCTGGCTGGGTTTCAGCACAGGCTCACCCACTGCATGCAGTGATGTTTCTAGTCCCCTTCAGTCCGGAATGGTTCTGCAGCCTGTCTGTCTTTCCTGACCTTGACCCCTCCAAAGCATGTGGCCACCCCTTGGGCTGTCTTGTATTTGCTGGTGATTAGGCATAGCTTGGGCTTTGTTGGCAGGAGCACTGCAGCGGGGACACCTGGTCCTTGCCAGGTGTCTCATCAGGAGGCCTGCAGTGCCCCTTTGCCCCATCACTGGTGATGCTAGCTTTATCACTGGGTGGAAAGGGTGTCGGCCAGGTTTGTCCACTGTAAAATAAGTACTTCGTGCCCAGATTAAATAGTAATGAGGCTGAGTGCAGTGGTTCACGCCTGGAATCCCAGCACTTAGGGAGGCCAAGGTGGGTGGATCACCTGAGCTCAGGAGTTTGAGACCAGCCTGGGCAACATAGCAAAATCCTATCTCTACCAAAAATTTTAAAATTAGCCTGGCGTGGTGGCATGCGCCTGTAATCCCAGCTACTTAGAGGCTGAGGTGGGGGGATCACTCAAGCCCAGGAGGCAGAGGTTGCATTGAGCCAAGATCATGCTGTTGCACTCCAGCCTGGGCTACAGAGTGAGAGCCCATCTCAAAAAAAAAAAAATTAGTAATGAGTGCCTGGACAACATAGCAAGACCTTGTTTGTACTAAAAAGAAAAATATTGGCCAGGCACAATGGCTCATGCCTGTAATCCCAGCACTTTGGGAGGCCAAGGCAGGCATATCACGATGTCAGGAGATCGAGACCATCCTGGTCAACACGGTGAAACCCCATCTCTACTAAAAATACAAAAATTAGCTGGGTGTGGTGGTGCACGCCTGTAATCCCAGCACTTTAGGAGGCAGAGGCGGGCAGATCATGAGGTCAGGAGTTCAAGACCAGGCTGAGAAACATGGTGACACCCCGTCTCTACTAAAAATACAAAAAATTAGCCAGGCGTGGTGGTGCATGCCTGTAGTCCCAGCTACTAACGAGGCTGAGGCAGGAGAATCGCTTGAACTTGGGAGGCAGAGATTGCAGTAAGCCGAGATGGAGCCACTGCACTCCAGCCTGGTAACAGAGTGAGAGTCTGTCTCAAAAAAAAAACAAAAACAAAAAACAAAGAAAGAAAAACATTAGCCAGGCATGCAGGCATGGTGGTGTGCACTGTGGTCCCAGCTACTTGGGAGGCCCGGGTCTAGGAGGTTGAGGTTGCAGTGAGCTGTGATCACAGCACTGCACTCCAGCCCAGGCAACAGAATGAGACCCTGTCTCAAAAAAAAGAAAAATTGGTAATGATGATTTACCGGGAAGATGTATAGAGACTATGTATTATCACTAGTATTAACATCAACTGTTGATTCTTTTCTCTTTTTTTTTAAGTGAAAGCAAGTTTATTAAGAAAGTAAAGGAATAGAAGAAGGGCTACTCCATACACAGAGAAGTCGATTCTTTCCTTTTTTCAAATTGATTTTATTTTACTTTAAGACAGGATCTTGTTCTCTCACCCCAGGCTGAAGTACAGTGGCATGATCTAGGCTCACGGCAGCCTCAATCTCTTAGGCTCAAGTGATCCTCCTGCCTCAGCCTCCCAAGTATCTGGGACTACAGGCATGCATCACCACATCTGAATGCTTTTTTTTTTTTTTAATAGAGATGGGTTTTGCCCATGTTGCCCAAGCTGGACATCTTATTTTTTTTAGAAACAGAGTCTCGCTCTGTCACCCCAGGCTGGAGTGCAGTTGGTGCCATCATAGGTCACTGCAGCCTCAACTCCTAGGCCCAAGGAGGGAGCCATTTTCCCTTCTCAGCCTTCTAAGTAGTTAGGACTACAGGCACACCCCACCGTGCCCAGCTATTTCATGTTTTAATGTTTTTGTAGAGACGGGGTCTCACTGTGTTGCCCAGGCTGGTCTCAAGTGCCTGGCCTCAAGAGATCCTCCTGCCTTGGTTTCCCAAAGTGCTGAGATTTCAGGCGTCTCACGCAGGTCCCATGCCTGGCCTCACTTGATTCTTGACCAAATAAGCTATTAATAGGGCAGTTGCCAAGTGGTGGTTCCCTAACTTCATTCTTCCTGTATTGGGTCAGTGGTCGCTCTGCGGGAAGGAAGACTTTTCTCTTTGCTATTTGTTTATTCAGGTGTATCAGTGTGGATTTGGGGCAGGGGTGAGGTTTGTGCATTGTGCAATTGAACAAGTTGTAATACGTCCCTGCTGTCATTGATTTTGATGTCCAGATCGCCCCTGGCCTGGCCAGCAGGAGCTCCTACCTTGGGCCTGTTTCCGTGTCTCCCTCAGGACACCAGCCATGCCCTTTGCTTCCTGTAGCCTCCAGCACACTAGCCCCCTGAAGCGACACTTCTCTCATCAGATGTCTGTGAATGCAGACCCCGCCTCCCAGGAGATCTGGAGGTCAGAAACTCTGCTCCGGGTGAGAGCTGAGCTGGTCTCAACGTCTGTTTCAAAAGAAACTGGTCAGCCATCTTCCACTATATGGGTCAGAGTCCCAGAGGCGGCCGCTTAGCCCAGGGCTGATTCTAAATTGTTGGCATTTTCCTGGTATGACATTTAGAAAACATGAATATAAGTCTGCCCACCCACCTAACTTACTTGTCATTCATGGTGTTTTTCATCCCAGGATCCCCTGTCCATCGGAGTCGTTTCATTTGCCCATTGTGATATAATTGTTGCGGTCTCTTGGTGTCCGTCTCTCGTGTTGCTGGAGATGCTTCCTATGATTACCATCATGTGGATATTAAGCGTTGCCCCAGTAGCACTTTTGTGACACGGAATGGTGAGGGGTTTGTGCAGCCTCCACAGGCCTTCTGTTGATTCAGGGGATCCAAATAGTAGGTGACAGAGTCCCTTGTCTGTCCTGGGGGGCTCCAGCCTCTCACGATGGTGTGGACTGGCTCACTCCCTGAGTGCTATCCACCAGGTCCTGGCTGTGTCTTCTGAGCATAACTTGGAGAGATTTGGCAGGTGCTGCTCCTGACACTGGATCCTAGGACTGACTTGGTAGCCACAGCCTCGCCGTTGACACCTGGGAAGTAGATAAGATAGGATTCTGTCTCCGACCTTGTACATAACTCCTAATATGTGGGGTGCCGTGCTTTTTGAAGCCTCCACACCATTTCACAACAACCTCGGGTGCTAGAATGATAGGGACCATTGTCCCTGGGAGGGGCATGGTCCCCAGAGGGGACCATGATACCCAGATGGCTCTTGGCTGTGTGGACCATGGGATGTGCTGGCTGTGAAGAGGGCAGGAGACCATGACACAAGCTTACAACAGGACAGAACTGGAAGGTTCTGCTGTTTCCTGGACCAAAGCATTAATGCTTTTCGTTTTTTTAATTAAGAAAAAAACTGTAATTGTAAAATATACATAACATAAAATTTACTGTCTTAACCATTTCCAAGTGTACAGCCAGTAGTATTAAATACATTCACGTTGTTGTTATCTGTAGCACACAGTACTTCTTTGTGTGTGACTGGCATGCTTCAGTTAGCATAATGGATTCAAGATTAATCCGTGTTACAGCATGTGTCAGAATTTGCTTCCTTTCCAATCTCCAGAATCTTGCAAAACTGAAACTGAACCGACCAGGCATGAGAGCTCACTCCTGTAATCCTAGCACTTTGGGAGACCAAGGTGGGAAAGATTGCTTGAGGCCAGGAGTTTGAGACCAGCCTCGCCAACATAGTGACACCCCGTCTCTCTCTCTCTTTTTTTTTTTTTTTTTTTTTTTTTTTTGAGACAGAGTCTCACTCTGTCGCTTAGGCTGGAGTGCAGTGGTGCGATCTCAGCTCACTGCAATCCCTGCCTCCCGGGTTCAAGTGATTCTCCTGCCTCAGCCTCTTGAGTAGCTGGGATTACAGGCACCTGCCACGGTGCCTAGCTAATTTTTATATTTTTAGTAAAGACGGGGTTTCACCATCTTGGCCAGGCTGGTCTTGAATTTCTGACTTCATGATGCACCCGCCTCGGCCTCCCAAAGTGCTGGGATTACAGGCATGAGCCACCATGCCTGGCTCCCCATCTCTTTTAATAAAAAAAAAGAAACTGAACAATTAATTCCCCACGCAGCCCCTAGCAACCACTATTCTGCTTTCTGTTTCTATATGTTTGACTCCTAGATCTCATATCTAAAGCATTTTTCTGTAGCACACAGTACTTCTTTGTGTGTGACTGGCATGCTTCACTTAGCATAATGGATTCGAGATTAATCCATGTTACAGCATGTGTCAGAATTTGCTTCCTTTTTAAGGCTGCATAGTGTTCCCTTGTGCGGATGTACCATGTTGTGTTTATCTATTCATCTCTCAGTGAACACTGGAGTTGCTTCTATTTTTATTTTATTATTTATTTATTTATTTATTTTGAGACAGGGTCTCGCTCTGTTTCCCAGGCTGGAGTGCAGTGGCATGATCTTGGCTCACTACAGCTCAAATTCCTGGGCTCAGGCGATCCTCCCACCTCAGACTCCCAGTAGCTGGGACTATGGCTGTGCCCCACCACACCCAGCAAATTTTTGTGCTTTTTGTGGAGACAACTTTTTGCTATGTTGCCCAGGCTGGTCTTGAACTCCCGGCCTCAAGCCATCCACCTGCCTCGGCCTCCCAAAGCACTGGGATGACAGGCCTGAGCCATCATGCCCGCTGGTTCTTTTCACTCTATCAGTAGTATCTTTTGATGCTGTATTTTTTTGCTTGTTGCTTGTGATTTGGGCATCATATCTAATAAATCATTGCCAAATCCAGTGTTATGAAGCTTTCTCCCATGTTTTCTTCTGTAAGTTTATGGTCTTAGTTCTTATCCTCAGGCCGCTTACCCACTTTGAGTTAGTTTTTGTCGATGGTGTGAGGGCAGGGCCCAGCTTCACTGTTCTGCATGAGGGTGTTCTGTGTTCCCAGCTCTGCTTATGGGAGACACTGTCCTTTCCCCACTGAATGGTCTTGGCAGTTATCGAGAATGATTTGACTACGTAATGCTCTTTTGCAGGTTTTTGTCGAAATGTGGCTTCAACACTATTCTCTGGAGATGTACCAAAAAATGCAGTTCCCCTCATGCCAAGGTAGGTTTCCATAGTTTTTCTTCCCACCTCCTGCTTCTGACCATGCTCAGCCTGCTGCTTCTTATCCTGCATTTGAGTGAGTTTTCACAGACCGGATGGTGGGAAGCAGAAATCCACCACCCACCCTTCATTCAGAAGCTGAATAAGAAGTGGGCATAGTTCTCTAGTTCCCGATGAGGAGCAGGTGGCATTGCACCCTGATATGTGGACACTGAGGCCTGGAGGTCTGGCCTCTCCAGGGCCTTTCCTGTGCAGCTTCCGGAGCCCCCTCCCTGGCAACAGGAACAGATGAGGTTGTGGCACTTTTGCTGTGGGGGTGGGGGAGCTGCAATGCCTCTGGGAGCCGCGTTCTCGTCTGTCTCCTCCACCATCAGCAGTGCCTTTGTGCTTTCCCATGAAGTGATGGCCCAGGGCAGACCCATGCCCACCATAGTGGCACCATAGTTAGCCTCCTTTGTCTGCCCCCCACTCCCCCACCTCCTCCAGAGCATGAGCAAGCCGCCATACTCATGGTGTGTGGGGCCTGGCGCCCTCCTACAAGCAGCCTGGCCTGCTTCCTCCCCCTCCGCCTCGCCTCTCCCCACTCTCTCTCTAGGCAGCATGCCCTGGGCACACATCCTGTAGTCCGGTGCCCGTGGCGTCTATGCATGGGAGACTTTGCCTTTATTGCTGACAAAGTTCCAGAAGGCTTCATCCAGAATGAAGGATCTGTGGGTGATGGAGTTAAACTTCAGAAGAGCCTCCTGTCACTTTTCCTCCGGTTCTGGAGAAGAGCTGTGGGTCTGTTTCTGCCACAGCCTCTGCAGCCAGTTCTGTGGCCCCATGCTTTGCCATGTGAAGGCTCTCTCAGAGCATAGGTTCCCCCAAATCCTCACCCTCAGCATCACCTGGAAGGAGCACAAGGAAAAGTTGGGGACCCCATCTTGGGCCTCCTGAGTCACAAAGAGCCTGCAGTGCCCTTCCCGCTTCCAGAGCAGACTTACTGCATATGCCTGGCTGGTGCCTGGGGGGCTGGTTGGTTCCTAGGGCCCCGCTTCTCCCTGGCGCCCTAGAACACTTGCTCAGCGCTCTTGCATGTGGCTTGACCTGGCAGGGGCAGGGGCCGCTGCACTGTGTCACCTTCCTATCTGCTGGTTCTGCCTACTGAGTGAGTGGAAACACACCTACTTTCAAGGGCAAGCCAGAAAGGCTCTTCTGGGCTGTCACCTGTGAGGATTCTGTGTCCTCATGGGTCAGGGGAACTGGCAAGGCGTCGTCCCTGCAGAGGGCAGGAGGTGCCTTTCCCCTCTTCTCAATGTTCGCTTCCTCTTGGCCAGACCTTGGGTTGCGTGAGTCCTGCTCAGAATGACTTGCAGTGGTGGGACGAAGTGCCCAGAGATGCTCCACTTTTTGCCTCTTCCAGTTGAGGCAAAAAACAAAACGTGAGAAAACTGGGTGGGTGGGGGTCAGAGAAAGGCAGCTGTGGAGGTCGGGGCCCCCAAGGCCCCTGGCCCTTTGCCGCTTGCCCAGGCCTATGCTGCTCCTGCCATACAGAAATCCCTGCCTGTCTCTGCTAGCTCTTATTTTCAGATGCAGGAAGTGAGGCTCCCAGGGTTGCCCTCCACACCCTGGTTGAATCCGAGGTGCATGCTTGCTCCCTGGTGGCCCCGTGGGCCATAAAGATGGCCAATGGCCCCACAAGCCACCGTGTTCCTTAGGCAAGGGCAGAGACGCACTGGAGAACTGTGTGTCTGTTTCCTGCCTGAGCCCTAGGTCTGGCACAGAGGAAGGCTGTGAAGGGCAACATCTCTCTGCCCTGCTCCTTCCCGCCCTGCTCTGCGTGTTGTGACATCTAGCAGGTGTGTTCTGATGTCTCCTGTGTGGAGCCCAGTGGTCGTGCTACTTGGGCAGGAGGCATGGCGCTCACGGGGCAGGATATGCACCAGGCCAGCTCTGGCTATGCTGGGCCGAAGGGGTGCTTCGGAGGCTGCAGCGCTGCAGGGTGGTAGATTGGAGGGTCCTGGCTGGGGGCCAGCTTAGCCTCAGTTTCCTGTTGCCTCTGGGTGTGTGTGGCTGTGGCCAGGTCCTCGGGGGCTCCTGCCCTTGGGAGCCCTCCATATCTGGAGGGTGGGAGTTCCTGATGCGGTAGGAGAGGTTGCCTCCTGGAGTCAGAGCTGATGCACACACCACCTCGGCTGACCTCCAGGCTGGGGGAGTGCGGAGGGCAGGGCCTGGGGGCCTGAGCCTGTGCTACCCTTGGGGACCTGTCCTCATCCTCAGCTCTCAGAGAGATCCACTCATGGAGGGGACATTGATTGGGTTTTAGACATAGGAATTGATCATGTCATATACAAATTTGATAAATTTCTCAAAACAACCCAGGGAAATCCAGTCAATTACATATGTGTCTTCTCTAGGCAGAGTCCTCCTCCTAGAACATGCTTTGCCAGTTTATTTTCTGGGCCTCAGGATCTTGAGGCCTTGGTGGCTGACAGCATGTCCCAGAGAGAAGGCCCTGGGTACTTGAAGGGCTGTGGTGTGCACATGGCACACACGGTGTGGCCTCAGAGTCACTGGGGAGAGCGGGTCCCATCTGGAAGGGCAGTGAGTTGGGCCCTTCCAATGAGCTGGAGAGGCCTTTAGGCCCCAGCGACATTGAGAGGCCACCCAGGTGACCTGGAGGGTCTATCCGCCCCCAGCCTCCAAGGCTGAGGAGAGTGCTGTCACAGCTCTGGCCTGGCTGCCGAGGAGGGTGCTGCGCTGGTCACAGCTGCTGGGACTGCAGTTGTTTGGATGGTCACTGACCATGCTTTTGTTGTTTTTTTCTCCTCACTTCTGGGCTCGTTCTCATTGCTTTCTTTCTCCACTTCCCCCTCCCATGTCCGGTACCATGTCTCTCCTTCACCACCCTGTCCTCTCATGCTTTTCTCTTCTGCCTCTTCCGGCTTCTCTCTGTTCACTCTCTCAGCTGGAGGTGCTGCACTACCGACTCTGTGTCTCCAGTGCCCACCACAGCCCCCGGCAGCCCAACCTCCAGGCCCTCCACACCTACCAAGTACTGGCTGTGCTCGTTCATTCCCTTCCCCTGCCCGGAGTGCGTGTCTGCGCCTGGCAAAGCAAGGGGCTGGCTGGGCCCAGCTGCAGGTGACTCAGAGGCTAGTTTCAGGCAGAGTGAAGCCCCTGTGTTGAGGGAGGCAGAGATCAGCCTCCAGCCTGGCCTGGCCCCTGGCTTTGCAGACTAGCCTGGCTTGTGGGAGTGGGGTGTGGCTGTGTGTCAGAATGAGGCATGTGGCCTGGGCTGGCCAGACTCCCCACCAGTGGTGGAGGTGTCACAAGTTCTCTGGTGTTGGAGGCTCTGTGCTCGGCCCTGGTTTGAAGAGCTGGAGTCGTGAGGCCTCTGCAGTGGCCCGGTTCACCCCCACTCTGCAGGGCCCAGTGCTAAGGAAGGAGCTGAAGACACAGAGGCCTGGGACTTACGGTAATGTGGGTGCTGCCCTGTTCAGAACTGTCATCCAGCTTGGAGGTTCCATGACCCAGACTGTGTGTGAGGCAAGGGGGTTGGGGAGGACCTGGGGCTTGGCCCTATAGCTCACAGAGGCTGTCAGTCCTTCACCTAGGGAGCCCTGGCCACTCGTAGACACCTGTGGAGGTGGATGAGAATAGGTAGTGACCTCATAGAGGTTGTGGTCTGCCTAGGCACAAATGACAAGCGTATGGATGGATTTGAGGTCAGTGAAGCAGAGTTCAGGCCCATGGGGGATTTCGGGGACGACAGAGTTAGTGAGTCTGTGAGAGCCCGGGGAGACGAGCTGTGCCCACAGCCAGGGGTCTGTCCCGTTCACCCTGCGAAGGAGCACACGTGATTGAATGGGAATTTGAGCGCAAGATGAAAAAAACATGTGGGCCCCAAGTGCCGGTGGGTTGGGATGGCAACCACTGCATGTGATGGCGTCCCTGTTCCGCAGGAGCCACTGGAGAAGAGGGACATGAGGGCTTGGGCCAGGGCAGTGTCCAGGAAGCATCTAGCAACCCCCATGGCAGGACAGGTGACCAGGGAGACCCTGGAGGAGTGAGCTGAGGTGCTGTGAGGCTGGGCCCAGTGGGAAATGCGGGGCTTTGGGTACACATCTTTGAGAAGCAAGCAGGTGTGACTGTGGCCAGGGACTACACATGGGAATGTGGCCCAGGAGGGGTACAGAGCTGAGGGAAAAGTTTGGCTCAGCAAATCTGTGGGAAAATAGCCTGAGAGGCTTTCATGTGACTGCTGGGGGCAGGGGCAGACACTGGCCCCTCCAGACCCTCTGGAAGGACCAGGTGATGTTGGGTAAGTGAACCTGCAGGGGAAGGCAGGTTCCCAGTTCCTATGTGGATGCTGTCCCCTCCCGTGAGCTGCAGGGAGGATGTCATGGCTCAGGATCCCAGGCCAGGATCAGAGGGAGGGCCAGGGGTGAGACTGGAGGAGAAGGACCCTGGTCTAACTTCCCACCCCACTAGTACCATTCTAGTCGGGCCGTATAGGTACTGGTTTTCTCCTTCCTTCCAAAGCAATGCAAATTCATTGCCTAAATACTTAAAGATAGAGATAGAAGAAAATAGCCAGGTACGGTGGCTCAAACTTGGAATCCCAGAACTTTGGGAGGCCAAGGAAGGCAGATTGCTTGAGCTCAGGAGTTTGAGACCAGCCTGGGAAACATGATGAGACCCCTGCCTCTACAAAAAAATAGAAAAATTATCTGGGTATGTTGGTATGTGCCTCTGGTCTCCGCTACTCGGGAGGCTTTGGTGGGAGGATCCCTTGAGCCCAGGAGGCAGAGGTTACAGTGAACCGACATTGTGCTGCTGCACTCCAGCCTGGGTGACAGAGTGAGACCCTGTCTCAAAAAAAAAAAAAAAAAGAAAAAGAAGAAGAAGAAAATACCTCCATTCCCAGCCTCAGCCACTGATCTGTGGGGTGTGTCTCCTGGACCTGTGGGGACATTTTCCTGACGGGCAGACTTGAGTGGGCAGTGATGTGAGCAGTGGTCCATGTGGGTTCTGCAGCATCCCAGGATATACCCAGAGGCCGGGCCCTGCACCAGTCTCAGCATCACAGATGTGTTGAGGCCCAAAGGGCTGGGGGTAAGCATGGAGAGGCGAGCATGTCCACTCGGACTCAGGGGCCCACCCTCAGTGCCCCCTTCTCCTGCCCTCATCCACTCTTGATGCTCCCCCCTGCCCTCTCAATGCTGAGCAACCAGAGAAAGCCCACAGCCAGCAAAAAGGCTTTCCTCTTGGGTGTAGGTCTCCAGGATCCTGCTTGTACATTGTAAATCAAAAGCTTGGCCTGTTAGCTTGACTGTGCTCTTGTCTTGGGGTTTTCCTGACCACAGGTCTGTGGGCAACAGAGGAATTGATGCCCAGCGCTTCTCCCAGGGTGAGCCCTCATCCAGCTGTGTCCAGAATGAGGAGCAGATGGAAGGAATTGGGGAGAAAAGTGAAGGTTCTTATTTTTTGAACAGGGTCTTACTCTGTCACCCAGGCTGGAGTGCAGTGGCACGATCCTAGCTCACTGCACCAAGAACACCTGGGCTCAAGCGATCTTCCCACCCTAGCCTCCTGAGTCACTAGGACTACAGGTGCACACCACCATGCCCAGCTAACTTTTTAAAATTTTTGTAGAGACAGGGCCTCCCTATGTTGCCCAAGCGAATCTCGAATTCCTGGCCTTAGCCATCTTCCCTGGGAGACCCTGGATCCAGAGCTTGGGGGTGACATCGGCCTCCTCCTGCCATGAGGATCAAGATAGGCAGCAATGGCCAAGGGCACAGTCTGGCGGGCCATAGCCCTGTGCCACCCACCGCGGGTGTGCAGCGGTGCAGAAGCAGATGCGTCTGTCTCAGCGAGTTCTCCCCAGGTAGGCTGTGTGGGCGCTGGGCCAAGCACTTCCCTACCACGAGCTGGTCGCAGTTCAGACCAAGCAGTGCAAGGCACACCCGCTGGGTGTGAGGCACAGTGGTGGCCCCACTCTTTGCCTGGCTCGTGCCTCCTGTGTGGAGGCAGATCAGCTGTCCCAGGGCGGGCTGTGGTCAGACCTGGAGGCCACGTGCTGCAGCCCTTCCCAGGCCCTGACTCCTCTTCCTCCACCTAGGAGTCGTTCATGCCCACCAAGGGGCACATGCTGGTGGTGCGCCTGCCACTGAAGCACCTGCACGCCTTTGCCGACAGCCTGAAGCCAGAGCAGGTCTCACCTTTCGTCCACTCCCACACCACCAGCCCGCTGGGGGAGTTCAAACAGTGGGTGGCCCTTGCGGCTTCCAGCCGCTGCTGTCTCCTCCTCGTTCCCCTCCTCCGGTGTTGCCCACGGCGACCTCTCCCCGGGGCATGGGGGGCAGGGTGAGGGGAATCCCTTCCTGCTCACAGAGCACGTGAGGCCTCTGGAGGGCTACGCAAGTGCCTTCTCAGCTAGCCTGGTGGGGCTGCCGGCTGATCTCTGGCTCCCAGAGCCTCTCTCTCCAGACTGGCCAAAAAGGCCCCATCACGGTGCCGTCTCTTGCTCCTCCCCACCCGTCAGGAGAAGGGTTGGGGCGGGTCCTGACTCCCAGGCCCATCGGGGCTGGCAGAGTGGGCTGTTTTGTGTGGGGCTGAGGTGAGGTGTGTGCAGGAGATGCAATGGCTTGGCCGCCTGCATGCTGTGTCCTCGGGATGCTCCCTAACCTCGGTTTCTTCCTCTGAAGAATGGGGCTGAAACCAGCTCTTACCACTCAGAAGTGCCTAGTGCTCTCTCCCAGCAGAGCCAACCCTCACTAATGGGAACCCCGGGCTCATCTGTGAGCAGGGCCACCTTACTGTGCAAGCGGCTGGTGACCCTCCCCTCCTCTGCAGGCCGCTGTCCCGAGGTTAGTCCAGCAGAAACTCTACCTCTTCCTGCGGCATTGCTTTGGCCACTGGCCCTTGGACGCATTGTTCAGAGCTAGGAGTGTCGGCCCCATCACATGTGTGCCTGTGTCTTCTGTGTGCCCCAATGAGGGAGGTCCCCTGGGGTGGATGAAGGAGAACAAGTGTTGTCACAGAGACCTTGGAGAGGAGGGGGCCTTGGAGGGCCACGTTGTTCTTTCTGTTTCAGTTTCCAAAGGCAACCCTCAGGCACAGCAAAGCCCTGCCCCATCCCACCTGTCTGGTGCCAGACAGGTTTCTACTCTTACGCAACCAGGTAGCACTGGGTCCCGTGGGCCGGGAAGAGCCCGCCCATGACCCTGGCTTCTGAAGAGCAGTGAGAGAACCAAATCTCACAGGGCTGTGCGCGTCTCTCCTGCGCCCTCTGGGGGACGTGGGAAGAGCCAACTTAGCTGCCACCTGGGTACCTGGGTTCCAGGCCATCAGAGGATTTGGCCCCAGCCACTGGGCCTTCAGCACACACCTCCCCCACAGGTCCTGGAGGTGTGGCTGAGCTACCTGCAGCCATGGTGGTATGCAGCTGACAAGCAGGCTGCCAGCAGCAACTCCCAGCCCCAGTGTGTCTGAGAAATGGTGAGCCCTGGCCCCCTCTCCTCACATGCCACTGGCTCCCCTGGGCAAATGTTGCTCCAGTGGGTGGAGGCCAAGACAGCGGCCTGTGCTGGGGTCAGCCTGGCCCTGGCCCTCTCCCAGCTGCTGCTGAGTGGAGCACAGACCAGCCCTTCCTAGGCTCAACTTCGCCAGGCCCTAGAATGGGTTTCTCATGGAAGCAGTGGGTGACCTGTCCCCTCTCCCTTCTGGCCCAGACAAATTTTCATGGTGACCCCCAAACTGTTCCTTAACCCTTCCTTACCAGCACAGAGCAGACCAGTGGCCACCTTCCCCTCATCTCCTGCTTGATCCTCACAGCAGACCCCCCCAGGCTTCCATGGCACCTGGCGTGGCCACTGACCTCTCCTTTCCTTGCCCGAGGCCTTCCCCTTTGGACCCTCTGGGGGATCCTCCCTCAGCCCCCTCAGGCTCTGGGCTGGCCTCTGCCATGGTGGCTTCAGTCCTCTTGGAAAGGGGCCTCAGGCCTGCTAAGGATGCAGCAACCTCAGAGGGCCTGGGTCTCACCTGCCTGTGTCCTGCCCTCCCTGCCTGCCAACAGTCTCCTGAGCTGTCATCCATAACACTGCACAGTTAAGGCTGAGACCGGCTGGACCCTGCCTGCCCTGCAGCCACCAGGCACCAGGCACTGGGTGGAAGACCGCAGGTATACCCACAGAGGGGGTCTGCACAGACCAAGCTGCGGGCCCATGGCACCACAGTTTCTCCCTGGCAACTCGTGGCAGCATCCTTGGGAGGCGGTCTTGGTCTCTGGCATGCGTTTGTCTTGGCTGGGTTGGACATTGGCTTCTGTCACTCCTCCTGGTGTTTGCCCTCCTGCAGACACTGTCGGGGGCTCTGTGAGCCACCAGCTCCCTCATTTGCCCTCCCCATGTCGGCCACCTGCTACATGGGAGACACTGCTGGGCAGGACCTCAGGAGGACACCCCTGGGTCATGGCTCCCCAGATACCTCGGAGGCATCCTGAAAACCTGTGGGCAGCAACCAGGTTCTCTGTGCCCCCGGAAGTGGGCGCTAGGTTCGTCTCCTGCCTTCCAGTTCGAGCAGCTGTTCCCGGAGCCGGAGCTCGTCATCCCCCTACCGCCAGCACCGACTCTTCACAGCCTGCACATTCGCCAGCAGCATCCTGTCATAGTGGCCACCAGTGGTCACTGATGCCTCCTTCAATGTGAAGAGTCACATCTATGGCCTGGAGGGCCAGGACTGCAAGTACACCCGATGTTCGGGCCCGAGGCTTACACCCTGGTGAGTGGGTTGGCGGTGCCCCTTCACAGGACCCCTGGAGCCACAAGGCTGAGCAGAGGCAGGGAAGTGCTGTGTTCTGGCGGGAGGGAGGGAGGTTGGGCGGAGAGTTGACGCACATCTCCTTTCCCCGTTTCAGTAAAGTCTGATTTGTTTCTGATAACGAAGGCAGTGTTGGGAAATTTCACATTTAGAAGATCATTCTTTAGTCTTTAAAAGTCCTCCAGCAGAAGCTGCTCCTCCCGTCACTCAGTGATCTGGCTGTGCACCCATCTTAGGGCCCCCAGCCAGCCTGCCTGGGTGGCAGTACAGGCGTATCCTGCCGGTGACCTGCCCTCGCCTCCCTTGCAGGTCCTGCACCTTACTCAGCTCATCACGCAGGCCAAGCACACGGCCAGGTCCATCTCGGACCAGTGTGTGGAGACTCCAGCTGGCCACTCCTTCCTGTTGTGGCTGGGCTTTGGCCCCACAGACACCAACGGCTCCTATTCAGCCATGACCTGGGCGAGATGGGGCAGGACAGCGTCCAGAAGATGGACGAGTGCCTGGAGGAGGCCCTGGCGTACCTGCGCCAGATATTCCGAGTATGAGCAATGGGGCCTGTTCCACGGCCGTTAGGGTCCCCTTCCCCGAAGGATCCACTCCCCCTTTGCCCATGGTCAGCATGCATCCGTCCCAGGCCCCATGCAGATGAACCCGGTGTTGTGGGAGGCAGGCCCACACCCCGAGTGTCATGTCCGGGTGCTCTCGTTGCCACTGTTAGAGGCTGGTGGGGTGAAGACTGGTGTTCCTTTGCCTTGACACTGAGGGCAGAGGAGCTTCTCTCTCTCTGGTAGCTCAGTGAAGTGCAGCTCACGCAGAGTCTCTCACACTTGCCTTGGACACCATCCAGGATGAGAATGGAAAGAAGCAGCTCCGGACTGCATCGCGGGTGAGGACAGACTCATCCCCACGCCCCTGGGCCAGTACCAGGTGAGAGGCCCAAGTCCCAGAGGTGCATGGGTTGGGCCCTGACGTGTCCCCAGCTCCCTCCTCCCCTGTGAGCAGAGATGGCTTGGCTCTTCTGAGTTGTGTGCAGGGGCCATGTTTCCTTTTCTCTTCTTTCTTTTTTTTGAAACAAGGTTTCCCTCTCTTGCCCAGGCTGGAGTGCAGTGGCATGATCTTGGCTCACTGAAACTTCCACCTCCTGGGTTCAAGCGATTCTCCCACCTCAGCCTCCTGAATAGCTGGGATTACAGGCACATGCCACCATGCCTGGCTAACTTTTTTTTTTTTTTGAGACGGAGTCTTGCTCTGTAGCCCAGGCTGGAGTGCAGTGGCGCAATCTCGGCTCACTGCAAGCTCCACCTCCTGGGTTCACGCTATTCTCCTGCCTCAGCCTCCTGAGTAGCTGGAACTACAGGTGCCCGCCACCAAGCCCAGCTAATTTTTTTTTGTATTTTTTTTAGTAGAGACGGGGTTTCGCAGTGTTAGCCAGGATGGTCCTGATCTCCCGACCTCGTGATCCACCTGCCTCAGCCTCCCAGAGTGCTGGGATTACAGGTGTGAGCCACTGCACCTGGCCAATTTTTGTATTTTTAATAGAGACGGGGTTTCATCATATCGATCAGGCTGGTCTCTAACTCCCGACCTTGTGATCCGCCCGCCTCGGCCTCCCGGAGTGCTGGGATTACAGGCATGAGCCACTGCACCTGGCCAGGGCCATGTTTTCTGGCCCAACCCTATAGCCTGGGTTTCTAGATCATCAACAGGCTGCAAAGGTTTGAAATTGAGTACCAGGGGGACCCGGAGCTGCAGCCCCTCTGGAGTTATGAGATTACCAGCTTGGTCTGAGCATCCTTCCGGCTGTCATCTGCCATCAAACACAGAGTGAGTGGGCAGGAGGGCTGGCCTGGCCTCTTCAGAGAGGGTTCTGGGTGCTCCTGCCTGGGGTGCAGTCTCAGGGTGGCCTGTGGGGGTGGGGTGCAGCTGTCCTGAGGCCTGTGGTGCCACCACCCCATGCCCCCGTGCCACTGCCTGCGCTTCAGTTTGCAGACCAGATGGCGGCTCTGTGTTCCTGAGATGACTTCCTTGCCAGCTTCTGTTGCTACCACCTCACAGAGCCCACGCTGGCCAGCGGCCACAGGCTCAACCTGCACTTCCTAGGCAGCTACCTGACACTGCCCTGGCTACTGCTGGCTTTCTTCATGGCCTCTCTGTTCTGCATCAGGCCCCTCACCTGTGCACTGCTGTTCACCCTGGGCTACGCCCTCTACTCCTTGGCCATGATGTTGCTGACCAGGTGGGGAAGCTGCACCAGCCCTGATGGCATTGGAGGTGGGAGGCCACTCCAGGTGGGAACATGGTTATCTTTGGGCTCCTGGTGGGGGCAGGGGGGTTCCTGCAGTCGTGGATGCATCTAGGGGAAATGGGACTAAAAAGGGAAGAAGGTAGCTTCAATAAAATCTAGTGCTTAAAGACACAGCAACTGTTCGATGATATTGAAGTATTCAAAATATATGACAACTACAGATTCACTGACAGAAACCACCACGGGGTATCTCACACCTTCATTCACCCCACAGATGACACACCAGGGAGAACAGCGTCTCGGTGGTGATTTTTTTTTTTTTTTTTTTGAGACAGAGTCTTGCTCTGTAGCCCAGGCTGCAGTGCGGCGGTGCGATCATGGCTCACTGCAACCTCCGCCTCCCAGGTTCAAGTGATTCTCCTGCCTCAGCCTCCCGAATAGCTGGGATTACAGGCATGCGCCACCATGCCCAGCTAATTTTTGTATTTTTAGTAGAGATGGGGTTTCACCATGTTAGTCAGGCTGGTTTCAAATTCCTGACCTCATGTTAGCCACCCACCTCAGCCTCCCAAAGTGCTGGGCTTACAGGTGTGAGCCAGCGCGCCCGGCCAGTGCTTTGTATTTTTATGTAAACTCAGAATACAGGTATTTTAGGGCCTGTGACCAAAAACCAAACCAAGCTTGTAACTCCACCAGGGATCTGAATAAACCTGCCCTTGCTTTTGAGTTTTCCGCCGCCTAGGCTCAGTATCCAGGCGGTTCACCCATACAGGGTCCCTGACCACGTGGGGGCTGTGGAAACAACTGCTGGGCACCCTGTTGGCCCCTCACCCCAGTGTCCACGGGCCTGGCCCTCTGGTTTCCTTTGCTTTCCTTGCCCAGGGGCACAGTAGACTCGGCAGCAGCAAAACCAAGGCGCATATTAACACTGAAGTGCCTGAGACAGAAAGGGGCTGGGCCGGAGCCATGTGAATTTTGCCTTCTACTCAATATCAACGTTGAGTAGATTGGCCTGTAATCCCAGAAGTTTGAGAAACCAAGGCAGGGAGGATCACTTGAGTCCAGGAGTTTAAGCCCAGCCTGGGCAACACAGCAAGACCCCATCCCTACAAAAGATTCAAAAAGTTGGCTGGGCGCGTGGCCCACGCCTGTAATCCCAGCACTTTGGGAGGTCAAGACAGGCAGATCACCTGAGGTCAGGAGTTCAAGATCAGCCTGGCCAACATGGTGAAACTTTGTCTCTACTAAAGACATAAAAATTAGCTAGGTGTGGTGCCACCTACCTGTAATCCCAGCTACTCGGGAGAGGCAGGAGAATCACTTGAACCTGGGAGCTGGAGGTTGCAGTAAGCCAAGATTGTGCCACTGCACTCCAGCCTGGGTGACAGAGTGAGACTCCGTCTCAAAAAAAAAAAAAAAAAAGATTCAAAAAGCTAGGTGTGGTGGCTCACACATGTGGTCTCAGCTACTTGACAGGCTGAGGTGGGAGGATCACCCGGGCTCAGAAGGTCAAGGCTGCAGTGAATGATCACGTCACCGCACTCCAGCCTGGGCGACAGAGCGAGACTCTGTCTCCAAAAAAAAACAAGCTGACGACCTGAAACATATGCCACCATGTCTGTGGCTTCCAGAAGCTCTGAGGATCTCGGGAGTGGCTGGGGACTGTGCACTCAGCCCCAGGGCAGCGTCTGGCCAGGAATGGAGGCAGACACAACCTACTGAGTAGAGAACTAAGAACAGCAAAGCCAAGTGAGGAGGCAGGGTCTTGGTGGTTGGGGCCTGGACACTGGAGAGAAAAGGGGACTACTGGCACGAGAGCAGAAGCAAAATGCAGTTGGGGGTTCCCAGCCAGGAGGCACTGGGGGGGACTTCCAGGGAAGGTCTGGGGTTGGAGCAACCCAGGAACCAGTTCTGGGGCACAAGGAGGAGGAAGCTCTGGGGACTTCTAGGAGGGAGGCTGGTGGCCGGGGTCCTGAGGAGGCCAGGCTAGAGGCAGGAGTTCTTGCACATTCTCGTCTCTCCACCCCGGACGCCTCCAGAGTGGTTTACTCTAACCGCCACCACCTCCTCAACTCCTAGGATGCCCTCAACTTTTTGCCACTGGACCACACTTCCCTGCTGTGAACAGGCCAAATCTAGATGCTTCTCAGACCTCATGGCCTGGAGCCTCTGGCAGCACAGCTTCAGGCTCTCCAGACACCACCCCTGCTCCCTGCACCTCCACATCCCCCTCCTTGCACCAGGCAACGCTATTCCCCTGGAACCCATTTGTGGCCCACTCTCTTCCATGACCAACACATCCTATCTCTAGGATGTACCAGCACCCACATGATCCCAGGTGACTCAGATTCTGATCGCCTCATGCAGGCGACCCACAAGCAGAGGCCCTGTGTAATCAGGAGAACTCTATACCTTTCCTCTTGGACATCAAAGAGCAAGTTAGATCCCCTAAATGGCCAATAACTCTGACATTTCCAACATAGAGAGGACTCTTTGTATTTTTTTGAGACGAGGTCTTGCCATGTTGCCCAGGCTGGAGTGCAATGCACCATCATGGCTCGCTGCAACCTCCAAATCCTGGGCTCAAGCAATCCTCCCACATCAGCATCCCACCCAAGTAGCCAGGACTACAGGCACGCACCACCACACCCTGCTAATTTTTAAATTTTTTTGTAGAGATAGGGGTCTCACTACATTGCCAGGCTGGTCTTGAACTCCTGGGCTCAAGTGATTTGCCCGAAGCGCTGGGTTTATAGGTGTGAGCCACCACACTGGAGAGAGGACTCTTATGTAGCCTTCACTTTAAAAATTAAGCTAGCTTCCCTTGACTCTCAAAACCAGAATTCTTAGCAGAATTTTCCCAAGTGAGAAGGGGCCGAAATATATAAAATTATTTCCCAATCAAGAATTTCTACTTTTGGCCAGGCACAGTGGCTCACGCCTGTAATCCCAGCACTTTGGGAAGCCGAGGCAGGTGGATCGCCTGAGCTCAGGAGTTTGAGACCAGCCTGAGCAACATGGTGAAACCCCATCTCTACTAAAAATATAAAAAATTAGCCAGGCCATCATGGAGGCTCACACCTGTGGTCCCAGCTACTCAGAAGGCTGAGGTGGGAGGATCGCTTGAGCTTGGGAGAAAAAAAAAAAAAAAAGAATTCCTACTTTCTCCCAACGAGTATTCCAGCTATGAAAATCACCATTGACTTTAATATCCATGTGAATCTTTGTACGCCCTTAAGAGATCAGAAGAATGCAAAGAAGTGAGAAGAGGAGGAGGAGCAAATGCTTTCCAGCCACAGCAGGAGGCTGGCACTTTGGAGGGTGGAGGCCTTTTGACACCCAGCTCAGCCCAGGGGAGCACAGGGTCAAGCCGAGGGTCAGTCACCAGGCAACTTCTCTCTCCACTGTTGGGTCTTCCTGGCTTCAGCGCCTCTGCAGCCTCCTCCCTCCAGCTGCCTCCAGCTGTGCTGACCTCTGGGAGAGCAGCCAGGGAGCACCTGGCTGCATGTGCTGTCTCGGACTTCCCAAGGAGTGCTCAGAGCACTTTTTTCTCAAGATGCTCAGGGGAAAAGCTACTCGGGCCTTCTAGAGAACCAGACTTTGTCCTCTTAAGATTCAAAATGGTAAACCGGGCGCGGTAGCTCATGCCTGTAATCCCAGCACTTTGGGAGGCCGAGGCGGGTGGATCATCTGAGGTCGGGAGTTCGTGATCAGCTTGACCAACATGGGGAAACCCCATCTCTACTAAAAATACAAAATTAGCCAGGCATGGTGGCGCATGCCTGTAATCCCAGCTACTCAGGAAGGCTGAGGCAGGAGAATCGCTTGAACCCAGGAGGCGGACGGAGGTTGCGGTGAGCCGAGATCGCACCACTGTACTCCCGCCTGGGCAACAAGAGCAAAACACAGTCTCAAAAAAAAAAAAAGAAAAAAAAAAGATTCACAATGGAGACCGGGCCTGGCGGTTCACGCCTATCCTAGCATTTTGGGTGGGAGACCAAGATGGGAGGACTGCTTGAACCCAGGAGTTCAAGACCAGCCTTGGCAACATAGCAAGATCCTGTCTCTGTTAAACAAAACAAAACAAAACAAAAAACAGCCTAGGCAACATGGGGAGACCCTGTCTCTACAAACAATAAAAAATAAAACATTAGCGGCCGGGTGCGGTGGCTCACATCTGTAATCCCAGCACTTTGGGAGGCTGAGGCAGGTGGATCATGAGGTCAGGAGATCAAGACTATCCTGGGTAGCATGGTGAAAACCTGTATCTATTAAAAATACAAAAAATTAGCTGGGCGTAGTGGTGCATGCCTGTAATCTGAGCTACTCAGGAGGCTGAGGCAGCAGAATTGCTTGAACCCAGGAGGCGGAGGTTGCGGTGAGCCGAGATGGTGCCACTGCACTCCAGCCTGGGCAACAAGAGTGAAACTCAGTCTCAAAAAAAAAAAAAAAAGATTCACAGTGGAGACCGGGCCTGGTGGTTCATGCCTGTAATCCTAGCACTTTGGAAAACCAAGATGGGAGGACTGCTTGAGCCCAGGAGTTCAAGACCAGCCTGGGCAACATAGCAAGACCCTGTCTCTGTTTAAAAAAAAAAACAAAACAGCCTAGGCAACATAGGGAGACCCCCTCTCTACAAACAATAAAAAATAAAAAATTAGCGGCTGGGCACAGTGGCTCACGCCTGTAATCCCAGCACTTTGGGAGGCCAAGGCGGGCGGATCATGAGGTCAGATCGAGACCATCCTGGCTAACACAGTGAAATCCCGTCTCTACTAAAAATACAAAAAATTAGCTGGGCGTGGTGGTGGGCGCCTGTGGTCCCAGCTGCTCTGGAGGCTGAGGCAGGAGAATGGCGTGAACCCAGGAGGCGGAGCTTGCAGCGAGGCGAGATCATGCCACTGCACTACAGCCTGGGCCACAGAGCGAGACTCCGTCTCAAAAAAAAAAAAAAAAAAAAAAAAAGCCAGGGCTGGGCATGGTGTCTCATGCCTGTAATCCTAGCACTTTGTGAGGTCAAGGTGGGTGGGTCACTTGACATCAGGGGTTCGAGACCAGCCTGGCCAACATGGTGAAAGCCCATCTCTACTAAAAATACAAAAATTAGCCAGGCATGTTGGTGCATGCCTCTAATCCCAGCCACTCGGGAGGCTGAGGCAGGAGAATCACTTGAACCTGGGAGGCAGAGGTTACAGTGAGCCGAGATCATGCCACTGCTCTCCAGTCTGGGTGACAGAGTGAGACTCCTTCTAAAAAATAAATTAAAAATGAAAGTGATAAATTGGCAGCTGGCATCAGGGAGAGGCCAGTTCCTGATGGGTCACACCTGTTTCATTAAAGTGTTAATTGAATGCAGGCACCAGGGAGAAGCAATTTCCCCGGCCATGTGCATTAAGAGACAATGGCAGAGTATGACCTTCTGGGACGGAAGAAATCTTCAGATGGGCATGCGTACAGTTTCCTAAACACACTGCGTGTGCTCATCTCCCAAGGGTAAGGAGGACACTGTGCATGTAGGCAGCCCACCCTAGGGGAAGAATCTTGGGAAAGGGGTCAGTCTATAAAGTCCTAGAATCAAGGTTAAACACCGCACTTGACCTTTATGTGCCTGTTTAGGTCTCTTCCAAGAATACTTTCTTTCCTGTTGTAAAGCTTTTTTAAATAAACTTTCACTCCTCCTCCAAAACTTGCCTCGGTCTCTTTTTCTGCCTTATGCCCCTCAGTTGAATTCTTTTTTTTTTTGAGACGGAGTCTTGCTCTGTCGCCCAGGCTGGAGTGCAGTGGCGCGATCTCGGCTCACTGCAAGCTCCGCCTCCTGGGTTCCTGCCATTCTCCTGCCTCAGTCTCTCATGTAGCTGGGACAACAGGCACCCACCACCATGCCCGGCTAATTTTTGTATTTTTAGTAAAGACGAGGTTTCACCGTGTTAGCCAGGATGGTCTCGATCTCCTGACCTCGTGGTCTGCCCGCCTTGGCCTCCCAAAGTGCTGGGATTACAGGCGTGAGCCACCATGCCCGGCCAGTTGAATTCTTTTTTCTGAGGAGGCAAGAATTGAGGTTGCTGCAGACCCATACGGATTCGCTGCCACTAACTCAGACACCTTCCACTGCTAACACTGACTTTGTTATTGTGTTTATTTGGAGGTTAAGTATGGTTTAAGGAGATGTGTGTAGGTACCAGGTTGACAAGGGGTGGACTTGTGATGGTTAATTCTATATGTCAACTTGTCTGGGCCACTGGATGCACACATATCTGGTTACACATTATTTCTGGGCATGTGTGTGAGGGTGTTTTCAGAAGTAATTAGCATTTAAATTGGTGGTGCAAGCAGCCATGCCTATACTTCTGGGGTAGCTTCCCTATAGCTTGCAGGAGCCACAGCAGGCAATAAGAGCCCCATCCTCCAAATACTGGGGATCTGTGTTCCGATTGATGATGGCTGCTTCAGATTGTGGAAGTGCAGACGAAGAGGCAGGCAGCCACTCTTGCCATCTCCACTACCATGTTTGCAACATCCCTCCTCAACACTCACCCCCTCCCTAGAGACATACCTTCCAGAGGTTTTTATGGATCAGCACCTTTTCCTGCCTGCATTTTTCTTTTTCCCTTCTTGGAAGCCACTTATGTAGGACTAGGACATTCAAAAGCAACCATAAACCAGGCACAGTGGCTCACGCCTGTAATCTCAACACTTTGGGAGGCTAAGGCAGGAGGATTTCTTGAGCCCAGGAGTTTGAGACCAGCCTGGGCAACACAGCGAGACAAAAAATTTAAAAATTAGCCAGGCATGGTGGTGTGTGTCTGTAATCCCAGTTACCAGGGAGGCTGAAGCAGAAGGATGGCTTGAGCCCAGGAGTTGCAGGCTGCAAGTGGGCTATAATTGTGCCACTTCACTCCAGCCTGGGTGACTTTCTTTCCACTCAGGATATCCTCCTTCCCATCCCTTATAACATTGCTGCCATTCATTCCAGCTATCCATAAGCTATAATTACTGAATACATGTTGATATAATTATTTTGAATAACCTGCCATCTGTTCAACTAAAAATAAGAACAATACAAGATTCTGGCCAGGTGCAGTGGCTCATGCCTGTAATTCCAGCACTTTGGGAGGCCGAGGCAGGCAGATCGCCTGAGGTTAGGAGTTCAAGACCAGCCTGACCAACGTGGAGTAACCCCCGACTCTAATAAAAATACAAAATTAGCTGGACGTGGTGGCACATGCCTGTAATCCCAGCTACTCAGGAGGCTGAGGCAGGAGAATCGCCTGAACCCAGTAGGCGGATGTTGTGGTGAGCCAAGATCGTGCCATTGCACTCCAGCCTGGGCAACAAGAGTGAAACTCCGTTCCCCACCCCCACCAAAAAAAAGATTCTATTTTATCTTCATTTATTTCTTATCTAATGCACTTCCTTTTTTTTTTTTTTAGATCCAAATTTCCTATACCATTTTACCCCATTTTTGAGACAGGGTCTCTCTCTGTTACCCAGGCCAGAGTGCAGTAGTACAATCACAGCTCACTGCAGCCTTGGCCTCCTGAGTAGCAGGGACTGCAGATGTGCACCACCATGCTGGCAATTTTTTTAATTTTTTGTAGAGACAGGGTCTGGCTATATTGCCCAGGCTGGTCTCCAACTCCTGGGCTCAAACGATCCTTCTACTTTGGCCTCTCAAAGTGCTGGGATTACAGGCATGAGCCATGCACCTGACCTTTCTTTCTTTCTTTTTTGAGACAGAGTCTCCTTCTGTCACCCAGGCTGGAGTGCAGTGGCATGATCTCGGCTCACTACATCCTCCACCTCCCAGGTTCAAGCAATTCTCCTGCCTCATCCTTCTGTGTAGTTGGGATTACAGGCATGCGCCACCACACCCAGCTAATTTTTGTATTTTGAGTAGAGACGGGGTTTCTCCATGTTGGCCAGGCTGGTCTCCAACTCCTAACCTCAGGTGATCCACCCAACTTGGCCTCCCAAAGTGCTGGGATTATAGGCATGAGCCACTGCTGCCAGCCCTGATCTTTCATTCTGTTGTGTTTTTGACTTCTTATATTTTCTTTTTGTTTTTTGAGACGGAGTCTTACTGCCCAGGCTGGAGTGCAGTGGCATAATCTCAGCTTACTGCAACCTCCACCTCCCAGGTTCAAGCAATTCTCCTGCCTCAGCCTCCTGAGTAGCTGGGATTACAGGTGCATGACACCACATCCAGCTAATTTTTTTATTTTTAGTAGAGATGGGTTATCACCATGTTGCCCAGGCTGGTCTTGAACTGCTGACCTCAAGTGATCCACCCACCTCAGCCTCCCAAAGTGTTGGGATTACAGTCATGAGTCACTACCTGGCTGACTTCTCACATATTCTCCTTCTTTCTTTCTTTTTCTTTATTTTCTCTTTCTCTTTCTTTCTTTCTTTTCTTTCTTTCTTTCTTTCCTTTCTTTCCTCTCCTTGTTTCCTTTCTTTTCTTTTCTTTTTTTTGGTGGTGTCTCACTCTGTCACCCAGATTTGAGGGCAGTGGCACAATCTCAGCTCACTGCAACCTCCACCTCCTGGGTCCAAGCAGTCCTCCCACCTCAGCCTCCTGAATAGCTGGAATTACAGGTTCATGCCACCACACCTGGCTAATTTTTGTATTTTTTAGTAGAGATGGGGTTTTGCCATCTGGTCTCGAACTGGGCTGGTCTTCGAACTCCTGACTTCAAGTGATCCGCTGCCTCAGCCTCCCAAAGTGCTGGGATTACAGGCATAAGCCACTGTGCCCGGCCTTCACATATTCTTTAGATTCTTTCTCAGAGTGTCTATCCCTGTTTCCATTTTCTGTCTGTAATCTCATGTTGTCCACTTTTCCATTAGAGCCCTTAGCATATTAATCATAGTTGTATTCCATTTCTTGGTCTGATAATTCCGACATCTCTGCCATATTTGAGTCTGGCTCTGATGCTTGCTGTCTCTTCAAACTGCATTTTTTGGTTTTTATTATGCCTTGAAATTTTTTGTGGGGAGCTGGACATGCTGTACGGGGTACGTGATAAATGGGCTTTCTGTGTGAAGTTTTTGTTTGTTTGTTTTTGTTTTTTGAGACAGAGTCTCACTTTGTCACCCAGGCTGGAGTGCGGTGCCGCAATCTCCGCTCACTGCAAGCTCTACCTCCTGGCTTCAAGCAATTCTCTGCCTCACCCTCCCAAGTAGCTGGGATTACAGGTGCCTGCCACCACGCCCGCTAATTTTTGTATTTTTAGTAGATGGGGTTTCACCATCTTGGCCAGGGTGGTCTTGAACTCCTGACCTCGTGATCCACCCGCCTCGGCCTCCCAAAGTGCTGGGATTACAGGGGTGAGCCACAGCGCCCGGCCTGTGTGAGGTTTTATTTTGCTCTGGTTAGGGGTTGGGCCATGTGTGCTGTTTGTTCTAACTGTAAGTGTCAGAGGCATAAACTTCCTCTGGTGTCTTAGTTTTTGTCTCCCTGTTGTCTTTAGGGTTTCCTAGACATTTCTCAAATAAGTTCTGAGATGGGCTGTTCTTTCACTTGTATCCCCTGTTATTATACAGGAGCCCTATTGATGTGGCAGGAAGATGTGGGGAAGAGGAGCTAGAACAGGCTGGGATTGGGTATGTTCCCTTCCTCCCTTGGGTTGGGTATGTTGGCATCTGGTAAAATCACAGTTGGCCTGGCTCTGGCGAACATTTTTTTTTTTTTTTTTTTTTAGGGCAGGCCTTGTAAAGAAAGACATATTTCTTTTTTTTTTTTTCTTTTAGGCAGCATCTCACTGTGTCACCTAGCCTGGAGTTCAGTGGTGCCATCATAGCTCACTGCGGCCTTGACCTCCGGGATTCCAGCAGTCCTCCTGCCTCAGCCTCCCAAGTAGCTGGGACTACAGGAGCACAGCACCAAGCCCGGCTAATTTTTTTTCTTTTACTTTTTATAGAGACAGGGTCTCACTATGTTGCCCAGGCTGTAGAGAATGCCTGAATGCGTTTTATTATTTTATTTTTTCTTTTTTGAGACAGAGTCTCCCTCTGTCACCCAGGCTGGAGTGCAGTGGCGCGATCTCTGCTCACTGCAACCTCCGCCTCCCGGGTTCAAGCCATTCTCCGGCCTCAGCCTCCCAAGTAGCTTGGACTACAGGCACGTGCCACCACGTTCAGCTAATTTTTGTATTTTTAGTAGAGAAGGGGTTTCACCATGTTAGCCAGGCTGGTCTCAAACTCCTGACCTCAAGTAATCCGCCCACCTGGGCCTCCCAAAGTGCTGGGATTATAGGCATGAGCCACCGTGCCCAGCCCTGGGTGCCTTTTAAATCAGACTGTACTCACCCAGGAAGAGCCAGCCACAGGCCCTGCCCCAGCTGCCCACCCTGCTCCTCAGCCACGCCCCTTTCCATTGTGACGGGCAGCATGGCCACTGAGCCAGGGTGCAGTGGCAGCGGCTGTGTAGTTGGGGGTGGCGACATGAGCCGTGCGAGCTAGCCTCCCAGCTGGTCCCCGGGATCTCAGGTTACGTCGCACCCCCCGCAGTGCCGCCGGTCTGTGGGTGTCCAGATCGACCAGCAGAGGCAGATCCTGGACTTGGACCTGGGCCTGCAGTTCCTACAGCAGCAGTCCTTGGAGTTGCTGGCCAAGCTCCACTAGAAGATCGAGCATCTGAAGTGGGAGAACAAGGGTGAGCCCAGCCACAGGGCCCTAGGCCTGCCCTGCCTCCCCAAGCGCCTGAACACGGCGGCGGCCCGCAGAGCAGAAACGCAGCACATGAACTCCAGCACCTGCCTGGGCTCAGGGAGGACACAGGGCAGCAAGCCCACGCTAGGTCCTGCCATGCTGAGCTCTTCCCCTGCCCCAGGACGGAGACCCGCCTAGGCCCGGGGCGGTGCCCTCCTTGTCTGCCTGTCCCGCCGGGGGCAGCATCATTTCAAACGCTGACCCTGCCAGCCCTCCCCTCTCCAGGCAGGGTCAGGTACACATCTGTTAAAAACTTCGTAGAAGGAAAACATGCCCAGTGCCGGTGCACAACTGAGTGAATTTTCTCCAACTAAACATGCCGGATCAGGAGCAGGCATGCCCCCGGCTTCGCCTGTGCCCACACTGTCCTCGGGCTGGGCCTTCCTAACTGCACCCTTAGCAGCTCCTCACCCCCACTGCCCACCAGAGCAGAAAGAGGGCCCGCCAGGATGTGGCTCCGCTCCTCCCTCCCTGCTTCAGCAGAGGCTCCAGCGAGGGCACCAGTGCCTGCAGCCTCATCTCCCTCCCCGCTCCCTGGTGCTGCCTTACCTAGGTGCTAAGTATTCCATCACCAGGCATCTGTTATGTCAGGATCCCCCTTCCCCATGTCTTCTTGAGCCTCTCCCCAGTCCCTGATGCCCACAGGATCATGACACTGACCATGCTCATCCATGGCCAGGGGCTCCCAGAGTTCACCCCTGTACCCCTGGGGCCCAGGTCCTGCCTGGCACCATGGGCGTCTTGTAGTCAGATGGGAGGATGAGGCTGATGTGCTGGGTGGGCTCTGCCTAGGGAACAGGCAGGGTCATTCCTGCCCTCACATGCCCACAGCAAAGGTGTGGTGGAAAGCGGGACCTGTGGGGCAGGGCCCAGTCAGCCAGTGGCGAGCCAGGACTCTCGGGGTTCAGCAGGGGGTAGTGGACAGCCCAAGCTGCTTCTCTTAGAATGGCTGTGGCTTCACAAGTGATGAGAAGAGCATGCGCTTGATTTCAGATCCCCATTACAAGCTCATAATGAATGAGTCACAGGAGAAAGGTGAGACTTGGGCCCTTTCGTGCCTGATGGGAAGCTCCTGCCACCCCGGGGAGCCCCTCCAGACTGTCCTTGCCCACCTGGCTGCACTGGCCTCTGTATGCCAACCCAGTGAGGACAGGTTCTGAGGGACCTGGACAGATGCTGCTGCCCCTAGCCATGGCTGGACGATGTTATACAGCCAAGCACAGCACGTGCTGCTCTCAGGAAGCCCAAGGGCTGTGGTCAGTGCAGTGGTGATGGTGGGCACAGGGTGCTTCCCAGACCTTCCCTCCTCCAAGCAGAGCTCCTGAAATGGGAGGGGACTCTGGGACAGCCCCTACCCTGCTGGGTCTTTGCCTCAGATTGCTGCTGTGGCTGGGCCTAGGATCTCCAGCCTTGTGGCTCTGATTCCTGATACGCTGGGAGAAGGGCTCCGGGCACACCCCATCCAGGGATTCCTTCCTGCCATCTCAGCAACAACTGTGGGGATGGGGGTGGGGGGAGTAACCAGAGTCCTGCTTCCCTGCCACTTGTCCAAGGCACTTCCCCATCCCAATGGTGGCCCCCACCCAGCCCAGGATTCTGGTTGAGTTCTTGAGCTCACTCTATTACCTTTGGGGCCGGGGCTGACATCAGGAGGACATCTGACTGGTGAATGGGACCAGCCTGGGAACATCCCAGCTGGGGCATTGTCCAGGGCTCTCCCTTCTAGGGAGACACAGAGAATGGGATTGAGTGAAGGCCCTTCCCTAGCTGCGGTGGCAACTCCAGTGAGCTGTTCTGGGCAAAGTGTGGCCCTGCAGTGCTGGGGACCCTGACAGGACACGGGAAGAGGCCATGCTCTCCCTCCGGACCTGCTGCTCCATGGGTCCCAAGCCCTCCCGCTTTCTGGATGGCCCCTCAGGAAACAACCTTTCCGGGGCCTCTGCTCCCTTGGGCGCGCGGTGGGTCTGGGGCTGCCTCAGTGGAGTGTGGGTAGAGCAGGGAGGACACAGGCCTGCAGGCAGACGGAGGGCTTCTCCCTCAGGCAGGTGTGCGGGTGGCAACTTCCAGCCTGTCAACTCCACCTCGAATTAAATGGTGTCAGGTGAGCAGGCTGGTGTCCTCCATGTGCTCACAGGGGCAAGTGCCCCACAGGGACCCCAGCCTGGGTGGTCACTAGAGGTGCTGACCAGGGAGCTGAAAGTCCTCTGCTGGGCCAACCTCAAGGATTTGGGGGTGAACGGGCAGCTGAAGGGAGCCCTGTAAGCTGAAACCACCAGGAGGGGCCTAGGGTGGGGTGGGCAGGACTGGGGGCCAGTCACAGGGGCTGTCAACGCAGGGCAGCAAGGCCTCATGGCAGGCACCCCAAGCCAGCACAGCAAGCGGTCAGAAGGGGCCTCCTTGGGTGGCCTTCTAGGGGGAAGGACGTACACTGGCTGCCTGGCAGAGGCCCTGCTTGGCCCACGTCCCCCTCCACAAGCAGACAGGATACAGGAGGGATGGCACTGCCCACGGAGCCCTGGGCTCATGGCATCTTCTGCAGAGTGAGCGGGGAGTGGCTCGAGACCAGGCATCTTCCTTGGCCCCAACCCTGGCCCCTATTGTTCCTGTGATGAGCCCAGGCGTGCCATGGGCGTTGTCCTTGCAGAGGAAACCCATGCAGGCTTAGTCCCAGGCCTCGCATGCAGTTTTATTTTACCCAAAACAGAGCCAGCTTCCACTATATTGACTGTTCTAGAATGTTCACAGGCACCACCCATGGGCTTCATCCTCAGAACCTCATTTATTCCTCCTAGAACCCTCCAAGGCAGGCTTCCCTTTACAGAGGAGGCAACTGAGGCAGGGGCTTCTTGGGCACACACAGCTGATCCTGAAAGACTTGGGCAGCGGCTGTTGGTGCCTGCAGTGACTGGCCCTGTCGGGTCTGACCTGCAGCCAACTCTCAAGGAAAGGACAGGCCCCAGCCGGTTCCTTCAAGAAACAAGACTCTAAAGCACTGGGGTACTCTAAGGTACCCCAGAAGGCAGACCTTGAGGAGGAGCCACTGCTTCACAACAGCAAGCTGGACAAAGTTCCTGGGGTGCAAGGGCAGTCCAAGTAAGGTTTGCCTGCACCCTAAGGGCCCCAGGACCACATTTACTAGGCTCCCACACTGCAGTCAGCAAACTGCTGTGTCCCTTGCTCTAGGATCCTGTCTCCAGGGCTCATGAAAGCAGACAATGGCCACGCTCTGTCCACACTCTGTCCATTGGGTGGGCGCTGTCTTCCTCCCCTCCCCTGGAGTCCTGCAGATTACCTGTGCTGACCTGAGCCCACAAGAGGGGGCAGCAACAGCCCCTAAACCACTTTCTCAGAGAAAAGAAAACAAAGTAATCTTTTTACCAAGAAAAGTGAGTTGTGTTCCTGGGCCTGATTAGAATGGAGCTGGTCAGTGCCTGCTGCCCCTGGCCACAGCCTGCCTTTGGAGGGGACTAGGAGAGCAGGACCAGGCTCTGGTACTCCCCGAGTTGCCGGGCTGCCCTGAGACATTGCAGAGTGCACATTTTGAGCGGTGCAACCAGCAGGACAGGCTCCTGCATCTCTGCACGTCCCCTGAGACCAGCCCTGAAGCAAGAAGCCCCACTGGGTATAGGGTCCTGACTAAGGGCAGCCTGGCAGCTAGCTGGTCACCCACTGAAGCACATCTGACCCTCAGGGCACCTTCAGAGGGGAGGAAGGGACAGACCCCAGTCCGAGACCCCCATCTGGCACCCAGAGCACTCTGGTCAGTGGGAGAAGGGAGCCAGGCCCTGTTCCCCACACTGGCCTGGGCACTGCCTGGGGGAAGTATGCTGCCTGGATGCTCAGACCCACCTGGGCAGGTCATTTCTGGCTACTGTAATGACTTTCAGAGACAGGGAAGCAGAGGCCTCTAACGCCAGGGCTTTCTGTTGGGTGGGCAGCCAGCACAGGGACAGGCAGATGATGGCACTCCCCGATGATCCTGTCCCCACACCTGCGAAAGCCCACCACACTTCAGCAGTGTAAGTGGTCATCCACCAGCTGTGGAATACCAACCTTCTGCAGGCCCAAGAGGTGAGGCCCTGGGTGGTGGGGATGGCCCTGGGCAGCCTGGTGCCACCGCAGGCCCCACCACACCCCTGCCCCTGCCTTTCAGCTGCAGCACCTCAAGTCCCTCCTGGAAGGGAGGCAGAGGCCCCAGGCAGCCCCAAGGCTGACAGCATCCTGACAGGACAGCGAGCCCAGATTCATGGAGAAGGGGACACAGTGATGAACAACTGACAAACACAGGAATAATAAATTTATTATAATCACAGATGGTGGGGTAGTGCACATAAAAAGGGGGGACCTCTTCTCACCAGAGGGTGCTGGCCGGTGCCCAGAGTGGCAGGCAACATAGGGAGGCGCTCCCTGCATGGCCCGGCCCGCTGCCAGGCCCGCTGTCTCTGGGTGCTCAGTGTGTGGTGCTCTGAGGACACGGGTCCTGAGGGCCTTGCTCTTCATCCTTCACAGTGGGGACACGGCCCTCATGCCAGCGGCACAGGGGTGCCGGCAGCAGGATCCCTGACGCCCCTGCTCCCTGGGTGCCCCACGGTGCTCAGCAGGAATGCCGTGAGGGCTGAGGCCCAGCTGGTGGCGGGGAGCCAGCAGCACCTATGGGCCAGCCCTCCCTCCAAAAGGCAGCCTGTGCCCTGGACTTGCAGGCTTCCTCGGGGGGTGCTCCACCTGCCCAAAGCAGCATAGCCTGAACCCAAAACTGTGACCAGAGAATCCCATGTGTGTTTTAAGGGTTTCCTATGTCCTCTGTGTTCTATAGGAACGAGTAGGGGTGCGTCTAGCACACACGAGACGCTCTAACAACACCCTGAGTGCACCCTCACGCTGCTGAGATGGACCTGGACCGTGGACAGGCCACGGTGAGAGCAGCCTGAGGATCGCATCTGGCTCCTGGGAGGAAGTCACATGGAGGGCCTTCTCTAAGAAGTCGGCCAACGCCCCCCAAGCAACCCGCTCCACTGCGCCTATCCCAGTTCTGTACAGGTGTGGGATTTCGTTTGGCAGGTCCCCAAGGCAGAAGATAAAAGCAGGAAAGCTAACCTAACCCCAGGCTCTCTAAGGAAGCCAACACCTAGAAGTGTCTGACAGGAGGCGTGTGTCCTTGGCCCCGATGAGGCTGCGGGCCATCCCTGCAGTCTTGGCTAGGCGGCTGAGAGGCAGGCCTGGTGGACGCTCTGGGCCCAGGTGTTGAGCAAGGCGGTGACCGAGTGCTTGTCCGGGAGCTGCAGCAGCCTGGAGGTCATGCAGCGGTGCACCGACTGGAGGAAGGGGTTGGCGTCTGCAACAGAGCAGTGGGCGTGAACCTAAGGCGGCCGGCGCTGCGCTCGCTCCTGGCACACCCGGCAGTGCTCTGGGAAGGGGTAGCCCCAGGCGCGGGCCGAAGCACCAGGAGGTGATGTGTCCTGCACGCTGCCCGGCCTTTGGGCTCTCCTCCCAGAGCCTCATCGTCAGTGAGAACCAAATCTGAACAGGATCTAGGGCTCTGCCTCTAACAACCTTGGGGACCCAGCCTGGCTCTACTGTGTGCCAGCTCTGCTGTGTGCCAGCTCTGCTGTGTGCCAGCTCTGGGCTCAGAGACTGCCCCCTGCCACCGTGGTTCTCTCTGGAGCCACAGCACCCAGATTGGGCCCTGTGTGCCCAAGCTACCAGTGGAACCTGGCAGCCCTGCCAAGGTAGTGGCCTCTGGGAAGCTAGTGGCCTCTGGGAAGAGCGGGGACTGTCCCTGAGCCATGGGCTTACTCACCCCTCACCCACTGAACACAACCACCCTGGACAGCTGACGTGACACAAGTTGAAGGGGCGAAGGGACACAGTGGGAGCAGAGACCCTTTTCTCTCAGGCGACCACTGGAAAACCCGCTGCTGTCTGTGCAGGAGGAGCCAGAAGAGGGGAGGGAGGGGCCTGAGCTGGGGAGGGGCAGGAGCACACAGAGGCTGTCCCTGCTGCAGTGGAAGCCTGGTTTTCCACAATGACCCCTGCTTGCCCTGGGTCCCCAGACAGCTCCTCTGGGTCTACCTACCGTACTGCCACTGCCGGTCTATCCACAGCGGGCTTTGGGCAGGATAGTCAGCGGGCACACTGAGCTCCAGTGGTGGCACACTTGGGAGGTCCTTGTCATCTGCAACACAGAAGGCTCTATCTGTGACCTGGACAAGCCCCGGCCTGCCCTGCCTCACAGCCCTGCTCTGGAACAGGACTCCACACCCAGGGAGGTTCTGGTGAAGCTTGTGGCAAAGCCTGGAGGAGGTCTCTCTGACTCTCAGATTTCCAAACGTGAAGCCTGGAGTGCTCTGCATTGATGGGTGCCCAGAGGTCCTGCCTACCACCTCCCTAGGGCCCAGGCAAGCAAAGCCACATCTGTGTTGGGGAGGTGAGAGTGTGCGGGCTCTGGCAGTGGGGACTGAGGCATGGCCAGGCTGTCTGGAGCCCGGTGTGTGTGAGGATAGAGCAGACAGCCTGGCGGGGCGTGAACACAGGGTGGGTTCTGGGCGCTGTGCCATCTGGCTTGGATGGCAGAGTCCTGGGGCTGCGGTCAGGGCCTGCTTTCCCACACCAGTCCCGGCCCTCTGGACACTCACCCAGCTTGCAGATCAGGTGGACAGTGCCATTGTTGCTGCAGTGAGAAGGGTCCAGGTTTACCAGGAACTTGGGGTCCAGCCTGGCCACCTCACCCTGGAGCACACTGGGGATGCTCTGCCGCTCATCATCCTCAAGCCTGCGCTTCCGGGTGCACACCACTGGGGCCCTGGGGAGGCGGCATGGTGACCACACCTGGCACACGCGGCCCAGGGCTGGCCGCCCTCCGCAAAGCCCAGCCCAGCTGGACATACGTGATGGGTGGGCCGTGAATGGCGGTCATGGCTGGAACGAATGTGCGGTACAGGGAATGGTTGAAGACAGGTGAGCGGATGTTGGCCAGGACGGCATCCAGGAGCGGCTGGCATAGGTACTGCTGTTTGGTCGGTGGCACCGGGGGCGGTGGGGGAGTGGGCTGGAGACAGGATGGGCACGGTCAGCAGCCCGGGACCCGAGGGTTCCCCATTTAGGGGGCCTTCACACCCCAGGCCCATGGTCACTCACAGTCAGATTCCCGAGGCCTCTCTCACAGCCTCCACCCTTGTGCAGACAATGTTGGCTGATCCTGGGAATAATCCCCCACCCCCACAGCCTATCCTCCCTACAGTCCCTGCCTCCTCTGAAATGGGTGAAGGAGGCACCCACGGGGGCCGTAGACAGAGGGTGACTTCTCCCATGTTCCCACCCAGCACAGCAGACCTGGCCAGGAAGCCTCGTGGGCAGGGTCCAAGGTCAGGCCCGGCCCCCGCCCAGATGCCCTGACCTTGAAGGCCCTCTCAGCAGCACTCCCAGGAGCTCTTAGGAGAGCCCTGGTTCCCCTAGGGGTGTCTGGCATCCCACTCACCACCGCCATGTCATTCTTGAGTTTCTCCAGGGCGATCTCACACTTTTGCAAGGTCTTCAGGGGACACCTGCAGAGAGAGAGGACTTGGGCTGAAAGAGTGGAAGACATGGCAGTTCTCAGGCTCAGGATCCCAACTACTGCCACTGGGCCTCAGCCATCAGAAACCTCTGCAGGAGCTCCTACCAGTTGACCAGCTGTTCCCAGACCCAGAGTTGAAGGCAGGCAGCCCTCAACCCCAGGAGCTGCTTGTCCCTGGTTGGCAGAGTGAGGTGATGGGTCAAGAGAAGGGACAGTGGCCAGGCCCCTGATCAGGCTGTGAATGCCTCATTGTCATGTAGGCCAGTCCCTGCCCCACTCATCCCTATAACCCTAACAAAGGATCAACCCATGAAGACCTGGAGGACCACCCAATAGTGACTGGCATTCTATCCAGACAAGCAGAACAGAGAGACCCTTCTAGACAGGGGTTGGGGGATAGCCTGAGTTGAGGTGAAAGGGAGGTATATGCCAATGCCCATGCAGTTTGGAGGTACTGCCCGAGCTCTGATCCTCACAGCAGCCTGTGGCCAGCAGCCCTGCCTTCCACCTGCTTCTCACCAGCGCCACCTTGTTTCATTTTCATGACAACACACGTGGGCTACAAATGGGGTAACTGAGATGCAGTCGCCTGCCCATGGTCACCAGCAAGTCAGGGGCAGAACTCCAGGTCAGGCTCAGGCCCATCTGGGCCAGCTGATGGTCAGGCCACTGCAAGCTGGGCCCCTGGCTGCTGACTGGATGAGGTCTGGCTGTGATGGCCCAGCATGAGGGCCACAGCAGCAGCCAGGAATAGGGCAAAGGCTGGGCATGGGCCAAGATGAAGCCTGGGCTTGAAGCCCCAGCACACACCAGAGTGGAGCCTTGGAGGCCTCTGGCCAGGGTCCAAAGAGCTGCCTGGTGCCTTTGTTAAACCCACATCATCACCAAGTGCCCATCCATGGCTGGGCTATCTGTGCCCTTGTGGACCCTCCGTGGGCTGTGGGCAAAGCTCACCGCTTCGAGGGGTCTGTCAGAATGTCCAGAAGGCTCTTCATCTTACTCAGGTCCTTTTTTCTGTCTGGGACAGAAGAGGGTACACACTAAGACACAAGCCTGGTGGTGTCCCCAGGGTGCAGGCCCCTGCCCTGGCTGCAGCCTACCTTCGTTCTTGTCGATCTTGTTGATCATGCGGCGCAGGGGCTCGATGTACTTCGACAGCTGCTTCAGCTTGTCCAGGTACTGCTGCTCCTCAGCCTGGCTGGAGCCAGCTGGGCTCATGACAGAGCTGGGGTTCACTGCAGGACACAGGCGGGTGAGGCCACAGCCCTCGACCCTCGGGTGGGGAACTTGAGCTCTGAGGGCCCCAGAGCTCGCACACCCAGTATGAGCTGAGGCCTCATAAAGGTGAGGAGTGACCTTAGCACCTCAGGCCCAACTTACCAGGTGTGTTTAAAGGTCCAGGTGAGGGGACACTGAAGTTCTGTGGGGTCCGCGCCGTCACTGGGCTCTGGGAGGGCTGCGGTGAGGGGCTGGGCAGGAAGCTACTGGGAGATGGGGCAGGGCCAGAGCTGCAGCCAAGTGAGAGAAACATGTGAGCCGGGGTCCAGGCAGGGCCAGCCTCGAGGGCCAGGTGGGGAGGGGCACCCCAGGCCAGGCCTACCTGACGTTGGAGTTGGGCTGTGAGCTGGGCTGGCCGGGCTGCGGGGACGGCTGGGGGGGAGGGGGCATCGACTGCGGGGTCTGCACCTGCTGGCCCGGTGACGGCGAGGACAGCATGGGGAGGCTGCTCTGGCTGACCTGGAAGTGGAGGGGCTCAGCCGGCGCGCTGCCACACGCCCGCCCGCCTGCCTCCACACCACCTGCCCACCGCACGCATAGGCCCATCCTCCCGCACAGCCTCACCACACACCTGTGTCTTCATCCAAATGCCACCTGGACATACACACAGGCACACTCCCCCAGCCTGGCACACAGCATGAGGTGACCAAGGGGCTGGCGGGGGGGGCCCAGGCAGGGCAGCCCTTGCTCCTTGGCCAGGGACCCACAGGGGCACAGGCTTTGAGGGCTGTGTCGTGGGAGTGTGAGGAAAAGGGCAGTCTGGGAGGCAATGCCCTTGGCTGGCACTAGCCTGGCCTTCCCTGACACGCCTGCCTGTCCTGTGACATGCTCCTCTGTGGGTCGGTGAGGACCCTGCTCTGCTGACCAGTGGGACCGTCTTCCCACATGCTTCCACAAGCCCCCGCAGCCCCCAGGCTGACTGCACCAAGGACAAGCCTGGTGGCTACAGCCATCTGTTGTGGTTAACACATGCTGCTGCAGGGCTGGTCCCAGGCTGTCCCACCTGGACCTGCTTAATTGGAGTGAGGTGGCCCAGGGAGCCACACACACACCCATGGTGGCACTTGCATCGGCCCACACCAGCGCCCCTGGGAGAGGCGAGCTACTCAGTGTCAGACACCTGGGCCCAGAGCCTGGTTCTGCCATGCAGGTGTGCACCTGAGTCCTCTGAGGCCCTGTGTGTATGCAAAGCAAGGCTGTTGCTCTGCTCCCCAGGCCTTGCTGGCCACGACACAAATAAGATCAATCACCCCAGTGTCTGCACCAGGGACACCACTGTCTTCATCCGTAAACTCTAGGGATGAAACCACACCACCCAGGCATCAGGGATAAGCATATGTAAAACACCCACACCTTCCTGGGGTGGAGCACAGATGGCTGCTTTGATGGGGAGAACAGCTGCCTGCCAGCCCTGGGCGTCTGGCCTCCCCTAGAGGGACTCTCAGCAAAGAGGGATGCCTTGTCACACTGGGGGAACCCTGAAGGCCCTGCTACATTTCCCACACCCTAGTCAACCCCCTGCATGCCAAGCATCCCCTCACAGTCTGCCTAGGAGCCAGGCCCCTGGACCATCCATTTCTGTAGACCAACTCAGTGCTTCTCCTGGGGCACTCTGGCCATGAACGCCTGTCTCGGGCCACGGCTCACACCACCCCCCAAGCACTTCCACCACAGTGCTGTGAGTACTGGGATAGGACAGCTGCTTTCTAAGCTCCTTAAATTGGGGACCAGGCCCAGAGCCCACAAACAGAATGCTGCCCTCCTCACCACCCCACCAGGCAGCAGAGGGCAGGGTGGCACTGCCCTTTCAGCACCACGTGGACCAAGCTCCTGGAGCGAAATGCTCTTTCTGTCCTGCCTGTTCCATGGGCTGTGCCTGACAGTGCTGCAAGGGATGCTGGGTGCAGGCCGTTCCTGAACCACGTGTGCTGGGAGACCAGGGGGTGGGGGGCTAAGGCACAGAGCGTGACCACAACAGGGTACTTCCAGCACAGCTGGGTCAGAGGTCCCTATCCAAAGCCACTGGCCCAGTGGGACATCAACCGATGGAATGGACTGTTCCCACTGCTTTGTGGTCAAGACACCTCTGCCTGGGAGAGGAGGGACAGAGTGCAGGAGCCCCAGCCTCGGCCTGCCGGGCCTCATCACTCTACCTAATGGAGCAAAATGGCTCGCGGTGATTCTCGCAAAGGTTAGCAAGGTCAGAAACGGGGACTGATGTGACTTCATTTGCTAAATGCTGAGTTGAACAAGTACAGAGATTTCTCCCACCAAAGTCCTGTGCATTCACGGTGCTGGGGTGCACAGAGCCCTAGCTGAAGAGGAGTAAGGGCATGTCCCAGACACCGGAACACATGTTCTAGACTTATCCAGGTGTCAACAAAATCCCAAGGCCAGAAAATTCCATACAGAGAACCACAGACGGCACCGAGGAGTGGGAAGCAAAGACTCTGGGCCCCATGCTCAGCCCAACTCTGCCTTTTCTGACCCATGCTTGACTTGCTGCTACTCTCTACCTGCACCCCAGAAAGCTGTCTCACAAGCTCACCTCTCTTCCTGCTTGAAGGTCAGGGCCCCTCCCCTTGCCTCTACCTGACTGCCTCTTCCAGAGAGGCGCCTGTGCCTGAGCAGCTGTCCCTTCTAGAAGATGGTCAGCTCTTTTCTGTGGCCTAAAGCTCAGCGCTTCTCTGAGGAGCAAGGCAGCTGCAGGCTGGGCAGAGGCTGCCAAGCAGAGAAGGCCACCACACAGCCCTCATTGCCACTCAAGAGTTCTCATCTGCTCTCGAACCTCAGGAAGCCCGGCACCCACTTTGGCCCTGAAGCGGCAATCTCACCAGCCACGCCCGTGGGGCCTCCAAGCACCCACCCAGAACTTAGGTCTATCTCAGTTCTTCAGCTGCCCCAGGTCAGGGCAGCTGGTGGCCAGCAGAGCCTACAGGATGGGAGACAGGGAGATTTCTAGTGGGAAGAAAAACAAACGAGGGGCACCCTTTCATTTCCAAGAGCACAAGAGCAGAAAGCCAGGCCCTGTGCCCAGGTGTCAGTGGTGGACAGTCCAAGTCCAGCACCTGGGATGAGAAGCAGCCCCCCAAAGACTCATCTGAAGACACAACTGGCATTAGGGAGGCAGCCAGAGAGGTCGGGCGCCGGTGTGTCACAGCTAGCAAAGGCCCCAGGACAAGAATGTCACACATCCTAGGGAAGGAGTTTCTGAGTGCACACCACCTGTCACCTGTGTGTCACAGGTTGGGAACAGGGAGCTCAGAGGGAAGTGACTTGCTCAAGGTCATCCTAGTGATGAAGGGAGCTCAGGCACGCTAAACATCAACACCCCAGCAACACCACCACCCCAGCAACAATGGCCTGAACTGCATTTCTGGGAAAGGGACCCACACAGCAGCCTGGAGCTGAAGGCAGGTGGACACCGAGTGGGCCAGAGAGGAGGTGGGAGGGCAAAAAGGCTGGTCCAGGGAGCTCCATCTCACAGAGGAACCCTCAGGCAAGGCTGGCGGCACTGCGCGATCCCCACCCCCGCCCCCACATACTGGGAACCGTTCCTTGCTCCTGGCTCCGGCACTCAGTGTGTCCCCTGGAGGCACTCCCCAGGGTGCAGTGGAACACGGGTCTCACCCTGGCAGCTGGCAGCCAGCAGAGCCCAGAGGATGGGAGGCAGGGAGATTTCTAGTGGGAAGAAAAACAAATGAAGGGCACCCATTCATTTCCAAGAGCACGAGAGCAGGAAGCCAGGCCCTGTGCCCAGGTGTCAGTGGTGGGCAGTCCAAGTCCAGCACCTGGGATGAGAAGCAGCCCCTGCAAAGACTCATCCAAAGACAGGCTCTAGGCTCTGGGGAGGCAGCCAGAGAGGCGAGAAAGAAACCTCCCAGTCCTTGGTCTCATGTCAGGTCTGGGATTGGAGCAGGGAACAGGGAGGCAACAGTGCCTCTCTAGTCAAAGGACAAGCCCCTAGTGAGAAAGACACTGCCTGCTTACATCTGCCAAGGGAGGATTGTGGCATGGGCCATGCCACCCCCTGGGCCCCCGTGCTGAGCACTGTGTCCAGAATGCACCCAGCACAGAATCCTGCTTGACCTGGTAGCCTGAGTCCGTGAGGCATGCCCACCGTAACAGGAAGATGCAGCCATGAGCCGTCAAGACAGAGGGAGGGAGCCTGGGCCCTGCCCTCTGGAGAAGAGCCCATGGGGCACGTACATTCCCTCTTTCAGCTCCACCTGTTTTCTTGGACCTAATTTGTTGCCACAAGGAAAGAGCAAGAGCAAATGGGCAGTGTAGTCTCCAGACTGTGTCCTGCTGACTGCTGAGGGCAAGTGGCTGGAGGGACAGTGGCCACAGAGTGGCCATCTGGACACACTGGAGACAGCAGGTTCTGGCCCCTGAGAGCTCAGATGGGACACAGTGGGGCAATTCCTGGTGAGATCAACAGATACGTTCCTGAGATAAGCTCTCTTTTTCTCGGAAGGGACTGGATTGAAAGATACTGACACAAAAGCAGAGGCACACCTCTGGAGCCACCTGGTGTGGTCAGGTGAATGCCCTTGGTACACGGGGCCCAGCATGCCTCACGTCCCCAAGGCTGGCCCACAGCCAGGTGTGGGAGACTGTACCAAGAGCCTGGTACTGCAGCCGGACGTAGAGGGCTGAGCTGGGGAGGGCCCTCTGCGGGGAAGGCCAGGACCAGAGAGGGCTGCAGAGCAGCTGCCTGGGCAGTAGGGAGGCTTCCACTCCAGGGTGTCCCTCTATTCGCTTTTCTCCCTCCCTCAACTCCTTCCAGTTTCCTTTCTTGCAGCTAACAAGCATGAACAAACCTGCTTTAAAAACACAGTACAAGGCTGGGCGCAGTGGTTCACACCTGTAATCTCAACAGTTTTGGAGACCGAGGCGGGCGGATCACCTAAGGTTAGGAGTTCAAGACCAGCCTGGCCAACATGGTGAAACCCCATCTCTACTAAAAATACAAAAATTAGCCAGATGTGGTGGCAGGCGCCTGTAGTCCCAGCTACTCGAGAGGCTGAGGCAGGAGAATCGCTTGAAGCTGGGAGGTGGAGGTTGCAGTGAGCCAGGAGTGCGCCATTGCACTCCTGCCTGGGGGACAAGTGCGAGACTCTGTCTCAAAAAAAGAAAAACAAACAGTAACAATGACAACAAAATAACAGAACAAAACCAGAACCTTGCCCCAGTTCTGTGCCTTCCTTCCTCTTTCCATAAATCCTGTGGCTTTTGTCTACTGCCGGGACGAGGAATACTTTCTAAATGCTGCCGCGTTTGTCCTCAGTGAACAACCCCAAAGGTTCAGGGGTGTGCCTCTCACTGCCAGTGCGAATGGGCGGGGCCTGGTGATTAAATCTGTGTGCAGTTAGCCAGCATCTTCCCATGAGAGCGCTCTCACCCCACACAGTGCAATGAGGACAAACCAGAATTCTCCATGGCATTTATTCCAAGGCAATAACTTTTTCAGCTTCATCATATATTTCTCTATCCTTCCTCTGCTCCACCTTACCTCCTTGCCTTTGGGGGTTGGAAGCTTCTAGAGAGAGAGAGACCTATTAGCTGGCATAACTCAGGGCAGACTTAATCTAAGGGCCAGGGAAGGCTGGGGAGGGAAAGACTGAGTGGGTTTGGGAACTGGTGGGAAGGAGGGAGGGAGGGAGGGAGGGGCTGCCTGTGAGAAGTCTAGGTGGAAACACCAGCAGCTGGGTGTGGGGAGTGGCCAGCCCACAACAGAGTATGGGCAAGCCAAAGCCCAGGACAGAGCCTGGTCTTGTGGGGGCATGGAGGGAGCCCACCCAGGAGTGCCCAGTAAACAAGAAGGAGAAGCCAGGTCATCAGCCCAGCAGGAAGGGGAGTGAGGAGTTTCCAGAAGAATCCTGCTGAGAGGCCAAGGCATAAGGGTTTCACTTGAGCCCTCGATCCTGACTTGGTGGCTCCCTGGGGGCACTCTTAGTCTGTAAAAGGGGCTAAATGCTCAAACTATGACCTGCTACAACAAGAAACAGTGAGGCTCTGTACACAAAGAGCTTAGCTCAAGGCCTGGCACATATCGCACACTGAAAACATTGGGGACTTTTTGTGTTTATAAAAATCAGTCCTACATGCTGCTACTAAAGTCATTCCTCCACATACAGCAACCCAACCTGATTCTGTGAACCCAGTGGATACTGTGCCAGAGGCTATGGGAAAGGAGGAGAAGCAGTTTTAGCAGACAAGAGTGCAGAACCCAAAGGGGTCTAGTCAAGGAGACACCAGCAGCATGTGAGCAGGTCGTGGAACTCACAGCCTCCAGGCCATGGGGAACTGCACCCTGGCTTCTGCCCACACTGGCCTCCTTTCCACCACAGCCACACAACCTAATTCCTGACCCCCAACTTCCGCTCCTCTGGAGAGCTCTTTCACCAAAGCCTTTCTACCAGCAGATTCCAGGCACTTCCTCCCGCTGTAATTCAACAACTACTAAAAAGGAAGTCCCTGCCAAAGAAACTAAGTTCCAGTCAGTAACTATGTGAATGGCACATCTGGGGTAACCCAGGGGGTTAGTATGCAGGGAAGGCAAAAGCTAAACATGCCCCAGTGGGGGCCCAGGCCACTTTCTTGGCAGTGTGTGGTGTGTGGCACCAGGCTTGGGGCCACATGGACCAAGGGCCATCCTGGCTCAGCCTCCACTTCTTCCTGTGTAGAACAGAGCTGCAGAGACGCCACTGCACAAGCCAGGGTGGTGGCAGTGCCTGCACCTGGGCGTTCAGGGATGGACAGGGACCACTGTCTGCTAGGATTATAGAGGCATTTCCCCTAAAACAGAAACTGAATTGTAAAGTTCTTTTGGCAAATTTGATGTTTTCACGACAAACCCACTAAAATGGAAAGCCTGTATGATGAGAGAACTTCAGCATAATTTTATTCTCAGAATCTTAGCATAGTGCCTGGCACACAGAATGCATGTGGTAACTATTTGTTAAAAAAATGACTATGCCATGGAGTAATTCCAAATTTCATACAATAAAAGAAGCCGGGAATTCCTGTCTCTGAAAAGCATAATGTACACAGAAGTCTACCTCTACCTAGAAAGGGGATCTGTGTTACAAATTACACACTCTACACATCAAACTCTACAACAGCATGGCCCAATACCACTTTGGCCACATTGGCCACGTTCTGGAGTCTGTGCTGTCCACTGCAGCAGCCACTAGCTTCCCTGTGGGCAAATGAGGGCTTAAAATTTATTTGGTGCGACTGAAGAACTGCATTTTTTCATTTTATTTAATTTTAGTTGACTTTTAGGTTTTTTTTTTGTTTTTAAAATATATATACATTTATATATATATTTTCCATTAAAAAATGTATATAATTAATTGGAGATAGTATGTCGCTATGTGAACCAGGCTGGTCTCAAACTCCTGGCCTCAAGTGATCCTCCCATCTCGGCCTCCTGAGGTGTTGAGATTATAGCCATAAGCCCCTGTGCCCGGCCTAATTTTAGTCAATTTAAATGTAAACAGCCACACATGCTTAGTGGCTACACTATTAGATAGCACAGCTCTAGAAAGCAAAACTTTTGCTTAGCTGCTGTTTTATTTTTACCATGAAAATGCGTACAGTATAACTATTTTAAGCTGAAAAGACCCAGATATTTATTCATATCCTCTCAACAAGCACAAGCTGGGCTTGGCTTCATTTAAAAAAAAAAAAAAAGGGACTGTGGGTTTGGCACTCTGAAAGCCACCATAAAAGAAGTCACCGGCGATGATAATGACAGGTGCGCTTTACAAAGGCGCTCAGAGGACGCCCCGAGCTCCCAGCCGTGCCCTGGGCGCTGCCCCGTAAATACCTGTGCCATGGGCTGTCTGCCCAAAGGGATGGAGCTTGACGGGATGGCGGACACAGCGGTGGTAGGCGGGAACCGGGCTCTTATGTGCATCCCACCTTGGGCCAAGGCTTCCGTGATCATCTTTGAGGACAGAGGGACAACAGACAAGGTGATCGCAACAAAGAAACTCAGTGCCTGGGCAGGTGGAGAGGGCACGTGTAGCCTCTGCAAGAAGGAGCACCAGGGCAAGGAAAGCTTGGGCAGCTCGGGGCAGCCTGGGAGGGGAGGCCACCCACATGTTCAAGCCCACAGCACCTCCAGGTCTGTCTGGGCATTGGGAATCTAGAAGATTTGCCAAGAATGCTGCTTCCAGACCTTTCTGTTCTACTGGTTGCTCTCCTGCACTGGTGTCCTCAACACACTTCTGAACACACCTCGCTAACAGATCAGAATCCTATAGCCCACAGAACCATCAGAGCCAGACCTTGAGGGCCTGAGCTGGTGTTTCTGGAGACCAGGCTCCTGGGGACAGATGTCAAGAGTACATTCCACCAAAGCCTGTGATGAGAACACTCAACTCCCACTGAACCATGAGCTCAGTTAAGCCTGCTCACAGCATCCCTCCTTCTCAGTGGCACACCTCTTACAGCCCGAACCCAAATCATCCTCCTCTCCTCCTCCAGGCCTGAGGCTGATGGTCCTGGTATCTATCAAGGAACTGGTTTTCTTTCGTAATAAAAATGGGCAAAGGTGAGCAAGAGAAGCCTGGGGGGACTGCTTGGCAGGCCTCCGCCCTGACGAGGAAGTTCATCTCCACAGGGATGCGAGTCAGGAACTCCAGCATGAGCCAGGACCATTCCCCTCATCAATGGACACTTCTTGAACTACAAAGGCAGCAGGACAGCTGAGCACTGTTGTGGGCCCGGGCCCGACCACTCTTGCTCTGGGTTCTGAGTTGGGGGTAGAGCCCGAGTCTCGTCCCTGGAGAGCAGGGCCTACAGGCACTTAGGACGGTAACAAACTAGAACAAAACACGCCAGGCTCAGAAAGAAAGGAGGACTGATCCACAGAAAAACAACACATCTCATGGTGGGAGGCTGTGCTCTGGGTCCCAAGCTCCAGGAGGTGCTGCCAGCCTTCGGTGCAGGCAGCGACAGGTGCCAGTAACAGAGCTCCAGCAGGAGAGTGGCTGCAGGGAGACCCGTGGCCTCACACACACGGCCCACATTCACAATCCTGGGCACGCACAGGAGGTGCCAGAAGCCGGGGTGACACGGCATGGCAGACGCCGACCAGAAGCTCACTCGTTCCTCCTGCAGCCAGAGCAACAGATGAACCGACCGGGGGGAGACACGAAGGAGCGACCCCAGTGGGTGAGAGTCGATTTACCACCACCTGCGGCACTTCGGAGGAGCCCGTCTGAGAGTGCAGCAGGGCTCAACGGCACTCGTTCCACAAGGGAGAAAAGCCTGGAAGTAAGTCAGATGGTATGAGAGAAGCAAACTTTTTTCCAGGAAGAGAAAAACAAACAAAAAAACGCAAGGAATGCAAAGCTTAAGTCTAATGTACTGCTGACTGATGTTCTTATAACTGAGAACTGATAAGGAAAGCCCAATTTCTTTCAACCCAAACGCACCAGTTATGTTTACTGGATCAGATGAGCCAGGCAGCTATCAACATTTCACTACTTCCCAACACACATCTACCCAGAGAGGAATCCAAAAAACCTCTCCCCCACCCCCAGGTCTGACTCTCCCTACTGCAGTCACTGTGCAGAAGGGTCCAGCAAAAAGAGAGAGGGTCCTCCAGGGTGGCCAAGGCTTCAGTACAGTAGCTGTGAATCAGCAATGCCACATACATGTCCACAATGGGAGTCTGTCTTGGATAATTCTTTGTGACTTGTAAATTAGAGTTTGGTTTTCACATACTAAAAGAATAGAACGTTAAATGACAAAGGTATAGGGACTGTTTGAAAATGAGATGCATGGCCAGGCACAGTGGCTTACGCCTGTAATTCCAGCACTTTGGGAGGCCAAAGCGGGCACATCTCTTAAGGCGAGGAGTTCAAGACCAGCCTGGCCAACATGACAAAACCCCGTCTCTACTAAAAATACAAAATTAGCCAGGCATGGTGGCACATGCCTGTAATCCCAGGTACTTGGGAGGCTGAGGCAGGAGAATCCCTTGAACCCAGGAGGTGGAGACTGCAGTGAGCTGAGACTGTACCATTGCACTCCAGCCTGGGTGACAGAGCAAGAGACTCTGTCTTTAAAAAAAAAAAAAAAAAGAAAATGAGATGCATTCTGTCCTGTTTCTTGCTTTTTTAAAGAGACAAGAGTTTTGCTCTGTCTCCCAGGCTAGAGTGTAATGCTGTCATCACAGCTCACTGCAGCCTCAAACCCCTGGGCTTGCACGATCCTCCCAACTCGGCCTCCCGAGTAGCAGGGACTGCAGACACGCACCACTCCGCCCAGCTAACTTTTTATTTTTATTTTTTTGTAGAGACAGGGTCTCGCTGTGTTGCCCAGGATAGTTTTGAACTCCTGGTCTCAAGTGATCCTCTCACCTTGGCTTCCCAAAACGTTGGGATTACAGGCATGAGCCACTGTGCCTGCATGTCTTGGTTTTATAGGGGAGAAAAAGAAGTCTGCTGTGTCCTGCTAAATCCCCTTGTGGGTGACATTGCCCTTCTCAGCTACATAAATAACACTGGAAAGAGAACCAGGTGTGCACAGCACAAGGCTGAGCAATTTTTCTAGAATACTCAGTCCCAGGCTACCCTTTACCACATCCAACACCACAGTACTGCAAGGGCCTGACAGGGCGCCTCTCTTCGGCTCTAAGATGGGCTTGAGAGACAGGGCATGGAGGGCTGCCTGCATGGGGGCCCCCAATCCCAGAATTTCATTCATGAACTCAAGAGGCCTGTTTCCGCAGCACGCGGCAGCTCATACATACAAAGCTGCAACACGTGGTCACCACGTCCTGATGTCCACTGTGTGAACAACACAAGGGGAGCTCCAATCTGCATCTCTGACCTCCTGGTTAGAGGGTGGCTGATCAGATCTGAAGGCCCTCAAAGTGAACCATTCACTCACCTCCATCAGCTCCAGGAACAATCTAAGACATCAAGATATGTGTCACTGGTAATAGCAAAAAATCGGAAATTATTACAAGGTCCAAGAACAAGATGGTAACTGAGGATGGCAAGAGACATTCACAGAGGGGTATGACAAGAGTTCCTTCGTGCCGACCAGGGCTTTCTAATTAAAGGAGAACATTTCATCCCCTATTGATGTGGAAGATGCTGCACAAAAAACCCCAGGATAGCATGACCTTGACTATGGGAAACAACCAGAAAGGACACCAGACCTTCTCTCTCATGGAATGGTTCTCTTACTTCTGTTCCTCTCCACTTTCTGGGTTCTACAGTTACCACACATACTTTTAAAGTTTTTAGATCAGAGTACCGTAGCCTCAGCTGGTCACTGTGCCAATTCAAGTTTCAAAAGAAGATCATGAATCCAGATGGCCCCTCAGAGGGCTTGCTGTGCCCAACCCTCCCCATCCCCCAGCAGGGGGCGCTGCTATTGGTGGAACAAGGCAGTGAGGGTGCCCAATTAGCCCCCAAGAAACTGCACTGCTTGCAACAAGGCAAGACCAAGCTCTGAGAGAAAACCAGCAGAATGCGGGTTACAGAATTTCAAGGTGCCACATCTGGACTGAGAAGCACCTCATAGATACGCCCTACCCACTGCTGGACTTTGAGAAACTACAAGGCTCCTCTGCCACTAGCACTTGGGAATCCCCTGCATGGCAGCACATGGTGCCACAGGGCAGGTGGGCAATGATCCTTAAAACATCAAACTCACTCAGCAACGAACCACAGTGGTAACCACTCTCCATCCTCCTTCCTGTGCCAGTCGGGCGGGGACCTCCACCTGAAACAAGGGGTGGAGAAACCGACAGGAAGACCAGTGGCCCAAGGACAGGCTCAGCATGGGCCATGAGCACACACAGCTGGCATCCTGCTTCTGGACGGTGATGGGATGCCAGTGAGACTGCAGAGTGGACACTTCCTTGAGCTAGAAGCCTAACGAACATACCAGCTGGGCCTGCACCAGCTGAAAACACTGGCTGCTCCATGGCTATTCACTTTCCAAATACCAAGAAATGGAAAGAAAAGGAAAGTTCGGCTGGGCACAGTGGCTCACGCCTGTAATCCCAACACTTAGGGAGGCTGAGGCAGGTGGATCACTTGAAGTCAGGAGCTTAAGACCAGCCTGGCCCATCTCTACTAAAAATACAAGAGGAAAAAAAAATTAGCTGGATATAGTGGCGCATGCCTGTAGTCCCAGCTACTTGGGAGCAAAGGCAGGACAATCACTTGAACCTGGGAGACAGAGGTTGCAGTGAGCCAAGATTGCACCACTGCACTCCAGCCACTCTAGCCTAGGTGAGAGAGCAAGACTCTGTCAAAAAAAAAAAAAAAAAAAAAAAAAAAAAAGAAAGAAAGAAAGAAAGAAAAGAAAAGAGAAAAAAGAGAAGAGAAGAGAAGTTCTAGGCTGGGTGCGATGGCTCATGCCTATAATCCCAGCACTTTGGGAGGCTGAGGCGGGTGAATCACTTGAGGTCAGGAGTTCGAACCAGCCTGGCCAACATGGTGAAACCCTATCTCTACTAAAAATACAAAAATTAGCCAGGTGTGGTGGTGTGCAACTGTAGTCCCAGCTACTTGGGAGGCTGAGGCACAAGAATCGCCTGAACCCAGGAGGCAGAAGTTGCAGTGAGCCGAGATCGCAAAACTGCAATCCAGCCTGGATGACAGAGTCAGACTCTGTCTCAAAAAAAAAAAAAAAAGACAGAAAGAAATAAAGAAAAGAGCAGTTCTCACTTTCCTGCTGGGCTTGACCTGCGGTACAGAAGTTTCCAGCCGGGCGCATTGGCTCATGCCTGTAATCTCAGCACTTTGGGAGGCCAAGGCCGGCAGATCACGAGGTCAAGAGATGGAGACCATCCTGGCCAACATGATGAAACCATGTCTCTACTAAAAATACAAAAATTAGCCAGGTGTGATGGCACGCGCCTGTAGTTCCAGCTACTCGGGAACCTGAGGCAGGAGAATCACTTGAACCCAGGAGGCAGAGGTTGCAGTGAGCCAAGATCGTGCCACTGTACTCCAGCCTGGCAACAGAGCAAGACTCCATCTCAAAAAATAAAAAAAGTTTCCAGGAAGTGAGGTCCTGAACAGAGGATCGATGGTCCAAAGAGGCAAAGGTAGCAGCTTCCACTGGGTGGGCAGTCACTATGTGCCACCACTAAGCTGACTCTGAACACACCACGTCCTTCCTCTGCATGAGACCAGGACAAGGGAGCCCCCCCACGAGGCCTGAGGACATGCCGAGACACACAGGGAGGTGGCAGAGACCTCCAACCTCATCACACGAAGTGGTCAGCCTCCCCCAGCTGTAAGTAAATGTGAGTTCTGTGGTGTGTTTCATACAGGGCTCCATCTAAGTAAGAATGTGACATGGGGACCCTGGCCCCAAGTCATTTGGTGCCCTGCCAAGGTAGGATGCTAACCTCAGCTGCAGCCAAATACCTCAGATTCCCTCCTCAGGCAGCTTCCCAGGGACTTAAAAGAGGTAGCAGGCACCATGAAGGACATTACTGAGCACCCCCCAAGCGTGAGATGAAGCCTGCCACGAGGCACTGTGCACCCAGGCGCTGCGCCCAGCAGGCCTGCAGAAAACCACAAGGCCAGGTACCCTTAAGACGACAGCAAAGTGCAGGCGCACTGCCAGCTGTGGGCTGGGACCCAGCCACAGTCTTACCACATCAACTAGCACATTCTGACTCTTTCTAAAGCCAACGCCCCTTCCGAGTCAGGACCAACAGTGTTTCCACCATCATGTGAAAAGAGGAAAAACTGAAGCCCCAGACTGTACGTCTCCCCACAAGAAGGAGAGGAGGGGTTATAGGAAAAGGTACAGAAACCCTGGGCCTCCAATCCCAGGACACTAGGAGGCCAGACAAGGCCATCTGCATTCCACTAACACGTGACACACAGAGACACACACACATTCCACACATGTGACACACCAGCAAGCTCAGCAATGTGGGAGTGGCACGCTTCTCACCACACAGCGCCGGAGTCCCTGAGTGCAGGCGAGCACCAGGATGCCTTCTCCCACGCTCCTGCTGCATGTGGCTCCCATCTGCTTCCGAGTGTCTAGAAAGCTGCCCTCCACCCTGGTCAGCTCTGTACTCAGACTCTCAAATGGAAGATGAGAGGTGAGGAGAAAACTGCAGCCTTCTACTCTCTGATACATGTTCCCAGAGTCACTCAGAGTGGCAAGGAAGAGGGATAATGAAGGATGCCCGAGCAAAGCTGGAAACGACACGCACTATGCGGCTGGTGGGTCCTAGACATGACCAAGCACAGCTGCCCACCCCAAGGACTCCAGGGGTGTCTTGCAGAGTGCAAGGGGGAGAGAAGCCCCTGCTTTACCAACTTAGCCCCCAGCCCCTAATCCAACCAGAACCCTCACTGTAGCACTACATGCGCAGGTGAACATGCACCTGCTGATGACTATGGAGCCCTCCACCCCCAGGCCCTCACCTGGACTCCGGGAGCCACCATCTGGGCAGCCTGAGCTGTCTGTACTGCTGTCTGCTGCTGCTGCACCTGGGGCTGCACTGGGGGCTGCTGCACCACCATCGGAGCTCGGACCTTGAGGGAGAAAGAGAGAATGTGATTTGGAACCACCTGGGTCAGAGAGCAGAGCCTAGTCTTCCTGTGGAAGCTTAGGAAATGGAGCCTTTCTTGAGGTGAGGAATGGGACTTTCATGACCTCATGTGCTGTGATGTCACCTTACTGGCCATCTAGGATCCCATTAGCTCAAATCCAATTCTGGCAAGTGGCAATGTGGCCCTCCCACTGGGATGTCTCCACACATCCCTCAGCACCAGCTATCACAAGCACTGACGACTTCCAATGCAGAGCTTACAGCCTAGCCTGCTCATCCTCTGGGCCAAGCATGCTGATGGTCCACAAGAGCTTCACTCAGCCTGATTCCTTGAAGGAAAGCTGGGTTAGCCGGCCAGCAGAGGGCAGGGCGTAGTAGCTCCTGTCTGTATTCTCAGCATTCTGGGAGGCCAAGGCCAGTGGATCGCTTAAGCCCAGGAGATCAAGACTAGCCTGGGCAACACGGCCAAACCCCATATCTACAAAATATACAAAAATTTGGCTAGGTGTGGGGATGCACACCTGCAGCCCCAGCTACTTGGGAGGCTGAGGTGGGAGAATCGCTTGAGCAGGGAGGTCTGATCACATCAGTGCACTCCAGCCTGGAAAACAGAGACCCTGTCTTCAAAAGAAAAAAGTGGGGGTGGGGGGCAAACTTGGGCAAAAGGGGCAACTGTGGAGCCACTGCATGGAGGGGCCTCCAGAAGGACGAGACAGGCCCGCGCCACCATGCAGGGGGCTCTTCCTTAGACATCTCCAAGTCACCAGGGCAAACCCTGCCAGGGCACATTCCAACATGCAGCGGGCTCTTCCTTAGACATCTCCAAGCCACTAGGGCAAACCCTGCCAGGGCACATTCCACCATGCAGCACACAAGGGTTTCAGTCTGCACAGTCCCCGGGGTCAGGCAGTGTGTCGACTCCCAGGTGACAGATGAGTGAGCATATCTGCTCCTCACAACTCTCCTAGACTTCCAGTCTGCCTATGAGGCCTCTTGTTCACCCCCACACTTGCCTCAGGCCCCATTCCACTCATGAATCACAAACAGAAAAGGCCACAAAAACCAAGGGAGCCAAAGAGTTGTCCAAATGGCCCCTTGATGCAGCTACCTTCATCCTGGTGATCATACTCTGTCCTCTGTGCCTGTCACTGAGTAGACTGGCTTTGTGCAGAGATACAAAATGAAACTAGGAATAACAGTATTTTATATTAATACTCCTCTCAAAAATATAGTAATGAACTTTGTTCTCCTGAGACTTGGCAGAGTGTAAAGGAAAAAAAAAGATATTTGCTTAGAACATTAACTCTGAGTAGTTGGCAAACCACCAGACACTGACGGAGCTGGCACATCCTTTCATGTGGTGCTCATCAGTCGAAGTGCTCACACCCTGAAAGGGCCCACAGAACTGCTGCAATCAGCCACACTGCTTGGAATGCGACTTGGTGCCCCAGTAGCAGCAGCAGTACCCTGTGCGGGGTGCAGAAGCAGCTCTCAGAACACAAAATGCAAAACACATGCTTCCCTGCTGAGCCATGCTAGAGTCGGCAGGGCTGGCAAGGGGTGGGGGCTGCCTGAAGTCTCAGCACTTGAAGAATAGGATATGCTATCTCTAGCCAAAGAGCCTAGAAACTACTGCTGACAGAGCCACGGGCTGCATGTGCTCCACTGTGGGCCACAGGTACTCACAAATTTCAGTGGTGGTTGGGTATACAACATTTGTCCAGGGAGAGCTTGCGCCTGTGACACCAAAGGCTGGGTCTGCGACTGTGGCGGGAGTTGTGATGGTTGGTTCTGAGCAACTGGAGGCTGCTGGGGCTGTGGTGGCGGCTGGTGGTGCTGTGTGTGATGCATCTGCTGCAGCTGCTGGGGCAGAGCCTGGGAGGGCGGAGGCTGTGGCTGCTGCATCGGTGGCTGCTGAATTGGTGGCTGGGCCTGCAAAGCCTGCTGCTGCTGCTGCTGCTGCTGCTGCTGCTGCTGTTGCTGTTGTTGGAGCTGCAGCTGTGCTATTCGCTGCAGCTGCTGTTGCTGCTGCTGTATCTAGAGACAGAACAAGCAGCACTCGGTTATCACTCATCTGCCTCTGTGGCACCAGCTCCTCCCTGTGACAGTCTGGGCCTCAGGAAGCCCAGGTGGCCATCTGCAGAGCCATCAAGAAAGCCTTCCTGGCTGGGTGCAGTGGCTCACGCCTGTAATCCCAGCACTTTGGGAGGCCGAGGCGGGCAGATCACCTGAGGTCAGGAGTTCGAGACCAGCCTGGACAACCTGGCGAAACCCCGTCTCTACTAATAATACAAAAATTAGCCAGGCATGGTGGCTCACACCTGTAATCCCAGCTACTTGGGAGGCTGAGGCAGGAGAATCACTTAAACTGGTGGGGCAGAGGTTGCAGTGAGCCGAGATCACACCACTGCACTCCAGCCTGGGCAACAGAGTAAGAGGCAAAAAAAAGTCTCAAAAAAAAAAAAAAAAAAAAGGCCTTCCTGGGCTGACAGGCTGACCTCTCACTCACACGGGGAGGGGCACATCTCCCACAGAAAGGCTCTGGGCCCCCCGAGGCCAACACCAGCTGCCTTCCTGACACCGGGGAGGCACCAAGTGTGTGCCTGGGCTCTGGTCTACCATTCCACTAGGATGGTTCAAAGGGCATACCTAGAAACTTCAGCAAAAGATGACAAGGAATAGGTACAGCTCCATGGAAGCTAGGATAAAAGCTGGGGCAACTGCAGATTTCTGAAGCCTCTGCAACGATGCTTGCTTTGCCCCTATAGGTCAGTGGCATGAGCCTCACGGTGACGGTCAAGGTCTGCTTGTCAGCAGGAGAAGGAAAAGTGTGGCTGCAGATGCACTGTCAGCTCTGGGAGAGGGGTGCCAAGATCCAGAGAAGCCCAGCTAGCTGAGGCCTGAAGGGGTGGGAGGGTGGTGGGGCCCTTTGGGGCTTTCCTCTCCCAACCAAGACCTGCTGTGAGGGCAGATGTTTAACACGTCTAGACTCTCTATGGAAACCATGGGAAGCTGAACAACTTCTGAGAAGCAGTGCTGCTAACATGACATCACCATCACCTCATGCAACACCAGCTGGAGGTCGACTAACACTGAGCCCAGAACCCAAGACACAGAGGTAAACAGGAGGCACATGTGTCCTCAGCCAAAATGGCCCACAATGGCTCAAGTAGTCCCAAGCCTCAGAGTGTTCGTCTCACTTCTTGCTTCAGCTCACTCTTGTTTGAATCCCTCGCAGCCCCTGAACTACACAGGAGGCCCACCGCCAGATGCCCAAGCCCAAATGGAAGGGCTCGATCACAGAACCTTCCTAGTGAGTCAGGGCCTGTTTCTCCTGCCTGTCCCAGACTTTTGTTTTCCTTTTTTATTTTTATTTTTTTTGAGACGGAGTCTCACTGCTGCCCAGGCTGGAGCGCAGCGGCGCGATCTCGGCTCACTGCAACCTCCGCCTCCCAGGTTCTAGCGATTCTCCTGCCTCAGCCTCTCAAATAGCTGGGATTATAGGTGTACGCCACCATGTCCAGCTAATTTTTTGTATTTTTAGTAGAGATGGGGTTTCACCATGCTGGCCAGGCTGGTCTTGAACTCCTGATGATCCGCCTGCCTTGGCCTCCCAAAGTGCTGGGATTACAGGCATGAGCCACTGGGCCCGGCCTTGTCCCAGACTTTTTGAGAAGCCCATGGAAAAGGGCAGGCACACGTGTCAAGAGAACCCTCGGCTGGCTCCGGGCACTGCACCCAGCATTGTGGCTGATGCCAGCCCAGGGCTCACGCTGCAGGAGGGAGGCCAAGAGCAGGAACAGGGGACCTGGTACCTGTTGCTGATTTTGATGATGCAATTTAATTAGATGCTGCTGCTGCTGCTGCTGCTGCTGGAGCTGCTGCTGCTGCTGCACTACTGCTTGGAACTGCTGCTGCATGGCACTCTGCTGAGCCTGGAACTGCTGCTGTTGCTGCTGCTGCTGCTGCTGCTGTAGCGCCGCCTGCTGCTGCTGCTGGAACTGCTGCTGTTGCTGCTGCTGCTGCAGCGCCACCTGCTGGAGCTGCAGCTGGGCTGAGAAAAGACCAGAGTCGCCAGTCAGTCCACAGGGCAGATTCCCAGAAACGCTGCAGGGCTGCACAGCAAGGGACAAAACAGCCAGCAAAAGCCCCACTGCCACGGCTGCCGCTGGAATCTGAACGTTCCATTTACCACAGACAGAAAGATAGAATACGAAGTAGCATTTGTGTTGATTTTGGGATTTCCTATCATGAGTTACTCTATAATAACCAAAGACAAAAGAAAAGGGACAACTAAGTCTTTTGGATAAATAAGAAGCCTAGACTCTGGCAATCAGTAATCTCCTCTCTGTCTCTATGGATTGGCCACTTCCGGACTCTTTGTACGAATGGCATCGAACATGTGCTCTTTTGTGACTAGCTTCTTTAGCATAATATTTACGAGTTCGCCCATGTCGTGGCATGTTATCAGTTTTTCTGTGTTATTTTTATCGCCAAATAATATTCTACTACACCGATTTCCTGTGATGAACATTTGCGCTGCTTCTACTTTGTGGCTATTATGAAAACTGCTTATATGAACAGTCAATTACAAGATTTTCTGAGGTGAGGTTTCTTTTGGGGTGAACATAAAAATGTTCTAAAATTGTGCTGATGGCTGCACAACTCTGTGGATTACACTAAAACCTACCGAGTGGAGCACTTCAGATGGGTGAATTGTATGCTAATGAGAATTATGTCTCAATAAAGCTGTATTAAAGAAATATAGAGAGATCCTTTGTATACTTTGCCCAGTTTCCTCCAATGGTAACATTCTACAAACTTACAAGGTATCACAACCACGATGTGTGCTCACTTGTGTGGGTGTGTGTACTAAGTTCTGGACAATTTAACCACCTGGGTGGGTTCAGTCACCACCAGTCAATACACTACACAGTCCCCACACCACAAGGATCCCTCGTGTTGCCACCTCTCTCAGCAACCCTGACCCGCAAACTCTGGCAACCACTGCAGCATCCTCCATTTCTAAAATTTTGTCATTTCAAAATTATACATAATATTTCAAAAATGGAACCATACAGTATGAACCTTTTTGGGATCGGCTTTTTACATTCAGCATACAGGTTGTAGTTCTAGCAACAGTACTGCCAGGGTATTCCATGGTACAAGCACCTCACAGTGTGTTTAACCGTCTACATGAAGGACATTTGGGTAACTGTAGATTTGGGCTACCACAAATAAAGCTGCTGTTAAAATTCGTGCATGGGTTTTTATGCGAGGTTTTCATTTCTCTAGGAAAAATACCCAAGAGTGTAACTGCTGAGTTGCATATTTCATTTTGAAAGAAGGTAAAACCACTTTACATTCTCACCAGCAATATATGAGTGATTCAGTTTCTCTGTCACCAACACTTGAGGCTGTCACTATTCATTTTAGCAATTCTGATGGGTGTAAGATTTTTTTTTTTTGAGGTGGGGTCTCACTCTGTTGCCCAGTCTGGACTGAAGTGGTACCATCGTGGCTCACTGCACCCTTGACCTCCTGGGCTTAAGTGACCCTCCTGCCTCAGCCTCCCGAGTAGCTGGAACTACAGGTGCATGCCACCACACCCAACTAATTTGTAAAATTTTTATAGAGACAGTCTCACTTTGTTGCCCAGGCTGATCTCAAACTCCTGGGTTCAAGTGATCCTCCTGCCTCGACCTCACAAAGTGTTGAGATTATAGGCGTGGGTCACTGTGCCTGGCCAAGTGTAAAAAATTTTTAATTTATTTTGTGACAGATTTCTAACTTTATTTGACATTCATAAAACATGTATGACCGGCGGGTCGCGGTGGTTCTCACCTCTAATCCCAGCACTTCGGGAGGCTCAGGCAGGAGGATCACTTGAGGTCGAGTTTGAGACCAGCTTGGCCAACATGGCAAAAACCCATCTCTACTAAAAATACAAAAATTAGCGGGCATGGTGGCACGTGCCTGTAATCCCAGCTACTCAGGAGGCTGAGGCAGGAGAATTGCTTGAACCCGGGAGGCAGAGGTTGCAGTGAGCCGAGATCGCGCCACTGCACTCCAGCCTGGGTGACAGAGTGAGACTCTGTCTCAAAACAACAACAACAAAAAGTATGACAATACTTTTAAATTTTCTGAAATTGTTGAAGCTTGCTTTATGATTTATTTTTATAAACATATTGTTCCATCATATGCTTAAATTAAGTTGTTCATTACATTGTTCAAATTTTCTGTAAATGAATTTTTTGGTCTGTTTATCAATAACAAAGAGATGTAATTGAAGTAATTGCCCAATACATCTTTCTTCATCCTTTTTTTTGTTTGTTTCTTTTTTGAGACGGGATTTTGCTCTGTCACCCAGGCTGGAATGCAGTGTCTCCATCGTGGCTCATTGCAGACTCAGCGTTCCAGGCTCAAGCAAGCGATCCTCTCACCTCAGCCTCACAAGTAGATGGGACTACAGGTGTGTACCACCACACTCAGCTAATTTTATTGACTGATTGATTGAGATTGGGTCTCACTGCAGCCCAGGCTGGAATGCAATAGTGCAATCATGGCTCACTGCAGCCTTGACCTCCTGGGCTCAAGTGATCCTCTTACCTCAGCATCTCAAGTGTACCTACAGGTAATTTTTAAATTTTATGTAGAGATGGGGGTCTCCTATTTTGCCGAGGTTGGTCTTGAACTCCTGGGCTCAAGTGATCCTCCCACCTCAGCTTCTCCAAGTGCTGGGATTACAGACGTGAGCCACTGCACTTGGCCTTTCTTCATCTTTTATTTTTAAATCCTTCCGCATGTTTTATTGTAGGTGTGTGTTTCTTCTAACAATAAAACAACTGTGCTGTTTCATTTCCATTTGTTCTCACATTTCCTATCTTTCAGCAGAAAAGTTTAGTCCACTCACATTTATTATGATTACTTATATTTTTAAACTTATTTTCTATTAATATTTGTCTTTCCTTTCCTTTTTTTTTTTGAGATGGAATCTCACTCTGTCGCCAGACTGGAGTGCAGTGGCGTGATCTCGGTTCACTGCAACCTCCGCCTCCCGGGTTCTAGCGATTCTCCTGCCTCAGCCTCCCAAGTAGCTGGGATTACAGGCATGCGCCACCATGCCCAGCTAACTTTTTGTATTTTTAGGAGAGACGGCGTTTCACCATGTTGGCCAGGATCGCCTCAATCTCCTGACCTCGTGATCTGCCTGACTGAGCCTCCCAAAGTGCTGCGATTACAGGCCTGAGCCACCGCGCCCGGCCTTTGTCTTTCCTTTTCTAAGCTTCTTTGTCTTTTTTGATTGCATTTTTGTTGGATGATTGGATTGAACTTTGTATTATCTGGATTTCTGCCTTATCCTATTTTTTCTATTGATCTTAAATTTTATGAATTATTTCCATTGTTTTAGCAATAATTTTTCAATTTTATCATGCATATTTAACTTAAAGTATAAACCTCATCAATATTTTAGCATTTCCCAAATTTACTACTTTTTAAAGTAGGTTTTATATGTACCCGACAGAACCGATATTCACGCTCTATCTCCCTGCTGACTTGCATTTATTTCATATTTTGTTGATCTATTTTAACTCTTCACAGCAGACATTCTATTAAGAGGCTGGATGGATTTGAGGCTAGGGATACAGCCTCCAAGCTAGGCTGCCTGGACTCAAAACCTCAACTCTGTCACTGCTCATTGCCTTAGTTTTCCCTGTTAGAAAATGCAATAATAGTACCTACTCCACACACTGGACTAAGAATTAAATAATCTATTATGTAAGTAAAACACTCAAAATAGTCCCTGGGGTTGGGTGCTGTGGCTCATGCCCGTAATCTCACACTTTGGATAGCCAAGGCAGAGCAGATCGCCTGAGCCCAGCAATTCAAGACCAGCCTGGGCAACATAAGGAGACCCTAGCTCTATAAATAATAATAATAGGCCAGGCGCGGAGGCTCATGCCTGTAATCCCAGCACTTTGGGAGGCCAAGGAGGGCAGATCACAAGGTCTGGAGATCGAGAACATCCTGGCCAACATGGTGAAACCCCGTCTCTACTAAAGATACAAAAATTAGCTGGGCGTAGTGGCGCGCGCCTGTAGTCCCAGCTACTTGGGAGGCTGAGGCAGGAGAATCGCTTGAACCTGGGAGGTCGAGGTTGCAGTGGGCCGACATTGCACCACTGCACTCCAGCCTGTTGACAGAGCGAGATTCCATCTTAATAATAATAATAATAATAATAGAAAAGAAATGAAATAGTGCTTGGAATGTGGCAAGTCTGTATGGAGGTTAGCCTGACTGTTTTATTTTACAGAGGTAAATTTTTATTTACACCAGCGATTTTCAACCTTTTCACTACTGACACTTGACCCAGATGATTCTATGTTGTTGGGGGGACTGACCTGTATTTGTAAGATGGTTAGCAGCACCTCTGGTCTCCACCCATTACGCACCAGCAGCACCCCCACAGTAGTGACATCCCAAAATGTCTCCAGACATTGTCAAATATCCCCTGTGGTGGAATGTCACCCTGGGTGAGAATCACTGCTTTAGATTTATACACATTTACTATCACCTATGCTCAACGTTTCTTTTCCCATTTTACCTTGTATCACCTGAGAGGGAAGAGGAAAGGATAAACAAAAGAATATATCTAAGAGTGCAAAAGGCTTATTGGAAAAAGGATAAAAAAAGATATATCCTTTAGAAAATCTTTTAGTGATGGTCTCTAAGGCTAGGTTTATCTAAAAATGGCTTGCTTTCCACATCCTTGAGTCTTGCTGGCATACAAATGTGACTGGCAGCTCTATTCTCAATGCTTTAACAATATTCTATTACCTTTCTGACTCTACTGCTGAGTGTACTCATTGCTCCTTTGCAGGAACTGCCTATTTCTAAGACATTCCTCTGGCCTTTGGTGCTCTGCAGTCTCACAGCAGATGAGATGGCTAACTTGGTTGGGGCCAGATGGGCTTTTCTCAGTAGTTATCCCCTCACATATTGTTTTCTTCCATTCTCTCCATTTGATCCTTCCGGGGCTTTGCTTGGATGCCAATTAGAATTTCTGATCTTATCCTCATTTCTTACCCTTGCTTTCACATTTTCCATGTGCTCTTCTCTGTGCTACATTCTAGATAATTTCTTCAAATGTAGCTTCTATTACACAAATTCTTTCTTCAGCTGTATCTAATGCGCTGTTCATTCATCCACTTTCTTCGTTCAATAATTATATTGCTCATTTCTACAGCTTTCATTTGGTTCCGTTTCAAATCTGCTTCATTGCTCCTGATGATGCTTTTTCATTTGAATTTCTGCTCTTTCTTTTCCTTTTTGTTTTCTATTTTTTCAGAGATGGTGTCTCGTTCTATCCCCCAGGCTGGAGTGCAGTGGTGCAATGATAGTTCACCATAGCCTCAAACTCCTGGCCTCAAGCAATCCCCCTGCCTTAGCCTCCCGAGTAGCCAGGAGTGTAGTCGTGAGCCACTGTGCCCGGCTCTCCACTTTATTTCTTTATATACCCCATGGCCCATAACTAACAGTTCCTGTGTGTGTGGTCACTGGGCATGCCTACATGTGTCTATTTTTTCTGTTCACCTTCATGGTGTCTCTCCTTCCCTTCAAGGCTGGTGATCTTTGTATGCTGATTGCTTGACCTTAATGTGCAACTGTCACAGGTCTTACACTGGGGACATGTTCCTCCAATCCGCACCTGCTCCAATCTGCACCTGCTTCTGGGGGGTATGGGGGGTGACACAGGACCCAGCACAAATCCTGGCTGACTACAGGAATCCCAAGCTTTCTTCCCCCACCTTGCAGCAGCTGAGGCTCAGGAGGACAAAGCCTCCCCAACTGCTGCAGGCCAGCATTCCAAAGTGCATCCTAACCAGAACCTAGTTATCCAGGAGGAGAACATGTCCTCAGCACCCCAGTCCATCACACAACTGGCAGTAGAAATTATTTTTAAAGTCGGCTTTACATGCACGTCATATAAAACTCATGAGAAACAAAAATGCGCAGAGTGAAAAGCTTTGCTTCCAACTCTGTACTGCAGCCCCAGCCATAGGAACAACCAGCAGTTTCAGCCTTTTCCGACTAACCTGGGTCACCTGAAAACTATCACAATGTCCCCTGGCCTACCCTTTGAGAGTCCCTGGCAAAACCTCTGACCCAGGCTCTGTCCTCTTGGTGGCACTAGATGAAGATCTGAAAGGGCCTTAATCATGCAGTAGTCTTTGGGAAAGGTGTCAGGAAGGGGTATCAAATGCCCATCAGACAACACTACTAGTTTCAGGGAGACCAGGGAGGCAAGTGGTGAAGGGCAGGGAGAGTTGGCCTCTGACAAAGGTGGTAACAAGATCCTGAAGTAGAGAATCCACTGTAACTTTTTCTTTTTTCTTTTGAGACAGAGTCTCGCTCTGTTGCCCAGGCTGGAGTGCAGTGGCACGATCTCGCCCCCTGCAAGCTCCGCCTCCCAGGTTCATGCCATTCTCCTGCCTTAGTCTCCCGAGTAGCTGGGACTACAGGCACCCACCACTACGCCCGGCTAATTTTTTGTATTTTTAGTAGAGACGGGGTCTCACCGTGTTAGCCAGGATGGTCTCGATCTCCTGACCTCGTGATCCGCCCGCCTCAGCCTCCCAAAGTGCTGGGATTACAGGCGTGAGCCACCGTGCCCAGCCCCCACTGTAACTTTCAACTAGTGCCACACAGAAGACCAGTCCCCTTGGAAGCTAAAAACAGGATGTGGGGGCCAAGGCCAGACTGGGGAGGGCGTGGGCAGGATATCAAGCTTCACCACTGAACTTCTGACAAAGAACTGGTTTAAGACAAAGTCTCTGAAGTGGGATGACAAGGCAACTCATGTGAGCATTCTAAACTCATACATTTAAAAACAATTTATTATCAAGTATAAGCTCATGATTAAAAAAAAAATGCACCAAGTACACAAGAGTAGAACGTGACAAGGAACTTGAGCCGGCACTTCTGTGGGTCCTCCCTAAACCCAGCTGGTGTACTTATCTGATGTGCTAAAAATAGTGAGGTAATGAGAGCTTGGGACGAAGAACCAGGCAGATTGTTCTAGGATGAGGAAACCAGCACGTGCTGAGAGTTAGACAACAGGAAGTAAGAGGAGAATTAAGGTATGAGAAGGGAAGGTGGCTTGGGATGGAGGAAGATTCCAGAGCAGGAGTGGGTAGAAATGAGGATGCCTATGGCCCCAAAGAAGAGGAAACCTGACACAGGATAGGGTAGGAGTGTGAGGATGGGGTCAGGCAGCAGCTTCGATCCCAGCTCTTGGCCTGGGGTGTGACTCCAGTTCTCCTTAGCAGCTGCTACACTGACAAAGCAGAGGGGGCGATGCTGCCCTCTTCATAGGGTTATCATGAGGGATGTGTGACAAAAATATATTGAAGCACTGAAGCCTGTACACAGATATCCACAGCAGCTTTGTTTGCATAATAGTAAGCAAAAGCAGGAAACAACCCAAATGTCCTTCATGGGTGAATGAATAAGCAAACTGTGGAAAATCCGTTCCATGGAACACTACTTAGTGATGAAAAGGAATGAATTACTGATAAAACCTGGCTGGGTCTCAAGGGTATCAGATTGAATTTAAAAAGCCAATCTCAAAAAGTCACATATGGTATGATTCCATTTATACAACATTCACAAAGGGACAGAACTACAGAGACACACAACAGATCAGCAATTGTCACTGCTTAAGGCTGGAGGGAGGGCGCGATCTCTGAGAGGTAACACAAGAGAGTTGGTTGGTGGTAATGGAACGGCTCCGCATGCCAATTGTGGTGATGGCTACTTGATTTGACACGTGGTAAAATCTCACAGACCTACACATACCCATATATGTAGCCCAAGAATGAGTGTAAAAAAACTGATGAAGTCGGCTGGGCGTGATGGCTCACGTCTGTAATCCCAGCACTTTGGGAGGCTCAGGAGAGAAGATCACTTGAGGTCAGGAGTTTGAGACCAGCCTGGCCAACATGGTGAAACCCCATCTCCACTAAAAATATAAAATTAGCTGGGCATGGTGGCAGGCGCCTGTAGTCCCAGGTAGTCGGAGGCTGAGGCAAGAGAACTGCTTGAACTCGGAAGGCAGAAGTTGCAGTGAGCTGAGATCACACCACTGCACTCCAGCCTGGGCAACAAGAGTGAAACTCTGTCTCAAAAAAAAAAAAAAAACTGATGAAGTCCAAGCTAAGTCTCTAACTGAGGTGATTACACTGCCTCAACATTAATTTCTTGGTTTTGACAATGTTCTATGTAAGATACTATTATTGGGGAGAGCTGGGTAAAGGGCATGTGGGAACTCTCTATGCTATTCCACAACTTCCTGTGACTCCTATTTTAAAAATAAAAAGTTACATGAAAGGGGAAAAAAACACTAAAGCACTTTGCAGTGGGCACAGCACACTCTAAGAAATGTTGATGGGACTCAAGGATACATCAAGATAGGTCCTAAGGGCAGGCGCGTTGGCTCACGCCTGTAATCCCAACACTTTGGGAGGCCGAGGTGAGCAGATCGCTTGAGCCCAGGAGTTCAAGATAAGCCTGGGCAACATGGTGAAGTCCCATCTCTACAAAAAATACAAAATATTAGCCGGGCGCGGTGCTGTGAGCCTATAGTCCCAGCTACTTTGGAGGCTGTGGTGTGAGGATCACCTGAGCCCAGGATGTCCAGGCTGCAGTGAGCCGTGATTGTGCCACTGCACTCCAATGTGGCCCACAGAGCGAGACCCCGTCTCAAAAGACAGGTCCTGGAAAGAAGAGGGAGGTTCTTTGCCTCCCCTTTAGAGCAGCTTTGGTTCACCTATAACACCTGATCACAGCCCAGTTTCCCACCACAGCAGCCGTGTGGAGAGGACACAGAGTCTCCTTCACAGAAAGGAAGCCAGAAGATAATATGGCTGCAAGCCACACCCATGGTGACCAAGGGGCAAGGGCAGCACTAGAAGAGATGGTGCCCAGAGCTCGGGCAGACAGTGGAGTTGTGGTTGCTGGCACTCAGCCCTGCCTTGTAGCTGAGAACCCTCTGAAACACACTGTATCTATTTCAGCCACAAAACACAAACCTTTGGATGGAGTCTCAGGCCATCCCCACCCTCCTGCCCAGGGCTAGGAGGAGGAGGAGGGCCCAGCATCACTTAACCCTTCTGGGAGCTCAACGAAAATTGGAAGCCTTTTCTCTCCACATACAACAAAGATTTAAAAAACAAAAAAACCAGAGCGATTTGGAGCTTCTCCATGCTTTTCTTGATACCATCATAAGCACAGGAATAAAATGTGTTGTCGTTTGCAAGGAAAGCGGCAAATCCTCCAAGAAGTGTGGTACTCACTCTGTGGAGTTGCCGTAGACACGACAGCCATGCTGTGAGGGGCCATCCCCGAGGTCCCAGGAGGCGGCTGCCCTGAGAGAGACATTGGCTGTCCCATGGCACCAAGGCTACCCATCCCGCCCAGAGACTGTCCCGGGCCCCGAGGAGGCATGCCAATTCCAGCGGCTCCCGCAGCAGGTCCGCCAGTCAGGCTCTGGAGTGCATTCATAGGATCTGTGGGAACACAAGGGCAGAGCTTCTCAGGAAAGGGCCTACCAGACTGACCATGGCTCAAAGGGCGTAAGGCTCACAGAGCACAGATCTCGCCTACCTACAGGCTCAATCCCCTCACAGCCCCAAGCAGTAAGAGACTAGGCTCCTGGAGACTCCCAAATATGAATGGCTAGGACGCCAGGTGTGTTGGTCACTGCATGACCCATACCTCTAGCCTGGCCTGGACCAGAGTCCTAATGTTAAGGGACAAATGACCTCTCTGATGCCTGCAGATACACTAAAGATGGGCTGAGGCCTTGAGGGCAGGTGGCAACCCCTGCCTCTCCTGGCTGTCCAGCCCTCCTGCTGGGTGAGCGTACAAAGCACGATGGGCCCTTCTGAGCAAGCGGTAACACAGTGGCCAGGGGACGCTCTCCCAGGGAGGGCACAAGTCCACAGGCACACACAGCTCCACTCGTGCTGTTGCAGAGTCCAACTCAGCCTGGGCCCCTGTGTGCAGGGCCACCATGCCAGAACAGCTTAGGGGTGCAGAGGAGGGCTCCACAGAGCACTGAGGAGAAATGTCCCAAGCCCACCAGGTCAGCAGCTCAGTGAGCAATGCCACAACCAAGGACAAGGATGCCATTGTCACAACAGTGTGGACTTCACAGCAAACAGCTACCCACAGACAGGTATGTCCTGGCAGGACCGCCATGCCACACAACTGGGTGGTACCCAGGACCCCATGCTCCAATGCCAAGGGGCCCAGATGTTCTGGCCACATGCCCTTGCTGCCGCTCAGCCCCAGTTGGCCAAGAATCCCTGTCCTGGCTGAGAGGTGAGACCCACATGGGCAGAGACAGCTGGCATGTACAGCTCTACTGTCTAGGGCAGGGCAGACAGTGGCGTGCAGCCTGTGAGGTCAGTGCACTCCCTTCCCAATGGCAGAATGCAGTTGGCCAGCCTGGATCTGTTAAACCCCTTCCCTTGCAGCTTAGTCAGCAGAGACCAAGGCTGAATTGACAGAATTCCCCTCATGTGATAAACGCTGAAATTTAAAAATATGGATTTCTAAACTTTTTTTTTGAGATGGAGTCTCACTCAGTCATCCAGGTTGGAGTGCAGTGGCACGATCTCAACTCACTGCAACCTCAGCCTCCCAGGTTCAAGCGATTCTCATGCCTCAGCCTCCTGAGTAGTTGGGACTACAACGCATGCCACCACACCCGGCTATTTTTGTATTTTTAGTAGAGATGGGGTTTTACCATGTTGGCCAGGCTGGTCTTGAACTCCTGACCTCAACTGATCTGCCTGCCTCAGCCTCCCACAGTGTTGGGATTACAGGCATGAGCCACAGCACCCAGCCAGATTTCTAAATTTACAAAGAAACTTTGTAACTTAAAAAAGTGAATTCACAGCATTTTCTCAGAAATGCTACTACATATTATTACACTGAAAACAGCATAATAATTCTCTACCAGAGAGCTCAACACTTTTGGATAATGTCTTAATAGCTTTGTGAGTGTTTATCTTTTTGCTGGGCAAAGGCAGCATTTGTGTGAAACGGGATGGGGAGGATCATGCGACTTCACAGTCTGCAGGAAGACGAAGGCTGGAGAGGTCAGGGCACAGCTGGTCAGCCTCCTCCCTCCAGAGTTCTCTCCGCAAGCATTCTCCTCTAGTGACAGGTTAACCCAGGCACATGAGGCATGCACTATGTCATTCTTGCCACCTCAAATCCAAAGTTGGGAGAAACTTTAACTCAAAAGGGAAAACTCTTACCACTGACGGAAGCTTGAGATTTCTTGTTATCTATATGAAAACACAAACAAAAAAACGAAAGTAAACATAGTTTTATATAACCACATATTTCCATGGGTAGGTCAGTTCTGTAGGCATTTGCCCAAGCCTTAATCCCCACGGAGCTCCTAGTACTCCCCACTACTGGGGGAAGTGTTTCTACTCTTGGCAGCGCTGACCCCACAAGAGACCTGGGGGCAGAGGGTGCAGAGTAGCTCCAGGGTCAACCTGGGGCCTTAGGGAGCTGCCCCCAAGGCTGAAGCACTCTGGGGTTGGGGACCCTGGGCCTACTCTGGCTTTCCTTTTTCCCAGGTCCAGAGTCTCAGCTCAGCCCTGAGCAAACAAATAATAGAACACTACAGGAACCCACGGCGGGGCTGGAGTGGTGCCAAGACTTGACACTGCCTCCCTTTGCAGCCCACTCTGGTGAGGCAGTGTCTCTGTTACCTAGATGAGGAAACTGAGGCTGTCCACGGCCAGCTGGAAGCCAGTCCAGCTGACCCCAGTGCCCAGCGGAGAACTTCTGTAGCAGTCATGGGGCCCTGAGCCTCCTGCTCGGCTGCTTCCCATGACCTCATGAGCCCCACAGGACTGTGTGCACCAGCCAGGCCACTGTCCCTGAAAGCAGAACATGCGGAGTCTGCCAGCGCATCTGGGCCAGATCATCTGGGCTGCTCCTTCTCCTCTTACACATCCCAGTGACTTTCCAACACCACAGAGAGTGAGATCAGTGAAGTTCACTTTGCTGGCCATTCTGGTGAAAAGTTAGTGTGGAAAGAAGCAAAACCTACCAGGCTCTGGAGTGCTCAATGTCTCCCTTTGACCCAGCAACACACTGAAGGTACAGCTGCCTGTCCCTAACCCACAGGGGAATAGAAATAGGACTCGCCAGGCACATGCTCCAACGACAGGCCTGTGTCAAGAGAAGCCTGCCTCTGGTGGTTATGCAGCGGCAGTGGGCAGGAGCCATTGTTGGCTGAAAACACAGAGCAGCTGCTGGCCCCAGTTTCCTTCGCAGGCTGTGGCCATCCAGGAACACTTGGTGTCCACATACTTCCACGTAACACACACAAGCACGAAGACCCTGGCCCTAGGATGCAATGACAACTCATTTCTGTAGAGCTGGGGCCACTGCCTGGCTGACAGAACCACACTGGGCCCTCTGAATCAGAGGAGGCACAACGTGAGGTTAACACGGGGGCCCTCAGCACAGCAGGGAGCCAGGGTGCAGACTCAGGAGGTCCTCCTCAGAAGCTTCTAGTCTGGAGGGAAAATATGCCTAAGTGTCTCTGGCCTCCATGGGTCAATAAAATCAACTTTTAGGGAAGAGAGTTTCTGTTCCAGGGTAAACAGAACTTCCCAGAAGTAAAAACAACAGCCCTATGAAAAGGGAGATTAAGTGAGCAAGTGAAGCAGCAACCCGTTTAGACCACTTTGAGGACAGCATTTCCATGATGCTAGAATCAGCATTTTTGAGGCCAAGGCTCTGGGAGGATGGAGGGATCTGGAGTCAAATGCAAGGCAGTGAAGAACTTCCCAGAAGCAAGTGAGGTGACACAGACCTTCTGACTCAGGCACCACGGCCTGCCCAGAAAGCTCTGCCGAGGCAGCGTCAGGGCTGGCCTCTCACAGAGATCTCAACAACCCAGAAATGCAAAATCTTACTTACGAATGTCTCGAAAATGGATAATGAGCCTGGCCACGAGAGAAAGGTATTCGTCCTAAAAGTAAAAACAGGAAGCAGTTTAATACCAGATGAAGAAGCGCAGTCATCGGACTCCCCCTTCCCGCCCCCTCGCCTGCTGGCACCGAGCTGAAGCCCATCCTGCAAGGCAGATTCAGACGCTTGCTCGGCCTCCTCTGGAATCCGCCTCTCGGAAGAGAGCCGTCAGTGCTCAGCTAGGCTGGCCAATAACAGGCACAAAGAAACAAGAAGGGGACAGAGAGCCTCCAACGGCCACTCCTCTCCCCTGATGGAAAGGCACTCAGCTGAGAGAGCTGGGAGCCATCTTGAGTGCCCTCTCTTCATCACAAAGGGGACAGGCAGGTTGGGGGTGATGAGGCGCTGGCCTGAGGGCACAAGGCCTGTCAGAGGCAGCCGTGGGTGGGCCGCTGTGTCTTTGCACTATCTGTAAAGAAGGGCTTTCATTTCTCAGCCCAGCCTGTTGCTGCCTTTTCACTGATGACGCAGTATCTGCTGAAAATCTGGGCGGCCCTCCCCTGGCTGCGCTTTCCGGGAGAATCTGTGTTCATCTCCATTTACGCACAGGCAAGGCAGAGGGTGAAGCCCACTCTCAGGTGAGGTGAAGGCCACTGGCTGCCAAGGCCCGCTATATGCAAGCTGCTGTGTTTCTGAGATTGTCTGGCAGGGGCTGCCTCCCACCCATTGTCCTCTTTGGCCCCAAGGACACTCACTCCCAAGTGTTTCAGGGAAATCACTACTGTGAGTTGGTCTTGTGGTCAATACACGGATGTCTGAGGTAAAGTCTTATTTCAGAGAAGCATCCTTGTCTTCTGCTGAAGTGCCCATCCTTCTGGCAGGGCAGCCTGGAAGGGGCAAAGCCCCGGCTCCGTGCCCTGCTCACCCAACCTTCCTCCTGAGTCACTGTGACACTCAGAGTCCATCCACTACACTCATAAGATGGCAGGGCAGAGGGAAGGATGATGAAAAGTGGTCTCAGATGAGTGTAAAAATACAAAGACACTTTTGAAATCTTTATCATCCCACATCTATCTCCAAACTCTACCCCACTTCTTTTTTTCAGCTCGGGGAATTAGCACAGGACAACATGAAGAAGAAAGGCCCAGGGGAGAGGAAAAGCTGGGATAAGCAGCGAGGCCTGGCCAGAACAAGGGGACACCAAGGCAGTTCTGTCAACACGCCCAGCTTCCGGCTATCCCCATCAATTACTGATAGGAAAGCTGATGTGCGTGTGAAGGGGGCCCACAGGCAGCCTGTCCCTGAAGGACAGTGGTATGAGAATGGGGGCAATGGAGGTGTGGGAACCTGAGGACACTCAGGAACAGAAGCAAGGTGGCCATGTATGAGGGGAGAAGGGCCTGGGGGCCAGCCAGGTCAACACCTCACAGCTCCTAAGGCCCTGGACCATTTTTTAGGTCTGCGATACTTTAAATGAATTTGTTTTCTCCACATCCATAAAAGGTAAAACAAGGGGAAGTAGGTTTCAAAAGCAACAAGATACTTTTACTTAGACATAAGACACTCAAACAAGGCTCAGGACCATGTCACCAAAGCCCTTCTGCATAACACCAGGGCTGAGCAAGACCCACTGCCAGCCCAGCACCTGGAATGCAGTGGGCAGGCATCATCATCCTGCAGTGCCCAGCACCACTCCTGACCCACAGTAGGCGCAGCCACTGCCATCTGCTCCAGCTCTGCTACCAGACCAGCGTGAGGAGGCTTAGTGGGGAGCGGGGAGGGAGGGGACGCCTGATGTGAGAAACAAGCACAGGAAGCTGTCATGCTGCCAGCCAAGGAGCTTTCTTGTGGGCGATGATACTTCCTACATTCCCCCAAAGGCAGGTTTATCTAGGAACATCTAGGGGCTGAACGCAATGGGTCAACCACAACAACTCCTTTCCAGGGGAGAAAGCCCTGGATCTGAAACTGCGCCTCTGATCCCCCTGGCTGGGCTCTTTCACTCCTGACTCCTCACCATCCACCCCCACCCCCATCCAGATGGACAGATTATTATGCCCCTTTCTGCTCCAAAGCACACCAACTCCCCTAGAACTGCTGCAGAAAAAAGGGCTAAAGAGTCAGGAAACTCCCTATCTTCACTTGGTCTGCTCCAGCTCCCCTGCTGGCTATCAAAATATAAGTGTCCAGCTGTACCTGAGGCTGAGTATTACAAACCATAAACAATGAACATCATGACAGTAACAGCTAGCACTTGGCACTTTACAGTGCCAGACACAGGAGTCATCAATTCACATGCATTATCGCCTTGATTTCTCCCAACCACCCAGAGGCAGGTACTACTAACACATCCAGTTTACAGATAAGAAAACAGAAACCTTAAAAAACTCCATAGAGGCCAATCGTGGAGGCTCACATCTATTATTCCAACATTTTGGGAAGCCAAGGCAGGAGGGTCCCTTGAGGCCAGGAGTTTAAGACCAGCCTGGGCAACATAGTAAGACACCATCTCTACAAAACAAACAAACAAACAAACATTACCCTGGTGTGGTAGCACACGCCAGTGGCCTCAAAGTGGGAGGCTGAGGCTTGAGCCTGGGAGATCAATGCTGCAATGAGCTGTGACCACTCCACTGCACTCCAGCTTGGGCGACAGAGTGAGACCCCACCTCAAAAAGTTAAAAGCTTCATAGAATTTCCACACTTGCTTGACATGTGGAAATCTTGCACAAGTGCCTCACAACATATTGTGGAGTGAACACAAGGAAGGAGAAAGGATAGAAACACGTGCTCCGTGCCACATACACTGCATGACATACACCTTTTATATAAGACCTGTGGAACGTAAACACACATATTTGCTTAAATCTGCCATGAGAAACACTGGAAAGATACACCAAAATTGAAAATCGACAACCCAGCAAGTATCAGGAACTGGGCTGGAAATGTGCCCTCTCTAAATCCACAGTGTTATGGGTTTTCACTTCAGAAGCACATAAATCTTTTACTATTGAGAAGATAAAGCCAAATCAAGTCGGGCACCTTGGCTCACACCTGTAATCCCAGCACTTTGGGAGGCCAAGACAGGAGGATCACCTGAGGACAGGAATTCAAGACCAGCCTGGCCAACATGGTGAAACTCCATCTCTACTAAAAATACAAAAAAAATTAGCCAGGCCTGGTGGCGCATGCCGGTAATCCCAGCTACTTGGGAGGCTGAGGCAGGAGAATTGCTTGAACCCAGGAGGCAGAGGTTGCAGTGAGCCGCGATCACGCCACTGCACTCCAGCCTGGGCAACAAGAGTGAAAACTCTGTCTCAAAACAAAAAACAAAAAACAAAAAAAACAAATCAAAGCTAGGCACAGTGGCACAGTCTTGTAATCCCAGCTACTTGGAAGGATAAAGTAGGAGTATTGCTTACACCCAGGAGTTCAGCCTGGGCAACTCAGGGGCAACTCAGTGAATTTTATTTCTCTAAAAAATATATATATTTTTTGAGATGGGGTCTCACTCTGTCGCCCTGGCTGGAGTGCAGTGACGCGATCATCGCTCACTGCAGTTTCAACTTCCTGGGCTCAAGTGAGCCTCCCCACCTCAGCCTCCTGAGCAGCTGGGACTACATGCATGCAGTACCATGTCCAGCTAATTTATTTATTTATTTATTTTTATTTTTTAGATGGAGTCTCACTCTGTGGCCCAAGCTGGAGTGCAGTGGTGCAATCTCAGTTCACTGCAAGCTCCGCCTCCCGGGTGGTGCAAGCTATTCTCCTGCCTCAGCCTCCCAAGTAGCTGGCACTACAGGCGCCTGCCACCACGTCTGGCTAATTTTTTGTATTTTTTAGTGGAGACGGGGTTTCACTGTGTTAGCCAGGATGGTCTCGATCTCCTGACCTTCTGATCCGCCCACCTCAGCCTCCCAAAGTGCTGACATTACAAGCGTGAGCCACCACGCCTGGCCAATTTTTTGTATTTTTTGGAGAGACACGGTTTTGCCATGTTGGCCGGCTTGTCTTTTGCTCAGTCCCCAACCTCCAAAAGTGTTGGGATTACAGGTGTGAGTCACTGTAGCCAGCCTAAAATATTTTTCTAAAATGAAAAGTATAGCAAATCTAAAGAAAAAGGTCCAATTCCTAAACATTCCAAATAAACTAAAACAAATGAGCTGAATATTAAGTTGGTGGCAGAATCATATAGAGAAAAGAAATCTTTTGAGAGGCTTTTTAAAAAAATGAAACAAAAAGCAAAATGTTCTCAATAAAAGGGATACATTTTAAGGACAATTAGAACTTCAAGGTAATCTTAAATGTTTAGTCTACCTTTTGTTATCAGTGGTAATATAAACTGTTTATTCTGAAATGATTTTAAAGTAAAGCAACCAAGTATGCTAATAATATTAGAAACCAAGATATTCATAGTAACAGAAAAGACACATGTTTAAAATGAAAGAAGTAAAAACCCTATATATAAGTTTAAATTTGAATTAGAAATATTAGTGTAAAATTATGGGTTTTTGTTGTTGCTGTTATTTCAAAAACATGTTTTTTCTTAGTTCTGTTCACTGAAAGGCCCAAAGCAATGAACAGACCAGCGCCCACGTAGCATGCTCCAAATGCCACTTTACCGGCAGAAGTCCCCAGGGTTCACTCCCTAGAGGAGCAGCCAATCTGGGTCTAAATGCCAGCAGACTAAGAAAAACTAAAGAGGTTGTGTGAGGGCCCCAAGAGACACAGGAGCTCCTGCTAGATGAGGATGGGACCATCTAAGCATCAAAATGAATGACAGCAATGGACCAGAACACCCCAGATACACAGCCCTGAGCTCAAAATGTCACTCAAAGAGAACCCATCTGTGGCCCTTGGGGGGACTCCTTAGACTGGAAAGATCAGAAAAACAGCATTCCTGGAGGTCCTGAACACACAGGGTTTCAAACAATCATCTAGCCCTGGCTGACGAAAGAAAACCTTTCTTGACAAAAAAAAAAAAACAAAAAAAACTCCATGTAACGAATGTGGGAGAAAAGCCAGAATTAGTCTACAAGCCCTAATTAAATGATGAAACCATCGGAAAGATAATAGGAGCTTTACAAGGGTCAGGCTGTTGTTGCTCTCCAAACCTCCAAATTGTGGTCTTATGGGAATATCAAGATGCCCAGAAATACAAATTAAGGCAATACTTCGGATATATTTTTGCTAAAAGACCACGGCACCCTCTCTGCTCTCCGATTTAGCACCCAGTTCATAAGAAGGAGGGGGCAGGCAGGATGAATCAGCAGCTTGGGAGACATCAGAGCCCATGGGGAGGGCTGCAGGACAGCTGGGCTGCTCCTTCACCAGGCTGGGAGGGGCCAGAGGGGAGAAAAGACCCTCGTTTGGATCCTGATTCAAAGAAGCCAACTATTAGGAAAAAAGCGTTGAAACTTGAAAGAGGCCTTCCCATTGATGACAATAGTGACTCCATGTGATTGTCAGGTGGGGCCCTAGCACAGGCCAGTGTGGAGATGCTCAGCAGAGATACAACCCTGAGGGTGGGGATGTGCCCTCGACACTTCAGGAGGGACACAGAGACAGCCAAGGGAAAAGTCACCAAACCACAGCAACTGCTGACTCCAGATTAGAGGAATATGACGCCTCTGTGCTTTCATGTCTCAGAGTTTTCCTAATAGATTTTGAAATACCATCAAATTCCAGAAAGAGTGGTTCCATGATAGTATCCATAGCCCCATGGGACCTTGGCCCCAGCCCACAGGACACACCATCAGAAACCAAGTAGGGACAAGGCAGCCCCAGCAGTGCCCCCCACCCAAGGAAACCACACGGCCCTGACCTGGCCACCAAGGGAAAACAGACCTGTTATTCATCATTTTCACTCGTTCCATTAAAAATATATGTAATAGGCTGGCTGAGATACAATTCACCCATTTAAAACATGCCATTCAATGGTTTTTGGTACTACATTCAGAGTTCTGCAGCATTACCAAAATCAATTTTAAAGCATTTTGTTTCTTTTTTTTTTTTTTTTTTTTGAGGTGGAGTCTCGCTCTGTCACACAGGCTGAAGTGGCACCATCTCAGCTCACTGCAACCTCCACTTCCTGGGTTCAAGTGATTCTCCTGCCTCACCCTCCCAAGTAGCTGGGACTACAGGTATGCGCTGTCACCCCCTACTGATTTTTGTATTTTTAGTAGAGGCAGGATTTCACCATGTTGGCCAGGCTGGTCTCAAACTCTTGGCCTCAAGTGATCCACTGGCCTTGGCCTCCAAAGTGTTGGGATTACAGGCATGGGCCACCGTGCCTGGCCTAATTTTAGAACATCATCTTCACTCCAAATGAAAACTCCATTTCCCTACAGCACCCTTGGCAATCAATAATCAACTTTCTGTCTGTGGCAGGCTAAATAACAGTCCTTAAATCAGGTCCTATTCCCTGGAACCTGTAAATGTTACCTTATTTGAGAAAAAGGTCTTTGCAGATATGATGAAGTTAAACATCTTGAGATGGAGGGCTATCCTGGGTTATGCGGGTGGACCCCAAGTGCAATTGCATGTATCCTCCTAAGAGGGAGGCAGAAGGAAAGTTCACACACACAGAGAAGGCGACGTGAAGATGGAATACAGAGAATGTATTTACCTCGTGATGCTGGACTTGAAGACTGGAGTGATACAGCCACAAGCCAAGGAGTACCAGCAGTGACCAAAAGCTAAAAGATGCAAGAAACAGGTTCCTCTCCTATAGCCTCCCTGCTGCCACTGCGATTTTTACCCATGGTACTGACTTTGAACATCTGGCCTTGAAAACTGTGAGATTAAATTTGTTTGTTTGTTTGTTTTTTTGAGACAGAGTCTCACTCTGTCACCCAGGCTGGTGTGCAGTGCCGCGATCTCGGCTCACTGCAAGCTCCACCTCCCGGGTTCAGCCATTCTCCTGCCTCAGCCTCCCGAGTAGCTGGGACTCCAGGCGCCCGCCACCACGCCTGGCTAGTTGTTTTGTATTTTTAGTAGAGACGGGGGTTTCACCATGTTAGCCAGGATGGTTGCGATCTCCTGATCTTGTGATCTGCCCGCCTCAGCCTCCCAAAGTGCTGGGATTACAGGCGTGAGCCACCGCACCCGGCCTAAATTTCTGTTCTTTTAAGCCACCAAGCTTGTAGTAACGTGTTATAGCAGCCACAGGAAACATACGAATTTTGTTACCAGGAGTAGGGTGCCTAAAAATATGGCAGTGGCTTTGTAACTCAATAACAAAGGAGGGCTAGTAGAATTGTGAGAAGCATGATAGAAAAGGCCTAGGTTTCCTTGAACAGGCTGTGGGTAGAAATGCGGATGTTAAAGACTGTCACCCAGACTCTGCCTTAAAGGAAATGACGAACTTGATACAGAAAGTCTGTATTATCTTCAAGAATACATATACTATCAAAAACAGAATGTTGTTAGAAACATGAAAATTAAAGGTGATTCTAAAGAAACAAAGGAAACAAGGAACATGTTACTGGAAACTAGAGCAAAGGTGATCTTTGTAATATAATGGCAAAAAGTTTAGCTGGATTGTGTCCTGTAGCTGTGTGGAAGGCAGAATCATAAGCAATAAGTTTGCACATTTAGCTGAGCAGACTTCCAATCAAAGCATTCAAGACTCAGCTTGGGCCGGGCACAGTGACTCATGCCTATAATCCCAGCACTTTGGGAGGCTGAGGCAGGCAGATCACCTGAGGTCAGGAGTTCAAGACCAGCCTGGCCAACATGGTGAAATCCCATCTTTACTAAAAATACAAAAATTAGCCGGGCGTGGTGGTGGGCACCTGTAATCCCAGCTACTTGGGAGGCTGAGGCAGGAGAATCACTTGAACCTGGGAGGTGGGGGTTGCAATGAGCCGAGATCGCGCTACTGCACTCCAGCCTGGGCGACAGAGTGAGACTCAGTCTCAAAAAAATAAAAAAAAGGACTCAGCTTGGTTTCTTCTTTCTGCTTGTAGTAAAATGCAAGAGGAGGCCGGGCATGGTGGCTCACGTCTATAATCCCAGCACTTTGGGAGGCCAAGGCAGGCAGATCACTTGAGGTCAGGAGCTCAAGACCAGCCTGGCCAACATGGTGAAACCCTGTCTCTACTAAAAATACAAAAATTAGCTGGGTGTGGTGGTGGGCACCTATAATCCCAGCCACTTGGGAGGCTGAGGCAGGATAATCACCTGAACCCAGGAGGCGGAGGTTGCAATGACCTGAGATCACGCCACTGCACTCCAGCCTGGGCGAGAGAGTGAGACTCCGTCTCCAAAAAAAAAAAAAAAAAAAAAAAAAAGCAACATGAAAGAGATAAATTAAGGGTACAATAAAAAGAATTTTAAAAATACACACACACACACACACACACACACACACACACACACACAAAGAAGAGAGAGAAATTGAGGGAAGAACTGTTAAGCAGAAAGGAATCTAGACTTAATGATTTGGGAAATTCTCAGGCTATTTAGATTGGAAAAAACCAAAATGCTAAAACTAGGAGATTTACTGTTAGGAAAGTGTGTTCTGTAGAGAATGCCAAGGGTGTGGCATATCTTCCAAATTTTTCTAGTGCCAAAGAGATTAAACATGGGACTCATGAATCCCCTCAATCATCTCACAGAAGTGAGGAAGAGAGATGAAATTATCTAGGAAAGATCTGTGGAGAAACCTCATCTAATACTATGAATTCCATCATATATGTAGAAGTTCCACAAGGATTTTGAGAATGTTCTACCAGCAGAAACACTGCCAGCTTGGAGTAGAAAGTTTATAGACTAGGCAAAATCAAAGAAGAACTCCCAAAATTTTAGAAGCAGGAATAGGCTGATAAAACTACGCAGCCTCAAACATGTGCTACCCTTTAAGAAAGTGAGGGCAGAGACATGGGCTCAGAAGTCAGAGCCATGGACCCAGAGATAGGAGCCTCCAACTTTATGGTAACTTGTTATGGCAGCCATGGGAAACTAATACACTATCTCTATAGATCTTCGTATTCTCTGGACATTTTATAAAAATGCAACATGTCATCCTTTGTGACTGCTTCATTTATGTAATGTTTTTAGCTTCATCCATGTTGTAGCATGTATCAGCCCTTCATTGCTTCGTGTGGCCACATGATATTCATTGTATGGATATTCTACATTCTGTTTATCCATTCATCAGCTGGTAGACATTTGGGTTGTTTCCATTTTTGGCTATTTATGATGTTATAATGATGCTATAAACATTTGTGTATATATTTTTGTGTGGACATGTTTTCTTTTCTCTTGGATATATACCTGGGAGTGAAACTTCTGGGTCGTATGGTAACTCTACATTCAATTTTTTGATGAACTGTCATACTGTTTTCCACAGCACCATTTCACATTCTCTCCAGCAATGTATGAGAATTCTAATTTCTCTGCCAGGCACGGTGGCTCACCCCTGTAATCCCAGCACTTTGGGGAGGCCAAGATGGGTAGACCACCTGAGGTCAGGAGTTCAAGACCAGCATGGCCAACATGATGAGACCCTGTCTCTACTAAAAATACAAAAGTTAGCCGGGCATTGGCTGGGTGCAGCGGCTCACACCTGTAATCCCAGCACTTTGGGAGGCCTAGGTGGGTGGATCACAAAGTCAAGAGATCGAGACCATCCTGGCCAACATGGTGAAACCCTGTCTCTACTAAAAATACAAAAATTAGCTGGGCATGGTGGCACATGCCTGTAGTCCCAGCTACTTGGGAGGCTGAGGCAGGGTAATTGTTTGAACCTGGGAGGCGGAGGTTGCGTTGAGCCGAGATCCCGCCACTGCACTCTAGCCTGGCGACAGAGCGAGACTCCATCTCAAAAAAAAAAAAAAAAAATTAGCTGGGTGTGATGGTGTGTGCCTATAGTCCCAGCTACCCAGGAGGCTGAGGCAGGAAAATCACCGGAATTTGGGAGGCGAAGGCTGTAGTGAGACGAGATTGTGCCACTGCACTCTAGCCTGGGCGACAGAGCGAGACTGTCTCAAAAAGAAAGAGAATTCCAATTTCTCTACATCTTTGCCAACGCTTATTATTGTCTTTTTTAAAAATCATAGCCATTATAATGGAAATGAAGTGGCATCTCATTGTGGTTTTTATTTGCAATCCCCTAATGACTAGTGATGTTGAGCATCTTTTCACATGGTTGTTGGCCATTTGTATCTCTTCTTTGGAGATAGGTTTATTCAAGTATTTTGCCTATTTTTTATTTCATTTATTTTTATTTATTTTATTTATGTATTTATTTTTTGAGACGGAGTCTCACTCTGTCACCCAGTCTGGAGTGCAGTGGCATGATCTTGGCTCACTGCAAGCTCCACCTCCCGGGTTCACGCCATTCTCCTGCCTCAGCCTCCTGAGTAGCTGGGACTACAGGCGCCCACCACCACGCCTGGCTAATTTTTTTTCCTTTTTTTGTATTTTAAGTAGAGACAGGGTTTCACCATGTTAGCCAGGATGGTCTCAATCTCCTGACCTCGTGATCTGCCCACCTCGGCCTCCCAAAGTGCTGGGATTACAGGTGTGAGCCACCGCGCCTGGCTGTATTTTGCCTATTTTTTAGTTGCTTTTTGTTGTTGTTGTTGTTGTTGTTGTTGAGTTGTAGGAGTTCTTTATGTATTCTGGATATTAAACCCTTACCTGATATGTGATTTGCAAATATTTTCTCCCATCCCATGGGTTGTTTTTCCCTCTTATGACAGTGTCCTATGATGTACAAGTTTTTAATTTTGATGAAGTCAAATTTATCTACGTTTTTTGTAGCTTGTGCTTTTTTGGCATCATATCTAAGAAACTACTGCCTAATCCAAGGTCATGAAGATGTACGCCTCTGCTTTCTTCTAAGATATTTATAGTTTTAGCTTGTAAATTTAGGTTTTTGACCCATTTTGAGTTAATTTTTTAAAAAGTTTTTTAGAGACAGAGTCTCACTCTGTCACCCAGGCTGGAACATGTTGGTACAATCATAGCTTACTGTAATCTCAAACTCCTGGGATCAAGTGACCCTCCAGCCTCAGCCTGTCGATTAGGCAGGACTACAGGCACGCGCCACCATGCCTGGCTGGTGTTTTTTATTTTGAGTTAAGTTTTGTATAGGGTATGAAGTTGGGGCTCAACCTCAATATTTTGTATGTAGTTACCCAGTTGTCCTAGAAACTACTGTGATTTATGTATTTAAAATTTTATTTTTGGCACAAAATGGAAAGGCTGCCTACACTGTCATCTTCAGAAAGAGTGGCACAGCCTTTTCCCTAATCTGTCAAAAACCTTATGTGGCTTTCCACGTCCTCCAGGAGCAATTTCTAGCCCTTTCCACAGCCCCCCTTGGGTAAACCTCTTATGAGAGGTGTCCTGCTCTCCGGGATGATTACAATGCATCACTAACACCCCCTGCATCCCTCCACTTCCACTGCACTCCAGCCTGGCCGACAGAGCGAGACTGTCTCAAAAAAACAAAAATAAAAATAAATAAATAAAATCCCCCCTATATATTTGCAAATTATATATTTAATAACAGACTTATATCCAAATGCATAAAGAACTATTACAACCCAACAATAAAAAGACTAACAACCCAATTTAAAAATGGACAGAGGATCTGAATAGACATTACTCCAAAGAAAATATACAAATGGCCAAAAAGCACATGAAAAAGATGCTCAACATCATTAGTCACTAGGCAAATGCAGATCAAAACAATGCAAATCACACCCATTATAATGGCTACAATTAAAATAGACAATAACAAGTATTGGAGAGGATGAGGAGAAATTGAAACCTCATTTAAGCTGCTGGTGAGAATTTAAAATAGTACAGTTGCTTTGGGAAACATCTGGCAATTCCTCAAAAGGTCAAATACAGAGGTAGGGTATGACCCAGCAACTCTACCCCTAGGTATATACCCAAGAGAAATGAAAACACAGCCCACACAAAAATTTATACATTAACTATTGTTCTGCTTACTCATAATAACCAAAAAGTAGAAACTATGTAAATGTCCACCAACTAACGAATGGCTATAAAATATGTGATATGGCCATCCAGAAATGGAATATTTGACAATAAAAAGGAATAAAGTTGGCCAGGCACGGTGGCTCACGTCTGTAATCCCAGTACTTTGGGAGGCCAAGGCAGGTGGATCACCTGAGGTCAGGAGTTTGAGACCAGCCTGGCCAACATAGCCCCAGACCAATGCAAAACCCATCTCTACTAAAAATACGAAAATTAGCCAGGCATGGTGGCACACACCTGTAATCCCAGCTACTAAGGAGGCTGAGACAGGAGACTTGCTTGAACCCAGTGGGTGGAGGTTGCAGTGAGCCGAGATCGTGCCATTGCACTCCAGCCTGGGTGACAGAGCGAGACTCCATCTAAAAAAAACAAAAGAGGAATAAAGTATATACCAAACATGGTTCATGGACCTTGAACCTTGAAAATATTATGCTAAGTGAAATAAGCCAGCTGCAAAATAAAAACATATATTGTACGTGGCTGGGTGCGGTGGCTCATGCCTGTAATCCCTGCACTTTGGGAGGCTGAGGCGGGCGGATCACCTGAGCTCAGGAGTTTGAGACCAGCCTGGCCAACATGATGAAACCCAGTCTCTACTAAAAATACAAAAAATTAGTCGGGTGTGGTGGTGCGCACCTGTAATCCTGGCTACTTGGGAGGCTGAGGCGGAAGAATCGCTTGAACCTGGTAGGCGGAGGTTGCAGTGAGCTGAGATTGTGCCACTGCACTCCAACCTGGGCACAAGAGGAAAACTGTCACACACACACACGCACAAACAAAAAAAACCCATATGTTGTACAATTATATTTATATGGAAAATTCCGAATAGGCAAATCTACAGCAGTAGAAAGTATAAGTGGTAGCTGAGGGTTGAAGGAAAAGGGAGTGTGACTGCTAACAGGTATAAAGTTTCTTTAAAAAATGTTGAAGGCTGGGCATGGTGGCTCACACTTGTAATCCCAGCATTTAGGGAGGGCAAGGCGTGGGGATAGCTTGAGATCAGGAGTTCAAGACTAGCCTGGGCAACATAGTGGGACCTCGTCTCCACAAAAAATAAAAAACTTAGCCGGGTGTGGTGGCACATGCCTGTAGTCCCAGCTACTCAGAAGACTGAGAAAGGAGGATCGCCTAAGCCCGGGAGATTGAGGCTGCAGCAGGCTGAGATCACGCCACTGCACTCCAGCCTGGGTACAGAGTGAGACCCTGTCTCAAAAAAAAAAGTTCTAAAATTAGGCCAGGCTTGGTGGCTCGCACCTGTGACCCCAGCACTTTGGGAGGCCTAGGCAAGAGGATGGCGTAGGGCCAAAAGTTTGAAACCAGCCTGGGCAACACAGGGAAGCTGCACCTCTTTTTATTTATTAATGAATGTTCCAAAATTAGATTTTGGTGATGGCCACACAACTCTGTGAATATCCTAAAGACCACTGAAATGTAAACTTTAAAGGGTGAACCGTATAAAGCTCTTAAAGAAAAAGAAAAAGCTTATCAAACGTATCCGTAGTACAGAGCCCACTCTACCCCACCTCAGTGACACGTATCCATAATACAGAGCCCACTCTATCCCACTTCAGTCACACGTGTCCATAGTACAGAGCCCACTCTACCCCACCTCAGTCCCTGTGCTCTTGCAGCTCTGCCTTGCACACACACGTGCACACAAGTGAATATGTGTTTTGTTCATTTCTAGTAAAACGGTTCTGTCCCAGGGAGCACACACAGATTAAAGGAGGTGGTCACATAAAGCCCTCAGTGTGGTGCCCCACCCAGGGAGAAAGCCCACATATAGTGGAAATCCTTCTTCTCCACTCCACCTGTGGCGAGTTCTAGATAAGCATCACCTTCTTCACTTAGCAAAAGGGGACAGGAATGCTTCTGGGCCCATGCCTCAGGGCCCTGTAGGGCTTAGGTAAGGACCCCTAGGAGGGGCTGAGGACAAACCAGGTTCTTGCTCACGGCATTGATCCCTTCCACAGGACCAGCTAGGGGCCTGAGCAAGCTTCCTGTAGGATTCACAGGGGCTGACCACAGATGGAAGGTGACGGCAGTGAGGTCTGGGGCCAGAGGCTGGGCCTGCAACCCAAGTGCCCTCCCTGTACCATGGACACACAGGAGGACCCAGACTGCTGCAGGCAAAACCAACTGTGCCTGTGATCAATCGATGAGCAACCACCCCACCCCTACACCCTAGGACACCCAACAGAGGGGTTCCAGAGTCTGTGATGCTCTCCTCTCCAAGTCTCTCTGCCAGAGTGGCTCCACTTACTAGGGCCTTACCCGGGTCTTGGCCTTCAGGAAAACATGGCTCTCCATATCCTTGCTGGATTTACTGTGTGCCACACCAGCTTTCCTCATGGCATCCTCGCTGAAACACAAAAGGAGAAGAGACGTTTGCACACACCAGTGACTCCACCGCTGCAGGGCCCTGGCCAACAGGCCCTGCATAGCAGCTGCCCCTGGTGACAAGGTGCTATCGCCAGCACACCAGCCTGGCTGAGGTCCAGGAGAGGCATATGGGAAGGGGCACTCAACAGAGAGCAATGACAGGCCACTGAGCAGGGTGATCAGAAAAAAGGGACAGGAAAGGTGGTCGCCATGAAGCAAAGAGAGAGCCCTGGCATGAAGGGACGGGGCGGGGGAGGGGTTGCCCCTAGGGATGGCTCACAACCAGTTCAGGATCAAGGAAGTACGCATTAGACTACTGGGTGGCCAGCTGGCCTCTATTTCCTGCTCTCTGAGTGGCCTGCGTTCCCCATGAACTCTGCCAGATGGTAGCACCCTGGTTCTAGACTCGATTACTCCTATAAAATGAAGGGGCCACATGAAGTCATCTCTCAGTCCCTCCCAAGGCAAGGGTCTGTCCCTATGTGGGACAATGCAGGTCCTATATGTGGGATCAAAGAGACAAGCTCCAACTTCACTTCTAGCTAGAGACAAGAAGAGAAAGACCACATAAATGTGAAAAATATCTTTAAAAACCCATTTACCAACAATTTTGTACTAAGAGATAGAATCCTATGAAGAGTTTTTCATCACACTGCTGCTCCACGGGGATAAAGAGCCATGTACATCAGTTAAGGTGGAGACCCCTCGAATGCAGCACATGCTGCCCCACCCACCCCCACCCCCACCTCCCACACTCACACACAGAAAGACAAAAACAAGTGTGAATCTGTTAGAAAGGCCTGGCCTGTGGCTCCCAGGGGTGGACTGCTCTGGTGTGCTCACTGCCTGCCTTCTTGCCAGTGGGATGGGTCTCTTCCTTGCCTGGCCTCCCACCCTGGGCTTGCTGATAAAGAAACAAGTGGCCAGGTGCAGTGCCACACGCCTGTAATCCCAACACTTTGGGAGGCCGAGGCGGGTGGATCATCTGAGGTCAGGAGTTCAAGACCAACCTGACCAACATGGTGAAACCCTGTCTCTACTAAAAATACAAAATTAGCAGGGTGTGGTTGCGCATGCCTGTAATCTCAGCTACAAAGGAGGCTGAGGCAGGAGAATCGCTTGAACCGGGAGGTGGAGGTTGCAGTGAGCCGAGATTGCGCCACTGCACTCCAGCCTGGGTGACAGAGCGAAACTCCATCTCAAAAAAAAAAAAAAAAAAAAAAAGAAAGAAAGAAGCAGGCTGAGCACGGTGGCTCACGCCTGTAGTCCCAGCACTTTGGGAGGCCAAGGCGGGCAGATCACGAGGTCAGGCGAGCACGACCATCCTGGCTAACACAGTGAAACCCTGTCTCTACTAAAAATACAAAAAATTAGCTGGGCATGGTGGCAGGCGCCTGTAGTCCCAGCTACTCGGGAGGCTGAGGCAGGAGAATGGCATGAACCCGGGAGGCGGAGCTGGCAGTGAGCGGAGATTGCGCCACTGCACTTCAGCCTGGGCAACAGTGCGAGACTCCGTCTCAAAAAAAAAAAAAAGAAAGAAAGCAAAAGAAAAAAGAAACAAGCAAACATGTCAGGGCTCTGGGGCCTTGCCTCTGAGTGAATTGAATAGGCCCAGTCCAGCTCGTGCTAGAAAGCATTCTGACCACTCCAAACAGCAACCAGCCAACCTCAGGAAACTGAAGGAATGTACAGACGGGGCTACAGCAATATGACTGTGATTCTTAAAGACATCACAGAAAGGAGGTTTAATGCTGAGAGGTGCATACATCTGTCTTAATGTAAAAAGAAAAACAAAATGACATTGACCTACCACCCTGCTAGATTCAAAAAGCACTCTTGGGCTGGGCACGATGGCTCAGGTCTGTAATCCCAGCACTTTGGGAGGCCGAGGCAGGTGGATCACCTGAGGTCAGGAGTTTGAGACCAGCCTGGCTAACGTGGTGAAACCCTGTCTCCACTAAAAATACAAAAATTAGTCGGGTGTGGTGGCAGGCACCTGTGGTCCCAGCTACTCGGGAGGCTGAGGCAGGAGAATCGCTTGAACCCTGGAGGCAGAGGTTGCAGTGAGCCAAGATGGCACTACTGCACTCCAGCCTGGGCGACAGAATGAGACTCCTGCACTCTTGGAGTTCCTACCTCCCTGTCTGCTTCCTGAAGCCTGAAGGGAGGCGAGGAGGCAGCAAGGGGTTTCTGCTCACAAGGCATCCAGGTGTGGAACAGACAAGTAAGAAAGGTCACCAGGGCCACAAAAGATGAGAGAGTTAACAATCCAGGAGGATAATGACAACCAACTCACGCGCGGCACTGGGTCAGAGTCCTGGGGAAGCGAGGCATGGGTGGGCTGGGAGGACCCTGTACTCATGCTCTCAGGTTAGCATGGGGCAGGGTCTCCACACCCAGAGGCTGAGACGATAGCTGCTAGGCCCCAAGAAGTCAGTGAGCATTTCTGATAGAAGTGGCTGCACAGGCCTGTTTTCTGAAGGTTGCCTCATCTGTGCCCCTCAAGGCAGGTATGCCCTTCAAAGGCATACTTGTTCTTCCCACCTTCCTTTTTTCTTTTTCTTCTTTTGTTTTTTGAGACAATGTCTCACTCTCTCACAGGTGCAGCGCAGTGGGGCAAACACAGCTCACTGCAGCTTCAAACTCCTGGGCTCAAGTATCCTCTCACCTCAGCCTCCCAAATAGCTGGGACTACAGGCATGCGCCACCACGCCTGGCTAATTTTTTTATTTTTTACTTTTTTTGTAGAGACAGGGTCTTGCTTTGTTGCCCAGGCTGGTCTCAAACTCCTGGCCTTAAGTGATCCTCCACCTTGGCCTCCCAAAGCACTGGGACCAATAGGGAGACTCAGGGAAGAGCAGTAGAAACAGCAGGGGAGCATTTGCAGGCCAAGCAGGACGGCCTGGAGGCTGGCTGTGTAAGGAGTGGGGAGGCTGTGGGTGGCAGATGTGGCCAGGAGTCAGAGAGGAAGAAGGGTGCAGAAGAGTCTGGGGAGTGACAACCAGTTACACAGATGGGCTCTGTGCCCACCAGCAGCGATCAGAGAGCAAAGCCAGGCTTTGATACAAAAGCAGTCCTTTTGAGCTGCTACTGGCCGTTTTTGAGAGTGTCAGCAGACTGGCAGGCCCCAGACAGACACTGTCTTGGTGCAGCAGAGACACCTGGCACAGTCAGAGAGACAAGATCTAGAAACACAGCTTAGTGCAATAGCTCTGAGGTGGTGGGATGACCAGGTTGAAGAAATATGCTTGGTGAGCTGAAGGCAAGGTGGCACCATACACCAGGGGATGTACTGGCAGACGGGCCCTGTCCTGTCCTGGGTAATGTCACAGATGACATGGACACTGTGGGCACCGTCAGCTACTCAGAGCCTGAGGAGCATGGACCAAGCTGGAGGCCAGAAACAGGCAAGTCTTGACAGGCCAACACCAGGAAACCGAGTTGGGGTAAATGTCCAGTTCCACATGAGCTTCGGAGGGTCAGAGTGGGGCCAAGGAGCAAGGTGCTCCTCCGGCAAGGCGCTCCTCCAGCAAGGCTACCGCTCAGAACAGCAGCACTGTGCCATGTCACTCCCACATCTCTCCCACAGCATCCACCCAGGGAGGCCCAGCAGGTTTGGTGGCCAGTAACAGACCCTGTGTGGTTTTGCAGTTCTGACAACTGTATTTTTGAAAATGTCTTTGCTCCTGTTTCTAGTTTGAAGATCAAGTGTCACAAAATAGAGACAAAGCGAAAAAGAACCCAGGAACTCTGCAGCTAATCCCCCACACTTCCCTGCAGATGCCTGCCCTTTCCTCTCCAGCTGGCCTGGCGCTTTTCAGAGGCATCCCCTGCCTGGACATTGACTCCAGGAGGGTACCCATTTCACACTCCTGCTGAGGTCAAGTCCCCTTCCTTCCTCCCTTAGACCTAACACACCCGCTGCGGGAGGCTGCAGGCAGGACCCAGGCCCACCTTCAGAACAGCACTGGCTGCTCCCAAAGCCCCCTTCTGATCTCCCTGAGCTGGGCTCTGCTGCCATCCCCAGCATGCCTTCCTGAGCAGCCAGACCCGAATGGCTACTCCTCAGTCTCTGTCTCCTGAAAACAAAACCCTTCGAGCCACTGTCACGAAATGAAAGGAAACTATCACACAAGGAGACAGCCCCCAACATGGAGTAAGGAGCACAGCCTGAGACAAAGAACAGAGAACCCACATGTCACAGTGAGCTCTTCCCCCACACAAGCAAGCCGGGAAGACGAGGGCCTGTCCAGCCAGAGGAGGACAAAGAGCAGACTGGTGTCAGCTCACAAGGGAAGACCCTTGATGGCTGTCCTGCCACAGTCCTGTCCAACATAAGCAACAGGTTCACAAACAGTACAGGCCTATGAGGCGGCCACCAAAGAACCCAAGGCTGCCTGGGTGGTGCTCGCTCTAGCTGAGGAAGGGGGCTGGGGGCCACTCCCTGGTTGCGACCAGCCAGACCTCTGAACACAAGGACTGTTACCGGCTCAGAGCACACAGTCCCTTGCTGTGAACTGGGCTCCAATGCTCTGCCTTTGGCCATGGTCTAGCTGGTTGCCATAGCTATGTCTGTGTACTCAGTCAGGGTTCAACTGGTATCTAGCTTAGACTGAAGCCTCCCAGGGGACCGATTCATCATTACAGGCCCTTGGAGCTCCCCCACTAAGGGGTCTGAGGATGTCCTTACTGTCCAGAACTGTTCCCAGAACACAGTGTGTCTTAATGGCATTGCCCGACCCTGCCTGAGCAGCCAGCAGGGATACATCAAGAAAAGCTCTTCGTGTCTTCATCTCCCAGCACCAAGTGCCCATCCCAGAAACTTGGGAACTCCCTTCACTTTCTGACTGCCACCTTTAATTCTCCAAAGTTCAAATCTTTGCCCCAACTCCCACTGCATCTGTGGCAATTCCTCCCAAAGGGCCTCTGTCTCCCGTTCCCATTCCTACCCCCACGCCCTCGCCAGCTCCCCAGGTCACATGACTGCCAGTGAGCAACTGCCACTGAGTGTGGGAAGCAACCCAGGCCCCTGCTTGCTTTGAGCCTCGCTCCTCACCAGCAGAGCAGGCAGCCTGTCCAGGAGCCCACTGAGGAGCCTGCTCCTGCGCCTGCCCCACACACTCTCCCCAGGGCCCCAGGGATGATGACCTACTACCTGGCACATTGCCTGACTATCCCATCAGGCCTGTTAGGGCCTCCCACCCTGCTTCCACCCAGGCACCCCTGCTGTCGGCTGCACAGAAACCCTGTAGCCACCTCACCCATGTCTGTGGCACTTCCTGGAGGAATCTCTGGTTTCTGTGTGCCAGCCCCACTATACTAAGAACACCCTGAGAGCAGAGACAACGGCGTCCACTTTTGTGTGCAGTGGGCAGTCATCACTGCCAGGCACAATAACTGGCTCTTTTTAACACAAGGAGTGGTACTGTCATGCATTTTGATGGGACACGACGTGCAGAACGGAGAATCAGCGTGGCAGCCATGGGGGAATCCAGGCCTCAAACAGGCACGTCCTGGCAGTGGAGGCCAGGGTGCCTGGGAGAAGGCGTGTGCTGGGGCAGGCAGCTGGGCCTGGCAGGAAGCAGACAGGGGAGGAGGGACCTGGGCTCAAATTCCAACCTAGCCACTCACCAGCTCTGGGTCTTGGGAGAGGCACTCCCTCCCCTAAAGCGTAACCTCTTCATAAAGGAGGGGCTCTGAGAGGCTGTGGCCAGGACGAAGGTGCACAGACAGGGCCAGGCAGTGAGGAGAGGCCCACTGTTGGCCTGGTCTGCAGGGCTTCTGCCCAGCATGGGCCTGTTGTTCCTCACCTCCTTCCTATTCCAAATTGAGAAACTGGCAACAGGAGTCCAGTCCCAGTCCTTGTAATCTGAATGAGACTAAGATAAAGCAAAAAACTGGCAAACTGAGCTTCCTAGGGAAGGAGCACAGGGCATCAAACTTAAAGCCTGCTAAGGCCAGGGAGGCCTGAGGCAAGCTGCCCCGGTCTGCCCTCAACCCATCTGGCAGCGCCTCCCTATCCTTCCTTTGCACAAAGGGTGGGGACAGTGCCGACCTCACGGGTAGCCCTGAGGATGATAGTAGTTAATATTATAAGGCACTGGACATACAGGAAGTGCTAGGTATGCGTTAAAGAAATAAGTCAGGCAACAACCTGCCCAAATGTGCAATAGGATGCATCCCAAAACACCTCCGCCATGTGTTGAGGTTATTGTTGCCCCCTCCTCAGCAGACGATGGCCCAATGAGCATGTGCAGCTCCCTCAGGCAGAGCCACCCTCCCATTGGAGCTCTGAGTCACCTGCAGTGTACCCTGAGGCCAGCTCCACCGCCCGCAAGAAGGACACTCACACAGGCATGTTGATGAGGCATGAACTGGCCTCCCCACCCCAACTCCCGCTCTGCTCTGCTCCACGCCCTGACTCTTCCTTCCACAACCGCCCTGGTTCCCACCAAGGACCCTCTCCCCTCTCAGTGAGGCCTCTCCCCTGACCCCACCCTCTTTACCACTGCTCCCCCTGCCACACTGCCAGGCCCCCTTCCCTGGTCCAACTGCTTTCCCATTGCTGAATGAGGGCATGAATTCCCAGGACAGCCAGCTTCTCTGTCCTCTGCTGGTGTCTAAAGCAGGAAGGTGCGTTCCTCCCTGGGGCACAGATTCACCCTCCTGACCTCAGGGGGGCAGGATGATTCCTCTCAGCCGATTTATGTTCTGCTCGAAGGAAACTTCTGTGAGTTTCTTCTAATTTTCTAATTTTGAGAAACACAACATCTATCAATCAAGTGAACTCTCATAGGGCAGAATAAATTTTTGGCAGCTCCACTTCACCCCACCCAAGAAGCCTCCCAGTAAATTGCTGCCTGTGTGTGCAGCCTGCTTGCCCACCTGGGACAGGAGCCCACAGCTTGTATGTGGGACCCTTTACCCTATGTGTTTAAAAACCTAAATCACAGAGGACCACAAGACAACAGAAGGAGAGTTATACAATATCAGGATGATGGTTTCCTAAGCATGTCACCAGAAGCAGACACTATAAAGGAAAAAAGATTTTCCCATATTAAAAAAAAGATTTGGACTAGGTGTGGTGGTTCACGCCTGTAATCCCAGCACTCTGGGAGGCGGAGGTAGGTGGATCACTTGAGGTCAGGAGTTCGAGACCAGCCTGGCCAACATGGTGAAACGTCTCTACTAAAAATACAAAAATTAGCTGAGCACAGTGGCTCACGCCTGTAATCCCAGCACTTTGGGAGGCCAAGGCAGGTGGATCACCTGAGGTCCGGAGTTCGAGACCAGACTGGCCAACATGGTGAAACCCCATCCCTACTAAAAATACAAAAGGGCAAGGTGGTGGGCGCTGCAATCCCAGCTACTCGGGAGGCTGAGGTAGGAGGATGGCTTGAACCCGGGAGGCAAAGGTTGCAATGAGCCAAGATCCCACCACTGCACTCCAGCCTGAGCAACAAGAGTGAAACTCTGTCTCAAAAATAAAAAATAAAAATACAAAAATTAGCCAGGCATGGTGGCGTGCATTATAATCCCAGTTACTCGGGAGGCCGAGGCAGGAGAATCACTTGAACCTGGGAGGTGAAGGTTGCAGTGAGCCAAGATCAAGCCATTGCACTCCAGCCTGGGTGACAAGAGTAAAACTCTGTCTCAAAAAAATATATACGTAAATATAAAAATTAGCTGGGCATGGTGGTGTGCGGCCATAATCCCAGCTACTTGGGAAGCTGAGGCAAGAGAATCGCTTGAACCAGGGAGGTGGAGGTTGCAGTGAGCCAAGGTAGCACCACTGCACTCCAGCCTGGGTAACAGAGTGAGACTCTGTCTCTAAATAAATAAATAAATAACAGATATGAACCTCCAAGTTGAAATGAGGAACAAAGCCTGCACATTTAATTCCCTTCCATCTTAAAACCTGACTAAAACCACAGAAAAAAAAACCAGGAAGAATGGAAATGGTGGCCTCAACAGCCTTTTAGAAGCTGGAAAGCTGATGGCCCAGTGGTAACGTACACAGCAAGAGGACCAAGAAACCAGAGTCCTAAGTAACAGTGAGGAGGGGGTGCGCCCACCCAGTGACAGCCCTAGGTCTTTGCCAGGTTGAGGCCAGGCTGCACCAAGTGCTCTGGGACAGAGGGTGAAAGATATCCCTGCATCCCTCACTCCCCAACTTTACACTGTGGGTAGCTACTCCAGCACCAGGTGACCACAGGAGGTTTACTCTCTGGAAAAGCATGAAACGGATAGTCACTGGACTAGGGGGCCAACCCACCCAGTTGAAAAGGCACAGGTAGGACACTGAGAGAGGTGGGTTGTGTGGTCATCTGTGCTCTGGTCTAAGTGACTAGATCGATGCACGCTAACTGCCGAGACCCACTGGCCCATCAGCCTCCTCCATCGCAGTGAGCAGCATGCTGGCAGCCAGGTCTTCACCCACAGCCCAGTGTCTGGAAGACCATGCTCTAGGGCAGGGTCCCCAAGCCCTGGGCCACAGACCAGTACAGGTCTGTGGGCTGTTAGGAACCAGGCCTCACAGCAGTAGGTGAGCAGAGGGTGTGCAAGCATTACTGCCTGAGCTCTGCCTCCTGTCAGATAAGTGGTGGCATCAGATTCTCATAGGAGCACGAACCCCACTGTAAACTGTGCATGTGAGGGATCCAGGTCGCATGCTCCTTATGAGAATCTAATGCCTGATGATCTGAGGTGGAACAATTTCATCCTGAAACCATCCTCATCTGCCGGTCTGTAGAAAAATTGTCTTCTGTGAAACCGGTCCCTGGTGCTAAAAAGGTTGGGGACCATTGTTCTGGAGGAAGGACTCAGAATCTGCAGCCAGATGAGCCTTCAATGAAGTTCCCAGTCGACAAGCTCCACGTGCTGGAAGAGACTCCTAGGCTTTGGAGGGTCCCTCTCAGAGTGAGCAACCAGCCAAGGGCAGCCAGACGCCATAACATGGCCAATAAAGACCCCACAAGAAAAGAGTAATTTAGCGGTAACAGAAATTCAGCAAGAAGAAGGAAATGTAGAATTTATTAGGCCAGGTGCAGTGGTTCGCACCTGTAATCTCAGTACTTTCAGAGGCTGAGGCGAGAGGATGACTTGAGGTCAGGAGTTTGATTTTTTTTTTTTTTTTTTTTGAGACGGAGTCTAGCTCTGTCGCCCAGGCTGGAGTCCAGTGGCACGATCTCGGCTCACTGCAACCTCTGCCTCCCACGTTCAAGTGATTCTTCTGCCTCAGCCTCCCGAGTAGCTGGGACTACAGGCGCGCGCCACCATGCCCAGCTAATTTTTGATTTTTAGTAGAGATGGGGTTTCACCATATTGACCAGGCTAGTCTCGAACTCCTGACCTTGTGATCCGCCTGCCCTCGGCCTCCCAAAAGTGCTAGGATTACAGGTGTGAGCCACTGCGTCCAGCTGAAGTCAGGAGTTTGAGACCAGCCTGGGCAACATCACAAGATCCCATCTCTACGAAAAACAAAAATATTTGCCAGGAGTGGTGGTGCATGCCTGCAGTCCCAGCTACTTGGGAGGCTGAGGTGGGAGGATCACTTGAGCCCAGGAGTTCGAGGCCATAGTGAGCCATGAACACATCACTGCATTCCAGCCTGGGCAATAAAGTGAAAATTTATCAAAAAAAACGGTAGAATTTATTATAATATATATAAATATTATACTACATTGTATCCATTTAACAGGAATGGGTGCTATAAAAAGGGAAAAGTCAGATTACAAAAAAGGAAAAAGAAGGAGTTCTTGGAAATAAAAGCATGTTAGCAGTGAAAGGTCAAAGAAAAAATTGAGGAAATCACTTAGAGAGGAGAGCTAAAAGTAAAAGAGATAGAAAACAGGAGATAAAAGATAAAACTAGAGGCCCAAAGAGTGAACATTAAACACTCCAGCACAGGAAGTGTAGGGAGTGAGATTCCCCTGAAATGACTCAAAGGAACTTCCCAAGTAGAGCAGGACTTGGGTTTAGGGATCAAGACAAGTCATATGAGGCTGAGAGCTAGCACCTCAGGAGACAGAAGCACAAGCCAGCACAAGGGCAGCGCAGTGTAACATCATTTTAAATTCCCCAGTTAGCATGTCCCACCAGGGGGCCTAGATGCACTCAAACTGGCATGGTCTCCAGAAAGTTAATTCCCAGGAGTCCCTTCTCAGGAAGCTGGCAGAATGAGGGAATAAATCACAAAGGATGAGACACAGGATATAGAAAACAAGGGACCCAACAAAGGAAGACAACAGTCCCAGTCTGGGCAGACAAGCACGCTGAGGGCTGTCACACCACACCTGCGGCCACTGCCTAGAGGGTTCCAGAAGGGAGGTCCAAGAGGGTCACCGCCCACCTCCTTTGGGAGGCCGAGGTGGATGGATCACTTGAGGCCAGGGGTTTGAACTGAAACTGACAGCTCACTAGCACTGAGCCTGAAGATAACTGTACTGAGAGGCAACCGGAAAATAAAGGAAGAATAAGAATAGATACACAGAAAACTGGGCATAGTGTTGAAAAGGCAATTCTTTCCTAGGAAAAAAATAACAAGCAATTGCAGTACACCACTATGCTCAGCTGTGAATATCATTTGTGTAGGCAGAAAATGTAAACATTCATTACCGATTTATGCAGAAAGTAGAATACTGGAAGAATGAGGGAGGAGAAGCAGAGATAATGGCGATGGAAGGGAGCTACAGAGCAAGCCAACATAATTTGTAAAACGCCAAGTTGCAAAAGCAGCATGTGCCTATTACCTAGAATCAGAGGTATATGCCGGAAGAAAGCTCAGATGTAAAGGCAGTTGCTACCTCTGGGGAGAACTGGCAGAATGGGAACCACAGTAGTTTCTTGTCTTTTTACAGTTTATGTGATATATTATGTTGATAAAATTTAAAGTAATTAAAAATTAAATGAGGCCGAGTGTGGTGGCTCATGCTTGAGCCCAGGAATTCAAGATTCAAGATTGGCCTGGGCAATATAGTGAAACCCCATCTCTACAAAAAATACAAAAACTTAGCCAGTCATAGTGGTGCATGCCTGTAGTCCCAGAAACTCGGGGGCTGAGGTGGGAGGATTTCTTGAGCCCAGGAGGCGGAAGCTGCAGCGAGCCAAAATCGTGCCACTACACTACAGCCTGGGTGAAAGAGTAAGACCCTGTCTCAAAAAAAAAAAGAAAATTAAAATTAAAATTAAATGACAAAATGCACATAAAGAGTGTCGTAGAGAAATACTCAGCGAACAATAGCTATTAAGAAGGGTCACGTGGCCGGGTGCAGGGGCTCACACCTGTAATCCCAACACTTCGGGAGGCTGAGATAGGTGGATCACCTGAGGTGGGGAGTTTGAGACCACCCTGACCAACATGGAGAAACCCCGTCTCTACTAAAAATACAAAATTAGCCAGGCGTGGTGGTGCATGCCTGTAATCTCTGCTACTCAGGAGGCTGAGGCAGGAGAATCACTTGAACCCGGGAGGTGGAGTTTGCAGTGAGCTGAGATCGTGCCACTGTACTCCAGCCTGGGCAACAAGAGTGAAACTCCGTCTCAAAAAAAAAAAAAAAAAAAAAAAGAGAAAGGTCATGTTTGGCCAGGCTCAATGGCTCATGTCTGTAATCCCAAAACTTTGGGAGACCGAGGTGGGTGGATCACTTGAGAGGCCAGGAGTTCAAGACCAGCCTGGCCAACATGGCGAAACCCCATCTCCACTAAAAATACAAAAATTAGCTGGGCGTGGTGGCCCACGCCTGTGGGACAGGGCAAAACTATGTCAAAAAAAAAACAAAAAAACTCATGTTCACCTTTCTTTTGTTTTTGAGACAGGCTCTCTGTGTTGCCCAGGGTGGAGTATGGTGGCGCAATCAGCTCACTGCAGCCTCCGACTCCTAGGCTCAAGCAATCCTCCCTCCTCAGTCTCCCGAGTAGCTGGGACTACAGGCCTAGCTAATTTTTTAAAATTATTTTTTATAGAGACAGGATCTCACTATGTTGCCCAAGCTAGTCTTGAACTCCTGGCATCAAGCGATTCTCCCACCTTGGCCTCCCAAAGTGCTGGATTATAGGTGTGAGCAACTGCGCCCAGACCACTTTCACCTATCTAAACCTTCCTGTCTCAGTCAACACAGGGACAGTAAGTTTCTCCTCTATTAGCAATTTGGACCCCCAGGAGCGTCTCAAAAAATTGCCACAGGCCAGGGAACAGTGGCTCACACTTATAATCCCAGGACTTTGGGAGGCCAAGGCAGGCGGATCACGAGGTCAGGAGTTCGAAATCCCGTCTCTACTAAATCCCGTCTCTACTAAAATTACAAAAGTTAGCTGGGCATGGTGGCAGGCGCCTGTAAGCCCAGCGACTCCAAAAGCTGAGGCAGGAGAATCGCCTGAACCCGGGAGGCGGAGGTTGCAGTCAGCCGAGATCGTGCCACTGCACTCCAGCCTGGGTGACAGAGCTAGACTCCGTCTCAAAACAAAAAACAAAACAAAACAAAAAAAACCTGCCACATATTCCTTCTGCAAGTGGCCCCACAGTCAGAGTATGGATGGAGTTTGAAGGGACCTCAGGATGAGTGAGGCCAACGGCACAGGCAAAGCAGTTCCTCCCACCCCCACCCCAAGCCCCACCAATCTGAGAGGTGCCTTCTGGCTGCAGCTCAAATGCCTCACCACACTCCCAGCCAGAAAAGCCCCTTCCCTGTCCTCCATCAGTGCAGGGCTTGTTCTCACCCAGCCTTCTGACCTTCACTAGGTCTCTAGACAGCTACAGGGTGGCATCCCACACTGTCCTTGGACTTCTTCCAATCCTGCAACCAATTTACTGCCCCAGTGCCCAGGTGCTTTCATCTCTAAGGCAGGAAATGATGAGATACCGATTGTTCAGTCATCAATGTAACCAAAGCAAACATCTGGCCTCTCTATCTCTCAGGCAGCTGGGAGCACATTTGTCAAACTGTATCCCAAACAAACTGTAACTTTTTCCTTTACTGAAACTTCTACATTCTGGTTCTTTTACTTTTTAAAGAAACATAAAAGTGTTTTTTTAACAAGATAAAAATATATACTTCAGAATTTAACTCTCCACCCACATGTAGGAATGGGTATTTTGGTCCTGCAGAATGAAAATCTCGAATCATACCAATACAGGAGACTTCAAACACTGTACACCCCTCTGGGCTGCTTGATGACGCTTTCTTGCCTCTATCCTCAAGGTCTCTCAACTCCCAGTAAACAAGATCATTGAAAGAACTAACCTGCAGAAAAGGCTGCTGCCCTTCAAACTGTGTACTGTTGTCTAAGCTAGTTCAGAAGAATACACGAGCTTCCTTCACATACTCCAATCTGTTGGTTTGACTTCTGAAGAACCAGCAGAGTTGGAAAGGCCTCGAGATCTCTGTCCTGGTGCTGGCCTGGGGCTCCCCTAGGTCTCGCCTGAAAGTGTCCCATTCACCACCAGGCAAGCATGTGGCAAGGAGGAGATCTGCCAACCCAAATGCTGATCTCACATGGCTCTGTGGTATTTGGTGGGGGTGGGGAAGCTCGATCTTTTAGAGATCTGCACTCAAGTACTCACAGTTGAAATCATCTGGTGTCTGGGATGTGATTTAAAATAGTCCAGGAGGTGATGAGGAAGGGTGGGTGAAGCAACACTGGCCATATGTTGCTAACTCTCAAAGTAGTTGGGAGACCACTTTTCTATTATCTCTACTTCTGGGAACACTTGAAAAAGTCCATAATGAACTTTTTTTTTAAAAAAAAAGGAAGTCAAATGCTTATCTCAAGCCCGTGGGATGATTGTGCATGATCCACACCTCATGTGAACCTGGGCTGTGAGCATGCAGGTCCCAGCCAGACTCCATCCAGGGAGAGAACACAACCTAAGCCATGGGAAACCTATAACTCAAAACTGAACTCACAGTCTCAGCCTAGTTTCACTTTAAAAATACATGTGTATATATATTTACATATTTAAAATGCATACATATCAAGCTATAAGCACACACAAGACTGGTGGAAATATATCAATATGTCAGTAACAGCCAGCTCTGGAGAGAGTATGGAAAACACCTTCCTGTTTTTCAGTCTTCTACAATGTTATCCGGAATGGAACGAAGTACTACACCCACAAGTCCTGAAGGTACTGACCAAAACAGGAGGGAGAGACGGGACCGGGGCTGCTGTGACTGGAGGCTGATGGGGCTCCACCGTGCCCCATCCTCTCATCCCACAGTCTTCCTTCACATCTGCTCTGCCCACCACAGCCCTGCTCTGGAGTTCTCTGCTCTGCCACTTCTGCCATCCCCACCTAGGCAGACAGGTTTCATCCAGCCTCCAGGACGGCCCACCCACTTGCTCCTGCAGCAGGCTGCTCTTCCCAGGTTTGCTTCCCCCATCTCCCACTGACTGTTGGAAATTTCACCCACACCCACTCCCCACATCATCACCTTACACCCAGCCCTCAGATCAGTAGAGAGGCTGTGGCAGGAGAACTGGTGGAGTGCATACCAGTGCCTCCCTCCTCCCTTTCTCCTGCAAGCTCATATACGCATGCACACGGAATACGAGCATTCACACATGGAATCACCAAATCCTACCACTTATTTCCTTATGAGCTTCCTCCCTCCTAGATCAGCCTTTCCATTCCTTTTTTCTTTTTTTAATCATCCTTTCCCTTCCTACTGTCACTGCACCCAGTAAATTTCAGCGTGCATTCAAAATCAACGAGAGTGCCTGTTACAGACAGGTTCCTTGACAATACCAGGTGTTGGCAAGGATGTCCAGCAAGTGGAACTCCCTCACATTTTGCTGGTGGGAACGTAAACTGGTACCACTTGGGAACACTGTTCAGCAGAACATGCTAAGAGACACATCCTCTGACCCAGTCCTTTATTTAACTTCTAGGTGCACAGCCCAGAGAATTAAGTGCATATATTTACCAGAAGACATGACCAAAGCCATTCCTGGGGTTGCCTTCATGTAGCCAACATCTGGAACTAACACCAAAGTTCATTAGGCACAAAATAAAAGAGTTATCTGGAACAGAGTCCTCCATGGAATAACACGTCATAAACAAGAACAGGCTGGTCACGGTGGCTCACGCCTATAATCCCAGTATTTTGGGAGGCCAAGGCGGGTGGATCACCTGAGGTCAGGTCAGGAGTTCAACACCAGCCTGCCCAACATGGCGAAACCCCATCTCTACTAAAAATACAAAAATTAGCCAGGCATGGTGGTGCACGCCTGTAGTCCCAGCTACTCTGGAGGCCGAGGTGGGAGAATCATGTGAACCCTGGAGGCAGAGGCTGCAGTGAGGTGAGATTGAGCCACCACACTCCAGCCTAGGCAACAGAGAAAGACTCTGTCTCAGAAATACATAAATAAATAAATAAATAAATAAATAAATAAATAAATAAGGCCAGGCGCAGTGGCTCACGCCTGTAATCCCAGCATTTTGGGAGGCCGAGGTAGGGGGATCACGGGGTCAGGAGATGGAGACCATCCTGGCTAACATGGTGAAACCCCATCTCTACTAAAAAAAATACAAAAAAAAAAAAAAAATTAGCCGGGTGTGGTGATGGGCGCCTGTAGTCCCAGCTACTCAGGAGAATGGTGTGAACCCGGGAGGCAGAGCTTGCAGTGAGCCAAGATCACGCCACTGTACTCCAGCCTAGGCGACAGAGTGAGACTCAGTCTCAAAAAAAACAAAAACACAGGCTGGGCATGGTGGCTCATGCCTGTAATCCCAGCACTTTGGGAGGCCGAGGTGGGTGGATCCCCTGAGGTCAGGAGTTCGAGACCAGCCTGGCCAACATGGCAAAACCCAGTCTCTACTAAAAATATAAAAATTAGCTAGGCATGGTGGTACGTGCCTGTAATCCCAGCTAATCGGGAGGCTGAGGCAGGAGAACTGCCGGAACCTAGGAGGCAGAGGTTGCAGGGAGCCAAGATTGTGCTACTGCACTCCAGCCTGGGTAACAGAGTGAGACTCCATCTCAAAAAAAAAAAAAAAAAAAAAAAAAATAGAACAACTGCTGCCTGTGAGGATAAATGAGGATAAATTTCACACATGATGCACACAATTGCACAGAGGACTGTAATCCCAGCACTCTGGGAGGCTGAAGCAGGTGGATTGCTTGAGCCCAGGAGTTCGAGACCAGCCTGGGAAACATGGCAAAACCCCATCTCTACAAAAAACACAAAAATTAGCAGGGCATGGTGGTGAGCACCTGTAGTACCAGCTACTTGGGAGGCTGAGGTGGGAAGATTGCTTGAGCCCACAGGAGGTCGAGACTGCAGTTAGCCGAGATTGTACCACTGCACTCTACCCTGGGCAACAGGGCGAGACCCTGTCTCGAAAAAAAGATGGCACAGAGTGTGATTGCACAGAGATTCCAAATGTCTCGGCTGGCCATGGAAGTCAGAAGAGTGGTGCACAGTTTGCCCTGGCTGGGTGCAGATCTGGGGAGTATCAACAGTTCTCTGGTGGCACACTCAAGATTGGAAGTATGCGTGTCGTTCACTGTGATAGGGATTATACCTCAATTTAAACACCCCATGAAATAAGCAAGAGCTCTGAGCCTGTGCCTCAGGACCCTGCCCTGTTCTTTGGTTGGCCTGAATGCCTACTACAGAGCACTTGGCAGGGACTTCTCCCTCACACGAATCAAAGCAGACTGACAGCACTTGCAGGACGTATGGTGACCCACCGAGGCTTCTGAGGACGAACCCTGAGTTCTACTTCACAACAGGGGCTCTGTCTCACACATAGCAGACTCATCACTTCCTCAAAGGTCATGTCTGATGAGGAGGACTGAAAGGAAGCTTGGAAAGAGCAAAGAACAGAAGAGAAGGGCAGCGGGCACGTGGGATGAGTCACTTCTTAACCTACAAGCACTGCTTTCACCCAGCCCCCAGAGCCCACCAACATAAGAAGAAGCAAGGGGTACGTAGGCTGGGAAGAACAGAAGTTCCAGGGGTGGGGGCCTTGCTGGTCCCCTGCCTTTGGCCCAGATGTCCCTCATTCCCCTTCAGCCCTCCAGCTCACACTTCACTCTTGTGTGAGCCCCTATCTCTCCCCCAGATTCATAGGCAGAGCTCAGAGAAGCTGCTGGGGCCAAGGATTAAAAGTGAACAAATCCTGCCAAAGAGAAGGGCTAGTTAAAAAAAAATTAAAATTAAAAAGACAGAAACAAATAAAAGGAAACGAAGCCCAGAAGGAGGAGGCCCCCAGGGAGTATGGGAAGATGGTAAAAGTGAGAATGAGCTGGTGAATCCCAGGGAAGAGGATGCCTGAGTGCTTTTACTGTCCTTGCAACTCTCTGTACATTTGAAATATTCTCAAAATAAAAACCTCAGGCCGGATGCAATGGCTCACGCCTGTAATCCCAGCACTGTGGGAGGATGCGGCAGGCAGATCACCTGAGGTCAGAAGTTTGAGACCAGCTTGGCCAATATGGTGAAGCCCCATCTCTAATAAAAATACAAAAATTAGCCAGGTGTGGTGGTGCAGGCCTGTAATCCCAGCCACTCAGAAGGCTGAGGCACAAGAATCACTTGAACTCGGAAGGCGGAGGTTGCAGTGAGCCAAGGTCAGGCCAGTGAGCCGAGGTCAGGCCACTGCACTCCAGCCTGGGCAACAGAGCAAGACTGTCTCAAGAAAAAAAAAAAAAAACACCCTCAAAATAAGGAGACATGGGGCTTGGAAAGAAGGTAAAGCATCTTCTCCAAGGACTCACTGCCCTAAATAACAGAGTTATTGTACCTCAAGCCCTTAACCCAATCACAGGGCCTCTATTAACAGCCCTGCACCTAGACTAGAAAGAGAGTCATTACTAAAGTTGAGGCGAACATCTCCCTTATGGGGTGATGGTTTAGAGGTAATTATGCCTTGGCTGCTATTCTATTCCCCTCTGTTCTCTAGCCTGTACTCCCCTTTGTCTTTAAATAAATGTCTCAGGGCCAGGCACAGTGGCTCACACCTGTAATCCCAGCACTTTGGGAGGCGGAGGCAGCAGATCGCTTGAGCCCAGGAGTTGGAGACCAGCCTGGACAACATGGCAAAACCCTTACTCTACAAAAAATTACACAAATTAGCCGGGCATGGAGGCACACACCTGTGGTCCCAGCTACTTGGGAGGCTGACGTGGGAGGATCGCTTGAGCCCAGGAGGTGGAGGTTGCAGTGAGCCACAATCACGCCACTGCACTTCAGCCTGAGTGACAGAGTGAGACCCTGCCAAATAAACAAACAAATAAATGAATGTCTCAAAAAGAAAATCAACCATCACAAGCTGTGAGGGAAAAAAGTTCAAAATGAGAAGTTCAGAACGGTTTAGGCAGCACTGATGGACAAAACCATGGCAGGCTTTAATTAAAGCCAGCACTGCTTTCCACAACCCTACATATAATTATTATGTACTTCATCTAGGCCAAGATATTGTGCTAAGAACTATAAGAGACATAGAGCTATGAGTCCAGGTCCCACACTCAAGGAATTTCCAATGCTGTTGGCAAGGCAAAAAATAGTTAATCTGTTCAGTTCGTGTCAGGATGCACTCAATGAGGGCTCTGGAGCCACCACAGGCTGAGCTAACCATCAGGGGTCATCTGGAGGGGATGAAGCCAAGGTCAAAGCTTCACCAGGGAAGAGGGTCACAGAGACAGAGGAAGAGCCAGACACTACAGCATCCAGAAAGGGCATGGTGTGGCACAAAGCTCTCGTGCCAACATGAAGAAAGGTAACTTGGAAGGACAGTATCAAACTGAAAGGGAAAGGGCCTCAAGCTCCCTTGCAGGGATGGAAAGGATGGAATCATCCTGGGAAGGCTGGTCTGGCATTGAGGGCCCAGGTGAGAGAAGTCACCAGGCACGCAAGCCTGGGCGACAGGGCGAGACTCCATCTCAAACAAAGAAAAAATTAAAATCATTCATACCAGTTAAAGACATCTGTTTAATAAAACTCAGCCTGTACCACGCATCCTGCTTGGTAACAAGCGCTTGTCGATGTTGACGCATTATGGCAGTCCCTCACGTCAATGTCAACAGCAGCACAGAGCCCATCACCTGCAGCTACAACTCTAACCAAGCTCCCACTGTTGGTCTGTTTCACAAATCCCACTCCTGAGACAATGATGCGGCAATGAGCACCCTCATCACCATCAGGCTTTGAATACTTTCCTGATTGCGCCCTTGGAGGAAATCGACATTTTTAAGGTACTGGGATAAACAGTATTGCCAAAAGGCCTTCCAGAAAAAAAATGGATCTAATTTAAGTGCCCCCAGCTGAGCTGACTGGTTGCATCTTCCTGTGGTGTTTCTGCCATCTCTACCTGAGGTGAATGTCCCCTCAGGACAGCCCCCATCACCATAGCAGCTGAAATGGGCCTGCAGCAGTACTCAGGAAACTGGCACTGGACAGATCTAGGAATCCCCCTGCTACAGCAGTCCTGAGAGGCAGGAAATGATTGATTCAAGCTCCTGCCCTGACGAGTTCAGACTAGGAGGAGATAAGCCTTCAAACAAACCAAGTGCAACCTGGAAACTCCTCACCAAGCCTGTGAAAAGAGCAGCGGGGTGGGGGCAGTGAAAAGAGCAGGGTGGTGGGGGCAGCAGAAGGCCCAGTCTCCTTGGAGAACGGCTGCACTGCTCAGCCACGAAAAGGAAGGATCTTTTAGGTAGGCAAACAAACTGGACACAGAGCAGGGAGTAAGAACTGAGATTGTCTGAGGATCCACTGCCAGCTTGGTATGATGGAGCACAGGTCAAGGAACTGGCAGGCAGGTGCAGACACTGCACGAAGGATCAAGACTAAGAACAGAATCCACAGACAGTGGGCAGCCACTAAAACAGTCTGGGCATCAAAATAACTGGGGATGGCCAGGCGTAGTGGCTCATGCCTGTAATCCAACACTTTGGGAGGCAAAGGCAGGAGGCTCACTTGAGGCCAAGAGTTCAAGACCAGCCTGGGCAACAAACCAAGACCTGGTCTCTACCAAAAAAAAAAAAAATAAGAAAATTAGCCAGCATGGTGGCGCCTACCCTTAGTCCCAGCTACTTGGGAAGCTAAGGCAGGAAGATCACTTAAGCCCAGGAGTTGGCTGCAGTGAGCTATGATTGTACTGCTGCACTCCAGCCTGGGCAACATAACAAGACCCTTTCTCAAAAAATAGTAATAATAATTGTGTGGAGGTCAAGTACATGAGACAAGAGTTGATAATCACTGAAGCAGAGTGGTGCGTATATGGACATAGGGGTCTTTCTTCTATTTGGTTTTATGATTTAAATTTTTCATTTTGAATTTTTAAAAATTCATTAAAATTCCTTAAAATGTTTGCCCTCCAGATATTTAACAGAAATTACTGTCCTAAGGAATGCTTTAAAGGAGGCTAGTACCCCACAGCCCTGCCATGATAGTGGCAGGGAGATAATCACGTGGTCATGGTCCTTCCTACCTCGGGATGCCCAGCATGGGTCCTTGACTGGCCACAGCCACAGCATCACAAACACCAGTAATAGCTGGAAGACCTCTGGTCAGGGTGGATGTCAGGGCCTGCAACTGTGGTAGGCATGTGGGGTCACTTACAAAAGGGACCTGGTAGGGCTGGGGGTTAAGGTCTGGGGGGTACTGGTTGGCAGAGGCCAAAGATCAAAAGGGGCTTGCTGGCTGGCTCTTCCTCTGCTGTTAGGGTCCAAAAAACAAAAACAAATAAAAGGGGTTTGTCTGTCTTGTCCTGCTGTGGTTCAGCAACCATTCATTTATTTACTTATTTATTATTATTATTATTATTATTATTTATTGAGACGGAGTTTCGCTCTTGTTGCCCAGGCTGGAGTGCAATGGCGTGATCTCGGCTCACTGCAACCTCCGCCTCCCAGGTTCAAGCAATTCTCCTGCCTCAGCCTCCTGAGTAGCTGGGATTACAGGCATGTACCACCATGCCCAGCTAATTTTGTATTTTTAGTAGAGACAGGGTTTCTCCATGTTGAGGCTGGTCTAGAACTCCTGACCTCAGGTGATCCGCCCGCCTCAGCCTCCCAAAGTGCTGGGATTACAGGTGTGAGCCACCGCGCCCAACCTACTTATTTATTTTTAATTTTTTTTGTTTGTTTTGAGACAGAGTCTTGCTCTGTCACCGGCTAGAGTGAAGTGGCGTGATCTTGACTCACTGCAACCTCCGCCTCTCAGGTTCAAGCGATTCTCCTACCTCAGCCTCCCAAGTAGCTGGGACTACAGGTGTGCACCACTATGCCTGGCTAATTTTTGTATTTTTAGTAGAGACGAGGTTTTATTATCTTGGCCAGGTTGGTCTATATATTTTTTTTTTTTGAGACTGAGTCTCACTCTGTCGCCAGGCTGGAGTGCAGTGGCGCGACCTTGGCTCATTGCAACCTCTGCCTCCCGGGTTTAAGCGATTCTCCTGCCTCAGCCTCCCCACCGGGACTACAGGTGCCCGCCACCATGCCCAGCTAATTTTTGTATTTTTAGTAGAAATGGGGTTTCACCATGTTGCCCAGACTGGTCTCAAACTCCTGACCTCAAGCAATCCACCCACCTTAGCCTCCCAAAGTGCTAGGATTATAGGCGTGAGCCACTACGCCCAGCCTTCGTAAACTTTATTATGAGATTTTTTGGCAATTTTTTTTTTTTAGCTCGTCAGCTATCATTAGTGTTAGTGTATCTTATGTGTGGCCCAAAACAATTCTTCTTCCTACATGGCCCAGGGAAGCCAAAAGACTGGACACCCCTGATTTACAACATGTAGAGTAACTCTAAGCAGCAGTGGCCTCTCCTCTAGGTCTCATTTTCCTCATCTTATAAATGTGAGTAACATGTACATCTACTGACAAAGAAAGCATGAAGAGGGGATGAGTCAACATCTGTCAACTCCTGCAACAGGGCTTGGCATAGCATGCCTGCCGCACGTCAGCTGCTGTTGAGAAAGCCCTGAACTCCTGAGCAGATGACTGAGGGCTCAAGTCCCCTCAGGTCACTGTCACGACTGGCCTAGAGGCTCAACAACCACTTCCTATTTGCCCATCAGGAGCAGCCCTATGGGGCACTGGGGCTATGAAAGTGAAGAGAGGGACAGACAGGGCCCCTAGCCTCAAGGAATGGACATTCTAGCAATAGGTTATACACAGACACCTGTAAGCCAGTGCAGCCATTTATGTGACAACCAGGCTATGAAGCTGGAAAACAAGGGCTGGAGCTGCACCAGAAGGGCACAGAGCTGTGAGTGGGAAAAGCCACAGAAAAAGCTCCGCCAAGGCTGACTCACTGGCTTCTGCCTATGGCACGACCATGACCCACAGGCAGAATCTGGGCTTGCAAGTTTAAGGGCACTCCCTATCCTTCTGAAGACCTCTCCAGACCCTTGGAAGTTGCTGTTCAGTTGTATGTTTTGTTCCTTGTGTTGTCTTACTTGGAGCTCACGTCTCTCTGGAGGCTTCACTAGAAGAGGTGGCTGACCTGGCAGTTCCAGCTCCATTCCATGCTCCCCCTAAGCCCCTTCTGGCACTTCATCAGATACTGGACTGTCCTTCCCCAGCTGTGTCACCTCCTCTCTGTATTGTTTTGCCCAATGGACATCTATTTATTTCATCTTTATATGTGCAATCTGCTGTACAGAGGGGTGGGAGGGATAAAAGTCTCAAGAATAGGATCACAGAAAAACCAAAAAGAATTGAAAGAAAATAGCTGATAAGGTCCTTTTGTTCATTCACAGCTTAAATATTTTCTACAAACCTGTATGACAGGTGCAGCACTAGTCATTGCAGATGCACTCTTGTTCTCTGAGAGCCTATAGCCCAGAGACAGGCTCAACATTAACCCAGCAATCCCATGAGGAAGGTCCAAGCCCCAAAAAGGCCAGTTAAATTGGTTCTAAGGGTGGCTTATCCTGCAGTTTCTGCAGGGAGAGTAGATGTTCAATAAAGAGTCAACAAAGGCAAGCACGGTGGCTCACACCTGTAATCCTAGCCCTTTGGGAGGCTGAGGCAGGTGGATCACTTGAGCCCAGGAGATCAAGACCAGCCTGGGAGACATGGTGAAACCCTGTCTCTTACACAAAATACAAAAATTAGCTGGGCCTGGTGGCATGCGTCTGTAGTACCAGCTACTTGGGAATGCTGAGGTGGGAGGATCGCTTAAGCCTGGGAGCCAGAGGTTGCAGTGGGCCAAGATCATGCCACTGCACTCCAACCTGGAGGAGAGAGCAAGATTCTGTTTCAAAAAAGAAAATGCCAACATGAAGCTACTAACAATTTCCCAACTACCTCCCCACAGGCTCCAATAAGGGTCATCAATTTCCCTAACCAGGCTTGGGGTATTGGGGTATCACCCTTATTCTCCAAGACTATAGATCTCCTACTCCTGCAAGGGCACAGGAGGTGGTGGCAGGGAGCTCACCACTGAGTCCCAAGACCTCTGCAAAGGCTTGTACAGAGGTCTCTTCATTTTTCCCTTCTACCACACCTGTAAAACAGATTGGCTTTCTACCATTTCATTGATGAGGGACACGATTAAGAAAGGCTAGGCCAGGTGCAGTGGCTCACGCCTGTAATCCCAACACTTTGGGAGGCCGAGGCAGGTGGGTCATGAGGTTGGGAGTTCAAGACCAGCCTGACCAAGATGGTGAAACCCCGTCTCTACTAAAAATACAAAAATTAGCCAGGAGTGGTGGCGGGTGCCTGTAATCCCAGCTACTCTGGAGGCTGAGGCAGAGAACTGCTTGAACCCGGGAGGCAGAGGTTGCAGTGAGCTGAGATCGCACCAATGCACTCCAGCCTGGGCCACAGGGCGAGACTCCGTCTCAAAAAAAAAAAAAAAGAAAGAAAAAGAAAGGCTAACAAGTGTAACAAGTGGAGAAAGCAGGGGCTCCAGAGCTTCACAATGTACACTGGTTCAGGTAAAGAATACCACTGCACTGGAGAATCACTTGAGTCCAGGAGTTTGAGGCTGCAGTGAGCTATGATCATACCAACTGCACTCCAGCCCAAGTGACAAAGCAAGACCCTGTCTCTTAAAAAAATAAAAAAATAAAGAATACCACTGTAATACAAGAGGTGACCCGGCCGGGCGTGGTGGCTCATGTCTGTAATCTCAGCACTTTGGGAGGCCGAGGCGGGTGGATCACGAGGTCAGGAGTTCGAGACCAGCCTGACCAACATGGTGAAACCCCGTCTCTACTAAAAATACAAAAATTAGCTGGGCCTGGTGGCGCATGCCTGTAACCCCAGCTATTCGGGAGGCTGAGGCAGGAGAATCGCTTGAACCCGGGAGGCAGAGGTTGAAGGAACCGAGATCACACCATTGCACTCCAGAGTGAGACTCTGTCTCAAAAAAAAAAAAAATTAGCTGGGCGTGGTGGCGGGCGCCTGTAGTCCCAGCTACTCAGGAGGCTGAGGCAGGAGAATGGCGTGAACCTGGGAGGCGGAGCTTGCAGTGAGCTGAGATTGTGACACTGCACTCCAGCCTGGGCAACAGAGCGAGACTCCACCTCAAAAAAAAAAAAAAAAAAAAAAGAGGTGACTCACACAGCCCCCAAGAAAATACTATTCCACTCCTCAACAAGTGTTTTGTATACCAGGTACCAAGCTTCATAGGTATGAGGTCCTATGGGAAACTAAAAAGGGCTGAGATAAAACATATCAGAGGCGGTGACCAACTTTAGATCAAGCAGGGAAGGATCCTCTGAGTATCTGATACTGAGCAGACACCTAAAAGAAGGAGCTAGTCATGAATACAGTGGTGGGGAGGAGTCTACTCATTTTTCAATACCTTAAACACTTGATAATAAATTGGTTAAAAAGAAAGAGCTCAGGGGCCAGGCATAGTAGCTCACATCTGTAATCCCAGTGCTTTGGAAGGCTAGTAGGGAGGATCATCTGAACCCAGGAGTTCAAGACCAGTCTGGGCAACATGGTGAAACCTCATCTCTACAAAAAATATAAAAATCAGTCAGGCGTGGTGGTGTGTGCCTGTAGTCCCAGCTACTCAGAAGGCTACAGTGGGAGGATCGTTTGACCCTGGGAGGTCAAGGCTGCAGTGAGCTATCATCGTACCACTGCACTCTAACCTGGGCCACAGAGCAAGATCTTGTCTCCAAAAAAAAAAAAAAAAAGCTTAGAATGTTCAAGAAGCTGAAAGACCAGAGAGGTCAGAACACGGTGGGGGTAGGAGAAGAGATGACTATACCAGGTCAGGGTGAGGGGCTGGGAGGGTGGGACATCTGGAGTTTTATTCTAATGCTAAGAAAAGTCACTGATTGTTCTGCAGCAGGGCAGTGGCTACACTTTAGGCCTCACCCTCACTTGTGCTGTTGGGGGAAGAAGGATGGGACTGGGAAGAGAGCAGGAGACCACAGCCCAGAATGGGCCCAGATGAGGTGGAGGCAGTGGAGGGCTAAGAGGCTGAACTGGAGAGTCCCTGCAATGGCTGTCTAGTCATAGCCAGCCTCAACTCAAAATCCCTTTTTCTCAGTGGGAGCCAGGAGACTAGACTATATACCAGCTCATGCTCTGGGGCATTGTTCCCTAGGCTCTTGGTAGAGACAGATAAGTAACCATCAAATGTTTTCTTCTCTGTCAAAACTCAGAATGCTTTTTTTTTTTCTTTTTTTGAGAAGGGTCTTGCTCTGTGGCCCAGGTTGGAGTGCAGTGGTGTGAACGTAGCTCACTGCAGCCTCGACCTCCCAGGCTCAAGCGATCCCCCCACCTCAGCCTCCAGAGTAGCTGGGACTACGAGTGCACGCCACCACACCCAGCTGATTGTTGTATTTGTTTATGTTACCTAGGCTGGTCTCAAACTCCTGGACTCAAGTAGTCCCAGATCTCAGCCTCCCAGGGTGCTGGGATTACAGGTGTGAGTCACGGTGCCACAAGCAAGACACTTTCTCTATCCCTTCATCAACTATAAATTACTTGGGTATAAAGCATTTCCCAAAATGGCCAAATTTAAACAACAGTGTAAAAACATGGGAGGAAGTTAAGAGTTAAAGGTATGTCTAGAATTCTAATGCAAATCTTTTTTTAACCCTATGAGCACAATAAATCAAGGCACCAAGAATCACGACTTTCAACGTGAACCCTAGAGAGAAAGTGAACCCTAGAGAGAAAACAGACAAATTTGAGAACTGAGAACACCCACATCACCTAGGGAAGGCAACCTCTGAAACTGCTCTTCCCGGCTGTGGTAGGAGAATGCCCATCTCGTGCCTAATCCCTAGAACTTGTGAATATGCTACATTACATGTCAAAAGGAATTCTGCAGATGTAATTAAAATTACAAACTTTAAAATAAAGAGATTATCCTGGCTTCTCTGTGTGCACTAAATCTAATCTGAGCCCTGAAAAGCAGGATATTTTCTCTAGCTGAAATCAGAGAGATGTGGCAGAAGAACTGGCCCTCGCTGGAGGGAGACACATAAAAAGCATGAGAAGGAATTCGGGCAGCTTCTGGGAACAAAGACTGACTCCTGGCTAACAGCCAGTAAGGAAAGAGGGCACCTCAGTCCTACAAGCTCAAGGAACTGAATATGGCCAACAGCATAAATGGGCTTGCAAGCAAGTTCCACCCCAAGGCATTCAGTAAGAAATGCACCCTGCCAACGTCTTGATTTCAGCCTTGATAGGCCTTGATAGCAGGAGACCTAGTGGAACCTACTTGGACCTCTGACCTACAGAAACTACCAAATGATAAATGTGTGTTTTTTGTTTGTTTGTTTTTGAGATGGAGTCTCGCTCTGTCACTAGGCGGGATAGCAGTGGTGCGATCTCGGCTCACTGCAACCTCCGCCTCCCGGGTTCAAGCAATTCTCCTGCCTCAGACTCTTGAGTAGCTGGGACTACAGGTGTGCGCCATCACACCCAGCTAATTTTTGGATTTTTAGTAGAGATAGGGTTTCACCGTGTTGGCCAGGATGGGTCTCAGTCTCTTGACCTCGTGATCCGCCTGCCTCAGTCTCCCAAAGTGCTGGGATTACAGGCGTGAGCCACCACACCTGGCTAAAGGTGTGTTGTTTTAAGATGCTAAACTTGTGGTAATTTGTTAGAGCGGCAACAGAAAAACACACAAACAGCAATATCGAAAAAAATAAAGAACTCAATTCTCCCGGAAGCAAAATAAAGCTGAGTTATGAAGTATCCAGTCACTCAACACCCATAAACTCTTCAATCACCCTCCCAGCCCTCTTAACACTTCCCCTACCCCCATTTTCTTTGATGACAACTCACCCTTCCAGTTCTTAATTCTGGGCTTTCCCAGAGAAGAACCCTTGCCCTGGGGACTTTTCTTGCAGGAACCCTGAAGTGGGATATCTCTCAAGTTTTCACCTACAGATAACTATATTTTATCAGTAAAACACTGTTCACTGATTGTGCAATATCCCCAGAAATATCCCAAGGCTATTCTTCCCAAAGCCCATAGCTACTAACTCTACAGTCCCTACTCTTTCCACTGTACTGAAAGGTTTCCCAGCATTCAGCCCGGCTTCCTTCCTTCCACAATGCTTCACCCCACACCCCACCCCCCTCCATCCAGTTAGTCATCAAGAATTGTCTACGTTCCCCCTCCTCTGGAATCTGTCTTCCTCTTTCAGTTTCTACCACTGTCTAATGCAGGCCTTTATAATCTCCCGCCCGACTAGGTCATGCCACAATCATTTTACGGAGCAATGTGGCAGGCAGTGAGCTAGCAGTGAGAATATAAGGATGAAAAAGGACAGGTTCCCTACTCCCTCCAAATGTTCAAACTCTCTTAATAGCTTAACTGGTCTCTCTTCTCTGCCCTGCATCCATCTCCAGGGACAGGGACTCTAGGCATATTCCCAACACTGGCATTTCACTACTCCAAAGAATGCCACATGCCAAACACAGGCTCAATTCCTTGGCACAACACCCCCACTAAAGTGCTAGTACCTGCTCACCCTCATTCCATCATCTCCTGGGCTCTCTTACTCCTCGAGCCCCAGAACTCTCAGCCTACAAGATCCTCCCTCCACGCAGTAAATGCTCATGTTTCCTAACTCCTCAGCTTGGAATGGTGGCTATTCACACTCCTACTTGTCTTTCTAGGACTCAATTTATTCGTCACCTACTCACTAGACTGCCCCTGGTCTGCTCAAGTTAACCGCCGCTTCGCAAGAAACCCCTGCAGTATACACATTACAGACTGACAAGACTGCGCTGTGACGGTTCCTTTACCATCCCTCAGGAAAGGGGCTGTGTCTCAGGCAAATCTGTGGCGAGCACAACACGCCAATAAGCTCAGTTAAAAACTGTCAGGCCTCTGAGCCCAGGCCAGGCCATCGCATCCCCTGTGACTTGCACGTATACATCCAGATGGCCTGAAGTAACTGAAGATCCACAAAAGAAGTAAAAACAGCCGTAACTGATGACATTCCACCATTGTGATTTGTTCCTGCCCCACCCTAACTGATCAATGTACTTTGTAATCTCCCCCACCCTTAAGAAGGTTCTTTGTAATTCTCCCCACCCTTGAGAATGTACTTTGTGAGATCCATCCCTGCCCACCAGAGAACAATTGACTAATTTTCCATTACCTTCCCAAATCCTATAAAACGACCCCACCCCTATCTCCCTTCGCTGACTCTCTTTTCGGACTCAGCCCACCTGCACCCAGGTGAAATAAACAGCTTTATTGCTCACACAAAGCCTGTTTGGTGGTCTCTTCACACGGACGCGCATGAAAAAAACTGCTAACAGAAACAAGCAGTCGGTGGTGAGGGGCTAGAGTTCCTCTGAGCGGGGCCACTGACCCCAGCTCTTCACGCTCTCCTCCAGAAACGACGATCGCTTCCTGACAGCGGCTTCCTGCCATCCTTCGGCAAAGTCCACATTCCTTCGGGGGGTCACCCTCAGATCCTCCGTCCCACCGCCCACACCCCAAACAACTACCTTCCCAATCTCATCTTACATCCACCCTCCTCCCATCACTTTCTTTCACCGTTGATGCGCTTTTCTGGAAGAGAAACCATGAAGCACCCAGCCCTGCTAAACCCACTACAGCCGGCTGCTTCTCTCCCTTTCCCTATTCAGTGTGGTTCAAAAAGCGGGGGAAAGTCTGCACCCAAAGCACACAAATGACGAATGAGAAAGCTCAAGACGATGATTCATAAGCCAGGGCTCGTTGGTTTGCAGAGCTCGGCCCCAGGAAAGCAAACGAGCAGTCCATGTCGGGAACGGAGGGGACAGACGGGGGGGCCCGAGCCCTGGGACCCACGCAAGTCCCCGGCGCCTTCTGTCTCCCGGCGCCGTAGGTTTCTCACGGGTCCGGCCCTGGCCTCGCCCGCCACGCTAAGGAGGAAGGTCCCACAATCCAGCCCCCTGCCCCGACCACTACTCACATTTGACTGACCAGCTTCTGCCGGAAGGCGGTGCTCCGCCAGTCGGTCTCTTGCCCGGAAACGTCCATGCCTGTTCCCCAGCTCCCGCCGCCCGTATCCCGCTTGGCCGCCACCGCCGCCGCCTCAGTCACAGAGCCAGGCCCAAACCCGGAAGCCGTCCGCAGTGCCTCGGCCGAGCCGGAAGTGAAGGAGGGCTTGTGGGAAATGGAGTCTCGCGCACAGGCTTGTGGGAAATGAAGTTCCCCGCCGGGGACGAAGCGGTCTCGGTTCCGCCCGGCTGGGAGACACACGCCCCTCTTCCAGTGCAGCTGTCGGACACGGCAGGTGCTCCCGCAGCAGACCTGCGCCTGACCGCCTGCATTTTCTGCAACTCTTCAGTGTGCTGGCCTTATCTAGTCCCTGAGATCCAGACCCCTCCGGGATGCCAGGCCAAGCTGCCAGCTATCTATAGTAATGCTAGGGAGAGAGTGTTTATTTATCAAATATGTGTGGGTACCTACTGTGTGCCAGTGCAACGTGATCTGGGATCTGCTTTCATGCAACTGCCTGCTAGCGCCGCATCCGAAGAGCGACCAGATGGACTCTCATCACCGCTTCACTCTTCGATTTTTTGAATCTCACATCTCACAATGGCTGTATTTGGGGGTTGGGAATGTGAGGCCCCTAAACCACGTTAATTAATTTTTAGACATGGGCTTTCCCTTTTGACCAGCAGCCACGTCCCCTTCATGGAGAACTCAGCCTAGCTAGTTGCTGGAGGCCAGATGTCAAACGAATTTGATAGGTGAAGGTGAGCGAGCTGAAGGTGGGATGAGGGGTTATGGGGGCCTGAGAATGCTTTTAGGAATGTAAAAGTTCTGCCTCCTTGGAACTATGGGGCCTTTATCTGCTACCCTGGGGAGGGAGGTGACGTGAGGAAAATCTGGAGCCCAAGTGGTCAATAAGCACCAGGTGGACACCAACCAACATGGGCCTCAGGAGACTGTGGACTGGCACCTACTGAAGCCTAAGTGCCAGGCCCCTGCTAGGCACTGTACACCCCTTACACCCCTTGTTACTGTGCCCCAGACAGGAGGTTGAAGGTGGTAGAGAGTGGGTGGGAGAGGAGTGAGCACTCTCCCCAAAGAGGCCTCTCTTGCCAACAGAGTTTCATGTCTTGTGTTGATGTGAGAGCTGTTCATGTTTTCAAACGTTTTCTGCTCTAATACTCCCAAAATCGTTATTGTTTTTTTTGAGGGGGGGGGGATAGAATTTAGCCCTTGTTGGCCAGGCTGGAGTGCAGTGGTGCCATCTCGGCTCACTGCAACCTCTGTCTCCCGGGTTCACGCAATTCTCCCACCTCAGCTTCCCCAGTAGCTGGGATTACAAGCGTACCCCACCATGCCTGGCTAATTTTTGTATTTTTAGTAGAGACAGGGTTTCACCACGTTGGCCAGGCTGGTCTCGAACTCCTGACCTCAGGTGATCCACCTACCTCGGCCTCCCAAAGTGCTGGGATTACAGGCATGAGCCACCGTGCCCGGTGGCAAAACTAATTTTTTTTTTTTGAGATGGAGTCTCGCCCTGTTGCCCAGACTGGAGTGCTGTGGTGACATCTCGGCTCACTGCAACCTCTGCCTCCCGGGTTCAAGTGATTCTCCTGCCTCAGCCTCCCAAGTAGCTGGGATTACAGGTGCCTGCTACGAAGCCCAGCTAATTTTTTGTATCCTTAGTAGAGACAGGGTTTCACCATCTTGGCCAGGCTGAAAACTAATTTTTAAAAACTCTATCTAGAGTGATCATCTTGACCGGGGTTGCCCAGGACATCCAAGGTTTTAGTGTTTTTTTCCTTGTTTTATTTTGTTGTTGTTGTTTGTTTGTTTGTTTTTTGAGATGGAGTCTTGCTCTGTTGCCCAGGCTGGAGTGCAGTGGCACAATCTTGGCTCACTGCAAGCTCCGCCTCCCGGGTTCACGCCATTCTCCTGCCTCAGCCTCCCAAGTAGCTGGGACTACAGGCGCCCGCCACCACGCCCAGCTAATTTTTTTGTATTTTTAGTAGAGACAGGGTTTCACCGTGTTAGCCAGGATGGTCTCGATCTCCTGACCTCATGATCCGCCTGCCTCGGCCTCCCAAATTGCTGGGATTACAGGCGTGAGCCACCGCGCCCGGCCCTTGGTTTTTTTTTTTTTTTTTTTTTTTTTTTTTTTGAGACAGAGTCTCACTCTGTCGCCCAAGCTGGAGTGCAGTGGCGCAATCTCAGCTCACTGCATCCTCCGCCTCTCAGGTTCAAGTGATTCTCCTGCCTCAGCCTCCTGAGTAGCTGGGACTACAAGCACCTGGCACCACATCTGGCTAATTTTTGTATTTTTGGTGGAGACAGGGTTTCACCATGTTGGCCAGGATGTTCTCAATCTCCTGACCTGGCGATCCACCCGCCTTGGCCTCCCAAAGTGTTGGGATTACAGGCGTGAGCCACCACGCCCAGCCTTGTTTTCTTTTTTTTTGAGACAGAGTCTCGCTAGGTCTGCCAGGCTTGAGTGCAGTGGCGTGATCGCTTACTGCAGTCCCCGCCATCCGGGGTTCAAGTGATTCTCGTGCCTCAGCCTCCCCAGTAGCTGGGACTACAGTGCGCCACCACGCCCGACTCATTTTTGTATTTTATTTTATTTTATTTTTAGTAAAGATGGGGTTTCACCATGTTGCCCAGGCTGGTCTTGAACTCCTGACAGGTGATCCGCCTGCCTCGGCCTCCCAAAGTGCTGGGATTACAGGTGTGAGCCACCGTGCCCAGCCCCAGGTTTAAGTTTTGAAAGTCCTGTGTTCTGGCTGGGCATGGTGGCTCACGCCTATAATCCCAGCACTTTGGGAAGCTGAGGCAGGTGGATCACCTGAGGTCAGGAGTTCGAGACCAGCTTGGCCAACATAGTGAAACCCCGTCTCTACTAAAAATACAAAAGTAGCCAGGCATGGTGGTGTGTGCCTGTAATCCCAGCTACTCAGGAGGCTGAGGCACGAGAATCACTTGAACCCAGGAGGTGGAGGTTGCAGTGAGCTGAGATTATGCCATTGCACTGCAGCCTGGGCAACAAGAGCGAAACTCTGTCTCAAACAAACAAACAAACAAACATGTTAATAGGATACTTAGGACAACCCTCCCCCTTCTGCACTATGGTTGATGGAGACACAGACACATAATTCACAGACACAGACAGAGAGAGGCCTGGAACTTTGCCAGGAGTTTATCATCACAGTAAAATTGAGTGACTATTCCCTTTGGTATTTTCCCCAGAGCTCTTTTTCTACTTGTCCCCGCATTGGGTTGGTGCCCAGGGCAGTGATCCCTGGTGACAGTCTGGATGGGTGACCTGGAAAGGTGGACCAAGGAAAGTAAGGGGCCACAGGAAGGTTGATCCTGAAGTGGACTTGCCCTCTCTTGACACTGTAGACCCTCCTGGGATCCCCAGTCTGGATGTTAGTGGTTTAGATGTCTGAGAATAAGTGATGGAGGAAGCCGAGGGTATGCAGAGGCCAGACCTGCATCCCACACTATGTTCTGGGGATCCTCATCTCGGGGGAGATCCTCACTGCTCATGTGGCCATGTCTCTAGCCTGCGGGTTCCTGCAGGCTACCATGCCAAGGCTGGTTCCACTCAATGGCCACATATTTCCTGGACACCATTCTGGGCTCTGCAGGAGGTAGGAGCTGGAAGCTTCCCAGGCAGATCAAGCTTCCCCCTAGAGAGCTCAGCACAAGCTCTGTGAGCCTGTGGCTGTCTCCATACAGCCTCACCTCCAATCTTCCTCCTTGCTTTGGCACTCAGTCCCTGGGAGGTGGTGACCTGCCCCACCTTCCATCCTAGCACCAGCCAGATGTAACTCCTCTGTGTGTTTGGCCTGGAGCCTGTAATCACTTATGTATGTGGAGGTAGGGAGGGAGTGGTTATTGTTTCTTTTTTTTTTTTTTTTGAGATGGAGTCTCACTCTGTTGCCCAGGCTGGAGTGCAGTGGTGCAATCTTGGCTCATTGCAACCTCCAGCTCCTGGGTTCAAGCAATTCTGCCTCAGCCTCCCAGGTAACTGGGATTACAGGCGCACGCCACCATACTTGGCTAATTTTTTGTATTTTTAGTAGAGATGGGGTTTCACCATGTTGGCTAGGCTGGTCTCGAACTCCTGACCTCAAATATCCACCTGCCTCAGTCTCCCAAAGTGCTGGATTACAGGCATGGGCCACCGCGCCAAGCCATGCAATTCATTTTTTTTTTGAGACAAAGTCTCACTCTGTTGCCTGGGCTGGAGTGCAGCAGCACGATCTTGGCTCATTGCAACCTCCGCCTCCCAGGTTGAAGCAATTCTCCTGCCTCAGACTCCCAAGTAGCTGGGATTACAGGCTTGTACCACCGTGCCCAATTTTTTTTTTTTTTTTTGAGATGGAGTCTCGCACTGTCTCCCAGGCTGGAGTGCAGTGGCACGATCTCGGCTCACTGCAACCTCCACCTCCCAGGTTCAAGCGATTCTCCTGCCCCAGCCTCCCAAGTAGCTGGGATTACAGGTAGGTCCCGCCACCACACCTGGCCTTACTTTTTATTTTTAGTAGAGACCAGGTTTCACCATATTGGCCAGGCTGGTCTTAAACTCCTGACCTCAGGTGATCCGCCCGCCTCGGCCTCCCAAACTGCTGGGACTACAGGGGTGAGCCCAGCCGCAATTCATTTTTATTGCACATTTTGCTCTTAGGTTGGATTGATAGTTTTATTATCTTTACCATTCAGTAGTGATAACATAAAACTTGTTTGACTAGTCCATCAATTTTCTTTTTTGAAACGGAGTCTTGCTTTGTTGCCCAGGCTGGAGTACAGTGGCGTGATCTCAGCTCACTGCAAGCTCCGCCTCCTGGGTTCACGCCATTCTCCTGCCTCAGCCTCCCAAGTAGCTGGGGACTACAGGCCCATGCTGCCACACCTGGCTAATTTTTTGTATTTTTAGTAGAGACAGGGTTTCACCGTGTTAGTCAGGATGGTCTTGATCTCCTGACCTCGTGATCCGCCCGCCTTGGCCTCCCAAAGTGCTGGGACTACAGGCCTGAGCCACTGCACCCGGCGTAGTCCATCAATTTTCAAACTAGCTTTATTTACTAAAGAATATTCCAGATCATGTAAACTAAAAAGCAGTTGGATTAGTTTCTATTTTTCTTAAATTTTTGGTAATATTTAGCTTGTATGAATGCTTATTTACCTCCCTCTAAGACCAATAATCCTTTTAAGACACCACAGACAAAAGAGACATCTTCAAAGGAGGGTACAATTTGAATATAACTCCTTTAAGGGATTTAAAAAATTTAGGCTGGGCGTGGTGACTCATGCCTGTAATCCCAGGACTTTGGGAGGCCGAGGTGGGTGGATCACTAGGTCAAGAGATAGAGGCCATGCTGGCCAACATGGTGAAACCTCGTCTCTACTAAAAATACAAAAATTAGCTGGGCATGGTGGCTCGCACCTGTAGTCCCAGCTACTCAGGAGACTGAGGCAGGAGAATTGTTTGAACCTGGGAGGCGGAGGTTGCAGTGAGCCGAGATCATGCCACTGCACTCCAGCCTGGTGACAGAGTGAGACTCCATCTCAAAAAAAAAAAAAAATTCAGTTAGTAATACTGAATATGGAGATAGAAAAAATATTATATATAATATTCAAACATACATACATAGATATACACAAATATAAACACATAAACGTAAAAACACAAAGATCTTATAGCTTTCATTCCAAAATGGTAGTCGTGAGTCAGTAAAACACAGTAATACAAACTCACTGGTTTCTCTCTCTCTCTATATATATATATATGTATGCATACATATATACACGTAAATACGTATATATACATACATATATATTTTTCGAGATGGAGTCTTCTTGCTCTGTCGCCAGGCTGGTGCAGTGGTGCAATCTTGGCTCACTGCAACCTCCGCCTCCCGGGTTCAAGCGATTCTCCTTCCTCAGCCTCCCAAGTAGCTGGGACTACAGGCGAATGCCACCACACCTGGCTAATTTTTTTTGTATCATTAGGAGAGACGGGGTTTCACCATATTGGCCAGGCTGGTCTTGAACTCCTGACCTTGTGATCTGCCCGCCTCGGCCTCCCAAAGTGCTGGGATTACAGGCGTGAGCCACCACACCTGGCCCCCAGAAAAAGACTTTTAAAAGAGTATTCATTTGCCCAGTTTCCAAACAGTTTCATTTTTTCTCTTTTTATCCTTAGGTGGTTGTTTTTGCAGGATTTTGAGTCCCTTTAGGGCAGGGAGCCCTAATGTTTAAGTGACTGAAGTGCTGAAGTGGAAAAAGTTCTGGCAGGTTGGATGGAGGGCCAGAGTGGCCTGAATGGGGACGTATCAAAGGAATCAAGGAAACTGGAGAAAATATCGAAGGTGGCAAAAGGAGGAAGGGGGAGCAGAAGCAAATGGAAAGGAGAAATCTCAGAGGGGCCTGTTTGGGGAGATTGCAAGTTTCCCAAAGAAGCCAATGAAGTTGTCCTTTATCCTTAGCAAAAATCATGGCAATACAGAAAAGAAGCAGGAGGCAGAGCCGATAGAGGGCAGGGACTCCGGAAGAGGGGCTTCAGGGAACCAAGAAGACCCCAGGGGAGAAGCAGGATCCAATAGACAGAATATCAACTTCTGATTACGCCATCTTCTTTTTTGTTTTTTAGAGACGGAGTCTCACTCTGTCGCCCAGGCTGGAGTGCAGTGGCGCAACCTTGGCTCACTGCAACCTCCGCCCTCTGAGTTCAAGCTATTCTCCTGCCTCAGCCTCCCGAGTAGCTGGGATTACAGGCACCTGCCACCGCGCCCGGCTAATTTTTTGTATTTTTAGTAGAGACGGGGTTTCTCCATGTTGGCCAGGCTGGTCTTCAACTCCTGACCTCGTGATCCACTCACCTTGGCCTCCCAAAGTGCTGGTATTACAGGCGTAATCCCAGCTGGGCACTGAGCCACTGTGCCCAGCCCCACTTATGCCATCTTCTGATCATAGAGCTGTAAAAAAAAAAAAAATCCTTTCAAATATCTCATTGTCAGTTTTCAGCCAGAACAGATAGTACATATTCCTGGCAGTACTGAACACTCTTCCCTACTACCACCCTGCCCACCCACCACTTTTCTTCTTGTAAACCAAAGGTACCTACCAAGCAACTCAGAACCAAGACCAATAAGCATTTTATGACTTAACCATGGACAAAAGAGACATCCTCAAGGCTGGGCACAATGGCTCATGCCTGTAATCTCAGCACTCTGGGAAGTCAAGGTGGGAGGACCACCTGAGGCCAGGAGTTCCTGATCAGTCTGGGTGAGACTCTGTCTCTTAAAAAAGAGAGAGAGAGAGAGAGAAAGACACACTCCAAAGAGGGTGCACAAAGATTCAGCACTCTCAAATCCAGACCCCTTGCAAAGACAGTCAAAAGAAAGAAGGCACCTTTGGGTTTTTTTTTTTTTTTTGAGACGGAGTCTCGCTCTGTCACCCAGGCTAGAGTACAGTGGCGCGATCTTGGCTCACTGCAACCTCTGCCTCCTAGATTCAACCCATTCTCCTGCCTCAGCCTCCCGAATAGCTAGGATTACAGGCATGCGCCACCACACCTGGCTAATTTTTTTGTATTTTTAGTAGAGACAGGGTTTCACCATGTTGGTCAGGCTGGTCTCTAACTCCTGACCTCGTGATTTGCCTGGCTCAGCCTCCTAAAGTGCTAGGATTATAGGCGTGAGCCACCGTGCCTAGCCAGAAGGCACCTTTGTTGACACAGGTGACTAAGGATGTCATCTTGTACAGAACACTGTCACGTCTCCAGTCATGGACTGGCTCATCTATCACACCAATGAATACTGAGACAACAAAAACCCCTTATAGACTTGGCCCACTTACAAACTCCTCTGTCATGGTCAGAAAAAGAGAAGGTTCAGAACCTTCTCTTTGGCCGGGCGTGGTCCCTCATGCCTGTAATCCTAGCACTTTGGGAGGCTGAGACAGGTGGACTGAGGCCAGGAGTTCCTGACCAGCTTGGGTGAGACCCTGTATCTTAAAAATAAAAGAGGCCAGCCACGGTGGCTCATGCCTGTAATCCCAGCACTTTGGGAGGCCGAGGTGGGCAGATCACCCGAGGTCAGGAGTTCGAGACCAGCCTGACTAACATGGTGAAACCCTGTCTCTACTAAAAATACAGAAATTAGCTGGCGTAGTGGCAGGTGCCTGTAATCCCAGCTACTCAGGAGGCTGAGCCGAGATCCCGCCATTGCACTCCAGCCTGGGTGACAGAGCAAGACTCCGTCTCAGAAAAGAATTAAAAAAAAAAAAAAAAAATCACCCTGCGCAACATGATGAATCCCCCTCTTTACTAAAAATACAAAAAAAATTACCTGGACGTGGTAGTGTGTGCCTGTAGTCCCAGCTACTCAGGAGGCTGAGGCAGAAGAATCAGTTGAGCCCAGGATGCAGCAGTTGCAGTGAGCCAAGATCATGCCACCATGCCACTGCACTCCAGCCTGGGCGAAAGAGCAAGACTATTAAAACAAAACAAAAAACAAACAAACAAACAAAAACCAAACTTTCTCTTTTTCTGACCGGGACAGAGGAGTTTGTAATAATGCAAGCTGTTACTTGCAACCCTAACGCAAGCTGTCCTAAAGCAAGCTGTCACTTGCACCCACTGGCTATTCAGAGATCAGGGAGAATATTCTCACTGGTCATAAAGCCAAGCTCTCAGGACACAAATAAAACAAACAGGAAAGAGGTAGCTGTGCCTGGGAGGAAAGGATCAATAACAAACAGTTACCCCTCAACCAAATTTAAGCAAGAGTCACAATCCAGACACAATGTTTTCTTCTGCTAATTTGAATTTGGAAAGGAAGGGACAAGAAGTTTTTACCTTCCACTCTCAGCTGAGTACTACAGGCAGTGATATGGGACAGTTAACCTTGGTAAGAATGCTTACCTTTTGCCAGTTGTCCCAAGTGGGGTGTCTTTGCCACCCCACTTGTTTGTTGGGTGCCAGAAAGAGTAGGGGGAAAAGGTAATATTTTTTCCTCACGCATCACAAGGTTCCTGGTTGACACCCCTCTAACAAAGGACAGATTAACAAGAGAAAAGCATATCAATTTATTTAATATAAATTTTATATGACACAGTAGCCTTCAGAAAAAAGCCCCAGTGTCTAGTGAGGGGTCCGTTCTCTGCTTTTTTTTTTTGAGACGGAGTCTTGCTCTGTCACCCAGGCTGGAGTGCAGTGGCGCGATCTCAGCTCACTGCAAGCTCTGCCTCCCGGGTTCACGCCATTCTCCTGCCTCAGCCTCCCAAGTAGCTGGGACTACAGGCGCCCACCACCATGCCTGGCTAATTTTTTGTATTTTTAGTAGAGATGGGGTTTCACCATGTTAGCCAGGATGGTCTTGATCTCCTGACCTCATGATCCTCCCACCTCGGCTTCCCAAAGTGCTGGGATTACAGGCGTGAGCCACTGCGCCCAGCCGATTCTCTGCCTTGAAGATGGTGCTTATTACAGTGTCCTCACCTGGCAAAAGTGGGGGATGAGCTCCTTCGAACCTCTTTTATACACTGATCCCATGGTGAGGACTTCACCCTCATGACCTAAACCCCTCCCAAAGGCCCTACTTTATAATAGTATCGCACTGAGGATTCAGTTCCAACATATGAATTTTGGGGGTACCGACATTCAGACCACAGTGGCCTTCTTGTTGCTGCCCCAGGATTCCTTTTCCTCTCCTCTCTGGGTCCACCCGTACACCTGGTCCCATTGGGCCTTGGAGGTCAGTCTTCCCCTACCTGGAGCCAAGGGGGGCCTCATCTTCCCCCAGACCTGCTCTTGCTCTGGCTCCCCTGTAGGCAGGGTGGGCCTACTTCCCCACCCATCTCCTGGGCTCATTCTTCACACATCACTGGGCTTATACTGGGGAACCTGCTTCCTTCCCAGGTTTCTAGCCTGCTCCACTCTGGTCTTCACTCCCTGCCTGAGACCACAGCACTGTGGCTGGCTCCCTACTCAGTCTTCGTCTCTACCATATTGGCATCTGCCCACCCTGGCTACAGGGTGCCCTCAGGGCTAAGTCAAGCCTCCAAAGGGCAGGGTCTGCTCTCCAACCTTCCCTTCAGGCTCAGAAAATTCTGGAAACCTCCACACCACTCACTTTGAAGGATCTCACCTCCACGTTTGCTGACACTGTCGGCTTCCTGGAATGCTTTTCTTAATCCCAAAGTCCTCCTCTGTTACACAGTAGGGGGGTCTCCTCCAGAAAGTCTTTCTAGGAGGAAGCCCACTCCCATTTGGAACCTCTGCCTCTGGAGGCCAATCCCGTTCTCTTGATCCTTGTCTGGGACCCTCAGTTATCTCTCTGGACTCAGCCAGGACAGCAATTCTCTTCCGTGTATTTTCCTCCTTTTACATTCCCCTTCCACCAATTTTTTTTTTTTTTTTTTTTTTTTTTTTTGAGACGGAGTCTCGCTCTGTCACCAGGCTGGAGTGCAGTGGCGCGTGATCTCGGCTCACTGCAACCTCTGCCTCCCGGGTTCAAGCGATTCTCCTGCCTCAGGCTCCCGAGTAGCTGGGACTACAGGTGCGCGCCACCACGACCGGCTAGTTTTTTTGTGTGTGTTTTGGTAGAGATGGGGTTTCACCATGTTGGCCAGGATGGTTTCCATCTCCTGACCTCGTGATCCGCCCGTCTCGGCCTCCCAAAGTGTTGGGATTACAGGCGCCAGCCACCAAGCCCGGCCCCACCTTTCTTTTTAACCATGAGCCATCTCCAGCCACATCCTCCCCCTACCACTCTCTCCACCCTTCACAGTCCCTCTCAAAACCACAGTGTGGGACACTCCAACCTTATCCCATCAGGAGGCTCTGTGGCTCCAAGCTCTGGGCGCAGCCATTACGGATACGCCTCGGAGGATGGGACCTGCTCGAAGGTGAGGTGGAGAACAATGAATGCCAAGACCCGCGCACGGACCTCTGGGACCAGGCTTTAAGACTGGGAATTAGATTTACTGCAAAATCTCAGTAAAGGAACGGGCACACAAACTAGCACCTGTTCACTCTGGCGGTGTTAAGCGATTCTCCCCGATATCCCGCAGGGGGCGCGCTACGGTCAGCGGCACCGACCGCGGAGGGAGCGGGGAAGGAGCAGGCCGCGGGAGGGAGGGAATGAGCGCGTGACGAAGGGAACAAGTGGAGGAGAGGAGGAAAGAAGGGAATCAAAGAGGGAGGGAGGCAATGGGAGAAGAGGAGAGGGAGGGAGGGAAAGAAGGGGGGAAATGAGACAGGGAGGGAAGGAATGAGAGAGGGAGGAGAGAACGAGAGTTAAGGAGGGAGGGAAAGGGAATGAGAGAGGGAGGGGATGAGAGGGGGAGACAGGGAGGGAGTGAATGAGTGAGGGAGGAAGGGAATGGTGGGTAAGATAGGAAGGGAAGGAATGAGAGAGTGAAGGAGGGAGGGAATGAGAGGGGGGGAGTAAGAGAGGAGAGAAGAGAGTGAAGAAGGGAATGAGGAAAGGAGAGGGAGGATATGAGCGGGGAGGGAGATAGTGAGGAAGGGCAGGAGGAAGTGAGTCGAGGAATGAGGGTAGGACCGAGGCAAGGAAAGAGTCAATGGATTCAGACGGGGCGACTCTCGGCAAATTCGCTCATTCGTTGGTTCGGCCCCGCCAAGTGCCAGGTGCCGCGCTAGTGCGGGGACTCACTGAGCCTTGGCGATCGCTGCTGTCCTCCGCAGAGCGCCGGAGTGGAGCCGCCCCCTGTCTCCCCGCCCCAGGGCCGCCCCCGCGCTGCTACCCGGCCAGGCCGGGAACCCCCGGGCCTACGTCTGGCCCGCCCGGCGCCTGCGCGGCGCACCCACGTGACGGCCCAGGCCCCCGCCCCGCCGGCTCCTCTCGCCCAGCCTCCCGCCTCGCGCCTCCCGCCTCCCGCCTCCCGCCTCCCTCCAGCTGCGAGTGCGGCCTCGGCTGGCGGCGGCACCAGGTCAGCTGCGAGGCGTGAGCCGAACGGGCCGGGCGGCAGCGAACGCGGGGGTCGGGCGGCAAGCAGGCATCGCTGGGCCGGGGACAAGCTAGCGGCGCGGAGTCCGAGGGGCGCGGGGGCGGGCGCGGGCCGGAGGCTCGGGGGCGGCGACCTGAGGAGAGCCCGCGGCCTGACGTGGCGGGGACGCGGCCGGCGGGATCCCCGGGCGCGGGCGCGTAGGGGCCGGGATCTGGCGCTCGGCCAGGGGCCAGGGTGCGAGGCCTCCTCAGCGCGGCTGCTGGCGCGCCGGCCTCCTGGCACCCGGGCGGGCCCTGTTGCCTGCGGCAGGTCCGAATGCGGCCTTCCTGGCCGCGACCCTCCGCGCTGGAGCGGGCGGCCTTGCAACAGGCGGGCGATTTGGGGCCGGCCTGACGAGCCTCAGTTCCCTCGATCGGGCCCGGGGACTGCAGCCGTAGGAGCCCAGCCTTGCCAGCTCTCCCGGTTTCCTGAGAGGAGCCGGAGATCGCGCTGTCAGTGCAAAATCACCAGAGCGCGAAGCGTCGGCTGCCAGTTCTGACCATTTTAGATCCGGTGCGGGCCGAGCCGAGTGGATCTGGGGCGGGCAGCGGGGCACCGCCACCTTCCGCCTGGGCTCCTCACTGGGCGCCCTCGCTCCGGCCCTCCGCGGGGCCGAGTGCCTCCAAGACGGCTCCCTGGGAGATTCTTCCAGAGCGCACCCTTTGGAAGGCTGCCCCGCTGGGAATCAGCACCCACTCCCTCTCCTCTACCGCAGCCGCCCCCTTTGCCTTTGTGGCCGACCTTGCTTCATGCTGCCAAGGATTGAGTTTCTTTGAGGGGATACTGCTCGTTCGGGGGCCCTACAGAAGGCTGAGGGTATCTACTCAGTAAAATCGTACCGAACTGAAAGTTCCTCTGAAATGATTTTGACTCTGCCATCCATCACTTCATAAAAATTCATCTTGTATCCTTCAGTTTGTAGCTATGTGGCACATTAAGCTTCCTTTCTTCTCCCCACTGAAACTTCGAACAGTACAAAACGGGGAACTTGGCTTGTGATGACTAAAATTGGGGATATGAGACTGGGGGCGGGCGCGGTGGCTCATGCCTGTAATCCCAGCACTTTGGGAGGCCAAGGCTGGCAGATCACCTGAGGTCAGGAGAGACTAGCCTGGCCAACATGGTGAAACCCCGTCTCTACTAAAAATACAAAAATTAGCTGGGTGTGGTGACACGTGCTTGTAATCCCAGCTACTCGGGAGGCTGAGGTAGGAGAATCGCTTGAACCCAGGAGATGAAGGCTGCAGTGAGCCAAGACCCTACCACTGCACTCTAGCCTACACCATATAGTGAAACCTCTTCTCTACAAAGAAAATTTGAAAAATTAGCCGGGCGCAGTGGTGAGCTCCTGTTGTTCCAGCTTCTGAGGAAGCTGAGGTGGGAGGATCACTTGAACCTGGGAGCTTGAGACTGCAGTGAACCCCAAGCTGTCTCACCCCAGATAGCCAGGACTACAGGTGTACACCACCATGCCTAGTTAATTTTTAAATTTTTTGTAGAGAAAGGGTCGCGCTATATTGCCCAAGGTGGTCTTGAACTCCACCTACCTGGACCTCCCAAGGCACTGGGATTACAGGCATGAGCCACCATGCCCAGCCTACTTTGCACTTTTTTTTTTGGGGGGGGGGCAAAGTCTGGCTCTGTCGCCCAGGCTGGAGTGCAATGGCACAATCTTGGCTCACTGCAACCTCCACCTCCTGGGTTCAATCGATTCTCCTGCCTCAGCTTCCCCCTTCCTCAGCCTTCCCAGTAGCTGGGATAACAGGCATGCGCCACCACGCCCCACTAATTTTTGTATTTTTAGTAGAGATGGGGCTTCCTCATGTTGGCCAGGCTGGTCTTGAACTCCTGACCTCAGGTGATCCTCCCACGTTGGCCTCCCAAAGTGCTGGGATTACAGGCATGAGCCACTGTGCCCAGCCTACTTTGCACATTGTTTTTTTGTTTGTTTTTTTGTTTTTGAGACGGAGTCTCGCACTGTCATGCAGGCTGGAATGCAGTGGCGTGATTCTCCTGCCTCAGCCTCCCAAGTAGCTGGGATTATAGGCACCTACCACCATGCCCGGCTAATTTTTTTGTATTTTTAGTAGAGATGGGGTTTCACTATGTTGGCCAGGCTGGTCTTGAACTCCTGACCTCGTGATTCATCCGCCTCAGCCTCCCGAAGTGTTGGGATTACAGGCGTGAGCCACTGCGCCCGGCCACTTTGCGCATTTTGACTGTTGCCTAATGTTCTGTCAGATCACTGTGCCATGACATCTGTTCTCCTGAGGGTGGACGTTTTGGTGATTTAAAACCGTATAGATGTGGTTTTAAATGTTTTAAATGTTGCACCCTGTGCTGTGCTCCTTCCCAGCAGAGAATTGATTCATTTTTCAGCATATCCCCCTTAGCCCCTAGCTAAGTTTCTTAAATTGGACTTGGTAAATGTGCTTTGCCTGCCCATGGAAGATGTCTTTCTGTTTTACCGTACTTGTTTTTGCAGTATGGGTTTAGGGAGTAGCTGCCATTTATCCCTTCCCAAGAGAGCAGAGGCACTACTATGCTCACGGAAGGTGAGGATCCACCTGGGGGCTTGATGTCTATTGGGGTAGTTGTGGAGGTCACCCTCAGAGAAGGAGGCCCTCTTGACTCTGCGGTGGTCATGGTGGTGATGAGAAAGCTGAGGCGTGGGTATATGAGACAAGTGCCCAGAGTCTGTCATTAGCAAGTGGTACAGCCAGCCATGGGGGCTTTTGAGATGTTTGTGAGATAAAACCTCACCCCTCAAGAAGCCGGAATCTCCTTGTCGTGGGTAAATAGGCAGGTTTGGGCCGGGCGCGGTGGCTCATGCCTGTAATCCCAGCACTTTGGGAGGTCAAGGCAGATGGATCACCTGAGGTCAGGAATGCGAGACCAGCCTGACCAACATGGTGAAACCCCATTTCTGCTAAAAATGCAAGAAAATTAGCTGGGTGTGGTGGTGCACGCCTGTAATCCCAGCTACTGGGGAGGCTGAGGCAGGAGAATCACTTGAACCTGAGAGGCAGAGGTTGCAGTGAGCCAAGATCACACCACTGCACTCTAGCCTGGGTGACAGAGCGAGACTCCGTCTAAAAAAAAAAAAAAGGGCAGGTTTGAATGGTGGGGCATATTTGTCATGTTCTCTGTACAATGATAGAGGGAGAAGTAATCGAGCTAGACCTTGACCAATATGGGACTATGAGAGACAGAATGGCCTAGATGGGTGACTAAAGGTGTTCAGGGGATGACAGGTATCCCTTTTGGACTAAGGACTGCTGATGGGGCTGAGTAGGTAAGGCTTGAAGGAGAGCAGCCTGGGGAGGATGAGACAAGAGGTAGGGAAACTGGTAGGGGCATCACTGCTGTGGTCTGACCCAGAGTGGTGGCCCTGGAGGAGTGGAGGGTGGCTGTCTGAGATGGAGGAGAGGTGAAGGAATCAGAACTAGTAGGTTCATAGGGCACATGGGTTAGAAAGGAAAAATATTAAAACAGTGAGGTTTCCAAGATGGAAATGGTAGCTTTGATAGTAAAATTAGACAAGTTGGAGGGCTACTAGCTAGATTAGGCACTGAGCTGTAGGTGAAACTGGGAATGTGAACCACTGGGAAAGAAGGATGGGCTCGAGCAGGGTGTGTGGGATGAAAGAGAGAGGTCAGAAAAGGGAGAATTATCATAGAGCAGAGTTTCCAGGCAAGAGAATCCTAAGTGAGAGGTGGTCATGGGGTATACACCTTGGCTGTGGCCATCTCTGGGGCCTTGGTGAGAAAGATGAGCCAGCCCAGGAGGGGGAAAGGAATGGGTGGGTGGCTGGATAGAGGTCCCAGGTCCTGGAGGCAGACTCAGGGGCAGGCACAGATAACTGAGTGTGTTTGATGGGAAGCAGTAGAGCATCCAGGGGATGGGGTTGGGGGTGGCCCTGAGCCTCAGTAGTGAAGAGAGAGACCTCTTCTTTTTGGCAAGTTTTATATCAGCATATATTTTTCATTTTTTCTTTTAAAGATATATAATCATGTGCCACACAGTGATGTTTCCGTCAATGACAGACCAGACCACATGAAGGATGGTGGTCCCATATTTTTACTGTACCTTGTCTGTGTTTAGATACACAAATTCCATTGTGTTACAGTTGCCTATAGTATTCAGTACTGTGATATTGTGAAATATATATTTGGTCTTGTCTCATTTCTTGGCATACAACTTCTAAAATCTTTGGACTTTCCAGAGTGATGCCTTTTTGTATGCTGGCCAGCAGCCCCTAGGTAGCTTCAGGATGGGGGCTGGTGACAGGAAAGGCCAAGGCAGGCATAAGAGGGTTGGGACTTTCAGCCTCACCTCTCAACCTCCGGAGAGGGGAGACAGGCTGAAGATTAAGTTCATCACCAATGGCCAGTGATTTAATCAGTCATGCCTACATAATGAAGCTTCCATAAAAATTCTGAATGACTGGGTTTGGAAAACTTCTGGATAGTTGAACACATGGAGGCTCCTAAAGAGTGATGTTCCTGGAGAGGGCCTGGAAGCTCTGCACCACTTCCCACATGTCTGGCCCCATGCATCTCTTCATCTGTATCCTTTGCAATACCCTTTATAACAAACCAGTAGACATGAGTATTTTCCTGAGTTCTGTGAGTCGCTCTAACAAATTAGTTGAACCCAAGAAGGGGATCTTGGGAACCCAATTTATAGCCTATTGGTCAGAAGCACAGGTGAAACAACCTGGGAGACTCAGCCCTCAACCTGTGGGATCAGACACTGTCTCCAGGTAGTGTTAGAGTTGAATTAGAGCAGGGGTCCGCAACCCCCAGGCCTCAGACCTGTATCAGTCTGTGGCTGGTTAGGAACCAGGTGGCACAACAGGAGGTGAGTGGAGGGTGATCCAGCATTACCACCTGAGCTCCACCTCCTGTCAGATCAGAGGTGGCATCAGATTCTCATAGGAGCACAAACCCTGTTGTGAACCATGCATGTGAGGGGTCCAGATTGTGTGCTCCGAAAGAGAATCTAGCTAATGCCTGATAATCTGAGGTGGAACAGTTTGATCCCGAAACCATTCCCCGACCCCGTGGAAAAATTGTCTTCCAAGAAAGTGGTCCCTAGTGCCAAAAAGATTGGGGACTGCTGAATTAGAAGACACCCAGCTGGTATCTGTGGCAGAATTGATTGCTTGCTTGTTAATGGGGAAAAACCCTCACACATTTGGTCACAGAAGTCTCCTGTGTTTGTTGTTGTGGTATAAGAGGAGAGGAAAAACAGTGTGTTTTTTTCATTCAGAACTACAGTAACATGCTGTACAAGTATGTAGCTTAGGAGCAATTGGCTGTACCTTATGGCCTAGATGTGTAGTAGTCTCTACCACCTAGGTTTGTGTAGGTGTACCCTTTGATGTTCACACACTGAGGAAATTGCCTCCAGCGATATAAGTCTCAGAATGTATCCCCAACATTAAGTGATGCATGACTGGAGGTAATTGGAGAATAAACATATTTTGGGGAGAGGAAAGTAGGATGAAGTGAGGTGGAGAAGACAGATGTTCACATCTTGTAGCTGACTGTGCTGTGCCTACAGAGCCTGCAGCTTGGCCATGCCTCACAGTGTGGGACTGGCCACTCCCTGACCTGAACAGCTGGCTATCCACAGTCACTTTTGGTTGCTCCATGGCAAAAGTGCATTTGCAGTAGGTTCATTTTACTGATTAGGTTTTAGAGGCTCCAATTCAAATCAGTTTGCGGTTTTTGAACGTACTGACTCAATTATTAGAAGATAATCTTTAATTTAAAAGGCAATGCAGATGAATTTAAATGCATCAGGTTCAATCACAGTTACTGTGCTTGACTCTCAGAATTTCAGTAAAGGAAAGTAGGCCCTGGAAATGCCACCCCCTTGGCACCCACCTCCCAGACTCCTGGCTGTGTGTCTCCTGACCACTACTCAGGTCTTGCCATTTTTATGCATCCATTACTATGAGGAAGAACCCAATTTTGTTCATTCAATGGGAGGGAGGAAGAGCTCTTGAGAACCTGGTGTGTGCTTATGCTTCATGTTCATTGTTTTACCAATTTTAGAATACCCCAATGGGGTAGGTACTTTTATCTCTCTTTTTAAAATTGGGGAGCTCGAGGCTCAGTTTGGTCATGTTGTAAGTCCCTGTGGAGTTGGGCTCCAACCCAGGTCAGTCTGTTTCCCAAAACCCTTCTGTTTGACTTTGCCGCTGAAGAAGATACAATGAGATGAAGAGTCTTGGGCATGATGGCACACAGGTCATCAGGAAGAAGGCCATCAGGAAGTTGGACTAGAGGTGGGAGGGGAGAAGGAATTAGGGGATTTGGAAATAGAGGGAAAACAGGTGAGCCTGAGGGAGGCACAGGAGCAAGGGGAGCAACAGAGCTGGCCAGTCTGTGTGTGGTGGGGCTGATGCCTGCCTGCTCACCCCTGTCCCCTGTTTTGCCAACTGTCAGGCCACAGTTGTAAGGGATCTTGTGGCTGTCAGGATGGCAGAGGAGCAGGAGTTCACCCAGCTCTGCAAGTTGCCTGCACAGCCCTCACACCCACACTGCGTGAACAACACCTACCGCAGCGCACAGCACTCCCAGGCTCTGCTCCGAGGGCTGCTGGCTCTCCGGGACAGCGGAATCCTCTTCGATGTTGTGCTGGTGGTGGAGGGCAGACACATCGAGGCCCATCGCATCCTGCTGGCTGCGTCCTGCGATTACTTCAGGTGAGTTCACTAGAGCTGTTTGTAAGAAGAATAACAAAGGTAATCCTGGCTCTGCTAGTAAAGGTACTGGCGGTGACAGTGGCTGGTCTCCTGCTCACCTCAGAGCCTCCCCTACTCCTTGTGGCTATGACTTAGTCAACAAGTGTGAGAGACAGAAGGGGGTCTTAGAGTTCATTTTTCATTCAGTGATCCTGTTTCTTGGGCTTTGCCTCCTCTTCTCTTCCCTCTCTTCTCTTCCTTTTCTTTTCCTTTTCTCTCTCTTTTCTTTTCTCTTTTCTTTCCTCCTTTCTCTCCTCCCCTCCCTTACCATTCCTCCCCTCCGTCAGTAATTATTGCTGTGTATGCATCACCTTCTGGCTCACACCTCTCATCCCTCAGGTGTTAGCCTCTGGCCCTCCCAGTGAGCTCTGTGGCCCCTCTGGGGTTTCTTATGGCCTCCTTCGTGACCCCATCCCAGCACTTGGCACAGTGTGAGGAACCACTGGCTTATCTGTCTTTTCCACTGGGTTGGAATCTGTCTCTTATCCCTAGCACCTGACATGGTTTTCACATATTCAAACAATACCCATGGCTTAAATGAATAAATTTATGTACACAGATAGCAGATCAATACACCATTTGCCCTGTTGTCTGCACTGCTCTGCACTCAAGGAGGTGGGTGTCACCACCCTTATTTCACATAGGTGGCATGAGCCTGAGAAGGACTGAGGGCCACTCGTGGTCCCCAGCAAGGTTGTCATGGGACTCCAAGCCTGAGGTGTTCCATTCTAGCTCTGATTCTGTTCAATCATTTTGTCTTCAAGGCTTAGTTGTAGTTCTCTCTCTCTCTCTTTCTCTTTATCTCTCTCTATTTTTTTAATTAGGAACTATCAAGCAAAATATGTATGGTTTAAGTGCCTTCTGTCTCCAAAAGGAGTTTTGGAGAATGTGACCCAGTGGTGGCTTGGTGCAGATGTGTCCAGGAGCAGCAGAATTCTTTCAGTTCACCAGGGAAATTCAGCTGAGGCCTTTAATAAGCATTAAGATAACATACAGGACAGTGGGTAGGGTAGAGGAGCTGAGGGCCCCCTGCAGGGGACTTAGGACCTGTATAGGAGAGGATGGCCAGAGGCTGTGGAGCCTATGGGATCCCCTGGGCTCACCCTCTCAGCCCTTCTTGATTTAGTGTCATACCACTCTTTCTGAAGATGACAGTGTAGGCAGCCTTTCGCTAATCTGTCAAAAACCTTATGTGGCTTTCCACGTCCTCCAGGAGCAATTTCTAGCCCTTTCCACAGCCCCCCTTGGGTAAACCTCTTATGAGAGGTGTCCTGCTCTCCGGGATGATTACAATGCATCACTAACACCCCCTGCATCCCTCCACTTCCATTGGGAAGGGGAGCGGGAGAGTGGCAACATTATTGGAAGAGCCCAGAGTCATTTCACAGGGGGGTGTGTGTGTGTATGTATAAATAAGAAATAGAGGCCAGTCACGGTGGCTCACACCTGTAATCCCAGCACTTTGGGAGGCCAAGGCAGGTGGATCACTTGAGGCCAGGAGTTTGAGACTAGCCTGGCCAACATGGTGAAACCCTGTCTCTACTAAAAAAAAAAAAAAAAATTAGCTGGGTGTAGTGGTGGGCGCCTGTAATCCCAGCTACTTGGGAGGCTGAGGCAGGAGAGTTGCTTGAACACAGGATGCGGAGGTTGCAGTGAGCCGAGATTGTGCCACTGCATTCCAGCCTGGGTGACAGAGCAAGACCCTGTTTCAAAAAAACAAAAAAGAGGCTGGATGTAGTGGCTCACGCCTGTAATCCTAGAACTTTGGGAGGCCGAGGCGGGTGGATCACCTGAGATTAGTAGTTCGAGACCAGCCTGGCCAACATAGTGAAACTCCGTCTCTGCTAAAAATACAAAAACTAGCGGGGCGTGGTGGCACATGCCTGTAATCCCAGTTACTTGGGAGGCTGAGGCAGGAGAATCACTTGAACCCAGGAGGCGGAGGTTGCAGTGAGCCTAGAAAGAGGCCAGGCTTGGTGGCTCACTCCTATAATTCCAGCACTTCGGGAGGCCAAGGAGGGCGGATAACTTGAGGTCAGGAGTTGGAGACCAGCCTGACCCACATGGCAATACCCTGTCTCTACTAAAAATACAAAATTAGCTGGGCGTGGTAGCACATGCCTGTAATCCCAGCTACTCAGGAGGCTGAAGCAGGAGAATTGCTTGAACCCGGGAGGCGGAGGTTGCAGTGAGCCGAGATTGCGCCACTGCATTCCAGCCTGGGCAACAAGAATGAAACTCCGTCTCAAAAAAAAAAAAAAAGAAAAGAAATAGACCATTCCCAAGTGTTAGCATGTTTATTATTTGTTTTAGTTACTTGTGAAATGTTAAAATGATAAAGGACTATTTTTTTCCCAGTATGACTGGTAAATATGTGTGAGAGGCTTGTAATATTTGATATGGGCAAGGGTAGAGAGAAGGGCATTTAGGGGTGGGCTGGCCCATAGTTTAGGGCCCTGCAGTTGTATGTTGGGTGTCTAGGTGTCATTCCTGTGGGACGATGCACCCAGTGCTGAGACATGGTGCAGGACAGAGCCTTTCTGTGTTATCCAATGGAGCTACTTGCAAACTGGGCAGTGTGGTGTGTCTACTGATAGGGAGTGAAAAACCTCAGGACCTGGTGGAAGATGATCCCAACCATGAAGATCTGGAAGGATCTTGCTGCACCGTGGGGACTCAGCAAAGGGCAAAGGGAGAGGGAGGCTGAATTTCTTCTGTTTACTGCATTGTCTGAATTATTTTACAAAGAACATAAATTTCTTTTTTTTTTTTTTTTTTTGAGACGGAATCTCACTCTGTCACCCAGGCTGGAGTGCAGTGGTGTGATCTCGGCTCACTGCAACCTCTGCCTCCGGGTTCAAGCAATTCTCCTGCCTCAGCCTCTCGAGTAGCTGGGACTACAGGTGTGCGCCACCACGCCCGGCTAATTTTTTGTATTTTTAGTAGAGACAGGGTTTCACCATGTTGGCCAGGCTGATCTCGAACTCCTGACCTTGTGATTTGCCCTCCTTGGCCTCCCAAAGTGCTGGGATGACAGGTGTGAGCCACACCACGCCCAGCCTTTTGTTTGTTTGTTTTGAGATGGAGTCTCGCCCTGTCCCCCAGGCTGAAGTGCAGTGGGGCAATCTCGGCTCACTGCAACCTCTGCCTCCCGGGTTCAAGTGATTCTCCTGCCTCAGCCTCCTGAGTAGCTGGGATTACAGACGTGTGCCACCAAACCCGGCTAATTTTTGTATTTTTAGTAGAGGCGGGGTTTTGCCATGTTGGCCAGGCTGGTCTCCAACTCCTGACCTCAGGTGATCCGCCTGCCTTGGCCTCCCAAAGTGTTCGGATTACAGACGTGAGCCACCATGCCTGGCCTCTTCTCTGCCTTTTCTGTCCTGTGGAAATTTTTCTTCTTTGGCCCACCTGAGATGCCTCCTCCTCTGGAGAGCTTTCCCTAATTGTCCCTTGCTGTTTCCCAGGTGGAGGAATCTCAGTTTTCCTGAAGGGCAGAGAGCTGTACTGCCCTGCTGCAGGAAGCCTCCTGTGCTCTTTCTGTGTACTCTGTACATGGTTTAGGAATTGGATGGCCAGACTGCATTTTCTTTTTTTGACTTTTGTTAATAACTTTTCATTGCACACTTACTTTGGCTCCCCTGACCCTACACCCACCTTGTATGCTTTAACCTTGTATGCTTCTGAGGTGGTTTCTCCTCTCCTCCTGGACCCTTATAGTCTGAAGAGCCCAAAGGCTCTGTCCTTTTTATACAACCTCCATGGGTCACCTCGTCCCTCCCTTAGTTTTCATTCCATCTGTGAATTATAAAAGACTGCTTAGCTGAACTCAATGTCTGTTACTTTAAAAGTTTGGATACAATTGATGATTTTATTTTTAAAAAATTAATAGCACTTTATCCCCAAAAGAGAGAGAAAGTTGTATTCCCCACAAAACACAAAGCCCAGATGTTTTCCAGGGTAGGTGTGCCTTTTATGAAAAGACTCCAATGCCATTTAAATTTTTTCAGAGCAGTTTCAGAAAAAGAAAAAAAAATTTTTTTTAATTAGCTGGGCATGGTGGCGTGGCCTATAGTCCCAGCTACTTGGGAGGCTGAGGAGGGAGGATAGCTTGAGCTTGAGAGGTTGAGGCTGCAGTGAGCCATGATCATGCCACTGCACTCTCGCTTGGATGACAAAGTAAGAGACCTCTTTTCTCGTAAAAAAAAAAAAAAAAAGGCTGAGCACAGTGGCTCACACCTATAATCCCAGCGTTTTGCAAGGCCAAGGTGGGCAGATTGTTTGAGCCCAAGAGTTCGAGACCAGCCTGGGCAACGTGACGAAACCCCATGTTTACAAAAAATACAAAAATTAGAGCTGGTCACAGTGGCTCATGCATGTAATCCCAGCACAATGGGTGCCCAAGGCCGGCAGATCACTTGAGGCCAGGAGTTCAAGACCAGTGTGGCCAACATGGCAAAAACCCATCTCTACTAAAAATACAAAAATTAGCTGGGCGTAGTGGTGCACACCTGTAATTCTAGCTACTCAGGAGGGTGAGGCTCAAGAATCGCTTGAGCCTGGGAGGTGGAGGTTGTAGTGAGCTGAGATCGCGTCACTGCACTCCAGACTGGATGAGAGAGTGAGATTCTGCCTCAAAAAGCAAAAAACAAACAAAGCTGGGCACGGTGGCTCATGCCTGTAATCCTAGCACTTTGGGAGGCTGAGGCGGGTGGATCACCTGAGGTCCAGAGTTGGAGACCAGCCTGGCCAACATGGCGAAACCCCGTCTCTACTAAAAATACAAAAATTAGGTCATCAGCAAAGCCTGAGTCCTGTCCTCTTGCTCTCCTCCCCGGACAGCATGAGCTTCACCACTCGCTCTACCTTCTCCACCAACTACTGGTCCCTGGGCTCTGTCCAGGCTCCCAGCTATGGCGCCTGGCTGGTCAGCAGCGTGGCCAGCGTCTATGCAGGCACCGAGGGCTCTGGTTCCTGGATCTTCGTGTCCCGCTCCACCAGCTTCCAGGGCTGCATGGGGTCTGGGGGCCTGGCCGCGGGGATGGCTGGGGATCTGGCAGGAATGGGAAGCATCCAGAATGAGAAGGAGACCATACAAAGCCTGAATGACCGCCTGGCCTCCTACCTGGACAGAGCGAGGAGCCTGGAGACCGAGAACCGGAAGCTGGAGAGCAAAATCCAGAAGCACTTGGAGAAGAAGGGACCCAGATCAGAGACTGGAGGCATTACTTCAAGACCATCGAGGACCTGAGGGCTCAGATCTTTGCAAATACTGTGGACAACGCCCGTATCTTTCTGTAGATCGACAATGCCCGTCTTGCTGCTGATGACTTTAGAGTCAAGTATGAGACAGAACTGCCCATGCACTAGTCTGTGGAGAGCGACATACATGGGCTTCGCAAAGTGATTGATGACACCAATGTCCCTCAGCTGTAGCTGGAGACAGAGATCGAAGCTCTCAAGGAGGAGCTGCTCTTCATGAAGAAGAACCATGAAGAGGAAGTAAAAGGCCTACAAGACCAGATTGCCAGCTCTGGGTTGACTGTGGAGGTAGATGCCCCCAAATCTCAGGACCTTGCCAAGATCGTGGCAGACATCCAGGCTCAATATGATGAGCTGGCTCGGAAGAAACGACAGGAGCTGGACAAGTACTGGTCTCAGCAGATTGAGGAGAGCACCACAGTGGTCACCATGCAGTCCACTGAGGTTGGAACTGCTGAGATGACAATCACGGAGTTGAGACGTACGTCCAGTCCTTGGAGATCAACCTGGACTCCTTGAGAAATCTGAAGGCCAGCTTGTAGAACAGCCTCAGGGAGGTGGAGGCCTTCTATGCCCTGTAGATGGAGCAGCTCAATGGGATCCTGCTGCACCTGGAGTCAGAGGTGGCACAAATCCGGGCAGAGGGACAGTGCCAGGCCTAGGAGTAGGACGCCCTGGTGAACGTTAAGGTCAAGCTGGAGGCTAAGATCACCACCTACTGCCGCCTGCTGGAAGATGGCGAGGACTTCAGTCTTGGTGATGCCCTGGACAGCAGCAACTCCATGCAAACCATCCAAAAGACCACCACCTGCCAGATAATGGATGGCAAAGTGGTGTCTGAGACCAATGACACCAAAGTTCTGAGACATTAAGCCACCAGAAGCAGGGTATCCTTTGGGGAGCAGGAGGCCAATAAAAAGTTCAGAGGTCAAAAAAAAATACAAAAATTAGCCAGGTGTTGTGGTGCATGCCTGTAATCCCAGCTACTTGGGAGGCTGAGGCAGAAGTACCGCTTGAACCTGGGAGGCGGAGGTTGCAGTGAGCCGAGATCGCACCACTGCACACCAGCCTGGGCGACAGAGTGAGACTCCGTCTCAAAAAAAAAAAGAAAAACAAACAAACAAAACAAAACATAAATTAGCCAGGCATGCCTGTAGTCTCAGCTTCTGGGGAGGCCGAGGTGGGAGGATCACTTAAACCTGGGGAGGTCAAGGCTACAGTGAGCCATGAGTTGTGAGTGTGCCACTGCACTCCAGCCTGGGTGACACAGCAAGACCTTGTCTCAAAAAAAAAAAATTGGTTTCATGCTAGGGAATCTGTCTTACTAGTTACATGCCAGGGAATCATGGCATTCCATCAATTCATGACAACCCAACATATCTGCATACGTGTCTATATAGCATATCTGCAGACATGGTGAGCAGGCATGTGATAACATTCAGCATCCATTCTCACAGTTAAAAAGTTTTTTGAGCAGGGCGTGGTGGCTCAAACCTATAGTCTCAGCTACTTGGGAGAATAGGCCGGAGGATTGCTTGAGCCCAGAAGTTCTGGGTTGCAGTGTGCCATGCCAACAGGGTATCCACACTAAATTTGGCATCAATATGGTGACCTTCCTGGAGCAGGGTTGCCTAAAAAGAGGTGTGAACCGGCCCAGGATGGAAATGGACCAGGTCAAAACTCCCATGCTGTTGAGTAGTGGGATCATGTCACTGCACTGCAGCCTGGACACCATAGCAAGGGTCCATCTCTCAAAAACAAACAAAAACCAAAAAACTTTTGGGGCTGGGCAGGGTGGCTCACACCTATAACCCTAGCACCTTGGGAGACTGGGGTGGGCAGATCAGTTCAGTCCTGGAGTTTGAGATTAGCCTAGGCAACATGGCAAAACCCTATCTCTACAAAAAATACAAATATTAGCTGGGCACAGTGGCACACACCTGTAGTCCCCACTACTTGGGAGGCTGAGGTGAGAGGATTGCTTGAGCCTGGAGGTTGAAGCTGCAGTGAGCCGAGCCAAGCCAAGATGGTCCCACTACAGTCCAGCTTGCGCGACAGAGCAAGACTCCGTTTACAAAAGAAAAAAAAATTTTTTTTTAATTTTTTTTTATTTTGAGATGGAGTCTCTCTCTGTCGCCCGGGCGGGAGTGCAGTGGCATGATCCCTGCTCACTGCAACCTCCGCCTACCAGGTTCAAGTGATTCTCCCACCTCAGCTTCCTGAGTAGCTGTGAGTACAGGTGCATGCCACCACACCCGGCTAATTTTTGTATTTTTTGAAAGAGACAGGGTTTCACCATGTCGGCCAGGCTGGTCTTGAACTCCTGACCACAGGTGATCCACCCACCTTGGCCTCCCAAAGTGCTGGGATTATAGGCGTGAGCCACCGTGCCCGGCCTATTTTTATCTATTATTATTTTTTAGACTAGTTAAGTGCAGTAGTGAGAAGGGGGGACAGAGACGAATGAGTTTGATCTGTTACTGACTATGAACAATCAACTGAAATAACTCAGCTAACTTTGGCCCAGCCAAACGTCTTAAAGAAATGTTTGGCGTAGGCCGGGCGCGGTGGCCAACGCGTGTAATCCCAGTACTTTGGGAGGCCGAGGCAGGCGGATCACGAGGTCAGGAGATCGAGACCATCCTGGCTAACATGGTGAAACCCCGTCTCTACTAAAAATACAAAAAATTAGCCGGGCATGGTGGCGGGTGCCTGTAGTCCCAGCTACTCGGGAGGTTGAGGCAGGAGAATGGCGTGAACCCAGGAGGCGGAGCTCGCAGTGAGCCGAGATCGCGCCACTGCATTCCAGCCTGGGCGACAGAGCAAGACTCCGTCTCAAAAAAAAAAAAAAAAAAAAAAGTTTGGCGTAAACTCATTAAGCCACGGAACCCACCCAAAACTCAAAATTATTTTCGAGGCTAATTATATTTTTTATCCTAGTGTGAGTCTTTATACTTTTTTGGGGGGCATATTAAGGTGTTTGAAGAGGAGGCACCGACCCAGATCCCGTGGGATATAAGATCCTATGTGGCATGTGTACAGTATTTCTCACGTTGGAACCTTCTGAATTCTAAAATACACTTGATTTAAAGAGTTTGGACAAGGGATCGAGGACCTGAACAAGCTGACCCAAGAAATATTTTTCTCCCCCATCTCACACCAGAGGCAGCATACTGGTTTGCCATTCTGTACCTGTGACATCCTGGAGGTCCCAGGCACCAGCAGTAGAGATGGCCCTCACTCTCTGTGCTGTGGAGTGTTCCGTGCTGTCGATGTCCTCTATTTATTTGGTCATTCCCCTGCTACTGGGTACTTGGTGAACAATTTTTTAAAATTGTGGTTCTAAAATAATAAACACAAATAACACTTACCATCTAGTTCAGTAATATTACGATTATTCACATTATTACGAAACAGATCTCCAGAACTTTTTTATCTTACAAATCTGAAACTCTATACCCACTAAACCACAACTCCCTTTTCTCCTTTACCCCCAGGCCCTGGCAGCTACCATTCTACTTTCTGTCTCTATGAATTAAACTATTCTAAGTACCTCATAAGTAGAATCATACAGCATTAGCCCTTTATCACTTGCTTATTTCATTTGGCATCGTGTCCTTAAGGTTCATGTGTGTTATAACATGTGACCTGATTTCCTTCATTTTGAAGGCTGAATAGTGTGCCATTTTATGGATATACCACATTTTGTTTGTCTATTCACCTATCAAGGGATACTTGGTTTGCTTCCATCTCTTGTCTATTGTGTATAATGCTGCTATGAACATGGGTGTGCAAATGTCTGAGACTCTGCTTTCAGTTCTTTGGCTATATTCCCAGAAGTGGAATTGCTAGATCATTCTATTGACAATTTTCTGAGGAACATAGCAGTTGCACCACTTTTCATTCCCACCAACAGTGCACAAGGGTTATAGTTTCTCCACATCCTTGCTAAAGCTTGTTATTTTCTGGTTTTTTGTTTGTTTTGTTTTTTGAGACAGGATTTTGCTCTGTCACCTAGGCTGGAGTTCAGGGGCACCATCATGGCTCCACCTCCTGGGCTCAAGCAATGCTTCTGCCTCAGCCTCCCAAGTAGCTGGGACTATAGGCATGCACCACCATGCCTGGCCAGTTTTTTAAAAAAATTATTTGTAGAGACAGAATCTTACTATGTTTCCCAGGCTGGTCTCAAACTCCTGGGCTCAAGCAATCCTCCCACCTCAGCCTCCCAAAGTGCTGGGATTATGGACATGAGATTATAGATGTGAACCACCATATCCGGCCTACTTTTTGTTTGTTTGTTTTGTTGTTTTTTTATAGTGGTCATCCTAATGGATATGAGGTGTGAACAACTTTTTAAAACTTTTAAGTCTTTATTTTGACATAATTCCTGACTTACAGAAAAGTAGTAATAATTTTTTTTTAATATATTTTTTTAAAAATTGGCCAGGCATGATGGTGCATGCCTATAGTCCCAACTACTTGGGAGGTTGAGGCAGAAGCATCACTTGAGCCCAGGAGGTTGAGGCTGCCGTGAGCCAAAAATGAATTTTTTTTTTTTGAGACAGAATCTCACTCTGTCGCCCAGGCTGGAGTGCAGTGGCATCATCTCGGCTCACTGCAACCTCCACCTCCCAGGTTCAAGCAATTCTTGTTCCTCAGCCTCCCAAGTAGCTGGAATTACAGGCGCCTGCCACCACACCCAGCTAATTTTTGTATTTTTACTAGAGACGGGGTTTCACCATGTTGGCCAAGTTGGTCTCGAACTCCTGACCTCAGGTGATCCGCCCACCTCGGCCTCCCAAAGTGCTGGGATACAGGCATGAGCCACCGCGCCCAGCCCCAAAAATGAATGTTTAAAGAATTAAGTTTGGGAGGCTGGGCATGGTGGCTCACGCCTGTAATCCCAGCACTTTGGGAGGCCGAGGCGGGAGGATCACGAGGTCAGGAGATCGAGACCATCCTGGCTAACACTGTGAAACCCCGTCTCTACTAAAAATACAAAAAATTAGCTAGGCGTGGTGGCGGGCGCCTATAGTCCCAGCTACTCGGGAGGCTGAGACAGGAGAAAGGCGTGAACCTGGGAGGCGGAGCTTGCAGTGAACCGAGATCATGCCACTGCACTCCAGCCTGGGTGACAAAGCAAGACTCCATCTCAAAAAAAAAAAAAAAAAAAAAAAAGAATTAAGTTTGGGGCGGGCTTGGTGGCTCAATCCCAGCACTTTGGGAGGCTGAAGAGGGTGGATCACCTGAGGTCGGGAGTTCAAGACCAGCCTGGCCAACATGGAGAAACCCCATCTCTTCTAAAAATACAAAATTAGCCGGGTGTGGTGGCGCATGCCTGTAATCCCAGCTACTCGGGAGACTGAGGTAGGATAATTGCTTGAACCTGGGAGCTGGAGGTTGTGGTGAGCCGAGATTGCGCCATTGCACTCCAGCCTGGGCAACAAGAGTGAAACTCTGCCTCAGAAAAAAAAAAAAAAATTAAATTTGGTAAAATTTTTGGTGAAAAAGAAAAACAATAAAAAGGAGTGACTATATATTTTATTTTTCTTTTGGGCTCTTTTTTCTCTCTGATTTTTATTTTGAAATATTTAAATCCTACAGAAAAGTTGAAAGTTAAGTATAGTGAACAACTGTGCTCTTGGCTTAAATTCATCAGTTAACATTTTGCATATTCACTTCAGAGTAAGTTATAGATATCATGACAATTTATCTCTAACAACTTCAGTTCGCCTCTCTAAGGATGAGGAGATTCTTTGACATACCTGTAATACTATCATGATATAAGAAAATTTATGATTGAGCCATGTTCCATGGCGAGTGCTTTTAGTCCCAGCTATTTGGGAGGCTGAGGTGGGAGGATCACTTGAGCACAGGAGTTTAAGTCCAACTTGAGCAACGTAGCAACCCTGTCTCTAAAAACATAAAAATGAAAAAGAAATGTGTAATCATTCTATAATTTCATCTGACATTGAGTCCACGTTCAGATTTTCCTAATTGCACCCACAATGTCTCATATCTTCTTTCTCCTCCCTCCATTCATGATCCATGCAGTGAACTTTTTTGTGTTGTTTTGTTTTTTAAGAGACAGAGTCTCACTTTTTTGCCCAGGCTGGGCAATGGTGTCATCATAGCTCACTGCAGCCTCAAAATACTGGGCTCAAGCAACACTCCCACCTCAGCATTTCAAATTGATGGAATTATGGATGCGTGCCACCATGCCCAGCTAATTTTTTTTAAGAGATGGGGTCTTTCTGTGTTGCCCCATCTGGTCTTTTTTTTTCCCTTCTTTTTCTTTTTCTTTTGAGGCACAGTGTTGCTCTGTCACAGAGTAGTGGTGCGATATCAGCTCACTGCAACCTCCGCCTCCCAGGTTCAAGTGATTCTCATGCCTCAACCACCCAAGTAGCTGAGATTACAGGTGTGCACCACCATGCAGCTAATTTTTGTACTTTTAGTAGAGATGAGGTTTCACCATGTTGGCCAGACTGGTCTCGAACTCTTGGCCTCAAGTGATCTGCCCACCTCGGCCTCCCAAAGTGCTGGGATTACAGGTGTGAGCCATGGTGCCTGGCTGCCCAGTCTAATCTTAAAGTCCTGGCCTCAAGCAGTCTTCCTGCCTTGGCCCCCGAAAGGATTATAAGATTTTTTTTTTTCTTAAAATGGTAAAAGTTTGTGTCCGGCCAGACGTGGTGGCTCACACCTGTAATCCAGCACTATGGGAGGCCGAGGTGGGTGGATCACATCAGGTCAGGAGTTCGAGACCAGTCTGACCAACATGGTGAAACCCTGTCTCTACTAAAAATACAAAATAGCCAGGCGTGGTGGCACATGCCTATAATTCCAGCTACTTGGGAGGCTGAGGCAGGAGAATCGCTTGAACGTGGTAGGCGGAGGTTGCAGTGAGCCGAGATTGCGCCATTGCACTCCAGCCTGGGCAACAAGAGCGAGACTCTGTCACAAAAAAAAAAAAAGGCCGGGCGTGGTGGCTCACGCCTGTAATACCAGCACTTTGGGAGGCCGAGGCGGGCGGATCATGAGGTCAGGAGATCGAGACCATCCTGGCTAACATGGTGAAACCCCGTCTCTACTAAAAATACAAAAAATTAGCCGGGCGACGTGGCGGGCACCTGTAGTCCCAGCTACTCGGGAGGCTGAGGCAGGAGAATGGTGTGAACCCCGGGGGGCGGAACCTGCAGTGAGCCGAGATCGCGCCACTGCACTCCAGCCTGGGCAACAGCAAGACTTCGTCTCAAAAAAAAAAAAAAAAAAAAAAAAAAATCTGTGTCAATCCAAGCACCCACACCCTGCTCAGGGCGGGCAGTGCTTGAAATGTTGCCATCTCCACTGCTGCCAATATAGTCCCAGAGGTGCCAGCAGAAGAATCAGACAGAAGTACATGCACGAGCACAGTCCTGGAAAGTCCAGGAGAGCCAGACAGACCACTGTAAAGAGCATGGGAAAGTGCCCCGAGGGCTTGGCCATGCATGGAGTGAAATGTCTGGGAATAAATGTAACAAATATGTGCCAGATCTGTAGGAAGATGACTTATAAGACTTCCAAATGGACCCAGAGGATGGCTGGACAGTTAAAAAGATCCACTGTGTCCATTATAAAAATGCTATTTATCTCTACATTAACCTAGATGTTTAACATAACCCCCTAAAATACCAAGAGGGTTTATTTGGGGCAATTACAGAAACTTGATTCTAAAATTCAAATGTAAAAAGCTAGCAGTGGCCAGGAAATTGTCGAAAACAAAAGTAACGAAAGGAGACTATTCCTGTCCTATGTGATAAAGATAGCCTCAAAAATTAGAGGAAGGGGCTGGGTGCGGTGACTCACGCCTGTAATCCCAGCACTTTGGGAGCCCAAGGCAGGCGGATTACAAGGTCAGGAGTTCAAGACCAGCCTGGCCAACATAGTGATAACCCCATCTCTACTGAAAATACAAAATTAGCCGGGTGTGGTGGTACATGCCTGTAATCCCAGCCACTCGGGAGGCTGGGAGGCAGGAGAATCTCCTGAACCCGGGAAGTGGAGGTTGTGGTGAGCCGAGATCGCGCTGCTGCACTCCAGCTTGGGCAACAGAGTGAGACTTCGTCTTAAAAAAAAAAAAAAATTAGAGGAAGGAGGGAAGACGACAGAGTTGCCATCTAGAAAAACAAAGTTGGACCCTTGCTTCATACCTTATACCAAAATAAATTACAGGTGGATCAACAGTTTTAAATGTGAAAGATTCAATAATAAAAACACTAGAGGAAAATATCGGAAATGTTTTCTGAATAATCTCAGAAAGAAAAAGCCTTTCTAAGTTTGACACAAAACTCAGAGGCAAGTAAATGGTAAATTTGACAACATTGAAAACGAAGATAGGTTGGTCCGAAGGTAGTGTGAGTTACCTCAGTTGATTGTTCACAGTCACAGATCCAACTCCAGGTTCTACTTTTTCACCTTCTCACTACTGCAGTTGACTAGACTTGTTTAAAAAAAAAAAAAAAAAAGACAAATTTCTGCATGGCAAAAAAGCAATACAAAATCAAAAGATCGGGGAAACTCCTCATCAAAGAAAGGGCAGATTTCTTCAAATTGATAAGACAGTCTAACAGAAAACTGACTAAGAATCTGAACTGTTCAGAAAAGAAAATGGAAATGGCTCTTTAACATATAAGGAGATTTTCTGTACCTTATGTGATAAGGTTTTTCCCTTTTGTGGTGGTGAGTTAGAGCTGGTGTCTTCCTGGGTTGGGGGTAGAGGGTGCAGGCACCAGGCCCTGCTATCAGGAATGATATAAAAACAGCAACTTGACAATACTATCAAAGTATAAATGTATGTAAACCCTTCGACCCAGCAACTGTATTTGTGGGACTTAATCCTGGCATATGCATACTCAGCATGTTGTAAGGGTGAGGATGTTCATCATGTGAAATAACTGGAAATTACAAGTAACCTAAATATACCCCTGTAGAAATGGGTTAAAGAAGTGAGACAGCTGGCTGGGCGCGGTGGCTCATGCCTGTAATCCCAGCACTGTGGGAGGCTGAGGCGGGTGGATCACCTGAGGTCAGGAGTTTGAGACCAGCCTGGCCAACGTGGTGAAACCCCATCTCTACTAAAAATACAAAAATTAGCCGGGCATGGTGGCGCAGGACTGTAATCCCAGCTACCCGGGAGGCTGAGTTTGGAGAATTGCTTGAACCCGGGAGGCGGAGGTTGCAGTGAGCCGAGATTGCACCATTGCTCTCCAGCCTGGGCGACAAGAGCGAAACTCCATCTTAAAAAAATAAAATAAAATAAAAAAAGTGAGACAGCCTTTGCAAAGAGTGAGGCAGTCTTGCGTACATGGGCATGGATCAGTCTCCAAGCTATATTGTTAAGTAAAAACCGGGCTGGGTGCAGTGGCTCACGCCTGTAATCCCAGCCCTTTGGGAGGCCGAGGCAGGCAGATCACGAGGTCAGGAGATCAAGACCATTCTGGCTAACACGGTGAAACCCGGTCTCTACTAAAAATACAAAAAATTAGCTGGGCGTGGTGGGGGGCACCTGTAGTCCCAGCTACTTGGGAGGCCAAGGCAGGAGAATCAGTTGAACTCAGGAGGCGGAGGTTGCACTGAGCCAAGATCGCACCACTGCACTCCAGCCCAGGCAACAGAGTGAGACTTCGTCTCAAAAAAAAGAAAAAAGCCAAGTGAGATGTGGAATATGACTGCCCTGAGGATAGTGTGGCCCTGGGAGGGGAACTGACTGATGGTCTGGGAGCAGAGGCAAGGGGACTTTCACCACAACCTATACTGTATTTTTTTTGTGTGTGTGACAGAGTTTCACTCTTGTTGCCCAGGCTGGAGTGCAATGGCACGATCTTGGCCCACTGCAACCTCCGCCTCTTGGGTTCAAGCAATTCTCCTGCCTCAGCCTCCTGAGTAGCTGGGATTACAGGCATGTGCCACCATGACCAGCTAATTTTGTATTTTTGGTAGAGATGGGGTTTCTCCATGTTGGTCAGGCTGGTGTCGAACTCCCAACCTCAGATGATCGGCCTGCCTCGGCCTCCCAAAGTCCTGGGATTACAGGCGTGAGCCACTGTGCCCGGCCTAACCTATACTGTATTTTAAATCTGGTAGCATGTATATGTATTACCTAGTCAAAAAAATAAATAAAATGTAAAAATAGCTTCTCTTATAATCTTCATGTTGCTGTCATATTTAAACTTCAGCCCCAGTTGCCAGCCTCTTACCTCCAAACACCTAATCAGTGTCTACACTTGGAGGTTTCACAGGTATCTCACACTGATCACACAATCACGGGACTCCCAGCTGTCCAGATTTTCTTCCATCAGTAAAGGGTCCTCTTCGGCCCAGCAGAGGGCCTTGAGTCCTCCCAGGTCCTCCTAGATTCAGTCTGTCAGTAGGTTCTCTGTGCCGTGTCCCAGGGTAGTCTCAGCTACTGCTTTCTAGCTGCAATGCCCTCCCCAGGGCCAGGGTCACCCTTGGCCTCCAGGCCCACAGGAATCTCAGGCCTAATTGGTCTTCCAGGGGCTCCTCCTCCAGCACCTGAGTCGGAAAGCCAGTCAGTTCACATCACTCTGTGGGTAAATTCCTCAAGAGCATCCCATAATGCTCAGATTTCAATCTGGACTGTACCTACCCTAGAGGTAGGGGGACCTGGCTCCAAGGCCTGCCTGCCCATCCCACTTTCTGCTCACTTCGTCATCATCTTGGCTGCCTTGCATGCCAAGCTCTGCCTTGCCCCAGAACTTGTACACCTGTCTCCTTCACCTGGAACTCCCTCCCCGGCTGCCTACACCCTCTCAGCCTTATCCTTAGGTCTCAGTTCCTCAGATGGGGCTTTCCCTGCTCCTTCTCATCATTCCACCTACCCCTCTTCTAACCAGTGACTCTCAGGTCAGATGCCCTGCTGGGTTCCTTCTTAGCATTTATTTATATATGTATATATGTTTTTTGAGACAGAGTCTTGCTGTGTCACCCAGGCTGGATCGCAGTGGTGTGATCTCGGCTCACTGCAACCTCCGCCTCCCGGGTTCAAGCGATTCTCCTGCCTCAGCCTCCTGAGTAGCTGGGATGATAGGCGCCCGCCACCACACCCAGCTAATTTTTGTATTTTTAGTAGAGACGGGGTTTCACCATGTTGGCCAGGCTGGTCTTGAACTCCTGACCTCAGGTGATCTGCCCGCCTTGCCCTCCCAAAGTGCTGAGATTATAGGCGTGAGCCACCACGCCCGGCCAATTTTTGTAATTTTTGTAGAGACAGGATTTCACCGTGTTGCCTAGGCTGGTCTTGAACTCCTAGGCTCAAGGGATCTGCCTGCCTTGGCCTCCCAGAGGGTTGGGATTAGAGGCGTGAGCCACCGCGCCCAGCTATTTTACCAGTTTACTTCACTATAACTCCTTTTGCTCTTTGTTTTTTGTTTTGTTTTGCTTTTTGAGACAGTCTTGCTTTGTTGCCCAGGCTGGAGTGCAGTGGTGCAATCTTGGCTCATGGCACCCTCCGTCTCCCAGGTTCAATCAATTCTTGTGCCGCAGCCACCAAAGTAGCTGGGACTACAGATGCACAACATCATGCCCGGCTAATATTTGTATTTTTAGTAGAGACGCGGTTTCACCATGTGGGCCAGGCTGGTCTCGAATTCCTGACCTGAAGTGATTTGCCTGCCTTGGCCTCCCAAAGTGCTGGGATTACAGGTGTGAGTCACCGTGCCTGGCCTCCTTCTGCTCTTTGAATGATACTTGGCATTTGGTAGGAACTCCATAAATATACATTGAATGAAATGACTTTTATTAGTTTCCCATTAATTAATTCATTGCTTTGAAATGTGCTCTGGAGTTGCTACTGCTCCGATCCAGGAACTGCACTGATGAACACAGCAGAAGCAAGCTGCTTGTGGCCTCACCTCCCGAAGCTCACATGGGACTCCTTGGGCCCATGAAAAGGGAAACAGGACAATTTCCAGGATGGCTGCCCAGACTTCGTCAGGATCCTTTTGTGGGATGGCTCATGCATGCACACAGTTCACTCAGAGCACAGAGTGGGTCAGCCCACTACCAGGGCCCTGCCACCAGCGCCAGGTTCTTCTCTGAATGCTGTCACTCTTGGCAACATGGGCTTAAGTCCCTGTTGGTATAACTCCATTTTCTTGTGTCTTCACTTTGCAGAGGAATGTTTGCTGGGGGATTGAAGGAGATGGAACAGGAAGAGGTCCTGATCCACGGTGTGTCCTACAATGCTATGTGCCAAATCCTACATTTCATATACACCTCCGAGCTGGAGCTCAGCCTGAGCAATGTACAAGAGACACTGGTGGCTGCCTGCCAGCTTCAGGTGAGGCATGTCTCATCTAGCAAGGCAGACCCACACCCAGGTGGGGTTCCCTGAGATGCCCATGATGCCTGCCGGGCACTAGCATTGGCTTGAAGATGGGTCAGGAATGTGAGGAGACCAAGCAGTGACGAAGGCCATGAAGTGGGGAAGACTCTGGAGTTGTTCCTGGAGCTCAAGCAGAGCCGCTCTAGACACCCCAGGCCTCTGCCTTTGCCCTCTTCTCTATTGCTGGTTGTTTCCCCACTGTCTGAGTCTCCCTGTCATTGAAAGCATCCTGCACATAAGCAGGTAGGCTGACCCGAGGCTGCATGTGGACGTCCTGTGTGCTCTGGGGTCTGGCAATGGGGAGCATCCACCAGCATTGCTGCCAGGGCCCTTCCTGCCTGTCCCCTCACTGGGCCACTTCAGTCTCTTGAAAACTTATGTGTTTTGTTACTGAACTTTATCTATCTATTTGTCTGTCCATCCATCCATCCATCCATGCATGCACGCATCCATCCATCCATCCATGCATGCATGCATCCATCCATCCATCCATCCATCCATCCATCCATCCATCCATCTATCCATCCATCCATGCATGCATCCATCCATGGTGGCAGGCATCCATCCATCCATCCATCCATCCATGCATGCATCCATCCATCCATCCATCCATCCATCCATCCACCCATCCATCCATCCACTCATTCAATTTATTGGAGACAAGCTCTCTCTCTCTTGCCCAGGCTGGAGTGCAGTGGCACGATCACAGCTCACTGCAGCCTCAACCTCCTGGGCTCCAGCAATCCTTCTGCCTCAGCCTCCCAAATAGCTAGGACCTATAGGCATGTGCCACTACACCTGGCTAATTTTTAAATTATTTTTATAGAGATAGAGGCTTGCTTTGTTGCTTAGGCTAGTCTTGAACCCCTGGCCTCAAGTGATCCACCTCAGCCTTCCAAAGTGTTGCGATTACAGGTGTGAGCCACTGCGCCTGGCCTATTTTTTTTTTTTTTTTAAAGACAGGGTCTCACTCTGTTACCCAGGCTGTAATGCAATGGCATGATCATAGTTCACTGTAGCCTCCACCTCCTAGGCTCAAGTGGTCCTCCCGCCTCAGCCTTCTGAGTAGCTGGGACTAAAGATGCGTGCCATTGTGCCTAGCTGATATTATATATATATATATTTTTTTATAGGAATGGGGCCTTGTTATGTTGCCCAGGCTGGTCTCAAGCTCCTGGCCTCAGGTGATACTCCCACCTTGGCTTCCCAAAGTTCTGGGATTACAGGTGTGAGCCTCTGTACCCAACCTGTTATTGAACTTTAAGTACTTGTTTTCCTGCAGAATTCAAAAAGTTTTCTGAGGCTTTGACAGTGTGACTTATGTTTTGGATGATTATTCTCAGTGGTGTGGGTGCAGTTACACGGGACTGGGCCTGCAGGTGCCTTTGAGCTATCAGGCAGAGGCCTGATAGGAGTTGACAGTCACCTCTTCCCACATTTCTTAAAAGTGAAACAAAATGCTATGCTAAGTTCATCATTCTGACCTTTCTTCCCATGAGAGCAGGTTTGACGCAATTAAAAAAAAACAACTCAAGTCACAGGAAAACCAACCTGTTCGGGGGCATGTGGAGGTGCCACCCCATGTGACAGGGCCCTGGCAGCCTCCCTGTGCCCTGTTCTCAGATTGGTGGATAGGACCTGGATGCTGGGTGGGTTGATCTGAGATGACTGACTTGTCTCACCATACCTGCATGGTGAGTAGATGGAGTTGGCTTTTACAACAAAAGAATTTCCCCCTGTTCTTTTATTTAGAGATCTCTTCTGTCCCCACATCCCTGTCATTGTTGCTTTGGGAACCCTCATCCAATTCTCCACCCTGGCAGCAGTTAACTCCTGATTCAGCTGCCTCTGAAACATCTCCCCCAGCATGGCTCAGGTCCAGCTGTCCTATCTCCTCCTCCACACCTGCCACTCTCCCGGAGCTCCCCTGTCAGTCCCCCTGCTCTGTGTGTCCTGTGACCATCCTGCCAGTTCCCTGGGCTCAACCTCAGTGGCTCCTTGAGCCCGTCCACCTTCTTAATTCCCTGCGTCCATGTGAGGACAGGTCATCCTTCTCGGTATTGCTTGTAGCCATCTCTGTTCTGTGTTTCCATTTCCTTCCCTTTTGCCTGGCCTCCATCTGTATGTTTCTGCCATTTCTTTCTTCTCCCTGCAGTGATCACACACACTGAAACCAGATCATCTTTCTAACATCACTTTCCCTCTCTCACCAGTCAGCTTGGAGGCCTGCAGTCTCTCTCTGTTGGTTTGGCCAGTGCTCCCGACAGCCCTGGGTCATCTCCCCCAGTGCCTCAGAGGTCATCTCAGAGGCAGCAGCCTATCTTAGTTTTTTAACATATCAGGCTTCTGGGCCAGGCTTGGAGGTTCATGCCTGTAATCCCAGCACTTTTGGAGGCCAAGGTGAGAGGATTGCTTGAGGCCAGGAGTTTGAGATCAGCCTGGGCAACAAAGCGAGACCTCTACAGAAGCACTTTAAAAATAGCCGGGCATGGTGGCATGCACCTGTAGTTCCAGCTACTCGGGAGGCTGAGGTGGGAGAATCACTTGAGCCCAGGAGGTGGAGGCTTCAGTAAGCTGTGATCACCACACCACTACATGCCAGCTTATCTCAAAACAAAAAACAAACAAACAAAAAAAAACAGGCTTCTTCACAATATTGTTTTATAGCAGGTTTTACTTGGCATAACCATGTCAAGTCCATAGGCCTGTAGAATCATGTATGTTCACATAGCTAGTGACTTTTGGAGGCTTCCCCCATGTGTTGTGCCCTGCAGTAGGCCTGGGACCAGATTCTTCACGGTGTCCCCAGAGGCCTGAGTCTGATTCCCAGTAACACTGTCCTATTGGGTTACCCCAAGCAAATGCAGTCCCTTCTGTGAGCCTCGTATGGGGCTTTTGCACATCCTGAGCCCAGGCTGGTTCCTCTGTGAGATTTCACTGAACAGAAGGCCCACTGCTCTAAAAATAGGACTGAAAGGAGAGTCAGCAGGGTCCTCTCAAGGAGCTGCTGCTGCCCAGGCTTCTTCAGGGCTGTTTGTGCTCACATTCTGCCCAAAACTTGGTCTTCAGGACCCTGGCCCATGACAAACCAGAATTTTAGGAAAACCTAGTAGTTTGGGAAGAAGTGGCAAAGCAGAAGACTGGCAAAAAGGGAAAAAAGAAGGTCAAGTGAAGCTGGTCAGGGCCTAGCAAAGCACCATGGGGATACCTCATGTAGGGCACATACCTGCCTGACATTTGGTAGGTCTCATCCAGCTCTTAGCATGTCACCTTGCAAGCAATATTAGATGTCTTTTGAATTTTAAAAAAGTTATAGTTAGTGTTTATTGATAAGCTTTAAATACCTTGGCCGGGCGCCGTGGCTCACGCCTGTAATCCCAGCACTTTGGGAGGCCTAGGCGGGCAGATCACGAGGTCAGGAGATCGAGACCATCCTGGCTAACACGATGAAACCCCGTCTCTACTAAAAATACAAAAAATTAGCCGGGCGTGGTGGCGGGCGTCTGTTGTCCCAGCTACTTGGGAGGCTGAGGTGGGAGAATGGCGTGAACCCGGGAGGCGGAGCTTGCAGTGAGCCGAGATCGTGCCACTGCACTCCAGCCTGGGCAACAGAGTGAGACCCCATCTCAAAATAATAAATAAATAAATACATAAATACCAGCAGAATTATTCCATGTGTAATGGTTAATTTATTGATGATCCTGGATAAGCCAGGTATTCCCATTTTTAGAGAAACTGATTTATTGCATTGAACACATGGCTGGAGTTGGTAGCAAGGGGGTTCCCACAAGAGGGGACCCCACAGCATCCTGAAATGGAGCCGTTTTGGGATTCCAAAGAAAGAAGCATCAAACACCAGGGTGATCTGGCCAGAGCGTTTATTAGGGGAACTTATGTATAGAGTGATGTAGCATGTCCTCAAGACAGACAAGGGAAAAGAGAGGCTTTACCCAGGCTTGCCCACAGAGTGGGTTAGTGTATGGAGTTTCTATGAGGGTTTAAGGAATTTGTCTCAGGGCCAGAACCAGTTTTTCCTTCAGTGTTTTGGGTAACAACCTTGATGCCTTTATCAGTGCCTGGGAATGTTCAAGGGCCTGGTTTGGGTTCAAGCCTGCTGGGAGAACCTGCAGCTGTCTGGGTCACAGAGAGGTCAAGGTACTCGTCATTTTCAATCTGAACATGGAAAGAAAGGAGGTGGGCACTGGGGGGCCCCACTGAAACTCTAAAATCCTGCTTTCCTAAATAATTTATCAACACCTGGTTTGTTCTCCCAGGCAGTTTTCCCTAGGGCCCTTCCCTTTGTCTCCTATTCTCCCAAGATTTGGTTGTCTGTTCACAGGGTGGCCTTTAACAGCCTGCTGGTTGTGGCCTTGTTCCCACCTCCCTCCAGTGTCATTCTCTCTCTTGCCGTCCTTTCAAACCACTAGTGCTTCCCCATGGCTGGGAAGGGTTGATATGGCCACCTGGGAGCCCCTGCACTTACTGGAGTCAAGTGGGTCTTGACCCAGCTGGGAACCTCAAGAACCCTGAGTCAGGGATCACTTGAGCCCAGAAGCTTGAGACTTCGGTGAGCTATGATCTTGCCATGGCACTGCAGCCTGGGCAACAGAGCAAGACCCTGTCTCAAATTTTAAAAAGAAAAAAGAAAAATAATTCTAAATCAGGTTCCTGGGTGGGTATTGGTTAGGTGTCTGAGAGGCTCTGAGCACTTCTAGGGAACCAGGGTGGATGTTCTGGCGGGGGAAAAAGCCAGGTTTGTTTCTGGTCCCAGCGCTTTTGGAGAGGCAGGCTCTTCCAGAGAATCCTAGGGTAGGGATGGGGATGGTCTTAGGTCCTTTCCAAACCACAGATATATGACACAGTGACCATTTGTGCTGCTTCCTGCTTTTCTGGAGAGCCAGTACTTCTTTTTTTTTTTTTTTTTTTTTTTTTAGACGGAGTCTCGCTCTGTCACCCAGGTTGGAGTGCAATGGCGCGATCTCGGCTCACTGCAACCTCCGCCTCCTGGGTTCCAGCGATTCTCCTGCCTCAGCCTCCTGAGTAGCTGGGATTACAGGCGCGCGCCACCACGCCCAGCTAATTTTTGTATTTCTAGTAGAGACGGTGTTTCACCATGTTGGTCAGGCTGGTCTCAAACTCCTGACCTCGTGATACACCCACCTTGTCCTCCCAAAGTGCTGGGATTATAGGCATGAGCCACCGCACCCGGCCGAGCCAGTACTTTTGATCTAAGAGGGAACTGACATATATCAAGGGTCCACTCCTATGTGCTCTCTCATTTTCATCATGTTCCTCTTCACTTTAATGATCCCCGTTTTATAGATGAGGAGACTGAGGCTTAGAGAGGTTAAAAACATTCTGTACGGGAGGCTGAGGCAGGAGAATCATTTCAACCCGGGAGGGGGAGGTGTTAGTGAGCCGAGATTCTGCCACTGCACTCCATTCTGGGCAACAAGAGCGAAACTTTGTCTCAAAGAAAAGCAAAACAAAACCAAAAAAAAACATGCTGTATATCCTGTCACCCAGTATGTTTCCAAACCAGGACTTAAACCTAGTCTGCAGTAAGCCCCAGTCTCCAGTGTGTCAGAAAAGGTCGGGGACAATTAAGGAGGACTTCCCTTCTGCTTTGCCTGGCCCACAACAGCCCGTATTTCTGCCATCATTCTCTCTCCCACCCCCAGATGCTGTTCACCAGCCCAGGCTTGAATGGGTGTCATTCTCTCTGCAGATCCCAGAAATTATCCATTTCTGCTGTGATTTCCTCATGTCCTGGGTGGACGAAGAGAACATTCTCGATGTCTACCGGCTGGCAGAGCTGTTTGACTTGAGCCGCCTGACTGAGCAACTGGACACCTATATCCTCAAAAACTTTGTGGCCTTCTCTCGGACTGACAAGTACCGCCAGCTTCCATTGGAGAAGGTCTACTCCCTCCTCAGCAGCAATCGCCTGGAGGTCTCCTGCGAGACCGAGGTATATGAGGGGGCCCTTCTCTACCATTATAGCCTGGAGCAGGTGCAGGCTGACCAGATCTCGCTGCACGAGCCCCCAAAGCTCCTTGAGACAGTGCGGTTTCCGCTGATGGAAGCTGAGGTCCTGCAGCGGCTGCATGACAAGCTGGACCCCAGCCCTTTGAGGGACACAGTGGCCAGCGCCCTCATGTACCACCGGAACGAGAGCCTACAGCCCAGCCTGCAGAGCCCGCAAACGGAGCTGCGGTCGGACTTCCAGTGCGTTGTGGGCTTCGGGGGCATTCACTCCACGCCGTCCACTGTCCTCAGCGACCAGGCCAAGTATCTAAACCCCTTACTGGGAGAGTGGAAGCACTTCACTGCCTCCCTGGCCCCCCGCATGTCCAACCAGGGCATCGCGGTGCTCAACAACTTCGTATACTTGATTGGAGGGGACAACAATGTCCAAGGATTTCGAGCAGAGTCCCGATGCTGGAGGTAGGACAGGGTGCTAGCTGGTCCCTTTGTCTTCAGGTGATGAGAGGGTGTGGAAGTCATGGGCTGAGAGAGCTGGTCAGGTTCCCCCCAGCCTTTCACATGAGCATCACTTGCCATTGTGGAATGAAGTCTAGGTGAATTCAGAGAAGGTGGACAGCAGTGAGATAAGAGAAGGGGACATGTGGATCGCCTTCTTTCCTGCATGTCCCCTACTCCTCAGAAACCCACTTACCCTGGACCCTTGCTCAGCCTCTTTGGGGTAGGCTAGGTTGCGAGTGCATTGTGCAGGAGGAGACGGGAGGGGAGAGGAGCCCACAGCAGGAAAGGCAGTCGGACTGGGATGGAGAGGACCTAGGAGCAGTGCCAGCTGAGCAGCCTCGCCCTCCATCATGCTCTCTCTGAGCTTTGATGCATGTTGTTTCAGTTTCCCTTCACCAGTCAGCTTTGCTCTTCTCTCTTACCTGCTTGCTAATGGTGGAACAGGCTTCCTGCTGCTGTGCCTGAGCAGCATGCGGTCTTCAGCCCAGGGGCGTGGTAAAGGCCAACAAGCATCACCGAGCCTCATGCTACATTTCCGCTCTGCCCTGCAGTCTGCCACGCACTTGGCACAATTTCCCCTGGGAAGAGGCAGTTTTCCCAAGAGAGAGTTTTGTGGACTGCTGTGGTCCGTAGGATGCGCCTGGCTCCATCAGTCACTTAGGCTGTGATCTCACAAATCCATTTCTGGGCAGAGCAAGGGACAGTGGTTCAGGCCCACAAGACTCAGCTACCATTAGATTTCCAGGGACCCCTCCACCTTACCTTGGTGCATGTGAGAAATCTCCCTACCCTTCATGCTGAAAGATGGAGCTGTGTTGGAGAGAGAGAGATTGCCAACTATTTCCAGCAGCCATGAGCTAGATGCTGACTGAGTTCATGTTCATGTTTCTATTTTCTGGGGTCAGGGTGGGGTAGGGCCTGGCCTGGCCATGCCACTTGGAATCAAGCATAGTGATCCTGGCCAAGGAGGAGAAGGCCATTTCTCAGCGACCTCTCTACTGCTGGCCCCAGGAAGTGATCTCCTTTGTTAAGCTGATGAGACTCAGAGGTTGGCAATAACACATTGTGGTTAAATATGAGGAAGGGCAGGTTTCAGAAAAAAGGAAACAGCTACCTTCATTTCCTCTCTAAACAAAGTTGTGCCCCCAGTGGGTGTGGCCACACTAGGTTTAGACTTCCCTTTGGCCAAACCTTAAACCTTCTTTTTTAGGGGGCTCGGTTTCCCAGTTGGGGGGCCAAGGCCAGACCACCCTGCTGAGAGTAACCTACAGACCTGCAAAGCCAATCTCTCCAGAGTGTTTTGGCTTCTGGCCCTTAGCAGAAGGTAGAGACAGCTGTGTGCTTGGCAGTAATGCTGGATGTTTCCACAGAGCTGTCCCTAGGGGGGTGACAGCTTGGGATTCTGCCTGCCCCTGTCCTCTGTCCACCTGCTATGGGCCATTGATCTCACTTTCACTTAAAGTAGGAGTCTGAATTTCCCCTTGTGAAGGGGTGTGAGACCAAAGCTGAACTCTGGGTAATGCTAATATTAGACCCTGTAACCAATAACCAGTCCCAAACTCCTGTCTGAGAGTAGGATCACAATGGCAAGTGGGGTCGGCAAGACCTGCCTTGAGAGAGTAGGTATCCACAGAGTGGAGGTGGCAGGAAGGACCACAGCCCTACTGGTTAACCCAGGGATGTATCATCTCTCCAGAATGAAGGCATCATTAACCTTCCAGTGGACTCAAAACTTCCAGATGAATCCTTAATTTGAATATTCTAAGATTTGGTTCTTTCTCTGCTTTCTCATTTCATCAGCCTTAGAACTGGTGAATTCTAAAAGCTATAGGCTTTTAGAATATAAGGAAACAAGATTTTGCAGTAAATTAGGCTTTGCATTTTGAGGAGTTATTACTTACCAGGTTATATCTTAAAGCATTGGTGCAGAAACCGCATATTTAAAAACCTTTCCTCTCTTGGAGCAAATGGTGTTTGTCTCCAATATACTACTTTTTCTCTTTCATTCCTTCTTTCTTTGCATCTATATTATCTGCATCATTCCTTGTACCTTTCCCATAGCCATAGCCCTGTGGATTACTGAACACCAACTACATGGTATACCTAGTAGTAGCTGGTTACATGTTGCTATGTGCCCTGACCCTACTTAAAATAATAATTTAGGCTATGTGCAGATCATGTCAATAATCCCAGCACTTTGGGATGCTGAGGCAGCAGGATCTTTTGAGCCCAGGAGTTCAAGATCAGCCTGGGCAACAAAGCGAGACCTCGTCTCTACCAAAAAAAAAAAAAAAAAATTAGCTGGGCCTGATGGTACGTGCTTGCAGCCCTGGCTACTTGGAAGGCTGAGGCAGGAGGATCGCTTGAGTCCAGGAGTTTTAGACTTCGGTGAACTATGATCATGCCCCTGTACTGTAGCCTGGGCAACAGAGTGAGACCCTGTCTCTAAAAAAAATTTTTTAAATAATAATGTAATTTTTCCTTCGGCATTTCATGGCTGCTAATATTTTAAAGTAAATTTAATTTTTTTTTTTTTTTTTTTGAGACAGAGTCTCGTTCTGTCGCCCAGGCTGGAGTGCAGTGGCACGATCTCGGCTCACTGCAACCTCTGCCTCCCGGGTTCAAGCCATTCTCCTGCCTCAGCCTCCTGAATAGCTGGGATTACAGGCGCCGACCACCACGCCCAGCTAATTTTTTTGTTTTTTTGTTTTTTTGTTTTGAGATGGAGTCTCGCTGTTTTCTGCCCAGGCTGGAGTGCAATGGTGCAATCTTGGCTCACCACAACCTCCGCCTCTGAGGTTCAAGCAATTCTCCTGCCTCAGCCTCCCGAGTGGCTGAGATTACCGGTGTACGCCACCATGCCTGGCTAATTTTGTATTTTTAGTAGAGATAGGGTTTCACCATGTTGGCCAAGCTGGTCTTGAACTCCTGACCTCAGGTGATCTGCCCACCTGGGCCTCCCAAAGTGCTGGGATTACAGGTGTGAGCCACCACGCCCGGCCATTTTTTTGTATTTTTAGTAGAGATGGAGTTTCACCATGTTGACCAAGTTGGTCTTGAACTCCTGACTTCAGGTGATCCGCCTGCCTCAGCCTCCCAAAGTGCTGGGATTACAGGCATGAGCCACCCACCGTGCCCGGTCAGTACATTTAATTTATTTAAAAAATTTAATAGACATTAAAACATTAATAGTCATGAAAATACTTAAGTCATGGAAATATAGAAGAAAAACAGTCTACTGAATTTTTTTTTTTTTTTTTTTTTTTTTGAGTTGGAGTCTCTCTGTCACCCAGGCTGGAGTGCAGTGGCGTGATCTCAGCTCACTGCAAGCTCCACCTCCTGGGTTCACACCATTCTCCTGCCTCAGCCTCCCGAGTAGGTGGGACTACAAGCGCCCACCACCACGCCTGGCTAATTTTTTGTATTTTTAGTAGAGACGGGGTTTCACCGTGTTAGCCAGGATGGTCTTGATCTCCTGACCTCATGATCCTCCCGCCTTAGCCTCCCAAAGTGCTGGGATTACAGGCGTGAGCCACCGTGCCTGGCCACAGTCTAATGAATTTAACAAGAATTCCAGAATATTTTTGTACCAACTCTAGGGTTCATGTCTGAGTTTACAATAGGATGATACAAATCTGAGTTAAAGTGACTCTCCTAGTCAGTTTCAGCTGCTATAACAAATACTATAGATGGAGTGACTTAAACAACATACCTCTATTTCTCACTGTCTGGATACTGGGAAGTCCAAGATCATGGTATTGGCCAGTTTAGTCCCGGTAAGGTCCTTTCCGTCTGTGTTCTCACATGGTGGAGAGAAAGAGCTGTAGCCTCGGGCACTAAGCCCATCATGGGGCTCCACCCTCATGACCTGATCACCTCCCAAAGGCCATGCCTCCCACTACCATCACAATGGGGGTTAGGCCTTCAACATAGGGGTTTTGGGGGAATCCAAACATCTAGTCCATAGCAATAAGTAAAATTGTTTATATCTTTATATGCAAAAATAAAGCTTATTTTTATTAGAAAAATATTACTTGAGGACTTATTCTCATAAAGTAGAAAATTAATTCAATAAAGAAGAAGAGGGATACAGGACACAACAGGGAAATAAGAAATCAGTGTAACTTTGGCTATGTCTAAATTATTGACATATGGTATCACTGTTGGTGTCTTTTTTTTTTTTTTTTTTTTTTTTTTTTTTTTTTTTTGGGGGATGGAGTTTCACTCTGTCGCCCAGGCTGGAGTGCAATGGCATGATCTCAGCTCACTGCAACTTCTGCCTCCCGGGTTCAAGTGATTCTCCTGCCTCAGCCTCCCGAGTAGCTGGAACTACAGCCACACACCACCATGCCTGGCTAATTTTTTTATATTTTTAGTGGAGACGGGGTTTCACCATATTGGACAGTCTGGTCTTGAACTCCTGACCTCGTGATCCACCCGCCTCAGCCTCCCAAAGTTCTGGGATTACAGGCGTGAGCCACCACGCCCGGCCCTGTGTGTGTCTTTAAATTTGAAGCCACAAATCCACATGAACTCAGCTTAAAAAGCTGTGAGGACAATAGACTCGAAGGAGCAAACAGGAGCACATGGAGGGTCCTATCTCACTCTGGTTGCAGACACTTGGGGTGCAGATGGTGATTGAGCCAGACTGAACACAAGAGAGGAGAGACTTGTATATAAAGGAGGAAGGCGCACAGGAAAGGCAGTGAACAGCACCATCCCAGCCAGTTGACGGGGCCCCTGTGAGTGCTGTGCCCCAATCCTGGACTGCTGGTCCCCTGCCAGACCTTCTTCTGGCTTGTGCCCCAGGTCATGCAGGTCTCAGACCCTGCCTTCTCAGGAGGCCTTTCCTGATCACTGCAAGGGAGCTCTGCCCTCCCCAGGCCCCGCTGACCAGCAGGTCACTCATCTTCTTACCTCCCTTTCTTTCTTTCACAGTGTCTGTCATTATATTAAGCACTCATTTGCTCTGGTTAGCCTGTTTCCATTCTGCAGGGGAAGGCAGGGCCCTGACCTCTTGAGGCTCCCTCTGGATGTAGTGCTGAGCACTGTGCCCCATCCACAGTGGGAGACCTGGGAATGTTGGTAGAGTGAATGAATGATTCATTGCTGGTAATCTTACTCCTTTGTTTAATTCATTCAGCAGACAGAACATAATCTGTCCTGAGCCAGAGGCTACACTGAGGTCTAGGAATATAGAAATGAACCATGATCCATCAGAACCCCCAAGTTAACAAGGACACTTTTCATGCTCGTCTTTTATGATTCTTCTTGATAGCTTTTCTAGGCAGGTGATATCACCTCATTGGACAGGTGCAGAACTGAGCGAATCCCAAGAGATTAAAACTGATGCCCAGGCACACCCAGCTAGACAGGGAAGAGCCCAGGATTCACACCAGGTCAGGGAGACCCAGGTGTGTGTTCCCTCTCTTGTTGGCCCTGCCTTCTGAGGCTCCTGTTTGCTGCATTCCTGGTAGGCGGCGGGGAGGGGCTGGCCACACTGCAGGGGCTGCAGGAAGCAAAGGATGAAACTGATCTTTTCACTAACCAGCATAGGGCACAGGCCAAAGAAAACTTTGGTTACTCTCTTGTGAGCCAGTTGAAGTTAGACTTGTTCTCTTTGGAATAGGTCTTCCTCTGCAGAAATAAAAACACTTGTCTGAAAGAGGCTGTAACTATCTGTGGGCTGTTGGGCAAGGACACTTCAGATACTGGCTTTGAGCTCACTGGGTCCTGGCCCCTCATGGCTCTGTGATCATCTCTGCTCCACATTGCAGGCCATGCTCCCTGTTGGTGCTCAGCCCAGGAGCCCTCCTTGGGTCCTGGCCAGACTCCTCCACCCTCGTGGGCCTGCCGCAACCAGTCTAGTGCCTTTTCTCCCATGGGGGTCCCTGGAATCTCACACACCCTGCCCTTACAGAGCCTGCAGTCCAGGGTGGGAGTTAACCCTTTCCACTTTCCCAGAGAGGGAGACCTTGAGTGGAGGGGAGGTCAGGAAACGCGGGGCTGGCAGCATGGTGGGAGGAGGTGAAAGTACGATGACCAGAGCCTTGTGTGTGCGGCTGTTGACAAAGCTGAGGGTATGATGGGTGCTGTGTGCAGGGCGTGCCTGAGAAGACCACTCCTGATGGAGTGCTGGGGGAAGTTCAAGGCTTGGAGGCCAATGAGGGGGCTGATGGCACCCATCCAGTGGAGAGGCTGTATTTGGAGGCCCTCCTGAGTGGGAGCAAGGCTATGTGGATGATGAGATGAGGTAAGTGAGATGGAAGTGGCTGTACGAACAGCCATTGAGGCTGAGGCAGGAGGATTGCCTAAGTCCATATCCCAGGTGTCAAGACCTTGTCTCTATCAAAAAAAAAAAAAAAAAAAAAAATAGCGGGCGTTGTGGTGCGCACCTGTAGTCCCAGCTACTTAGGAGACTGAGGTGGTAGGATCACTTAAGCCCAGGAGGTCGAGGCTACAGTGAGCCATGATTGTGCCACTGCACTTCAGCCTAGGGGACAGAGAGACCTCTCTCCACAAAAAAAAAAAAAAAAAAAAAAAAAGAGCCATTGGACAGCCCAGGTGGACAGTTAGGTGGAAACACAGGAGGCTCCTGGCCATTCCTTCCATGCTGTGTGGTGGGGAGCACCTGTGCTCAGGTGTGTAACAGCCTGTGGGCCTGGCTGTAGATCGGTGTGCACTGGTATGTGGGGTAGTTGGGGAGGGTTCAGGCTGGGCTGAGGCAAAGCAGAAATGGGACCAGAACAAGAGGTGCAAGCCTGCGGAGCAGCCTCCCTGCCTAGTCAGTGCTGTGCTTTCCTCATGTCTCGGCACAGGTATGACCCACGGCACAACCGCTGGTTCCAGATCCAGTCCCTGCAGCAGGAGCACGCCGACCTGTCCGTGTGTGTTGTAGGCAGGTACATCTACGCTGTGGCGGGCCGTGACTACCACAATGACCTGAATGCTGTGGAGCGCTACGACCCTGCCACCAACTCCTGGGCATACGTGGCCCCACTCAAGAGGGAGGTAAGGAAGCCCTCGAAGAGGGGCCTTCTCCTGCCTAATTTCCTTCCCCAGGATGTGCAAAGAGTGAGAGGCCTAGGTGTCAAGGCCTGTCCCAGGTCAGAGAAACAGGCTCAGTGAGCAGAATCCATGCTTCTCCAGAGACCCTGCATTGAATGCATTGATGAGGCCCCATGAGGTTCAGCCAGTCCACCTGGGGAGGCTCATCAAGGATCCAGACCCCATTGCTCAGAATTGTGCCCCACTTGTGAGTCTTACATGCTGAGACCTTGTCACACCACCTTGGCCCTGGCAAGCTGCTTAAACCTTGTAGTTCAAATGTGGATAGAACATTTGCTCTTTGTGCAGCTGAGACGAGCTGGGACACTTCCAGAGATGTTAAACAGGAAGGGACCCTGAGAGCTCACTGGCCTATCCTCAGACCTCTTCCCTCTAGGTCCCCTGAAGGGTGGCGCCTTCCAGAGCCAAGAAACACTCTAAGGTTTTATTTTTTATATTAAATCCTATGTTTGAATATTGGGACAACTTGAAAAAAAAATCACGTGCATCCTATATAATACCTTGGTTTATTCCAATTTGAAGATGTTTAAAATTATGTTCATTATGGAAAAATGATGTTTTAGGGAGGTGCCTCTCTTTTATCTTACGACTTTGGGGTACTCAGGCCTGGTGTAACAACCAGACATGGGATCCCAGGGAAGGAACAGGCCTTGCTGGCCCCCTACTTCCTGGGTCTCAGCCTCCGAGAACAGGGCATACCCTAGCAGTACTAGGGGTACCCTAGCAGGGCACCCCGCTAGTACTGGCATAGCATTTGTGGAGCACCTGCTATGGGCCAGGTACACCTTTGGGGATAACCGAGCACCTGAGAGGCAGAGGATGGTATGGGGGGCAGGTTCTACCTGCACTGCCTCAGGGAGTTTAGCAAGAGCTCTGGCCTTTGTAAGCCTCTTTCCAGTATCTCTCATGACCCCCAATTCCCCCAGGGACTTAGACTTTGACTTCAGGGGTCAGGGCTAGTGTCTCCTCAATGGATCCAGCTCTTCTTTATCCAGGTCATTCACACAGCCCACACAGATTTCTGTCTCTTGGGCAGCTGTGAGCTGCAAGCTGTGGCCTGCTCCTTGCTCTCAGCTTCTTTGGGGAGAAGGAAGCCTCTTTGGAAGGACACTCCGTACCCCCATCCTGGGGAAAGGAGCAGATTTTGCATGGAGAAGATCAGGAGGTCCTTGAGACCAAGTGGACAAGGAGGGCTCTTGGGTTCTGTTCCAGGAAGGGTGTTGGGGGAAGCCTCCTAGGTGGGTGTTGTGGGAGGGGCTTAGCAGTTTCTTTGTCTGCGGCAGCTGGGGAAGCAGCAGTTCTCCAGCTTGGCCACAGAGGGGCAGCCTTGGCTTTCAACCAGCTGCATCGTGGCTGCCGGTGTTCCTTCATGCACGCATTCATTCCGCAACTACTAAGCACCATGTACCAAGTCCTGGGAATCCAGTGGTGACAAGAAATGAGAAAGACTCCCCACTCCATGGTGTTTACAGCCTTGTAGGAGAAACCACTCTTAACCAGAAAACAGATCAGTAAAGTGGTTACAATTATGGTAAGTGAAATGAAGAGGGGGCTGAACTGGAGGATTTCCAGGGAGGGGGCTCTGGTAGGATGAATCTAGAGGGACTTTTTGGGGAATGTCCATCTGAGGAGATGTCAATTAGACCTGCCATTTACAGAGGGAGGAAATGTTACTGGGAATGTGTCCTCGGTTCTTGTCTTCTTGGTTAAGACTTTAAGCAAGAGACATGCATTAACGAAGATAAGTGTAAGGCAGTTTATTGCAAAAGTGAAGGTACATTCTGAAGGCCGAGTCAGAGCAGGCTGCTCCAGAATAAGATCGCCCCAACTGGCATGGGAAACCTCCCTTACAGGAGGCTTACATGATTATTCATAAATGGGCGGGAAGAGGTGTTACTCATAAGCATGTTTTGTTTGGGTGGTCTTCTAGCAGCGCATGCACTGTGGCTCTACGTGCTAGTGTATTTATCGCATGTCTCATTAGCATCTTAAATCTTCACCCAGGAGGTGTGTTTTTTACCACTGCAGTGAACAAAAGGTTACTTTCGAAGCAAGCAAAACTGGGGCAAACTATACAACACAGGCTCCCGGGGGTGGAAAGTTCCTTGTGGGGTTAGTTCCTACTTGAGCTGGATAAGCTTAACTGAAAGAGGGGTTGGGACTTTTGAAACCCCAGGTGTGGTTAACATGTCTCAGAGGTCATAGTCCCTCTGGCCATGCTAGGGGCTGAGGCCAACCTGGAGTCCACTTCCCTGCTCATATCTAACCATCTGCCTAGTCTAGCAGAAGGACCTTCCAGGGCAGGAGAGGGGCTCACAGCTTTTCCTGAGCAGGAGAGGAAGCATGGGGCATGCTTGTAGAAGAAGGAAGCCCAAGGATCAAGAGCAGAGCAAGCGAGGCTGGCCCTGGGTCATTGCGTGGTCTGGGCTGAAGACAGCAGTAGCCTGTGCTGGCACACAGCTGTGGAGCTGGAGGGAGATGGGAGGGTTCAGAGTGTAGCGTGGAGGTAAACTGATCAGGCTTGCTGATGGATCAGATGTTGGGGAATGAAAAAGGATAGGTCATGTTGGCAGGGCGCGGTGGCTCACGTCTGTAATCCCAGCACTTTGGGAGGCCCAGGCGGGGGGGATCACCTGAGGTCAGGAGTTCAAGACCAGCCTGGCCAACATGGTAAAACCCCATCTCTACTAAAAATACAAAAATTAGCTGAGCATGGTGGCAGGCGCCTATAGTCCCAGCTACTCAGGAGGCTGAGGCAGGAGAATGGCGTGAACCCGGGAGGCAGAGGTTGTAGTGAGCTGAGATCACACCACTGCATTCCAGCCTGGGCAACAGAGCAAGACTCTGCCAAGACTCCGTCTCAAAACAAACAAACAAAAAACCTCACAGGATTGGTACACTGAATATTACAAAAAGCCGATGAAAGAAATAAAAGAAGATGTGAATAGATGGAGAGACATACCAAGTCCATGGATTGGAAGAGTAAGAATAGTAAGAATGTCAGTTCTTTCCCAACCCAATTAATAATACATATATTAATACAGAATTCCTCATATTGATATAGTATTAATACAGGAATACTAGTATTCCTATCAAAATTTCAGGAAGGTTTTTTGTACTATTAAGGGAAAATGAAAATTGAAGCTGAGGTTTGGATATACCCCTAGGCCAACTGCCTGTAGCCATGTAACTGAAACTTAAGCTTTCCTCCCTCAGTGTGATAGCTTTACAAAGAAAGCTTATGCAGCTCCACATGCACAGTAGGGAACAATATTCTTCCTCATTCATGCTTTATAAACTGTGTTGTAACTGCTGTGAATTGGGGCTTCATACCACTTCCAGTTTGGGGTTTCCTGGTTCATGAACTCTTCTTTTACATGCACAATAAGCTTTTTAAAAATTTTTTTATTTTTATTTTTTTTGAGACAGAGTCTCGCTCTGTCACCCAGGCTGGAGTGCAGTGGCATGACCCCGGCTCACTGCAACCTCTGCCTCCCTGGTTCAAGTGATCCTCCTGCCTCAGCCTCCCAAGTAGCTGGGATTACAGGTGAGCACCACCATGCCCAGCTAATATTTATATTTTTAGTATCATGAAGGTTTCACCATATTGCCCAGGCTGTTCTTGAACCCCTGGTCTCAAGGGATCTGTCTGCCTCGGCCAAAGTGCAGGGATTAGAGAAGTGAGCCATCACATCCAGCCTAAAATTTTTTTTTATTGCTGGTCGCAGTGGCTCACGTCTGTAATCCCAGCACTTTGGGAGGCCGAGGATGGTGTATCGCTTGAGGTCAGGAGTTCAAGACCAGCCTGGCCAACATGGTGAAACCCCATCTCTACTAAAAATACAAATATTAGCTGGGTGTGGTGGCACACACCTGTAATCCCAGCTACTGGGGAGGCTGAGGCACAAGAATGGATTGAACCCAGGAGGCAGAGGTTGCAATGAGCCGAGATTGCGCCACTGCACTCCAGCCTGGGCGACAGAGTGAGACTGTCTCAAAAAATAATAATAAAATAAATTTCAAAATAAATAAAATAAATTTTTTAATTTTGATTTGATTTTACTTGTGACATTAGATGTAAATGAGATTATTCTGAAATGTATATATAAAGGCAAAGGAACTAGAATAGCTCAAATAATTTTGAAAAAGAACGATAAGATGGGAGGAGTCTGCCCAATTTCAAGATTACTACATAGCTACAGTAATCAAGGCTGTGGTATGGATACAGTGATAGACACATAGATCAGTGAAACAGAATGGAAAACCCACAGACCTGAGTAAATATGCCCAGTCATGTTACACATGATTTTGGACAAAGGTGCAGAAACAATTGAGTGGAGGAAAGATATCTTTCAGCAAATAGTACTGGAGCAATTAGACATGCGTCGGCAAAAAAATGGATATCAACCCAAGTCTCATACCATATACCAAAATGAATTCAAAATGGTTTATGGAGTTAAATGTAAAACCATAAAACTTCTAGAAAAAAAGAAGAAGAAAATCTTTTTTTTTTGAGACCATTGATTTTTAATATTTTCTTAAAAAAATACAAAAGAAATTAACTCTGTAGTACAGGTCAGTACACTTCAGGGAAAGAGGGAAAAATGGAATTTCAGAGCAAAGGTTGTTTAGGTTATCACATTCCCACACTCCCAATACCCATAAAACAAGAATTTCACTCCATGACACAGAGGAACATTGAATGATAGCTCAGAAATGTTGATAGCTGAGGTACTGAAACTAACAAAAGGATTTTGGTTGTCCTTGATTATTCTGTCCTGTAATGAATAAAATCTACACTAAAGGACAGGTAAGGAAAACTTATAGCAGAAAAAAGACTAAATGTACCAATCACAGCAGTACAAACCACTCCTTGGCAGAAGTGTGCTTCTAAAAGAATGGGGCAGTAATCAGGTAGCTGAACTACTAGGCTACTGTCACTCCCAGTCCATCCCCAAATAAATAGTGTGGAAGTGTAATAGTGTAGTAGTATTTGATTCAACAAAGAAAGGCTTTCACCCCCATTCAAGGTTAACACTGCCATGGCTAGATGACCCCTGGCAGGCAATAAGATGACTGTAAAATCACAGGTACTTCTAGTTTATCCCCAGTTATACTGAACTCCCACATTTATGTCATCTTCTCTCATCCCAACATTGGTTCACTCTTTTATGCTGTCTCCAGTGTGAAAGACCTTGGGGAAATAAAAAGATCATTCAAAGAATATACCCTTCTCAGTCTTCCAGGTTATGTAATACTTCAGTGCTGTTCTAGGTTCACTCACATTCCATCAAATTCAGTTTAATTCACTGATTCTAACTTCAATTCTGATATACAAACCCTGACCTCCAAAAGAAGTGTCAGATGAGTATCTCTCCCTTGCCCCCAAAGTTTTGTGGGGCTCTCCCTTTTGTTTCCCTTTAGAATGGAACTGTGTTGCCCCTAGCTACCTGTAGATTAGAAAATGTATTTGTTCCTGGAAAAAAAAAAGACTTGGATTTTACCAAGTTTACTTAAATTGGTATCTTTCCAATCATCTAGGCTGGATATTGCTCACATCTAGTAGGCTATACTCACCTTAGTTCTTTGCAACATATGAGGCACAACATACATATAGTACACCAAGCACGTGGTAAGTTAGAAATGACAGGAAAGTGCTCCCCAAAGTAGTGGGAGAGGTAATGTGGTCTCTCACATCCATTCAATGTGCATTCTTTTCCCTGGAGTATCTGTTACCCACCCTTCTCAGGAACAACAACCAGGACGAGGGGGAGTATGTGTCAAATAAGTACAATCATCACTGCACTGGTGCCTGTAATCACCCTGTGCACATAGTGAGAAACAGACATTCTAGAAAGGATTCTTGATTCTCCCACTAACTGTCCACTGGACTGGTCACTAGCTCTGGATGGTGCTCCAACAATGGTCACTTCTTGTGGAGAACACACACACCAGCATCACAGCGCTGGGTTCCCATGGATGTCACGACTTCCCAGCTGTTGATGATAGGGTTGTAACATTCAATGCTACTTAGCAGGGACTTACCTTCATATCCTGCAATTGCATAGAGTCTCCCCCGAAGCACTGTGGCCCCTACATAGCATCGTGGAGTGGTCATACTGGTGGCAGTTGTCCGGGAATCAGTGCGAATGTTGTATGCTTCAACGGAAGAAAGGTGGGCTGTACCATCAAATCTCCCCACCACATAAATACGGTCATTCAGCAGGGCTACTCCTGCACCAGAACGCTTGGTGGCCATTGGTGTAACATTAGTCCAGTGTCCTGTATGAGGGTCATATTTCTCAACTGAATTTAAGATATTCAAGCCGTCATATCCTCCTAGACAGTGGATCACTCCACTGGCCACTACGAGTCCGGCACCTTCCCGGGCTGTCTGCATATCTCCCAGCATGCTCCTCTGGTCAATGTTTGGATCATACCGCTCCATACTGGTGTGACGCCTGCTTCCATCAAAGCCTCCAGAGACATAGATCAAATCTCCCAGGGTGGTGGCTCCAGCAAGACCTCATCAGACATTCATAGGGGCCACAGAATACCAGACCCCATCCTCATCTGCTGTGTAGTCTAGACATTCCACTGAACTAAGGCTGGAACGACCATCACAGCCACCAATGACGTAGATCTGGTCATGTAGGGACACTGAGGCCACATAACATCTCTTACAAGTGATGCTTGGCAAAAAGCTCCACTCCTGAGTCTTGGGGTCATATTTCTCTACTGCATCGATGGGAGACTGCTGGCTTCCGAAGCCCCCAGCCACCAAAAGCACTTCATTGGCTCCTAGGCGAGCCCTTGTCCTGGGTCCCTGCATCTGACTCTGAAGTTCAGGCCTCAGATGAAACTTCTTTGCTTCATCAACCAGATCCCTGCATTGTAAACCATAGTGGATGAAAGGCTCAGCATCTATTACATCTGTGATATACCTGAGGGTTAGCAGGGGCATCTGCATATACTGTAGCAGGCTGGGCAAGGAGTCTTTCTGCTCTTTCTTGGCATGCTTCACCCAACTGATGACAGCCTCAAAGACTGGTTCTTCAGGATCCACCTGAATTTCATCGCACTTGATTAGCTTTTCCACCTCTCCTTGCCTCAGAAGAATGAACTCTTCATGCTGTACCACTTCAGGAAAATTCTTCTGGCTAAAAACCTCAGCTGCTTGTGTCAGGTCAACACAATTGTGGGTTTCAGCAAAATCCCTAATACCCAGGCAATTAGAAGGGTCCAACTGACTTTCTAAGAACTCACAGCAGGCTTGTTTCACACCTTTCAACTGAAGCAGACAGGCTGCAGGAAGCAGTTCCTGTACATTCTCCATGTCACATGTACTGTTTCCGTGTACACAAAGTCCAATAAAATTTCCATGGTAGAGGCAGTCAAACCTTGGATGTCAACATAGGGTTTCCCCTTCTATAAAGGTCACTAGTGAACATGGCACAGAAGTAATCACTACAGGCAGCCAGCACAATCTCATGGGCAGGAAAGTCTTTCTGCTCTACTCAATGTCACATCACAGAAGGTATTGCTCTTCCCAACGGAGTTCATTGAACTGAGGATTGATTTAGCATGAGTATTTGTCATTATGTCTTTGGGGGCCATAATGCCTCCCATAAAGCAGTGCGGAGAAAGAACAAAAATAGGTCCTTGGATTCTGCAACTCTGCTTCTGATCCCACACAGCCGCGCCAGGGCCTGTCCCCAGCCTGTGGGGATGGAGTGGGGTGCGGGTCCAGCAGGTGGCTCAGGAGGAGCCGAAGCGTCGCCGCCGCCGCCCCGGCCCGGAGGCTCTGGAGCTGTCCGGGTCTGCTCCCTGCGGCCACGCGACGTGATGACCAGAAGAAAATCTTGAGGATCTAGCTAGGGCTAGGCAAGGAATTCTTAGACTTGACCCCAAAAGCATGAGCCATAAAAAGAAAAATTGATAAGCTGGACTTCATCAAAATTAAAAAATATTTGCAAACCACCTATCTGACAAAGGACTAGTATTAAATAAATACATATATAAACAACTCTTAAAACTCAATAAACGGCCAGGTGTGGTGGCTCACACCTGTAATCCCAGCACTTTGAAAGGCTGAAGTGAGCGGATCACGAGGTCAGGAGTTCGAGACCAGAGACCAGCCTGGCCAACATGGTGAAACCCCATCTCTACTAAAACTACAAAAATTAGTTGGGCGCGGTGGCACACGCCTGTAATCCCAGCTACTTGGGAGGCTGAGGCAGGAGAATTGCTTGAACCTGGGAGGCAGAGGTTGCAGTGAGCCGAGACCGTGCCTTTGCACTCCAGCCTGGGCGACAGAGTGAGACTCCATCTCAAAAACAAAAAACCTTGGCAAAATACTGCAAATAACCCCATTAAAAAGAGGGCAAAAGAAGCCGGGCACGGTGGCTCACACCTGTAATCCCAGCACTTTGGGAGGCCAAGGTGGGTGGATCACGAGGTCAGGAGATTGAGACCATCCTGGCTAACACGGTGAAACCCCATCTCTACTAAAAATACAAAAAATTAGCTGGATGTGGTGGCGGACGTCTATAGTCCCAGCTACTTGGGAGGCTGAGGCAGGAGAATGGTGTGAACCCAGGAGGCAGAGGGTGCAGTGAGCTGAGATTGTGCCACTGCACTCCAGCCTGGGCGACACGGCAAGACTCTGTCTCAAAAAAAAACAAACAAAACAAAACAAAACAAAACAAAAAACAGAAGGCAAAAGAGTTGAAGAAACATTTCACTGAAGAGGATGTATAGATGGCAAATAAGCATATAAGGAGATATGTAACATTATTAGCTATCAGGGAAATGCAAATTAAAGCCACAGTGAGAGAACTACCTCAGGATGACTAAAATAAAAAGTAGTGAAAATACGAAATACTGGTGACTGTGCAGGGAAACTATGCTCATGGATTGCTGATAGGAATGTGAAATGGTACAGCCACTCTGGAAAACAGATCTGGCAGTTACCATCCTGGGTATTTATCCCAGAGAAATGAAAACTACTCTGTATACGTTAGCCAGGCATGGTGATGCGTGCCTGTAATCCCAGCTACTCCGGAGGCTGAGGCACAAGAATTGCTTGAACCCGGGAGGCAGAGGTTGCAGTGAGCCAAGATTGTGCCACTATATTCCAGCATGGGCAATAGACCAAGACCCTGTCTCAAAAAAATAAAAAATAACTTATCTGTACATGAATGTTAATAGTAGCTTTATTGGTAATAGCCAGAAACTGGAAACAAATCAGGTGTTTTCAACAGTGAATGGTTAAACAAGCTGTGGTAGATACCCATGGAATACTACTGAGCAATAGAAAAGGAACCAACTATTGGTACATGTTGAGTACCCTTTATCTGAAATGCTGGGGACCAGAAGTGTTTTGGATTTCAGATTTTTTCAGATTTTGGAATCTTTGCATTATAGTTACTGGTTCAGCATTTCTTATCCAAAAGTCTGAAATGCATTTCCTTTGAGTGCCGTGTTTGTGCTCAAAAAGTCTCAGATTTTGGAGGTACTCAACCTGTACATGCAACAACCTGGTAGAACCTGGGTTGGGGTAGAAAGCCAATGTCAAAAGGTTGTATACTGATTTAATTCAGACAACACTCTTGAAGTTACAAAACTGTAGAAATAGAGAAGAGATTGGTGGTTTCCAGGGCTTAAGGAAGGGATTAGGGTAAGGGAGGTGAGTGGATGTCACCCTAAAGGGCAGCCCCTCGGGATCCTGGTGGTGATAGGACAGTTCTGTGGCTGTGTCCACGTCAGCATCCTGGTGACCCTGTGATATAGTGACACAGGCTCCTACCATGGGGGAAAGAAGGCACGTGAGACCTCTGTATTTTTACTTCCAACTACACGTGACTACACTTATCTCAAAATGAAAAGTTTAATTAAAAAGAAAAACCTCGGCTGGGCGTGGTGGCTCATGCCTATAATCCTAGCACTTTGGAAGGCCGAGGCAGGTGGGTCACGAGGTCAGGAGATCGAGACCATCCTGGCCAACATGGTGAAACCCTGTCTCTATTAAAAATACAAAAGTTAGCTGGGTATGGTGGCGGGCGCCTATAATCCCAGCTACTCGGGAAGCTGAGGCAGGAGAATCATTCGAACCCGGGAGGCGGAGATTGCAGTGAGCCGAGATCGTGCCACTGCACTCCGGCCTGGTGACAGAGCGAGACTCCGTCTCAAAAAAAAAAAAAAAAAGAAAAACCTCCCCAGACCCCTACTGGTGATAGGAGAAGACCCAAACCAAACCCTTGGTGTGTGTTCTTCCTCCCCACTGCTCCGTCCACCTCTCTAGACTCTTGTGTTTTTGCCACCCGCATGGCCTCAGTGTTAGTGACTTGCCCAGTAACATAGCTCTGGAGCCTCCACACCCTGAGGGGCTCCTCTACCCTCAAAACACCCAGGGCCTTGCCTTGGGGCCTTCTGTTGGCCTGCTGGGTGTGAGTGGGTGGGTTCCGGAAGTGGTAGGGCCAGGGTAAGAGGTGCCCATGATGGGGGCAGGCTGGGCCCTATGGAGATAGCCCAACAGAGGGAGGGTAAAAAGCCCACAGAAGGTTCAGGACCAGAATCAAGAACCATGTGTATTTTTCTCCCCACATCATGAGTTTAGTGTCAGATATTATTTACAAACATTTTAAAAGCAGGGTCAGCAGGCCCGGAGGATTGCATGTCCAGTGGGAGTGGGGGAGGGGTGGAGGCCACTGAGGGTGGGTCAGCGGTCCCCAGGGTTCTGTGGCTTCTTCCAGACTGGCTTGGAAAAAATGCTTTTATTTTCTTGGAGTTCCCCCATGCAGATGTTAACTTTAGGAGCAAAGGAAAGACAAAGGCTACATTTCATTTCTGAGTCTATAGATGTATCCGCTATTGGGAAGAGGTTAGAGGTCAATGACTAGGACAGTATGTCCCATGAGAATCGAGGGAGGATTCTTGTCTGTATGTGAGTGGGAAGTGGTGAAGCCTCACAGCGTTGTCAGGCAGGTGTGGGGTGGTGATTGGCCTTGACAGAGTACCCAGCCACCCTTCCTCACTGCCCTCTCACGCCATTTCTCCTGGTGGCTCCACACAGGTGTATGCCCACGCAGGCGCGACGCTGGAGGGGAAGATGTATATCACCTGCGGCCGCAGAGGGGAGGATTACCTGAAAGAGACACACTGCTACGATCCAGGCAGCAACACTTGGCACACACTGGCTGATGGGCCTGTGCGGCGCGCCTGGCACGGCATGGCAACCCTCCTCAACAAGCTGTATGTGATCGGGGGCAGCAACAACGATGCCGGATACAGGAGGGACGTGCACCAGGTGAGTGGGGCCCGGGGCAGTCCACACCCGTCATCATTCCCAAGCCTCTCAGTTGTTATTGATGGAAAATGTAATTGAATCATGTGCCTTTTAAAAATAGACTATTTTTTAGAGCAGTTTTAGGTTCACAGCAAAATTAAGTGGAAGGTACAGTTTCCATACACCCCCTTTTCCCCCCATACACATATAGCCTCCCCACTGCAGACCTCTCGCTCCAGAGGGGTGGATGTGTCACAGTTGTTGAAACTGCATTGATGCATCACCATCAACCAGAGTCCACAGTGTTCACTCTTGGCACATTCTATAGGTTTGGACAAATGTCACCATGACAGTATCACACACATACACATCTACCTTTGCTTATTACTCTTAAAAACTTTTAGGCCGGATGTGGTGGCACATGCCTGTAATCCAAGCAGTTTGGGAAGCCAAGGCGAGAGGATCACTTGAGCTCAGGAGCTTGAGACCAGCCTGGGCATCATGGCAAAACCCCATCTCTACAAAAATACAAAAATTAGCCAGGTGTGGTTGCATGCCTGTACTCTCAGCTACTTGGGAGGCTGAGGTTGGGGGATGGCTTGAGCCCAGGAGGCAGAGGTTTCAGTAAGCTGAGATCACGCCACTGCACTCCAGCCTGGGCGACAGAGCCAGGCCTTGTCTCAAAAAAAACAAAAAAAAACAACAACAAAACTTTTAGATCCAGGCTGGCAGCACATACCTGTAGTCCCAGCTACTCAGGAGGCTGAAGTGGGAGGATTGTTTCAGCCCAGAGTTGGAGGCTTCACTGAGCTATGATCACACCGCTGTTCCCCAGCCTAGGTGACAGAATGAGACCCTGTCTCTATTCAAAACAAAATAAAACAAAACAACAGAACAAAACTTTTATTATAAAGTTAATATAACCACATTGCCGGAACTTTAAAAAATAGAGATGGGTGGCCGGGCGCGGTGGCTCACGCCTGTAATCCCAGCACTTTGGGAGGTTGAGGCAGGTGGATCACGAGGTCAGGAGTTCAAGACCAGCTTGGCCAAGATGGTGAAACTCCATCTCTACTAAAAATACAAAAATTAGCCAGGTGCGGTGATGGGCGCCTGTAATCCCAGTTACTTGGGAAGACTGAGGCAGGAGAATCGCTGGAACCCGGGAGGCAGAGGTTGCAGTGAGCTGAGATCACACGACTGCACTCCAGCCTGGGCAACAGAGCAAGACTCCATCTCAAAAAAAAAAAAAAAATAGAGAAGGGTGAGGAAAAGCATTCATAATCAGGCCCCTGCAGTACTGTTTTTCAGTATGACCATTTTCAGCATTGACCGTGTATGTTTTCTGCCTGATTGTAGTCAAAGAGCATCCCATTCTGAGCTGGGCACAGTGGCTCACACCCGTAATCCCTGCATTTTGGGAAGCCAAGGCAGGTGGATGGCTTGAGTCCAGGAACTGATACCAGCCTGGGCAACATGGTGAAACTCCATCTCTACTAAAAATACAAAAAAAAATTAGCCAGGCATGGTGGCTTGCACCTGTGGTCCCAGCTACTTGGGAGGCTGAGGGAGAATCAACTGAGCCCAGGAGGTTGAGGCTGCAGTGAACCGTGATGGTGCCACTGCACTCCAGCCTGGGCAACAGAGCGAGACCTTGTCTCAAACAAACAAACAAACAAACAAAAAAGAGCATCCCATATCCCATTCTGCTTCTCTCAGTGACTTTTGTCCTGGGCATTTTCCAGATTAACACTCAATCTTCATCATCCCCTCTTGTGTCTAAGTTTTAACTATTCCAAATAACATGACAAGTAATAGTTGCTTTGTTGAGCTTTTCAGGTATTTTGGATTATTTCCTTAGGTTCATGCAACAGTTCTCAAAGTGTGATTCTCAGACTAACAGAGTCTGCATCACCTGGGAACGCTGTGTTACGAGGCACCTCAGACCCACTGATTCGGAAGCCCTGAGGGTGGGTCTTGGCGATCTGGCTTTTAACAGGTCCTCTGCTTGTGAGATCCTCTGGGCCAGCACATTAGTTTTCTATTGCTTCAGTAACCTATCACCACAAACATAGCAACTTAAGATAAATTTATTCTGCATTCATAAGTCCTCTGACATGGGCCTTGCCAGGCTAAAACCAGGGTGCGGTCAGGGCATCTTTCCTTTGTGGAGACCCTAGTGGGGATCTGCCTCCCTGCTCACTCTGGTTAGAAGAATTCAGTCCCTGGCAGTTGCAGTCCCATTTCCTTGCTAGCTGTCAGTTGAGGGCCTTCTTGGCTTCTAGAGGTCCCCACTTTTCCTGGCTTGGGGACACTTCGTCTTCAAAGCCAGCAATGGCAGGTTGAGTCCTCCTCACTTCTCAGCTCTCTTGTCTGGCTTTACCCTTCCTTTTTTTCTTTTTTTTTTTTTTATGAGATGGAGTCTTGCTTTGTCACCCAGGCTGGGGGGCACTGGTGCAGTCTCAGCTCACTGCAACCTCTGCCTCCTGGGTTTAAGCGATTCTCCTGCTTCAGCCTCCGGAGTAGCTAGGAGGACTACAGGTGTTCGCCACCACACCTAGCTAATTTTTCTATTTTTAGTAGAGACGGGGTTTTGCCATGTCGGCCAGGCTGGTCTCAAACTCCTGACCTCAGGTGATCCACGCACCTCAGCCTCCCAAAGTGCTAGGATTACAGGCGTGAGCCACCACCCCCGGCCTCCCCTTCCACTTTTTTTGTTTGTTTGTTTGAGACAGAGTCTCGCTCTGTCGCCAGGCTGGAGTGCAGTGGTGCTCTTGGCTCACTGCACCCTTTGCCTCCTGGGTTCAAGTGATTCTCCTGCCTCAGCCTCCCGAGTAGCTGGGGTTACAGGCATGTGCCACCATGCCCAGCTGATTTTTGTATTTTTAGTAGAGACGAGGTTTCACCATGTTGGCCAGGATGGTCTTGATCTCTTGACCTTGTGATCAGCCCGCCTTGGCCTCCCAAAGTGCTGGGATTACAGGCGTGAGCCACCACGCCCGGCCTCTCCCCTTCCACTTTTAAGGGCTCATGCAATTGGATGGATCACCTGGAAAATCCAGGAAAACTGCCCCATCTCAGGGTCTGCACCCTTAATCCTTTTTTTTTTTGTATTCTTGTACCCTTGATCCTATCTGCAAAGCCCCTTTGGCTGCTTAAGGTAGCATATTCTGGAGATTAGGAACTAGACATCTTTGGGGGCCACTATTCTGCCCACCATAGCTAGAGAACCAAAAACGGCTAATCAGTCAAGAAGGTAAGATTTTTATGGCTCTTAATACTTATTGCCAAATTCCTTTTCTGGCATGTCAGACAGATACATAGTAGTATGGCTTTACCACACCCTCAACAGCATTGGGTTTTGTGATTTTCCTTCTCTGCAGTGGTTGCTAGTTGAAAAATTTGTCTCTGATGTTTTGATTTTGCGTTTCTTGAATTACTAGTAGGTTGAACATTTTTCCATGTCTTTGTTTACTGTTTGGACAATTTTGAAGACAAGAGAATATTGATGTTGACTACTCCGCAAGGAATTACTTCCACTTTCTGTCTCCTCCCCCTGTCCTACTGCCTGTGTTGAGTGCTGCAGAAGGAGGTTGAAGACATTTCAGTGGAGTCCATGTCTCTCAGGCAGCTTCGTTTCCTGGAGGGGAGAGAAGCAGTGCCCTCAGACATGGGGAATGACCACATGCTGATGGGGGCACAGCCACACACTCGGGGGCAGAGACTGGCTTAGGGCCGGGTGGCCTAGAGGAAGGGCTGGGCTGGAGCAAAGCCAGAGAGAATAGGATCATTCTAGGGGAGGGCCCAAAAGACAGCCTCCTGCAGACTCGGCCATCCCTGGGTGAGAAAGCAGCAGCCTGGCCCATGGACAGGATGTTTCAACACTGGCCCTGTGCCATCCTTCCAGGGGGCCTGACCTGTCAGAATGGTGGGTAACTGTTGCCACCTTGGTCAGTGGGCTTGTGGGGGAGCTGGCAGCCTCGTCCCAGTGGGTGCTGGGCTTTATTCTAGCCTTGGCTTTGCAGGTGGCCTGCTACAGCTGCACGTCTGGACAGTGGTCATCTGTCTGCCCACTCCCTGCTGGGCACGGTGAGCCTGGCATTGCTGTGCTGGACAACAGGATCTATGTGTTAGGTGGCCGCTCACACAACCGCGGCAGCCGCACAGGCTACGTGCACATTTACGATGTGGAGAAGGACTGCTGGGAGGAAGGGCCCCAGCTGGACAACTCCATCTCAGGCCTGGCGGCCTGTGTGCTCACCCTGCCCCGCTCCCTGCTCCTTGAGCCGCCCCGCGGGACCCCTGACCGCAGCCAGGCCGACCCGGACTTTGCCTCTGAGGTGATGAGTGTGTCTGACTGGGAGGAGTTTGACAACTCCAGTGAGGACTAGGCTCCCTGTGCCTGGCATCAGAGGGAAGGGAGGCTGGGGCTGCAGGGCAGTGAAACCCACGCAGCCTAGGCCAGAGCACTTTACTCCAGGCAGGGCCCCTGCCCCTGTTGGCCACAGCTTATGGGCCCTGCCCTCTTTCTTCACACCAGCCCCTTGGCCAGCCTGCCGCAGGCATCTCAGGGCCATGCAGATCCCAGGCTGTGGATTACGTCACTGCAGGAACTGCTTCTGAAAGGCTTTGGCCTTCCTCAGTGAGCCCTGGAGGGGTTGGCCTTCTCTCCTCCCTGCCTAGATCAGTCCTTCTCCAAAAGGACCTGGGAGCTGGCAGCCTGGGCAGGGGGGCTGAGGCACGTGGTAGCCCTCTTTCTGTGAATGGGGTGGGGCTGTGGGGGCAGCTGGGGTTGGAGGATGAGAGCTCCTGAGGGGCAGAGGAGCAGAGATGCATCAGCTCGCCTGGGACTGGCTCTGTGATAAAAAGACCCCTCCCGCTGGGTTTTCAGACCCCATGTTGTTGGTCAATGAAATAAAGCATCTTACAGAAGGTGTTAACTGTTTTTCTGTAGCCACAGCCTCAGTTCCTTTCCACAGTGCACCCAAGCTGCGTCCCCAGGAAGCGTGGCTTCTGGGGTCAGAGCTGCCATCTGGGAGAGGCTGTGGAAGCCCAGGCCAGAAGCCAAGTGGCACTGGGAAGACCCTGCCTGAGAGGGAAGCACAGTAAACTCCACAAGCTAACAGGGCACTCAGTGGGAAAGCTGGAACTCGCCCTGGTCTGGTGACAGGTGGTTGTGCAGCCACTTGAGTGTCTTCTCTGGTGTGGAACTTGTCTCCCAACCAGGGCAGCACGCAGAGTTTCAGCCCAGCTCGTTAGGAGTCTCTCAGCCTGAGGGTCAGGGAACCAGAGCTTCAGCACCTGGGAGCGGGGCAGCATCAGGGGGTCGGTGGGGGGGGCCCCTCTGGCCTGTGCCCGGCTCCTCCCAACCTCCTGAAGCTGAGTGTGCTGGGGAGGGGAGCTGCATGTGCTACAGGTTTGCCAGGTAACCCTTAGGCACCCAGTCTCAAGGACCACACTGGCACAGCAGCTGGGACCCTCCCCTGTTCACCTGTCCCCATGCTTTTCTTGCCCTCTTGAGACTGCCAGGCTTAGCCTGCACCCTGCATGGATGGGCTGTGAGCCCACACCAGCCTCACTGCAGGGCTGCACCACACGAAGCTTTCTTCCATCCTGATGCCCTCATAGGGTCTGCACCTGCAGACTCCTACTATGAGCCTTGTGCCCAGAGCCATCCCGCAGACAGGGCTGTAACTTGCCAAGGCCCCATCCTTTCCCAGTTGACTGGGCAGAGCATGGGGACAGCCATGTGTTCCTGCTGGCATCCTGTCCCGGAAGAGAAGGGGGCAGTGTGTGCTCCTTGATGGGAGGAGAGGGGATGGGGACGGGGGACTATCAGTCACTCTGGGCTCTCCTAAATGGATACCCCAAGGATTCTTGAGGGTAGAGACAAAGCCCTCAGAGTTGGCCTGTGCCCCCAGGGCTGTGGTATGTGGGTGTGTGTGTAACCTGAAGACCTTCCTCACTGTCCTGGGCCCTGAGTACCCCTGAGGAAACATGACATTGCCTTGGGGTGGCAGACCCAGTGTTGAGCCCTAGTGGGGCGGGATGGCTATACACTCCAGTGTCATCTCCCTTTCTCCTGAGGGTGAGGCGCAAGAGCATGGGTTCAGAGTAGGAACCCCACTCTGTGGGTCTCAGACCCAGCACTTCCTGTGTCTCTGCTACCACCTGGCAGGCCAGGGCAATAGCTCCTGCAGACCTCAGAGGTTTCTGGAAAGGAGGAGCACCAGACATGCCCCACCACTCTCCAGTGCGTCCTGACAACATGCTGGCTGGCAACATCTCACCTGAGCCACCAGCCACAGCCACAGGTTTGCAGGAGGCCTCTGGTCTGCAGGGGCAGGAAGGGCTCACTGAGGTCCTGCACAGCCTGGGGAGGGGTGGAGAGTGCCTTGGAGTTGGGCGCAGCCTGGCCCTGCCACTGTCAGCCTTGGGGCTAAGCTGGGTTTCTAAGGGTTACACCTGATACCCCGGAGCTGAGGCAGCCCAACTTGTGCTCTCCAGTGTGGCTAGGCTCTTGGTCCCTGCTTTCATGCAAAACCCTCCTCAGCCTTCAAAGTCCACTTCCTTCTGGCAGCCATCCTGGCCAAAACCAGCAGGCCAGGGCTCCGGGCTCCAGCAGTTTGCCTGCGTGGTGGTCAATTGTCTGTGGGTTCCTTCTACATCCTAGTGCCATGTGGATGATCCTTCATTCCTCCCATACTTCTCAGTCTTCCCCTAGGGGTGCAGTGGTGGTTGGGAGAAATGAGGGCTCTGCCCATGACACCCAAAGTTGCCATCTACTGCAAGGGATGTATGTACCGGGTCGTGAGGTGAGACTGGGGATGGTCCTCATCCTGAGAGCAGTGGTGGATAGCCACATGTGAGATTAAAAAGACTACTCTGGGTGGCAGACAGGGGTGGGCAGAGATCTAAGACATTTAGGAGGTCCTGGGGGATTGGGGGGCACCATCCAGGTGGTGCCCTCCCTGGACAGGTCTGGGGGAAGGAGAAAGGTGATGGAATTTGATATGCCTATTCATGACCTCCATCCAGCTGAGGTGAGTGTCCCCTCCAGCCCAGGGGGTCAGTGCCTCTAAAGCCAGGAGCTGGGCTGGGACAGACCTTGCAGCCACTGGGACCTCTGCTGGCCTCTATTGGGAGCCGCAATCCGGATCCTCCGTGGGAGGGGCCCCAGCACTGGGAGGGCATTGCTGAGGTCAGGGCTGTGCCCAGGCTGAGCTGCCCAGAAGTGGTTGGCCTGTTTATTTGTCCCCAGGTAGTTGCATTCGTGTCCACACTAGTTCCACTTCTCTTTCAGCCCACCCCACCTCCCTCCTGCACCAGCATGGCTGAGTGAGGGGCCTGCTCCTCCCCATCCCACTCTCTGCCTGTGCCAGCCTGGTGATGCCCATGGCCTTGGGCCTTTCAGTGGCTCCTCCTCCAAGCCCCCTCCTCCAGCCCCACCCTTCGGGGCTATCTGGCCACACCTGGACAGAGTCTGCCTGCCCTCCCTCAGTGAGCCTGTGGGCCGCATGTGGCCTGCTCCCCAAAGAACGGAGGTGCCCGCTCCCTGCTTAGGCCTTCTGCCAGCTCTCAAGTCCCCAAAAGACAAACATCCTCACTAGGACCTGGCTACACACGGGACATTTGTGCTCCCTGCCCAACTTCCAGAGTCGGTCTGCCCCAGTTGCCCCCCGGGGACCCGCACCCTGCTGCCTCCCAGTCCAAGTCCAGCTTCCCCGCTGGCTCCCTAGGGCCTGTCCCTCTGTCTTGCTCCCTTCCCACACCTTCCTTCTGCTCTGTGCTGTTACCCACCTTACCTGATGCAGGAGTTCCCACTCTCTAGCCCCAGCCTCTCCTGGAAATCCGACAGCCAGCAGAATCCACCGCCCAGGCTCCCCCAGCCCCCTTCACTCCTCAACTAGGACTGCAGGGTTTCCATCCCGGGGGTCTCCTTCTGTCTTTACCTCTACTTCCTACCGCAGTCCACAGCCTGGCCATTCTACTTCCTCTGTATCTCTCCCATCCGTCCCTACGGAGACCCCTTCCCCCAGGCCTCTGGTCCGGACCGAGTCTACCACAGGCCTCAAGCATCCTGCTCGGTCCGCCCCTTGCGAGCTCTGAGTGCGCAGGAGTGCGCAGGGGGAGCTGACCGCACACCCCAGCACTACAAGGACTTCGCGGTGGGGTGCTGTGGAGTTGGCTTTCGGCCTCGACCTGGGCTGTCTGCGGGCCCCACTCCCTTGGCCGGTTCCGAGGCGCTGGGAGCGGGGGTGGGCTTGCGGAGTCGCGTCCGTGTCCCCGATCCGCCTTCCCGTCCCGGGCCTGGCCTACGCAGTGGGCGCGCAGGGGCGGCTGCTTCGGTAGATGTCTAGGGAGCGGAGGGAAAGGCGCGGGAACCGGGGATTCCTCGGGCGGACCCTCCCTCCACCAGCGCTCGGCGGGCCTCCTCCAAGTTCGCCCCCAAGTTTGCGAGCGGCCAAATGGGGGCGGGGGCTGCGCGGAGGGGCGGTGGCTAGGCCGGAGGGTGGGGTCTGGAGCGCGGGGCGGGCGCTGCCGCCTGGCCGGCCGCGGCTGGCCCGGGATCAGGGAGCCGATGTGGAATTTCCTGCCCGGCTCGGCGCCCCTCCTGCCGCCCCCCGCCCGGCCTCGCACTCCGCTTCCGGCCGCTCTCGCTGCGGCCGCACCCGCGCCCGTGCCCGCCCCGCGCCTGCCCCGCGCCTCATGGAGGGCGCAGGGCCCCGGGGGGCCGGGCCGGCGCGGCGCCGGGGAGCCGGGGGGCCGCCGTCACCGCTGCTGCCGTCGCTGCTGCTGCTGCTGCTGCTCTGGATGCTGCCGGACACCGTGGCGCCTCAGGAACTGAACCCTCGCGGCCGCAACGTGTGCCGTGCTCCCGGGTAGGAGCCGGCCTGGCTGGGGGAGGGGGCGAGAGGGACGCTCTGGGCAGTGGTGTGGCGGCGCCGGGCATTGGGAGGGGGCTACCGGAACCTTCCTACGCCAAGTGTGGGCCCCTTCGGCTCCCTAGCCAGCGCGGCTCCGTTCCAGGCCCAGCCTCGGCCATGGGCCACGACAGTGCATCCCAGGGAACCCTGGACGAGAAGTCACCTGAGGGGAGGATGGAGTGCCGTGGGCACCCAGGGGATGACACGCGTTGTCCGGGATATCAGGAAAGACCTGGAAAAAGGGACCCTTGACCGAGTTGTGAAGTCCACGGGGAAAAGCTGGGGAAGGGCATTCAAGCCAAAGGAACTGCATGTGCTAAAGCCCCGCACTAGTCCGACTGGAGCCGGGAGTGGGAGTGAGGAGGAAGGTCAGGGGAGGAGGAGCGGTGCTAGCCGGGGAGGTCCTGGAGCAAGCCAGACTTGGAAAGACAGATTCGCGTCTTAGAGCGGGCGCGGGTGGGAGGGTGGTGACCCAGGCGAGCGTCGAGGAGCCGGCGCTCGAAGTGGACCAGAAGCGGGAGGCGGAAGGACTATGACAGGCACAGGGGACCGGAGGATGTGGGAACCCTGGCGACAACCAGGTGGGGATTCTGGGTGCAAGAAGGGGCCGCGCAAATGTGGGGCGCCGGCTGGGGAAGCCAGTGTGGGACAGGCAGGCGACAGGCCCGGCCGGTGGGGGGGCGAGTCCGGGAGTTTGCACGGAGGGCAGAGAGGTGAGCCCCGGACGCCAGGAGTTAGGAGCTGGGGTCGGGGGAGCCGGTGGGCTGGCCAAAGGCCACAAGGTCAAGGGCATCTCCACGCAGGGGTGAGGAGCGGGCGTGTGGGGGCGCCTTGGCGCGGATTGGAGACGCCGCACGGGCTGGCAGCCGCAGAGGCGGCCGCCGGGCTCCGAGCTGGGTCGCGTCGGGGCGCCTGAGCCACGGACCCGGGGCAAGCCGAGTCCAGGGGCTCGGCGCCAGAGACAAGGGGCTGCGAGGGGGCAGCGCGGGGTTTCCGAACTCTGGTCCGGAGGCGCGCAGACCCCTCCCCGCTGCGAGCCCCGCCTCCGGGGCGGGGGCCGGCCTGGCCCGCCATCTGCTTCGCATCGATGCCGCCGCCGCGGACTCCCGGGCCTCCCCGGCCCCAGGAATGCAGCGGCGGCGGCGGGCGGGGCGGTGCCTGGAGAGGGGGAGGGCGCGATCGCCGTGGTCTCTGTCTACTCACTCCAGCCCTCTTTCCCAGACAGGCCCGGGACCAGGAATGGGGGTCCGGTGCCAGGCTCTAGCTGTCCGGAGCCTGAGAGCCCTTTGCTCCCGCTCCCCTGGTCTGCAGACCTCCCAGGAGGCGCCTGCTCCAGGAACCGAGCCTGGGTTTGGGTTCCCATCCTGGTGCCACCCTACCCAGCTGTGTGGACCTGGGCAAGTCATTTGACCTCTCTGGGCCTGTCTCCACCTCTGTAAAATGGGATAGTGATCACAACCCCCTCATGGGGCTAAGTGGAGATCGCTGTGGTCATGAGTGGCAAGGGTCGATGGGAAGGACAGCCACTCTGGGCACTGCCCACCTGGGGTCTGGGTCATGTCTTTGTTGTCCTCCCACATCTTGCAAGGCTTCCATCAGCCCTTCCCTTTCCTGGGAGGCAGGAGGATGGGGAGAGGAGAGTGCAAAGCCAGTAAAATCCTATGCACCTACACTGTGCCAGGCCTGTATTGGTGTAGGGAAGCTGCAGTGGAGACCCTGACCCTGTGGCAGAGGAGACACAGTCCAGAAAAGCAAGTGTGTCTAGACATCTAGCAAGAGCTGGGAGGTGTTGGGTTGGGGAGTGCTGTTTCCTTTAGGGTGTTCTGAGGAGAACGGCTGAGAAGGTGGTGAGTGAGCACAGGCCTGCAGAAGAGCACGGAGGCCCTGTGGGTGTCTGGGGCAAGGTTCCCAAGGCAGAGGGCCTGTGGAAGTACAGGAAGGATCCAGGAGGCTGGGCAGAGTCCAGGAGGGGCTGGCGGAGGAGCTGCCAGAGAGTGAGGGTGGGCAGGCCACCGTGGGCTGCCACTGCTCAGAAGACTTGGGCTTTTCTTCTGAGGGCCATGGGACCCCCTGGGGGCTTTGTACAGAGAAAGGGTGGGATCTGACCAGGATTGGCTGCCAGGTGGCAAACACTTCGCACCCTGGGGGGCAGGGGGTGGAAGCTGGGGCCAGTTACAAAAAGCCAGGGAGATGGAGGGTGGCTCTCACAAGGCTGGGATAGGGAAGGAGGAAGTGATCCCATTTTAGATATCGTTTAGAAGCTAGAGCTCAGCGTCTTTTTTCTCAATGGATCTGGTGTAGACAAGAAAGAAGAGTCAGAGATGCTTCTCCAGGTCTCAGCTTCCCAGCCTGAAAGGACAGGCAGGGTTATCTGAGGCAGGGAAGACTCAGGGTGCAAGGAGGTCAAGAGTTCAGGTTTGGGCTGGTTGGGCATGAGGCCCATGAGGTCTCCTTCTGGTGACATCATCTATTGGGCAGTTGGATTTGCAAGTCTAGCATTGATGGGGAGAGCCCTGCTGGAGGGTCCAAGGTGTTGTCAGTGTTCAGTGAGCTTCCCGAGGGAGCTAGTGTGGACACAAGAGAGATCTGAGGATGGGGACAGAAACCAGAGGAGAGGTGTCCAGGCGGGGCAGCAGGAGGGTCGGGCTGGTGTGGGGTCTGAAGGGTGTGGCAGGCAGAGAAGCTTTTCTGCCTGGATTTGGGGGAGAACATGGACAGGTATGGACCCCATGAGCCAACTTGAAGATGTAAGAACTCACAGTGGGTTTGAATCACAGAACTAATGCTCTACGAGGGAGAAGCCTACGGCATGTCTTGCTTGCTGAGGGGCCTGGGCCCAGCCTATGGCCTGGCTTCTGAGGGTCTTGCCGACTTACAGGGCAAGCGTGGGAGCAGCCCTGCAGCAGGCCATCTTTCCCCACCCGTCTTTGTAAGATCTTCAGAGAGTGGGCTTGCCACCACCACCCGGCCTTTTCTGCCAGCCCTTCCAAGAAGGAAAGCATCTTGTTCTCAGTGAACCCAAATGGACTCTGTCCTGCTGGTGGGCATTAGCTCTGCTGGGGTTAGGCCTGGGTGCCCGCTAAACCAGAGATGACCGAGTGCACTCAGAGGCACTGCAGCCTGTGCTCAGGATCCTTTGTGCTTAGTATGTGCCAAACCACTTCATAGGTCTTGGCGCGCGCTCTCTTTCTCTCTGTCGTCTTTCTCTGTCTCTCTCTCTCTCCTATCTCTATCTCTCTTTTTGAGACAGGGTTTCACTCTGTTGCCCAGGCTGGAGAGCAGTGGTGCCATCACAGCTCACTGCAGCCTCAAACTCCTTGGGCTCAAGCAATCCTCTTGCCTCAGCTTCCTGAGTAGCTGGGATTATAGGTACATGCCAGCACGCCCGGCAAAAAAACATCTTGGCTCTCTTAATCTTTCTACAGTAGAGCCCTACTATATAGCTAAGGAGCCTGAAGCTCAAAGAGCTTAAGCTGCATGCCTGAGGTCACACAGCAAGTGGCAAACCCAGACATCAAACCCAGCTGAGTGTGGCCCTAAAACGAGGGTCCTAGCCACAGAGCCTTATGTCCAGGGCAGAAGGGGGTTAGTGCTTCCGGGGCAATTCCAGCAGGCCACCTGGCAAAGCTCCCCACAGGAGGGACACCTGCAGAGGCTCTCCATCCAGTGAACATGGTTCAGAAGCAGACACAAGTGGGTGGGTGATGGCCAGCAGACCTGGGTCTCCCTGCAGATGGGCACCTTGGTGCCCCCTGGGTCAGGGCTGGGTGGGTGGAGACAGTGGGGGCAGGGGCCAGGAAAAGCCAGGCCTTTGTATTCCTGTCTCTGGTTTCCAGTTTTATTGTGGAAAATACACTGGACCAATTCCCCAAAGTTTGAGATTTTATGGTCCTGTTCGCCAGGTCCCATCTTTGGCCTGAAGGAGAACCAAGCCTTGTTCAGGAGGAGGGGCCTCGAGGCCTAGGTGCTCTGTACAAGGGGTGGTATTCTGTCTAGCTGGGGAATGGCTGGGGCATCCTCGGAAGCCTGGGCAGGAGCATGCCAGGCATGTACTATCCTGAAATGCATGGTGTAGGGCCAGTCTATCCCATCCCGCTAGGGTCTTCAGGCTTCCTCCCAAACTCCGCCCCCCACCACCTTCCGGTTCTAGATTCAGATACTGAATCCAAGCCTGCTTGTGAAGAAGCGTGCTCCTTTTCTCTAAAGTGCGAATGGCTGTTACATGCCTTTAGGATCGAGGCGAAGTTCTGGGTCGGCTGGGAACCTAGGATCCCGCAGCCTTGGTGGCTCTTCCTTCTCAGCCTCCTCTGCCCCTGAATGTGGGCTAACCCCAGCTCATCCCCTACGAACCCTCTCTAGCCATCATGGCTTCACTCAGGCAGGGCCTCCAAACCTTTGTGCTCACACACCCCATCCACCCAGGGTTTTAGAGGTTGTGCTCTCCTGAAGTGCTGCGGTAGCATTGTGTACTCTGTAAAGCCAAATCAAATGGAACAAGTGGAAGACAATCAGCATAAACAGGCCGGGCACGCTGGCTCATGCCTGTAATCCCAGCACTTTGGGAGGCCGAGGCGGGCGGATCACCTGAGGTCAGAGTTCAAGACCAGCCTGGCCAACATGGCGAAACCCTGTCTCTAGTAAAAATACAAAAATTAGCCATGTGTGGTGGCACGTGCCTGTAATTCCAGCTACTTGAGAGGTTTGAGGCAGGAGAATTGCTTGAACCTGGGAGGTGGAAGTTGCAGTGAGCCGAGATCGTGCCACTGCACTCCAGCCTGGGCAACAGAGCGAGACTGTTTCAAAACCAACAACAAAGGCATAAACAGATGCTCTAATAGCTCCTTCCTCCACCCTGGTCCCTGAGCCCTTTTGCCACAGTTTGACTTTCCTCCTGCACGTGGAGGACTCCCCATGTGCCTGCTCCTTCCCTAGTGGCTGGGTGGGCCTCACCCCACCTCCCTCCAGAAGCCCCTCTGCCAAGTGGTCACCTCACTGTGTCTACATGCCACCCCCCGTCCCCCTGTCCAGAGGCTGCCCCTCCCCACTGGAGCTCAACCCCAACTGGGCATCTAGGTGTGTCCCTGTGGCCCAGCTAGTCCTAGTGCCGTCCTCATCATGTCACATCACATGACATCTGGATCCATGACACCCATTAGGCTGGGCCCTCCACTTGGAGGGATGCCCTAGACCCTCACATTTGGGCAGGTCCTGAGGCCCATGGTCTTCTCCCTGGCTGCTGCCTCACTGCTGTCCTTCCTGGGACTCCAAGGCCACTTTTCTCAGGCCTAATGGCTGTGGGAGGAGGACACAAAGGAGTTAGGTGAGATGGGGTGGGTGGTTCTGGGCTGGAAAGTTCTTGGCGGTGAGGTCTGTTTGTGGCAATCCTCCACCGCCAGACGACTGCCTGGCAGGACCTCATTAACCACCCCCCTAGGACAGGAGCGCAACTGCAGAGGCAGGGAGGCTGTGCGGAGGCTGCGGAGGAGCCCGGAGCAGATGGGGGCTGGGGGAGGGGCATCGGGCTTAGATGTCCTCCCTCTGCTCGCAGCTCCCAGGTGCCCACGTGCTGCGCTGGCTGGAGGCAGCAAGGGGACGAGTGTGGGATTGGTGAGTGGGTCATCCCGGGGACCTGGGGCGGGGGAGGGGGCGGGGCTAGGACGCGCAGCAGCTCTGGCCTGTCTCGTCCACAGCGGTGTGCGAAGGCAACTCCACGTGCTCAGAGAACGAGGTGTGCGTGAGGCCTGGCGAGTGCCGCTGCCGCCACGGCTACTTCGGTGCCAACTGCGACACCAGTGAGCGTGGGGTCGGGCCGGTATTGGTCGGTGGGGCGGAATCCTGGAGAGATGGGGCGGGGTCCAAGGTGGGGCGGGGTCGGATCCGCCTTCGGGGCGGGTCCCCAGAGGTGGCGGCTGGAGTGCGGGACGCGGGCAGGTTCCGGCTGGCTGGGGGCACCTACTCAAGCACCGGGGCCTTCCACCCCCTCCGCTCCTCCCCTGCAGAGTGCCCGCGCCAGTTCTGGGGCCCCGACTGCAAGGAGCTGTGTAGCTGCCACCCACACGGGCAGTGCGAGGACGTGACAGGCCAGTGTACTTGTCACGCGCGGCGCTGGGGCGCGCGCTGCGAGCATGCGTGCCAGTGCCAGCACGGCACGTGCCACCCGCGGAGCGGCGCGTGCCGCTGTGAGCCCGGCTGGTGGGGCGCGCAGTGCGCCAGCGCGTGCTACTGCAGCGCCACGTCGCGCTGCGACCCACAGACCGGCGCCTGCCTGTGCCACGCAGGCTGGTGGGGCCGCAGCTGCAACAACCAGTGCGCCTGCAACTCGTCTCCCTGCGAGCAGCAGAGCGGCCGCTGTCAGTGCCGCGAGCGTACGTTCGGCGCGCGCTGCGATCGCTACTGCCAGTGCTTCCGCGGCCGCTGCCACCCTGTGGACGGCACGTGTGCCTGCGAGCCGGGCTACCGCGGCAAGTACTGTCGCGAGCCGTGCCCCGCCGGCTTCTACGGCTTGGGCTGTCGCCGCCGGTAAGCGCGGTCTCTCGGCCAGGGAGGGAGGAGGTGGAAGGGCGGGCCGCCGATGGGGACAGGGGTGAGGCGGGTCCCAGCCTTCCCTAGCCTCCGACCCCTCCCCCAGGTGTGGCCAGTGCAAGGGCCAGCAGCCGTGCACGGTGGCCGAGGGCCGCTGCTTGACGTGCGAGCCCGGCTGGAACGGAACCAAGTGCGACCAGCCTTGCGCCACCGGTTTCTATGGCGAGGGCTGCAGCCACCGCTGTCCGCCATGCCGCGACGGGCATGCCTGTAACCATGTCACCGGCAAGTGTACGCGCTGCAACGCGGGCTGGATCGGCGACCGGTGAGCAGCCCTGCCTGCGTCGGCCCAGACACGCAGTCCCCCGCCCTGCCTCCCTAACAAAGGCCCCAATGTCGAGGGCGCTGTGGTCCGTTTGCCTCCATTTCTGCTGACGCCTCCTCCCCTCTTTCCAAGGTGCGAGACCAAGTGTAGCAATGGCACTTACGGCGAGGACTGCGCCTTCGTGTGCGCCGACTGCGGCAGCGGACACTGCGACTTCCAGTCGGGGCGCTGCCTGTGCAGCCCTGGCGTCCACGGGCCCCAGTGAGTGCCCCGGGACCGGGAGGGGGTTGGGGGCTTGTACCTGCCACAGAGGGGGGTCCAGCCGACGAGGTGGCCTCTCCACCCTGAGCTGGGTTATCACCTCAGCCTTGGTCCCTTACCCCAGCTAGGGAGTGACAGTAGGCTCTTTGGGGGCAGTTTCCTGCCTGGATGTCGGGGAGCTCACGTTCAGCGCAGGATCTGGTGACCAGTCCAGCCTGTGTCAGTGGGCTCTTAAGGTGACCCCGAGTTGGTACAGAAGGACCAGGGACCTCCACTTACAGCCAAGGGTCTGGTTCAGCAGCCCCTCTTCCCACCTAGCCGAGTCAGCCCCAGCAGTGGGCGCTGCGGCGCGGCCACCACGGGTCCTATCCCCCAGGCCCCCCCACTAGTGTTGTGCAACATTCGTTTCCAAAACATCCACTACCCAATATGTGCCACGGGCGGGGCGGGGCTTCAATCCCTAGACGACGAATGCAGCGAGAGAGAGCCCGGTTCTGGGACCCTGGACCCTGGGCCCTGGCCGCGGGTGAGGGGTGAGGGTAGGGGGCATCCTAGGGGGGCGGCTGTGGCATGCCTTGACCCTATGTCCCGGCAGCTGTAACGTGACGTGCCCGCCCGGACTCCACGGCGCGGACTGTGCTCAGGCCTGCAGCTGCCACGAGGACACGTGCGACCCGGTCACTGGTGCCTGCCACCTAGGTAAGTGGATGAGGGGCGTCCCGTTAAGGAATGCAGGGGGTGCCAGAAACCGCGCTGACCCCATAACCCCCTACAGAAACCAACCAGCGCAAGGGCGTGATGGGCGCGGGCGCGCTGCTCGTCCTGCTCGTCTGCCTGCTGCTCTCGCTGCTCGGCTGCTGCTGCGCTTGCCGCGGCAAGGACCCTACGCGCCGGTGAGCCCAGATACTGCCCCGCTTTCGCCTGGGTTCAGGCCGCACCCTCTGGGTGCCACCGGACCCAGATCCAACCCTTCCGCGCCCCTGCCCCGGACGTGGCCCCGCCCCTTCTGTGCTTGGCTCCGGCCGAGATCTAATCGCCCCTGGGCCCCGCCCCGGCCCCGCCCCTCCGCTCAGACCCCGCCCCCGCAGGGAGCTTTCGCTTGGGAGGAAGAAGGCGCCGCACCGACTATGCGGGCGCTTCAGTCGCATCAGCATGAAGCTGCCCCGGATCCCGCTCCGGAGGCAGAAACTACCCAAAGTCGTAGGTAAGGATGACAGCGCGGGGTATCTGGGAGAAACACCTCTCGACGCAGGAAGCTGCTGGGAAATGGGTGTGAGGGGGTCCAGATCTCAGTGAGGAAATGGGGGACCTTGAGTGTTGATGTGCGTGGGCGCGAGGAGGTGCGACCAGAGGGAAGGTAAGAGGTGTGGCAGCTGCTGAGGGCGAGGCAAGGTAGGAAGGCAGGAGTCCTAGGTGCGCCGGCTGATGTGGGCATATGTCAGAAACGTTGGCCCTGAGAGTGATCGCATCAGGGGTGTGTGGACATCTGGGTCCCGCAGGCTCCCCCAGTCTGTAGGAGAATGCTGTATATCCCGGCCAGAGCTGCTGGGGGAATGCGTGGCCACGGGAGTGCCCTGCCCCACGGAGAGGACCCACCCTCCTGCCTACATCCCCAGCAGTACCCAGAGATCCTCCTGGAAAGTGGGCAGGCTGGTCCCCACCCACCAACAGGATAGGGGGGTGGGGTGTGCCGCTTCTCTCCATGCTGACTTGCACCTGGGTGGACCCTCTCTTCCTCTCTTTCCCACTTATTTCTAAAGATGGAGGGGAAGGGGGCTCAGACTCTTGGGAGATGAAGGAAACAGCTGAGAAAACCCCTTAGCCAAGCCGGGCATGGTGGCTCATGCCTGTAATCTCAGCACTTTGGGAGGCCGAGGCAGGTGGATCACCTGAGGCCTGGAGTTCAAGACCAGCCTGACCAACATGGAGAAACCCGGTCTCTACTAAAAATACGAAAGTAGCCGGGTGTGGTGGCGCATGCCTATAATCCCAGCTACTCTGGAGGCTGAGGCAAGAGAATCACTTGAACCTGGGAGGCAGAGGTTGCAGGGAGGCAGAGGTTGCAGTGAGCCGAGATCGCACCATTGCACTCCAGCCTGGGCAACAAGAGCAAAACTGTCAAGAAAAAAGAGAAGAGAAGAGAGGAGAGGAGAGGAGAAGAGAAGAGAAGAGAAAAGAAGAAAGAGAAGGAAGGGAGGGAGGGAGGGAGGGAGGGAGGAGAAACCCCAAAACTGTCGAAAGAAAAGAAAAAGCAAGCAAGCAAGAGAGAGAAAACCCCTTGGCCCACCTAGCAGCATGGCATCTGGGGACATAGGTGTGGGGAGTGGACCCCACATCCCTCTGTGGAATGGAGGCCAGGCTAGCCAGCTTCTGGGGCCCCCTGTTGTGGGGTCTGCATCTCTGGAGGCCAGGCCTAGGGTGCAGCTTGCTGAGATGGGCTGAGCCAAAGGGCAGCCCTGCCACTGCGCATTTGGGCTCAGAAGTGCTCCAAGGCTTCCTTATTCGCACAAGGCAGGGCCTAAAACAGAGCTTGGAGGCCTTGGTGGCCTGTCCCAGCCAGGTGTCTTCTTCAGCCCCGTCTCCCACCTTTCTGGCCTTTTCTCAACACGTCAGCCCAACCTTTTCCAGCTCCCTGGATGCACACACTTGCCTTGCACCTTAACACATGTTGTGCCCATGTTTCTTTTCTGGGTTCACCTCTACCCATTCTCCAGTCCTGGCCCAGTGTCACTGTACCTGTTGAGTTGCCTGTGCCCCCTGCAGTCCAAGAATAGGGCTGGTCTTGGTCACCCCATCAACATTTGTCACAGCAGGGGCTAATGAGGGCACCGGCTGGGGCAGAGTGGACCCCTGGCAGCTCTGCCTCATCCTTCCCCAGTGGCCCACCACGACCTGGATAACACACTCAACTGCAGCTTCCTGGAGCCACCCTCAGGGCTGGAGCAGCCCTCACCATCCTGGTCCTCTCGGGCCTCCTTCTCCTCGTTTGACACCACTGATGAAGGCCCTGTGTACTGTGTACCCCATGAGGGTAAGTAAGGCCCTACCTGGGCATCACTCCAGCCCAGTGAAATGTTCCCATGGAAAAGCTGTGTTCTGGGTGGGACACAGGAGAAGGGCAGGCAGCATGGAGAGGAAGGCCTTGGCCATGCTGGTACCTGAGGGTTGCCCACAGAGCTGAGGCCATAGAGCTGGACTCTGCTGCTCAGTACCGGAGACAGGTGTGGGGAGATGGGTAGGCCACAGCCCAGGGTTGCTCCTGGGGGAAAGTAGGCAGAGAGAAGTTTCTGGGCTTAGGTAGGGGGTGGCAGAGGAGACAGGAGGAAGGGATCCACAGAGTATGGGAGTTGGATCCACACACAGCCTTTGATCCACAGATAGCAGAAAGGAGCCTGATGGTCTGGGATTCTGCCCTGTCTCCTCCCTTGACTGTGCCCCCAGATGCCACGGGCAGGTGACCAACTCAGAGCCTCAGAAGCCTTATCGCTCTTTTTTTTTTTTTGAGACGGAGTCTGCCTCTGTCACCCAGGCTGGAGTGCAGTGGCATGATCTCCAGTCACTGCAACCTCTGCCTCCTGGGTTCAAGCAATTCTCCTGCCTCAGCCTCCCGAGTAGCTGGGATTACAGGCGCCCACGACCACGCCCAGCTAATTTTTGTATTTTTAGTAGAGACAGGGTTTCACCATATTGGCCAGGCTGGTCTCAAACTCCTGACCTCAGGTGACCGCAGCCTCCCAAAGTGCTGGGATTACAGGCGTGAGCCACCACGCCCAGCTAGAAGCCTTCTCTCTTAAAGAAGGATAATGGAACCCCTGTGGGGATGTTCCAGCCTCAAATTCGATGATGCAGGCGCCCAAGGCTGGAGGGGTGTTGGGGCAGGGCTGCCAGGCCAGGCCAAGGTTGGGCTTCAGTCGCGGGAATGCGCCCATCACTCCTTGCACAGCCTGAGTTCAGAGTCAGCCGCATAGCCTGAGGCTCTGAAGTACACATGTGTGGTTGGTGCTCTGTGCCAGGCACGTCTAGATGCCAGGGTGACACAGTGCCAAGGGCGTGGGTAGAGGAGGAAAGGTGAAGGTTTGCGCCTGGAGGTTGGAGCCCCTAAAGGTATTCCTGAAGGCTGTGACCGCCCTGCTCTTCCCTTGCCAGAGGCACCAGCGGAGAGCCGGGACCCCGAAGTCCCCACTGTCCCTGCCGAGGCGCCGGCGCCGTCCCCTGTGCCCTTGACCACGCCAGCCTCCGCCGAGGAGGCGATACCCCTCCCCGCGTCCTCCGACAGCGAGCGGTCGGCGTCCAGCGTGGAGGGGCCCGGAGGGGCTCTGTACGCGCGCGTGGCCCGACGCGAGGCCCGGCCGGCCCGGGCCCGGGGCGAGATTGGGGGCCTGTCGCTGTCGCCATCGCCCGAGCGCAGGAAACCGCCGCCACCTGACCCCGCCACCAAGCCTAAGGTGTCCTGGATCCACGGCAAGCACAGCGCCGCTGCAGCTGGCCGTGCGCCCTCACCACCGCCGCCAGGCTCCGAGGCCGCGCCCAGCCCCAGCAAGAGGAAACGGACGCCCAGCGACAAATCGGCGCATACGGTCGAACACGGCAGCCCCCGGACCCGCGACCCAACGCCGCGGCCCCCCGGGCTGCCCGAGGAGGCGACAGCCCTCGCTGCGCCCTCGCCGCCCAGGGCCCGAGCGCGGGGCCGCGGCCCCGGCCTCTTGGAGCCCACGGACGCCGGCGGTCCCCCGCGAAGCGCGCCCGAGGCTGCCTCCATGTTGGCCGCTGAGCTGCGCGGCAAGACTCGCAGCCTGGGCCGCGCCGAGGTGGCCCTGGGCGCGCAGGGCCCCAGGGAAAAGCCGGCGCCCCCACAGAAAGCCAAGCGCTCCGTGCCGCCAGCCTCGCCCGCCCGCGCGCCCCCAGCGACCGAAACCCCGGGGCCTGAGAAGGCGGCGACCGACTTGCCCGCGCCTGAGACCCCCCGGAAGAAGACCCCCATCCAGAAGCCGCCGCGCAAGAAGAGCCGGGAGGCGGCGGGCGAGCTGGGCAGGGCGGGCGCACCCACCCTGTAGCAGGCTGTGGCTCGTCCGCGCGCAGCTCCCTCAGCTTCGCAGCGCCGCCCGCCACCCCACACCTCCCACGCTACCGGGCACGGGCGGCCTCCTATTGGCCGGGCACCGCGCGGCTAGCGGAGGTTGCGTCTCATTGGCTCAGGTCCTGCAGCCGCTCCTGGATTGGAGCAGTGTGCTCTGGCGGGAAGGGCCCATCCCGTTGGTCGAGGCCTGACAGGCGCTTAGCGGGCGACTCCCTCCCCATTGGCCGAGTTATGGAGCGCTCCGACCAGACAGCGTCTCATTGGCCAAAGATGGGAGGGTTCCGCTTAAAGACCGCCTCTTACTGGCCAGGAGTGGACTTGGTTAGGGCTACCTTCTCATTGGTTGCAGCCAGAGGCACTTCTGCCCGGGCTGCCTCTCCCCCGCTAGGGCCTGGTGCCTCTGGCTGGAGGCTCCCTCCCTTGGCCGTCCCAATAGAGCCCGGGGCTACTTCCACTGGCCAGGCTCCCGGGCATCTGGTTGACCCCAGCCTGGGGAGGAGGGCTGGTCTCCGCTCCTCAGGGGCTTAGTCCGTCCCACCCCTTCCCTTCCCTGGCGCCCCGGGCCCAGGCCCCTCAGCTGTCAGCTGGTTTTGATGGCCTCCCACTGCCCCACACGCCGCGGGACCTCCAGGGGCGACTCTAGTGGCCTGAGGAGATGTATTTATAGGCCCCCAGCAGGGCTGCTCCCCCCTCGGCCGGTGCCCCAGGATGGGCTCCTCCCGGCGGGGGCTTGGCCAAAGCTTTCTTAATAAAATGCCTTTCCCCTCATGCTCTGATCACTTCCTGTTTGCAGGCTTCGGCCAAAGATGCCCCCCAGAAGTAACTTTATGTGACGACCTGTCCTGCACTCTCCCCCACCCCTTATCTCAGCGGGGAGCCCTGGAGCCCAGGCGTGGGTCTCCCGGGACCATGGTGGAAGTGGGCTGTGTCAACCCACAGGCTTCGTTTGTTTATCAAGTTTATGCGGCCCCGATCTGGCCTGCCCCATTCTGGACTGGTCACGGGGAGGAAGGTTGGGTGGGGGCAGATCAGGCAGAGTCCCTGACTGAAAGGGACAGGCGATGGGCCTGCCTCGGATCCCGGCCTTTTCCCCTGGCCGCTGCTGTTAAACTTGGGCCTCAGAGCTGTTGGTGGCAGCTTGCGGGGGGTGCAGAGGCTGCGGCCAGGGGGCCGCGGGCGCTTACTCCAGCCGGGCCTCCTCCAGCACAAACAAGCCGGTCTCCTGCTGCACAGAGCCCTGCTGTCTGCCTCAACGGGTTCCTTGTCCTCAGCCGGAAACTCTCCTGCCTGCCAGCCCCGCCTGCTACTGCGGAAGGTTGAGGGAGACGGAGGGAGCGCCCGGGGCAGATCCCCTGCCCCCAAGCCAGACCCGGCTGCCTGGCTATCTGTGACCATCTGTGCCCTACGGCCTCGCTGCTCCTGACCCGCCTACCCTCCCGGGCAGGCCTCCTAAGTGACCCTCCTAAGCCGCAGACCCTCACCTTCCATGGCCCCTGCTGTCCCCACACTAAGTTCCCCCAGCTCCTGCCTGTCTGTTCTCCTCCCACCTCCTGCCTCTGCCCGGCAGGCCTCTTCTTGTTCTCCTGCATCTCATCTTTTGATGCCCAGCTCAAAGTCTTCCCCTGCTGCCAGGATCTTCTGATCACCCTGCAGCCGCCACACAGCACTCATTGGTCTCACGCTGGCAACTTGGGGCTCTCGTCCTGGGCACACTCTCATCCTCTGACCAGATGCCCCACGGAGGTCAACTTTGGTCACCCATCTTAGAGGGGTCACCCATCTCAGAAGGCCCAGCCATCTGAGTGGAGACTGCGTCCTGCCCTGGGTCGGCCGTCCAGAGCAGCTGGCAGGACACAAACAGGCAGCACGTGGAATGTGGGATCCCTGCCTCTGGGCCATACTGCTTCCCTGGAGCCAGCTGGGCACCCTCCCAGCCATGGCCCTGTGGCTGGAAAGCCTCTGCTCTGTTTGGGCACTGCGCCATGCGGGCTGCTGGGGTTAAGGCCAAGAGGGCAGATGCCCAGCCGGGCTCCGCGAGGGCAGGGCAGTGCCTGCGTGTGGGTGAGGGGTGGGCAGTGCAGGGGCTCAGACCACATTCTTGTCTAGGCGGTGCCCACCCCCCAGAACGATGAGGATGCCACACTGCTGTTCCCTGAACCCCCAAGCCCTCAGCTCTTGCTATTTCTCCTCCCCCAGCCTGGACCAGCACGATTTGGAGAGAACAGGGATGTCCCAGTGACCAGGCCTTTCTGGGGACCTCTCCTTGCCCTTCTCTGGGAAGCCCCCTAGGTGTCGAAGACTCTACCTGTGGGTGCCTCACAAAACAGGGGACCCCCCCCAACCTACCACCAGCCTTCCCTTCCCCCCAGGAGGGTTCCAGTGGCTGCTGGGAAGGGAGCTGCTGGGACCCCTCCAGCCTCCTGCCTCCCACCACCCGCTTCTCCCCACCCCCTCGGGGCTCACAGCAGTGCCAGCTCCCAGGGCAGGCGCCACAAAAGGGAACCGCGGCTGCTGGAACCTCCGTTGCCATGGGGATGGGGACCACAGGACCCACATCTGGTAGCGATTGAGGAGGAAAAATTATGAGTGGTGGAAAACGCAAATATTTTTTGTAGCACAGAGCACAATGGAGTGGGAGGAATGTGGGGACCAGGCCCAGCCTGGTGGTTACAAGCAGACGCAGGCCACAGCACACAGAGGCCTGCAGACACTAACCCTACGCCGCATGCACGCTCCTCTAGACTCAGAAACACCAACACAGACACACAGCCCGAAACGCAGACATGCACACACAAAGCCAGCAGAATCTCAGAAACACAGAGACGGCACACACACTGCAACAGACGCCCACACAGCACTGGGCCCAGAGGAACACAGCCACTCACCTGCCAACACACACACACACACGACACTCCATCAGACAGAAACACTCACTCTCCAACACACACACACAACCCACCGCTCACAGAGACAGACGCGCTGTGACACACACACAGCCAGCCCACTACTATGGAGGACACTCAACCCACACCACGCACATAAAAATGGAAAAAAAGACTCACTCTGCAACATACAACATGTATCACCAGACACAGAAACACCAAGACAGAGACTCATTGCAGCACACACACCATAGGCCACATAGAAACCACAAGATAGACACAACCCTGCGACACACACACTTCACCAAAGTCAGAAGCAGATATATATCATACAAAATACACGTGCGGCCGGGTACGGTGGCTCACGCCTGTAATTCTAGCACTTTGGGAGGACGAGGCAGGCGGTTCACTTGAGATCAGGAGTTCAAGACTAGCCTGGCCAACATGGTGAAACCCTGTCTCCACTAAAAATACAAAAAATTAGCTGGGTGTGGTGGCAGACGCCTGTAATCCCAGCCACTCAGGAGGCTGAGGCAGAAGAATCGATTGAACCCGGGAGGCGGAGGTTGCAGGTGAGCTGAGATCACACCACTGCACTCCAGCCTGGCGACAGAGTGAGACTCTGTTTCAAACAAACAAACACACAAAAAAACACACACCTGCACACGACCCGACACACTCAGATACTGAGACAAACACATTCCCTGCAACACACACAAACACACAATCCATGATACACCGACAAAAGAGACACTCATCCTGCAGACACACATCTTCCACCAGATACACGGAAACATGAGAGAAACACATTAAACACACTACCTGCAGCACATAGCTCACCACCAGACAGAAATGCAGACAGGCTGGGTGCAGTGACTCACGCCTGTTAATCCCAGCACTTTGGGAGGCCGAGGCAGGCAGATCACTTGAGATCAGGAGTTTAAGACCAGCCTGGCCAACATGGTGAGACCGCATCTCTACTAAAAATACAAAAAATTAGCCGGGCGTGGTGGCATGCGCCTGTAATCTCAGCTACTTGGGAGGCTGAGCTGGGAGAATTGCTTAAACCTGGGAGGCAGTGTTTGCAGTGAGTGGAGATCGCATCACTGCGCTCCAGCCTGGGCGACAGAGCGAGACTCTGTCTCAAAAAAAAGAAGAAGAAGAAAAAAAAGAAATGTAGACACAGATATGCACCCTGCACCCCCCACATCACACTCACAGAACACACCTCATCCTGCAAAACACACACACACACACACACACACACCCTCTGACACACAGAAACACCAAGAGACCCTCACTCTGCAACCATAGACACCTTCCACCAGACACAGAGAAACAGCAACTTATACAACCTGCAACACACACATGTGCCACCAGAGCCGACTAAATACTGAGACACACACATCAGCCAACACACAGAAGTGTAACCATCCTACCGACAGATGGCATACACAGCATCCATGCCCTACTAAGCATGGAGGCGGGCACCCACCCTAAGATGCACTCACTGCACTAGAAACAGATCATGAGGCCCAGCGTGGTGGCTCACGCCTGTCATCCCCACACTCAGGAAAGCCAAGGCAGGAGGCGCACTTGAGCACGGGAATTCGGATAGTATCTGTGGTCTTTCACCCTGCAGATACACACACAGACATGCCACCAGGCACACAGAAACACCAAGACACAGTGGGAACACGCACACTGGAACACACAAACTCCTACACACACAGGAGAACGCGGAGGCCGCTGGCAGTACTGAAATTCATCTCAGCCCTGGGTTCCAGGGAAATGGTGCTCACTGAGAAATTGCCTCTTCCTTTGCGTTCTGAGAAATAGTGAGACCAGAAGGAGCACTTTGCCCTTGTCCATTCTAAGACCCCGCCTCCAGCCTTCCACATGAGTCTCTTATTTACCAGGCCCCTCCTTCCTCATTAGTGAGTTTTCTTCCCATAGCAGTAGCCTGAATAAAGTCATCTCTTTATGTGTCTGGTGCATTCCCCCCACAGTCTTTGTGCCTTGACCTGGCATGGGTTGGACTTACCTTCCCATCCCCAATGACTGCAAGCAGGTGGTGAGCCCTCTCTGAGACCCGCAAGCCGCCCCTGACTGGCCATCAGGGTGGGGGACCTTCAGTGAGTATGACCCCTGGTTGTGTGCTCCTGGCTTTTGTCCGTTGGTGGCATAGTGACAACTTTATTTTGATTCTTTCAGTTTCATGGTCTGAACATTTGGTGGTCTCTTTAAACAGATTGGTGGTTTATAGACGTCTTGTCTCTGTTGGGTGAGAGACGACAGTGTGTGGTTTGAGAGTCTTTTCTGTTTGTTCATTTGTTTAATTGAGTTTAGTTAAAAATTTGGGCTAAGATTGGTGGCTCACATCTATAATCCCAGTGCTTTGGGAGGCTGAGGTGGGAGGATCACTTGAGGATAGGAGTTCAAAACCAGCCTGGAAAACATAGCAACCCCCATCTCTAAAAAAAAAAAAAAAAAAAAAAAAATTAAAAATTTAGCCAGGCACGGTGGTGGTGTGCACCTGTAGTCCCAGCTACTCCAGAGGTTGAGGTGGGAGGATCCCTTGAGCCCAGGAGTCTGAGGCTCACCACTGTACTCCAGCCTGGGTGACAGAGTGAGAACCTGTCTCTAAAAAATCCAAGAATTTGTCCCCAGTGGGAAGATGGTTTGGAGATGTGATCAGCCACATCCATGGATGGAGCTGTGCTGTCATTTAGGTAGGTTGGATTGGCTGTCATATGCATAGGTAAGCGACACACCCAACAGTTAGTATGCTTGAAAATAGGCCTGTTCCTTGGGTGGGGCTAACATGCAGAGGATTGGTAAAGCCTCCTGAGAGGGCGGTGGGGTCAGGGCTGGGGTTAGGAGGGCAGAGGTCAGGGCTAGGGTTAGGAGGGCAGCCTGTAAGAGTTGAAAACAAGTTAGTGAATTTGTGGTGGTTGGGCTGCCAGGGAGGAAGAGGAGTGGGAAGGGTGGGAGGAAGGCCTTTGACAGGGGTACAGTAGGAAGCAGGGTGTAGAGGAGTCAACCTGGGGCCAGTTCAGTTGTTGTGTGGACGGTGGACAGGGGTCATCTATCTTCGGGTGAGGTCATTGTCTCCATGAGTCCAGCTGCAGGGCTGAGGTCACTCACCTGGTAAAGAAGCTGGTTGGGGTGAGCTCCTGGGCCTCCCTGAGTCTGCAGTGACCTTCGCCCAATAATGGACCTCGAGACATAACCACAGCACTGTGGTTGGACAGTGCCAGTGAAGAAGCCATTGTCCTGCTGTCACATTGGGGATACCGTAATTCCAAAGCTGCCTGCTGCACACACCCCACCAGAGGTATTCCAGCGGCTGCTTCCTATTAATAGTCTGACGTGCATTGTGAGGGGCAAAATGTGCACACATGACACTCATTCGAGAGCCTCAGCAGTGGGCATTCCAATTACACTGCTGCTTCCCGTGTGTGTGTGTGTGTGTGTGTGTGTGTGTGTGTGTGTGTGTGTGTCGGGGGGGCTCCTTTATGAGTTAATTTTTTTTCTGAAACAAAAAAAATTGCTTAAATTACTTATTTGGCCAGGCGCAATGGCTCACGCCTGTAATCCCAGCACTTTGGGAGGCCAAGGAGGGTGGATCACTTGAGGTCAGGAGTTCAAGACCTGCCTGGTCAACATGGTGGAACCCCGTCTCTACTAATAACACAAAAATTACCCGGGCGTGGTGGCGCCTGCCTGTAATCCCAGCTACTCACTGCAACCTCCGCCTCCCGGGCTCCAGCGGTCCTCGTCCCTCAGCCTCCCGGTATTTGCTGGTTTTAGAGGCGGAGTCTCGGCAGGTCGACCCGGCTGGAGCGCAGAGGCTATTCCCAGGCGCGATGCCACTACTGACGCGCTCCGTTTCCAACTGGGGCTGCCTCGCCCCTCCCTAGGCGGCCTGGTGGCAGAGGCCACCATACTGATGCCGGCTTCAGTGAGGACCTGGATCGGCACAGCGCACTGCAGCGCAGAACTCCCGGTCACGCGATTCTCCTGCCTGGGCCTCCCGAGCAGCTGGGACCGCAGGCACGCGCGGCGCCGGCCCTTGGAGCTCAGAACCGCCTTTCGGACTGCATCCGGCACCAGGCAGCCAGCGGCTAGTGGGGGCCATGGAATCGTGCTGCCATCTGGCGGCTGGATGGGTAGCTGCTGCTTTTTTTTTTTTTTTTTTTCTTCTTTTTGAGGCACGGCCTCACTCTGAGGCCCAGGCTGGACGCAGTCACTCAATAACCGCTCACTGCAGCCTCCATCCCCCGGGCCCAAGACATCCTTCCATCTCAGCCTCCGAAAGTGCTGAGATTACAGGTGTGAGCCACCGCACCGGGCCGGTGCCACCTTTTTTTTTTCTTTTGAAACAGAGTATCCACTTTATCGCCCAGGCTGGAGTGCAGTGGCGCAATCTTGGCTCACTGCAACCTCTGCCTCCCAGGTTCAAGCGATTCTCCTGCCTTAGCCTACAGAGTAGCTGGGATTACAAGCGCGTACCACCAAGCCCGACTAATTTTTGTATTTTTAGTAGAGACGGGGTTTCACCATGTTGGCCAGGCTGGTCTCGATCTCCTGACCTCAAGTGATCTGACCACCTCGGCCCACCGAAGTGCTGGGATTACAGGCATGAGCCACCACGCCCGGCCGGTAGCATCTTTGAAGAGCCTAAACAAGTGGGGGTAACAGCCTGGGGGAACTTCGGCGCAGTTCTGTTTGTGCGGCCCGGTGGGGCCTGCTACGGGGATGTGGTGTCCCAGGCCCAGATTATCCCCCAAAGTAGGCATAGCCAGGTGAGGACAGCCAGAAGTCAGCGACAAATACTGTGCAGTTCCATGTATGTGGAGTATCTAGAGGAGTCAAATTCGTAGAGACAGGCGGGGCGAGGTGCCTCACGCCTGTAATCCCAGCACTTTGGGAGGCGGAGGTGAGTGAACCACCTGAGGTCAGGAGTTTGACACCAGCCTGGCAAAAATACCAAAAATACAAAATTTACCAAAAATACAAAAATTAGCCGTATGTGGTCGTGTGTGCCTGTAATCCTAGCTACTTGGGAGGCTGAGGGAAGAGAATCACTTGGACCCGGGAGACAGAGTAGCGGTGAACCAAGATTGCGCCACTGCCACGGCACTGCACTCCAGCCTGGGTGACGAGCAAAACTTTGCCTCAAAGAAAACAAATGAACAAAAACAAAACAAAACAAAAAAATTAGCAGGGCATGGTGATGTGTGCCTGTAGTCCCAGCTACTTGGGAGGCTGAGGCAGGAGAATCGTTTGAACCCGGGAGGCAGAGGTTGCAGTGAGCCGAGATCACGCCACTGCACTCCAGCCTGGGCGACAGAGCAAGACTCCATCTCAAAAAAAAAAAAAAAAAAGAAAAAAAATTCTGTAGAAACAGAAGGTGGAACCGTGGTTACCACGGGCTGGGAGGTATGGGAATTAGTGTTTAATAGGAATGCAGAGTTTCAGTTTCGGGTGATGAAAAGATTCTAGAAATAGATGGCAGTGAATGTACTTAATGTCACTAAACCGTGCACTTAAAAATGATTAAAATAGTGCTCGCTTCGGCAGCACATATACTAAAATCAGAACGATAGAAGTTTCTCATGGCCTCTGCCCAAGGGTGACACGCAAATGTGTGAAGCGTTCCATATTTTTATTTTTATTTTTTATTATTTATTTATTTATTTATTTTGAGACGGAGTCTCGCTCTGTCACCCAGGCTGGAGTGCAGTAGCACAATCTCGGCTCACTGCAAGCTCTGCCTCCGAGGGTCATGCCATTCTCCTGCCTCAGCCTCCCGAGTAGCTGGGACTACAGGCGCCCGCCACCACGCCCGGCTAATTTTTTGTATTTTTAGTAGAGACGGGGTTTCACCATGGTCTTGATCTCCTGACCTCATGATCCACCCGCCTCGGCCTCCCAAAGTGCTGGGATTACAGGTGTGAGCCACCGCACCCAGCCAAAGTGTTCCATATTTTTAAACAGATATATAGACCAATGGAACAGAACAGGGACCTCAGAAATAACACCACATATCTACAACCATCTGATCTTTGACAAACCTGACAAAAACAAGAAATGGAAAAAGGATTCCCTGTTTAATAATGGTGCTGGGAAAACCGGCTAGCCACAAGCAGAAAACAGAAACTGGACCCCTTCCTTATACCTTATACAAAAATTAACTCAAAATAGATTAAAGACTTAAATGTAAAACCCAAAAACCGTAAAAACCCTAGAAGAAAACCTAGGCAATACCATTCAGAACATAAGCATGGGCAAAGACTTCATGACTAAAACACCAAAAGCAATGGCAACAAAAGCCAAAATTGACGCATGGAATCTAATCAAACTAAAGAGCTTCTGCACAGCAAATGAAACTATCATCAGAGTGAACAGGCAACCTACAGAATGGGAGAAAACTTTTGCAAGCTACCCATCTGACAAAGGTCTAATATCCAGAATCTACAAGGAACTTAAACAAATTTACAAGAAAAAAACAACCCCATCAAAAAGTGGGCAAAGGATATGAACAGACACTTCTCAAAAGAAGATATTTATGTAGCCAACAAACATATGAAGAAACGCTCATCATCACTGGTCATTAGAGACATGCAAATCAAAACCACAATGAGATACCATCTCACACCAGTTAGAATGGCGATTATTAAAAAGTCAGAAAACAACAGATGCTGGCAAGGCTGTGGAGAAATAGGAACGCTTTTACACTGTTGGTGGGAGTGTAAATTAGTTCAGCCATTGTGGAAGACATTGTGGCGATTCCTCAAGGATCTAGAACCAGAAATACCATTTGACCCAGTGATCCCATTACTGGGTACATACCCAAAGGATTATAAATCATTCTACTGTAAAGACACCTGTACACATATGTTTATTGCAGCACTATTTACAATAGCAAAGACTTGGAACCAACCCAAATGCCCATCAGTGATAGACTGGATAAAGAAAATGTGGCATATATACACCATGGAATACTATGCAGCCATAAAAAATAATGAACTCATGTCTTTTGCAGGGACACGGATGAAGCTGGAAGCCATCATTTTCAGCAAACTAACACAGGAACAGAAAACCAAACACTGCATGTTCTCACTTATAAGTGGCAGTTGAGCAATGAGAACACATGGACACAGGGAGGGGAGTATCACACACCGGGGCCTGTCTGAGGATGGGGGGCTGCGGGAGGGGCAGCATTAGGAGAAATACCTAAGGCATGCAGGGCTTAAAACCTAGATGACGGGTTGACAGCTGCGGCAAACCACTATGACATGTGTATACCTATGTAACAAACCTGCACGTTCTGCACATGAATCTCAGAACTTAAAGTAAAATTTAAAAAAATAAATAAAATTAAAATTAAAAAATGATTAAAGTAGGCTGGGCATGGTGGCTTAAGCCTGTAATCCTAATTACTCAGGAGGCTGAGGTGGGAGGATCACTTGAACCCAGGAGGTTGAGGCTGCAGTGATCTGCAATGGCACCACTGTACTCCAGCCTGGGTGACAGAGTGAGACCCTGTTTCAAAAAAAAAAAAAAAGAAAGAAAAAGGTTAAAACGGTAAATTTTGTTATATATTTTACCACAATAAATAGAATGGGAGTAGAGGCTGAGAGCCTGTTGAATTAGGTACTGTGGAACACTGCAAGGAAGCAAAAATAGCAAAATATCGGCCAGCAAAAGACTGAATGGGCTCCATCCTTTCAGTCTGCAGGGGCTGGGGCCCCCATGGCCCCCTGGGTTAAGGTTTCAGCATCGACTGTGAGATGTCATTTGTTCTTTTCCATTTGAAGAACACGTCAAATTGGGCTGTTAAATGGAGAAACAGAGGGGATGGTCACCCCTTCTCTCAATCCTTGAAGTCCCTGTTTTAATTTATTTTGGGTCATATTAATGATTTTAATGGCTTGGGCAGGTCCTCAGGGTCTCATCTGCCAAGACCAACAGTAAGGGACAAAGTGTGGGTTTTATTCCAATTGGAGCATCTGTCCCAGTGATAGAAATTCAAGAGCAGAAAGAACTGAGACCACTGGAATATTCTGCAAAGCTATTGCACCAGTGATCAGGCTAAGGCGGACTTGTTTGCCTTCAATCTTATGTCCCAGGGAACAGAGAGGGTTCCTCCCTTACATTTAGTGGGGTCTCTGGGGAAACAGTGTCAATTAAGGCCATAAAAGTTTGCTTAGTGCGTGGGAACCAGTGGATCCCCGTGTTTGTGAGAGCAATTGTCCTTTGGTGAGGGTCAAGGAGTATGCTGTGTCCCTAGCAAGGCTGGAGTGGTCACGGATGCTCTATTTTGGGGGATGTGATGTGGGCTCACATCTTGAGGATTTGGGTTTGGATTCTCTGTCTAACTTGTTTTAGAAGCGCCTGGACCTCTTTGGGGTCTTACCGTAAATCTGATTATCGGAGAAGCCCAGGTTGCAAAGTTGCCAATCCCAGGGTTGGGGGGTGGCCATGGAAGTTCTGAAATGGGGGCTCTTTCCTTGTCAGTAGGGTTTGGTGCTTTGGGATGAGAAGACAGGGTCCTGGAATCAATCATTCCAGGCCATCGAGGGCCTCTGTAGGAGTAGTCACATGAGGCCGGGCATGGTGGTTCATACCTATAATCCCAGCACTTTGGGAGGCCAAGGTGGGAGGATTGCTTGAGGCGAGGAGTTCAAGACCATTCTGGGCAACACAAGGAGACCTCATCTCTACAAAACTAGAAACAATTACCCAGGCATGGTGGAGTGTGTCTGTAGTCCCAGCTACTCAGGAGGCTGAGGCAGGATCACTTGAGCCCACAAGTTCGAGGCTGCAGTGAGCTGTGACTGCGGCACCACACTCCAGCCTGGGTGACAGAGGGAGATCCTGTCTCTAAAAAAAAATAAAAGAAAACAAAAGTGTAATCACTTGACTAGTAAGGGGAGCTGCACAGCCTTATAATTTGTAGGTTCTCCCCTGAAAAATAACTGCCAGATGCTTGTGTCAAGAGCCTTTCTTCTAGAACACCACGGGGTTCGGCCTCACTCCAGTTCTTCTGCCATACTTCTCCATCTCTTCCTTAAACTCTAATCCATGAATCCAGAGGAGGAGTTGGCAAGCTACAGCCTCCAGGCCAAATCTAACTCACTGTGCATTTTCTTTTCTTTTCTTTTTTTCTTTTTCTTTTCTTTTCTCTTTTCTTTCTTTTATTTTCTTCCTTTCTTTCCCTCCCTCCTCCCCTTCCCCTTCCCCTTCCCCTTCCCTTGCCCCTTCCCCTTTCTCTTCTCTTCCCTTTTCCTATCCTTTCCTTTCCTTTTTGACAGGGTCTCACTCTGTTGCCCAGGCTGGAGTGCAGTGGTGCACTGAACCACGACAGATCAATGTAATGATTGGTGTCAGCAGTAAAGGGTCTGTCTGCGGCAGGAGGGGGCCATTTTCCAAGCCACAAATGCCCAACAGAGCAAGGGAAAGTGAAACTGAAGGGTTAATTTGGCCAGGTCTGCCTGCTCTGCTTGCTTTTGGGTCATTTGGTTTTTAATTTTTTTTTCTCCTTTTTCTGTGAAGCTTAAGGGCCACAGTAGCTGAAAGCCTTGCCGCTGAATGCTGAAACTTAACCTTCCCTGGCTACTGTATAGATAACATGCATAAGTCACCATGGTGCCGGCTTCTTCAGTTGTTTTTCAGGAACTTGGGCCAGCTCCTGTCCAGTTCAAACTGGTTGAGACCACCAACCCTTCAATTGGGCCTGCACAAGTGCCCGAAAGGTGGCCTTTTGACACTGGAGGGCCAAAAACTCCGCCTTTGGAAAATGCTAATGCTACCCTCTTCTGTACACGTGTCTTGTGAAATGCCATGAACTCCAGCCATGCTCACACAGAAGGAAGCTGTTACTTATCTTCGGGGGACGAAAGACTTAAGGACTTAAAAAGGATCCACCTCCCCGATCAGTGCCCTTGTGAATAAATCTTTTCTTTTTTGCAAAACCATGTCATAGTGGTTGATTTACTGCACCAGCAGAATGAACACGAACCTGGATGGCAACAAAAGGCTGCAGGTCATGCCCAAGTATGCCGTGGGGGTGGGGAGAGGGCAGCATGTGGCCACTTCCACCGGGGAAGTGGATCCCATCTTATAAATTATTAGTTTGAGGGTCACCATGTGCTAGCATTGTGTTTGGCAGTGTTTGAAGTTAACTCAGAGCCAAAGTGAAGCAGGCACAAAAGCCAACCAGTGCTTTTCTCATGGTGTAAATCCATAATTCTTCAACACATTTTGAAATTCGGATCCAGGCACATTGCAGATACCTGTTTCAGTTTCTGTTCCCTCCCCTTGTAGAGTTGCATTTTGTGTGTGTGTGGCCTCCTCCAGGGAGTCCCAAATCCATGTCATCGTATCACCCTAGGACAATGGCTGCCTCGCTGACTTTAGGGGCCCAGGACCTAAGCTGAGAGCAGAGATGTTCTTCTTCTTTTTTAGTTTTTCGAGACGGAGTCTTGCTCTGTTGCCCAGGCTGGAGTGCGGTGGCATGATCTCGGCTCACTGCAAGCTCCACCTCCTGGGTTCAAGCGATTCTCCTGCCTCAGCCTCCCAAGTAGCTGGGACTACAGGCACCCACCACCATGCCCAGCTAATTTTTGTACTTTTAGTAGAGGAAGTGTTTCACCATGTTGGCCAGAATGGTCTTGAACTCCTGACCTCAAGTGATCCACCCACCTTGGCCTCCCAAAGTGCTGGGATTACAGGCGTGAGCCACCGCGCCTGGCCAGAGATGTTCTTCAGTGCGGCAACACTTACTAGAACCCACACTTACTAAAAAGTCCATCCGCTTTCTAGCTATGCAATCGGGTGATGGCATCCCTGGACCCTTTGGGAAGACCTACGGTAAAATATTCAGGTCCATTTATTAAAAAATAGAATTTTTTTTTTGAGACAAGGTCTTGCTCTGTCGCCCAGGCTAAAGTGCAGTGGCACAATCATAGCTCACTAGACTTGAACTCCTGGGCTCAAGCAATCCTCCTGCCTAAGTCTCCAAGCAGCTGGGATTACAGGTGCATATTACCATGCCCAACTAATTTTTTTTGTTTTTTTGGTAGAGATGGAGTCTTGCTATGTTGTCCATGTTGGTCTCGAGCTCCTGGCCTCAAGTGATCTTCCCACCTCAGCCTCCCAAAATGCTGTGTTTATAGGCATGAGCCACTGTGCCCAGCTGAGACTTTTATTGTTTTTTAAATTATTCTATGGCCCATGACACAGCCATCTGTGTCATGAACGGCTGTGCCCAGCCGTTCATGTTCTTATTGTTGAGTTTTAAGAGTCCTTTTTGGCCGGGCACGGTGGCTCACGCCTGTAATCCCAGCACTTTGGCAGGCCGAGGCAGGCGGATCACAAGGTCAGGAGATCGAGACCATCCTGGCTAACACGGTGAAACCCCGCCTCTACTAAAAATACAAAAAATTAGCTGGGCGTGGTGGCAGGTGCCTGTAGTCCCAGCTACTTGGGAGGCTGAGGCAGGAGAATGGCGTGAACCCGGGAGGCGGAGCTTGCAGTGAGCCGAGATCACACCACTGCACTCCAGCCTGGGCAACAGAGGGAGACTCCATCTCATAAAAAAAAAAAAAAAAAGAAAAGAAAAGAAAAAAGAAAAAGAAAACCTCTGGGCATTAAAAATGCTGTAACAAAGACAGAAAATGTACATGCCAAGGGGATATATATGTGTGTGTGTGTGTCTGTGCTTATGCATCTGTTTATGTGTGTATGTGTATGTCATTTATGCATCTGTGTGTCTCTCTGTGTATGTGTGTGTGTGAAATAAACCAAAGAGAATAGTGGACAAAAGACAAGAACAGACCACACATATGAAGAGAAAAACAAACGGCCAACAAGCAGGGACAAATAACATTCTTAAAGCCTCAAAATGGCAGATATAAAAATCAAGGCCGGAACGACCCCATGCTGGCCAGGGAGTGGTGACAGCGTCATGGGAGGAACATGTTCGTCCAGGGAGGAACAGCTCACAGCGTCATGTCAGAGCCGATGGGAACAGCTCACAGCAGGTCCACCAGATCAGATTCCACCCAGGAACACCAACGAGCTTCAGTGTTCATAACCTTCACCAGTTAACTGCATTTCTCAGAACGTACTCAGAGGAAATGATCAAAGATGGGAACAGAGGCCTATGTTAAATAATTATTTATAGGCACAAACAATCTTGATGTTCAATAGTAAGGGAATAGATAAATTAAGATACAACTGTAAGACAGAAAATGATGTGGCCAATTATGTCTGAAAATATTTTATAACATAGAAAATGCTTATCATAAAATGTTAAATGGAAAATGATAAAAATAATATGTAGAATATGAATCTAATTTTTTTTTTTTCTGAGACAGGGTTTCGCTCTTGTTTGTTGACCAGGCTGGAGTGCAATGGCACAATCTGGCCTCACTGCAACCTCCACCTCCCAGGTTCAAGCGATTCTCCCGCCTCAGGCTCCTGACTAGCTGTGATTACAGGCACCGGCCACCATACCCGGCTAATTTTTGTATTTTTAGTAGAGACAGGGGTTTCACCATGTTGGCCAGGCTGGTCTCAAACTCCTGACCTCAGGTGATCTGCCCACCTCGGCTTCCCAAAGTGCTGGGATTACAGGCGTGAGCCACCGCACCCAGCCTAATTTTCTTTTAAAAGAAAAAAGATATGTATACATGCATAGAAAACAACTGCAAGAAAACGCATCTAAATGTTAATAATGGTAATGATCCATGAACTGATTCTGAAGGTGTTTGTTTTGAGACAGTCTTGCTCTGTCACCCAGGCTGGAGTGCAGTGGTGCCATTATGACTCACTACAGCCTTGACCTCCTGGGCTCAAGTGATCCTCCCACCATAGCCTCCAGAGTAGCTGTGACTACAGGCACGCACCGCCATGCCCAGCTAATTTTTTTTTTTTTTTTGTATTTTTTGTAGAGATGGGATCTCCCTATGTTGCCCAGGCTGGTCTTGAACTCCTGGGCTCAAGCAATCTTGCCTTGGCCTCTCAAAGTACAGGCATGAGCCACTGAGCTGGAACCTGAGGGTCATTTTTATTATGATTTTGTGATTTTTAAAAATTTTCTGCAGTATACATATAATATTCATAATCAGGGAAAAGTTTTTACATACATAAAAGAAAAACATCAAGACTCCAATATAAAGAGGGACAAAGGGCATATTCAAATATTTTTCAAAAAGAAAGATCAATAGACTGGGTGCAGTGGCTCATGCCTGTAACCCCAACACTTTGAGAGGCTGAGGTGGGAGGATCGCTTGAGACCAGGAGTTCAATACCAGCCTGAGCAACACAGCGAGACCCCCTGCCCCCCCCAAAAATTTAGCTGGGCGTGGTGGCGCACACCTGTAGTCCCAAAGTCCCAACCACTCAGGAGGTTGAGGTGGGAGGATCACCTGAGCCAGGGAGGTTGAGGTTTCAGTGAGCTGTGATCACACCACTGCACCATGGAAATAACTTCAACATCCAACAAAAGAGTATCTAAGAGACCAGAGAGAACACTGTGCCTCTGTTTAGAAGTATAACAAGGACATGGATGAAGCTGGAAACCATCATTCTCAGCACACTATCGCAAGGACAAAAAACCAAATATCGCATGTTCTCACTCATAGGTTGGAATTGAACAATGGACACAGGAAGGGGAACATCACACACCAGGGCCTGTTGTGGGGTGGGGGGAGGCGGGAGGGATAGCATTTGGAGATATACCTAATGTTAAATGACGAGTTACTGGGTGCAGCACACCAACATGACACATGTATACATATGTAACTAACCTGCACGTTGTGCATACGTACCCTAGAACTTACAGTATAATTTAAAAAAAAAAGAAGTATAACGAGGACAGTTTAGATGCTTGAAAAAAAAATCTGCTACAAAGCTAAAGAGGGAAAAAAGATAAAAACTATAGATACACTGTGTTGAAAATAATGCAAAGTTCTACATGAACAAAGCAGAGGGTAATGTATCAAAGTGCAAAAGGCAGTTTTATTAAGAATTATGGGGATTTTATTTTTCAGAAGTCCACATTTTCTGAAGTGTGGTTATTTTGCCTGCATAATTTAAAAAGCATACTGAAAGCATTTCATAAACGATAGCACTCCGTATAAAGTATGATCACCAAGAGGGCAGCTTATTCTTGCTTAGGACTAAGTAGAAATAACATTCATTCAAGATTAACTCTGTCTTCCTGTCTCTGAAGAGTGTTGGGACAGGGAGAGCCGCCTTTTCCAGGGTTTGCAAAACAGCTCCATGTGGGACCACCATGGAGCCCGTCTCCCTGGGCTTCAGCTTCCCCTCTCCAGTGGGTGCTGGGAGGGGCTTCTTCTGTGACCTGGGCTGGTGACTGGTGCTACATAGTGAGAAGCCCTGCAGGGCAGCCTCACCAGCCCAGGGTGGCCCTGCCCAGCCCTGGTCAGTGAAGAGGAGCTTCCAGACACACCCATCCTGATGTTGTGCCCATCTTCCCTGAATGCACTGGGCACCTGCCTGGTAGCTCCCAATTTCTCACTAGGGGCTAAATGGCAAGAGGTGATGTTGGCATGTTAGGATCTGGCTACAATGATGCTGGGCCGTGCTGTGACAGCTGTGGGAATGCCCCTGACTGCACTGTCACTAAACACACAGCTCTGCAGTAGAGCTATTTACATGAGTTAAGTCCAGGAAATTCACTTTTTCCAAATGCCCACCACCCAAGATTATTCTCCTCTCTAGCAATATAATAATGTTCACTGGAAAGTGATGCTAGTCATAATTCTTGTTTTATTATTATTCTGAAAATAATAGTTTATGGAGGAAACTCCTGATTAAAGCCGTGTCAGGAGCCCGTCCGAGGATACAACAGTTGATATACCTCCTTTTAATTTCACACAGGGTCTTGCTTTGTCACCCAGGCTGCAGTGCAGTGCTGTGAATCATGGCTCACTGCAGCCTTGACCTCCTAGGCTCAAATGATCCTCCCACCTCAGCCTCCTGAGTAGCTGGGACCACAGGGACATGCCGCCACATCTGGCTAATTTTTGCATTTTTTGTAGAGACGAGGTCTCACCATGTTGTCCAGGCTGGTCCTAGACTCCTGGGCTCAAGTGATCCCCTTGCCTTGGCCTCCCACAGTGTTAAGATTACAGGTGTGAGCCATGGCACCCAACGATATCCCTTCTTTTTATTGGCAAGAAAGATCTTTCCCCTTGTCAACAACTTCCAGGCCCATCAAGGAAAACAGGTGGCAAGACTACCTCAAATGACTCTCAACACTCCTCCTGGAGTGTGGCCCTTCTGGGGAGGTGACTGACTTTAACTAGAGGAGGCACCCTGGCATGCAGACCTGATGGGGGTGATAAGGCAAGGCTCCCACACCTGGAGGAAGGTGGTCTGGATCTAGGAGCCAGGGAGGACCAGGGTGCTTTCCTTGTTGAGTAGCTCAGAAAGCAGCTACTGACACCAAAGCACATCATGTTAGTTTCGAGGTTTGCTCCCCAGGGAGAAATTCCTGCCAGCTCTGGGGGGAACCACGCACAAGAGCTTTGCCACATCCAGCGCGTCGATGGGATCCACGTCCCTCAGTCCAGCATCCCCTGCACCCAGCAGGCTGCCAGGCACGTAGTATGTGCTGAGCAGGTGTTTGTTGAACTGGATGGCCAAGGGCTTCCCCTCGCTGTGCAGCCTCTGGTGCTCAGTGAGGTGCGAGCTCCAGTTGAACATCTCCCCACATTTCTCACACTTAAACGACTTCTCCCCGGAGTGGATTTTCTGATGTTTAATGAGACAGTGGTTCTGGCTGAAGGCTCTGCCGCACTCGCTGCACTTGTAGGGCTTCTCACCGGTGTGGATGCGCTGGTGCACGATGAGGGACGAGTGGCAGCTGAAGGCCTTCCAACACTGGCTGCAGTCGAAGGGCTTCTCGCCTGTGTGGATGCGCCGGTGCACGATGAGGTAGGCGTGGGAGCTGAAGGCTTTGCCGCACTCGTTGCACTTGAAGGGCTTCTCGCCGCTGTGGATGCGCCGGTGCACGAGCAGGTACGCGTGGCAGCTGAAGCCCTTCCCGCAGTCGGCGCACTTGAAGGGCTTCTCGCCCGTGTGCGTCCTCTGGTGGAGGGTGAGGCGCGAGCGGCTGTTGAAGGCCTTCTCGCAGTCGCTGCACTTGAACGGCTTGTCCCCGCTGTGGATCTTCTCATGCACGGTGAGGGATGAGTGGCAGGTGAAGGCCTTGCCGCAGGAGCCGCACTGGTAGGGCTTCTCGCCCGTGTGGATGCGGTGGTGGCGTGTGAGGTGTGTACGCTGGTTGAAGGCCTTGCCGCACTCGCCGCACCGGTAGGGCTTCTCGCCGGTGTGCACCCGCAGGTGCATGCTGAGCAGCGAGCTGCAGCTGAAGGCCTTCTCGCAGGCGCTGCACTTGTAGGGCCGCTCGCCCGTGTGGATGCGCTGGTGCACGTTGAGGGACGAGTGGCAGCTGAAGGCCTTCCCGCACTCGCCGCAGAAGAAGGGCTTCTCGCCGGTGTGGATGCGCCGGTGCTCCAGAAGGTTGGTGCTCCAGGTGAAGGCCTTGCCGCATTCATCGCACTTGTAAGCCTTCTCCCGGCTGTGCCAGCGCCGGTGCAGCGTGAGGGAGGAGCTCTGGCGGAACGCCTTCCCGCACTCGCCGCACACGAACTCGCCCTCCCCGGCGCCCGCCCCGCGCTGCCGGCGCACCTGGGGGAACTTTTCTGGCTCACTTGGCGTGGAGGCGTTTTCCCCTGCACACAGTCTCGCGGGGGCCTTGGTTCTGCCCTCAGTGGCCTGGACGTTCTTGCGTGTGTCCAGCAAGGGTCCCCCCTCGGGAACGCGTTGCTGGGCGAAGAGGGGACACCTGAGGGGGAATTCCTCTACAGGGACGTCCCAGACCATGGCAGGTGCGGGCGCCCAGGGCGCAGCCTGACTCCTCTGCAGAGCACCTGCCTGGCGCCCCCACGCCTGCGCCCCGCCGAGGGGCCGCTCCATGATGGGCTCCTGGGCCGGTTCTTCTTTGCAAATGCCCTGCTGTTGAGAGGGCACCGCCTTCAGCTCCCATTCTGTAAGATATTGAAAATGATTTTCTGTGAGCAAGCGGAAACCTGGCCTAGAATTCAGATTTGAGAATTGGCCTGGAGATGCAGATAAGCCCAGAAAAGAGAGGAGAGGCCACCAGGGCCAAGGCTGGAAGGTGCAGGCAGAGAGAAGGGAGCGCCCAGGATGAGATGGGCAAGCAAGAGCGGGAAGAAGGGAGAGGAAGAACACGGAAGGAGCTACCAGAGAGCAAAGACCGGGAGAGGCGGAGAAGCCAAAGGAATCCCGGAAGGAACAGCTACAAGCACCAAGGGGGCTGAGAAAGGGGCAAGCTTGGGAGCTGTTGATGAGGATTACACTCATTCACGGACACGTCGGCTGACCGACTGCTCTGTATCAATACCATGGCAGGTGCTCGCAATACACAGGACAAATACATGTTTTTTGTTTGTTTGTTTGTTTTGAGACCGAGTCTCGCTCTGTCGCCCAGGCCGGAGTGCAGTGGCGCGATCTCGGCTCACTGCAAGCTCCGCCTCCCAGGTTCACGCCATTCTCCGGCCTCAGCCTCCCGAGTAGCTAGGACTAACAAATGAATTAAAAATTGTCTGTGGTGCCAAAAGGAAAAAAGGGCTCCCCACACCCCAGCGCTTCCCTTTAGAACACTGGGAATTGCAAATGCTTTCTCTGTCTCGAGACGCATGCAAACCTTTTCAGAAGCAAAATGAGCCTAGTCCAAGAGTCGAGTCCAAGATGTAACTTCCTGCTTGTCAAAAAGCTACAAGAGGCTGGGCGCGGTGGCTCATACCTGTAATCCCAGCACTTTGGGAGGTCAAGGTGGCGGATCACTTGAGCCCAGATCAAGACCAGCCTGGGTAACACAGTGAGACCCCTCTACAAAAAATACAAAATTAGCCAGGAATGATGGTACCTGTCTATAGTCCCAGCTACTCAGGAGGCTGAGGTGGGAGGATCACCTGAGCCTAGGGAGGTTGAGGCTTCGAGCTATGATCATGCAACCGCACCCCAGCCTGGGCAATAGAGGGATACCCTGTCTCAAAAAACAAACAAACAAACAAAACCCAAAAAGCTGTACTCTTCCTTTAGGTGAAGACAGTTGCCCTGTGTGCTGGGTTGGATGTGTCTCCTCTGTCAAAGGGGGAGGTTTCTTTCTCTCCTGTACACCACATCTGGTTAAACACTTATTCAATAAGAAGGCTTTCTTTCTTTTCTATCTCTATAGCAAGGTTTTCTGAGCTGGCAGGAGATTTTATTTCTAATTCTGTCCTCCCCAGGCTTAAAAGGGAGCAGTCTAGTGCAGCGGGCAGAGCTGCATGGTGGTGCTGCCTGTGGCCCCAACACATGCAGAAGAGCAGGGCAAGTGGAACTGGCCATGGCACACATGGCAGGTAGCCAGGTGGAGAGTGAACAGCATGTGCAGAAGCTCAGAGGTGAGACAGTAAGATGAAGACAAGACACGCAGAGGCAGGAAGGCTGAGAGGTGACCCTGGCAAGGTGGATGGGTTCGAGGTGACCAGATGCCTGACTCAGAGGGCAGCCGGGGAAGAAAGGCCTTTTGCACAGAGGGTGATGTGATCATATGGTGTCTTGACGGGGGGCGGGGGAAGCAGAGGGCGGGGACACAGTCTCGCTCTGTTGTCCAGGCTGCAGTGCAGGGGTGCAATCACAGCTCGCTGCAGCCTCCAACTCCTGGGCTCAAGTGGTCCTCCTGCCTTGGCCTCCCAAAGTGCTGGGATTAGATGTGTGAGTCCCTGTGCCTGGCATAATGGTTTGTCTTGAAGGTGGCTTTGGTGGTGTGTAAGGTGGTTGGAGCCAGCAGTTAGGGAGGCCAGTTAGGGAGGCCATCTGAATAATTCAGGTGAAAAATGGCAACTTCAGACTGGAACCAAGGCTGTGAAAATGAACAGGAAGCAGCAGATCTAAGAGCCATTTAGGTGCTAAAACTGATGGCCCTAGCTGTTGACTGAAGGTGGCAAGAGAGGAAATGGGGGAGAGGATGAGACCTCAGCAAACACCCAAGCCTGGGTGGATGGTGGAAGCTTTTATAAAGGAGGAGGAAGGGCCAGTTCCAAGTCTGGTTTTAGACATGCAAGCAGAGGCCCACGAGATGGTCAGTGACACAGGGCTGCAGCTCAGCTGGTGTTGCTATAGTGTAGACCACATCCACACCAAGTGAGAGGTAAGAGTCTAGGGAAGTTGCACAGAGCAGAGAGAAGAGGCCCAGGCCAGAAAAAAGTTGTTTTGGCAGCAATAGGGCCAACAACACAGCAGGGCACATTCATCTAAGGGATACTGTGCAATCAGTAAACATCACGTGAGGACGCTCACTATGCCATGGCCAGTGTGGTAGCCAGACTCCGGCGTGAGTGCTGTGCTTCCGAGGGTGCATAAGGCTTTATTTATTTATTTGTTTGAGATGGAGTTTAGCTCTGTCACACAGGCTGGAGTGCAATGGTGCGATCATGGCTCACTGCAACCTCTGCCTCCCGGGTTCAAGCAATTCTCCTGCCTAAGCCTCCAGAGTAGCTGGGATTACAGGTGCTCACCACCACGCCCAGCTAATTTTTTTTTTTTTTTTTTTTTGAGATGGAATTTCACTCTTGTTACCCAGACTGGAGTGCAATGGCACGATCTCAGCTCACCGCAACCTCTGCCTCCTGGGTTCAAGCGATTCTCCTGCCTCAGCCTCCCAAGTAGCTGGGATTACAGGCATGCACCACCATGCCCAGCTAATTTTGTAATTTTAGTAGAGACAGGGTTTCTCTATGTTGGTCAGGCTGGTCTCGAACTCCTGACCTCAGGTGATCTGCCTGCCTCGGCCTCCCAAAGTGTTGGGATTACAGGTGTGAGCCATCACGCCTGGCCACATGTAGCTTTAGAAGTCTATCCGCACACAGAGGAAGGGCCCAGAGGAATCAGTGACATGGTCAGTTATTAGAGAACCGTCATCTCTGGGTGGAAAGATTATGCAGGATTTCAGTAACCTTTCAGCCTCATTTTCAGTATATTCATATATGAATCAAACAAAAATATGAATTTTTTGAAACCTGTAATCTTGTTAAAGAGGACAAAGCAAGCATCAGAGGCTGGGGTGAGAAATAAAGACCAGAAAGCTGGGGCTGCAGCCACTGTTGCAGGTTGGGGCTGGGTGGTATGTGGCAGTGGAGGGGGATGGAGGAGGGGCTGCCTTCCCCGACCCCCGTGTTCTGTGCTCCACAGCTTATCGGCTGCCTTTCCCACAGAAAGGTGTTTCTCGAGCTTTCTAGACACCTAACATGCTCAGCAGTCACTGTCCAATAAATTAAGCCGAATTTACCACTTATTTATCAACCAACTCAGAAGAGAAGTCTACAAAAAGAATGTTGGAGAAGAAAAGCAGACTACCTTCTGCTCAACACCCACCCCAGTCCCCTTTCCCTTACGGAGGGCTGCCATCTTGGCCACAGCCTGGAAGCCCTCGCTGACGTTGACCCTGACCCTGACGCTGATGCTGACCCTAATGCTGATGCTGACTCTGACCCTGACGCTGATGATGGCCCTGACACTGATGCTCACACTGGCCCTGATGCTGATGCTCACGCTGGCCCTGACACTGATGCTGGCTCTGACCCTGACGCTGACGCTGGCCCTGATGCTGATGCTCATGCTGACCCTGACACTGACCAACGCCAGCTGCCCCTTCCCTGGTGGCCCCCTGCCCCCAATCCCACACCCCCGGCTGCCCAGCCAACACCAATGGCTCAATATTTCTATTCCTGCCTCCCCATCCCCATCAGCAGGTGACCATTTGGTCCCAGTGGCCAGGTTTGTTCCCTGTTGTATCCCAGAACAGGTCTCAGCACACAGGCAGTGCTCAGTACGTGCTGAAGGGAGGCAGGCAGGAGGGTCTGGCGGGGGACCTGAAAAGGGGAGATGGAGCCGGGGCAAACTGAGGGAGGAAAATAGGGGCCATAGGAGGAGGTGCCACCAGGGGTGCTGGGGCTGGCACCCTTCCACCTGTGCCTCTGCTCACCTGGACAGGGCCCTCTGGGGACTTCCCTCTGCATGCTCCATGGCTCCTCGCCTCGTTCCAGATGAGAGATCACATCTGGCTTGTGCAGTGGAGGTCCTGCTCGTGGAGAGAAAGTGGGCTGGGCATGCTGCAGCTCTCCAGGCCCAGTCGACCTTACAGGCCGCCCCCTAACAAGGACAATGCCTGTGAAGTGGACACCCTCTCTGGGAACAGGAGGTCCTCTGGGCCAAAAGCAGTGAGGGTCTCAGACTGGAACCCAAATCCCAGTGTATACTCTGAAGACCCCACGTGTGCTGACGTCCTTACTTCATTGCTTGAGGACTGTTCCAGAGCCAGCTGGGCTCCAGGGTCCCACCTTCTTCTCTTCTCTCCCTGCCCCTATCCCAGGACCAGGGGAAACACCAAGCAAGGATGCTACCAGCTCCCACGCTGTCCCTTGGGGACTTCTGGCGTGGCCGAGGCCCCTGGCCATGAGTGCCCCAAGGCACAGGCCTTGCTTCCCACCCCATGATATATCTGGCACCAGGGCCGGCACTGAAGGGATTCTCCTTAATATCTACCATGTAGAAGAAGGCTGACAGCCGACGCCCAGCCTGGGGCTGGGGGGATTTTACCTAGGGCAAGAAGGTTCTGGTAGTTCTCCAACATCACATCCCGGTACAAGGCCCTCTGAGGGGAGTCTAGTTGACCCCACTCCTCCTGGGTGAAGTCCACAGCCACATCCTTGAAACTCACCGATTCCTGAAATGACATATAGGTTCTCACCCAGGACTGATTCTGTGTCCATGGTTCCAAAGGAGCCAGAGATTGATTAAGGACCCTACAAGTAAAGGGTTAACCTCAGGTGACCTTCTCCCATGCCAGAAGGTTGTGCTGTAGACACTGACCATGACTGAATTCGGGGACCAGGGGCAGGGAGGGGGGCTGGGAATTGGCATGCATTCCCACACCACCTTCTAGATTGGGAAAGCAGGTCTGAATAGACACCACAGGGCCCTGGCAACTTGCGGTGGGACCCAGGGGCTGTACATGGCTGTTGTATCAGGCTCTAAGTCCTGGGTGAGATGCTATGCTTCCTGGAGTCAAGAATTTCAAACTTAAAAATTTGAGAGAATATTAATAGTACAAAAATCCCAGCAACTCTATTCAAAGCTCAGTAACGCAAAAGGATCCGATCCCAGACTAGAAACTGTTATTACACTCTAAGGAAGGAAACCTTGTATATATCAGCAAGTTCTGTGCCCCAAGGGACTAAGAGAGGCTACCTGCAGTCCTCACCTGACTGCCTTCCAATCCTTCCTGCCTGCTCCCCCTGGGCCTGGGCATCCTGGCCACCACCCAACTCCAGACTTGCTTTGATCCTTGAAAGGATCAAATAGATGCCAAGTAATTTCACTGCATCCCAGAACAAATCCCAGAAACAAGGAATTCCAAAAACCTACTCAACAAAGTAAAATTCACAATGTCCAGCATCCAATCAAATAACTAAAAGGTGAAAAATATTAATGAAATCAGAGGAATTAAGAGTATATTAGAACAGTATGTGTTTACCTCAAAAGAAGTCATTAAGGGAGGAAATGAGAAACAAAAAAGACATAAGACATAGAAAACTAATAGCAAGGCCGGGTGGGGTGGCTCACGCCTATAATCCCAGCACTTGGGAGGCCAAGGTGGCAGATCACCTGAGGTCAGGAGAATTGCTTGAACCCAAGAGGTGGAGGTTGCAGTGAGCCAAGATTGCGCCACTGCACTCCAGCCTGGGTGACAAGAGCCAAACTCTGTCAAAAGAAAAAAAAAAAAAGGACATGTAAATCCAACCATATTAATAATTACACTAAATGCGAATAGTTTAAACACTCCAATTAAAAGGTGGAGATTGTCAAACTGAATTCAAAAAGCAAGCTACAGAAACCCACTTTACATACAAAGATAGGTTAAAAGTGATAGGATAGAAAAAGATAAACCCTGCAAATACTAATTTAAAAAAAAAAAGCTCAAGTGCCTATAGTAATAGCAAAGTAGATTTCAGAGAGAGGACTATCAGAGACAAAGAGAATATTACATAATGATAAAACAGTTAATTCATTAAGAACTCATAGCAATCCTAAATATAAATGTATCTACTAAAAGAGCTTCAAAATACATAATGCAAAAACTGACAGAACAATTAAAAAACACCATCATTCAACTTGACTTAACTGATATTTACATAACACTCTAACCAACAAAGGCATAATACATATTTTTTCAAGGGCATGTGGAACATTTACCAAGATAAACCACACTCTGGGAAATAAAATAAATCTTGGTAGACTTGAAAGACTTTAAATCACACAAAGTTCATTCTTTGATGACAATAGAATTAAATCAGAAATCCATAATAGAAAGTTATCTGGAAAATGCCCTAAATATTAGGAAATGAAACAACACATTCTGAAATAACATATGGCTGAAGAATACATCACTAGGGAAATTAGAAGCTATTTTGAGCTGAATAAAAGTGAAAATGTGACATAACAAAAGTTGTAGGATATAGTTGAGGCAGTGCTTAGAAATTTACAACGCTGAATGCTATATGAGGAAAAAAGGTATCAAATCAATATCTATGTTTCAATCTTAAGACACTAAAGTAAGTAAAGTAAGTTTCAATCTTAAGACACCAAGGAGATAATAAGGATCAGAAATCTCTGAAATGGAAAACAGAAAATAGAGAAAAATCAATAAAACAAAAAAATTGTTTTTTGAAAAGATCAATAAAATTGACAAACATATATTTACTATATGGCTCAGCAATTTCACACCTAGGTATTTATGCAAGAGAAATTAAAATGCACAGCCATACGTGTACTCAAATATTTATAGCGGGTTTATTTGTAATAGCAAAAGCCTATGAGTAACCTAAATGTCCATCGGCTGGTGAATGGATAAGCAAACTGCGGAGCAGTTTGCTCCATCCAATGGAGCAATGGGATGAAATGTATACCCCTCACCTCAAATTCTTATGTCTCAATGCTTGGTAACTCCGAGAGAGGTTTTTTTTTTTTTTTTTTTTTTTTGAGACATGGTCTCACTCTGTCACCCAGGCTGGAGTACAGTGGTGCAATCTCAGCTCACTGCAACCTCTGCCTCCTGGGTTCAAGAGATTCTCCTGCCTCAGCCTCCTGAGTAGCTAGGACTACAGGCGAGAACTAACGCCCAGCTAAATTTTTGTATTTTTAGTAGAGACAGGGTTTCACCATGTTGGCCGGCTGGTCTTGAACTCCTGACCTCAAGTGTTCCACCCACCTCAGCCTCCCAAAATGCTGGGGTTACAGGCGTGAGCCACTGCACCCGGCCTGGAGAGAGGTTCTTTAAAGAAGTAATTCAGTTAAAATGAATTCAATGCAGTGGGCCTTGATCCAATATAACTGGTGTCCTCATAAGAAGAGGAAATTTGGACACAGACATAGAAGAGGTAAGACCATGTGAAGATGCGGGGAAAAGGTGGCCATCTACAAGCCAAGGAGAAGCCTCAGAAGAAATCAACCCTGCTGACACCTTGATTTCAGATTTCTTGCCTCTGGAACTGTGAGGAAATACATTTCTGTCATTTAAGCCCTCCTGCCATACTTTGTATGGCAACCCTAGCAGACTAATACAAATGGAATATTACTCACCAATAAAAAGGAACAAACTACTGATTCACACAACAATATGGATAAACTCAAAAGCATATGCTAAGCGAAATAAAGCAGAGACAAAAGACCACATAATATAAATTCCATATGAAATCCTTAAAGAGGAAAATCTACAGCAAAACTATAGTGGTTACCAAGGGGAGAGGGGAGACCACTGAATGCACAGGGGCATGAGGACATTTTTGGGTCATGGAAACGTCCCATATCATGATTGTGGTGCTGGTTACACAACTGTATACGTTTGCTCAACCTCATCAAATTGTATACTTAAAATTGTACAACTGTGCTGTATATAAATTACACCTCAATAAAACCTTACCCCCCAAAACACTGGATTTCAGATGAGGAGGTAGAGATGAGGACAAATGCTGAGAACACACCCCTAACTGAGGCATGCAGGCATGAAGGATGACGATAGCCGAGGGAAGGAGAAAATGGGCTGAAACAAGGCTCCAAGCCAGGTGTGGGGGCACACACGTTGGTCCCAACTACTTAGGAGGCCGAGGTGGGGGATTTGCTTGAGCCCAGGAGTTGAAGGCTGCAGTGAGCTATGATTGTGCCACTGCACTCCAGCCTGGGCGACAGAGCAAGACTCTGTCTCAAAAAAAAAAAAAGAAAAAGAAAGAAAAACAAAAAAATAGCTCCACAGGTATCAGAATATGGTGTTGGCCAGTGAGGCTGTCAGAGGCTACATGGCTTCAGTGTGGGGAGCAAAACCAGCAAGAGTAGGGTAGGGTCTGAGGCCCGCACAGGCCTTTTTGATGGGTATTTCTGGCCACTGGGAGAAGTCCATGTCTAATGTGTCATCATTCTGCAGGGAAAGGAATAAAAAACCCAGACAGTATGCATTGGAATCAGATGCTGATGTGGTAATGACACTAGCAGAGAAGTCAGAACAGACCACACAAGATGTCCCAGGAGACAGAACAACTTGAACTGTGAGTGAGAATGAGACTGTCAAGAGAAAATGCCAAAGCTGATGTGTACTCAGGAGAGTCAACTGGTTATTCAAAGATCTAACAAGCTAATATTTTAGGAATAGGAATAACACATGCATGAGGGCCCTACCACCTAGACGGAGCTGCACAGACACATACAGACATACATACATGCACACACATTTTTTTTTGCTGAACCATTTGAAGGTAAGTTGCAGACATCATGATGTCTCACTCTACAGTCTTCAGCTTGTATCTCCTGTGGATATTCTCTTACATAATCACAGTACTATTATCACATGCAATAAATTTCATATTGATACAATATGACCTAAGATACAGCCCATTTTCAAATTTCCTCTTGTCCCAAACTGCCCTTTATCAATTTTTTTGGATCTATCCCCTAAGCAAGGAACATGCATTGCATTTGACTGTCAAGTTTCTTGAGGACTATAAAGCATTGTGACACACTACAGAAGTGAGGCACAGCTCACAATACACGTTTTGCAGCTGTTTCTAGCTGGCTATAATCTGCCATCACCTCTTTTGAGTGGCAGACTGACAAAATCACAAAATGCTAAAAAAAAAACAAAAACCCAAAGACCCCTTATTCCTCCACATCTTTCACTCTACTGTGCTCTCTTTGTCAACTGCACCCTTCTAAATACAACCATGGGGTGAGGTGGTTGCGGTAGAAAAACAAAATGAGGAACAGAGTTCACAGTCTGTAAAAGGAGGGATCTGGGTCCCATTTGGCTGCAGAAGTTCCCAGGGCCAATTCCTTGCTGAGCCCCCAGATTCTCTAAATCTCCAGGACTCTCCATGAAGGCCCCATGCCAGGGGCTGGGTACAGAGGAAAGCACACAGGGATGTGTCCCCTACCGCCACTCTTAACCAAGTGCTGCAATCCAGCCCTTCCTGAGCTGCTCCACGTGCCCCTGTCTGATTCCAGTCCCAGTAAACCAACCGTGCAAACATCCTGCACCAACCCCTGGCCAGCACGTGGATAGGCAAAGCGACCCCATGTGAGCCGTCAACTACTTTCTCAGATTCCACTAAAACCACTCCTCAGAGCTCCCAGCACAGCGCTGGGCAGAGAGATCCCCAGCAACTGACCCACTGAATTGGACTGGGCGAGACATTCAATAGAGCACATCTCGAGGGCACACCTCGGGCAACATCTGGACTCTTCACTTGGAGCTGTTCCCACTGCCCAGAGCTTCCTGAGGACTGGCCAGCAGGTACCCGGGTGAAGGTCTGTGGAAGGCTGACGATCCAGGGCTGGGGAGGGAATGTGCCAACCCTCTTCATAAAGAAGGAAGAACACACAGCCACTCACCTTGGACCTGGCTTCGGGAAGACCCCAACCCGATATATCCTCGAGATTCTCTTTCAGGGAAAGAGCAGGATCCTGAGAGGAAAGAGCTGGCGAAGGAGAAATGAGTCAAGGTCACGGCTACCAGGCTCACGGCTGAGCTTAAAGCCCACCTGTCGTGGCACAAGTGAGAATCAGAGAGGAGGCAGAACCTGCCAGCAAGGCCAGGTGGGGAACGAGCCCCAGTAGCTAGCACCAACAGAAACAGCATCGAGGAATAATCTGCCTGTGTCTCAGACACTCCAATTCATGACGAAAAGAGCTGCTACCCCCAATCAAGCACGTCTGAGTGGGAACAAATGATTGGGCGCGGGGAAGAAAGAAGCAGGAGGCCAGGAGCGATGGCTCACGCCTGTAATCCCAGCACTTTGGGAGGCCGAGGCGGGCGGATCGCTTGAGCTTAAGACCAGCCTGGGAAACATGGCAAAACCCCGTCTCTACTAAAAATACAAACATTAGCCGGGCGTGGTGGCGCGCGCCTGCAATCCCAACTACTTGGGAGGTTGAGGCGGGAGAATAGTTTGAACCCGGGAAGCAGAGGTTGCAGTGAGCGGAGATCAAGCCATTGCACCACTCCCGCCTGGGTGACAGAGTGAGATTCCATTTAAAAAAAAAAAAAAAGATGCTGGATGCTTCTGGGAAACTGGCCTGATCTCTCTGAGTGTCAATATCCTCAAGTGCAAATCCACAGACATACTGACTACAAGAGTGAAGCTGTACCTGTCTTCTCGGGCTCCGGGGCAGGGATCTCCATGGCCTCCACGGCAGCCTCCCCAGGAGGAGTGGGCAGCTGTGTAGCCTCCAGGATCCAGGGCAGGCCCTGAAGAGCGAGTACTGCTCCTGGGGCTGAGGGGCCTGCAGCGGAGCCCCGCGGGGCGGCCACGCGCTCACAGCTGCACGATCACACGCACGGAGCCCCCTCCCCGCGCCCGGCTGAGGTGGGGTTCAGGCCGGCTCCGCAGATACCCACTCCCCACACCAGGCTCAGCCCCATGCTCGGCGCACTCACGCCCCGGCACACCCCCGCCACACGCTCCTCCCGGCGAACCCGCGCTCGGAGACCAGGGCCAGGCCTAAGGTTCCGCGGCCAGGAGCCATCGGACGCGGAGCGACCAGCGGACAGGTCCCGAAGCGGACAGAGACCGCCGACGGTCTGAGGGACCGGCAAGTGGACAGACCGGACTCCCACAAAAGGACTGCGACTGCCACAAAGAGCAGCAGGCGGCCGCTGCGGGAAAGCGCGCCTGCGCGAAATAGGCGCAAACTACACCTCCCGGGAGCGTTTGCGCCGCGCAGGCGTCAGACTCCATTTCCTAGAGCGAGTTCGGGCCGGTGCTTGCGTCCCGACGCGAACGAGTATCTAGCACATCCTTCTAGGAAATGTAGTTCCTGGGCCCACAGCCGGGAGCTCCGGCACCCACCATGCTCTTGCGGGCGGATGTCGCTGTGTATCTCCGTGTGCGGATCAGTGTAGTGCCGCTGCATGGGTGTCTAATTGCGAGGATACTGGGAGGGCGGTGTCCAGGAACTAGAATTTGTCCTGTTAGTTCGTCCACGTCCCCACGTAGCTGGGAGTCGGGTGGGTTCCTGCCCACATCTGTCTGCAGGAAAGACTCAAGCCCCTGGTCTTACGGATATTGGGAGTGGTGGGTCTGGCCTCGAGGGGTTTTCCAGGGGCCCTGCCCCCACTCCCCCTTCTCGAGCCACATATCTGAGGCCCATGGGCGCGGGTCCCCAGAGGTGGGAGAGCCTTGGCCTAGTCCCCCCAGAGGGTCCTGTCCACAGTTCACCCCTGGGGCGGGAAAGGAAGGTCTGGGTGGCGGCCCAGTCCTGGCGGCACAGAGCTCTGCCATGAACACAGTGATGACGCCAGCGACAGAAACATTGAATATGTACTGAGCACCAACCAAACGCCAGGCCTACTTCAAGAGCTTGGAGTACATTTTTCTGGCAGAATGCTCACAGCAGTCCAGGGAGGTTTGCTAACTACTGTCATCCCATTTGGGAGATGAGGAAGTTGTGGTACAGGTGCGTGGGGTAACGTGTCGCAAATCACACAGCCAGAAGTAGGAATCCAGCACCGAAGTGCATTGCCACATTCCTACTGAGAGGTGGTCCGGGGTGGTGCACACTCCAAACCCTTCAGCCTCCCACCTTAACCGCAGCTTAGGCTTGGCCACAGGCTCTCACGTGACACCTGTCCACTGCCCACATCAGCACAGCTGTGCCCAGACCTCCCCTGCCCAGGGCAGCGCCCGTGTTTGATTTTGTTTTGAGACTGGGTCTCACTCTGTCGCCCAGGCTGGAGTGCAGTTGCACAATCACGGCTCACCGTAGCCTCAGTCTCTCGGGCTCAAACTATTCTCCCACCTCAGCCTCCGGAGTAGCTGGGACTTACAGACATGCACCACCACGCCCGGTTAATTTTTATATTCAGCGCCCATTTTTAATAGCAACCCAGTGAGAGGGGACAGCGTGCTGGCAGTCCTCACAGCCCTTGCTCGCTCTCGGCGCCTAGTCGGCCTTGGCGCCCACTCTGGCCGCGCTTGAGGAGCCCTTCAGCCCACCGCTGCACTGTGGGAGCCCCTTCCTGGGCTGGCTGCGGCCGGAGCCGGCTCCCTCAGCTTGCCGAGAGGTGTGGAGGGAGAGGCGCGGGCGGGAACCGGGACTGCGCGCAGCGCTTGCGGGCCAGCACGAGTTCCGGGTGGGCGTGGGCTCAGCGGGCCCCGCACTCGGAGCTGCCAGCCGGACCCGGGCAGTGAGGGGCTTAGCACCTGGGCCAGCAGCTGCTGTGCTCGACTTCTCGCCGGGCCTTCGTTGCCTCCCCGCGGGGCAGGGCTCGGGACCTGCAGCCCGCCATGCCTGAGCCTACCCACCGCCGTGGGCTCCTGCGCGGCCCAAGCCTCCCCGACAAGCGCCGCCCCCTGCTCCACGGCGCCCAGTCCCATCGACCACCCAAGGGCTGAGGAGTGCGGGCGCACGGCGCGGGACTGGAAGGCAGCTCCACCTGCGGCCCCGGTGCGGGATCCACTGGGTGAAGCCAGCTGGGCTTCTGAGTCTGGTGGGGACTTGGAGAACCTTTATGTCTAGCTAAGGGATTGTAAATACACCAGTGGGCACTCTGTGTCTAGCTTAAGGTTTGTAAACACACCAATCAGCACCCTGTGTCTAGCTCAGGGTTTGTGAATGCATCAATCGACACTGTATCTAGCTACTCTGCTGGGGACTTGGAGAACCTTTATGTCTAGCTAAGGGGTTGAAAATACACCAATCGGCACTCTGTATCTAGCTCAAGGTTTGTAAACACACCAATCAGCACTCTGTGTCTAGCTCAGGGTTTGTGAATGCATCAATCAACACTGTATCTAGCTACTCTGGTGGGGACTTGGAGAACCTTTATGTCTAGCTAAGGGATTGTAAATACACCAATTGGCACTCTGTATCTAGCCCAAGGTTTGTAAATGCACCAATCAGCACTCTGTGTCTAGCTCAGGGTTTGTGAATGCACCAGTGGACACTCTGTATCTAGCTAATCTAGTGGGGACGTGGAGAACTTTTGTGTCTAGCTCTTTGGGTCCACGCTGCCTTTATGAGCTGTTAACACTGCGAAGGTCTGTAGCTTCACTTCTGAAGCTAGCGAGACCACGAACGCACCAGAAGGAAGAAACTCCGCGCACGCTGCGTTTAAGAACTGTGACACTCACCACGAGGGTCTGTGGCTTCATTCTTGAAGTCAGTGAAACCAAGAACCCACCAATTCTGGACACACCAGGACAAGAGCCTTGGTGGGGTATAGAACTGTTGATTACACAGTGCATGAGTCTATGTGTAAGTTTGTGTATGTGTTTGTTTCTCTGTGTATCTTACAGGTGTAGGTGTGGGTCCGCTTTTGCCTCACATTTCTTATGTGTTTCTGTCCTGGTGTGCCTCTGTGAAACAATGTGTACGTGCACCTGTGCACAGGTGACTCTATGAGTGTGTATGTGGGCACTGTCTCAACAGTTCTGGAGTCTGGATACGTGTTTGTGTGCAGGCTTGTGTACATGGGACAGGAACCTGTACATGGGAGTGGAACTTGTGTGCACGGTGTGCTTGCTGATGAGTCTAATGTGATTATCTGTTGGCATCTGGCTGTTGACTAACAGGTCAGGTCTGAGTCTTTCTTTTTTTGTTTTTGAGATGGAGTCGCGCTCTGTTGTCCAGGCTGGAGTGCAGTGGCGCAATCTCAGCTCACTGCAATCTCTGCCTTCTGAGTAGCTGGGACTACAGGTGCCCGCCATCACACCCGGCTAATTTTTTTGTAATTTTAGTAGAGATGGGGTTTCACCATGTTAGCCAGGATGGTCTCAATCTCTTGACCTCGTGATCCACCCGCCTCGACCTCCCAAAGTGCTAGGATTACAGGCCTGAGCCACCATGCCTGGCTGGGTCTGAGTCTTTCTGTATAAGTGCACATGTGTATGTGTGTGTGTGCCTCACTGTTTACACAGATCTGAATGTATGACTGGCATATCTGTGCATGTAACTCTGCAGTTCATCTCTGTAGATTGTGGATGTATCATCTATGTCTGCTTGCCTGAGTGTGTTCTGTGTGATAGTGAGTAGATGCCTTACGCCAGTGACTATGGACGGCGTCTTGTTCAGGTGAATTTGTAGACCTGTGTGTGTGTGTGGTTCTCTCAAAGTTCTAGTTTGTTGTGAGATGGTATGCACCTCTTTTCATTTGTGGGGCTGTAGACCTCGCAGGTCCAGTTGTGGCTGTGTGTGTGCCTGCATGTGTTCTTCTGTATGCCACTCTGTGTTGACTTCCAGGGCTCATCAGTGTCAGTACGTGCATCCTTGTGTACATGTGTATGTCACTGTGGGCCTCATGGATCCCCTGTGTCTGTAGGAAAGCCAGTGTGAGCCCAGGGATTCTATATTGAGTGCTCTGTCACCTGTGTCTCTGCAAAGGCTGTAGGGACAGGGATGTGTTCAGCCTGAAGGGAAGAGTGGAAGGGAGGATGCTGTTACTGCTTTCTGCTCACTATAGACTTCTGAGGATGGGAAAGGCATTTACCGCAAGACAATTTAGCCTAAGATTCTCACTTACATAAGAAGTCCCAGGTCATGTTCTTGTTCCTAAGTTCTCTGATTCCTCAATTCTCGAGGGTTGACTAGCAGGGCTGTGTGAAGGCCCAGTGAAATAATGGATATATATGCCCTTTTTTTTTTTTCCTGAGATGGAGTCTCACTCTGTTGCCCAGGCTGGAGTGCAGTGGTACCATCTCGGCTCACTGCAATCTCCGTCTCCCGGGTTCAAGCAATTCTCCTGCCTCAGCCTCCCTAGTAGCTGGAACTACAGGCACCTGCCACCACGCCTGGCTAATTTTTGTATTTTTGGTAGAGATGGGTTTCACTATGTTGGCCAAGCTGGTCTCGAACTCCTGACTTCAGGTGATCTGCCTACCTTGGCCTCCCAAAGTGCTGGGATTACAGGCATGAACCACCATGCCTGGCCTAAAGGCTTTTAAAATTCACTTATATAAGCTGACTTAGTTTTCTTTAACTTTGTAGAAAAATACAAAAATGGCAATCTCTTTTATCACACAAATGTCTTTTTAATAGAGTTTTTTTCTAATTGATGTATTATGTATTTTTCATTCACTAATTATTAATTGCTTACATTTGAAGTGTTTGATGAATTAATATTTAATTGCATAGATGAAGATGACTAGTCATAGGCATTTTACTAACCAATACTCATTGGATTCATGTGATGTTGCAGGCCGAAAGAGGGAGGGTCATGATCAACTCGGTGTACCACTGGAGGTTATATGAGTAAACAGTAAACTGTTCTCATGAATGCAGAATGTTGGCAAACTGCGTCTGCCACCCAGAGGGAATGCTGAGGGCAGTCATGCCCCAGGCGCGGCGTTTCTTGAGATTAGGCACATCTGAAACCTGTTAGCAATAATGTGAACCTGTGATCAATTGAGAAGCTGACCAATCATTACCTCCTGCTCCCTGCTCTTTCTACTCAATAAATATGAAGGGCTGTAGAAGCTCAGGGCTGCTGCCCTTGCTCACTAGAAGCTGGGAGCCCTCTTCTTCTTCCCTGGACCCTTCTTTAAACAGCTCCTTTTTTCCTTGGTTTTCATTTCTTCATTCGTCCTCCTTCGTTCAGTCCCGCAGTAACTGCGGCAAACCATGGGGACTGCCACAATGTGATGTCAGGGAGCTTTTTTATTGGTAAAAGGGAAAAGATACCACAAGAATGAATGCAAGAACTGAAACAGTGGAGACACCTAGAATGACTTGTCTAAGATTTAAATCATTTTGTTGTCTTCCCAGCGTACTTATTATCCTGATCATTGTCATCAGCATTGTTTGGGTCCTTTTAGCACAGATTTCTCAAAATGGGTAACTCCATAACAGTTGGAAGCTTACGAATTCATATAATTTGTAAGACGGCAATTTGGGAGTACCTATCTATTTTAAAATTCCAATAACCTGGGAATTTCATCCCATGTCTAGAGTCTTTTATGTAAAATATTTCCACAATTAGGAGAAATATGTGCATGGGGATTTTCTATGTAGCAGTGTTTTGATAGAATAGAAAGTTGGGGCAAACCAAATTTCCATCATGAAGGAAATAGTAATACACTGAATAATAACACAGTGAATATTATGCAGGCTTTAAACATCAAAAATGAGCTCAACTTCTGACTTCCGATGATCACATTGAAGTAGGTCACTGCTGGTTTACATTTGATTTTCATATGGGAACTCCAGGTGTCTGCCTTAGTGATTTTACATGTGGCTAAATTTAGCTAATGAAAAGCTATTCAAAGTATGGCAAAATGAAACTTTAAAACAGCATCTTGTCAACAACCAAGTGGACTTGTTTCACATAAAACCCTCACATTCATCTGCCTGTCCATCATTCTGTCTGTCCACACAGGCATCATTTGTGGCTTCATCTACATCTGGGGGCATCATCCACAGCTGGGGGCTTCATCCATGTCTGGGGGCATCATCCACAGCTGGGAGCTTCATCCACAGCTGGTTTGCCTGATCTGTATCTGAGTCACAGATACAGATTATTAAACCTAGTAATTTTATTGAGTTCCACTTTAATAGTTTTTGTTTCAAAAGTTGTTTGTTGATAATTTAATGAAATAAACTAAACCAGAATTACCCCCTTTTAATTATTTCCTTGTGTCAATATAGAAAGAGTGAAGTTAAGGAAACACTGAGATGCCCCTGTCCATGTTTGTGAATGGGAGTGTTGGGTCTAAAGCCTTTCTCTGGTAGGTCTCCAGAAGATTGCCCTGCCTTACGCTTGCCGTCTGTGGGTTCCAGAGGCTTCCATTTGAAAGGAGCCTCTCTCCCCACTCTGCCTCAACCCACACCAGCTCTCCCGTAACCCACTGACTTTGTAAACGCTTTCTTCCACCTGCACCTCATTGAATTCAATACTTTGGAAAATAGTCAAAAATTCTAAAAAGGTGGGAGTGAGTGTGATCTGGAAATCCCTGCTGTAATATTTTTAAGGGACTCTGCTGGAAACTATTAGTTTATGTTTTAAATAAAACCATCCCTTAGCACTAGAATATCAAGCCATTCATTTTTTAACAGAACTTTGAGATATAATTCAAATACAATAAATTTCACCCACACACAGTGTACACACAATTCAATGGTTTCTAATATATTCACAGAGGTCTGCAAAAATTACCACAGTTTAATTTTAGACAATATCATTTACTGAGATCCTTACATGCATATAGATGTAGATATATATAATTTTAATATCATCTTGAATATTGTAGTATTTAATATTGTACTATATCTATTTGTGTCTTTATATTGCTTTTTATTTTGTTATTCTGAATGACGATCTCCATGTACCTTTATATAGGTTTAAAATACACCTTTTACAACTGAAGAAATTAAATTGTTTCTAGTAAATCACATAAGAAACACATATGCTATTGTTATAAAAATTCAAATACTGCTTAGGTCTGTAGAATGAAATGTGTCACCGCCAGCTCCCAGCCCACTCAGTCGTCTACATCCACTTACACACAGATAGACATGCCCATGTTTTTACATAACGTAATCCTGCTTTGTGTGTTGTTCCCTAACTGGCTTTTCCATATAAAATAGAATGTGGTGATCATTGCTTATGAGTGCATATAGGTCTCTCTCATTCTTATTTATAGTTGCATCATTATTCAACAGGGTATCTGACCATAATTTGGTCACTTTTTCACTGTGGAATTTTTATGTTGGATTCAGTTATTTGTTACCGTTACCTACACTATCCTGGGCATACCTGTATATTCATCTTTTTGGTACCTTAGTTAGGTGGGTTTTTTCTTTTATGATTGATTTCTAAAAATAAAATACTGAGGCAAAGTATAAATTTTTAATATTATTATTATTTTTTTGAGACAGAGTCTCGTTCTGTTGCCCAGGCTGGAGTGCAGTGGTGTGATCTTGGCTCACTGCAAGCTCAGCCTCCCAGGTTCATGCCATTCTCCTGCCTTAGCCTCTCAAGTAGCTGGGACTACAGGTGCCCACCACCACACCCAGCTAATTTTGTTTTTGTATTTTTACAAATAACACGGGGTTTCACCATGTTAGCCAGGATGGTCTCGATCTCCTGACCTCATGATCTGCCTGCCTTGGCCTCCCACAGTGCTGGGATTGCAGGCGTGAGCCACTGCACCTGGCCATATTTTGATAAAAAATTAAAAATCTGTGTTTCAAAAAAATTTAATGATATTATACTCCCACCATCAGTATATGAGAGTTCCTATTTCCACACACCCTTAGTTACAGAGGAAATGACCAATGCTAACCTTGGCCAATTTTATGATTAAGAAATATTTCCATTTTTAATTTGGATTTCTCCACTTATTAGAGAGATTGTGCATTTTTGCATATGTTTACTGGCCAATTGTATTTCTCGCTGAGAATTTCATTATGATTTACTAGTTTTCTAATTCATGTAATGATATTCTTTATATATTCTGCACATTTATTAATTCCATATAATTAGCAAGTTTGTTTCTTAAGGTCTGTATCATAACTTTTATTTTGTTTATATTATCTTTGTTTTGAAGAAACTTTCATTTTTACATAGTCAAATTGTTGAACATTTTCCCTGCCATTTCTGGATTTTGTGACTTGCTTTCAATAGTATGTCCTTTTAGGGCTTTATTGATTTGTTTTGTTTAAAGAACGTGCTCAAATCTTACATTATTTAGTAATTTTCTTTCTCCCATTAGAGTACATGGACATTACTAATTCCAGCTAATGTAGATCAAATGTATCATTTGAATTTCTGTGTAGTAATGCGCATTGTAGATAAGTTCTGATTTCTTTATTCCCTATTAGATGGATATTAAGGTTGTTTTTAAAAATTCCCACCACTGATGACTACAATAATCATCAATATACATGGATCCCACTGATGTTTTTGTTTTATATTTCTTCTTTTCTGTAGTATAGGATTCTCAAAGTGGTGTAACTGACCTATGATACATTTTAATTATAATTTTAATTATACTGGCAGATTATTTTCCAAAAAGTTGATCAATTCACACTCTTATCAACTACATAAGTAAGCCTCTTCCTATGTAGGCTAAATAACACTAAAAGATTTTTTTAAATAAAAATGCTAATTTGGCTGGAGAAAAATCCCATAGGTGCTTTAATTAATCAATTTTTTTCTGTTTCAATTAGTTGTCTATTCATAGCCTCTGTGTATGTGTGTGTGTGTATTTCTATTTGGCAGTTTATGGTTGGAAAGACTCCTAAAAAAGGAAATCTAAAAAACACACAAAATACTAAAATATATTTGATGAATAAGAATTAAATTTCTGCATATCCAAAAAATTGCTAAAAATATTAAAACTGTAGTCAAAATAGCAGCTCATGAAACAAAGCAAACAAAAATACTAAACAAAAGAAACAGACCAGGAGCAGTGGCTCACGCCTGTAATCCCAGCACTTTGGGAGGCCAAGGCAGGAGGACTGCTTGAGTCCAGGAGTTCGAGACCAACCTAGGCAACACAGCAAGAACCCATGTCTACAAAACAATTAAAAATTAGCCGGGCATGCTGATGCATGCCTGTAGCCCTAGCTTTTCAGGAGACTCAGGTGGGAGGATCACTTGAGCTCAAGAGATCAATGAAGCCATGTTAATGCCACTGCACTGCAGCGTGGATGACAGAGTGAGATGCTGTCTCAAAAAAAAAGGAAAAGAATACTCTAGCTCCACTTCCCCACCACAGAAATCTAACTGGCAACTATCCACAGATGGGAATACCCTCAAGAATATATATCCCAGAACACAGAAGGAATGTTGCCCAGGCTGGACGGAGTGCAGTGGAGTGATCTCGGCTCACTACAACCTCTGCCTCCTGGGTTCATGCGATTGTCCTGCCTTAGCCTCCCGAGTAGCTGAGATTACAGGTGCCTGCCACCACACCCGGCTAATTTTTTGTATTTTTATTAGAGATGGGGTTTCACCATGTTGGCCAGGCTGGTCTTGAACTCCTGACCTCAGGTGATCCACCTGCCTTGGCCTCCCAAAGTGCGGGATTACAGGCGTGAGCCACCGTGCCCAGCTGACTGTCTATTGACTTTTGACAAAGGCACAAAGAACACGCCAAGGGGTAAGAACACTCTATTCAATAAATGGTGCTGGGAAAAGTGGCTATTCATATGCAGAAAATAAAATTAGACCCTTATCTTACACCATGCCCCAAAATCAACCCAAAATGGATCAAAGACTTTAACATTATGCCGGAAACTGTAAAATTACTATAAGAAAACACAGAGGAAAAGCTCCATGACACTGATCTGGGCAATGATTTTTTGGGTATGTCCCCAAAAGCACAGGCAATAAAAGCAAAAATAGAAACAGGATGGCATCAAACTGAAAAGCTTCTGCACAGCAAAAGGAACAAGTAACAAAGAGATAACCCACGTCGTGAGAAAAAATATCTGCTAACCATACATTAGAAAAGGGGCTAATATCCAAAATATATGAGGAACTCAATCAACTCAACAGCAAAAGAACCAATAAGCCAATGTAAGAATGAATAAAGGAACCAAACACATTTTTCAAAAGTAGACATACAAACAGCCAATAGGTTCATGAAAAAATGCTACCTCAAAGGCAGGTCCTGGGACCAGTAACATCAGTATTATCTGGGAGTTTGTTCAAAAGGCAAAATATCAGGCCCCACTGCAGACCCACTTACCTGGAAGCTGCATTTGACAAGATTCCCAGGTGATCCACATGCACGTTAAAGTTTGAGATGCTTACTATAGACAGCAAGTACTTCTTCAGTTGAAGAAGCTCTGGGGCCTGGAGCTGACCAGTGGCAACCTAAATCTTTAGGAAAATGCAAATTAAAACCACCGTGACATAACATCTCCCTCTCATCAGAACAAGTTTTATGAAAAAGATGGAAGGTAAGTTTTGGCCAGGATGTGGAGAAAGGGGAATCCTAGTATACTGCCGGTGTGTAGTACAGCCGCGATGGAAAATGGCATGGAGGTTCCTCAAAACACTAAACATAGAACTATCATGTGAGCCAGCAATCCCACTTCTGGGAATATATCCAAGGGAATTGAAATCAGTGTGTTCAGGGATGTCTGCACTCCCATGTTCACTGCGGCCCCATTTACAGTAGCCAAGATGTGGAATCTGCCTAAGTCAATCAGCCTAAGATGAATGCGTACAGAAAAGGCGGTGCACGCATACAACGAAGTACTATTCAGCCTTAAAAAGAACAAAACTCAGCCGGGAGCAGTGGCTCATGCCTGTAATCCCAGCACTTTGGGAGGCCCAGGTGGGCAGATCACCTGAGGTCGGCAGTTCAAGACCAGCCTGACCAACATGGTGAAGCCCCATCTCTATTAAAAAAAAATACAAAATTAGCCAGGTGTGGTGGCACATTCCTGTAATTCCAGCTACTTGGGAGGCTGAAGCAGGAGAATCACTTGAACCCGGGAGGTGGAGGTTGTGGTGAGCCGAGATCATGCCATTACACTCTAGCCTGGGCAACAAGAATGAAACTCCATCTCCAAAAAAATAAAAAAGAACAAAACTCTGTCATTGGGAATGACACGAATAAATCTAGAGGACATACTGCTAAGTGAAATACAAATACCACAGAAAGACAAATACCACATAATCTCACATGCCCGTGGAATCTTTTAAAAGTTGAATTTGGGAGCTACCCACTCGGGTCCCCTTCCACACTGTGGGAGCTTTGTTCTTTCGCTCTTCGCAATAAATCTTGCTGCTGCTCACTCATAAAAAAAAAAAAAAAGTTGAATTTGGGCCAGGCGCCCTGGCTCATGCTGGTAATCCCAGCATTTTGGGAAGCTGAGGCAGGTGGATCACTTGAGGTCAGCAGTTTGAGACCAGCCTGGCGAACATGGTGAAACCCTGTCTCTACTAAAAATACAAACATTAGCTGGGCATGGTGGCAGGCGCCTGTAATCCCAGCTACTTGGGAGGCTGAGGCAGGAGAATCGCTTAAACCTGGGAGACGGAGGTTGCAGTGAGCTGAGATTGTGCCACTGCACTCCAGCCTGGGTGACAGAGTGAGACATCTCAAAAAAAAAAAAAAAAAGTTGAATTCATTCAGTAGAAGAATAATGGTTACCAGAGCTGGCGAGGTGGCAGAACAAGGGAATGGAGACTTCCTCTTCAAAAGGTACAAAGTTTCAGCCAAGCAGGAGAAAAAAGTTTTGAGGTCTATTGCACAGCAGGAGACTATAGTCAATAATAATGAATATTTCAAAATAACTAAGGAAATTTTTTTTTTTTTGAGACGGAGTCTCTGTCTTTCAGGCTGGAGTGCAGTGGTGTGATCTCGGCTCACTGCAAGCTCTGCCTCCTGGGTTCATGCCATTCTCCTGCCTCAGCCTCCCAAGTAGCTGGGACTACAGGCGCCTGCCACCACGCCCAGCTAATTTTTTGTATTTTTAGTAGAGGCGGGGTCTCACTGTGTTAGCCAGGATGGTGTCGATCTCCTGATCTCATGATCCCCCCGCCTCGGCCTCCCAAAGTGCTGGGATTACAGGTGTGAGCCACTGTGCCCGGTCTAAGAGAGAAAATTTCTAGTGCATCAACTTAAAAGAATGCCAAGTAAGTGAGGTAACAGGTATGTTCATTAGCTTGACTTAATCTTTTCATATTGTATTGTTAAGTTAAATTTGGTCTAAAACTGCCTCCACAATTCATATTAGCGCCAAACTGGAAAGTCCAGCCACAGAAGAGTAGATGAGCAAATTATGGTACTGAGTAGAACGGAATACTACTCAGCAATAGAAAACAATGCAGTAACACCAAGGAACCTCAAAAACATTAGCTACAAGAGAGTACATACTGCATGACTCCCTCTATATGAGATTCTAGAAAAGGCAAAACTAGTCTACAGTGACAGAGGGCAGATCAGGGGTTGCCTGGGGCTGGGTGGGGAAACTGCCAGCAAAGGGCCACAGGGATTTCCAGGTTATGGGAATGTTCTGTATCATGATTGAGGAAGTGGTCATGAGGGTACACACATTTCTGAAAATTCATCCAGCTGGACACTTAAAATGGGCGTATTTTCTTGAATGTAAATTTTTCTCCGTAAAGTTGATTTTATTTAATTAATTAATTTATTTATTTATTTATTTTTGAGTTGGAGTCTCACTCTATCACCCAGGCTGGAGTGCAATCGTGCAATCTCAGCTCACTGCAACCTCTGCCTCCTGGGTTCAAGTGATTCTCCTGCCTCAGCTTCCTGAGTAGCTGGAATTTCAGGTGTGCATCACCGTGACCAGCTAATCTTCATATATTTTAGTAGGCACAGAGTTTTGCCAAGTTGGCCATGCTGGTCTTGAACTTCTGACCTCAAGTGATCCACCCGCCTCGGCCTCCCAAAGTGCAGGGATTACAGATATGAGCCACCATGCCCAGCCTATAATGTTGATTTTAAAACAAGAGAAATCAACATCACCAACAAATAAATTAATTAATTAATTAAAATAAAATAAAGCTGCCTCCATATATAGCACACTGTAATCTAACTTAATAGATGTGAAAGGACAATAAATCTTGGGGCCCCAAGAAGCTAAAGGGAAAAGTCAAGCTGGGAACTGCTTTGGGCAAACCTGCCTCCCATTCTATTGAAAGTCTCCCCTCTGCTCACTGAGATAAATGCATATCTGATTGCCTCCTTTGGAGAGGCTCATCAGAAACTCAAAAGAATGCAACCATTTGTCTCTTATCTATCTAAGACTTGGAAGCCCCCTCCCCACCTCGAGTTGTCCCACCTTTGCTTCGAGCTGTCCTGCCTTTCTGGACCGAACCAATGTTCATCTTACATATGTTGATTGATGTCTCATGTCTCCTTAAAATGTATAAAACCAAACTGTGCTCTGACCACCTTGGGCACATGTCAGGACCTCCTGAGGCTGTGTTATGGGTGCATGTCACCAACCTTGGCAAATAAACCTTCTAAATTAACTGAGACCTGTCTCAGCTATTGGGGGTTCACATAGGTAAACAAAACAAACTGCAACCTAACCTGAGAATATGCCCTTGGAATAAGTAGCCCAGTCTCAGCCAATCACAGCAGCTGAGCTCTCAGCCCTTCACAGGCTGCAAGCTGCCAAAAACATGTTCAAACAAGGCAACTGCAGAGCTGTAACCAACAGGCTATTTCTCAATGAAACTTACGTTTTCTGGCTATAAATATTCCCTGCCCACCTGTGGAGCAGAGATCTCTGAACCACTTTTGGTTCTCAGTGCTACCTGGTTCATGAATCTTTTTTCTGTTCAACTAAACTCTGTCAAATTTAGTCAAAGGCTTTTCTCTTTAACAGTATACATACATCACACATCACATTGTACTATATAAATGTAATTCAATTGTCATTTATAAATTTAAAATAGTATATTTTTTTGAGACAGAGTCTCGCTCTGTCACCCAGGCTGGAGTGCAGTGGCATCATCATAGCTCCCTGTAACCTCAAACTTCTGGGCTCAAGCAATCCTCTCACCTCAGCCTCCTAAGTAGCTGGGACTGCAAGTGCATGCCATCATGCCCAGCTAATTTTTTTTTTAATTACTGTAGAGATGGGGGTCTCACTATGTTGCCCAGGCTGGTCTCAAACTCCTGGTCTCAGTGGATCCTCTTGTGTGATCCTCCCACCTCAACCTCTGAAAGAACTGGGATTACAGGTGTGAGCCACCACGCTTGGCCCAAAAATAATACATAATTTGTTTTAAAACACTAGATGATTTTTTTTCAACTTTTATTTTAGAATCGGGGGTACCATGCAGGTTAGTTACAAAGGTATACTGTGTGATACTGAGGCATGGGGTATGCTGGAACCCATCAAGGGGATATTTTGGTTGTCAACTACCTGAAAAAAGTATCTTTTCAAATCAACAGCTGCAGCACTATTTTAAAAAATGGAAATGTAACAATAAGGGTTAAATAAATTTTGACAAATTTATAAAATGGAATACTATGGTGACATTAAAACCATTTTAGACTGTTTAATCAAGATAGAGAAAACTACAATATTTTACTGAATAAAAAAAGAAATTATAGAGAAATCTTTTTTGGGTTTTTTGAGACAGGGTCTCACTCTGTCACCCAGGCTGGAGTGCAGTGGCACAATCTAGGCTCACTGCAGACTCCTCCTCCGTTCAAGTGATCCTCTGGTCTCAGCCTCCCAAGTAGCTGGGACTACAGGCAAGTGCCACCATATCCACCACCTAATTTTTTACTTTTTGTAAAGATGGGGTCTCACTGTGTTGCCTAGGCTGGTCTGGAACTCCTGGGCTCAAGCAATATGCCTGCCTCAGCCTCCCAAAGTGCTAGAATTACAGGCATGAGCCACCACACCAGCCAAGAAATCATATTGTATGAACCCAGCTTTATAAAACATAAACTACTCACACATACTGGTGGTGGAGGGGGAAAGAACTGAGAGGAAATATACCAAAAATGGCATTAAAGGGTAACTCTCAGAGGGATTACAAATCATTTTTACCTTTTTTTCTTCATATGTCTCTTACTTTCCAAATTTCCTGTAATTAATTAATATGCAATTTTAAAATAAGCAATAATTCATTTAGAGAATAGATTTAACATCTATATTCTCTAATTACTTTTGTTGGCAGTAGTGTTCCTATTCCAAGTTCAAAAACATGAATAAATTAGGGATAAAAAGAAGTGTTCAAATATTTTTTCTTAATTCTTTTTTTTTTTTTTTTGAGATGGAGTTTTGTTCTTTTCACCCAGTCTGGACTGCAATGGCATGATCTTGGTTCACCACAACCTCTGCCTCCTGGGTTCAAGCTATTCTCCTGCCTCAGCCTCCCAAGTAGTTGGGATTACAGGCATGCACCACCACACTCAGCTTATCTTGTATTTTTAGTAGAGACAGGGTTTCTCCATGTTGGTCAGGTTGGTCTTGAACTCCCGGCCTCAGGTGATCTGCCCACCTCGGCCTCCCAAAGTGTTGGGAATACATACCCTAGGCCATGTGCTTTCCTATGCGTCACCTCCATCCATCCTCAATAGCTCTGTGGCTTCGGCATTGCTACACCCATTGTGCATTTTTATGCGGGAAGTGGGGATTTGAAGTCATTTTTTTCTCCCAAGAAAACCCATGCTCTTGTCATGACCCCACATCAGACAGACTTGGGTTCAGATTCTGACTGTGACACTCATTAGCTGTGCGACCTTGGGCACATCTTTTAACTTCTCTGAAGCTCAGCTACTTGTACTAAAACAGGGGTAATGACAGAAAAATGAGGTTATTAAGAGAATTGGAGAGTACACCTCTGGGGCTTTTTGATTGTAAACAACAGCAATATACTCTAGGGCTAACTTTGGAGAAGGATGAAAGGCATTTATTAGAAGCATATGAATTAGCTCATATAACTAAATGCAAAGCAAACAGCCAGGTCTTGGAAAGGATGAGAGCCAGGCCAGCTGAAGAGATCTGGAGAATAGGGAGGTAACTGCCTTCCTTCTTCAGGGGATTCTTGACTGCATGAAGCAGCTCCAGTTGTTTTCGGTGCCTAAGATGTAGGCACTGTTACCTGGCCCTCCCTTACCCCTCCAAAAGCTTGAAAGAGGGTCCCTTCCCATGAGCGCTGAGGCCCGAGGCCCAGTAGAGTCAGCAGTGGTATCTCTGCCTTTGCCCCACCAATGACTGCCAGCTGCCAGCTGTCTTCTGCCACTCGCTCCTTAGGACTTTCATTGTCAGGAAGTCAAGCTTTTCAGGAAATAAAAAGTAACCTTTTTTTTTTTGAGACAGAGTCTTGCTCTGTCATCCAGGATTGAGTGCAGTGGCATGATTTTGTCATGACACCATATTCCAAGTTCAAAAAAATCAATAAATTAGGTCCAATGATTCTTCTGCCTTAGCCTCCCAAGAAGCTGGGATTATAGACACCTGCCACCATGCCTGGCTAGCTTTTGTATTTTTAGTAGAGACAGGGTTTTGCCCTGTTGCCCAGGCTGGTCTTGAACTCCTGACCTCAGGTGATCTGCCCACCTTGGCCTTTCAAAGTGCTAGGATTACAGGTGTGAAACGCCACACCCTGCTGTAAGTTCTCTTCTTCTTTTTTTTTTTGATGGAGTTTCACTATTGTTGCCCAGAAAGGAGTGCAATGGTGTGATCTCGGCTCACCACAACCTTCACCTCCTGGTTTCAAATGATTCTCCTACCTCAGCCTCCCGAGTAGCTGGGATTACAGGCATGTGCCACCATGCCCAGCTAGTTTTGTATTTTTTAGTAGAGACGGGGTTTCACCATGTTGATCAGGCTGGTCTCGAACTCCCGACCTCAGGTGATCCACCTGCCTTGGCCTCCCAAAGTGCTGGGATTACAGGCGTGAGCCACCGCACCCGGCTGATTTTTGGATTTTTTTGTAGAGACACGTTTTACCATGTTGGCCAGGCTGGTCTCGAACTCCCGACCTCAGGTGATCCGCCCACCTCGGCCTCCCAAAGTACTGGAATTGCAGGCGTGAGCCACCATGCCCAGCCTTGTCAACTTCTTTACCTAGGCCTTGCCCTCAGCATTTTTTTCTCTTCCCCTTATAGGCCTGGTTGGTTTACACAACATTGGACAGACCTGCTGCCTTAACTCCTTGATTCAGGTGTTTGTAATGAATGTGGACTTCGCCAGGATATTGAAGAGGTAAGACTGTTCTTCAGGCTGATAAGCGTTTGTATTATTTCTTTTTCTTTTTTTTTGAGATGGAGTCTTGCTCTGTTGCCCAGGCTGGAGGGCAGTGGCGCGATCTTGGCTCACTGCAAGCTCTGCCCCCCGGGTTCAAGCGATTCTCCTGCTTCAGCCTCCCGAGTAGCTGGGACTAGCCCGCCACCATGCCTGGCTAATTTTTTTTGTATTTTTAGTAGAGACGGGGTTTCACCGTGTTAGCCAGGATGGTCTTGATCTCCTGACCTCGTGATCCACCCACCTCAGCCTCCCAAAGTGCTGGAATTACAGGCGTGAGCCACTGCACCCGGCCTGTATTATTTCATTTTTAATATATTCAGTTATTCACAGTGACTTGGACTTTTTGAGATCTTCTCTCAAAAGCTGGCAGAGGAAAGATCGGCTTCTGCATATTCTGGCCTACACATTATTTCTAAAACTTCTTAGGTTGGTCTGGGGTGCGGCCCAGGTATTGGTACTTTTTTTTTTTTTTTTTTGAGCTAAAGCCTCACTCTGTCCCCAGGCTGGAGAGGGATGGTGCAATCTCGGCTCAGTGGAACCTCCGCCTCCCAGGTTCAAGGGATTCTCCTGCCTCAGCCTCTCAAGTAGCTGGGATTACAGGCGCCCGCCACCACACCTGGATAATTTTTGTATGTTTAGTAGATACGAGTTTTCACCATGTTGGCCAGGCTGGTCTCAATCTCCTGACCTCAGGTGATCTGCCCGCCTCAGCTTCCCAAAGTTCTGTGATTACAGGCATGAGCCACTGGGCCCGGCCAGGTATTGGTACTTTTTAAAAGCCCTCTTTGGGTGATTTTAAATGCAGCCAGGATTGACAGCCACTGACTTGGTTAAAAGACAGAGTTGGGACTAGACCAAAGTCGGAGAAGGAGTAAGTCAGTGGGGAGTACACACCCCTCCTTCCACCAACACTCACACAATGCACTCTCTCCCTCTGTCTCTCTCTATCACTCCTTTTCTGCCCTGTGCTCTCTCCTTTTTCCCATCCGAAAAATGCCTGTGATTAAATGAATCATTGCCAAACCACACGGACAGCCTTTCATGTTGCCTTTCTTCCCAGGACCTAACCCAGCATGTGCCTCTGCAGTCTGGAGAGCTTTAGGCTGGACATTTTGCTGCTTGCCCGAGATGTGGAGCCAGGACCTCGTGCATCTGCCGTCTGCTCTAGCACGATTGCTGGGCAGGGTGCAGAGGGGCCAAGGCAGCAGTCATGCTGATCCCCCTCTCTAGAGGGTCCCCTGTAGAGCAGATTCACTCACATGGTGCTTCTCAACCTTGACCACACATTGAAATAATCTGAGGAACTGAAAAATTCTGATAACTGCCCGCGCCCCGCCCCCCGGACCCAGAATTCTGGTTTAATTTGTATGGGAGTGGCCTGGATATGAAGATTTAAAATTTCTCCCAGGTGATTCCAGTGTGCACCTAGCTTTGAGAACTACATGTAAGGAGGTTTCTGGCTGTTCTTGTGTGGCAGGATCACGGTGCCCAGGGGAGCTGACGAGCAGAGGAGAAGCGTCCCTTTCCAGATGCTTCTGCTGCTGGAGAAGATGCAGGACAGCCGGCAGAAAGCAGTGTGGCCCCTGGAGCTGGCCTACTGCCTGCAGAAGTACAACGTGCCCCGTAAGATACCCTCCCACTGGGTTCCTGGCTGCTGATCCAAAGGGGATGGGAAGCTTAGAGAGTGAAGAGAGGAACTAATGGGCAGTGAAGCAACAAGAAGCAAGTTAGGTAGCCTGGACCCCTCAGATTATAGAGACATTTGTGTAAGAGGCACACATCTTTGGAGGTGCAGAATTGATATTATTTATGGACATTTTACTTCCATACCTAACCTTTCTCTGCCTCTCAGTAGAGTAGGTGAAGGCATCTCCTCCAAGCTTATTCCACCACAGTTAGGGAACTGCAGGAAAACAGAATAAAGGAATAAAAAAGAGAAAACATGTTCTACAAAATAATTCACAAATAGGTCAGGTTTTTTTTTTAGATAGCTATATTGGGATGTGCATCACATACTGTAAAATTCATCCATTTAAAAACATACAATTCAAAGGTTTGTAGTGTATTCACAGAGTTGTGCCTCCATCATCACAATCTAATTTCATAACATTTTCATCACCCCCAGAAGAAATCCTACACTTACGGGTTTTCCCTTGTGTATAATACATTGCTTTTCTCTTGCTGCTTTCAGAATTCTTTGTCTTTAACTTTTGAAATTGATTATGATGTGTCTTGATGTGGGTTGCTTTAGATCAGTCTTATTGGTGTCCTTTGGGCTTCCTGGATGTGGATTTGTATTTCCTTCCCTGGGTTGGGAAGTTTTCAGTCATTATAGGTATGCGTTGCTTACCAACAGGGATACGTTCTGAAAATGCATCAGAAGGTGAATTTGTCATTGTGTGGACATCATGGAGTGCACTTACACAAACTTAGATGGGACAGCCTACTACACAGCTAGGCTGCATGCTATGGCCACTGTGCTCATGCGGTCTGCCATTGACTGAAATGTTGATCTGCAACTCGTGACTGTTATTTCTTTGGATAAGCTTTCCATCTCTTCTCACTCTCCTCCTTCTGGGACTCTGATAATGCCTATTTTGGTCGGCTTGATGTCCCCTAACTCTCTTAAGATATCTTCACTCTTTTTCATTCTTTTTCATTTTTGCTCCTCTGAATGATTTCCAGTGACCTATCTTCTAGTTTGCTAATCCTTTCTTCTGCTTGATTTAGTCTGTTGAGCTTCTCTTTTGAGCTCTTATTTCAGTTATTGTATTCTTCAGCTCTATTATTTCTTTTGAACTTTTTTCTGTCTCTTTGCTGAAATTCTTACTTTGTTCATGCATTGCTGTCCTAGACATGGTAAGCATCTTCATGATCATTATTTTGAATTGTCTGTAAGGTAAGTCACTTATCTTCATTTCACCGGGGGCATTTTCTGGAGATTTATCTTGTTCTTTTGCTTGGAACAGATTTCTCTGTTTCTTCATTGTTCTTGATTCTCTGTTATTTTCTGTACTTTAGTTAAGAAAAATACCTCTCCCAGGCTGGGCATCATGGCTCACACCTGTAATCCCAGCACTTTGGGAGGCTGAGGCGGGTAGATCATGAGGTCAGGAGATGGAGACCATCCTGGCTAACACGGTGAAACCCTGTCTCTACTAAAAATACAAAAAATTAGCTGGGCGTGGTGGCGGGTGCCTGTAGTCCCAGCTACTTGGGAGGCTGAGGCAGGAGAATGGCGTGAACCTGGGAGGTGGAGTTTGCAGTGAGCCGAGATCGAACCACTGCACTCCAGCCTGGGCCACAGAGCGAGACTCCGTCTCAAAAAAAAAAAAGAAAAATACCTCTCCCAGTCTTGTCCCACGGGCCTTGTATAAGAGACGAACTTACCAATTAGCCCTGCCAGACACTCGGAGCACCTCTTGACCTTTTGTGTTGTCCAAACTGTCATCTATGTTCTTAGCGGCCCTCAGGAGATTAGAATGTGTCATGTCCTGTCAGTGCCCCAGACAGGGGAGATAGAAACCAGCCCCTTGAGGTGCAGCTGGAGACGTTGGGGCATTAAATGTGTGTTCCAGTTTATTCTATCCTCAGGGAAAAGCTGGGAGCATGAGTTTATCTGCCACTCGCTCTGCAAAATGCTGGAGAGAGGATCTGTGGCAAGTGCCTGCACTCAAGTTTAAACTGCACACTCCTTCATGCATTGTTTTACTCTTTGTCACCCCCAGGGGCCTAGCAAATGCTGGCTGTTCTCTGCTTAGAGACGGACAGGTTAGTTGGAAGCTTGACGCTATCTGTTGAGCAAACCAGTGGGAGCAGCTGTGGAGGTGCTCACCTGCCTGTTCAGGGTCTCAGAGGAGCACTGGTTTCCTGCTCTGTCAGCTCCCAGATGCATAGAAACCCCAGGGCAGCAGCTGCACTGTGCAGACAAACTCCTTCTAGGGAGAAAGTAGGAGCCGGGCCTTTTTGCCTGTTCACGCTGCACTGGGCCTGGGGGGATGTTCTTTGGTCTCTGTGCCCCTGTGGGACTTACAAATACAGAGCCTTGTCAGCTCCCAAAGCTCGGTGGTTGAGGAGCTAGACCTTCATTTGAGAGGGGTAAATGTGTACTCAATGTGTGAAGTTAGAGACCTGATTTTACCATACAGCAGGGGGTGGGAGAAGGCATGGGACTTGCCCACAGGCCTGTCCAGACTCCTGGAAATCTATTGTTTACCTGCCTCATTGGCTCCAGGTGCAGGCCAGTTATTAATAGAAGCCCATCCCTCGGGCAACAGCTAGGAGAGCCCGCAGACATATCCTTCCAGGGAGGAACTGGGAGCCTGGCATTTCTGCCTGTTTGCTCTGTGCTGAGCACAGCTGCTGGAAGTGCTCACGTGCCCGTTTAAAACTGCCTCTTTGTCCTCTGTGGTCGCAGAGGATTCATAACTGCTAACCCATGTCTGCTCCCAGAGCTAGGTGACCCAGCAGCCAAGCCCTTGAGTGGGAACTGCAAAAGCTGGGGCTGCCTATGTGTGGTCCAAACCCTCCCCTCTCCAGGAGAAAGCTGGGAGTAGGGATTCCTTCCTCACAGTAAGGTACTGTGTCTGGGGTGGGGCTTGTGGTTCGAGTGTGTCTCAGCTTTTCCAACCGGTTGCGATGTGGGTGTTCTCCCCATTGCCCCCTGTGCAGGCCTCTCTCAGCTGGTTTCTGGGTTTCTTTCAGAGGGAGTTGATCTGTGTGTAGATGAGAGTTTTACCGTGTGTCCATGGGAGAAGGGGAGCACCAGGAGCCTCCTTCTCTACCATCTCGCTTGTGTCACCCTCTGTGATTCTTTTTATACATAGTTGAATTTGATTCACTAATATTTTGTTGAGGAATTTTGCATTTATGTTCACGGGAGATACTGGTTTTTAGGTTTTTTTCTTACAATGTCTGTCTGGTTTTGGTGTTAGGATAATGCTGGCCTCAGAGAATGAGTTAGGAAGTGTTCTCTCTGCTTTTGTCCTCTGGAAGAGGTTGTAGGGAATTGGTATAATTTTTCCCATAAATGTTTGGTAGAACCCATCGTTCACTAGTGAACCCATCTGGGTGTAACTGAGTACTCCCATTTTCTAAGAGATAGTTATATTAGTTTTCTTATTACTTTCTTTTCACTTCTCCTCTTCCCATCCCTCACCCCTCACCGCGGCCGTGTTTCCTGTTTCCTGTTAGCCCTTTAGAAATGCAAATATCACCTTTCGCCTACCCCTCTCCAGACATTCCCTGCTGGGCAAAAGGAAGAATCTGTAAATGGAGGTAGGCTGATGGAGGTTTGATTGAGAACAGGGCAAGATCTTCCAGCTGATCTTTCCTGAGACTTGGCAGTAGATTTGCAGCCCAAAGCATACCCACCAGGGAACTCTCCCTGCCAGGGGGTGGCTTCGAAACTTCCACCCTCTAGGGGTTTGTCTTTCACCCACTAGGAAGGCATGGAGAAAGCATGCCCACTCGGCCACTTTTCTGCCCGGAAAGGCGCCAACTCAGCTGCTGGGAACTTGATAACTGCCCGGTAGAAAACCGCCATTGCTCACTCCCCCCACCCCCACAACACACCTTATGAAAATGCCCCTCTCTCCTCCAAAGGAGAAATGGCACATTAAAAGGCAGGATGTGTCTTGCTCCTTGCCCCAGGCTGGCTTCAGAATAAGTTCACGTTTGTGTATAAAACCTTTTGTATCACATTTTTTTTTGTATCAGAGTTAGTTGAGCTCTACACGCAGTGAGCAGCTCCTCAGCTTTTCGCTGCATAGGTACTGTGTTCAGCTTTCCTTCCGTCCTCAGTCTGGAGAACCTCAACCAACCTAGCTCCAGGTTTATGGATTCTTTCTTTTGCCAGCTCTAATCTGCTATTGACCTCCTCTAGTACATTTTTCATTTCAGTTATGGTTCTCCTCAACTCAAGAATTTCTGCTTGGTTCTTCTTTTATAGTTTTTTCTTTATTGATACTTTTTATTTGGTGAGGCAGCATTTTCACACTTTCTTTTACATCTTTTGACATGGTTTTCTTTAGTTCTTTGAACATATTATAACGGCTAAAGTCTTTGTTTAGTAACGCCAACATCTAGGGCTTCTCAGTGGAAGGTTCTACGATTGCTGTTTTCCTGGGTGGCCATGCTTTTCTGTTTCATTGTAGGTCTTGTCTCTTTTGTTGGAAAATGAACATTTTAGATAATGTAAGGTGGCAACACTGGACATCAGAGATCCCCACAGCAGGGTTTGTTGTTGTTGCTGTTTTATCGTTTCTGGGCAGTTCATGATTCTGTATTCGCCTTCATTGCTTTCTTGCATGTGGCCTTGTGGTCAGCCAGAGGGGAGGGATCGGAGCCCTCTCAGGTCTTACTTGGGCATGCGCCTGGCCTTCTAGATCCTCAGGAATGTATCAGTGCTTTTCAAAGTCCCTGTGGACATCTCATTCCCCAGGCTGAGTGCAGTGGTGACATCACAGCTCACTGTAGCCTCAACATCCTGGGCTCCAGTGATCCTCCTGCTTCAGCCTCCCAAGTAGCTCTGACTACAGGCGTGCACCGCTACTCTCAAGTACTTTTTTAAATTTTTTATCGAGACGGAGTCTTGCTATGTTGCCCAGGCTGGTCTCAAACTCCTGAGTTCAAGCGATCCTCCCACCTTGGCCTCCCGAAGTGTTAAGATTATAGGCATGAGCCACTACATCTGGCACTGGAGCTTAAGTATTAAGAGGCGTTCTCAAAAATCAATACCAAACTTACTGTTTGTTTATTGATCACTTCTTCTGTCGTGCCGACTTAGCCTTGCAGTGGGGTGGAGGGCTAGGAAGAGACAAAGTGATCAGTGTTCATGTGTGTCTAAGTACCAGGGCATGAGAAGTGACTCTGAAGACCTCACTAATTGGCTGTTCCTTTTCTCTGTGGCCAGTGTTTGTCCAACATGATGCTGCCCAACTGTACCTCAAACTCTGGAACCTGATTAAGGACCAGATCGCTGATGTGCACTTGGTAAGAACCTAGAACCAGAGCACTCGGAAGCTTAAGATGCTGCTCATTTCATTCATTCAGCTGTTGTTCCCGTAGTGTGTAGAGGAATAAAAGAGTTAATCCCCTGTAATCCCAGCACTTTGGGAGGCTGAGGCAGGCAGATCACGAGGTCAGGAGATCGAGACCATCCTGGCTAACACGGTGAAACCCTGTCTCTACTAAAAATACCAAAAAATTAGCCGGGCGTGGTGGCGGGCGCCTGTAGTCCCAGCTACTCGGGAGGCTGAGGTGGGAGAATGGCGTGAACCCGGGAAGTGGAGCTTGCAGTGAGCCGAGATCGCGCCACTGCACTCCAGCCTGGGTGACAGAGCGAGACTCTGTCTCAAAAAAAAAAAAAAAAGAGTTAATCCACATAAAACACTTATCACAGTTTCATAATATTGTTACTGGTATTATTTTGCACCTTTGTGAGGAGCTTCTGTCTCTTGGCTCCACCTTCTGGCAGTTGGCCTGACCTGGCTTATGGTGGTGTTCCCATCTCACCTCTCCGCTCTCCCTCTTGCAGGTGGAGAGACTGCAGGCCCTGTATATGATCCGGATGAAGGACTCCTTGATTTGCCTTGACTGTGCCATGGAGAGTAGCAGAAACAGCAGCATGCTCACCCTCCGACTTTCTTTTTTTGATGTGGACTCAAAGCCCCTGAAGACACTGGTAAGGGGATTCTCTTGGTATTTGCTGCACCTGTATGTGTTAGTCCATTTTCTGTTGTTATAACTCAATATCTGAGACTAGGTAATTTATTTCTTACAGTTCTGGAGGCTGGGAAGTCAAGGTTGAGGGGCTGCACCTGGTGAGGACCTGCTTGCTGGTGGGGACTCTCAGAGTCCTGAGGCGAGGCAGTGCAGGGCATCACATGGCGAGGGGGCTGAGCATGCTAATGTGCCGGCTCAAGTCTCTCTTCCTCTTCATATGAAGCCACCAGTCCCACTCCCAGGATAACCGATTAACCCATTAATCCATGAGTGGATTAATTCATTTATGAGGGCTGTGCCCTCATGACGCAATAACCCCCCTACCTTTTATTTTGGAGACAGATTCTTCCTCTGTCACCCAGACTGAAGTGCAGTGGCACAATCTCAGCTCACTGCAACCTCCGCCTCCGGTGTTAAGCGATTCTCCTGCCTCAGCCTCCCAAGTAGCTGAGATTACAGGTGCCCACCACCATGCCCGGCTAATTTCTGTATTTTTAGTAGAGATGGGGTTTCACCATGTTGGCCAGGCTGATCTGAAACTCCTGACTTCAAGTGATCCCCCTGCCTCAGCCTCCTTGGGATTACAGGCATGAGACACCTTGCCCTCCCCAATTATCTCTCAAAGTCCCCACCTTTCCATACAGCCACACTGGGGATTCAGTTTCAACCTGGGTTTTGGGGAGGACAAACCCTCAAACCATCACACCACACAGCACAGTGTGGCCAATTCCCCCTTGCCTCTTTGATCTATCTCTGGCTTCTGGAAAGTCACTTATTTCATTTTCACGGCGCTGGCCAATTTCTCCTTTGTTTTGGCAAAAATGTTTTTCCCTCCTACCTCCACTTCCCTCATACTGCTCCCTTAATAGGAGCCCCCTCCTGTTTTGTTCCTCCAGTCAGTAGGTGCCCTTTGAGATCCTGCCAAGTGGACCACACCAGGCCAGGCATTAAGGGGGATATGAGGAGAACCAGAAGAAAAGCTGAAACCCTCAGCTGCAAAGTGTGGGGAGGCTGTACCTGATACAGTTTGGGTCTGTGACCCTGCCCAAAAATCTCCTGTTCAATTGTAATCCCCAGTGTTGGAGGTAAAGCCTGGTGGAAGGAGATTGGATCATGGGGGAGTGTTTCTCGTGAATGGTTTGGCACCATCCCCCGTGGTACTGTCTTTGTGACAGTGAGTTCTCATGAGATCTGGTTGTTTAAAAGTGTGGAGCCAGGCTGGGTGTGGTAACTCACGCCCATAATCCCAGCACTTTGGGAGGCTGAGGTGGGTGGATCACCTGAGGTCAGGAATTTGAGACCAGCCTGGCCAACATGGTAAAACCCTGTCTCTACTAAAAACATAAAAAATTAGCTGGGCGTGGTGGTGCAGCCTGTAGTCCCAGCTACTTAGGAGGCTGAGGCAGGAGAATCGCTTGAACCCGGGAGGTGGAGGTTGCGGTGAGCTGAGATCGCGCTCCTGCACTCCAGCTCCCCACTTGGTCTCTTGCACCTGCTCCTCCCAGGTAAGACGCCTGCTCCTGCTTGGCCTTCCGCCATGATTGGGAGCTTCCTGCGGCCTCCCTAGAAGCAGATGCTGCCATGCTTCCGGTCGGCCTGCAGAACCATGGGCCAATCAAACTTCTTTTCTTATAAATTACCCAGTCTCAGCTATTGTCTCACAGCAGTGTGAGAACAGACGAATATAGTATTCTAGGTGGGAAATACCAACGCTGCTTTTTCCCTGTTCTCTTGGGTGGGACAGGAGGACGCCCTGCACTGCTTCTTCCAGCCCAGGGAGTTATCAAGCAAAAGCAAATGCTTCTGTGAGAACTGTGGGAAGAAGACCCGTGGGAAACAGGTACTCATTCCCTAAATCAGACTCAGCTGTCCCTCGGTGCATATGGGGGATTTGTTCCAGGACCCCTGCTTTTACCAAAATCCACACACACTCAAGTCACACCCAGTCGGCCCTGTGGAACCCACGTATAGGAAAAGTCAGTCCCTCATCTATGCGGTTGTGCATCTGGGATACTTTATTTTTGATGAGCATTTGGTTGCAGATGTGGAACTCGTGCCTATGGGGGAGGGCAGACTGTATTTATTTACAACAATTTGTGTATAAGCGGACCCATACAGTCCAAACCTGTGCTGTTCAGGGGTCATCTGTCCTTCACTAGTCTGGGGTTGCCCCCCGTGGATTTCCTGATAGAATCATCAGAGGCCCCGAGGACATCCCATGATGGGTGAGAAAGGGAATCTGGGTCTGGCTAGTATCTGGGACGCTGTGGTTCTGATATCTGGAGCCGTGGATGTGGCTTCTCATGTCGCATCACTGAGAGGGACTGCAGGAGGGGGCCTGAGAGCAGCGGGCAGGGCATTTCCCTCGGGGCGAGACCAGCTCCCTGGAGCAGACGTGGTGGCTCCCTGGGTCCTGGTACCTGTGCAGAGCCCTGTGCCCTTGTGCCTCTTGTGGGGGGCCACATGGTGGTAGAATAGCCAAGTTTTGCATTATTCTCAGAGGAGCTCAGCAGATTCAGTGAACAGGAGCCTTGAACTCCATGATGTCGCCCTGCTCCCCTCTTTTTGGGAAGAACGCGTTGCTAGCCCTGACATTTCTCTGACTCTCTCATTCCAAGTGGACTTCATCTCCAGAGTGATTTTGATTTTTCAGGTCTTGAAGCTGACCCATTTGCCCCAGACCCTGACAATCCACCTCATGCGATTCTCCATCAGGAATTCACAGACGAGAAAGATCTGCCACTCCCTGTACTTCCCCCAGAGCTTGGATTTCAGCCAGATCCTTCCAATGAAGCGAGAGTCTTGTGATGCTGAGGAGCAGGTGGGATGATCCCGACCTCCTTGCCATCCTGCCTCTCCCCAGATGCCATGTCCTTTCTGTTTTCCCTTCCTTCACCCCCAGTCTGCTAGGAGCCACCTGTTCCTCAGAGACTGTCCCCAGCCTCAAAAGCCTTTCTTCTTTCTAAATATTGGATTTGTGTTCATATGCCTCACAGCACTGAGGGACAGAATCCAGAATTCAGTAGGCTTCTTTGGAAATAATGTGGAATACATAGAAATGCATAGGCAAACATGTCATTGTGGGTTCATAGTACCAACCAAACTTTCTTCCTCAGATGGCCTGTGCCCACTTTGAGGATAATCATAAAGTAGCCAGTTGACTGGACCACATTTAATCAGAGTAAAGTTTAATTCACTTGTCCTGAGATAATAACTTATCAAGAGATTCTGAGAAAAAAAGAGACACAAGGCCAGGTGATGTGGCTCATGCCTGTGATCCCACACCTCAAAAGGCTGAGGCAGGAGGATTGCTTGAGCCCAGGAGTTCGAGACCAGCTTCAGCAACATAATGAGACCCCCGTCTCTCAAAAAAAAAAAAAAAATTAGCTGGGTGTGGTAGCACAAACCTTTAGTCCCAGCTACTTGGGAGGCTGAGTTGGAGGATCACTTGAGCCCAGGAGTTTGAGGCTGCAGTGAGCTATGATCTATCATTGTACTCCAGCCTGGGTGACAGCGCAAGACCCCGTCTCTAAAAACAAAACAAGAAAAACTTAAAAAAAAAAAAAAAAAAAAAAAAAAAGGACCCAAATATCTTTTTTTCCATAGATTTGAAATGCTACATAACAAATTTTGTATTTCTATATGTACGGGTCTATTTTTGGAGTGTCTCTTCTGTTTTATTGGTCTGTTTGGCTATTTATGCTCTAGAACCATGACATTTAGAAAATTAAGACCTGATAATACGTTACAATAGCTCCTATTATAACATGATTTCTTTCCCTACTTAGGCCGTATACATTTCATAGGATTCTCTTTTTCTTTCCTTCTAGTTCTTTTTATTTCTACCTGCAGATTCTACCCGATGAAGTACATTTAAAATTGTTTTTCACTTAAAAAAGACTTTTTTGGCTGGATGCAGTGGGTCACACCTGTAATCCCAGCTCTTTGCGGGGCCAAGAGGATTGCTGGAGTCCAGGAGTCGAGCCCAGCTGGACAACAAAGCAAGACTCCATCTTTGCAACAACAACAAAAAAGACTTTGTTATGGAACATTACAAATAGATACCAAAGTGTGTAGTGAAGGAAGAGTTAGACAGTGAATCCTTGGCTGTAACAGTTACCAAAACGCATGGCAGGTCTTGCTTTTCCTATAACCCACCCTCTTGTTTCACCCAACCCTGTACTGGATTTTTTTGAAGCAAATCCCAGACATCATACTATTTCATTTATAAACACTTCATTATGTATCACTAAAGAATAAGCACTTAAAAGATAATCATCTCCATCTTGCAATTCCTTAATAGCATCAAATATCTGGTTAACGTTCAGACTTCCTGACTGTTGTGTAATCTATGTGGTTTGTTTGACTCTAGATCCAAACAACGCCTACACTTGCATTTGGTTAAGTTTCTTTCTTTTCTTAAGTTCCTTTTAGATTTCCGCTCCTTTTCTTTTCCTTGCAGTTGATTTGGTTGAATATTTTTTTCATATGCCAGCACTGGCTGGTTGATATCTTTTAACATCATCTATAACCCTTTTATTTCTTGTAAACTAATATTTAGATACAGATATTGCCCTGCATTTTGTAAAGTTCTGCACAAAGTCTGCAAATGGAAATAGGGATAATTTCAGCCTCCACTGTGGGTGACTCAGCTTTGCGTGTGCCGCCCTTGCCCTCTGTCTCCCCTCCCCCTACAAAAGACTTTTTTGGCTGGGTACGGTGGCTCAGGTTAGGGTCATTCCTGGGCTTGTGGAGAAGCAGAACTGTGTTCTGATGATCCCCACCCCTCCCAGGGGAAAGTTCTAATCTTGCCTTGGCTTTGGGGGCCTCTCTCATGACCTCATGCCTTCCATCTCTTGTGTGCTCTGCCCTGCCAAGCTGCTGAGCCTTCACAGTTCAGGATCCACACTCAGGAAAGCCCCTCCTGGAGGGTGCCCACTGGCCGTGGGTCAGGACTGTTTTCTAATATTCTAAAGTCCCAGAGTCGGGCCTCGGGTGGACAGGTATAAATGTGTGAGGCAGTCGTGTTTGTGGTGGTGGGTGAACTGTCTCGTGCCTGTCTCTTTCCAGTCTGGAGGGCAGTATGAGCTTTTTGCTGTGATTGCGCACGTGGGAATGGCAGACTCCGGTCATTACTGTGTCTACATCCGGAATGCTGTGGATGGAAAATGGTTCTGCTTCAATGACTCCAATATTTGCTTGGTAAGAAACATCATCCACAATTGCCTCCTGCCCTGGATTGGCCACCTCTAGCAAATGCTGGGCTCAGGGCTGCCTGGGTCTCTGAGATCAAGACACACTGTGATCCTGCTGTCTGGGTGTGGGGCCTTTGATGAGGGTTCAAGCCTTTTTCGGTCTGAAGTCCCCATGTGGTTTGCACCTCTGCAAGGGTTCAATTCACTTCACTTCTAAGTTTTTGGTGCTCTAGGCTCATGCTCTGCAGCTTCCTGCTTTGTGGGAAATGTCTAGAGAGCAAGGAGAGTTAGAAATATGTAAGTTAGGCCTCTGGGAAAAGCATGACCAAGTTTAAACACAGGGACAAGGGCGCTAAACATACTTCACTGCACAAGACATCCTGCTGCTGTTGCTCCAGGCTCTTGGGAGTTGCTAGGGGTGGGCTTGTCTGGAGGATGAGGGGCACATTATAGTGTCCTGTCCTCTGTGGGTGCTTGTGTCAGCTGGCTGCTTGACCCCATTTGTTTCTGGCTTCCAGGTGTCCTGGGAAGACATCCAGTGTACCTACGGAAATCCTAACTACCACTGGTAAGAAACAGATTTGGGTAATTGGAGTCTGATGAGCTCACATAGGGTCCTTGGAGCTGCATGAAACGCCCATGGATTCCCCTGTTACTAACATGCTGATGGCTCACTGTCTGCCTCATCTCCAGCACTCACCCCACCACCCCATGTTTGCCTCACACGTCACACTCCAGGAATATTAAAGTACAGGTAGCTGCCAATCAGCCGTGCCCTCCATCTCCCGTCTGCTGTGCACATGCACTTCCTGGCCGTATTGTCCTCTCCTCGTTTACCATCTAGGCCAACCCCCCACTCATGTTTTCATACTCATGGCCTTTTCCTATCCTGTGAAGCCTTTGCTGATTCACCCAGATTCGTAGGGGCTTCTTGTATGGTTTTCTTTTTTTCTTTTTTTTGACGGAGTCTCGCTCTGTTGCCGGGCTGGAGTGCAGTGGCACAATCTTGGCTCACTGCAACCTCCGCCTCCCAGGTTCAAGCGATTCTCCTGCCTCAGCCTCCTGAATAGCTGGGACTACAGGTGTGTGCCACCACGCCCAGCTGATTGTTTTTTGTATTTTTAGTAGAGACGGTGTTTCACGATGTTGGCCAGGATGGTCTCAGTCTCTTGACCTCATGATCCACCTGCCTCAGCCTCCCAAAGTGCTGGGATTACAGGCATGAGCCACCACACCCGGCCTTCTTATATGATTTTATTGCATTTGAGCATACCTCTTTTACATCGAAGATCTTTTTTTTTAATTTAATTTTATTTTTAGAGATGGAGTCTTGCTTTGTTGCCCAGGCTGGAGCATTGTGGTGTGATCATAGCTCACTGCAGCCTTGAACTCCTGGGCACAGGTGATCCTCCCACCTCAGCCTCCTGAATAGCCAGGACTACAGGCATGCGCCACAATGCTTGGCATATTTTTAAAAAATGTTTGTAGAGATGAGGTCTCGCTGTGTTGCCAGGCTTGTCTCAAACTACTGGGCTCAAGCCATCTGTATGGTGTCCTCATTAGTGATGTCGTGTACAACGTCCTCATCAGCGATGTCATATATAGCATCCTCATTAGCGATGTCGTATACAGTGTGCTCACTAGCAATGTCTTTTTTTTTTTATTATACTTTAAGTTTTAGGGTACATGTGCACATTGTGCAGGCTAGTTACATATGTATACATGTGCCATGCTGGTGTGCTGCACGCACTAACTCGTCATCTAGCATTAGGTATATCTCCCGATGCTATCCCTCCCCCCCCCACCCCACAACAGTCCCCAGAGTGTGATATTCCCCTTCCTGTGTCCATGTGATCTCATTGTTCAATTCCCACCTATGAGTGAGAATATGCAGTGTTTGGTTTTTTGTTCTTGCGATAGTTACTAGCGATGTCTTATACGGTGTCCTCATTAGCGATGTCGTGTACAGTGTCCGCGTTAGCGTGCCTTGTCGGTATCATTAGCAATGTCGTATAAAGCGCCCTCATTGGTGATGTCTTGTATGGTGCCCTCATTAGCGATGTTGTGTACAGTGTCCTTGTTAGCGACGGCTTGTAGGGTGTCCTCGTTAGCGATGTCGTATACAGCGTCCTCATTACCGATGCCTTGTATGGTGTCCTCATTAGCGATGTCCTGTACAGTGTCCTCGTTAGCGTGCCTTGTACGGTGTCATTAGCGATGTCATATACGGCATCCTCATTAGCGATGCCGTATACGGAGTCCTCGTTAGCGATGCCGTGTACGGCGTCCTCGTTAGCGATGCCGTGGGCGGCGTCCTCGTTAGCGATGTCCTGGGCGGCGTCCTCCTTAGCCATGTGCCGGGCGGCGTCCTCGTTAGCGACGCCGTGGACGGCGACCTCGTTAGCGACGCCCTGGGCGGCGTCCTCGTTAGCGACGCCCTGGGCGGCGACCTCGTTAGCGACGCCGTGGGCGGCATCCTCGTTAGCGACGCCGTGGGCGGCGACCTCGTTAGCGACGCCCTGGGCGGCGTCCTCGTTAGCGACGCCCTGGGCGGCGTCCTCGTTAGCGATGCCCTGGATGGCGTCCTTGTGTGCGATGCCCTGGACTTCGACCTCGTTAGCGACGCCCTGGACGGCGTCCTCGTTAGCGACGCCGTGGACGGCGTCCTCGTTAGCGACGCCCTGGGCGGCGACCTCGTTAGCGACGCCCTGGGCGGCGTCCTCGTTAGCGACGCCGTGGGCGGCGACCTCGTTAGCGACGCCGTGGGCGGCGTCCTCGTTAGCGACGCCCTGGGCGGCGACCTCGTTAGTGACGCCCTGGGCGGCGTCCTCGTTAGTGATGCCGTGGGCGGCGTCCTGCTTAGCGATGGCCTGGGCGGCCTCCTCGTTAGTGATGCCCTGGACGGCGTCCTCAGCGATGCCGTCGGCGACATCCTCGGTAGCAATGCCCTGGGCAGCGACTTCGTTAGCCACGCCCTGGACGGTGTGGTGTCCTCGATAGCGATGCTGTGGACGGCGACCTCGTTAGCGATGCCCTGGGCGGCGACCTCATTAGCGATGCCATGGGCGGCGTCCGGCTTAGCGATCGCTTGGGCGGCATCCTCGTTAGCGACGCCGTGGGCGGCGTCCTCGTTAGCGATGCCGTCGGCGACATCCTCGGTAGCGATGCCCTGGGCGGCGACCTCGTTAGCGATGCCGCGGGCGGCGTCCGGCTTAGCGATCGCGTGGGCGGCATCCTCGTTAGCGACGCCGTGGGCGGCGACCTCTTTAGCGACGCCGTGGACGGCGTCCTCGTTAGCGATGCCCTGGACGGCGTCCTCGTGTGCAATGCCCTGGGCGGCGTCCTCGTTCGCGATGCCCTGGGCGGCGTCCTCGTTCGCGATGCCGTGGGCGGCGACCTCGTTAGCGATGCCGTGGGCGGCGTCCTCGTTAGCGATGCCCTGGACGGCGTCCTCGTGTGCGACGCCCTGGACTTCAACCTCGTTAGCGACGCCCTGGACGGCGTCCTCGTTAGCGACGCCCTGGACGGGGTCCTCGTTAGCGACGCCCTGGACGGGGTCCTCCTTAGCGATGCCCTGGGCGGCGTCCTCGTTTGCGATGTCCTGGGCGGCGTCCTCGTTCGCGATGCCCTGGGCAGCGTCCTCGTTGGCGATGCCGTGGGCGGCGTCCTCGTTAGCGATGCCCTGGACGGCGTCCTCGTGTGCGACGCCCTGGACTTCAACCTCGTTAGCGACGCCCTGGATGGGGTCCTCCTTAGCGATGCCCTGGGCGGCGTCCTCGTTCGCGATGCCCTGGACGGCGTCCTCCTTAGAGATGCCGTGGGCGGCGACCTCGTTAGCGACGCCGTGGGCGGCGTCCTCGTTAGCGATGCCGTCGGCGACATCCTCGGTAGCGATGCCCTGGGCGGCAACCTCGTTAGCGATGCCGCGGGCGGCGTCCGGCTTAGCGATCGCGTGGGCGGCATCCTCGTTAGCGACGCCATGGGCGGCGACCTCTTTAGCGACGCTGTGGACGGCGTCCTCGTTAGCGATGCCCTGGACGGCGTCCTCGTGTGCGATGCCCTGGGCGGCGTCCTCGTTCGCGATGCCCTGGGCGGCGTCCTCGTTCGCGATGCCGTGGGCGGCGACCTCGTTAGTGATGCCGTGGGCGGCGTCCTCGTTAGCGATGCCCTGGACGGCGTCCTCGTGTGCGACGCCCTGGACTTCAACCTCGTTAGCGACGCCCTGGACGGCGTCCTCGTTAGCGACGCCCTGGACGGGGTCCTCGTTAGCGACGCCGTGGGCGGCGACCTCTTTAGCGACGCCGTGGACGGCGTCCTCGTTAGCAATGCCCTGGACGGCGTCCTCGTGTGCGATGCCCTGGGCGGCGTCCTCGTTCGCGATGCCCTGGGCGGCGTCCTCGTTCGCGATGCCCTGGACGGCGTCCTCCTTAGAGATGCCGTGGGCGGCGACCTCGTTAGCGATGCCCTGGGCGGCGTCCTCGTTCGCGATGCCCTGGGCAGCGTCCTCGTTCGCGATGCTGTGGGCGGCGACCTCGTTAGCGATGCCATGGGCGGCGTCCGGCTTAGCGATTGCTTGGGCGGCATCCTCGTTAGCGACGACGCTGTGGAGGGCGTACTCGTTAACGACGCCCTGGACGGCGTCCTCGTTAGCGACGCCGTGGGCGGTGACCTCTTTAGCGACGCCCTGGGCGGCGTCCTCGATAGCGACGCAGTGGACGGCGACCTCGTTAGCGATGCCGTGGGCGGCGACCTCGTTAGCGACGCCGTGGGCGGCGTCCTCGTTAGCGATGCCGTCGGCGACATCCTGGGTAGCGATGCCCTGGGTGGCGACCTCGTTAGCGATGCCGCGGGCGGCGTCCGGCTTAGCGATCGCGTGGGCGGCATCCTCGTTAGCGACGCCGTGGGCGGCGACCTCTTTAGCGATGCCGTGGACGGCGTCCTCGTTAGCGATGCCCTGGACGGCGTCCTCGTGTGCGATGCCCTGGGCGGCGTCCTCGTTCGCGATGCCCTGGGCGGCATCCTCGTTCGCGATGCCATGGGCAGCGACCTCGTTAGCGATGCCGTGGGCGGCGTCCTCGTTAGCGATGCCCTGGACGGCGTCCTCGTGTGCGACACCCTGGACTTCAACCTCGTTAGCGACGCCCTGGACGGCGTCCTCGTTAGCGACGCCCTGGACGGGGTCCTCGTTAGCGACGCCGTGGGCGGCAACCTCTTTAGCGACGCCGTGGACGGCGTCCTCGTTAGCAATGCCCTGGACGGCGTCCTCGTGTGCGATGCCCTGGGCGGCGTCCTCGTTCGCGATGCCCTGGGCGGCGTCCTCGTTCGCGATGCCCTGGACGGCGTCCTCCTTAGAGATGCCATGGGTGGCGACCTCGTTAGCGATGCCCTGGGCGGCGTCCTCGTTAGCGACGCCGTGGGCGGCGTCCTCGTTAGCGACGCCCTGGACGGCATCCTCGTTAGTGATGCTGTGGGCGGCATCCTGCTTAGCGATGGCCTGGGCGGCCTCCTCGTTAGTGATGCCATGGGCGGCGTCCTCAGCGATGCCGTCGGCGACATCCTCGGTAGCGATGCCCTGGGCAGCGACCTCGTTAGCCACGCCCTGGACGGTGTGGTGTCCTCGATAGCGATGCTGTGGACGGCGACCTCGTTAGCGATGCCCTGGGCGGCGACCTCGTTAGCGATGCCATGGGCGCTGTCCGGCTTAGCGATCGCTTGGGCGGCATCCTCGTTAGCGACGACGCCATGGAGGGCCTCCTGGTTAACGACGCCCTGGACGGCGTCCTCGTTAGTGACGCCGTGGGCGGTGACCTCTTTAGCGACGCCCTGGGCGGCGTCCTCGTTAGCGACGCCGTGGACGGCGTCCTCGTTAGCGACGCCCTGGGCGGCGTCCTCGTTAGCGACGCCCTGGGCGGCGTCCTCGTTCGCGACGCCGTGGGCGGCGACCTCGTTAGCGATGCCGTGGGCGGCGTCCTCGTTAGCGATGCCCTGGACGGCGTCCTCGTGTGCGATGCCCTGGACTTCAACCTCGTTAGCGACGCCCTGGACGACGTCCTCGTTAGCGACGCCCTGGACAGGGTCCTCGTTAGCGACGCCGTGGGCGGCGACCTCTTTAGCGACGCCGTGGACGGCGTCCTCGTTAGCAATGCCCTGGACGGCGTCCTCGTGTGCGATGCCCTGGGCGGCGTCCTCGTTCGCGATGCCCTGGGCGGCGTCCTCGTTCGCGATGCCCTGGACGGCGTCCTCCTTAGAGATGCCGTGGGCGGCGACCTCGTTAGCGATGCCCTGGGCGGCGTCCTCGTTCGCGATGCCCTGGGCAGCGTCCTCGTTCCCGATGCCGTGGGCGGCGACCTCGTTAGCGATGCCATGGGCGGCGTCCGGCTTAGCGATCGCTTGGGCGGCATCCTCGTTAGCGAAGACGCTGTGGAGGGCGTCCTCATTAACGACGCCCTGGACGGCGTCCTCGTTAGCGACGCCGTGGGCGGTGACCTCTTTAGCGACGCCCTGGGCGGCGTCCTCGTTAGCGACGCCGTGGACGGCGTCCTCGTTAGCGACGCCCTGGACGGCGTCCTCGATAGCGACGCCGTGGGCGGCGACCTCGTTAGCGACGCCGTGGGCGGCGTCCTCGTTAGCGATGCCGTCGGCGACATCCTCGGTAGCGATGCCCTGGGTGGCGACCTCGTTAGCGATGCCGTGGGCGGCATCCGGCTTAGCGATCGCGTGGGCGGCATCCTCGTTAGCGACGCCGTGGGCGGCGACCTCGTTAGCGACGCCGTGGACGGCGTCCTTGTTAGCGATGCCGTCGGCGACATCCTCGGTAGCGATGCCCTGGGCGGCAACCTCGTTAGCGATGCCGCGGGCGGCGTCCGGCTTAGCGATCGCGTGGGCGGCATCCTTGTTAGCGACGCCGTGGGCGGCGACCTCTTTAGCGACGCCGTGGACGGCGTCCTCGTTAGCGATGCCCTGGACGGCGTCCTCGTGTGCGATGCCCTGGGCGGCGTCCTCGTTCGCGATGCCCTGGGCGGCGTCCTCGTTCGCGATGCCCTGGACAGCGTCCTCCTTAGAGATGCCGTGGGCGGCGACCTCGTTAGCGATGCCCTGGGCGGCGTCCTCGTTCGCGATGCCGTGGGCGGCGACCTCGTTAGCGATGCCATGGGCGGCGTCCGGCTTAGCGATCGCTTGGGCGGCATCCTCGTTAGCGACGACGCCGTGGAGGGCGTCCTCGTTAACGACGCCCTGGACGGCGTCCTCGTTAGCGACGCCGTGGGCGGTGACCTCTTTAGCGACGCCGTGGGCGGCGTCCTCATTAGCGATGCCGTCGGCGACATCCTCGGTAGCGATGCCCTGGGTGGCGACCTCGTTAGCGATGCCGTGGGCGGCATCCGGCTTAGCGATCGCGTGGGCGGCATCCTCGTTAGCGACGCCGTGGGCGGCGACCTCTTTAGCGACGCCGTGGACGGCGTCCTCGTTAGCGATGCCCTGGACGGCATCCTCATGTGCTATGCCCTGGGCGGCGTCCTCGTTCGCGATGCCGTGGGCGGCGACCTCGTTAGTGATGCCGTGGGCGGCGTCCTCGTTAGCGATGCCCTGGACGGCGTCCTCGTGTGCGACGCCCTGGACTTCAACCTCGTTAGCGACGCCCTGGACGGCGTCCTCGTTAGCGACGCCCTGGACGGGGTCCTCCTTAGCGATGCCCTGGGCGGCGTCCTCGTTCGCGATGCCCTGGACGGCGTCCTCCTTAGAGATGCCCTGGGCGGCGTCCTCGTTTGCGATGTCCTGGGCGGCATCCTCCTTTGCGATGTCCTGGGCGGCGTCCTCGTTCGCGATGCCCTGGGCAGCGACCTCGTTCGCGATGCCGTGGGCGGCGTCCTCGTTAGCGATGCCCTGGACGGCGTCCTCGTGTGCGACGCCCTGGACTTCAACCTCGTTAGCGACGCCCTGGACAGGGTCCTCGTTAGCGACGCCCTGGACGGGGTTCTCTTTAGCGATGCCCTGGGCGGCGTCCTCGTTCGCGATGCCCTGGACGGTGTCCTCCTTAGAGATGCCGTGGGCGGCGACCTCGTTAGCGATGCCCTGGGCGGCGTCCTCGTTCGCGATGCCCTGGGCAGCGTCCTCGTTTGCGATGCCGTGGGCGGCGACCTCGTTAGCGATGCCGTGGGCGGCATCCTCGTTAGCGATGCCCTGGATGGCGTCCTTGTGTGCGATGCCCTGGACTTCGACCTCGTTAGCGACGCCCTGGACGGCGTCCTCGTTAGCGACGCCCTGGGCGGCGTCCTCGTTAGCGACGCCCTGGGCGGCGACCTCGTTAGCGACGCCCTGGGCGGCGTCCTCGTTAGCGACGCCGTGGGCGGCGACCTCGTTAGCGACGCCGTGGGCGGCGTCCTCGTTAGCGACGCCCTGGGCGGCGACCTCGTTAGCGACGCCCTGGACGGCGTCCTCGTTAGTGATGCCGTGGGCGGCATCCTGCTTAGCGATGGCCTGGGCGGCCTCCTTGTTAGTGATGCCATGGGCGGCGTCCTCAGCGATGCCGTCGGCGACATCCTCGGTAGCGATGCCCTGGGCAGCGACCTCGTTAGCCACGCCCTGGACGGTGTGGTGTCCTCGATAGCGATGCTGTGGATGGCGACCTCGTTAGCGATGCCCTGCGCGGTGACCTCGTTAGCGATGCCATGGGCGGCGTCCGGCTTAGCGATCGCTTGGGCGGCATCCTCGTTAGCGACGACGCCGTGGAGGGCGTCCTCGTTAACGACACCCTGGACGGCGTCCTCGTTAGCGACGCCGTGGGCGGTGACCTCTTTAGCGACGCCCTGGGCGGCGTCCTCGTTAGCGACGCCCTCGACGGCGTCCTCGTTAGCGACGCCCTGGGCGGCGACCTCGTTAGCGACGCCGTGGGCGGCGTCCTCGTTAGCGATGCCGTCGGCGACGTCCTCGGTAGCGATGCCCTGGGCGGCAACCTCGTTAGCGATGCCGCGGGCGGCGTCCGGCTTAGCGATCGCGTGGGCGGCATCCTCGTTAGCGACGCCGTGGGCGGCGACCTCTTTAGCGACGCCGTGGACGGCGTCCTCGTTAGCGATGCCCTGGACGGCGTCCTCGTTAGCGACGCCCTGGACGGGGTCCTCGTTAGCGACGCCCTGGACGGGGTCCTCCTTAGCGATGCCCTGGACGGCGTCCTCGTTATTGACGCCCTGGACGGGGTCCTCGTTAGCGACGCCCTGGACGGGGTCCTCCTTAGCGATGCCCTGGGCGGCATCCTCGTTCGCGATGCCCTGGACGGCGTCCTCCTTAGAGATGCCCTGGGCGGCGTCCTCGTTTGCGATGTCCTGGGCGGCGTCCTCGTTTGCGATGTCCTGGGCTGCGTCCTCGTTTGCGATGCCGTGGGCGGCGTCCTCGTTAGCGATGCCCTGGGCGGCGTCCTCGTTTGCGATGTCCTGGGCGGCGTCCTCTTTAAGGACGCCCTGGGCGGCGACCTCGTTAGCGATGCAGTGGACGGCGTCCTCGTTAGCGACGCCCTGGGCGGCGACCTCGTTAGCGACGCCGTGGGCGGCGTCCTCATTAGCGATATTGTGGGCGGCGTCCTCATTAACGATGCCCTGGGTGGCATCCTCGTTAGCGATGTCGTGGACCGCGTCCTCGTTAGCGATGCTCTGGGCGGCGTCCTCGTTAGCGATTACGTGGGCGGCATCCTCGTTAGCGATGTCGTGGACGGCTTCCTCGTTAGCGATGCCCTGGGCGGCGTCCTCCTTTGCGATGCCCTGGACGGCGTCCTCGTTAGCGATGTCATATATGGCGTCCTCAGTAGCAATGTCATATACAGCGTCCTCATTAGCGATGTCGTGTACAGTGTCCTCATAGGGAGCTAGAAGAACACAGAGTTAAGGTCAGTGCCCTGGTGCTGGAGACTGTGAATCACCCAGGGGCTTGCTTGGTGTGATGCATGGAGGTGGCTGATTACAGCATGGGTCAAGCTGATGGTGGGACATACTCCCAGGTGGACCTGCACTAGTGAAGCTAAGGGATGTGGCTCAGAACACTTTCTGCTGTGGGAATCATTTTCCAGGTTCAGGTATGTATTATCCGGTGAAATGGGGAAATATAAAAAAATAGAAATTGACAAATTCATGAAAAGCCTTCCATGAGTGCAAGTGTGATTTTTTTTATCCACTTTACATTCAGTATGCATTCACACATACAAAATATTTTTACAAGAAATCAGAAATTTTAATTTTTGTCAGTTATGTTAAATCTAACTTAGCTGCCAACATAAAGATTCTATCTCATTTACTTGGTCTCGAGAAAATCTAGCACATAGTAAGTAGACCAAAATGTTTATTAAATGAAAACACAGAGCAGAGATAGGGGGGCTGCTAGGCAGACTGGGTTGCACCTGATTACCTGGATGATAATTAACTGCACAAAACCTCGGTCAAATTAATATTGAAACTGTCTTTTGCTTGGGCTCGTTTCCCTTGCGGAAGAAGGATGACGAAGAAGATGAACAGGAAAGAAATGAGAAACAGAGGCCTTTGCTTAGTAGCTAAAGGCCACCTTCTATAACATGAAATAGTCTGCAAGTGGCCTTGAACTCTGCCGTGATTCAGTGACAGAGTTCCCTCATGTCTTCTACCCAGGTTGAAGTCCAGCAAAATTGCGACTGTCCTCTTTACAACTTGCGAGACCACACTGCTTCTGCATTTGCCTGTTGTATGTATGAGATTTACACGTGTTTTAAAGCAACATTTTGTTTCAGTTGGGCTGGTGGCCATACCCGGCACTAGCCGGTCAATAGTGAGATGGCTCCTCATGGAGGAGGCTTGGCTTGAGGCTGAGGGTCTTTAACCCACATATACAAGAGAGTTGCCACTAAGGGATGGAAGCCAGGCTAATAACCAAGTGCCACACAGAGTTCCTATCTGTCCCTCCTCACCATTTTTGGCTGGCAGGATTTGAGCATTTTAGGGCTTGGGAAGATAGTATTACTAAATCTACTAAAATACATCACCCATCCTTATAGACTTTGGCCAGTTGCTGAGCAAATTAACTTCACAACTGAAGTGGGCCACACTGGCCTTTGTGGTCCCCCACTCCTCTTAGAATTTGTGAGCGTGGGGCCTACTGGAGGGTGGGAGGTGGGAGGAGGGGGAGGATCAGGAAAAATAACTGATATTAGGCTCAATATATGGGTGATGCAATAATCTGTACAACAAACTCTCATGACACACATTTATATATGTAGCAAACCTGCACATCCTGCCCATGTACCCCTGAACTTAAAAGTTAAAAAAAAAAAAAAAAAAGGATTGGTGAGCTGAGCCAAACACCTGGGGATCTTTGTGCTTTTGACACACTGATGACTATGCCTGTCTGTGGGGAGATGAGCCTATAACTGCCTTGGGTTGTGTGACCACGGAGCCCACTTTATGATGATGGGCAGTGTCTGGGGCCTTTTGGGCTCGGTGCTTTAGGGCTTATACATGAATGTTGGACTCCCTGTGTGGTGGTGAACACCCCATGACTAAGTGCCATGTCAGCGTCAGCACTGGCCCACACTCCTGGGTTCGTGTTTTCACTTTTTCATTCAGGAACTCGGGAGCTGGGGCCACTCCCTTGGCCCTTCAGTTTCTCCACCTGAGCAGTGGGGATAATAAGGCAGACCCGGGGATGGCTCTGGTGAGGGTGGAGGAGTCACTGTACAGAGAGAGTAGAGCGGGGGTGGATTTTATTGTTAGAAGTGGACACTGGTGATTGGGTTGTATAAGTGGGAAATCTCTCCTGAGAAAACACACAGCCTCACCTGTACAGAAACACACACATTCACACCACACGATGCAGCCTCACACAAGACACCACCAATCCTCAAGCACCCAACTCAGCACCACCCAAAAGGGAGCACAGCTGCTTCCTCAAAATTTGGCCATAATTTTTCCCTGGGGAATTCAGGTTTTAAAAAAACACTTCCCCTATACTTATTCCTATCACAATCCCAGGATCAGGGTGGCTCTTCACATTGAAACCAGGCAAGGATGCCACACCTTTCTTGGCATCCAGATTGTTTTCTTGGCAAGTGATTCCAGAATACTTACTAGATTCATGCCTCAGAGGGGCCACCTGCACCACCTGCAATACAGAAACAAAGCTTTTTGAGGGGTATGTCACGTTGTGGATTGTTTGCACAAGGCTGTGTTTCTCTCAATGAATATTGAAAACTTGATCAGAAAGTGTAGTCAACTTCAAGGCCTCCAAAACAAGGGTAGGATACACACTGGAAAAGGCATCAGCTTCTGGACGGTGTATCTCTCAGGTCCACGTAGGTTGGCAAGTGCAAAATACTGAATCCAAGGAGAAGACATTGCTTCCAAGGACAAGGACCCCAAGGATACAGTCCACAACCTGAAGCCGTCATAGCTAAATGCCATTTTGGATTACATATCAGTTGCTAAGAGTCACTTCTTCCTCCCCCTCAGAAAACTGCATTTAATACCTGTCATGGACATTGTCATTTTTTCACATGTAAAGTCAGTTGAAAAAGAAAGACACCAAGAAAGGAACATTTCTATTTCAGAGAAAGCAAGGCAACCTTACCCTCACGTTGACTGGCCTCTCTCCATCTCCTCTGTCCTTGTGAACTAGAGACTCCTCAGAGGCTAAGAGGACACAGAGCAACAGTTAGTCATAGATGCTTTTGTTCATGAGTTATTCAGGGAGCTCTGCTCAATGTGGACAACAGGACAGTGTGTGTGGATGTGTTTCATTAAAAGCACAGCTTGAGCTCCTGCTAGAAAATCTTCCCTGGTGGAAAGACAGGCAAGAACGAGGAGCTAAGGAGCAAGAAATAGAGTCCCTGGCATTTTGCTGATGGCAACTTAAGGCAATGGGAATGAGTCAGTCTACAAATGGTACTGAAGCACATGCTATAGTTTGATGAGAGTCCCACTGCTCACACTGTGAGGTTTGAAACCCAGCTAAATGGTTTTCTAAACCCTGTAAAAACGATATTAGCTTGCAGGATTTATGTCCCAAGACTACTTTTACCTCTGAGGATCCACAGTGGCTGTCACTGCAGTTATTATGTGTTTTAGCATTTTGCACTTGAATAAAAGCAAAGTTTAATAGACAGATTGGATTCGATTCTAGGCAAAACAGTCTATGGTATTTATTCACTAATCCTTTGTTATAACTGCTGATGGGAGAATTAGAAGTACTGAAATTATATCTTTTAAAATTAATTAAAGCATAATTATTAATCACACAATATTTTTTCATCCAGGCCTCCTTTTCTTTGTCATGCATGCATATTAATTGAGGATGGAGAATATCTACGCTTGTTCAGGCCAGCCAACATACGACAGTTTACTTCAAGAGAGGAGACATGGGTTGAATGCTGGTGTGTTTTAACTCTGCAGCGCAAACAGTTGCAACAAGTGTGGTGAACTAAACACCAGATGGCCCTTTGCTGCCTTATTTGTCATTGTGCCTTACATGTAGCTTGCAGGATTTGATTACGCTTATGTTTTGTGGTGATCATACTTTCAACTATTCCTAAAATACTGCTTCAGTCTTATCTGTTTGGGGTCAACTGCCGAGGATTTCATACAAATTAATGAAGTTTGTGAATCTAAAGTTCTACACAAAGGTGGAAATATTTGCAAATCATTTATCTTGTAAGAGACTAAAATTTAGAATATATTTTAAATATATTTAAGATATATTCAAAAATCTACAACAACAAACTAACTAAATAAAAATCAGACAACTCTTTAAAAATGGGCAAAAGACTTCAACATATATTTCCCTAAAGAAGATACAGCCACAGATAGTAGCACAGGAAAAGCTGCTCAGGATCATTAGTCATTAGGGAAATGCAAATGAAAAACACAAGCAGCCACCAATATACACCTACTAGGATGATTTAAAGGAAAATAAGTGTGAAGAAGGACGTAAAGAAATTGTAACCCTGATACATTGATGGTAGAAATGGATAAAGTTGCAGCCACTGTGAAAAACAGTCTGCAGTGGCTCAGAAGGTTAAATATAGAACCCCTGTTGGACCCAGGAACTCTACTCTTAGGCACCCCAAAGAATAGAGAACGGAAATCAAACAGATGTTTGTATACTAATGTTTGTAGCATCACTTTTCACAGGAGCCAAAAGGTGGAAATAATCCAACCATCAGTGAACAAATGAATGTAATAAAAGCAAAGTGGTCTGCATGCAATGCTACATCATCCATCTGTAAAAAACGAACATCATTTTGATAGATGCTACAACATGGGTGGACATTGAGAACATTATGCTTAGTGAAATAAGCCAGACACAAAAGGAATATATTGTATAATTGTAATTACATGAAGTGCCTAGAATAGTCAAATTCATACAAGAGAAAGTGGGATAGGAATCACCATGGGCTGGAAATAGGGGGAAGGTGCTATATTGCTTATTGTGGACAAGGTTTCGTAAGAAATCATCAAAATTGTGGGTGTAGATAGTGGTGCTGGTTATGCAACCCTGTGAATATATTGAATGCCATGGAGTGCACACTTTGGTTAAAAGGTTCAAATGATAAATATTGTGTTATATATATTTCCCCACGATAGAAAACACGCACAGCCAAGCCCAGATGCCAGTCTTGTTAGCTGCCTTCCTTTACCTTCAAGAGTGGGCTGAAGCTTGTCCAATCTTTCAAGATTGCTGAAGACTGTATGATGGAAGTCATCTGTATTGGGAAAGAAATTAATGGAGAGAGGAGAAAATTTGAGAATCCACAGTACTCACCCTGCAGGGCCAAGAACTCTGTCTCCCATGCATTGCTGTCCTGTCTCAGTATTTCCTGTGACCACCTCCTTTTTCAACTGAAGACTTTGTACCTGAAGGGGTTCCCAGGTTTTTCACCTCAGCCCTTGTCAGGACTGATCCTCTCAACTATTGACCATTTCACCTCCATTCATGTCCATGCCACATCAGGCTGTGTTGTCTAGATGGAATGAATCCACCCAAAATGTCCCTTTCTGGAGGAAGCCACCATTATGCTGTACCTCCAAGCATAATGGTACATCCACACACACCAAGGCACCTCGCTCATGCAAGGTGTGTGTCCTCTAACAAAGTTTCACACTCTAAACCCAGATAACTTTTCAAACCCAAGTTCTGTTGATTCCCCTACTTTGAGTGCTCCATAGATGCTCATTTGTCTACTAAACACTGCCCCAGGCAATTAAATATTCCAAAGTGACCAGCAGAATTTTTATGTTAATTCTGACATTGCGTTGTTAGTACAAGTGTTTTTCCCCCTTCAAATTTATGTCTTTGTTACTGATAAATGTAACTGATAATGCGTTTTTCAGCTGTGTTGCCAAGCATATTTATATAAAAATATACTCAGATTGTTTTCAGAATTTGACAAAGATGATAGCAATAATGATAATCTTATTTGTTTTATACCAATCTTTATGTGTTACTTTCATCATTTCTTACATATTGGGGCCTACCATACATTGTACGGTGAAATTAGTGCTATGCATCATGGTAGAAATATAAATTGGCAAAAGTAATTTAGAAAATAGTTCCCTTGTTTCTTAAAAAAATTAGGCTGGGTGTGGTGGTTCATGCCTATAATCCCAGCACTTTGGGAGGCAGAGATGGGTGGATCACCTGAGGCTAGGAGTTTGAGACTAGCCTGACCAACACAGCAAAATCCTGTCTCTACTGAAAATACAAAAATTATCCAGGCATGGTGGCGTGTGCCAGTTGTCCCAGCTACTCGGGAGGTTGAGGCACGAGAATTGCTTAAACCTGGGAGGTGGAGGTTCCAGTGAGCCGAGATTGTGCCACTGCACTCCAGCCTGGGTCTCAGAAAAAAAAAATTTTTTTTGACCAAAATGTCATTATGCATTACATGACTGTATATGAATGCTCAAAGCTACATTACTCATCAAAGAAAATAACAAAACAATTAAATGTCCATTAACTGATAAATGAATAAACACTATCTGTATGAGTAAACACAGCAGACTATGAAGGAAAACACATGACCAGCACGTGCTAACACGTCAATTAACTTCAAACATAGTATGCTAAATGAAGGAAGTCAGATTCCAAATATATGTATACGTCCATTTCTATTAAGCAAATGGGAAATTTATGGAGATGGAATGTCACAGCAGTATTGCTTAGGGCTGGAGATGGGAGTGGGGATTAACTGCCAGTGCGCAAGAGAGAATTTGGGTGAGGGAAACATATTTAAATTAGATCGTGGTGATGGGTGCACACAGTATCAATTTAATAAAGCATCAAATTGTAGACCTTTTCAGTGGGCAAACTTTATGGTGGGTTCACACCCAATATAGGTGTTAAGAATAAATTAATGTTACGGAAATTCTTGTCGGGTTTTTAACAAGCCAAGAGATATGCTGTGAAAGCAGCATTAATTCAAATGGTTGTCACAGGTCACTTAAAGTTAGATAGTTGTCCTACAAATATAGGGTGAATGTTATTCATGAATTTCCTGAATCTATTGCAATAATCACATTTTTTTCCATTAAACTCTTGAGGTAGCTAATTTTATTTATTGCATTTTCAATGTTAATCTACTATTTCATATATTGAGATTAACTCACATTAGTCAGAATTTACAGTATTTTAAAATATCACAGAATTTAATTTACCTTATCTGGTTTTGGTTTCAAGACTATACTAGCCATTTCATTTAATTGTACATGTAGGATATTCTAATTTATGGAAAACTATTACATCTTCCTTGATTTTTTTTTTTTTTTTAGAAATTACTTCTAGGGATCTATATGGTAGAGTCCATGGAGAATTGTTTTAATTCTTCATTCATGTCTTCAGTGGGTATAGGATTGGTCATATTGGTCATAGTTTTCTGCTCGGATTTCAATAAGAAACTTGTGGAAGAACCTGAAGGGTGGGATCTTTGAGGGAGCCTAAGACAGAGCAAGACAAGCTAAGAAGGAGGGCAGTGCCACAGCAGAACTGCCATTGATGCCCCCTCGCCTAGATTGCGGAAGAGACATCCAGCTGTAGACACTGAGGTGCAGGAAAACAATGGAGCACCATCAGAGAAAGCAGTGCCCAGGAACAAGGAGGCACTGATGGTGGCAAGGGGCAAAGACAGCTGCCACGAGGCTGTTCACATGAGGGTCTCAGGCTGCATAGACACCCACACCAGCTGAGGGGTCCTGGTTTTCATAAAGTGTGTGGCTCAGCCAGGCCACCAACAAGCAGTTCACAAACAGTAGTAATACGACACTTTCCAAAGACCTTACTTGAGTAACACGGTGATCCTCACAAATTTCCAATCAGGATGGTCGCACAGTTCCTCCTGCTTTAGGACTCAGAGCCTGCCCGTGGTCACAGTGGGTAGGTGCAGACTCTGAAGATGCACTTTGGTCAGAGACCCCGCTGAACTCTGTCTAATGAGGACCTCTGTCCTGTCTGCTGACCACCCGTCAGAGGTGCAGGCTGCAGTGGGGAGTAAGAATGCCACCTTCTCAATGTTGGGAAAACTCCCTGCCAGAACTGAGAATGGCCCTTTCTAAGCAGAAGGCAAGCTCAGACTAAAGAAGGAGGCCGAACACATCAGGTTGGCAGATTGCCAAAGATTCACTCAGGGAGAGCCCACATCCTGGGCCATCTTGGGTGGTGGCAAGATGAGGTAGACGACTGCTTTTGCAACACACACCTGACAACAAAAAATCAACAACTGTAAAAGAGCCACAAAATCCCCAAATATTTGCAAATTAGCAATGCACTTTTAAATAACTCATGGGTTAAAGAAGAAGTCTCAATAGAAAATTAAAAATACTTTTAACTACATTAAAAGAAAATGTGACTTGGCAAGATTTCTGGATGTAGCAAAAGCAGTCCTTAGAGGGAAATCTATAGCATTGGATGCAATATACTAAAAATCACAAGACCTAAAATCAGTAATATCATGTTTCAATTAGGGAACTATAGAAAATAGAGGAATGCAATGGAAAGCAAGTAAAAGTAATAAACAACATCACAGAAATCAATAAAATTAAAACACTGAGATCATCAGAAAATCAATAAAACCAAAAGCTGGTTCTTTGATATGCTCATTACAATGAATGAATTGATATGCAGGCTAACCAAGAAAAAGAAGATAACACAAATGACCAATTTCAGAAATAAAAGAGGAGCCATCTCTACTGAACTGTTAGGCATTAAAAGGAATATCATGAACAGTTCTATGACCGCAGTTTGATAACCTCAGTGAAATGTATCAATTCCTTGAAAGGCAATCTTCCCAAGGTCATGCTAGGATCCTAATTTGAATAAACTTATGTCTATTAAATAAGTTGAATTCACATTAAGAGCATTCCGAAAAAGAAAGCACCAGGCCCAGATGGTTTCTCTCATGAAATCTACCGAATTCTTCAACAGGTGAATAAAAAGACAAAAATTCATTGAATGCAATATTATTTGGTGATTTAATGTGCCATTTTTTGCCATTAAGGCATAAAAAAGACATGAAAGCAGCTAAAGCGTACATCAATTTAGTGCAATAAATTCATCTGAAAAAACTACATAATATATGATTCCAACTATATGACATTCTGGAAAAGGCAAAGCTGAAGCGATAGTAAAAATATTAATAGTTGCCAAGGTTTCTGGAGAAAGAGGACAGAGATTAATGAGAAGAGAGGATTTTTAGGGAAGTGAACATTTTCTTTATGAGACCATAAGGGTGAACATAATGTTTTAAATATTTCAAAATTCATATATATGTATAACAGAAAGAATGAACATTATGCAAATGTAGACTTCAGATAATAATGTGTCAATATTTTCTCATTATTCTAGCAAATGTACCACAGTAATGTAAGATGTTACTAATAGGTGAAATTAGGAAGTGAGGGTGAGGAGACAGAATAATATGGGAACTTCCTGTATTATATACTCAATTTTTATTTATTTATTTATTTATTTATTTATTTATTTTGAGATGGAGTTTCACTCTTGTCACCCAGGCTGGAGTGCAATGGCATGATCTTGGCTCACTGCAACCTCTGCCTCCTGGGTTCAAGCGATTCTCCTGCCTCCGCCTCCTGAGTAGCTGGGATTACAGGCGCCTGCCACCACACCCGGCTAATTTTTTTGGATTTTTAGTAGAGATGGGGTTTCACCATGTTGGCCAAGCTGGTCTCCAACTCCTGACCTCAGATGATCTGCCTGCCTTGGCCTCCTAAAGTGCTGGGATTATAAGTGTGAGCCACCACGCCCGGCCATATGCTCAGTTTTTATGTCAATTTAAAACTCTCTAAAGAAATATATTAATTGAAAAATAATAATATAGCACCACTCTTTCAGGGAGATCTATGCTTATGTTTAACAACCAGGTAAGTTCTAGACATTAGCTTGAAACATTGTCTATCATTAAACATGAACCAAAATTGACTTTTAAGTAGATATTTACTTTTGTGGTGGTAGCAATATTTACTGACCAGGCAAATTAGAATCCTGACACATTAAAAAATATGGCTTAGTCTCTTCATAGTTTCCTCTTACATATGGGACACTGAATACTCCCCGCAACTGCAATTCTTGAATCAACTTAATTAATGAACTTCCACAGTACCTTCTTGTGGGTACCTCTTCTTCTTTACCCGGGAGCCATGAGGTCTCCTACACTGGTTGGTGTGCACAGCATATCTTCTTGTATTCTCTATCAGAGAAGATGCTGGTTAATGCATTGACAATAGATAGGGCTGTTGACATCTTGCTGACAGAAGACCAGAGGGAAAATAGTGATAATCTGTTCTAAGTTTAAACTTATGATCCTTTTCTTTACAGGCTTCCAAGCAGAGCCCACTGAATCAAAGTTGGGTTTCAGGAAGATCACGGAGTTCAGTGAGCACTCAACACCTCTATCAGACAGACTGCGTGGGCAGTGCCTTCCTGGAGAGGGGAACACAGCAGGATGACTGTGAGTGCAGGGCTGGTGCAGAGTGGGGGCCCGGATTCAAATTCCACTAAGCCATGTGGACCTGGCAAGCTCATGTCCTCCCTCTGCCCTCAGTTCTCTGCACTGTCATAATGTAATTTTAGCAATACTTTTTAGGCCCTATTTAAGCCCTACTTCTTAGTATCACAGTACAGGGCTAAAAAATCACTAAATACAGGAAAACCTTAGAGAGGACTGGTACTTCAGTAATGTTCTCTAAGTGTTTACTACATGCCAGGAGGAATAAGCTGGACACTTAGCAGTGGCGGAATATGGAGGGGGAACTTGGATGGCTCCGGGGCAGTGGAGCATGCTTTCCTGTTCGGCTTTTCCGTGGGCATGACGCCTTATGGTTTATAGAGAACATCAGCCCTGCAGGGGGTGCAGAGGAGGGGCTGTGGCTGAGATTTTACACTTGAGGGTGCTGACATTCAGAGATGATAAGTGACGAGCAGAACCTCAACCCCGCTGAGTGAAGGACCTGAGATGGGAAATGTATTTGGTTCCCTAGAGAGAGAGATTCCTGAAAAACTGCCACCTCTTCATCACGCCCTGTGCCAGAGACCCAAGAGACCCCTCACTGTCTTTCTCCAGTCCTCCTAGCCCAAGGTGTGTGGGTGGACAAAGGTGGTGCTCTGGAGGAAATGCCTGAGATAAGGACAGGTCCTTAATGATAAAGAATTCTCCTTCCTCTTTCAGATCCTTGACCTCCCAGTATGACAGCTTAAAGGCTGTCATCTCTGTGGCCTGCCTCCCCTTTCCCTTCACCCTGCCAGCTGCCTCTCAGTGACTGTCTCCTCCAGTGACTACACTGAGGGACCAGGGACTGCTTGCCTCCCGAGGCTGCTCAGACCTTCCGACACCGCAAAATGATTGTCAAAAATGGGTCTGCAAAGAGTAACTTCCCTTCCACTGATCAAACCTGAATGTGCAAGCTACTGTCAATTAACTGGAAAAGTGGCCGTGTGGGCTGGTGCTTTGGTGATTTAATGAGTAAAGTCTACAACCCCCACTGCCTCCTTGACTATTGATCAGAGCTGCCTGCAATAAGGTCTGGCTAAGAATGGGCAGTGGCTGCACCAGCTCTGGGTAAAATTTGACCTAAAATGACCAATCTCATTCACTAACCTCACCATAGTCTTATGGGTTCAATGGACCTGTCCAATCCTTTGCTCTGTTCTCTCCATCACCTTCCTGTGTAATTTTCCTCCACCACGCACATAAGAGAAACATGGCACAGGGGAGCTAATCGCCTCTTTTATCCCCCACTTCAGGCTCACACGTAAGTTTATAGTAAAAGCCTTTTCAAATGACTGCTTTAACTGCTGCTACAGCATGTGCCATCAGTTGAATGGAATCTGTCACGTGACTTTAAGCAACCCTTTGCTGAGAGACAAGATTCAATACTAGGGACAGTATTCTAGTGTACTACATCATTGATTTTATGTTATGAAGATCATCATTTATTGAAAATGTATAAATAATGAAGCCCAGCCTTACTCTTCAACGCTGTGTGTGTAAATCCACTGAGTGTGCTGACCCCCACGCTTGTACCCACCTGCTAACACAGAAAGGGTCCACTCAGAAGGCAGGCACAGCTCCAGCACTGAGGCTGTCCACACCAGCTTCACAAGAGGGTTGCCACAAGGACGACGGATACCCGGATAACAACCAAATGGTAATTTGAGTACTTAATGGTCATGATCCCTAAAGTGTGTAGCTCAGAGGGCTTGTGGTGATAACTCCATCAAGACTCTAAAGCATCTCCCCAATTCTTACTGGACTTGATCCATGTCTTGAGGAGACCCAGCTATGACACGCAGGCACCACATTGTCCTACTTAGTGCCTCCCTTAGTGTTTCAGAACCTGTGATTTGATCAGAAACATGGGCTTTCTATGTTGGTTTCACACTAAGGACTATGTGACACCTGCAGGAAGATGTCTACATAGCTACCTGGATTATGAGATCATGACGTTCTCTTATGTGAGGGATGGCGTTTGGGATCTCTGCAGGTGTGGGTAATTCCAGGCATAGAGGGTGCTGGAACTCCCTTGCATGGTGAATAGTGATCTCTTCACTGGCTGATAAATAGAGGTTGTAGTTCAGGCCTTCAACATTAGCACCGTATGAGTAAACATTTTGACTCTTCACTATGCAGCAAGTGAACCAGGGCACATTTATTTATGTGGCTTAGTTTCTCCATCTGGCATGTGGGCTCAGTAAACAAGCTCACAACATATGGGCATGATGATGATGAGGTGTGAACTAATGTAAGTAAAGTATGTGGTCTGATTTGTTAAATTAAGAAACATGGCACTGAGAGTTGTGCTGGGTAAACACAACATTTTTTTCGTAGGGGAAACACACATAGACACACATTCACAAGCAAATCATGCAGACTTGCACACAGACCACCTCACCCCACCCCCGCCCTAATACACACATACCCACACACAACCTAATGTGAACATGTTCCCAGAAACTATACATAGATAAAAAGAGTATGTCACCAGGAAAACCAGTTTCTTTTACTATACCCTACATCCTCATTCCCACCAGATGTCTTGGATCATGGAGGCTCTCCAGACAAAAGCCAGCAGTTAAGCTCCAGATTTCCTGTAGAATCCTTTTCTAACAACCAGTGAGTGATTCCAGAATACGTACCATTGAATGTGCTCCCTGAAGTCACCTGTAATTAGAGAAGGAAAACACTCTGAGAATCAGGCTATGCTATGGATGGCTCACACAGGTCTTTTGTTCACTTGGAAACTCTGGGTAACCAAGACTGGAAATAAGGTTCAAGTCAAAAGCCCCAACTCTAGAGTAGAGTTCCCTTAGGAAAGCACAGGAGCTTTTCTTGAAGAATGTTTCTGTCTAGGTAATTTTTGAGTAGAAATTGCAGAATTCTTATCTAAAGTGGAAAGCTTGTTCCTGAAGAAAACATCCCTTAGCACCCAGTGTACTATCTGACACTGCCAATTTTGCACGTCCTCTGGAATCAGGTGTCAGTTGGTAAAATACACCTCCTCCACCCCCAAGGAAATATTATCTAACACCTATAATGTAGTGGATAATTTTCCCATAGCTGATATCAACTGAAAAATAAAGGATCCAAGAAAACAACATTTGCATCTTAGGCAAAGACAGGCTACTTTACCTTGGTAGTAGAGTAGGGCTTCCTTTTCACACGCTTTTTGGAAGGCTTCTTCGAGTCACCTAGGGGATGTGGAGGGACACAGCATTGCTGTCAGTTCATTGGCAGTGCTACTCATGAATGACTCAGGGACTGGAACTTAGGGGCGTGCCTGGTTAACAAGCATGGAATGAGCTTCTCCTGGACCATCTTCTTCACGGACCAAGGAAGGCAAAGAAAGAGCAGCAAGGAAATGAGAGTAGAGCCCTTGGCTTTCCAGGTAATGGCAAATGAAAGCAACGTGAAATAATCAACTCCAAATGAACAAATGCTAAAATACATGCTAGGATTCAACCACAGCATCCTGTCACTTCTTCAGACCCTTTAAAAGCCCAGCAGGACTGCCACTACCTTCTTGACATCTACCAAGTCCCTTTCAACCTCCACAGACCCACATACACTGCTACTGCATTTATCATGGAGGGTATAGGGTTCTGCCTTGTTTATGTGTGAATGTTTTAAAAACTAGATTTAATACCATGCACCAGCATTAATTGTATTTATTTCTTTTCTTGGTTATGAAAATAATCAGTCAGGCATAGTGGCTCACACCTGTAATCCCAGCAGTTTGGAAGGTGGAGGTGGGTGGATCATTTGAGGTCAGGAGTTCGAGACCAGCCTGACCAACATGGTAAAACCCCATCATTGAAGATAAATGTTTTATATCCATGGTTAACAGATGAGATGACCATGAAATGAACACCAGTGTACTGGGTGGAGCAGCTTATCTATTCAGTCTTCTGCACTAAAACCTGTGAAACAATATCATCTTGCCTTATTTACTAACAAATACAAGTGCCTCTAAACTTAGACAGTTTCCAAATCATGGAACTGATGAGCACTTAGCTCCTGCAGAGAGCTCTGGATGATGGGTCGGGAGAACAAAGACACAATACATCAAAACAGCATTAACAAGTAAACAGGTTTTCAAAGCTCTCTACATGCAAATTTACACAATTATCCTTTTAATTTTTATCTTCATATATATGTACATAATCTACTTGCTTCTGAGTATAAATAAAACTGTATGTTCTTAGTTAATAGTCTCTATAAATTCACTCTATTTATCTTTCTGAGTTGAAATACTGCATCTCATTGGATAACAAAAAAAAAATTTGACTAAGATTACACTGGAAAGGTGAGTAGGTTGGGTGATTGACTGTGATTGACAATTCCATGATTCTGGATAACTTCCAAGGCATAAAAATAAATGTGTGTTTTCTTTCACACGTAGACAATACACATACTTATTACTTTAAAAAATTAATATGTGCATGGAAGTGACTTACTACAAATATATTAAAGTAAATACACATTTCACAAAAAAAGAAGAGAGGAAGGGAAAAACATGTTAAAAACAAAGAGATGTACATTTTATTGTGTGAAAAGCCTCCAACGGATCCATACTACTGTGGCTTTGTTCCAAAGTTTTGGAAAGTAATGATTTCATAGGTTCTTAATTGGGTTAAAAACTGCATTAAAATAGACTTTGCCATATTCTCCCCTGGGGAATAACTTAATCTGTGGGGTGGGGGATGGAACGTTGAAGGATGCAGGATGTAAAAGGAAATTATATATATATATATATATAATTTGGGAATTTGGGAATAAACTGAATAAACTGAATCCCAATTCACACTGGGACTACACCAGCTGCCACCATGCCTGGCTAATTTTTTGTATTTCTAGTAGAGACAGGGTTTCACTGTAATGGCCAGGATGGTCTTGATCTCCTCACCTTGTGATCCTCTTGCCTTGGCCTCCCAAAGTGCTGGGATTACAGGCCTGAGTCAAGATACATATTTTTTAAATGAAGAAAAATTTCAAAGATACTCTGCTTGGTACAATAATCAAATATATAAATTGAGGAATAAAACATAATCATGAAACATATTTATAACTGCATATGGAAAATACAGAGGCTAATTTTTTAAATAACATATTTTGAAAGCATTAACTAGTAATTTGAAAAGATCGCATTTGACAGGCCAGTATGAACATACCTTGAATGCAGCAAGACAGGTTCCCCATAAGAAAAATCAAAATCAGGGAAAATGAAACCACAATGGTTCAATCTGCTCTGACCTTTGAAAAACTCAGCACAGATAGTGGCACTTAGGACCAAGGGCAGGAGATCCCTAATCCCATCACCATGGCGATAGGGCATAAACATTCCAGGGTGAAGGCACAATCCACACTGTGAGGTCCAACTGCTGCCATGCAGACAGGTGGGCTTTTACAAGTACAGGAAGGTCATCAAAGGCTCAGTGTTTTGTTTCAAAAACTGAATCCCAAGCCCACACATTATTATGCTGGCTTCTTAAAATAAGTTATGAGATGGGAAATAGGGCACCGACAAATATATATATATAAAATTATATATAATATAATATATATTATATATAAAATTATATATAATATAATATATATTATATATATATATATATTTTGGGAATTTGGGAATAAACTGAATCCCAATTCACACTGGGACTACACCAGCTGCCATCATGCCTGGCTAATTTTTTGTATTTTTAGTAGAGACAGGGTTTCACCGTATTGGCCAGGATGGTCTTGATCTCCTCACCTTGTGATCCTCTTGCCTTGGCCTCCCAAAGTGCTGGGATTACAGGCTTGAGCCAAGATACATATTTTTTAAATGAAGAAAAATTTCAAAGGTACTCTGCTTGGTATAAGAATCAAATATATAAATTGAGGAATAAAACCTAACCATGAAACATATTTATAACTGCATATGGAAAATACAGAGGCTAATTTTTTAAATAACATATTTTGAAAGCATTAACTAGTAATTTGAAAAGATCGCATTTGACAGGCCAGTATGAACATACCTTGAATGCAGCCACACAGGTTCCCCATAAGAAAAATCAAAATCAGGGAAAATGGAACCACAAAGGTTCAATCTGCTCTGACCTTTGAAAAACTCAGCACAGATAGTGGCACTTAGGACCAAGGGCAGCAGATCCCTAATCACATCACCATGGCGATAGGGCATAAACATTCCAGGGTGAAGGCACAATCCACACTGTGAGGTCCAAATGCTGCCATGCAGACAGGTGTGCTTTCACATGTACAGGAAGGTCATGGAAGGCTCAGTGTGTCGTTTCAAAAACTGAATCCCAAGTCCACACATTATTATGCTGTGCTTCTTAAAATAAGTTATGAGATAGGAAATAGGGCACCCCCAAATATATATATAATTATATATAATATAATATATATAATATATAACATATATATAATTTCCTTTTACATCCTGCATCCTTATATATAATATTATATTTAATATAATATATAATATTATATTTAATATAATATATAATATTATATTTAATATAATATATAATATTATATTTAATAATATATTATACATAATATTATATAATATAATATATAATTATATATAATTATAAATTATATATGAAATATAATGTATAATTATATATGTAATATAATAAAGTATAATATATAATATATATTATATATTATATAAAATATTATCTAATGTAATATGTAATATATAGTATATCATAATATAATATATTTTATAATATAATATATTATATATTATATATGATTACATTATATTATATTATATTATATTATATATTATATAATATATGATATATTATGCTATATTATATATAATATAGCATAATATATATGATATATGATTTATAATATATAATATATATCATAAATTATATATAATACATTATATATATCATAAATTATATATAATATATAATATAATATAATATAATTATATATAATATAATATAAAATATATATAATATAATATAATATAATATAATTATATATAATATAATATATAATATATCAAATATAATATATATCAGATAAAATATATAATATATAATATATAATATATATCAGATATAATATATAATATATATCATATATTTTACATAATATATATCATTTATTATGTAATATATAGCTTTTATTATATATAATATATATCATTTATTATATAATATATGATATATCATATATGATATATATCATCTATATCATATATGATATATATCATCTATATCATATATGATTTATCATCTATATCATATATGATATATCACCTATATCAGGTATGATATATCATCTATATCTTATAGATGATATATCATCTATATCTTATAGATGATATATCATCTATATCTTATAGATGATATATCATCTATATCTTATAGATGATATATCATCTATATCATATATACGATATATTGTATATATCATATATGATATACCATTTATATCATATATGATATACCATTTATATCATATATAGTATATAATCTATATCATATATAGTATATAGTCTATATCATATATATTGTATATAATCTATATCATATATTGTATATAATCTATATCATATATAGTATCTAATCTATCATATATATTGTATATAATCTGTATCATATATATTGTATATAATCTGTATCATATATATTGTATATAATCTGTATCATATATATTGTATATAATCTCTATCATATATATTGTATATAATCTCTATCATATAGTATATTATATATCATATGTTGTATATAATATATATCATACATATTGTATATAATATATATCATACTTATTGTATATAATATATATCATACATATTGTGTATAATATATATCATACATATTGTGTATAATATATATCATACATATTGTGTATAATATATATCATACATATTGTGTATAATATATATCATACATATTATATATAATATATATCATATATAATATATATGATATATATCATATGTAATATATATCATATATATTATATATGATATATATCATATATTAAGTTAAGTTTGGGGATATCCCAGAATTATATATGGATTTTCAACTGCAGAGGAGCTGGTCCCCTAACCCTTGCACTGTTCAAGGATCAACAGTATGTATAATACTATAGATTTTATTCATATTTTTAGAGTGTAGTACTGCTACTCATTAAAAAAAATTAACTATAAAACAGCTTCAGGAAGGTCTTCCACGAGTTCTTCCAGAAGAAAGCCTTGTTATCATAGAAAATGACAGCTGCATGTATGTTATTGCCACTGAAGACCCTGAAGACCTTTCACTTGGACAAGATTTCGAGATGGAAGACAGTGATATTGATTATCCTGACCCTTACAGGGCTAAGCTAGTGTGTGTGTTTGTATCTTAGTTTTTAACAAAAATGTTTAAAACATAAAAAATCAAAATAAATGAAGCTTATCAAATAAGGATATAAAGTATTTCTGTACAGCTGTTCAATGTGTTTTTGTTTTAAGATGTGTTATTACCAAAGAATCAAAAAATTAAAAAAATTAAAAGTTTATAAAGTCATGATAAGCTAAGATGAACTTGTTAAAGAAAGAAAAAATTTAAATACATTTAGTGTAGCCTAAGTGTACAGTGCATATAAAGTCTATAGTTATGTACAGTAATATCCTAGGCCTTCGCATTCACTCACCAAGTACTCACTGACTCATCAGAGCAACTGCCAGTCCTGCAACTTCTGTTCATGCTAAGTGTCCTTTACTGGTGTACCACTCTCTTTAAATTTTGTAATATATATATATTTTTTTCTTTGTTTTTTTTTGAGAAGGAGTTTTATTTTGTTGCCCAGGCTGGAGTTCAATGATACGATCTTGGCTCACTGCAACCTCTGCCTCCGGGGTTCAAGTGATTCTCCTGCCTCAGCCTCACGAGTAGCAGGGATTACAGCCCCACGCCAGCATGCCCAGCTAATTTTGTATTTTTAGTACAGACGGAGTTTCTCCATGTTGGTCAGGCTGGTCTCGAACTTCTGACCTCAGGTGATCCGCCCCCCTCGGTCTCCCAATGTACTATGTTTTTACTGTATCTTTTCCATGTTTAGATATTACTACTGTGATATAACTGCCTACAGCAGTGGGCCCCAAAGTTTTGACACCAGGGACTGGTTTTGTGAAAGATAATTTTTCCACGGAGTGGGGATGGCTTTGGGCTGAAACTCTTCCACCTCAGATCATCAGGCATTAGTTAGATTCTTTTTTTTCTTTTTTTTCTTTTTTAGACTGAGTCTCCCACTGTTGCCAGGCTGGAGTGCAGTGGCACAATCTCGGCTCACTGCAACCTCTGCCTCCCGGGTTCAAGTGATTCTCCTGTCTCAGTCCCCCGAGTAGCTGGGACTACAGGCATGCGCCACCACACCCAGCTAATTTTTGTATTTTTAGTAGAGACGGGGTTTCCATGTTGGCCAGGATTGTCTTGACCTTGTGATCCACCTGCCTCGACCTCCCAGAGTGTTGGGATTACAGGCGTGAGCCACAGCACCCAGCCTAGTTAGATTCTCATAAGGAGAACATAACCTAGATCCCTTCTATGGGCAGTTCACAATAGGGTTTGCGCTCCTGTGAGGGTCTAATGCTGCTGCTGATCTGACAGGAGGCGGAGCTCAGGCAGTAATGCTCGGCTGGCCAGCCACTCATCTACTGCTTTGTGCCCAGTTCCTAACAGGACACGAACCGGTGCTGGTCCATGGCTTGGGTGTTGCGGACCATTGGCCTACTGTATTCAGCACAGTGACATGCTGCACAGGTGTGTAGCCCAGGAGCAATAGGCTGTACGATATAGCCTAGGTATGTAGTAGGCTACGCTGTCTAGGTTTGTATAAAGTACACTCTTTGGTGTCTGCACAGCCACAAAATCACCTAATGATGCATTTCTTGGAATATATTACCATTAAATGAGATTTACCTGTATTAGTGTCATCTCAGGTTTATTGTCTAGTAATTTTAAAAGTATTTGTATATTCTTTCCCAGACACATCATCATACTCTGGTGCATATCTCTATTTTATTCCCTAGACCCACTCTTAATTTTTCTGCATTCTGCTTTGTTCCTTAGGAGGCTCACCTGAATTGGATACTTCAGAGATCTCCCTTACCCTCATGCTTTTATTGGGGTTCAGCTAATGGAGGGGGTGGCAGAAGATAGGTGAGAGAAGAGTGTGTTTATCCCCCACCTCTGCCCCTGCAGGGTCAGCACAGGCAGACTGTGTCCCTTTGCTGAAGATCACAGCTTCTGTCTGGTGCCTTCTTTGGCAAGCTGGCACTGTCTCTAGTCAGATGACTGCTTGGCCCCTTACTACTTACACTCTTCTGTCTGGTTTCTTTGTGACTTTCCTGCTGTGCTGTAAGTAGTCCCTTTATTAGAATCCATCCACACTACCCAGTTATATAAAGACAAATAGTTGGTCACTGATCTAGTTCACTCCCTGAGAATCAGCCTTCATCAAAGATCCCTAACAGTCAGATATTCTGTTGGCCGCTCCATTCCTGCTCCCCATTATTCTAGTTGTGTCTTCCTTGTCTCTAGTGCAGTCACAAAGCATAAGCGCCTCCACTGTCACTTGTTCTTTGCAACTCTAGGATCACATCATTCCCCTTGAAATCAGAGAACCTGCAATCTCCCCAAGCCCACAAAATTCAGCCGTCACAGTACTTTTCAAGCATGCCAGCAGCCCTCCCCAACAAACGAATCCTAATTTCTTGGAGAAACATCTTCTGGGGCTTCCTGTGGGACACAGTGGGGGTCGGCTTGGCATGTGGATCACACCTGATATTTTTACCCCCACCTCCTACTATTCCTATTCCTTTGTATGCACCTCTCTTTATTATGCTAGGAAAGCTCTGGCAACGCAACCTCAAAATAAGCAGGCCAGTGTGGATTCACAGTTTCTGTCAGACAAACAAACTTGAGCACCACTTCTAACTTCTTGGGCTAAGACTTTAACTTTAGAATCTCTATGTATCTATGTTGATAAACTTAGCCTATGTCAAGATTATATTCTGCATGCCTTAGTCAAACACCACGTAAATCTATGCCTCATATATTCTCTAGTCTTTAGCTGATAGGGATTAGCAAAGTAGTGTGGTTGTTTTGGTCTTTAAACAATGTCCATTTTCTACCAGCTTTCCATTGCACTCTTTTTTTTTTTTTTTTTTTTTTTTTTTGAGATGGAGTCTTGCTCTGTCGCCCAGGCTGGAATGCAGTGGCGCGATCTCGGCTCACTGCAAGCTCTGCCTCCCGGGTTCACGCCATTCTCCTGCCTCAGCCTCCCAAGTAGCTGGGACTACAGGCGTGTGCCGCCACACACGGCTAATTTTTTGTATTTTTAGTAGAGATGGGGTCTCACTGTGTTAGCCAGGATGGTCTGGATCTCCTGACCTCGTGATCGGCCCACCTTGGCCTCCCAAAGTATTGGGATTACAGGCGTGAGCCACCGCACCGGGCCGACGCCATTGCACTCTTACAGACCATGTTGACAAAATTATAACTGCAACAGTCAACTACAATAGCAATTTTACCTCTCATGTACCACTTTAAAAAACACATCATTCCCAATAACCACATTTGATGATTTAAGTAATCATGATACCACCGTACACTACAGATGATCAGGTTTCTGTCTCCTCCCGACAAGAAGGTCAGGAATTCATTCAGACTGAAACAGGTCAGCAAACCACTTCCAGATTCTCATCTATAAAGATCTATTTCTAGAACCATTTCTAGTACCTATACAATATTAGAATCAAGTCAGGAAGCAGAAAACATTCTAGATATTTTAAACAGAAAACAATTCATGGAGAGATCAATTACAAGAGTATGTGTAGCAAAAGATGAAAGGGTCAGGTTAAGTAACTTGATAAATCTCTGCTTCTTTTGTGTTGGGTGATAAAAATGTTGACCAGAGATCAGTGGCAGATGATCCAAGGCGTCAGCTGTCCAAGCTCAGCATCTGGAGCCGGTGCTGAGGAAATGTGCATTTCTAGGTCTGGGCGCCATTGGACCATCACTACTGTCCTTGAAGCTGCCACCGTGAGAACTCACATCTCAGCTGCTATAGCCACAGCTGATATTGTCATTGCTTCCAGAATTATTTCCCTTGCTCCATCGTGGGGATCCCGCAATACTGCTGCTGCTGAAATCACTGTTGTTGCTCCTTCCAGAACTGTCGGCACCGCAGCATTATTATCACTGCAGCTACCACTGGAGATGGCTACAGACACCAGAAACGGAAGAGCACCTCTCCCCTCCTCCGGCAGTGTGACTTTCAGTCGGCTCCTCTCGTAGCCAGATGGTATAGAAATGACACACCAATGTCCTTCAGAACATACATGCAAAATATTTTAAATATATTAGAAATTCTATTCCCCTTAGAAAACTAAGTCCACCTACATATTTTTCAAAAATCCATCAGCAATACAGAATAAAGGCATTGGTTCTATACAGCGTTGCAAGAATATTTTAACAATAGAAGGTATTTTAATGTCATTCACCACATTAGGAGATTGAAAAAGGGAAAACACAGGATTATCTTAGCAGATGTAGGAAAAAAATAAGATGGTAAAATACAACATTCATTTATATTAAAATCTTTATACCAAACTAGGAAAAGCAGACAAATTTCTTAACCTGATAAGCTTATCTATAACAAAACCATCGACACCACCATATGTAATGTTGAAGCATAATCGTTATTTTTTATAAAAGCTAGGAAAGGGAATGAGATGTCTGTTGACACTGCTCGTATTTATCATTGTCCTGGGGTTTCTGGCCAGTTCAGTTAAGATAGGACAAAGAAATATTACAGAAAGAGGAAGAAAAAAAGAAAACACATACGTTGTCATTGTGTGGAGTTTCTGTTTGTTTGTTTATGTGTTTTTGTGAGATGGTGTCTCACTCTGTCGCCCAGGCTGGAGTACAGTGGTGTGATCTTGGCTCACTGCAACCTCATTGTGTGGAGATTTGTAATTACCCATAGAAAATCCAAGAAAATTTGTGGATGCACTAATCAAATCAGCAAGGTTTTCAGATATGAAGGCAAAGTAAACAGAAAATGAAATTCTTATAAACAGTAGCAACCAATTAAAAATATTATATTATAATATCACATTCATGGTAACATAAAACATTAATGTATCTAAGAATTAATTCAGAAAACAAATACATGATCTTTCATTTAATTTTATTAAAGTTATTTCAATAAATATACCACCAGTATTTTTTTAGAACTTGATTGGAAAAGTCATATTAAAGTAATCAACGGAAAGGAAGAACCAAAGTTATTTTGAACAATAATAGCCTATCAATATTTAAATGTGTTTTAATTATAATAATTAAAATGGTTTGCTTTGGCTCAGTGATACACCGTTAAACAATGGGAAAAAATGGAAGCACCAAGAAATAGATCCATAGGTATGCTGAATACATTGGACTTGTAATAAAAGATATGATACTAAAAGTCAGTAGAAAAATTATACTATCCAATAAATGCTGTCAGAAAAAACATATAAATTTTTATCCATATATAAATAAAAATCTGTATATTACAGCATATCACAAAATCCTGTATCTATTTAGGTTACAGACTCAAATCTTAAACTACTTGTGAAATTACTTATGAATATTACATGTTTAAGATATTTAAAAGTATATACAGAGAACTAATGACGTTGGGCAACAAATGGCTTATTAATCAAATGCCAGAATGCATGAAGAAGAAAAGAAAAATAAATTAGACTGTATTAAAATGAAAAATCCTAGGCATCCTAAATAAAGGTTAAATGCAAGCCAGAAAATTGGGTAAAATATTTACAAAATATATAATTGAAAAGTATAATATCCATTATATAAAGAGGATTTCTACAAATTAATGATATAAAATAGTTTAGTAGAAAAAATGATTAAGAACTACTCCACAATATTCACAACAGATGATAAATAGTGAATTATTGTGAAAAGACAATTGAAAAGAGCAAGGTACAATTCAACAGCAATAAGACTTTATGCCCTTTTCTATAAAAACACAAAACTATGCCAAGGGCTTTAGGAACCGTGAATTTATATACGGCGAAGGGGAGTTTAAATCTGCCACTTTGAAGAGTTTTTTGGAAATATATAGTAAAGTTGAAAATATATACATATGTGTATATATATATACCCACACACATACACATACACACTAGAAATTCCACAAGGTAAACCTTCTCCAAGAGAATACACACACATTTGCAGAAGAGATGTCCAAAGGTGTTTGTTGAAACATTATTAGTAATAGCTAAAAATTGGAAATAATCTTAAAGCTCATTACTAGGAAAATGGAAAAGTAAATCGTGGTATGTGCATATAATGTGAAACTATACATCAGTTAAAATTAATTGTCTGAATTTATATGGATCAATTTTTATATATTGAAACATCGTTGCATTCCAGGAATAAATCCCACTTGGTCATGGTGTATAATCCTTTTAATATGATGCTGAATTCAGTATGATAGTTTTTTTTTAGACAAAGTTTTGCTCTTGTTGCCTAGGCTGAAGTGCAATGGCATGATCTCGGCTCACCACAACCTCCACCTCCCGGGTTCAAGCGATTCTCTTGTCTCAGCCTCCCGAGTAGCTGAGGTTACAGGCATGCACCACCACACATGGCTAATTTTGTATTTTTAGTAGAGACAAGAGTTTCTCCATGTTGGTCAGGCTGGTCTTGAACTCCTGACCTCAGGTGATCCACCCACCTCAGCCTCCCAAAGTGCTGGGATTACAGGCATGAGCCACCATGCCCCACCCAGTATGCTAGTATTTTTAGAGTTTTTGCATCAATGATCAGAGGCATATTGATCTGTTGTTTTATTTTCTTATAGTGTTTTTGGCTTTGGTATCAGGGTAATGCTGGCCTCATAGAAAGAGTTAAGAGGTATTCACTCCTCTTCCACTCTTTGGAAATGCTTGAAAAGAATCAGTGTTAGTTCTTCTTTAAACGTTTGGCAGAACTCACCAGTAAAGCTATCAGGTCCAGGACTTTTCTTTGTCATGAGATTGTCTTATTACTGACTCAATTCCCTTACTAGGTTAGGTCTATTCTGACTTTCTGTTTCTTTATAATTGAGTCTTGGTAGGTTTTGTGTGTCTAGGAATTCATCTATTTCATCTGGGTTATCCAATTTATGAGCACACAATTATTTATAGTAATCTTTTATAATCCTTTCTAGGCTGGGAATGGTGGGTCATGCCTGTAATTCCAACAATTTGGGAGGCCGAGGTGGGAAAATTCCTTGAGGCCAGGAGTTCAAGATCAGCCTGGATAACATGGCAAGATCCTGTCTCTTAAAAAAAAAAAAAAAAAAAAGAGCTGGCATAGTGGCGAGCCCAGGAATTCGAGGCTGCAGTGAGCCGATTGTGCCACTGATTGTGGTTGCATCTGATTGTTGCCAGGGCGATGGAGCTAGACCTTGTCTCTAAAACATAGACAGACACTTGTTTCTAAAACATAGACAGGCAGACAGACAGACAGACAGAAATATATAAAGATATTCTCAAATACATTTCTGTTTTAAGTAATTTAGATTGTTTCCCTTTTCCTTAGTCTTGTCAGTTTTTTTTTTTTTTTTTTGAGACGGAGTCTCGCTCTGTCGCCCAGGCTGGAGTGCAGTGGCGGGATCTCGGCTCACTGCAAGCTCCGCCTCCCGGGTTCACGCCATTCTCCTGCCTCAGCCTCCCAAGTAGCTGGGACTACAGGCGCCCGCCACTATGCCCGGCTAATTTTTTGTATTTTTAGTAGAGACGGGGTTTCACCGTTTTAGCTGGGATGGTCTCGATCTCCTGACCTCGTGATCCGCCCGCCTCGGCCTCCCAAAGTGTAGTCTTGTCAGTTTTATTAATCTTTTTGAAGAACCAACTTTTGGTTTTGTTTTTTATTGTTTTTCTATTCTCTTTTCCATTTATCTCTGCCCTGATCTCTATTGTTTCCTTCCTTCTGCTAACTTTGGGTTTAGTTTCATTCTTCTTTTTCTAGTTTCTTAATGTGTAAACTTATGTTGTTGAATTGAGGTGTTTCTTTTTTTAATGTGTTTATAGCTATAAATTTCCTCCCTAGCACTCCTTTCACCACAACTCATAAGTTGTGGTTTTTTGTTGTTTCTTTGTTTTTTGAGACAGAGTCTCATTCTGTCACCCAGGCTGGAGTGCAGTGGTGTTAGCTCAGTGGTGCAACCTCTGCCTCCTGGGTTCAAGAAATTCTCATGCCTCAGCCTCCTGGGTAGCTGGGACTACAGGCACGTACCACCACTCCCAGCTAATTTTTGTGTTTTTAGTAGAGACGGGGTTTCACCATGTTGGCCTGGCTGATCTTGAACTCCTGACCTCTAGCTATCCACCTCCCTCAGTCTCCCAAAGTGCTGGGATTACAGGTGTGAGCCACCACAACTGGCCACAACCCATAAGTTTGGATATAGTGTGCTTTCATTTTCATTTGTCTTTAAGAATTTTATAATTTCTTTGTGATTTCTTTGATCCATTGGTTGTTTGAGAGTGTGTTGTTTAAATTCTACTAATTTGTGAACTTTTTAAAATCTTCTGTTATTGATTTCTAACTTTATCCTGTTGTGGTCAGAGAAGACACTTTGTATGATGTCTATCGTTTTAAATCTACTGAGCTTTTTTCCTTTTTTGGGACAGGGTCTCGTTCTGTCAGTGGTACAATGGTACATTTTCTTTGTCATGAAGTACAGGCTGGAGTACAGTGGTACAATCTCTGCTCACTGCAGCTTCAACCTCCTGGGCTCCTAAGCAATTCTCACGCTTCAGCCTCCCAAGAAGCTGGGATCACAGGCACGCACCACCATGCCCAGCTAATTTTTGTATTTTTAGTAGAGATGGGGTTTCACCGTGTTGGCCAGGCTGATGTCAAGCTCCTGGCTTCAAGCAATCCACCCGCCTCAGCCTCCCAAATTACTCTGGGATTACAGACGTGAGCCACTGCACCCAGCCCCTATTGAGAATTAATTTGTGATGTGTTATATGGTCTATCCTGAAAATGTCCCATGTATACTTGAGAAGTATGTGTATTATGTTGTTGGGTAGAATATCCTGTGTATGTCTGTTAGGTCTAGTTGTTTTTTCAGGTGTTGTTCAAGTGCTGTATTCCTTTACTTATGTCTGGTCTGGTTGTTTTATTCATTTGTGAAATGAAGACAAGGGACAAAATCCTAAGACATCCCCCTTAAAAGGGAAGGACCACCCACAGAAAAGGACTGAGAGACCCCCAGAATCTATAGCTTAGCTAATTGATGGTCTTTCTCTCCTGAAGTTAGTAAAGAGTGGAAAAGATGACTCCTTCTTCAAACATGAAGAAAGCAATCTAAGTCTTCAAAGAACAGGAAGCATGAGAAAATATGACACCACCAAAGAAACAAAATGAAACTCCAGTGGCTGACTCCAAAGACATGAAGATCTACAAATTGCCTGACAAAGAATTCAAATAATCATCTTAGGGTGACATCAGCAAGATGGCAGAACAGGAGGCCCTCCACTCACCTCTCCCCACACAAACAATGATCTGGAGCCATTCATGGACAAAACTGCCTTTGCAAGAGTTTTAATATCCAGGCAGGAGGTGGCAAAACTCTAGCAAAGCCCAAAACCAAGGAGAGCTGCTTTGAGAAGGCAGGTCCACACACCAGTGACAGGTTCCCAGTTGCAGACTGAAAGCAGCTTTGTCCTCCTATGGACTTGGGTCCAGCTCCACTAGATCATGTTCTTGCAACTAGCCCCATCCACTAAGCACCTAGGAGGAACCATGACCATTTATGCCCCCAGTAACAGGCCTTCTAACCATGGTCCTGACTGCAGAAACTAAAGCAGCCCTGACCTGGCTTCAGCCCCACTCTACCACAGTCAGTCTTGCCTGCCCAGGAATTCAGTGATGCCTTTACATGCCCTTGGTAACAGGCCTGCTGATCTCAGTGTCAGCTATGGACACTAAAGTAGCCCTGTGACTCCATTCCAGTCTTGCTTTGCCCGTCTGGGCACAGTCCAGCCCATCCTGGGACCTGGTGAAAGACATACCATCCATTCTCCTAATAAGAGGACCACCAATCTTGAACCCAAATGTGGTCACCAAAGCTGTCCTGTGACTTGGCTCTAGCCCTGCTCTACTGTGGTCTGGAGGCAGTCCTGTCTTCCCATGGACCTACCTAGTAAACCAGCAGGAGCTCAATCTGGGACCCACAGGGAGCTATACCAGTCCATGCCCTTGGTAATAGGCCTGATATCTGAAGACTTGACTGTAGAACTAGAAGTGGCCCCATGACCTGGCTCCAGTCCTGTTCAATCAGGGTATCAGAGGCAGTCCAGTTCTCCTGAGGATCCAGCAGAAACTGCATCACTAACCTATGCCTTGATAGCAGGCCTGCCAATCAGAGATTCAGCTGCAGACCAGGCAGCAGCCATGTGATATGGCTCCAGGCCCACTTGACTGTGATCCAGTCAAGGGATCCAGCAGGAAAAGGTTTGTACCTGCTGAAACCAATCTATAAAGACAGAAAGAGATTGGGCATGGTGGCTCACACCTGTAATCCCAGCACTTTGGGAGGCCAAGGCGGGCAGACCACTTGAGGCCAGGAGTTTGAGACCAGCCTGGACAACACGGTGAAACTCTGTCTCTACAAAAAATACAAAAAAATTAGCCAGGCGTGGTGGCACATGCCTGTGATCCCAGCTGCTTGGGAGGCTGAGGCAGGAGAATCATTTGAACCTGGGAGGTGGAGGTTACAGTGAGCTGAGATCACGCCACTGCACTCCAGCTGAGTGACAGAGCAAGACTCTGTCTCAAAAAAAAAAAAAAAAAAAAAAGAAGAGGTATTTGCTTCTTCATAGACATTAATGAAAGTCTGTAGATCATGAAGAATCAGCAAATATGACACTACCAAAATAAACTCATAAATCTCCTGTAATCAACCCCCCAAAAATAGAGATCTACAAATTGTCTGACAATTCAAAATAATTGATTTAAGACAGCTCAGTGAAATTTACTAGAATGTATATATCAACTCAATAATATCAAGAAAATAGTAGATGAACAAAACTAAAAGTTCAATAAAGATACAGAAATAATAAGAACCAAACAGAAATTCTAGAACTGAAGAATACAATGAATAAAATGAAAATGCAAGCTGGGTGCCGTGGCGGACTCCTGTAATCCCAGCACTTTGGGAGGCCGAGGCAGGCGGATCACTTGAGGTCAAGAGTTCAAGACCAGCCTGGCCAACATGCCAAAACCCCATCTGTATTAAAAATACAAAAATTAGCCAGGCATGGTGGCATATGCCTGTAATCCTAGCTACTAGGGAGGCTGAGGCAGGAGAATCGCTTGAACCGGGAGGTGGAAGTTGGAGTGAGCCAAGATGGCACCACTGCATTCAAGCCTGGGTGACACAGACTCTGTCTCAAAAATATATAAAAATAAATAAATGAATGAAATGAAAATGCAATAGAGAATTTCAATTGCAGACTTGATCAAACAGAAGAAACAGAAGAAAGAATCTGTGAAATTAAAGCCAGGACATTTGAACCCGGAAGGCAGAGGTTGCAGCGAGCCGAGATTGCACCACTGCACTCCAGCCTGGGCAACAGAGCGAGCCTCCATCTCAAAAAAAAAAAAAAAAAAAAAAAAGACAGAGGTTGCTCTCTGAATGCCTGAGGGATTCAGGGCTGAGTCCACCAACATTGTTTCATGAAACTCTACTCAGCCAGCCAGTGGAGGCATCATGTATACAGTCAGCACTCCACATATCCTCACTTCCTGAGCATCTACAGTGCAAACCGACACACTCATCACACTCAAACAGCACATGCCGCACGTCAACCCGAGCCTCCCTCACAGGTTGCTTTCATCTCTTTTTCTCTCTTCACTGCAAGTTTTTTGCCCAAATGCAATTAGACACTTTTTTTTACAGAGACAGAAACCAAAGAGTTTTAACTAGGCACCACTACAGCAGTGGCTGTTGACCATCGTCTCCTGGCTGGAACCAGGGAATCCTGTGGGTGAGGGAGGAGCAATGCAGCAGCCCCAGCTGACTCACTCTGGGGTGGATGGATGGATTTACTCACTTACTTACTTATTTATTATTTGATTCTTGTTCTGTTGCCCAGGCTGCAGTACAGTGGTGTGATCTCAGCTCACTGCAGCCTGGACCTCCTGGGCTCAAGTGATCCCACCTCAGTCTCCCAAGTGGCAAGTAGCTGGGACTTCAGGCACATGCCACTATGCCAGCGAATTTTTTAAACTTTTTGTAGAGACAGGCTCTCACCCTGTTGCCCAGGCTGGTCTTGAACTCCTGGCCTCAAGCCATCTGCCCATCTTGGCCTCCCAAAGTGCTGGGATTACAGGTGTGAGTCACCACACTCAGCCCACTCAGTTTTGAGTGGCCATTTGCTTTGACTCAGCAAACACTTCTGATGGTAACAAAGCACCAACTGGGTGGCTGGTTTCAATCCTACTCTTGCCACCCAACACCGCAACATTTTATCAACCTGGAGCAAATGCTCTCGGGTCCTGAGGAGCTGGCCACACAGCCCATTTTGCTGGTGGGACAGTGGGAAGCCCCGCCCTCCTCCCATCCCACACCACTTAGGCAAGAGCTGTGCCTAGGAAATGTCACCCGTAACTGGTCCGCACAGACCCTGTCTTCTAAAAGGGTGCTGTGCCTCCACCAGACCCCATGAGCAATACATTTGTCAAGCACACGCAAGACATGCCAAGGCCAAGGCCTGACTGATTTGACAGTAAAGACACAATGAGCCCCTCTCATTCAGACCTTATTACTCACAGAGTGAAAATAAGAGAAGCCTGAGGTGGCAGCTCCCTGCTGTCCTGGTGCCACACACTAAAAAGGACAACACTGAAACAAAAGGGGTCAGAGAGCATGCGTTGCGGGACACCCACTGTGGAGGAGCCCCTTGACACTGCAGCTGGGTGGCGTCCTCATCTGCAGCTCTGTTTTGAGGGCCGGGGGCAGGGAGCCTCACCCTCACCAGGGCCAGTGAGGCAGGAAGTGAGGAACAGTCTCGGGAGACAGACGGAGTGAGCGGTGGCCTGGGTGCAGCCTGATGTTCTGGGAGGAGCAGGCTTAGGTCAGGTGCTGTGTGCACCTCTGCATGGCCTATGGGGATCCTGCAATGGCTCAGGGCCCCACAGCAGAGCTGTTTCTCCGCCCACACAACAGACATACAACCTGACACATGAAAACTCACAGAGAAACACAGAAAGGCACATGTGACAAAGAGCCACACAAAAGGCATGCAGCAAAGCCTTTTGACACACGTGCGCGCACACACACACACACACACACACACACACACACAGGCACCCACTCCTTCAAACCTTGGTGTTTGCCCAGACACAGCTGTGTCAGAGACAGGGGACCTGCAGCTCCCCAACACACACCAGTCACCCCACACTAACCCAAGGTGTCACCAGCCAGCCTGGTGGACTCGGGAGGCCAAGTGGAGGTGGACAGTGGCCGCAGAGCAAAGGCCTTCGGTGGATACCACCCGACGGGAAGAGCCATGGGGCCCATCGTGTCCACACACACAGGGGAAACGCACGTCTGCGAACCAGCTCCCCCATTCCTACACATATATCACCCATCCCTGGGGCTCTGGAGGATGAGACCCCTCCTTCCAGACCAGGCCCTCCCTGAAGACCCAGAGGTGGCCCAGGAGTCCCCATGCCTGAGTGACATACTGCTCATGTCCATGAAAAAGAAAAGGAACTTTGTGTGTGTGTGTGTGTGTGTGTGTGTGTGCGCGCGCGCACAATGGAAGTTTATATATATATGTATAAAGTATATATATATATTCATATATATATTCTTTTAAGTTCTGGGGTACATGTGCAGAACGTGCAGGTTTGTTACATAGGTATACACGTGCCATGGTGGTTTGCTGTGCCCATGAACCTATCATCTACATTACGTATTTCTCCTAATGCGAAAGGAACTTTTTTATCTGAGGAATGTGAGCTCCCTTTAATTATCTGGCCCAGAGAGGCACTGGAATGAAACAGCAGTCACATCCCACTCCTACTTGAGCTAACGACCTCTTGAAGCCAATTGCTCTGTGGGTTCCAGACTGACACCAAGTAGGCATAAAAAGCCATACGCTGGACACCATAACTCTTACCCAGTAGTCCAACACCTTATAGCCAGTCACTAAGGGTTCTCTCTGGAAAGCAGTCAGAATTCCTGCTGACTTCATATCAGCCCACTCCTTGTCCCCTTCAGTCTTTAAAAACTTGCTTGTAATAAGGCTGAATGAAGCACTCCCAGGGCAACTTGGTGTGTCCTGGGCAGCTCTCTCAGCCTTGGCCCAGACAAACTCTCTATATGAACTGTGGTTCAGTTTGTTTCTTTAGGTTGACATCCACATTAGGGGAGCAGTGTTGCTGGGCTGGGGAAGCTGGTTCAGGTCAGACGTTGCACCAAGGGTTGGAGAAGGGGCCTTCCTGCATCAGCACCCGGACAAGGCAGAGGAGCAGGTGTCCAAACCCAGGCCTGGCCTGCTCCTGCTGTGGCTCACAGCCCCCACCCCACCTGGCAGACCCCGGAGCTGGCGACAGTGTTGCCCAGCTGGCCACAGACATATCATCACGTGGGGCTGCCCTATATCCTCCCAGTCTCCACACAGACACTCTTCATGGACTGGGGGACTGAGGGCAGGGACACTGGTGAAACAGGCAGGCGTCTTCACCCAGCTAATCATCCCACTCACCACCTCCGGGGGAGGTGACAGTGACCAAGCCCAGCCCCAGCTGGCTCCTGGTCACTCACTACAGACTCAGCTCCCACAATCTCGAGTCCCACCTCCAGCTCCTGCCATTCTGAGGGACCTGGAGGCCAGGGTGCCCGGCGCATGACCAGCTCTGGGTTGTGGACCGCCCTCCACGGCAGTGGCCTGAGCGCTTGTCATTATTCACTTTATTCATGCCTGGTTTCTGTCTGGAAGGGACCACAAGGACATGGCGTGCAGGGGAGCCAATCCTGCCAGGGACTGAGGAAACAGATCCTGGAGAAAACCAGACACTTTGCTGGCACTTCAGGGGGACCCCAGTTGGTTGGCTCAACGCCCCCTCTTCCCCATAGCCAATTACTAACCAATGTTCTCTCTGGAAACCAGTCATAATTCCTAACCTGGTCAAAGCAGGGTCATCTCACACAGCCCAGCCACCCAGCAGGCAGCTAAAGAGTGCCTGATGAAATGCAAGTCTGATCGTGTCTGCGTCCCCAAGCCCTTCCGTGCCCCCTGCTGCTCTATGGACAAGCCCCCAGCAGCCTCTGTAATGCACAGCACCCGCCCTTGTCTCCTGTGCTGGCTTCCGCAGCCTGGCCACACTGGTCCTCTCGCCCACCCACCTGACCTGACTCTGGCAGGGCCTTTGCAGGAGCCATTCCTCCACCCGAGCCCCTCCTATTAAAGCCTGTTCCTAGACGGTTCAGCCCCAGCCACCAGAAGCCCCCCAGCCCCGGCCCAGCAGCTGGCCTGTGGAGCGGGGAGAGCGCAGTCTGGGCTCACGGGCTGGGGGCCACGGAGGCCCAGATGGGGACTCTGGCTCCGACTGTCCTGACCCAGAGGCTCTAGGGCGGTCCTGTCTGTCTCACCCCGGGGGCGGGGAGGACGCAGACAGACCCCAGCGCCACTGCTCGGCCGCGGATGGTGCCTTAGACCCAGGTCCTGTGGGCTCTGGCCCGAGACCCCTGCCTCTGGGGAGGCCGGTGACCGGGACAGTCCACCTCGCAGGCGCGCCGGCGCGGAGCCCGGACCTCGGCCCGCAATGACTCAGCAAGGGCCGGTGGGATTCTCCGTGGTCCTGCGATATCCAGACGGCGGAGTCTCGCCTTTAATGTCGCGCGGGGAGCAGGCAGGTGCGAGCCTGGGCTGAGCAAAACCCTCCTTGGAGTCTCCGCAGAGGAGCGGGGCGCGCCTCCTGAATAAGCAGGCGGCGGGGCGCGGGGCAGGGCGGGGCAGGCGGCCAGGCCCTCTCGGGACTGTCGTAAAAGGGGGCGGAGCGCGCCGCGCGTGGGACAATCGTAAAAGGGGCGGGACGCGCCGCGCTCGGGATGTCGTGAAGCTGGGGGAGCTCGTCGCCGCCGCCGGCGGCTAGCGGGCGTCCGCGCCATGGAGCGCTACGCGGCCGCCTTGGAGGAGGTGGCGGACGGTGCCCGGCAGCAGGAGCGACACTACCAGTTGCTGTCGGCGCTACAGAGCCTGGTGAAGGAGTTGCCCAGGTACGCAGGCGGGGCGGGCGGAGGCCTGCGGAGGCGGCTTCGTTTCCCGCCGGGGCTCACCGCGCCCCCCTACCCGCAGCTCTTTCCAGCAGCGCCTGTCCTACACCACGCTCAGCGACCTGGCCCTGGCGCTTCTCGACGGCACCGTGTTCGAAATCGTGCAGGGGCTACTGGAGATCCAGCACCTCACCGAAAAGAGCCTGTACAACCAGCGCCTGCGCCTACAGAACGAGCACCGAGGTGCGCGGGGGCAGCGGGATGAGGTGCCGCCTCCTCCGGGTCGGCGCCTCCGGGCAGCTCTTGGTATCTGTGCAGATCAGCTCCTTCCTTGGAAGTGTTCGGAAGAGGTCTCTAAGATTGACAAAATCAACGGGCGCAGAGACTGAGACAGCGCCTTTTTGGTGATCAGTGGGTCCAACCAGTTTTGTTTTCAGTTGCGCAGCACCCACCTTCTTAGCAGAAACTCCCTGTTCGGGCTTCCCTGTGCCCCACGCGCTTCCAGACAGGATGGCCCTAGGCCTCGGTGCCTGATTGGCCTGCAGGCAGACTCTGGTGGTGGCGCTGACTGCAGCAGCATTGCCCCTCAGTAGTTGGAAGTCTGTTGACAGTTGTGCAGCAAGCGTCTTTCAGGGTCAGTTCCCTCTCAGGCCTCGCAGGGCCTCATTCCAGTTGCACATCAAATTCCTAAGCACTGTCTCCTGTGGCGCCCTCCCAAACCCGAAGAGCTTCCCACTTGAGCCAGGCCTGCTTGGTGGGCTTGGGAGCCCTTTCCTGCAAATTATATAGGGCAGGTCCCCCTGCACCATCAGTTTCCACCTTTGTTATTTTTCCCAAACTTCTTATTTTAGAAGTTAAAACATTTAGAAAAGCTGAAAAGATAGTATAGTGCATACGCTTGTGCTCTTCACTAAAGTTCAATAGTTAACGTTTTGCTCTAGTTCTTGACATCCCAAAATATATACATGTGACAGCATAGCATTCACCAAGAGTCTTCAGCATTCCTGGAGACCAGGATTTTCAACCCAGCCATGCTGACATTTGTGGCTGGGTAAGTCTTTTTGGTGAGATGCTGTCTTGCGCATTGCAGGATGGCAGGGGTACCCTCCCTAGTCCTGAAAACCAAGAATGCCTCCAGACAACCTGGGTGGTGGGGTCAACCTTGGCCTTGGATTGGGAGCAAGTGCTCTAGAACAAAACTGGTCTCCTACACAGCTGCAGAAGGTAGCCCCCTGAGAAATTAACTGTTCCGGGTGTCTCCTGACTTTCAGTGCACGGCCACATCATGGTACCTAACTTGTGGCAAATTGTTGCTTTATAAGTAAGGATCCAGTCCAAGTTCATGTACTACAATTGGTTACTTTGGTCTCTTTGCTTCTGAAACAGTCCCCAACATTTATTGTGGCATTGACTTTTTTGTAGAGTCCAGGGCATTCTAATTTTATAGAATGCCCTGCTCTTGATCTATCAGACGAAATGCTTCCTCTTGCATTTAACCTGCTTCTCCACTCTCTGGGTTTCCTGTACACTGGACTGCTGGTAGAAGCCTGATTAGAAGCAGGTTTAATGTGGCAAAAATTTCTCCTAGCAGTGCAAGGCCCCCTTCCCCAGAAGGCAGGCAGTGTCCATCTGCTCCAGGATTGGTGTGTTTTTATCAAGAATGGATGTTGGATTTTGGCAGTTCCCTTTTCGGCAGCTCTTGAGATGATCACGTGGTGAATCATTTTCTATTACTACAGTGAATTACAGTCACTTGAATTCCATCCTACTGGGTCGTGCTGTAGTATCCTTTTTATGTATGCTGGATTTGATTTGCTAAAATCTTAAGAATTTTTTGGTCTATGTTCATGATAAACTGTGGTCTATAGTTTTCATGTAATATCTGGTTTGGGTATCAGGGTTTTTGCCAGCCTTATAGGATGAGTTTCGAAGTGTTCTCTCCTCTTCAGTTTTCCAGAAGAGTTTGTGTAGAATTGGCATTACTTCTTCCCCTAAATGTCTGGGCGATTGTCTTTTTAAAATTTTTTATTGAGCTGTAAGATGTATGTAGTTTACTAATCCCAAGCGCATGGCTCATTATTCCTTAATGCCCAGACTGTGCCATGTGTGGCCAGTTGGGGGCGCTCCAGGCACCTTTAGATGCCGCCCCATCATTCTGTGAGCACTTTCTTGCTTTCTGGTTCAGGTATGTGTTCAGGCTCATCTTTTCTTGTTTTCTCCGTGTCTCAGTCCTGGAATCGGCCATTTTTCCACAGAGCTATAGTTCCTTATAGCAGGATGGGGAGTTTTAGTAACTGCCTGGGCCCAATGCTGTTTGTGCTTCAGAAGGTTTGGGCCAGGCCCTGGTTCCACCAGCAGCAGGCATGCCTGCATTGACTTTCTGCTTCTCCTGCTGATTTGGCAGGGGCGACTGGCTGCTCCTGCCTCCTTTGTGTTCCCTGGTCATGTCTAAGGCCAGGCCCCTTCTGCCCAGGCAGCCAGCGTGGCTCTCTTCTTGCCTTTTGGTTGTCTATCTAGTGGAATCTGGTAGTGGACCTGGCACTTGTAGCAATGTTTGATCAGTAGAGTGAAGGAGATGACATTTCCCTGCTTCCCTGTGTTATGGAGCTGTCTTGAGGGGGGCTTTTGGTAAATACCATCGTCGAGGTGTGTACAGAATGTGAAGAGACAGGAGATCGGGGAAGGCTGTAGGCACAGCGGGAGCCAGGCTACCTGCAGGGGAGCCTCAGGGGCCCTGGAGTTCCCTGGGGACTGGCCACCAGAGAAGAGCTGCAACATCAGGGCTCTTCCCAGGAACAGAGTGTTGGGTTTCACCTTTTCTTTTGGCCAGGGACCCCTCCCTCCTGGGGAGCTGTAGCCATTTGGCACTTACTGGTCACTGGCGCCAGCTGTGGGGTGCTGCATGTTCTGTTTCATGGTGGTTTATGTCCCATGATCGCTTCCTCTGTACATTCCCTTCAGACCAGACAGTTTGCACACATCTGTGTTTGTGCACAGTTTAGCAAGGACCGTGGAGCTTTACTTGATGGCTGAGGGTGAGCCCCTCAGAGCCACACAGGCTTATGGCACCCCAAGCTCATCCCAAACTTGGGCCTCCCAGGTCTGCCCACCCTTCTCCCTCTGGCGCTGTGCGGGGGCTGGGAGCTGCAAATGAGGGAGGGGCTGTCTACCCTGAAGGGCAGCACTGAGGGTGGAGGGCCCGACCACACCCCTGGTAGGCAGAGGCCCCACGCTCAGGGTCAGCGACCCCGCTCCTCCTGCTCCTTTCCCATGCCTTTGCCTGAGGTGGTCTCTGACACTTGAGTAGATGTCTCATGGCCTGTGGCCATGGGGGCCCTGAAGCCCTCAGACTGCAGCCTCCCTCCCGCCTGCCTCCTCCAGCTGCCCTGGGTCTGGGGCTGCAGCTTTGGCCCCACCTGGCCAGTCTTCCCCACCCCACTCTTTCAGTGCCCCGCACCTTCTGGAGTCCCCTGGAGACTTGCCACCAGATAAGGGCCCGGCCCTGGGTGACAGTGGGGTGGGAGGATGGAGGAGGCTGGCATCCTCCCCACTGCAGACACCCCTTTGGCCTGGCTGCTCTGCTGGGCTGGCAAGGCAGGTGCCCATGGGTGAGGGCTGCTGCCGAGTCCCACCGCCTGCTGACGGGCTCTCATCCCTCCCAGTGCTCAGGCAGGCGCTGCGGCAGAAGCACCAGGAAGCCCAGCAGGCCTGCCGGCCCCACAACCTGCCTGTGGTTCAGGCGGCTCAGCAGCGAGAACTAGAGGTACTGGGGGCGCAGGCAGGGTGGCCGGCCCAGCTCTCCTGTGGGCACCACCTGGCTCTGCTGACTGGGCTGAGCTGAAGGGGTGTGGGGGCTCAGGCATGGGTGGCTGTCCTGGGCCTGAGTGGGACACTGGAGGCCTAGTGAGTCCCACCAGGTGGCTCCTCTTTGCGGATACCAAGTGTGCTGGGGCTGGGTGGAGGTTGAGAACCCACCAGTGCTCCCCTGGATAGCAGCTCCTCGTGGGTTTGGGCCTCCACAGAGCAGGTGGCCTCAGGGGGGTACAAAGGCAATGGTAGGGTGTTGGGGCCAGGAAGGGGCCCATCCTTCTCCCAGGGAGCACAGGGACAACCAGAGACTGGCATGTAACCAACAAGCCGTGGGGCAGGGTGTGCCTGTGGAGATGTGTGTGTGGTCCTAAGGCAGTCCCAAGCCAGGGCATTCGTGGAAGCCCCTTGGGGCCCCCTTCAGGGGTTCACATGGCCGAGGAGAGGCCTGGGTGTGGTGAGGATGCACCGGTGGTGTCAGAGCTGCTGCCACTGGGGACGGCAGCAGGAGCATGTGTTTGAGCTGCCCTCACCTCCCCGCCCCCTGATGGCAGAGCTGCCCTCACCTCTCCCCCTCCGCGCCCTGGCCCCATGGCAGGCCGTGGAACACCGGATCCGTGAGGAGCAGCGGGCGATGGACCAGAAGATCATCCTGGAGCTGGACCGGAAGGTGGCTGACCAGCAGAGCACACTGGAGAAGGCGGGGGTGGCTGGCTTCTACGTGACCACCAACCCACAGGTCAGTGCCTGGGCCTGCTCTGCCCTAGCCCGAGTGCCCCGGGGCCCCATTCCATCTGGGGTTTTACTGCTGGTCCCTGGGGAGCCAGGCTCAGGGTATGGGGGTGAAGTGGAAGGATTGAGGCTCTGGAAAGGATTTCTGTGCCATTCCCAGCACGGAGGCCAGGCCCATTCCCTACAGGAGGGTGAGCCAGCCAGCCATGGGCACTGCCCACCCTCTCCAGGCCTGCTGTGCCACACAGGGCCCTCTTCTGCTCCCCTCCCGCATGCCATTCCGAGTGGCCCTGCTGGGGGCAGAGGCTCAGATTCCGAGTGGCCCTGCTGGGGGCAGAGGCTCAGATTCCGAGTGGCCCTGTTGGGGGCAGAAGCTCAGATTCCACCCTGTCCTGGCAGGCCATGACCAGGCTTCACAGGATGGTCGCCCCCGTGGGCTCACTGCCTGGCACCCTTGGGCCGGGATGAAAGGGGCCTGGGGGTCACTCTGGCCTTCATGGGGCCCCTCTGTATCCCAGGAGCTGATGCTGCAGATGAACCTGCTGGAACTCATCCGAAAGCTGCAGCAGAGGGGCTGCCGGGCAGGGAATGCAGCCCTGGGACTGGGAGGTCCCTGGCAGTCGCCTGCTGCCCAGTGTGACCAGAAAGGCAGCCCTGTCCCACCATAGCCACAGGCAGCAGAAGTCTGGGCAGAGTTCATCTTCTTGACCTTTGGCCACTGCCTTCCCAGCTGCCCGCAGGGGGTTCCCCCTGCTGAGGAGAGACCAGGTGGACCCCAGCTGCCTGTCACCCTTCATCTGGGACTTGCTGTCAAACCCTAGGATAGTCTCATAAAGGGGAGGCTGGGCCAGCCTGCTGCTGTCTGCTTCAGGACCAGGCAGAGAGTGAGGCTGGGGGTTCTCACACCTTACTCCACCGGGCACATCCCAACCTGCACTGGGGCCCACCCGAGCGCTTGTTCTGGTCTCAGCCGCTCCCTTGGCAGCTGCAGCCCCCATGCAGAAGAGGCTCCCAGGCCCAAGCTCTGTGTGACCCAGAGAAATAAAGATGCCTCAGTGTGGCCCAAATGTGGCTTGTGTGATAGCTGCAGGTTCTGCCATAACCGGGGCCCTGGTAGGGCCCCCACCTCTGTTGCAGCAGAGGCCTCTACCTGGGGGCCCCTTCCTGGGCTGTGTGCCCAGCCCACCACCCCTCCCCCTGCCTGGAGACTGGGACCCTCCAGCCTTTCCTGCCCCAGCCCTGGTCCCAGGATGCTGTCACTGCCATCTGTACAGGGGCCCCCATCCAAGCCCCAGGGCATGAGGACCACATCCAGCCTGCTTTGTGGGGCTGGGGGCTGGAGAGCATGGGAGAAGGCCCGGAGTGCAAGTATGCGCCTGCCGCAGCCTGGTCAGTGTCCTGTGGGAACCACTAGGAGGAGCCTGATGCAGGTCACTGGGATAGAGGACTCAGGGTGGCAGGAATGGCCTGAGGAGGAGCCCTGCGGGGAGGCATGCCAGGGCCACCTGGGGAGCTTGGCTTCTGCATCTGCATGAGTCCCCTCCGTGCTGGCCTGGGCCCATGGGCCCTGCTGGGTCCTTGTGGAGTCAGGGTTGGGGGTGTCCAGCACCCTGGGTGGCCAGGTCTGCGCAGGGCCTGGCCTCCAGGAACAGATGATGCTGGAAGCCAGAGTTTGGGATGAGACTTCTCTGACCCTGTCTGAGCCACTCCCTCTTTGTTGCCCAGAGCTGACCCTGTGTGAGGGCAAAGGGCTCTCAGCTGCAGGAACAGTGGTTTATTGACCAGGCAGGCCTCCCCAGCCCGGCCACTGCTCCCCGAGGGGCTCGGGCTATGTGGGCTGGCCTTGGGAGAAGGTGGACAATCCTCTAGGTCCAAGGACATGGGGGTCACAGAGGTGGGGGCCTTGGGCCCACACATCCGAGGAAAGTTCCTAACAGTTACCAGCGGCTATCCCAGGCAGGTATCAGGGTCAGCCCACACCTGAGTGCCCCCACCATTGGCAGGGCTGGGAGGCACCTGACTCCACCTCCAGCAGCTCTGCAAGTGTGGGGTGAAAAAAGGTGAATCTGTGTGAGGATGGGGTTGGCTGCAGCTGTGGTGATGGCCTGGGCGGGGGCGGGGGGGTGCTAGGTGGGGCAATGGAAGAGGTTGCCAGTTCGGAGCCACCTCAAGAGCTCCAGCCACAGCAGCTGCCGCTCCCGACGGGCACCCTTCACGAGGCTGCTGTTCTCCAGGGCGTGGCAGGACACGTATGACAGCACCTACAGCCCTATACTTGTACACAGGGTAGCCAGCCTGGCCTGCATGGGGGCAGATAATGCCATGAGGCCCAGGCCCAGCACCACACTCCATCGCACCAGGGAGGGCCCCATTCACCCAGCGGGAAGCTGATCTGGTCACACATGCCTAGCAGCTGTCCAAAGTACAGTAGGATGCAAGCGCAGCTCCTCCATCCTGTGCAGGTAAAGCCAGGAGCTGAGGGCTAATTCCAGGACACTGTCCCCGGTGCAGGGGTACAGGGCCCCTGTCCCAGCTCTGACCCTGTCCTGCCACCCCAGGTCCCCCATCTACACTCTCCAGACTTTATCCCCTTTGAAGTGGGGTTGGGATATAGGCTCTGTCCGGCCCTCTCCCAGTGAGGCCTCTTCCCAGCAGGACTCTGCTGGGCTGCCCTACTCTTCTCCCTGGGGAGGCCTCAGCCCTTAGCCAACAAGGCCCCCCTCCTGCCTTCCCTACCCTCCTCTCTCCCACCTCTCCTCTACCTCCCTTCTTGGAGGTGCAGCCCTTCTGGGGCTTTGACCCACCCAGCAGCCTGCCCCACAGGGCAGAGAAGCTCCTCAGCTCTCCTGCCATCCCTTCCTCAAGCCCCTCCAGGGTTCTGTGGTATGACTGGTCTCCGGCCCCTGCCCTCGCCCTCTGTGGGCTGCTGCTCTGCCCCATCCCCACAGCTGCTGTGTCCCACACAGCTGCCACCAGCCCCCGAGTCCTCGGAAGGCGGCTGCTCTGAATCGAGATGTGTTGCAAATGTCAAATACACACGGGATTTAGGAGACTTTCTAGAAAAATGCACGATGCCGCATTGCTTTTCTAAAATCAACTTGAATACAATTTGAAGTAATATTTTGTATATTTTGGGTTAATTAAAATGTATTCTTGAAATTCATTTTATCTTTTAACGTAGCTACCAAAAAACTTTAAATTACAGATGTGGCTTGCATTATACATCTATTAGCACTGCTCAGATACTGGGGTGGGGCCTCCACTCTGTCCTGTCTTCACACCACCCCGTATAGGGTCTTACAAAGATTCTCAGGGTTTGAAATATCCACGCAGTGACAGTTCTCAAGTTTCATCTCCAGCTTACTATATCCAGGTATCCCGACTTCGCTGGTCTGCACAGCACTGGGTCCCCCAGCCTGGGGCGAGTTCCGCCTGCTGCTCACGCATCACCCGGGTGACTGGCAGTGCCTGTGCTGTGCTTCCCACTCCCTCCCCGAGGGCCTCACCTCCCCTGTTCTCCATCTGCCCCAGCCCTGGCTCCCAGAGTACCCATCGGCCAGAGGCCCTTTCCCTCCATCCCTGGGCTGGGCTCCAGTGTCGGGACCACCCAGTCTAAAGCAGGCACCCATCTCTGCCACATCGCCCTGGCTTCCATCTTGTGTCTTCCTCAACCCCAGGACATGAACCCGAGAGCCGGGTGCCACTGCTGGCTGCCCCCTCCCCTGCTGGTGTGCACAGCCTCTGCCATGTGACTGCGGCTCCTCCCAGCACAGGACAGTGGCTCACTCCACCTGGCATCTGGGCTTGGCCTCGTGAGGCACTTTGGCCAACAGGGAGGTACCAAAGGTGACACAAGCAGAGGCTTGCCCTCTCCAGGCCTTCTGGAAGCCTGAGCCCACCACGTGCCCAAGCCTGGGCTGGCCTGTGGGACGCTGGACCCAGGATGTAGTCTCCTTTACTACACCAGCCATGAATGAGCTCATTAGGCCCCACCGGCCCCAGATCACAGACGCAGGAGGGACACAGGCACAGCCAGCAGCAGAAGCATCAGCTGAGCCAGCCCACCCCTGGCCTACAGAACATGCCACTGTTCCAGCCTCTAAGTTTGGGGCTGGTTTGTTCCTTGGCCAAAGCCAACTCGGGTTGTTTGAGGGTGGGTGGTGTGGCAGTCTGGGCCCAGCACAGGACAGAGCAGCTGCCATAGTCTAGAACCACTTACCCATGGGAGGGGACCCCAGCTCCCCAGAGCTCCCCAGCCACCCACAGCAGGGGCAGAGCTGAAGCCTGCAGGGGTCCAGCCTCTCAGGCAGGGATGTGAGCATGGTACTGGGGGAGCCCGGCACAGGGCCCTTGGGGCCAAGAGGAGAGAGCCCGGCTGCCACTCGGGAGGGGGAAGCTGTGTCCACTGGGGAAGCCACTGCCACAGCAAGATAGTAGGGACAGACAGGTGCCGGGGCTAAGCTGGAGAGAGGAAGCCCTGCTGAGGGCGGGCTGTCCTTTCGGAGTTGGATGGTGATGTGTCTAGTCAGGCTGTGAGTCCACCAGCATTGAGAGTCCACCCAGAGGCTGGGAGTCCTGATTACAAGCTGAGAGGAACCCCCACCAGCTCCCGAGTGCTGGGCAGTGCTGGCCACCAGGCCTGTGCGTGTGGAGAAAGTGAGTCTGTCCCATCACCGACACATCTATGACAATTAGCAGAGGATCAGGGCACAAAAATGGGTGTGCTGCAATTTCAGGCCATGAAAAAGTAGCAGCATCGTAAACAAAGGCTGAATGTGGACATCACTGAATGATTTCAGAGCCGTGAGTCAGCTCCCGAGCAGCACCAGGATGTGTCCTGTTGGCTGCAGCCCTGGCCCCAAGCCTGGCCCTGTGGCTTCACAGCTTCTTGGGGAGCCCCTTCGTGCCACAAGTCATGGATCTGGGGCACCCTGCCCTGCTGAGAGTGGAGCTCCTGCTCAGCTCCTAGGAAGGCGAGAGCCAGCGAGGCCACTGCCCAGGCCTCCGAGGGTTCTAGGGGGTCCCATCCCTGGGAAGGCGGAATCTGGGAGGGGAGGGGGACCTAGGACCCCATTGTGTGCATAGCTTGGGCTAAGGCATGAGATAAGACCAGGGTGACAGTACAGGAGTATCCAAGAACTGACTTCACCTAACTTCTGCATTTGACTTGTTAGAATTCTACCGAAGTTGTGCTCCATGGGACAAATGTTTAAAGAGAAAACAAACCGTTACATTCCAGATGTAGTTAAAATGTTAAGGGAACTGCTTATAAATGAGGCAGCGCTGTGGAGGCCTCCTGAGGGACTGGGCTCCAACACTACATTTGTACCTTTCAGGAGCCATCCGAATACCCTGATGAAATTTAGTTTTTTAATTGTGAAGTTTAATAAGTCAAATGTTAATTTTTAAAAGGCTGGGTACAGTGGCTGATGCTTGTAATCCCAGCACTTTGGGAGGCCAAGAAGGGAGGATCACTTGAGGCCAGGAGTTTGAGACCAGCCTGGCCAACATGGTGAAACCCTGTCTCTGCTAAAAATACAAAACATTAGCCAGGCGTGGTGGCACATGCCTGTAATCCCAGCTACTTGGGAGGCTGAGGCATGAAGAATTGCTTGAACTTGGGAAGCGGAGGTTGCAGTGAGCTGAGACCACGCCACTGCACTCCAGCATAGGTGACAGCGAGATTCTATCTAAAAAAAAAAGTTAATTTTAAAAACCAACGTAACTGCAAAGAGCCATTGTGCTCTCACAGTCCGATGTCCAGAATGCCAGCGGGCCTGGGCCTGCCCACTGAAGCCACCCTCCAGCTCATTTCACCAGCCTTTCCCCACAAATGCCCGACCACCCAGCAGGTCACTCTGCCCACCCTGAGCTCTGCACTGCTGCCACCTCTCCCCAGCTGGAGGAGACAACGGCTCAGGTTGGGGTTTCGGTGCAGGGTGGGGCACACCTACCTGCGCAGTGCGAAGCGCACTGTGTCCTCATTGTGGGAGGCCACCATCACCTTGGCCTTGGCGTTGTGCTTCAGCTCCTCCAGCACGTAGTCCAGGCACCTGTGAAGAGTGCCATGTGAGCCCAGTTCCAGGCCTGTGGTCGCCTGCACCTCTCATTACCAGCTGCACAGAGAGGAGGCCGAAGGCAGACCCAGATCCATCCAGTGAGCTGGCTCTTTCCAAGGGTATCCACAGGATCAGGAGGAACAGGAGCAGCATCTGCCCCTCCCAGCACCTCATGAAAAAGAAAGACCAGCAACCAAGCAAAAGCGATGTCTGGGACCAGACAATTCACACAGAACCAGCTGGGGCACAGCGTCCCTGCATCAAACATGCCGTGACTCTGGGGACCAGCCCAAACATGCCCATAAGCCTCATGACAGACACAGCTTTGCGTCTGGGGAGGGATCGTACAGTGCACCCCTGGCCCTGAAAGGAAATAAAAGGGAAGCAGGTCCCTGTAGGGCACAGTGGGGGTGGGCATCCCGGTGCACCAGGAAGCCCGAGCAGTACGGCCCTCCTGCAGCGAGGACACTCAGCAGGCTTGACCACGCGCACGTTCTCTCTGACCCAGCAATTCCATTTCCAGCAACCTAGGACAGCTGCATCCTCAGACACAAAACCCCTGACGGCCCGTGTGTACCACAGAGGGTGACGGTATGTCCAGCGAGTCCCTGTTACAATAACCAGACTGAAAACCAGTAAGATCAAAGATGCTGGACACATAGCCCCGGGCACTCCATGCTGGCTGTTGACAGCACCACTCTGCAAGCCCACACAAGAGGACCCAGATGGAACGCGAAATGAAAAACACATCGGGCAGAGGACACGCTACAGCGCAAACAACAATGGCGGAGATGTGTGCGCTGTGGCACGACATGCACAGCGGCTGCAGGAGGGGAGCTGGAGCCAACCAGGAGGCACTTGGGGTCTCTCTGAATTTGCAGCATGCACACACGCCTCTAAGAGGAAAAGCCCATGGTTGGCCAGCCTGTGCTACATGAAAAGATCACCAAGAAACTAGAGCAGTAAAAGCAGGTGCAGAACAGCTGATGGGCGATCCCACTGTGTGAACTGAAAAGCAAACAGGCTGAGCCTGCAGGGTGGGGAGGACCGAGTGTTCATGCACATCTCTGGATCTAAGTGTCTGCAGGAGCAGGCTCAGGGAACTGTGGCCAATTTTACTTTGTTCAATAGGCTTTTCTATATTTATAAAAGAATAACCTTAATGCTTTTGAAAAAGTAACACATGACATAAAAGCTGAGGAAATACCAGTTCTGACCTGGGGACACATGTGGCTGACAAGTTCAGTCTCCAAGCCTCTCCCTCAGGCCTGGTTTCTTGGCGCCCTGCCCTGAGAAGACAGAGGGGTGGGAGAGCTGCGCACCTGTGGTACATGGTGTTGGTGGCCTCGTACATGGGGTTGATGGGGTCCTCATATCCGATCTCTGCTGCACAGGCTCGCTCCTGGGCCAGGTATGCGCCCCGCACCGGCTTGGCCCCAAAACACCAGCCCTCACGGTGAGCCAGCTCCATGTCCAGGGTCACATTGTCATAGGCATCCTGTGGGGCCAGGGCCAAAAGTCACAGGGAGCCTGGGCAAGCCCAAGTGACAGCAGGATGGGGCCTTCCTGGGCCCAGGTGCAGTCACCAGGGCTGGGCAGCAGCTGCCTGGGGAGGTGCAGCTCAAGGCACCTGGACCAGGTGTGGGTGAGGATGGTTCTCCAACCTCTGTCTCCAGGGAGCAATGGCAGTGGGGACATCTGCAGCTTCCTCTGTGGCCTGTGGACAGCCCTATGGGGGCAGCCCAGGCGCCAGCAGCCATCATGTGCTCCAGACTCCCAGGCCGACCAGGAGGGGTGCATACTGCATGCTCCTGCCTGGACCCCCTCCCCATGCCACCCTGTGTCCTCTGGGCACCCGGCTCACCCCTGAGAGCTCTGGACCTGCTAACATCCCTGAGCAGTTTGGGGCCCACAGGCTAGGATGGGCTCCCTGAATACATGTGACATCCTGGGTGAGTCTTTCCGGGGAGGGCCCAAAGCTTTCATGAGGTTCTTAGGGGCGCTGAACTGAAAACACGCTGGAGGAAATGGTCATGTGACACCTTCCAAGTTTGGGGTGTCGGGTACATCTAGTGGACCCTCATAAAGATCGTTGTCTTCCTCTTGCTCCTTAGACACTCTTGGCTGGTTCTGAGAACCAGGGGAGAGGCTGCGGGCAGCGGGCCTTTCTTGCTACTCTGAGGCAGTCACCCTGGCCTCGGCCTCCTCTGCAGGCCTGGCTGTGGCCACCACCTAAGGGGCTCTTTCCTGGACCCTGGGGCCCGCTGGGTGAGCTGTGCTGCAGAAGACCCCAACAACCCCTTGGGGGCACGGCCCACTCCCTCCTCCATCCCGTGAGCTCCCTGGTGGGTGCTGAGTATAAAACCAGGCAAATGCCAGGGAGCTCAGATGAGAGGAGCCCCTCCTGTGGGGTCTCCAAGCCCCAAGGCAGGCAGGGAGGGGCTGAGCGGGGGCTTGCCTTGAGGTAGCACTGGTATGTGTTGAAGATGAGCAGCTTCTCCACATTGAACTTCCGCTGCATCTCCAGCGTCAGGCGACTGATGGCCGGCTGGAAGTAGGTCTGCTCGGCATCCACCATCAGCCGCACGCCCATCTCTGTGGCTTTCTGAGAGGCGCAGGGGGTGGGAGAGTGGGAGCAACTATTGCTCAAGTGAGGCAGGTGCCCTCTTCTGCATGAGTCCCGGGTCCCCAAGGCCCCAGCCCTCTGCCCGAGCGGGACAGCTCGCCTTGGGCAGGACATCCATCCGCTGTAGCATCCTCGTCATCTGTAGCTCCTCCTCCTCAGCAAACCGGGACAGCAGGGGCTCCAGCTGTCCTGTCTGGGGGTACAGCACATGGTCAGGCCACAGCAAGGGCCAGGAAGTGCCACCCTGAGGCCCAGGCTAAACCTCTCTTAGTGTTCCCAGCCCACGGGAACCCTCTCATGCAGGGCCGGGAGGGAGGGCCACCTGGACAAGCAGCACAGAGCCCCGGAACCTCCAACGCAGCCAGTGCACTGCCCTACGCGGGCCCTGGGGGTACCAGGAGGGAGCTCAGTGCCCATGTCAGTGGGCCCCAGGCTCAGTCCAGGCCTGCACTCCGAAGTGTGTACTCTAACAGCCTCCCCAGTTCTCACAGAGGCCCCACCATTGTGGGAGGGCCCCCTGCAGCTCCCATGTGACACTGAGGAAGTGAACACTGACCACCCAATCGTCAAACAGAAGGGCTCCACCCAGAGCAGGAAGAGGGCCCAGGAGGAAGACCCCTGGCTACAGGCAGACAGGGCAGTTGTGCAGCACGTGCTGACACGTAGCCAGGGACCAGGGCAACCGCCAGGATGAGGCCTTCAAGGAGCTGGTGCTCAGAGGCCGTGGGGACCCATCCCGCAGGGCCTCCCGCTCACCCCTTTGCTGGCCCCAGCAGCCTTGCCTCACTGGGCACAAGCAGTACCACTCTATCCCTTGCTACACCATGCTAAAGTCTCCAACAGCTGGTGGCCTTGGTGCACAGCCACACTGTACGCACTGCGCCCCGAGGCTCTGGGTCGGGGGCTCTGAGTTTGAGGCTGGGCCCTTAGTGGACTGGGGCTAGATGTGTCATGGAAAGCTGCCTCTGCAGGATGTTTTCTGAAGGTGCTTCTGTTCTTTCTTCGAATTCCAGTTTAGGTTGTGGTTTCAAGCAGTCAGCCAGGTCCTGGGCCCCCCTCCCACAGGCAGATGAGTCTCATTCCTCTCCCCGCAGTATACAGGCTGGCCTGGTGACATGCTTCTAACAAACAGAACTTGCCAGAAAAGACACCGTGTGACTTCTGAGGTGAGGCAGGAAAAGGTCACCCAGCTTCTGCCTGGCTCTCACGTCTCAGGGGACACTGGCCCTTAGAGCCCAGCTGCCATGTTGGGAAAAAGCCCAAGCCACAGCCAGCACCAACTCCCAGACATGTGAGTGGGCGCCTCCCCCAGGTCCCAGCGCCACCACTCTGTGAGTACAGCTACCCAGGAGACCCCAAGCGAGGACTGCCCAGCTGAGCCCTGTCAACCCCAGAACCATGAGGCAGAAGCAGAGTGGCTGCTGCCGTTTTAGGCCTCTGAAGTTTGGGGTGACCTGATGCACAAGACAGATGACTTGGGGAAGGCCCCCAGACCCCCTCTCCTTGTGGTGTTTTAAGGCTCCGCGTGGGTCTCTGTCCCACCAAGCACTCTGTGGACACTAGTGGGTTTGTCTTCTTTTCCCCCTGGACCATAGGGGGTCTGTGGGGCCATAGTGTGCAGTGATCTTGGTCATGTTAAGTTCCCAGGGTAGGCAACAAGAGAAACATGTGGCAGGCTGAATTCCCTTCTTAGCGCAGCGCCCTGCTGAGCTGGGCCTCACTGAGGAGCGGAGGTGTTACCTGTCCATTGGGGACTACCAGGTGCTTGGACAGCTTGGTCCTGCTGTCGATGAGGCTGCTCCAGTCCAGCAGGTCCACAGTGCTGAGGGAGGAGGCACATCAGCAGAGTTGGCGACCCCACCTGTGGGTGCTAGGGTCGGGTGGGGGATCCAGGCCCAAACCTGTCCGTTCACCAACCACCACAAAACCCACCTCAGTGTTCAGTTTTAAAAGACGAGAAGGCTGAGGCAGGAGAATGGCATGAACCCAGGAGGCGGAGCTTGCAGTGAGCAGAGATCGCGCCACTGTACTCCAGCCTGGGTGACAGAGCGAGACTCCGTCTCAAAAAAAAAAAAAAAAAAAAAGACAGAGGAAATGTAAATATTGTTTTCTGTTTAAAAATTTAAAACCAGTGGCGTGCAGTAGCTCAAACCTGTAATCCCAGCACTTTGGGAGGCTGCGGCGGGCAGGTCACTTGAGCCCAGGGGTTTGAAACCAGCCTGGGCAACATGGTGAGACCTGGTCTCTATAAAAAATAAATTAATTAAAAAAATTTAAAACCAAAACACAAACAGTCCTGCATCTAGGCGGCTCTGAAAACACTGAGTACCCTAGGGCTGTTTTGGGCTTGTGGAGGGGCCGAGCACAGGCAGCCAGGCAGGAGGCGGACACAGCTCCGGGCGGCCAGGGAGGACACAGTGGGCAAGGCTGGCAGTGTGTGAGGGGATGGCTCACTACTGCACCACCCCAGTCACCTCCCCACTTCAACTGGAGGCTCCTGGTGACCTGGGTCCCAGCCCCTGGCCCCAAGGATGGGGCATGGGGCTCTGATCCTTCACCTGCCGGCGTGGACTCCAGGGAGGGCTGAGAGTGCCACCTTTGCTCTGGACCCAGATAATTCTATAAAGAGCCCTCTATGGGGTCTGTGCTGGCCCTGTGTCTCCCCTGCCCAGCCCAGCCCCAGCCTCAGGGACTCCTGAGGCCATCAAGTCCTGCTGTGTGAAAAGCAGTTCCTTCAGCACTGTCATCCCAAGGCCCACCCTCTCAGGCAGGGCAGCCAGGACTGGGAGACGTCACTGGGGCTTGGCTGGAACCATGGCTGATGCTCGTGTCCTCTCAGCCTGGGGGCTGCTCTCACCCAGACACTCCCAGGGTCTCTGCCGTGAACCAGTCCTCAATCTCAGCCCTGGATGCGATGCCCATCTTTGCGACACTTTCCTTGAGAAGTGAGAAGGCCTGGATCAGCCCCATTCGCTCACATTTTATTCTTCCCCCCACCCATTGGCCTCTGGTGCTGTTTCTGGCTTTATTACATCGTTAGTAAGAACAGGATCCATGTCTGGTTTGTTTCTACTGCATAGACAGGTCTATTCCCACCCCGCTGCTGATGCACGCCCACGCCCTGCAGGGCTGGGTCTCCAGCCCTCCTGCCAGCATCTCCCCTCTCTGTTCAGAGTCCCTCCGACCTCCTCCTCCCCACCAGGCCAACCCCAGCAGCTGCAGAGTGAGCCACGTGCCCTGGGTGAGTTCCCAAAACCACCTCCGACCACTGCCCACCATGCCCCCTGTGCGCCCCCACGGTGCCCACCCCCTCACAAGCCACAGGAGTGGGGAAGGGGAAGGCTGCCCCACCTGCAGCACCGCCACCTCCAGCTTGGTGTTCATGCCTGGCCAGCCCACAGCAGGCTCCTGACCCCACCCCACCCCGCCCATGAAGTTCTTGCACATGGCGCTCTGGAGGCCCTGTAGAGATGAGAGGGGGCTCCGTGGTGGGGTTTGTGTTTCCATGCAGGTGTGGGACAGCAGTGGGCACAGGAGCTGCCTGTCCCCTGCCGAGCAGCCCCCACAGGCTCCCTGCCTCGGTTTCCTCCCCTGTGCCACCAGCACCACAGGCTGCTCACACATGGGTCACAGGACCCAGAAACACCGAGTGTGGCTAAGACAGAGACACCCCAGCGAGGCCCCCTTGCTCAGGCCTCTGCCCCAGAGCCCAAGTCTCTCAGGAACCTCTGACGCAAGCGCAGGCTCCTGCCCCCGTGCAGCCAGCCTGCAGTCCCACCCTGCCCTCCAGGCCAGCCCTCCTGCAGCATTCTTGCCCCTGACACTTCTTTCCAAGCAACAACCAGAAATGTTCCTTTAAAGTGAAAGCAGATCTTACCATCTCATCTTGTTTAACACCACCCCAGTGCAGGGCCTTCCCCTTACATCTGCCCCAGGAGAACAGGCAATGGATGAGGAGAAAACGCCCCTCACCCTGATGGCCCAGCATTCAGCTGGCCACTCTGACCCCCAGCCCCCGTCAGGAGGTGGCTTCCAAGCACTGCTCAGAAGGGCCAGATGCAGTGGTATGCCCTGTCATCCCAGCACTTTGGGAGGCCAAAGTGGAAGGTTCACTTGAGGCCACGAGTTTGATACCAGCCTGGGCAACATGGTGAAATACCATCTCTACAAAAAATATGAAAATTAGCTGGGTGTGGTAGTGTGCGCCTGTAATTCCAGCACTTTGGGAGGCCAAGGTGGGGGGATCACTTGAGCCCAGGAGTTCCAGGCCAACCAGGGTAACATAGTGACACCTCATCTTTTTTCTTTTTTTTTTTTTTTTTTGAGACGGAGTCTCACTCTGTCACCCAGGCTGGAGTGCAGTGGAGTGATCTCGGCTCACTGCAACCTCTGCCTCCCGGGTTCAAGCAATTCTGTCTCAGCCTCCCGAGTGGCTGGGATTACAGGCACCTGCCGCCATGCCTGGCTAATGTTTTGTATTTTATTAGAGACAGGATTTCACCCTGTTGCCCGGGCTGGTCTTGAACTCCTGAGTTCAGACAATCCACCAGCCTCACCTCCCAAAGTGCTGGAATTACAGGCATGAGCCACCACGCCCAACTGTGAGACCTCCTCTTTACAAAAATTAAAAAAAAAAAAACTTGGCCATGTGTGGCGGCATGCACCTGTAGACCCAGCTACTCAAGTGGCTGAGGTGGGAGGATGGCTTGAGCTCAGGAGGTCTAGGCTGCAGTGAGCTATGATCACACCACTGCACTCCAGCATGGGCAACAGAGCAAGACCCAGTCTCATTTGAAACAAACAAACAAAAACATAAACAGGCCTGGGACCCGCTGCCCCTGACGGAGGGCTGCTGGGGCCAGCATGGGGCTGTGCAGGGTCGGGTGTTTCTAACACGGAAGGACACTGGGCCTTAGTGACCTCTGGCTTCTCTACCCCTGGAGCCCTGCTCCCCCCATCTCTGGCCCCCAGAGGCTGTGTCAGGAAGGGATTCCCAGGCAGAAGATGCGGCACCAGCTCCCTGGGCACAGTGGCTCATGCCTGTAATCCCAGCACTTTGGGAGGCCAAGGTGAGCAGATCATGAGGTCAGGAGATTGAGACCATCCTGGCCAACATGATGAAACCCTGTCTCTACTGAAAATACAAAAATTAGCTGGGTGTGGTGGCGCGTGCCTGTAATCCCAGCCACTCGGGAGACTGAGGCAGGTGAATCGCTTGAACCAGGGAGGTGGAGGTCACAGTGAGCAGAGATCGCGCCACTGCACTCCAGCCTGGTGACAGAGCGAATTCCATAAAAAAAAAAAAAAAGAAAAGAAAAGGAAGGAAGGAAAAGAAAAGAAAAGAAAAAGAAAAAAAAGAAAAAAGAAACCTGACCTGGTGCCTTCCTAGCCCCCACTACATCCTGGCCACAAGGTGGGCATGGCTTCTGCATGGCTAGTCTCTGTCCCACTCAGCTGCCACCTAGAATGCCCGTCCTTGCCCTGTGGCTGGCCACTCCCTCCCCTGGCATTCCTGCCCTGCTGCCTCCTCCTCCTATTGCAGCACCACCAGCACTGGCTCCTCTTTTGGGATGCCCCTTAGATGTGGGCACTCCCCAAAGCCTCCACATCGCCGTCCCTCACCTTGCCAGTTCCTCTACCTGGGATGTCCCTTCTCGCCCTCCTGTCTCCTTGGCCGGGGCTCTCTATGGCCAAAACTTGACCTTAAGACATCCTTGTGTGCACAAGCACAGCAGTGCCCTCCCAGAGCCCTCCATCTGTCCAGTTCAGCTCCTTCTTCCTCCACCATCCTCCGCACTCCCGCCACCACGGGTCCTAGGCTGACCTTGGCGCTCCCCATGGGATTCGGGCCAACAGCATCTGACTCTGAGTTCGTGGATCCCTGCCCTCACCTCGCACCCGCCGAGGCCTCACCTAAGCTCAAGTGTGGCTCGGTGCTTCTCATCTCACACCGTCCCCCGCCTTCCCCCGCCTCCTGTTGAGGCCAGGGGTGCAGCCCCCGACCTCTGTACAGTCTCACCTGAGAAATCAACACCACCAGATACCCTGGCGCCAAAAAGCGGAACCTTGCAAACTCTTCCCAGGGTCACCTGGAGATAACCGTCATCTCTAGTACCCCTAGGCTGATGCGGCTAAAACAGTGTTCTGCTTGTTGCCCCCCACCACCGCCACCAAAAGCCCTGACACTTTTTAAAGTTACCATGGGTGAGTTCAAAGCTGGGCGTTTGAGGGGCTTCCCATTTTTCCCCAACAGTGTTCTCAGAGTGGCCGTGTCTGGGAAGCGGCTGGGTCCCGGGGATTGAACTCTGGGGTTCCAGGCTATGAGCCCTACACCAGGCTTCTCTTGTGTCAACATGAAGAATACTCCATTTTAAATTCCAAGTGATAACTCTGTATTCCCACAAGTGGTATATATCGTAAATATTAAAACGACCATTGTTTTTAGTTGGTAGACATCGAGAAGTAGGAAAATTCGCGATATCAGAAAGGGACTGCAGGAAACGCCTCCCTTCCTGGCTTCCCTTGCTCCAGGAGATGCTTGGGAGGCACCCGTTTCACGCCAGGAAACTCCGTAAAGGCTCCCGGGACGGGCAGAAGCCCCGCGCCCCGGCTGCACCCCGCGCACCTGCTCGTGGCGCGCCAGCAGCGCGGGCCAGGCGCAGAAGCGCAGCACCAGCAGGCTGCGCGCCAGCTCCCAGGTTCGCCAGCTGCAGTACGCCTCCTACGCGTTGCCGAAGTCCACGGCGGGCACCAGCGGCCGCACTGCCCTGGCCGACCCACGTCCTGGCACGGCCCCTGGGCCCGCGGCGGGCTGCTCGCTGGCGGCCGGCGCCGTGGACAGCGGCGCGAAGCGGGGAATGTAGGGGCGCAGCGCGGGCAAGACGCGCCGCAGAGCCATGGCGGGACGCCGGTACCCGCCCGGGCCGCTTAAGTATGCGCTATTGGTCCCGCCCCGCCCCTCCCCGCCCCGCATGCCCCCTAGCCGCGCTCTCTCCTTAGAAGTCCCACGCTCCGAGCCGCGCCCACTCCTCGGGAGACACCGCCCCATCCCAGGGGCCCCGCCCCTCCCTAGCATCTGCACCCGCTCCTCTTGAGGCCCCGCCCCGCCCGCCGTAGGGCCCACGCCTTCTCCACGTGAGTCCCTCGCCCCGCGCTCCAAGCAGCTCCCTTTCCTCAGCAGACGCCGGTCCACCCTACGACCCCAGCTCTCACCTCTGGAGAACCCATCCCGAAGTCCCAACCCCACCCCTGAGGCCCCGCCCCAACCCGAGGCCCGGCCGGCTCCGGTGGTCATACTCCAGAACACCAGCGCTTCTTCCTCAAGGGTTCTGGCACGCCCCAGGACCCACCGCCCCTTCTCCTCTTGAGGCCGCGCCCCGCGCTCCCAGCCGCGCCCGCTCCTCGAGAGGACCCGACCCGCCTTCCCAGCCGCGCCCGCTCCTCGGGAGGACCGGCTCCGCGCCCCCATTCCGTGGGAAGCCCTGCCTCACACTCCCAGTCTCGCCCTCTCCTCGGAAGGCCCCGCCCCGCGCTCCCAGCCGCGCCCTCTCCTCGGGAGGTTCCGCCCCGCGCGCTGCAGACCTCTGTGCGTCCACAGCAGGCCCCGCCCACCGGGCCGTGGCCACACCCCCGCGAGAGACCCGGTCCCCGGGGCTACCCGCCCTGAGCTCCGCCTTCCTCACAGGAGACCCGCCCCATTGGGAGCGGGACCCCTGACCAGGCTTGCGGTCTCCCCACCACACCGGGTTTCCCAGGTCCCCAGGCCAGCCAGGTGGGTCCGGAGCCCGCCGATCAGCGCAGCCGCACACCTGGGTTCCTCCCTGGTCCTTGAGCCGCGTGGACCCACAGCTGAGGCCGGATCGGCTGAGAATCCAGCCCTCAAAGTGGGTCCGCTTCTCCTCTGGTCTAAATGGGCGTATGGGAAGCCGTCCTCTCCCTCCCACCCCTCAGGCCTCTTAGGGGCTTGCCCCGCGCTCCTCTCCTGTCCTCCCAGTCCCACCGCCCACCCAAGGGCAAATGCGGACCACTAGGCCCCCTCGGAACCTGTGCAGCCCTGTGGTTCTTCCCTTCCCTTGCCACCCAACAAGAGTCCGCTGGCCACACCGCCTCCCCTGCAGGCCCGGCCTCAGTGCCGCCCGCCCGTGGGCCACCTCTAGAGCACCTACCCTCTCGCGGCCCCTTTGCCTCAATGCCCCTCCCAGATGTCACTTTCTTGGTGGAACCGCCCCTGGCGGCCTGCCGTAGTGCACCCCTCCCCATCACTCACCGCTGGGCCCCTCGTCACCTCACGATATTCCTGCACCCCACAGACGCTGGGTCTGGCTCCAGCCTCCTCCCACCTCACCCACCTGCTTCTCCCTGTGCACCTTGCACCTGCTGGAAAGAGCAGGAGGTACCTTGCACTCCCTGACCTGTTCTGCAATGTTGAAATTTGAGGCTGAATAATTTCCTTGTGGGAGCTGCCCTGTGCATTGCAGGTTGTGTATCAGCATCCCTGGCCTCCAGGAACCAGAGGCCTGTAGTACACACACACACAGACATACACAGTCGGGACAGCCGTAAATGTCTCCAGACATTGCCAGGTGCCCCTGGGGGACACCATCACCACCACTCGAGAGAGAGAGAGGCTTCCTGATGAATGGAGCAACAGTTTTTCTGCTCCTCTTCCTCCTGCCGGCACCACAGAGCAAAGGGGAGAGACAAAAGGAGTGGATGAATCCAGGCTCATTTTGCTGGAGAGAGGCTAGCCTCGGCAGCCGGCCATAGCCACCAGTCTCCCCTTCCTGAGGACCATCCCTCCTCCTGTGGCCCCTGTCCACACCTATCACGCCTTTCTCCCCAGCACCTGTCATGCCATCGGCTCTTCCTGAGCCCAGGCTGTTTGCATGCTGCTCTCAGGCACCTTTCCCTCCCCTGCATCCCACACCCTCCTTCCTCTCCTCATCAGGGTCAGCATGGTGGGTGCTACCCCTGGCAGGCCCTCTCTGACCCCCAGGGCCCACCTGGGCACCTATGTGGCTGCAACTCCCTCTTCTCTTCTTGCACTTGTTGCTGGTGACTTTGACAGCTGTGCCCCATCCATACTGCTGCCTTGATGTGTCGTTATTTAGTGAATGAAATTTCCACATGTGGGAACCCATGTGGGAAGTGTGACCCCAGTTTCTAGGCTGGTGACTGTGGATTTGAGATGCATCCCCCAGGCCTTGCCCTGAGTCACCCTGGACCACACCCAGTCCTCACAAGCACCCTGGCACTTCAGCTACATGGTGGGGACCCTCTGCCAGCAGGGCTGAGGCCAAGGCCCCCTGGCTTCCCAAAGTCTCTGTTCCTGCTCTCCATGAAGACAGCCCTTTGATGCCACGTCCTCTCCTCTGGAGGGCACACCACGCTTGTCTGGGCTGCATTCTTCTCCTGAGCATCTGCACCTGGTTACCAGAATTGGAGCCTGGGTTCCTAGCACTCAGCCTCCACCCAGGCCCTGTATGTTGGGAGTAACTTGTCGACGCTGGTGACTCGCTCAGGAAGGTGAGAAGAGCCGACCCTGACCCTAACCCTCCCCATCTGGAGCCAATACTCGCCATGACTGCCATTTTCTGGATAATCCTGTTGATCTGATCTGCTCCTGGCCCAAGACCTCCCCTCTAACGCACTCATATCCATGAGAGAGAGGGGGTCCCACCAGCTGTGCCACCTCTCACTGCACTGGTAATGGAGAAGGCTGTCAGCCCTCCACATCACACACACTTTGGGCAAAATGACTGAGTGTATGACAGTCAGCTCACCGATTTACCGCCATGAGAAAACATTTTAAATGGCCCATTTTCAAGGCATGATAAATCTAAGTACTGGCAGCCAGCCTGAGAATGTAACAAACCGCACGGCTCATGCACGTAGAAGATCACAATAAGCAGACAGAATGTAGAAAAAGGGTCAGCCCATAAAAGGGAAGAAAGTTTCGTTATTGGAAAATTGAAACTTAAGCGGGGAAGGCGACGGGGTATAACCTTATAAGGTGGATAATGAAACTTAGGCAATGTCCTGGAAGATTGTAACCCCATAGTACTCGACCAATGAGGAGGAGGGACTTGTGTGCTAGGGCATAAGTTACTTGCTGTGACTGCCCTGAGTGCGCCTATCCACCAGACACCAATCTCGCAAGACCACTATTAAAAGTCTCACTTTCCCGGGCATGGTGGCTCACGCCTGTAATCCCAGCACTTTGGGAGGCGGAGGCGGGCGGATCACCAGGTCAGGAGATCCAGACCATCCTGGCTAACACGGTGAAACCCCGTCTCTACTAAAAATACAAAAAATTAGCCAGGTGTGGTGGTGGGCACCTGTAGTCCCAGCTACTCGGGAGGCTGAGGCAGGAGAATGGCGTGAACCCGGGAGGCGGAGCTTGCAGTGAGCCGAGATGGCGCCTCTGCACTCCAGCCTGGGCGACAGAGCGAGACTCCGTCTCAAAAAAAAAAAAAAAAAAGTCTCACTTTCACTGCTCGTGCCTCTGAGTCCATTCTTCAGGTTTGGATGGGTGAGCTTGTTTCTCACACTGCCACATTGCCTCTCCCAATATTCCTGACAAATGCCAGACAAGGGCTTAGACGTCATCCCTGTTCTTACACGGGAAACCCCAGAGCAGAATCTAAGCTGAAACACACCTGAAAATGTCACGGCAAGGCCAAGGCAAAGCTCAGAGACAGGGTGGTCCTTGTCATGCATGGCCTGTGGAGGGGCCAAGCCTGGCTTCAGCACCCCAGCCACCCGGGCAGTCCTCAGGGTGTTCTCAGTCCTGCCTCATGTGGGTGCCGGGTCAAGGAAGGTCCCTCACCTCACATCCTACCATCAGACTTTTACTCTGTAGCCTGGGGCTCAAAAGCAGAGGGTCTGAGGGTGACATCAGAGAAGGTGGCAGATCAGGAAGCTCCGGGAACCCATCCCTCCCCTGGACAACAGTGGTACTGAAAGGAACCGTCTTAAGCAGTGATCCTGGAAACCAACAGAATGCTTTTGCAACATTCAGAGGCCAGCTTAATGAAGAGCCTGGTCCATTTCAGCCAGTATCAGTCAATTTCCCCCTTTATGGGAGCACCTACCATCCCCCAACCCTCAACCCAGTGGCACACAGAGGAATACAACCCTGGTGCACAGTAGCACTATTCACAACAGCAAAACGGTGCAAACAAAACGTGATCCATCCATACAGTGGAATACTATTAAGCTATAAAAAGGAATGAAGTACTAATGCATGCCATGACATGGATGAACTTTGAAAGTATGCAAAATCGAAGAAGCCAGTCACATGCATGGAACTGGAGAAACTTATGTTAAGTGAAATGAGACAGAACAGAAAGTTAAACACCGCATGTTCTTGCTCATATGCGGAAGCTAAAAAAAGCTGGCCTCATAGAAGTCAAAAGTAGAACAGAGGATAGTAGAGGCTGGGAAGGGTGGAAAGAAGGGAGGGAGAGGGAGGGAGAGATGTGTTGAAGGATACAAAATTATAGCTACATGGCAGGAATAAGTTCTAGTGTTCTACACCAATGTAGGATGACTCTAGTTAACAACAACATATTATGGGTCAGGTGTCACGGCTCACGCCTGTAATCCCAGCACTTTGGGAGGCCTAGAGGGGTAGAATTGCTTGAGCCCAGCAGTTCACAACCAGCCTAGGCAACATGGTCAAATCCCATCACTACAGAACATACAAAAGTTAGCCAGGTGTGGTGGTACATGCCTGTAGTCCCAGCTACTCGGGTTGCTGAGGCAGGAGGATCACCTGAGCCTTGGGAGGTAGAGGCTACAGTGAGTCGTGATGGTGCTACTGCACTCCAGCCTGGGCAACAGAGTGAGGCCCTGTCTCAAAAACAAAAAACAAAAACCAAAATCCAAACCAAAACAAAAATTATGTATTTTCAGCTAGCTAGAAAGAGAATATTGAGTGTTCGTAATGCAAAGAAATGATAAATGTTTGAGATGATAGGTGTGCTAATTACCCTCATCTGATCACCATACATTGCATGTATAGAAACATCACTACGTACCCCACGAATATGTACAATTATTATGTGTCAATTAAAAAATAAAAATAGCCAGGTGTGGTGGCTCACACCTGTAATCCCAGCAATTTGGGAGGCCAAGGCAGGAGGATCACTTGAGCCCAAGAGTTCTAGACCAGTCTGGGCAACATAATAAGACCTCATCTCTATAAAAAAATACAAAATTAACCAGGCATGGTGGTCTATGTCTGTTATCCCAGCTACTCAGGAGGCTGAGGTGAGGGGATTGCTTGAGCCCAGGAGGTTGAGGCTGCAGTGAGCTATGATCGTGCCACTGCACTCCAGCCTGGGCAATGGAAGGAGACCCTGTCTCTAAAATAAAAGTGAAATTTTTTTAAGAAAAGAAAGAAAGATGCCAGACACAGACGGCCACAAGTTTTATGGTTCAGTTTATATGAAGAGTTCAGAATAGGCAAACCCATAGAGACAGAAGTCACACGAAGACAAGCCCATAATGTAGCCTGGTGACTGTGGCACTGGTAAGGGCCTGGAGGTGGAGGACAGGGGGAGTGGGAGGGGCTGCCAAGGCCCACGGAGTTTCTTTGGGGTCTGGAAATACTCTGGGGCTACAGAGTGTTGATGTCTGCTCAACCTTGTGTATAGACTAAAAAACCATTCGATTGTGCCATTGAAATGGAAAAAATTGCATGGTATAATGCAAAAGGTAATAAATGAATAGTATAATGAATTATATCTCAATAAAGCTGTTATCTTTTTTTAAAAAGCAAAGAGCTCAAAGTTCTAGCATTTGCTTCAAGGAAGCCTGTGGCCCTGCACAGAGGCGAAGGTGGGCAGGGGCTGCCAGGGGCAGGGCTGCAGAGAGGGCAGGGGGAGAAGCGAGGGGTACAGGGATCACAGAGATCTCTGCTCACATCCAGACCATAGCAGGGCAGGCCTAGCGCTGGGTGCCCAGGCCCACGGGAGAGCCCACCTGTGGGAACAAGGCTGGCCTGAAAGTCACTGGCTCCATGTGACAATCAATGAAACAACCGAGTTTCACAGGAGCTCTGTAAATCCTAGGAAGCAGGTCTTACGCTCAGCTGGGGACCCTTGGCAGGTGGCTACCCTGAGCCAGCTGATGGCTTTTTTTTTTTTTTTTTTTTTAAGAGACAAGGTCTCTGTTGCCCAGGCTGGAGTGCAGTGATGTGATCACAGCTCACTGTAGCCTTGAACTCCTGGGCTTGTGATCCCCCTGCCTCAGCCTCCCAAGTAGCTGGGACTATAGGCTGGACTGCACCCAGCTAATTTTTAAAAAATAGTTTTTTGTGGAGACAGGGTCTGGCTGTGTTACCCCAGGCTGATCTGAAACTCCTGGGCTCAAGCAATCCTCCCACCTTGGCCTTTCAAAGTGCTGGGATTCAGGCGTGAGCCACTGAACACAGTCATGGATTATTTTGAAAGAATGATGCCCCACCAGGGCCAGGGGATCCAGGTGGGAGTTGTCGGTGGGGGGGTCCTCAGGGAGATCAACTGGATGGGAGATGAGTGTCGGGGATGGAGGGGTGGGCTCCGTTCTCCAGCTCAGGAGACAGGCAGATCTGAGAGGGCCAGACTTGGGCATGTGGTGGGGACCCAGCTGCTGGGCGCCCCCGAGGTTGGGCCAGTTACCAGGGCCTGCCACTCTCAAGGAGGAAGCAGACAAGAAACAGACCTTCGAGGGTAGAGAGGCCGCTGTGCTGCCTGTCCGGGCCCCTGGGCACATGCAGTCAACCGTGCTCAGGACTCCTTCCGTTCTCTCACTTGCACTCATTCCCAGCGAGATAATTGTTTCTCCTCAGCCGTGAGCATGACATTGGAGCTCTGGCAAAGTCAGGTTGTTGTTTTTTTTGCCATGTGCCTCTTACCTGTACTCTGAAATATTTGTTTCTCTGCCAGAAACATGGTTCCCTGCGTTCATTCTAATTTGTTGCATTTTTCTGCTTGCCCTGTAGCCACTTTTACCGATATTTTTGGTCTGTCCGCAGGCAAAGGAATTCATTCACATTCATTTAATTTGGAGTTTGTCTTTCCGTTATCAGCCTGCACCAAACCTGGGCTGCTGGGTATATAAATTCCCTCATCGGTACGTTATCCCCTTATCCACTCCATGCTGCCGTTCACAGATCCTACTTGAGTTCTATTTAGCTATGACATTTTATTCACTTTTCTCAAAGCTAGTAAAATATGATTGCATTTCCTGAAGTTAAGATTGTCTGCTAGATCCCAGAACATGCCACTGTTTATGTGAATGCAATCACACTTCACCACTTTATATAATCATTTTCAATGCGTGTATAAGGAAAGGTATTTAGATCCCCCCCACCCCTGCCATATTGTTTCCTTGCAAAATTAGGGTATATTCTGCTGACAAGCATGGTGTTCACAACCTTCCCATGCAGGAGCTACGATCACTGCTCCATTTTATGCGGGGGAAACTGAAGCTCAGAGAGGAGGAGGGACTTGCCCGAGAGCCCACAGCAATATTTGAAGCTGGGATCGCTGTCCTCAGAGACATTTACATTTTCCAAGAATCATACGTGTGCTAGGTCCACGGAGCCTACTGCCCCCAACCCCCACCCCAGGGAGATGCAGGTGTCTGGCACCAGGTGAGCCCGGGCTGGCATAGTCTTGAGGGCCTGCAGGCCAGGGGTCAGGAATGTGGGAGCCCAGCTGAAGGGGCCCGAGCCCTCCGGCAACTGGAAGGGGAGGGGCCGATGGGGTTGAGGCTGGGTAAACCCATGCATCTTTGTGGTTGACGAAGTGGGATTGTGTGTGTGAAGAGGGAGGCAGGCTTGGGGTGCAAGACCCCTTTGCTGGATGGAGCAGATGTGAGCCTTGGGAAAGCTGAATGCCACAGTGACAACAGCAGCCGCATTGACCCCAGATGTTGTGATGTCCCAGGCATGCCCCACGTGGGAGCACATGGACTGCAGAGGGAGACTCGGGGCGCTGGCTTTGTGCCAGACGGGGTTTGGGACTTCTTCCTCGGGGAAGTGAGAATAGTAATAATAATGCCCCCTCAGATTATTGTCAAGATTCAGGGGGCACCCAAGTTGTTTAGCACGAGCTCCAGCACCCACTAAGCACACAATAACCCAGAGCCATGATCTCTCTGCCTGAGCAGGTAGCAGGGTGGGGGACTGAGAGGCTGCAGAAAAGCCTCAGAGCCTCAGACCCCCTGCAGGCTGGGAGGGGCCCTGGGGAAGGTCGGCTGCTGACTTGGAGAGGTCGAGGCAGGGCTTGAGCTGGGCGGTTTACAGGTAGGGGTGCTCCCTGTGAGATGCCCCAGCTGGCATCAGTCTTGGGGCCCCAGGCAAGGCTGAGCCTCCCAGAGCCTCTCTGTAGGGTGGCTGGGTGCCTGTGATGGCCGGGAACCAGAGACCTTGTCAGGAGGGCTGACAGGTTCCAGGCAGAATCTCAGAGGGCCGCCCCTTTCAGAAGTGAACAGGAGGTCAGAGGACATGCCACATGGGCTCCTGTGGAGTCGAGATGCTTAATAGAGCCACATGTCTGGTGATGCCAGGACAACCGCCCAGAATGGTTCATCCCATGGCCCGGCCACACCCTCTCTCCAGCCCGTCTGAGGCAGTGCATGTGTCTGGAGTGGGCCTGGTGACACTCTTGCTCAGGTGGAGCTCTCCTCAGGGAGGGGTGCCCGGCCATCCCCTGACGTCTCCCCAGCCTGACCTAGCTCTCTCCCCCAGGTGGGCAGTCCCCAGTGTGCAGGGATAAGCTTGTCTACTGTCCCCAGAGCCTGACCTGGCCTTGTGTTCCCTGCCGGGTGCCGGCAGGGCTTGTAGCCTCAGCACTGACCATGCCTGCTGGGCACCCACTCAAGGGCTTGGGGGCTTCCCGGAGGAGGTGACAGCTGAGCTGAGACAAGAAGGACCCAGGCTGGTGAGGGAGAACCAGGGTCTCAGGGAGCACAGGGAGACAGTCCATAAAGTCACGGGGAGACTTTGGCCCAGGAGGGTGAAATCAGCACCCCAGACTCACCCCCAAGCCTGCCCCACTCTAGCCAGGGAAGGGTCGGGGCGGGGGGCTGGCGGCCTCTACTTCTCACTTCTTTGCTGTGGACACCCCCATGCCCCCATCTTCCTCCAGCAGCACGGGAATCCCCAAGGGCCCCATCAGTCCCAGCTCCTGAACCAGAGGTCTCAAACTGCAGGCTCTGCTGGAGGTCCGAATGTCAGGGGTCAGAATGTCAGCAACCTGTGCCTTCCAGCAGGGTCACCAAGGTGAGTTCCCTTGGGTGGAGGACAGACGGTGCTGTGCACATCACAGCTGAAGGCTTGGGCTCTCCTCCTGTCCCAGAGCCCTTCAGGGGCTTCAGGCCTCATGCAGAGCCTGTTTCCTTGGCTGATGTGGGATGTGTTTCAGCCCCAGGTCTCAGCCAGCGGTCGCCCAGCGGCACGGTCAGAGCCGGGCCTGCCTGGTTCCCTGGGCCGGCACTCTGAGTCCAAGGTGGCACGGTTGGGCAGTGACCTCTCCCTGGGCCCCCAACCTCTGACCTCCTAGGCACTGGCCCGAGCCATGGCTCCTGAAAAGGAAAACCTGGGAACTCCTTCAACGTCCACCATAGGTGATGATGGGCTCAGAGCACCATGGGGTGTGCCCAAGATGATGAGCCCCTCCCTGCATGTCAGTAACAGGGACACACATCTCTGATGCGTGGGGAGGGAAGAGTCTGAGTGTGTGAAGCTGTCTGTCCATGCAGGCCACACATGGATGGGGTGCAAGGACACGGAATGGAGGAAGACAGGACTCGGAGGACTCCCGTCTTACATGGCAATGTTTTTGTTTTTGCATCCACCGCTCTTGTATAAAGAGCAGTCTTTACAAAGTAATACCGCCTTGAGTTAACCCCACAGTTTATCTTGTAATGTGGAACAGTCAGGGTCAATTGAAGATGAGCATCCCCCTGAGGCTGACCCATAGCAGGGGCCGCTGGAGCCAGGCCCTTCGGGGTATTTGAGATTTCTTTAGCCAGGCCTGGGGGGCACTGGCAGGGAGGGCCTCCAGAGCTGTTCACAGCCTTTGTCTCCCCTCTGGGAAGGGCACTGAGTGGAGTCAGGTGAGGGGCCCGTGCTCGCCCACCAGGGTTGTTCCAAACACAGGCAGCCAAGCTCGCTGGCAAGCTCCCGGTGCCCTGTGAGCAGCTCTGACGTCGGTGGACAGTGTTCCCAGTGAGTCTGCCGTCAGTCCTTGCGCCCAGCATTGATTTTCCTTCCGCGGTCAAGCTAGGCTGTGTTGTTGGTACTCGCTGTACCTCCAGGTGCTGAGCAAGCTGACCTTGGCCTCCCTGGCCCCACGGCTGCATGAGGCTAATCTCCCCCTACACACCCCACCCCTCTGCCCCCGCCAACACCAGGGCACAGAGGGGCTGGCCCATGGCTTTCTTGAAACGGTGCATTTCATTTCTGATTATAAAACTAAAGCGTGCTTTGGTAGACAGCGTGGTGGATATGGGGAAGGATAAAAGGACATCGACCTGTTCTGACATCCCAGCACCCAGGGCAGGGACCCAGAGGGGAGATTTGGGCATATTTCTCTCCACTGTCTTCTCTGCAGGCATGACACAGGTGTGCACACACACATCCAGCCCACTGACATGTGCGCAAGCATGAACACATGTGGGACACTTGCCCTGCGCCACAGTGTGTGTGAGGCATGTGCACGTCCACTGCCCTCTGTGGAAGGCGTGTTCACACCTGTGCACATACCTGAGGCCACTCTATCACTGCAGGCCCCTGTGCATTTCGTGGGAGGCATGTTCCCATTTCATTAAGAATTCTCAGCTGGGCACCGTGGCTCACACCTGTAATCCCAGCACTTTGGGAGGCTGAGGCAGGTGGATCACGAGGTCAGGAGATCGAAACCGTCCTGGCCAACATGGTGAAACCCCATCTCTACTAAAAATACAAAAATTAGCTGGGCATAGGGACATGTGCCTTTAATCCCAGCTACTCAGGAGGCTGAGGCAGGAGAATTGCTTGAACCAGGGAGTCGGAGGTTGCAGTGAGCCGAGATCGCACACTCCAGCCTGGTGACAGAGCGAGACTCCATCTCAAAAAAAAAAAAAAAAAAAAGAACTATTCGTGATGGATCTACTCCAGGCCCTGCCTTGCCATCACTAGCCACAGAGCAACTCACAGCCAGTGCTCTCCTCACAGGGGTCTGAATGGCAAGGAGTGAGCCCCAGGATGACCCAGGACAAGCGGCAGCAACAGGGTGAGTTCCCAGGATGGTGGACAGGCTGTGTGCAGCTCCCGGCTCTCAGCGGGTACAGAGATCCCAGGGAAAGCCATGAGATGACTCCTGCACTTGTCCTGCCAGCAACCTGCAGGGGTGGGTGGGTGGGATCAAGAGTGACAGCAACCGCAGACACCCAGACATCCCCCAAAAGAGCAAGGGGGGCTCTGGGTGATGTTCCAGAGGGGCAGGAGCGAGGAGGGAGGCCAGGGGCACCGAGGGCATCTCATCACATGGGCTCTGTCCCAGCCACAGTGCTGTCTCTCCCAGAGCCCTGTGTAGCCTCCTGCCCATAGGTGAAGACCCAGCCTCAGCTCCCTGCACGCAGCAGGCCCACGCATCCATCCATCTGTTCACACCAGGAAGCCCAGAGGCAGGTGGACGGCCTCTGTCTTGGCAGTGCAACGTTGCTGGAAGCATCCTCCAAGAGTCACCTAGCCCCACAGACACTGATGGAGGACAGCAATGATGCTTCCTGACAGCAACCACCATTCACTGAGCATTCAGCAGGGGTGGGTGTCAGGGTCAGCCTCCACCACGTCACTGTGGGAACAGCCCCCAGGACCCGCTAACTCATTTTATACATCAGGAGGAAAGCCAGGGAGCGCGACACACTCTCCAGCTACCGTGGGGCCAGCACACTGTCCAGCCACCTTGGGCCAGTGAAACGGAAAAAGTTCCCTTGTTGCCCTAGCAGGGTGTGTGAGAAGGGGAGTGGCTCGCTTCTTCAGTGCTCTGCTGCCCAAACCTCTAGGGGAGCTTACAGACGGGCAGGCTGTGGAGCTCCGACCCCACAGCAGTGTCTAGGGGTGAAGGTTTACAGCTGAAGCCCCAGTGGGCGTGTGTCACGGGGGCTTTTTTAGTTTGTCGTCTGTAGGGTGGCTTGTGTTAGTCAGAGGGCTTTCTGGATCCTGGGGTTCTTGCCTTTGTGTACCAGAAGAGTCAGATCACACGTGGACTTGGAGAATGAGTGCAAGGTTTTATTGAGGGGAGGTGGCTCCCAGCAGATAGGGGAAGCTAGAAGGGGGTGGAGTGGGAAGGTTTTCCCCTGGAGTGGGGCCGCTGTGCACCCGGGCTGTCCTCCAACTGCCCCAGCCAAACTCCGTGTGGTTCTGCCAGTCAGTGGCCTGCCAGCATGCCGGTGCCTATCAGTGCGTTCATCTCGACATCCAGCCGCCCGTGTGTGTCTCCGCTGATGTGTTCCTCTCCACGTCCAGCTGCCTGTGTCTGCCTGCTAAGGTCTCGGGGGATTTTATAAGCACAGGATGGGGGCGTGGCAGGCTAGGGTGGTCGTGAGAAATGCAACATTTGGGTAGGAAGTGCCTGTTCTCACCTAGGTCCGTGGGGTTGGAGCCCTAGTCTGGGACCATGCCCTCCTCTACCCAGCACTTCCCTCCCCTGCTTCCGTATCATTTAAATGGACCACACTTTTCCCTTCCCAGCACTTGCCTTCCCTACCAACAGCACATTCTCTAGCCACCATGGGGTCAGCACACTCTCCAGCTACGTGGGGCCAGCAGCGGCTGGGCTCCAACTCAGGTCTGCACCAGACCCTCATTCTTAAACCCCTGCGTCTCGGCCTGCCCATGTTCCAGCTTCCCCAAGTCTTGACTCCCAATGTCCCAGCCTCCTTGAGGTCTCAGTCTCCCTGTTCCAGGCCTCAGCCTCCCCTGAGTCCCTGCCTAGCCCAGTTCCTACCTCCCACATCCCCTCCCCAGGTCTCTGCTACCATGGCCCACCCAGCTGCACCCCCACCCCACAGGTCTCCTGGGACCCAGGAGGCCACTCATGGGCTAAGCCTGGTGGCATCCGCGTGTAAACCTTGCCCTGAGCACACGCCCGTGGCTGTGGCTGCTGACTTTCACTGTGCATATTAAATGCCATTAAGATGGATGGGATTGGCTTTCAGTGTCCAGAGGACTGCAGCACACGGAGGAACAGCCGCCCTGCAGGGCCTCTCCCCGAGCTCTGGCGGGTGAGCCCTTGTGGGAGGGGCTGGGGAGCTGGGACCCATTTAGGGTGTGGTTGGGGGAGAAGGCAGGAGGCAGGTGGGACCTCCCCCGGAACCTCTCCTGAGACACCCTAAGGGCTGGGAATGGGAGCTACTTGGTGGGGGAACCCAGCAGGGGTTTCCTGTCCCTGGGCTGTGGCCATGACGAGGACCCTCCTGCTGTTGCCTCTCCCAAGGCCACTCGGCCCCTGCTCACTGTGCAACCTTACAGAGCAGCTCAGCCTCTCTGAGCCCCTCTGTCATCTTTAGCCACTGCCCACCAGAGTCCCCTGGGAGCCACTGGCCGAGGCAAGGCTGGGCAGGGGATTGACATAGGCTCTCACTCCTTCAGATGCCCTCAAATGGGATTCAACCCTGTCTTGACTCCTGAGACCTCCCAGCCTAGGCTCTGAGGGTCTGTCCAGACCTGCAGGTAGATGGCTGGGCCTGCAGGGACAGAGGCGGCCGGCAGAGGGCAGCAGAGGGCCACAGAACTGAGTGGCCGGCACTCACCAGGCCGGGATGTGGCCACCCTGCATGCAAGCAGCCCTGCCTCTGCCCTGGGCCTTGTCCCACCCCAAGACACCCCAGGCCCTGGCTAAGCTGTGGCAGGGAGGCCAGGCCTCACCCCTCTCCCTCCTGACACCTGCCCAGCCACTGGCTTGGGCCGCCGCCCTCCAGGCCTCTCCTGCCACCCACCCCAGCACCAGGCCCCCTGATGCCCCTGCTTCCCTCCCAAGGGTCCCTCCTAGACACCATCCTGGCCCAGCCAAGATGCCAGCACAGGATCTCCCCAAAACACTCTGGAGGACGGGTGAGGCTCCAGCACCTTCCAGGTGGCACTCATGATGAACAATCCCAGGGGCCACGCACCCTGGACCCACCTCCCCCAACACAGAGACCCCCAAACAGGCCCTCAGCCATGAGTATGGACACACAAGGCTCCCGGTGTATGGGCAAAGGGTTGACACTGGCTCATAGTGTGGGCACCATGTCACAGGGCGAGACGGAGACTCAGCCCCCAGGGTAGTGGCCAGTGCTGACCTTGGGCTAGGCCAGGGCCTGGCCATGCTGAACCAGGTCTGAGCATCCTCAGAGGCCAGCATCTCCTTGTGGGGTCCCCACAAAGGCAGCCATGGGCTGGGCCCACCTTGAGCTCAGCACCTTGAGGGCCACAGAGCCTCATGGCCCAGGCCACTAGTGGTCCCTTTATGTTCTCTGGTGACAGGAAGCCCCCCTTCCCGTCAGCCCAGTCTGTCAGCCCCCTCTGCCCTGAGGTGAGGCTTCTATGACTGGTGAGGCCCATGGTCCTGGCTCCAACCTAGCATTCCTCGGGACCCACTCCCATGCCCGGCTCCCTGCCAGACCCACACACCCAACCCAGCTAACACCAGCCCCACCCCATCCTTCCCCCAGGGGGGCAGTACCCTCCACTCTCCTTCACTGGTCCCCTCTCTGTCCCCTCTTCCTGCCTCCCCGCCCTATCCACTGGGCCCTCGTTGTCTATCCTCCTTCCACCACTCTTGAGAAACTTCCCGCACATGAGCACCCATCCTTCCCCACACCTGCTCACCAGGCCTGGCTGGGCCTGACCCTCTCCTGAAGTGAGGGCTGCAGCCTGGTCGGCTCAGCTCATCAGCACAGACTTGTTTCTGTCACAACAGCTGGTGAGGACTGAGCAGACCATGGGCTAGCCAGGTCTCCACGGCCTGCCCTGGGCACCGTGATGCTCCAGGGTGGTGCAATGAGGGAGGAGCTGCAGGTGGCTGACAGCTGGCCGAGGCAGAACACGCCGATCGGGGCTGCCCAGAGGGGAGGTGGGCCCTTGGGCTGAGGGAGCCCCAAGGAACAGAGCTGAGCCCTGGACAAGCAGCACCTGAAACCCACCCCACCGGGCTCTCACCAGCCCCATGAGCCCACCACACCCCACCCCACTGCATCCCGGCCAGGCTGGGAGCTGAGTGCTGGTCACTCAGGGTTTAACCCTAATGTCCACCTTGCATTGGGGGTGGTCAGCTTGTCTTTTGATGTTGATGGAGGGAGATGGTGGGGGCGTCCAGCGGGTTCTACCTGATCACAGCCTTTGCCTTCCTCTGGATGCCTCCCCTTGGGAAGCCCTGTAAGAAAGAGGCCTGAGTGCCCCGGGGAGAACCCCACACTTCCCAGAGGAAGTTGGGCTGGGGGCGGCACTGACCCCTAATCTGGAGCCCTGGGCTAGACATTGGAGGTTTTCATGTGTAAGGAGAGGAGGCCCCTAGGAGGCAGAGGAGAAGGGCTGGGAGGTCCCCAGGCGAGGCGTCCCGTGGGCCACACCTCAGCACCTGGCTTCCCCCCTCAGTTGCCAAGAAAATGCCACCTCCCCTGGTAGATGGCAGCACATGGGGCTCCCAATCAGGCGTGGGGTTTGGCAGACCTCTGGATCCTCAAGTCCCAAGTCCTGGTGTGGCGAGTGCGCCCCAGAGCTTGGCTGCTGGTGAAAAGCCTGTCTTCCCAATTATCTGCAGCCAGCTTGCCTCAGGGATAATTGGCTCCCTGCAGCTCCTGCCAAGCCCCTTGCCTCCAGAGGAAGCTGTTGGGGAAGAGGCTGGGCAGCACAGGCCCCGGAACAATCTCACTCATGTCAGAGCCCCAGATACACCAAGCAGCCTCTGCAGTCCCAGAGACAGCCCCCCAGGGAGGCCCCTCCTGAAAGGCGGATGGTGGAAGGAGGAGGTGCTTCCTGGAGGCTATGGTGCCCTGGGAGAATGGTTTATTCTCAACCTGGATATTCAGGTCTATAAGCTGGGAAGATGGGAGCTGCAGACCCTGCTGACGCCCAGCCCCGCCCCCAGCCCCAGCCCCGATCTCCCCCAGCCTGGCAGCTCCTCCAGGCTCACACACAAGAGCTCCAGCAGGTCCCAGCCTGGCCATGGCCCCACCTGGCTGCACACCTCTGTCCTCGGGGCCCGTCGCCCTTTGGTGCCCTCTGTCCAGCCTCCAGGAGCCTGCACCGAATGTCTGGAGGTCCCTTGGCAGGGTCTCAGGTGACTTTTGAGAAGCTGGCGAAACCACACGCTCCCTCCTAGGACCCAGCATCAACTCCAAAGCTTGCCTTCCTCTCCAGGACTCAGGACTGACACCTGCCCAGGGCATCCATGCACAAAAGGGCCCCTTCGCCAAGCGCCTGTCTAGCAAATGACAGCCCAACTCAGCAAATGCCCACACCTCCCCAAGGGTCCCCAGGACATGGGCTGCCTGGTCCTGCTGACTGAAGGCCCCAGCACCTGCATGACGGTGGGACTGTCTGATTCTGGCACGTGCCCCAGGAGCAGCCCCTGCGGATGAGGGCTGCTGGCCAGGTAGGCACCCCACTGAACTGGCTTTGTCTCACGCTTCCCTGAAGCAGTGTTTTCAAGGACAGGGGCAATTTGAAACAAAGAGTTGGCTGATTAAAGGAGCACCCTCCTACCACTAACAAAAGATGGGCCAGGGCCAGAGCCAACACCGTATGCCACAGCACGCAGAACAAAGGCCTCATGCCCTGTCCCAGGCTGGCCGTGTGTCCCCTCCAGTCCTGTCCCTGGGCTTCCTGACTGCCTCATCTCCACTGTCTCTGGTAGCCACCCTCATTGCACCTTCCTCCATGCTGCCCTCTGAATGAGGCCACCATGTCCAAGGGGACATGGATGACTCCAGCTGGCATGGCCTTGCCCATCCCTTGGGGCTGCAGCACAGTGGCCACCCTCTTCTCACTGCTGGGAATGTTCTGGAGCTGAGTTGGTGCAGGGAGGGTGAAGAGGCCCCGAGCCCTCCACACTCCCACCTCTGGCAGCAGTTAGCAGCAGCTGGGGAGAGAAGGGTGTGAGCTCTTGCAGACATGGCACCCCAGGGTATCCTGTGCCAGGGAACACTTTGGCCATGAAGGGACTGTCGGGGCATGGCAAGCTCTGGGGGGCATCGAGGGTGCACTGACAGCACTTGTAGGGGAGCATGGTCCCAGTCTCTGCACTGTCCAGTCAGACAGGCCTGGCCTGAGTTCCAACTGCCTCTCCCAGCTGTTTGACCCCAAACATCATGGTTTTCTGGCCTCTGGAATGGTGCTGGAGAGGGATGAAAGCATCACCGGGGGTGCAGGAGGAACCACAAAGTCCTGTGGAAGTGCATGGCAGCCGTGAGCCTTTCTTTCTGACTATCTGAGACCCCAGGAGGGGCTGGGCGCTCGTCTGGGCTGAAGTCTCACAGTGAGGGGCGGCGGCCCCAGCCAGGATGCACCATTCATTGCCATTGATGAAGTCTGGGAAGAGAGGTGGTTTGGGGGACATCATCCCGGGTCCCCGGGGACCGGAGGGTCCCATCTTTGGAACGGAGGGGCCAGGGGCCATTCCAGAACAGTGTCCAGGAGAGAATGGGCTCTAAGCCGGCCATCCAGCCCCCTGCTGCCATGTGGGGCTCTATGCTGAGTGCATGGCCTCCCAGCCCCCGGCCTGTTTGATGGCTTCTCTCCTCCCCTCTCTGCTGCCTGGTCCCCTGGAGCTCTCCCTTCCCCAGCATGGGGCTCAGTTAAAGAAAAAACTGATGCCAGCAGATGAGGGGAGGAACAGCCCTGCTGGAGGCAAGGTGGGCGTGGGGGGAGCTTGTCTCCCCCGATGCGCAGGCAGTGGCTGGGGGAGCGTCTTCGGGGGTGGGGGATGAAAGCTCAGACTCTGGCCTGTGGGTTCCAGCTCTAGGCTTCCCAACCCCCAGGATCCCCAAAAGGTCTGTAGTGTCCTGGGCACCCAGGCCCTGATCTCGGGGGCAGGGGGCACAGTGCCTCCCACAAGCGGCTCTCGGCCCAGCCTCAGGGCTCCTCATGCACACCCAGGGCCTCTGGAGTGGGCAACTCCTGCACCCTCCGCTTCCCTCAGCTCAAAACCAGGGCAGGTTCAAAACGCGCGTGCAGCTCATCGTACACACGGGTTTGGAATTTCCAACGTGGTGCCTCCAATTTCACAAAATATTGCCCCACTTTAGACTTTCTCAAGGAAAGGAAATGGGGGCTGGGAGGGCCCAGGGCCTGTGGAGGGTGGGGCTGGGGGAAGCAGCCATGGGACCCTTTCCCCGCTGCTTTCAATCTGGCTCAGATATTTTTTAGATGAAATAAAATCTGATACAGTGGTGGTTTCTGCACTGGCCCCAGGGTCTGGGGTCAGAATTCCCCCGCTGGGGCACAACAGGTGCCATTTCCCATGTTTGGGGGCTCAGGGAACAGGGTGTGAGCCATGAGGGGAGGGGCTTGGGAAGGTGGGGACGGGCCGCTGGAGGCCGTGGGCCGGCGTCCTGGTATGGCAGCCTCCACCGCGGCAAGCAGGTCATTTGATGCCCAAGGCCCAGGGCCCCCTGTCCAAGGTGAGGAGCCGTGGCTGGGTCTCTGGGGAGGCCAGGCTGCCTGCAGTGGACCGGCTGTACCCTGGAGCCCCACGCTAATGCCCATCCTCAGATGCTCCCAGCTCTGGCTTGCCTCAGGGCCTTGGCACTGGTGACCCCTCCCGGTCTCCTGCGCTGTCTTCAGAGCCTATGGCAGCAGCCCCACCTGAGTTCCAGCTCTGCAGTCTGCTTTGGGCTACGTTTCCTCACTGCAGGCCCAGCTGGCTCTCAGCATGGTATCTGCCCGGGTGCCCGCATCACAGAGACTGGGGTATGGAGGATGGCAGGCTCCCAGGGACCCTCTGGGCCGATCTCCAGGTTGGGTGCATGCTGGACACTCACTCCATTCTGCCCTCCATTTGCCCATGCTCCGTCCACCCAGCCAGGCACGGAGGGTCAGGGGTGTGTGGGCAGGTGCTGCTCAGAGGCCCTGGCTATGGGGCAGGGGGCCCAGCCTCAAGACTGCGGCCTGGCCCTGAGCGTGGGCGCAGCCTGGCTCCCCGACTCTCCCTCCCCATAAATAAAAGATTCCCTTCCTCCTTCCAGCTTGCGCAGCCGCCGCCTGCTCGCCGGCCCGGCCCTTTGTGCCCACGCGTTGCCATGGAGATGGGCGATTCAAAGGCCTGGCACTTCAAGGCTTCCCTCCTCTCCTGGCGGGCCGGGGCGGGGGTAGCCGGGATGGTTGCCCGAGCCCCAGTGGGTGCTGCCTCCTCTCTCCGTCCAGCAAAATGCCAGATCCTGCCAGGGCTAGGGCACCCACCAATTCTCACTCTGGTGTGGGTGGCTGACTCTGGCCCCTACCCTGGAAACAGATGCGCTTTTACGGGACCTTCTTCAAAGTTTGATAGAATAAGGGAAACTGAGGCACAGCTGGTCCCTTGGCCACCGTGGGGAACACAGAGCCAACTCCCTGTCTCATGCACCATTTGCACAGTGTGCTGGCCAGGTTATCAGGCTCCAGGACGTGGCCCTGCGGAGAGGCTGCCCTTCCTCCATCCCAGCATGGACGGCCCAGGGCTGGAAGCCGGGATTTGGGGTGAGCTGCACCGGGATGACTAATCCAGCCACAAAGCCGTCCCCTCCGCACTCTGCCCGCCATGCGGGTTGGAGCTATCTCTGAGTCACCATCGAGACGTTGAGAATGTCGCAGGGTCTTTGAGGCTCTTCTGCTCCCCCCAATCCTGTTCCCCACTCATACTTTTTATCTCCCCACAATCTGCCCTTTGATGATCTCCTAAGACTCATGCAACCAGCAGAATCGACAGCAGCACTTTCTGGTTCAGCCACTGCCTCCCACCTACCCCATTGCGGCAGCCACTTGGTATTTGTTGCCTGCTCACTGTGGCAGCCAGGCAAGTCTGGGACCCCTTAGAGCCTCGGTTTCCTCTCCTGTGTAATGGAAGCAGTTGTCCACTCTTAACAAATGTCCAGAGATGTCTGGGGGCCAGGTCTCTGTGCTGGGCCTGGGAACAAGACACCTGATTTTGGGGGAGATTCTTCCCCCTTGCTCCACCCCATGAACTCTGGTGAGGGTGACCACCACACACCACAGTTACTTCCCGGCCCCAAGTGGCTGGCCCATCAGGGACTTCCCAGGAGTCACAGGTTGGAGGGAAGGAAGCCAGGGAGAGGTGGCAGAGCCGGCTGCACCCCAAGGCTGTCTCCAAGGGGCCCATCCTTGGCCTCCATCCACCCCTCCCTGGCCCGGACCCCTGTCCTGCCTCAGCAGCCCAGCCCACGGCAGCTGTCCCTTCACCGGCTGCAAAGATGGTGGCCCTGGTCCTGGCCGTGGAGCAGGCAAGGCGCGTGGAACATAAAGAAATATGGTTGTGAAGTGGCCAGGCCATGGAGGAAGCTCGGGGGACCTCGATGTCTACATTAAGACCTCCCAGGAGTGGGTTGTCCCTTCTGGAAGGGTGCTGGGGACAGCCGTGTGGCCCTTTTCAGTGGAAGGATCCCACATCCTCAGGCAGTGCCATCACATCCCCCGAGAAGCCCTGAAACCCAGGCATGAGGATGCAGCTGGCCCGGTCCTGGCAGGGAAGGGAGCGCAGCAGCTGGGCTCCGGCTCGCCTACCCACTGATCGCCAGTGTCCTGGGTGAGAAAGCAGGGGGCTTTTGTGCACACATGGGCCTCGGGACTGGGTCAGGGCTCAGGCTCCCCAGACGGGAGAAAGTGCATGCAGGGCCACTGGCTCCCCAGCTGAGGCTGAGGGAGGCGTCCTTGCCTTCCGTGCTCAGAGCCCTGTCTCAGGTGCTTGGCGCTCTTCTCTGCATCTTGGGTTTCCAGCAGGCCTGCCCCGCCCCAGGACTTGTGGGGAGGCTGGGACTGACCGCGATCCCCCAGGAACAAGGCAGATGATTGATAGAACTGGGCCCCGCCTGCTCTCTCAGCCCCCAGAGCCCCCAGAGGTGAGCTCCAGATGTCACCAGGGCTAATTTGGGAGCCCCTGCCCCATAGAGGAAACCCCCTGCACCAGGCAGAGCCCCGCTTGGCCCCCGCTTCAGCCGAGGGCTGCGGCCCACACTGCCACCTCCCCTACCCTGCGGCGGAGCTAGATGATGGCTGTTCTGTCAAGGGGGCCCTCGGCCTAGAGCATCAGCGCCACTCGGCCAGGACTAGTTCAGGTGGTAGTTCGGGGCTTTGACCCCGGCCTGTCTGATCTGCAGGCCGAGCATCCCCCACCACACTGTTTTCTACAGGTTGGAATGGAAAGGAGGCCAGAGACCAGGAGACCCAACCACAACCACGCAGGAGAGGGCTGGTCAGGGCTGAGGCTGCTGCCCCTGACCTGAGAGCAACAGCACCATGCCCCTCCATCTGCCATCTGCACACAGGGTCGCCTCCAGCCCACAGGGCAAGGGGGCCGGGGCTGGGTCCTGAGTGCAGGGGTGTCCTTGGCAGGGTAAGAGTCAGCCTAACTCAGACTCCACTGCCACACTTTGCAGTGAGACTGACAGGTGGAATAAACCCACCAGGCCCCCCAGCACCAGGAAGAGCTCTTCGGAGTGGCCCAGGCCTGGCCATGTCCCTGAGAGAGGGGTACTGCTGGTGCGCCCTGAGCGGGGGGTGGGCTGGGCCCTACTGCTTGGTTCTATCTCAGATTTTTGCTAATAAGCCCGTCTTTTTTCTTTTTTTTTTTTTAATAAACTTTTCAACTTTAGAACAGTTTTATCTTTGCTGAAAAATTGAGAAGACAGTACAGAGAGATCGCATCTACCACACACCAGTTTCACCGTTGTGAGCATCTGGCATTGGTAGGTTAGAGTTGCTGAGCCAATAGCGGCACACTATTATCAGCCATCGTCCATGCAGTGTTCACATTTCCTTCGTCCTTACCGATGTCTTTTTCTCCATACCAGGATCTGATTTTGGTCATTGAAATTGCCAAAAACAAGGGGACACAGGAGTGTGTTTGGCCAGGTGGGCCACCTGCTGCTGCCGCCCCCAGATGTTCATCCCAGCCCCCCACACACTCGGGGGATTTTCAAAGGGTCTCACGTGTTGGGTGCCAGAGACACCCTCCTGGGCCTCGGATTCCTCCTCTGTGATGAAGGCGGGGGCTGCTGGCTCCTCCATACCACGCTCGGCCCCCAGCAGACAGGCAACAGGGGCCTTGTCCCACTGTAGCTGTGGTCAGGTGGTCCAGGGCTAGACGGTCCTACGGGGAGCTGAGGCCCCCACCTCGAGATCTCCCTGCCCAAGACACCAGTGGGGTTGGGGTGGGTCAAAGGCCTGTTCCTCCAGGGCCCATAGGAGGGGCTTCTTAATCTGAGGGTGAGAGGGTTTGGGAGGTGACACCCCAACTCCCACCCCAATTCTCACCCTCCACTTCTCACCCCACAAGCTATCACCATGACTGCCCACCTCCACTTCTCACCCCCACCTCTCATCCCTACCTCTCACCTGCCGCTCTCACCTACCACATCTCACCCCCAATTCACACCCCTACCTCTCACTCACACCTCTCACCTTCCAGTTCTCACTCCATTTCTCCCCTCTCAACCTCTTCCTGCCCTGAGCTCAGCCTCCACTGAAAAGGTGGCCTTTTCCCCAGATAGCTGGGCAGGGGCTGGACCGGACAGATTGCTGGCAGGGGAGGCACACTTGCTGTTCTTTGGTGAGAGTGGCTCTTGCCTCCTATGATCCTGGAGCTCAGGCCTGTCCAGCACCCCTCCTGGAGGCAGCAGGGTGGGTGTGTTCCTGCAGACATGGACAGACCACCTTGGCACTCAGGGACCAGCGACCCAGCCCCTCATCCGGGCAGCCATCCTGGATCACTCCCCGCTGCTCTAGCTGACCGGCATCTTAGCACCTCCCCAGGGAATGTCCCCAGGCCCTGCAAACTCAGTCCTGTCAGCCCCAGCCCGCTCTGGGACCCCTCAGGAATGCTCCTTTCCTCAAGTCCTCTTCCTCCCACGGCCTCCATTCCCCCGGATTCTCTGCTAGGAAGTAGATCTCACCCTGTTTCACCATCAGGGAAACTGAGGCTGGGAAGGTAAAGATACTGCCCAGAGCCATGCCTGTGGGAGGCCTGGGACTTGCTGGTGGCCTGTGAAGGTTGGGCAGGGGGGGACAGCTTGAGTCCGCAGGACCACCAGGACCACATCTGGCAGTGGAGGCCTAGGGTGAGGGACTGGGGCTGAGCAGGGCCTCTGTGCTGCCACTGTTGAATGTGACACGGCTCCTGAGAAGCAAGACCAGAGACAAGTTAAGCAGGCCTCTGCTAACGGGGCGCTAACAAAGACAAGAAGGGTGAGCAGGCATCAGGAGCGCTTGGGGACTCGCGGTGGGATGGCCATGAGAACTCGGCCCACGGCCATGTCAGTGGTGGCAAGGAGAGGATGGATGTCAGCTGGTTTTTATTTTATTTTATATTTATTTTTATTTTTTTTTAATTATTTTTCTAGAGGGTCTTGCTCTGTTGCCCAGGCTGAAGTGCAGTGGCACAATCATGGCTCACTGCAGCCTCGAACTCCTGGGCTAACGTGATCCTCCCGCCTCAGCTCCCAAGTAGCGGAGACTACAGGCGTGCATCGTAACAGCCAGATAATTTTATTTTTTAATTTTTATAGAGACTGGGACTCACTATGTTCCCCAGGCTAGTCCCGAACTTCTAGCCTCAAGGGATTCTCCCCGCTCTGCTGGGATCACAGGTGTGAGTCACTGCACTTAGCCTGTTTTACTTTAAAATATATATATTTCCTGTTTTGAATGGGTATCCTCTCCTTCCACCCCATCCCCAGCGACCTGACACCCCCAGCTGTACCTGCAGGCGGTCCCCCTCCTCACCCCCACTAGACATATCTGTGAGTGCCTCACCCCGGCCCCACCAGACCCGCAGGCCTCTCCCTGCCCTCCAACAGCCAGACCTGTGGGAGCCCCTAAGCAGCCCCCCTAGGGAACCCCCAGCCTGATGCGGCTGCCATCCCTGTGGGTGAGGGGCAGCATCTCACTGCAGCTTAGATCCGCATGTTTCTCACTCTGAGTGAAGGTCAGCAGGGGGTGATGGGAGGTTCCTTTCATGCCTTTGCCCATTTTTCTCTTGGGCTGTTGCTCTTTTTCTTACTGATTTGTATTGAGAACCAAAAACGGCCCTTTGTGAACTGAGTTGCCGATGTTTTTACCCTTTGTTGGTTATCATTTTATGGTGGTTTTTTTCTCTCCATGCATCTGCCTTTTATTTTCACGAGGTTGAATATACCCATCTTTTACTTCATGGCTTCTGGGTTTTGTATAATTCTTAGAGTGACTCAAGATTGGTTTTTTGCCATCCATGCTTTCTTCTAGGAGTTTTATGGTTTCATTTTTACTTTTTAAATCTTAGTTCCACTTGGAACTTGTTTTAGCGTCAAGGAGTGAGGTAGGAATCCAAATGTTTCCTCCATATGTCAATTCCGTTGTCTTAAGGCCAAGTGTTGATTGTATATGTGGGATTATTTGTTGAATATTCCATCTCTCCTCTTGGATTTGACCTGCCTCTTCTCATATTTGCATTTGAGCCTCTTTCTGGACTCTTTCCCATCGTGTGACTGTCCAGGGTCTGTGTTAATTATCATGGTCTTAGAATATAAGGCGTTTCAGGATGCGACATGGCCCATCTCTCTCCGTACGTTCATTCTTTCATGTGAACTTCACAATTGCTCTGGATGGGCCTCCTGATTCATTCAAGGAACAAGCCATCAGGCTTCAGCCAGGCCAGAGAATGGGCCGTGGGTCCCAGCACTGGGCTTTCATCTGGGTTCCATCCGATTGGCCTGTGCCCCAGGGCCTGGCTCCTCGGGACTCAGCCAGTCCTGCCGGTGGAGTGCATAGGCATGACGCTGAGTGCTGGACTCTGTTTCCACGAGAGGCCTTGGGGTGGAGGGGTGTCCCAAGGGAGTGGCCGAGGCAGAGGACCCTCTTTCTGGATGTCCTCACTTGCCCATGGGAAGGGAGGTGGTCCTGGCTGAGCCACAAGGCCCTGCAAGCCCAGGCCCTGCACACATGCACCTTGGTAGAGCCAGCCAGAGAGGCCTGATGACCAGAGCACCTAAGCGGCAAGGGCAGGCAGGAGTGCCCAGGAGGGAGCCAAGCTGTGGCCGCTCTGCTGAGCCATCCGTTCCAGCAGGCAGCAGGCAGCGGACTGAGAATGCTCAGTTCAGAACTCGAGCCTGGGCATGAACCGGAGCCTCCAGAAACCTGCCCCTTAAGCGGGTCGGCTAAGAGTGGCAGCTGGGAGCTGGAGACCCAGGACACAGGCAGCCCCCAGCAGCCCATGTGGCCTCTTCTCAGCCACACCCCGAGGGCCCCAGGCTCTGCTCCCACCATGGCCGGCCTCCTGGGAGCCCCTCGCCTGGCTGGATGGGCCAGTGGGGCGGGGGCATTGAGCAGAGGGTGGGTGGGGCCAGCAGACCCCAGATGTCCGGACACAGACTAGGAGAAGCGCCTCTAAGGCTGGCAGCAAACCCCGGCCAGCCTGGACCGTCAGCAGGAATCCTGGCTAAAAATATCCCAGTCTCAGAGGCCTGCCGGCTGCTGCAGCCTCCTCAGAGCCCCCTCCTCACGCTGGGCACCGCCCCTGTGCCCCTCCACCTCCCTTGCAGGCAATAAGGCCTGCGGACACAGGAGGAAACTTAGGCCCTGTGCCAGTGAGTCCCAGCCCCAGGGCCTGGCCTCCAGGACTGCCCACAGAGGCCCCCATCTCACTGTAAGGCCCCGCCCTGCTCCGCACCCATGAGCCTGGGAAGGGGTCAGGGCAGGCCCCATCACGACTAGCTCAGGCAGGGGCACAGGCTCTGCTGGCCCCACCCTGCACAGCTCCCTGTCCCATGGCTCTCAGAGGCAGAGCCACTGGCTGGGGGGCAGAGCCCCAAGGACTTGGTCTGAGTCACCCTAGCAGAATGTGGGGTGCTAGGTGGGCTCTTCCCAGTCACCCCTGTGGGCTTCAAGTGACCAAATGGCATGGCTATGCCCTTTATCCTGGAATCACTGACTGGGGGACTCAGGCCAAGGCCCGCCTCCCAGGCACTCAGTTTCCCCACCTGTAACCAGTGGGGATATGTGGAATGGGGGTCCAGCAGAGGTATGCAGGGTGTTACAGTCTGCCTCCCAGAGTGTTTGTTGAGTGACTGAGGAAGTGAGCAGATGAAGGCGGCAAGGGAGGCTGTGGAGGGTGGGGCTACTGAGCTCAGAGTCAGGCTGGCCCTTTTGCGTCCTTGACGGAACCCTGTGGTAAGCCCTCAGCCTCTCCATCTGGGAAACGGAACAAACCTGCATGCTGCATGGATTGTGGTGGCCCAGAGTGGGGAACCCAGGGGCCCAGGGAGCTCCTACAAGAGCAAGGCTGGGCACTGGCCAGCCGAAGCATCCCAGGGGCCATCTCACTATGGCCCCAAGATGGGTTTGGCGGTCTACCCTGCCTTCCACTCCCCACCCACTCCTGCTGACAGCTATCACCATGCCTTCCCTGCCTTCCCTGCCCCACTGGGAGCTTGTGGGTGTTTTCAGCGGGTGCCCCTCCCCCCCGACCCGGTTTTGACTGCCCGCTGGGCTCCTGGTGTGAACAGCGGCTCCCAATTTAGCTGTCACTGCCAGGTGGGTGGCTCTAGAAGGATCCACACTCCCTGCAGGGGCGGGGGAGGGGCGTGAAGCCACAGCGGATGCCTTGGGCACAGCCCAGGGACCCCCGCCTTCCGGAGCTCTGCCCCTGCACCAGATTTGGGCCTTCAGGGACCAGAAGCCGCCTACTCCCCAGCCCCCACCAGCCGGCCTCCCCAGAGAGAGGCCACCAACTCGGTTGTGCCCACTGAGAGAAGACCCTGAGCCCATCTGCTGGCAAACACAAGTGGCCCGAGGCTCATCTCAAGGTCCAGGAGCCCTGGGGACTCACCCCTTCCTCTAGGCACCAGGAAGAGTGGCGGACCAGGGTCCAGGTGCCAGCCTGGCATGTCCCACTTGGCCGAGTGTCCTTTCATCTCCGTTCAGGCTCCCATCCTGGAGATGGGCCACAAGGGATCCAGTCCAGGGCTGGGGGACGCAGAGGTAAGGGCCATCACTGTGCAATGCATACGTCCCATTGACGGTCCCCAGCAGCCTCCAGGTGGTGGGAGGTGCGCATGGTCCGTCAGGGGGCCTGCCTAGTGTGGCACAATCCAGGATGCCATTCTGTGGGAGGAGGCCCTCGCTAGTGAAGGGTCAGAGGCATTTGGAGATGGGCAGGCCCAGTGGGATTCTTGGGGCCACTGCCAGGGTTTGGTTGTCGGTCCCTTCCTTGTGCCAGCCCCCTTTGCTGCTGCTGTGGCTTTGATGAATAAGAGATGAGGAAGCAGATTAATTATGGCTTAACATGCACCAAAGTTGGGCAGAGGGACTCCTAGGGATGGGAGTCCTCAGGGGTGCAGAGCTGATAGGGGAAGGCCAGGACACCCTCTGCAGCCCCGGGGATGGGGGATGGTGAGAGGCTTCTGGAGGAGGCGGAGGCTGTGGACAAAGAGAGGGCAGAAAGGGGCTGCCAAGATGTGGGTCCACCTAAGCTCCCCAGACCTCCTTCTCTGGTCTGGAAAATGGGTAGTGGTAGTAGTGTCTACACTGTAGGATTGAATGGGATGACTCACTCAGCAGGCCTGGCACAGAGTCCTCTTAGGCCTTGGGCATGCAGCCGCCCTCCATGGTGAGAGCAGATGGCAGGCCAACACCCCCCAGCTCCCTGGCACTGGGACCACATCCCCAGCCGCCCACTCAGAGTGCAGGGAAGGTCAGTCACATTGACACACTTGGGCAGCAGGCATGTGCTTGCCACATGACCTTCTAGCTTCCTTCTTGGTCTCTCCTTGCATTGGCCTGGAGTGGCCCAGAATGTGTGGAGCAAAGACCCAGTTTCCTTGCTGCCCCATCCCTCCCCAGGAGACACTGAGGGCCTGGATGTCCGTGAGTACCGCACAGGCATGCCAAGGAAAGCCATGGCACGCCTATCTCTCCAGGCAGGAGATGAGTCTTCCCAAGCCCTGGGAAGCAGTGACCTTCCAAGGAGGCTGAACCGTGTCCCTGTCAGCCCAAGACAGGCCACCGCGAAAGTTCCCCTCATCTCAAGCTGGCTTCTATGGGCAGTCCTGGAGTTTTGAGTGAAAACCCTGCATGATCCTCTCAGGGGACAGGCGAGGTGAACAAAGGAGGGATGGTGACCAGCTGACCAGGACCTGAGGCATTAGCGTCTGCCTCGTCCACATGCTGTGCAAGCTCAGCGAGGCCAAGGGACTGGGCTGAGGTCACACAGCTGGGCAGGGCCCTCATGACCGGCATGCTGGTCGTGGAGGCTGAGCCCCACATTTTGGGTGTGGGTGTGGGTGGGAGGTGAGACAGCCCCTGGCCTCACTGTAGAGGGGTGGTGGGCTGGGGAAGCTGGCAAAGAATGTGCCCCACATGGTGGGTGTGAGGTGGGGAACGATTCGGGCAGATGCCCGTGTGGCCCTGCTGACCCAGTCCAGGCAGGGTGTGACAGGTCTGTGTGGCCCTGAGGGCACAGCTGTCTGCAGTCTCCAGCTCACTCCTGATCCCCAGGGCCACGTGTCCAGAAAGCCTGGGAGCTTGCATCAGCTGGGCACAGATGGCCTGTCCTCCCAGCACCCCTGATGGGGCTTCCTAGGAACTGACTGGTGTAGACTCCGGGCAGCAGACGGCCAGGCTCTGCCCACAGGGTCCCTGGCTCCTCCCACAAGGTGACCCGATAGAACTGGTTGTGCCCCTTGACCAGGGGCTCCAGCCCTTGTCAAGCCCTCCCTGCTAGCCCCTCACCAGCCGTCAGCTGCTCCCCTTCTTGCCCGTTGGGCCCTGGGGGGTGATGGCTCCGTGGTCGCCTGCCCAAAGAGTACACCACTCCCCATGCTACCCCTCACCCGGCTACACCCTGAAAAATGTGGCTTACCAAACCCTCCCACATGCGCAGCCTGAGAAGTGGGCTGTGCCTTGCTGGTAGCAGACCCACCGGCTGCCTAGCCCTGCTCAACTCTGCCTCTGCACCCCCATAACTCCCTATCAGCGCTGGCCGACGCCTAACCATCCCAGCTAGCACCCAGGAGTGGGCCCAGCTTCCAGTGGGGAGGGTGCTGGCCAACGTGCTGACCGAGGTGGCGGACACAGGAAACCAGCCCATCCCCCAGCGCTCCCTCTGCAGGCCTCAGCCCTGCTCCCATGCAGAGACCTGTGGGGAGGTGGAGGCCCAGGTCCCAGCGCAGAGCAACCGGGAACAGCCAGGTTGGTGGCTGGAGAGGGTGCTGGTGCCAGAAGCCTCCAGGGCCACCCCTGCTCCCCATTTCACCCCATGCCCATCCCATGCCCCAGAATGGTCACTTCGGCTGCGGCAGGAGGGGTGGGAGGGGCTTTAAACCTATGAGATAGGGTGTGGGGTCACAATCTTCAGCTATAGTGGGCTGCTCTGGGTCACTGGTAATTGAAGAGACGCCTGCGGAGTAAGCAAGCAAGTGTCCTCTCAAGGCCTTTCTGCAAGCACAGAGCAGCCCGAGACTGGAGCCTGGTCCACCCCAGCGCTGTCCTCAGACTGATGGTCAGTGCCACGTGACTCATCTAGGGTCTGATACATCCCTGTGGAGAGAGCTCAGTTCCTAGCCTGGGGGCTGCTGTGTGCAGGGACCCTGGAGAAGAATGCTTGTCTGGGGGTCAGGCCTCAGCCTCCCACTGGCTCTGTGAGCTTCGCCTGAGGTTCCCTATCTGTGCAATGGGTGATGACGTCTTGGTGTGGCTCTGGGAGGACCTGTTGAGCCACCTCAGGGGCTGAGCTGGTGGCACTCGGCAGCCAGCACCCTCTGGGGAGGTGGCAGTGTGTGCACAGCCCACCCCTTCAGGAGGCCAGGGGACAGAGTGGCTGGGGGTGTCTGGGCCCCACCTCACCTTCTGTGTGGCTGGGAATGGCATGCACTCCACAATGCCCTCATAAGCCTAGGCTGGGACAAGGGTGATAGGGATAAAGCAGGCCAAAGTGATGAGGGCCACAGAGCGGCAGCCAGAGGCATGTGGGCAGTGCAGCCTCCACACCAGGCAGAGGGCCCACCCAGCATGGCTCCACCCTGCGAAGCTGCCTGCCACTGGGATCAGATGGGAGCACCAGGGCTCTGGGAGGTCCTCACTTCCTCTGCACAAGGCAGGCAGGTCACCGGCCCTGCGCCCTGCTCATCTCCCTCAGGGCCACCTCCATGGCCAGGGGCAGGCAGAGGGCACAGGGGTGCCCAGTCACCAGGTCTCTCTGCTTCATATCAGTGGACCTGGGCTCTGAGGGGGGCCATCAAGGCATCAGGCTGGCCCACTCCGTCCTTGAGTCAGGGTCCTACAGACTGACACCAGGTGGGCCTGCAAGACCCTCATCTGCATGGTCCTCTCATGCAGGGTGGGCCTGGGGAGGACCCAGCCCGGCTGAGCTGACTCCCAGCACTTCTCCAGGTGCAGGGGCAGCCTGGCAGTTGTCTGAAGACCCCGGGATGCACTTAGGAGCTCATCGGTGAGGCCCGGTAGGTGCCCCGAGCAGAAGATTGAGAAGGGACACCTGCACCCCTGTGTGGTGTGTGCAGGGGCGTCACTGGATTCTCTGGCCCCATGCCTCACACCGCCCGTGGGGGGCTGGCTTGGTAGAGTGGGGGGATACTAAGCAGGTGACCTCGGAGAGCGTCTTCTGGGTTTGGAGCCCCCATTCCGCAGAAGGGAAGAGGTGGGGGACCCCTGCAGGGTTACGGGTAACATCAGGCCTAGGTCCCTTCTCTAGGATGGTGCAGAGAGGGCCACAAAGGCCCAGGAGGGCCCCCAGAACTCTCTTAAGCCCTGAGCCTGTTTCTTACTGAAAAATGGGGGCGATCGTGCTGCAGCAAGGGGCTTCTGTGCAGGGGGCGGGGGATTCATGGGTTTCGTGAGGCCAGGAAGGGAGTGGGTCAGGCAGAGGCCATTCCTAGGCCTCGGGACAAAGCCCTTGCCCGCTTGGGGACCGGGCCAGCCTAGGCCGCCACACCCTCGGGCCCGCGTCCCCGGCCGGCTCCGGCCCGGGCCGCCATCCCCTCCGCCGCCTGCAGGGGCCGCCGCCTCTTCAGGAATGCGCCGCCTTTGTCTGGGACCGCGCGGCGCCGGTGCACCGGGCGGGCTGAGCGCCTCCTGCGGCCCGGCCTGCGCGCCCCGGCCCGCCGCGCCGCCCACGCCCCAACCCCCGCGCCGCCGCCGCCCTCGCCCTGTGCGCCCTGCGCGCCCTGCGCACCCGCGGCCCGAGCCCAGCCAGAGCCGGGCGGAGCGGAGCGCGCCGAGCCTCGTCCCGCGGCCGGGCCGGGGCCGGGCCGTAGCGGCGGCGCCTGGATGCGGACCCGGCCGCGGGGAGACGGGCGCCCGCCCCGAAACGACTTTCAGTCCCCGACGCGCCCCGCCCAACCCCTACGATGAAGAGGGCGTCCGCTGGAGGTGAGTGTCCGCGCTGCACCCGAGCCCGGCCGGCGGCGGGGCGCGGAGGGGGGCGGCTCGCCCCCTCCCCGGAGCCGCAGGGCCCGTCCCGGGCTGCCGAGGCGAGGGAAGCGTAGCCGGGCGGCAGGGAAAGCCACCGCAGTGCCGCGCCAGGCTGGGGCCGCTGGCGCCCCGGCCCCGGGAGGGCGGAGCCGGAGGCGGCAGGAAAAGTTGCCGCTTCCCGGGAAAGTTGACGGCTTCGGCAGGGCCGAGGGTGGCGGTCCGAGGGTCCCCGATGCTGGGCCAAGTCGAGGGCGGGGGCCGTGGGCTGGAAGGGCGGGGCCCGGCCTCGGAGCGCCCCGGCCACCAAGGGGTTAACGAGCGGGTTTTTGCAGAAACGTGGGTACCGAGGGTGGGTGGGGGTGTCGGGCCGCCTCCACCCCAGCCTCACGGTCTGGGCTCAGAACCTCCCGTTTCTCCGAGGTCAGTCCACAGTGGGATGAATGGGGGCGTTGGCGGCAGTAGAGGGCGTGGGGGACAGGGTTGTCCCAGCGCTGCCTCCAGGGCGGGCGGTGAGAGGAGGCAGCAACGCCCGCCATCTGCAGCCCGAGGGACATTGAGAGGCTTGGCTGGGGGAATCAGGGGCGGTGGGGCAATCAGCAACCCCTCCCTAGCAGCCCTCGTGGGACTCCCCCGCCCCACCGGCTGTGAGGTCCCGCGGTGCGGGCAAGGGAGGGTGGGCTCCATGTGAGTTGGGCATGCCCCGCCTGGAGGGTGCTCCCCAGGTGCCCACCCAGGCTGCCCTGCTGATGTCCATGGTGCCGCAGGCTGCACACACGTTTCCTTGCACGTGCACTTGTCTACACGGACTGCACACTTGCACACCTCTGGTGCACATGCAAGCCAACGCCGCCCCAGTGTGCACATGCACAAACACTGGGTGCACACACGGACTCTGAGGGTGCATATCTGTGTCCTCGCCCCCGCCTGCACACCCACGGCCACACATGCATGCACGCGGCATGCCTGCTGTGGTCTCCACGGGTGGCACATGCTGGGGCCCCTTTCGCAATAACCACTCCCGCACCCACATGCTCGTCTGTTGAGTGGGGAGGCCAGGCCCACAGACAGGGGCAAGACATCCTGGGCCCCACCTCTGCCTGCCTGCCTCCGTGTCCTGGGGGTCCCCGCCTCGGGCTTGTGTGCGTGTGTGTAACTTGGTATGCATCTGCACGTGTGTCTGTGCGCGTGATCATGTGTGCCTGCGGGCACATAGGCATGTCTCTTTGCCTCCAGGGTGTGGGTGCCCCTTGTGTGCCTAGACAGGCTGTGGCCTAATCTGGAGCAGAGGCCCTGGAATGTGTGTTGGGGGCTCGTTGAATACCGCAAAGCCCAGGGTGTGAGGGGCAGGGTCTCCCAGCCACTCCCTACCCACCAGGGCTGAGGCAGATAGATGATGGTGGGCTGGAACCTGTCTGGGCAGGGAAGACCCATTTCAGGCCATGAGGTCAACACTGTGACCAACAGGCCAGACCCTGGGCACCCTTGGTGGCCGCTGCAGCTTGGCTGACTGGAGCACGTGACCCAGCGTGACTGCAGAGGCCCCGCCTCCAGTGCCTCAGTTTCTCCATGGTGAGGACCTTCTTGGTGAGGGGTTCTGTGGTGGGCTCCCCTACCTCCGGTGTTGTGTAGGGTGCTGAGCAGATGGATGCCATGCTGCATGATGGGCAAGGGTGGCCCACTAGCACTGTGGCAAGGGCCCTGGGCTGGGGCTTGGATTGGCAGGCCACACCTCCTGCTCCCCTGGCCACCACCAGAGGCTCATCTATAGAGTGGGGACCAGCAGGTTATCCTTGTAGGTTGTGTGAGGGTGAAACATACTAGCAGAGGGGCAGCTGAAGCAGTGGGGCTGGCCAGTCTCTTTTTCTAAGCCTCAGTCTTCCCATCTATAAAGGGGGTACTGTTCCCTGTTCTTCTCTACTGAGGTGAGGAGGAAGTGAGCTCCCATGCCGGGGGTGGGAATGGGTGGCCATCAGCACCTAGACGCCACCTGGCAGAGGGGCACGTGCAGGGCCTGCCGTGGCAGAACCGTGACCTGGATTTGGGTCCTGGCTCAGCCACCTGCTGGCGGTGTGACCTTGGGTGTGACAGGTCGCCTCTCTGCCTCAGTCTTCCTCACCTGCACCATGGGCCAGTGGTCAGGGATTATCGGGGCACTTCCAGGCTGAGGCTGGGCGGAATTGGCCCGGCTTTCCCTGTGGAGTTCTGACTCTGGTGCTTCTGCCTCAGAATGCCCACAACACCTCCCCACACCCCCACTCAGCAGAGTCCTCCTGGGACCTTTGCACTGCCAGCTGGCCCCTCACCCCATCCATGTGCAGAAGGGACAATAAAAGCCCCTAGTCAGGCAACTCGGGCCACAGGTGAGTGGAGAGGGGACAGGGCAGGGATGCTGCCCAGCTTGGGAGACCCTCCCATAGTACCTTCACTCCCTCCCTGCCCTCCCCCTGTTCCTCACCTGGGGGTCTGTGGAACCCCTGAGCCTCAGTTTCCCCGTGCCAGGGTCCTTCTGCTGGGACTGGCAGAAACGTAGGTTTGCATGGAGTGAGAAGCAGGGGAGAGGCTGAGGGAGGGCCTGGCCCAGCACGTCTCTGAAAGCCAGAGGGCTTGTGGAGGGTCCATGGAGGACACCCCTACAGGGGCTGGGGCCCTGGAAGGTGGGGGAAGGTCCTGCTGTCCTGGGAGGCTGGGAACTGGCCCACAGCCTGTGGAGGGGCCAGGGTTTGTTTGCTGTTGCTGTGAGTGACAGGCAGGCTGTGAGGGCCAGGGTGTGTGGGACCGTGCTCTCCCCCTCCCTCTGCCCAGGAACAGTGCAGCCTTGTAGCATTGCCCTCTCCTCGTCCCTGCCCCAGCCTTGAATTCATGCTTTGTGGCACGGACGGCCCTGTGCAGCCGGTGCAACACCAGGAGGGTCCAGCTGGTGAGGACAGGACGGGCGGGAGGCAGAGGAGCCCTCCTGCTGTCCTGGGCCTGTGGCCCGGAACCTCTCACCGGGAGCCTTGGTCTGTGCACCTGGGAAAGGGGTCAAGAGCAGGAAGCACACGGGGAGTTTCAGGATGACCTGGAAATGAACAAATGCGTGTGTGAGCCAGGCGCCCCGCCCGGCCCTGGCACAGGGTTAGTGAGGGCTCCTGACACTTGGCTACTATCTGATCAATGAGGTTCATGCCGTCCCGCCCCCATTCTGGTGAGCCTGACCTCTGACCCCCAGGCTGGTCTGCCTGACCCTCTGCAGCCACCCAGGGCCTGGGCCTCAGGGTCTGCGGGAGCTGGCTTGGCCGCCTGCTGCCTCTGCAGCTGTGCAGATGCCCTCTCGGGTCCCTCTCTGCACCCCTCAGTGTCCCTGCTCTGCGGTCTGGCTGCACCCAGGCCAAGGTCACAGGCACCCTCCTCAAAGCCAGATCCCAGATGCTGCATTTGCCCCAACCATCCATTCACTTTCTCATTTGTTCATTCATTCACTCGTTCGTTCCTAGCCTGTCAGATTCTCTTCTGAGCCAGGCAAATCAAGGGGTGTGATCCTTGGCATCGGGCATCTCTAGGATTAAATGCTTTAAAGGATAGGAGGTCACAGAGTGGCCCAGGGAAGCCCGATCGGAGCGGCGGGCATGCTGCCCCACCCCACAAATCTCCCTGCACTGTCCCTGGGGCCCAGCTGGGCTCCCCCACACCAGGTGTTCTGTGCTGCCGTTTCTTCTTTTATCGCTGTATTTTAAACATTTTGCACATCGGGAACTATTCTTGTGCATCATGGGTTTTCTGGTGTGTGTGGAATCCCTTCCTGAGAATGCACCATCATTTATTTATCCAAACCTGCACCGGCCTCCTGCACTGCCTGCAGCCGTGGAGCTGGACACTGGGAGATGCAGCTCTGCACACCCACCCCACCATGTCCTCAGCTGGCACCCACCAGGTCTGGGGTCTGGTCACGTGCCTCTCCCCCGATGCTTGGGCTGATTTCAGGGGACTCGGCAGCAGGGCCAGATCCTGCCCCTCCTAGCCCACTGAGGCTTTGACAACCGTGGGCTGGCCGGGTAGGTGATGGTGAGTGAGTAGAGTCTGGGCAGCCATTTGTGCAGTGGGTGCCTTGGGGCCACCTCTCCCCTGCCTCTTTCATACAGCCTCTGGTCTTGCCTGCTATGGCCTGCGGGGCCTCTTCTGCGGGGCAGCAGGGCAGCGGGGCATGGGGTGATGCTGACACTGTTCCGCAGCTGTGTCCTGTCCGATGGAGGCAACCCACAGCAGCCAGACCAGGAGGTGGAGAAGAAAGGCAGGGCAGTTGGCACACCTCGAGAGTGGCCTTAGGAGGGGCTGAGTGGGCACAGGCCAGGGTCCCCATGTAGGTCTACACAGGCCTGGCAGGTGGAAAGCCCCATTCAGGGCCCTGGCACATGGAGCTGGGCTGATCTGGGAGTGAGGTGTCGGGTGCTGACCCAGCCTCACTCAGAGCAGCCTGCCCTGGGCCCCCGGGTGCCTCTTGGCTCTCCAGTCAGCACCCTGGCATTCTTAGCTGGCTGTCACGGGTCACGGTCCATGGAGTTGAAATTCTTTGGAATGTTGGGGGTATCACATAAGGGCTTTGTGGTCAAATGTGGGACCTGCTGGAATAAATGGTGCTGATGGTGCTCCTTTCCCGCAGGGCGTCTTGGGCCCTGTTTTGGAGAGGGGTGGGCAGCACCTTCTCTGAGAGGCACCCCTATGCGATGTACCTCAGGGCCTGGTGTGCCCAGGAACCTGTTTTGGGAAACAGTGGTTGAAGTGCCCCGGAGGACCAGAGGAGGAGACCTGTGGGCCTCCAGCAAGGGCCCTGGGATGGGTAGACCCTGCCACACAAACCCCGCACCCACGGGGCGCCCAGTGGGTGGAGGGACCACTGCTTCTCCCAGCAATTTGAGGCGATGTGCAAATTTAACCTTTGGATTTATGACTCTATTTCTTTGCAGCAAATGTCACGGGAAATGTCAGGCCAAGGCTGAGGCTGGGTGAGGGGCCCGTCAAGGAAGGGGGCAGGGCTAGGCAGGCTGGAGTGCCAAGGAGGGGCTCAGGCCAGGGTGGGCTCCAGGCCCCTCACCTCCTCCTGGGAGCCTTCCTGGATTGTCCCTTGCTTGCCTGGATCCCCGGCTATCACAACCTTGTTGAGATGTTGCCTTTATTTGCCTTCTGCCAGGGCCCAGCTCGGGGACATGCCAGAAGTCCCCCATTCCCCAAGGCTGGGCAGCCATGGGTAAGCTTGTGCAGTGCTGGCTTGCTGTGTGACCTTGGGCAGCTCCACCCTTCCTGGTCACCGTAGGCCTCTCTGCAGTCCACGGCTGGTAGCCAGAGGTGGTGTTCCCAGCTCAGTGTCTTCAAGAGTGGGAAAATGCCTAGAGTCCTCAGTGTGTGGGGTGTGGGGCTCTGGAGGAAGTGGGTGGGGGCTGAGTGCAGGTCTGGGGTTGTGGAGGGCTGGCCCTTGGTGGTCCCAGGGGCTAGAGCAGCCCCTGCACACAGCAGGTGCTCAGTAAAGACCAAAATGCAGTGCGTGGATGTGGAAGGTGGAGGTGGATTCCAGCTGGGAGTCCACAGTCCCCAGTTACATGTCCCCCCTCCGCTGCCACATGCCAGATGTCATTCCAAGGCCCCAGCCTGGCCCATCACCCACTCTGCCCTGCCTCCCAGGTCCCGGCAAGTGAGGGAATGGTGACTGCCTCCTCCCTGCCGTGTGCCCGGCCTGTGCACTGGAGCAGGGGTTCAGGCTCCCTAGTGCCCTGCATCTCTCCTGCACACACAGCTCCCCACACTACACACCTTGGGCCTCCAGATCCAGCCTGTCTGCTAGTGTCACATCCTCCGTACCCAACGTCCAAGCCCAGAGTCTCAGCCTCTTCCCTCGACCCATCCCCAAAGGCAAAATCAGTGTCAAACCTGCACCCTGTCTCCCGGTCCATCCCCTTTACTCCTCACTGAGGGCCATCCTCAGACCTGGCCTCTGTCCCCGGCCTGTGGCCACAGCCGGCCCCGGCTCCCTGCCTACCATCTTGTTCCCCACCCCGGGATTCAAGTGCTTCCCTAAGACATGTTTCCAGCCAGGCACTGCCTGCCTAAACTCCCCCATGGCTGCCCCTAGGTGAAGCTTTGGCCCCTTCGTTCTCAGGGCCTGGGCTAGAGGGTCTCATGTAGGAACCTTCTTTTCCATCCTCACCAGGGAAGCCCCCGTCCCTAGTTCCCAGTGCCTGGCACCTGTGTCTGCCTACCCCTCTCCACTTGAAGAGCCCAGGCCTAGCTTGAGGATGCAGAAAGCCATGAAGGGTGGGACAGCCACACTGGCAGGGAGGGAGGGCCCAGGCGCCGGTGAGGAGGATCAGTTGCACCTTTGTGGGCAGTGCCTGGTGCCCTTCTGTCCCTGGGTCAGCTCCGGGAGACCCCAGGGTTGGTGGCCTTCAAGACTGGCTGTTAGGTGCAGATCAGTTGGCCCAGCCGGCTGCACAAGGGTTGCTCTGTTTCCCCCGGGGAGCCACCTACCCTCTGAGCCTCCCTGTCCGCACGTGGCTATCGTGAAGCTGGAGCGGTGGTGAGTGAGCACTGCCCACAGGACCCGGCCATAGTGGCAGCTTGATTTGGGCAAGCTGGAGGCTCCTGGTGCACCTGGCTCCAGGGACCCCTTCTTCCAGGCCAGGCCCCTTGCACGCCCTTTCCTGGCCTGGACTAAACTAGCTGTGGAAATCGAGACTAGTGATTGGGGCCTTAGGGCCTTGTGGGAAGGGGTGGCAGGTCCCTCACCTCCTGGAGGCCTCCCAGGTTTTCAGCCCTTCTTACCTGTCCTGTCCTGCCCTGGGGGGATCCAGGCTGGACTCTGACCAGCCCATGTGGCCAGTGAGGATGGGCATGTGGGCCCCACTGTACTGCCTGGAGCAGGAGCCTCTGCTGAACCCTGGTGGGTACAGAGAAGGAACTGCTCTCTGGGGCCACTCCTCCCCATCGGTCCTTCTGCCGTGAGGGTCCTCGTAGGACATCCTGAGAGACACGTTAGTTCATGCCAGGGGAGCCCAAATGACAGTGGGGCTGAGAGGCTATGACGGGGTGGGAGTGGGGTGCACAGGGTCCGGGCAGGGCTAGCAGCTGTGGAGTCCGGAGGGGAGGCTGGGTGCATGTGGAGAAGTCCCTAGTTCTCAGTGAGGAGCCTACGGCGCAGTTTGGGTTCCAGCAGGAGCTCTGCCGCAGGACCTCTGCACTGACTCAGAGAGAAGTATGGGGTCCTCTGCCTTTGTTGTGTGGAGGCTTCTGTCCCGCCCTTCACTTGTGCTGGCCTTGCAGTGCAGTTGGAGAGGATGCCTCGTCCCTGACTGGTCCTTGGGCAGAGTCCTCAGTTGTGGTAGGGCGGGGTGGGACTGGGTATTGGGAGGGTGGGCCACCTGCCCCCGGGCGTGGCCCCTACCCCAGAAGCCCCTTCCACCTACCTGGGGAACTCACTCACCCGGGCCTGGCCAGCTACCAGCACGGCTGTCGAGGGAGGGCTGAGGAGCTGGCCCAAGGTCACGCAGGATGTGCTGCGCTGGTGCTCCTGGCCCCACCTGCCTCCACGCATGCCACCAGGAACCTGGGAGTCAGCCCTGGTGCCCCCTCCTTTGTGGAGCCCAGCAACGTTCCCTCCCACACACTCTCCACTTGAGTCTCCGCTTCCCTCCTGGCTCTCCCTGGACATCCAGGCCCCCTTGTCAGGAAGCATGGAGCTGGCCGGTCACGCCCTGCCCAGCCCCAGGGTCTCCTCAGGGCCTCCCGAGGGATGGGGCTGTATGAGGTGGTAGCCCATGAGCCCAGCAGGGATTGGCTTCTTGGGGCTCCCGTGGGGGCTACAGATGAGCCCCCTAGGGCCACGTGAGACAACAGCAGGACTGCCACAGTTCCCTCAGCTGGGTGCGTCCCCTGCCCCACCCGCTGGGGCCATGGGGGACTGTGGACTTGAGTGTGGCCTGCCAGGTGAACCCCAAGTGTCCCCTGGGGAGGGTCCTCCCCTCCTCATCCTTGGTGCAGTTTCAGGCACCAAGATGCACTCCCAGTGGGCCCTGGTCCAGTCCCCGATGCAGGGGAGGCCCACAGGGGTCACTTGCTTCTCCCTTCATTCTCTTAGCAAATTCTTCCTGGCATCAGTTCTAAGATAGTCCCATGCTGGGCGGCAGGGACCTTGAGGTTCTTGACATGCTCTACCCCCAAGTCCCCCAGATTCCAGGGAAACATGCTGAAGCCCACAAGGTCCCTAGGAGTGGCAGCGGGGGTGAGGTTGAGGACTCTGAGCCTCCCACATTGACCGCTCATGAAAGCCACACTGGCCCCAGGTCTGGAAGAGGAGCTGGAGCTGCTGGCCTGGGGGCTGAGGAGGCTCCAGTGTCCCCTAACAGAAGCCCAGTGGCTGCAGGACAGGCCACTGCCCGGGTGAGATGCTTGGAGGGCTCTGGGTTGGGGGAGGGCAGGTGAAGAACTTGTGGGTCCAGAGGGGAGTGGAGGGAGGGGCAGAGGCTGCGGAGGTGGACTGCGGGGCGAGCTCTCCTTGGCCCCAGCAGGAGGCTGCCTGCAGCTCTGGTGCTCCCTCGGCCTGACACATGGGCCCTGCGCACCCGGCTGCCTCCAGGCTGTCTTTCATCTCCCTGCCTCGGCCCCAATTTATGTCAGGCAGAGGCTGACACAGGGACAGGTGTGACAAGTGTCTGGCTTCCTATTTGAAAACTGGCAAAAGAAAAACTCTCCCCATAAAGATATTCCATCTACATACCTCCCGGATGTCACCGCGAGGACCCGTCATGGCTGAGACAGATGGCGGCCCTAATGGAGTCCATTCTTCACCCGCTGCCGGAGCGGAGGCCGGTCCCCTGGGGTGGCCTGAGGCGGATGATGGGTGATGGGTGGGGCACCAACCTCCCTTTGTGCCCTCCCCTATGCCTTGGCCTGTCCCCAACCCCGAGCTGCCCACCAGGGCCTCTGTCATAGCCAGGGACTCCAGGGACAAGTGACCTGGACACCTGAGGCCCCAGTGGTCCAGTGCCTCTACCCTCCTGGCTGAGAGACGGTGCACACTTGACCCCCAGCCTTGGTCCAGCGCCTCCACCCTCCTGGCTGAGAGACAGTGCACACTTGACCCCCAGCCTTGGTACATGTCAGGACCACCCCCACGCCCCACTCCTAGCTGAGTTATCACTTCCTCCGGGAAGCCACCCCAACCACCCCACCTGAAGGTGCTGCTACTGCCCCCTGCAGGCAGAGCACTCCAGGAGGCAGGGTACTCAGGATCCCCTGGCCCCCAGATCACAGGGAGCTTGATGTTGCAGGACGGTCTCCATCACTGCTTCTGGGTCTCGAGGTGATGAGGGCCCTGCCCTGGGAGCCAGGGGAGTAGCAGGCTACTCACCAGTGAATTGAGGGGAGGGGAGGGCTGCAGTCCTGCATAGCCCCCCGTGGCTCACTTTCTGCCTGGGGGTCCACCGTGTTCAACATCCTCACTTGCAAGGGGCTACCCCAGGCCCAGGGTGAGGTTGAGACCCACCCAGCCTGTCACTCATGCTCAGCCAAGCTTGTGCCCCTCCCTGCCTGAGTACTCCATGGGCAGGAGCTTATGGGCCATTACCCAGCCGGGCTCCCATGGTGGCCCCATTGGGTCTGAGGATGGACACCTTGGGCAAGGCAGTGGTGCAGACGAGGAAGGGATTGGGAAGGGGCCAGCCTCCTTAGGGGTGGCAGGGGTGGGGCTGGGGGAGAAGAGCCCCCCAGAGGAAGTGTGTCTGGGAATAGGGCAGGGCATTCTGGAGGGGGAGCTCCTTGAGCAAACGCCAGCAGGGGCAATGGCCTTGGAGCAACAGAGCCCCGGGTGGTGCTGGCTTCAGGCCTGGCGTCAGGGCCAGGTAGGATGCCAGCAGAGCACTTCCTGGCTGCAACTTGGCCTTGGAGCTGGGCTTTCTCCTCTGTGGGGTGGGGATGGTGGTCCCTCCGGGGGTGATGTGAGAAGGTCCTCCAGGGAGAGGCCAGGTGCAGGCTGCCCCATTCTTTGTGGGTGCCATGAGGTGGGCCTTATTATCTCCATTTCCAACTGAGGGAAGCAGTTCTGAGACGTTGGGGGGCCTGCCTGAGACCTCCCTAGGCAGAGCCAGGGCCCCAAGCCCTGAACTGGTTCCAGGACTGCCCTGCAGGGCCGATCACGTTGGGCAGGGACCCTGGGGTGTGGGGGCTCATGGAGGGGGCTCCTGCCACCTGCAAGACGGACTCACCCACCCTTCCACCTGGCCCAGTGTCAGCATAAGACCAAACAGAACAAACGAAAAACACTCTTGATTTTATGAGGTCATGTTCATTGTAGAAAATCTGGAAAAATACACCAAAGTTTTAAGAAAGAAGTTGTATTAGTCTGATCAAGCTGCCATGACAAAATACGATAGACAAGGTGTCCTAAACAACGGAAGCACATTTCCTGACAGTTCTGGAGGCTGGAAGTCTGAGATCAGGGTGCCAGCATGGGCTGGTTCTGGTGGAAGTTCCCTTCCTGGCTTGCAGGTAGCCACCTCCTTACCGTGCCCTCACGTGGTAGGGGATGGAAGGGTGGAGAGAGAGGAGGGCATGTACTCTCTGAGGTCTCTTTCTCTTCCAGGCCACTAATGCCATGGTGAGGGCCCCAGCCTTGTGACCTTATCTAACCGTAATCACCTCCCAAAGGCCCCGCCTCCAAATACCATCACACTGGGGGTTAGGGCTTCGACACGTGAATCTGGGGGAGACGCAGACATGGAGCTGTAACAGAAGTAAAGCTATCCATGTTGCTACTTAGAGACCGTGCCCTTGGCACTGGGGTGCTGGAGCCATGCCCCCAACCCAGGAACATCCGTTGCCTCATGGGCTGTGGGCCAAGGCTCTCTCCCAGGGCTGGACATCCTGGGGAATGCTGTCTCTATAGCTGCACAAAGCCTGCCACTTGCCCTTAGTGGTGAGCATTTAGTGCATTCACATGACTAACATTTATGGAGCACCTCCTGTATGCGGGTCACCAGCCCCTGTGGAGCCCAAAGCCCAGGGTGCCTCAACCGACAGAAACAAGCTACACAGAAGCCTGCTAAGTGGGCCAGCGAGGTGTGGAGTGGAATGGGCACCCTGGCAGTGGGCAGAAGGTGGAGGGGTGTCAAGGAGACCGTGGGAGTGGGCCCACAGAAGTGCCTCACCCAGACCCAGCCTTCCCATTTCTCAGATGAGAAACCCAGCCAAGAAGCACAGGTGGTGCCTGAGTAGGGCCATGTGACTGGGCCTGGGGGTGACCGGGCCTCCAGGCCTGCTGCAGCCATGATCGGGGTCGGAGAAGCAGCCAGTGGAGGAGTGAGCGGGACGGGGCATGGCTTCCTGCAGGCCTGGCCTGGGAGGGAGGCACCGGCTGGCTGGCTGCCCGGTGGGTTGCAAGGTTTTAAATATGCATTAACAGAAGAGGTGCTGAGGCCTGGCCCAGGGGCTGCCCTGAACAGGCTGAGTCCCTGAACCCTCCTCTGTGAGGCTGGGGGAGGAAGAAAAGGGGATGGGGCCAGGGCTGTTGTAAAATCATCAGGACAATTTTAGGAGAATGGCTTATGCCTTTGCAGGTTTGAGAAGCCACCGTGGGGTGGCCCGGGCAGGCCAGGAGACCAGCTGGGTGCTGGAGTGTCCTCTGTGGGATGAAAGGTCAGGCTGCCCAGTCTTTGGGGCTTACATGGGGGGATGAATGCAGTATGGCCTGTGCATGGCCCCCTGACCCCTGATGACCCTGTGGTGACGCCCAGTGTGGCCTTGGACTTGAGGGACCCCTCTGTGCCCTGGGCTCAGTGGCGTGGGTCCCAGACAGAGATGCTGAGGAAATAAGGCCGGACTGCCCCGCCTCCCGGAGGGCAGCTGACCCCCTTCCACTGGCCCTGCGCAGTGGGGCGGCGCATCAGCCTCAGGAAGTAGCTGAAATACACTGACCTCGTTTTCCAAGAGGCAGCGGCACCTGGGCCTCCCACCCTCGTGGATGAGAAGCCGACAACAGTTTCCATCCCAAATTGATTTCAAATAAGGAAGAGTTATCACACACAATCATATAGGAATAATTTATCACTTGTTAATAAAAGAGCAATTACTTATTCACGTCGCCGCTGCGTGCGTGCCTCGGTTTGGTTGTGGAGACGCATTGGGGGCTCTCATAGCAGCTGAGAGAAGCCCGTGTGCACGGTCAGAAAGGAGGCTGGGGGCTGCACACCCACCCCAGTGCTAGGCGACCCCTGCTGGGTGTTGACCGCACACCCCTACCCCCGGCTCCTGAGGGGCCCCAGCCTGGAGTGGGGGGCTCAGATCTGTGACAAGGAGGGGACAGGAGCGGGCAGGGGTAAGGGGAATCCAGGGGTGGGGCTTCATCACAGTGTGAGGGCTGGGCTGGGTGGGCAGGCAGGAACTCTGAGGCTGGTTCAGGGAAGCAGCTGCCTGGCCTGCAGGGAAGGCCCAAGCACAGAGTTGGGCTTTTAGGCCAGAAGCTGCCCCTTCGGGTGTCTGGATTGCAGAGTCTCTGGGGCCAAGAGCCCATAGTGTCCTGGGAGACCCAGATGTATCCTCAGCCACCCTTGGCCGAGCAGGGGACCAAAAAGCAGCATGTGGATCCTCCCTGGCCAGATGCCAGCTGCCCTGGGGCTGTATGTCCAGGTGCTCTTGAGCTCTCACTGTCCCTCGCTCTCCTCCTGCACCTTGGAGACACCTGCTTCTAACCTACATTTGTCTCCACCTTCTGGAAGATACACTTTCTTTTTTTTCTTTTTATTTATCTGTTTTCTGAGATTTTAGTGCCACATATGCAGTTGTTTTAAAAAATAATAACATTCGGTCAACAACATATTGCAGAGTTAACACCTGCACCCAGCCTCGGAGGCTGGTCTGGAGAATGGGCTCAATCTGCCCCTGCCCCGCGTCCTCCTGGGAGGCAGCCACTGTCGCCTCTGTTCCCTGGCTTTGCCAGTGGTTGCCGCCACATTTCCTCAGCTTCTACTCCAGCTCTGTCTCCTCCAGCACACTCCCCAGCATGGCTGTCTCGCTGCCATCAGTTAAATTCACAGCCAGTGTTTCCCAACCCAGGTCCCATAAATGTTCTTCTCAATCCTGCCGTGGGATGGGTGACCTTCCTTCTCTTTCATGGCCTTTTGTTTTCCTTGGGGCTTACAGTTGATGTTTTTTACCCATCCACCACCCTCATGGGCTTACTCTTCCCCACATCAGGGCTTCTATTGGGGTCTCATTTTTTTCCCTGGATAAAGATTCACCCCAAGCACTTGTCCTGCTGCCCCATAACTTCCCTTTACCACCTGTTGAAATTTCAGTTAATGCTTCCTGGGCCCCACGTTTTCCTCTTTCTGGGTTTGCACCTCATTTTGGCTGAAACATAAGCCTGACTCACTCTCTAAAGAAGATATGGTGAAGAATCATTCCGGAAGTCTTCCTGTATTTACAAGTATGTTCAAGCTGGATTGTTTCGGTCTAGAATTCCATGTTGAAATTAGTTTCCCCTCAGAGCTATGAAGCTGTTGCAGTGTTGTTGTTTCCTGGCATCTAGTGTGCTATGAAGGAGGCCAATACCATAGTGCATCTTCTTTGTTGTGTGTTTTTTTGGAGAAAGTCTCACTCTGTCACCCAGGCTGGAGTGCAGTGGCATGATCATGGCTCACTGCAGCCTCAAACTTCTGGGCTCAAGCAATCCTTCCACCTCAACCTCCCAAGTAGCTGGGATTACAGGCATGCATCACCACACCCGGCTAACTTTTTAATTTTTTGTAGAGACAGGGTCTTACTGTGTTACCCAGGCTGGTCTCAAACTCCTGGCCTCAAGCAGTCCTCCCACCTCAGTCTCCCAAAGTGCTGGGATTACCGGCGTGCACTGCTGCTCATGGCTTCGTGTTGCCTCTTTGTGACCAGCTTCTCCTCCTGGAGCTTCAGACTTCCCTTGACCCCTGGGGGCCTGAAAGTGCACTGTGAATGCCCAGTGGAGGACTGGGTACTCAGCTTTGGGAAGTTTTCTGGTATTGTTTCTTTGCTAGCTTTTCTCAGTTTTTTTGTTTTCTCTTCTGGAACTCCCCTTGGATGTTCAACCTATATTTGTCTCCCAAATCTCATTCATTTGTCTTTCTCCTTTGTTTTTCTTTCTGGAAGATTTCTTTGACCTTGTTTTCTAACACTTGTATTGATTTTTTTTTTAATTTTAGTGATTCTATTTTTAATTTCCAGGCACTCTTTCTTTTTGTCTGATGCCTCCTTGTTCATAGCAGCCTGTTCTTGTTTTAAATCCCCATCTATGCCTAGGAAGACACAAATTAGATGTTTCTCCTAATTTTTGTCTTTTTCCCACACTGTCGGCTTCCTCTAGCATCATTCTCCCTCTTTTTCTGCATTGATATGTTTTCCGGATGCCTGGTGGTCACTGGTTTTCTGGTCACTTTTATGAGGGAAGCTGGTTGGCTGCTCTGCTGAGATGGAGCTTTTCTTCTGCCCATCGGCCCTGGGTGCTCCTGGATACCAGTGGTGGAACCCCTTTCTCTGGGTGTTTCTCCAGGGGAGCAGCCTGCCACTGTGCTCCCCACTCCTCACTCTGCATCACCCTCATTTCGGTGGGTCTCTGGAAGGGGAGGAACACGTGTCTTTCATGCAGATCCCCGTGTCTAACACATGGTGGGTGAGCAGGGGAGGGGGACCATCAGTGTTGCATGAGAAGCCACAGCAACTCGACTCTGAGCACAGGCCGGGTCTCTCATGAGATGAGTCAGGCTGCACCAGGCCTGTCCTCAAGCCTTCTTTCTCTGCTGAGGCTGAGATGGGCAGAAGCAGCGAGGAAGTGGCTCCAGGTGGGTTTGTAGCACAGCCTGGCTGCTGCCCCCTCTTCCAGCCCAGATGCAGCCAGGATCCTGCCTGCCATATCTCCTCAATAAAGCAGGGCTACTGCCAGGCCAGGCCAGAGTGGCCTTGCAAGACCGCTGGAGCAGAGGGGTCCGTGTGGCTCTGGGACGCTGTGAGCTGTACCTTGCCTCCCTGGACTCCTCACCTGAGACGAGGCTGACCCAGGTCACATTGGCAGGCCTCTGGGGAGGCAGGATGCTGGGTGGGGGCCTGGGTGGGGTTTCTTTGGGGTCCTGGGGGGAGGTAGGTGCTGGCCTCTCATTGTCCTCACATCACTGGTGTGGGGACAGATTTGGAGGGGGCTGGCAGATTCTCTGCCTACTCTGTGAGGGGGTGCAGAGGCTACATCTGAGCCCAGGGCTGCAAGACCCCAGGGCCCACTTTCAGCCATCCCTGGGAGGGCAGCCTCCTGGGCTGAGGTTGAGGTGCCATGGGGGACTGGGGAGCCCAGAGTGGCTGCCCCTCCCTGCTGTGTCATCCCTGGGGCTCAGGGTCTGCTCTGGTCGCCTGGGGATGATGATGGTGATAAGGATAGTGGTGATGAAGATGGGGGTGGGCAGAGATCTTGGAGTCCAGATTGTGTGCACTGTCTCCTGGCCTTGCAAGGTGGCCAGCAAGGCACTTGCCTCAGTCAGTGCCTCATCTGAGGAGTGGGTTGGCAGTCACCCCCTCACCGTACAATGGGAGGATGCAGCACAGGGATATCCTGAAACCTCCAGGAATGAGGAAAGGCTGCACCTTGGGCTGTCCCAGGGAGGCGAGGGGCCCTCATTTCTTACTCCCCATCCCTTGTCCTCTTCCCTTCCCCATCCTTGGGCCAGGGCCTCTGCCCAGGGATATCTGGTGTCGACCCAGTACTGACCCATTGCTCACCTGGGGCTTCCTATCCTTGTGTGAGGTCAGCCCCAGGCTGCCCTTTATCTAAGGGCCTTGCACAGAGCTGGTGTGATGATAGTGATGATGACGGTGATGATGATGAAGACGATGATGGTGACAGGGATGAGGATGGTGATGATGATAGTGATGAGGATGCTGATGGCGGTGATGGTGATGAGGACGATGGTGATGATGAGGATGGTGATGGTGATGATAGTGATTGTGATGAGGATGGTGATGATAGTGATGGGATGATGGTGATGAGGATGAGGATGGTGATGATGGTGATGGTGATGGTGATAGTGATGAGGATAAGGATGGTGCTGCTCTGGTCGCCTGGGGATGATGATGGTGATAAGGATAGTGGTGATGATGATGGTGGTGATAGTGATAGTGATGATGGTGATGAGGATGGTGAGGGTGATGAGGATGGTGATGATGATAATGATGGTGATAGTGTTGGTGATGATGGTGTTGAGGCTGGTGATGGTGATGAGGATGGTGATGAGGATGATAGTGGTGGTGATAGTGATGGTGATGATGGTGTTGAGGATGGTGATGGTGATGATGATAGTGATGGTGATGATGGTGTTGAGGATGGTGTTGAGGATGGTGATGGTGATGAGGATGGTGATGAAGATGATGGTGGTGATAGTGATGGTAATGAGGATGGTAATGATGATAGTGGTGGTGATGATGGTGATGATGCTGCTGCTGATGATTATGGTGGTGATAGTGGTGGTGATGGTGATGAGGATGGTGATGGTGATGATGAGTATGTTTACAATGATGATAACAAGGACAGAAAATGCCTCCACAGCCTACTTTTCCTTCACAATCTTGGCTATGGGTCTGCAGGAGCATCCAGGCCTGAGGCCGTGGAGGGTGGTCCAGGGCATCCTGTTTGCAAGGAGGGACCGCACTCCCTTTCCTCTCTTGTTTCCTGCACCAAGTGTTCTCATCTTTAATATTTCTTTGTTATTAACTGTGAAGATCCCTTTAGCAGAGGCTGGAATCCTGATGTCCTGGGAAGTACATCGACACGGATCTGCCCAGGTCACCTCTTTCCAGGCCCTGTCCAGCCCAGGGAGGCAGCTTGATGTTAATGGGTCATAAGCCACCTTGGTGTGACCTGGCCAGAGTCCCTGATACAAGGTGCAGGGAGAGGCCTCGGCCCAGCCTCTGCAGGGTTCCAAGGTGGGTGGACTGGCATGGAGGGGCCCTGTCCCCAGAGACCCCCTACCTCAGTTAAACGGCTGCCCTCTTCAAAACTACCTGCACTGGATTTGTCTCCTCTGAAGTGCCACCCAAGTCCTTTCCTCCGAAGCCGGACTGTGTCATTCAGCACTTCCTCTGCTGTCCCCCTCTCCTTACAACCATTTTGTTCTCTTTGTGTGTATGTGTGTGTGTGTGTGTGCATGCATGTGTGTGTGTGTAATCCCAGCTACTCAGGAGGCTGAGGTGTGAGCCACCCCTCCCAACTTATTTGTGTTAGGTTGTCCTATTTTATGCATATTTGACTGTGAGACTCCTGACAGCCTCTTTAGAAAAATGATCATTTCTGTTTTGACCTGCAGAGTATTTCAGTATTTCTGAGTCTCTTTCTTGCCTAGAACCCCTCACCCTAGGCCTCCGTGAGATGCTGACCTTGCCCAGGTCTCCACAGAGCTGAGCCTGCACTGAGGTTGCTGGGCTCTGTTCACCTGGCTATGTGACTTCAGCAGGACCGTGGTCTTCTCTGACCCTTGGTTTCCTTTTCATTAGTGGGGGTCTGAGTGAACTGCTGGGGCCATTGTGAGGGTGAAGGTGGCAGCACCCACACTCGGCTTGCTCACAAACCAGGTCGGCAAACTGTTTGTGTGAATGGTGTGATACTAAATAATTCCAGCTTTGTGGGCCACACAGTGTGTCATAACAACTCAGCTCTGCTGTTGTTGCGGGAAAGCAGCCATGGACAATGCGTGAACACATAGGTGTGGCTGGCTGCCAATAGCACATCCTTTACAGAAGCAGCAGCCAGCCCTTGGGCCAGTTTGCCAGGTGCCAGTAGAATAGGAGGCCAAGGCCTGTCGGCTCTGACAAGGGTTCCACTCTGGCCCCCGGACACGGAGCTCTGGCCTTGGCTGGGGGAATTCCAATGGGAACATCCCAGGCTGAGGAGGATCCTCTCCTGCCTCTTAGATTCCTCATCCCCTGGGGAGTGCTGGATCCCACTGGCCCTGCCTGGCTGAGCTTCTCTGTGGTCTTAGCAGGCACTGCTTATGTGCCGTGGGCCAGCTGCTGCCCCCAGCTCAGTTTCTAATGTGAAGGGCTGGGCAGTCCCTGGGATGGCTCCAATGGGAGCCTGTCCAGCTGCTGTTCTGCTGACTGAGGCTGATCCAAGGCTGCTGAGAACAAGCCGGCAAGAGCCTCAGGACCCACACGTGTCTTTTCACAGCAGAATAAATTCTGCTCGGACAGAGGCCGCTCGCCTGCCTGGTTGATCATGTTTTACAAATGCTGAGGGCAAGAGAACACATGGGGATGTGCCTACACATCTTCCTCTGCCGCAGCGGCATGCAGACCCTCCAGCCGGGCCCTGGCTCCTGGGAGGGGCTCGCATCCCAGCAACCCTCTACTGCTCAGTGGACTCTGCCTGAGCCCTGACCAGCCCTGGGGGCTCTTATTGTGTGTTTCCGGTATGCACGCCTATCGTGTGCACCCCCAGGGGTCCCATTGCATGCACTGAGTCTGTGCTCCTGGCTCGTGCACCCTGAGCATGTGCTCTTGTACTTCCTCCTGCCCTGTCAAGGCCGACACTCTGGGCTCACAGGCAGTGGTCAGCCTTGTGCATGCAGCAGATCCAGGGTCCTGGGGGAGTGTGGGAGGGCTGGGGCTTAGGTCTGGATGCTAGCCCATGGGAGTGGATGTGGGCCCTGCAGGGCTAGGCACCAGGTAGCGGGCAGGGTCAGGCAGGCAGATGGGCATGGGAGGCAGGTGTATGGCAGTGCTGGGCCCAGACCTGGCTCAGAGTGCGTCCCCAGGGTGGGAGCAGGCCGGCCACCGGTCACTTGCTCATTAGTGTCCTCTGGGGACTCAGCTTGCTCTGGCTGCTGGATTGAATTAGCTGCAGGACCAAGATGAGCCCTTGGTGGAGACAGGATTCTCCAGATAATTAGGCAGCAGGTGTTTGTTGGCTCCTGGTGGAGCATGGAGGAGCAGGTGGGCTCAAGCCTCCTGTGGGGCAAGGGGGCACTGGCTGTGCCCTGGGCTGGGCGAGGCCTCCACTGGGCAGAGCCTCCAGGGGCCCCCAGTGTGGGGCTCACTGGGGTGGGAGCCGAGGAGGGTGCACCTCCAGTGAGGGGTGTATGGGCTGGATGGGGCAAGGTTCTGGAGCCCTCCACGCAGGCAGCCCAGCATTGACCAAAGATGAATCCTCGAGGCCTAGGTGCTAGGCCAAGGATCCTGCCCACTTGGGGCTCTGCCAAGACCCTTTGGCTGGTAGTGGGCTCCTGGGCTCCTGCCAACATCCTCATGCTGCCTGGGGCTGGCTCAGGCCTCTGTGGCTCCTAACTCTCCCATAGGGCACCTGCCATGCAGCAGGGTGGCTGCCCGTGGTCAGCTGGCCCTGGACCGTGAGTGCCTGGGACCCGGCTCCTCGGCCTGGTCTTGTATGGGCGGCACTCAGCACAGCACCTGGGACAGGGGCCACTTCACACCTTGCCAAGGTACGGAGGGAGGGCCAAGCGAGTGGATGATCCTGCACGGTGTGGCCCACGTTGATGTGTCCTTGGGGTGAGGGTGCCATCCAGGGCTGCCAGCTCTCACCTGGGCCAGGCCATCCTCTGCTAGCTTCAGTGTCTGTGACTTGAAAGGTGTACCCTCTCAGGTGCCCTGCTGGCTGGAAACAGGACTGTGGAGCTCAGGTTAGGAGCGGGGGTGGCTGAGCCTTTACTGCCCAGCAAGACCTTTTCGCACCCCTGGGGCCATGAGACTGGGAAGCCCGCTAGCCCTGGGGCTGTGGCTTCTCCTGCTTTACTTGTTATTATTTTTCTGATAATATCTTTAATTGCAAGATTTTGTGTACTTTTAGGCATGTTTCTTGTAAGTAGCATATGGTTGGATTTGACCTTGGATTGTGTTTGCTATTGATTATACCCACACCAGTTCTTATGTTCCTCATTTGTAAAATGGGTCAATAAACTTGACACCCCCTCCAAGAGAATTTGCTGGATTGAAGGGCCCAGCCTCTGGCCTGGCCTGCTGGCCCTGGACCTACCTACATCTCGTTGTCTCTGGTGAGCCCAGCATCACGGGGCAGGGACGAGCCCTGCCGGCCAGGGCAAAGAGTGGAGCCGAGGGGGCTGAGGAAGCACTAGGCACACTCAGGAGGCCAGTCCTGAAGGCTCTGCCCACACTGGGCCTCAGTTTCCCCCACAGCATGTAGCTAGCTAGGCCTGGAGCTGCTTCAGTCTGGGTCCAGTGACCTCTCACCATGGCAGGTGTCCTTGCCTGTTATTGACCTGGTCTGCCTACCCTGCCCCTGCAGCCAAGATCAACAAGGAGCAGGGGCCAGGGCCAGGGCATCAGGGGCTGGTACTCACTTCCCTAGGAGACTCAGGACCCCTCAAGGGCAGACTGCCCCCACCAGAAGCTGCTGCCAATCTCCTGCCGCAGCACCTGGAGCCCTGGAAGGGCACAGGAAACACCATGGGAATTCTGGCTGCCCCTGCACGTGTCTGTGGGCCTGAGGATGGATGGCGGGTGGGTGTACATGTGAGAAGCAAGCGAGGATCGGGGGACAGATGGGTGGGGGGCGGGGGGAGTGAGTCAGTGGTGGAGGGCCAGGAGTGGGGAGCAGGCGTGGGAGGGGTGCCCTGACCCTCTGTGGTGTGGGGATGACATAGGCCCGCCACCCCCGCCTGGAGCTATTTCTGGCCTTGGTGCACTGAGCTGTGGCCTCCTGTTCTGCCTCATAACTGTGGTCTGTGACGTGACCGCCTGACGGGGACATGGCTGGTGTCCGAGAGGATCCTGAGCTGACTGATGTCCCGGCTGTGCTACAGCTGGTCCCACCCCCAGCCCCAGCCCTCTGCAGCCTCTTACCCCAGCCCTGGGAAGCAGCAGCTCAGAGCCTCCCTGGAGATTCCCCTCCCGGCCACCCATGACACAGGAGGGCGCTGCCTGCCCCTCTGCACGTGGCCTGCAGCCCAGCCCCTCCACACCCTCCCCCATTACTAGCCAGGCCGCCAGCCTTCCTGCTTGGGCAGGACATGCCTCGTGGCCCCTCCGGGCAGCACTGTGAGTGTCTCCCTTGGCCGCCTCTCCACCTGGGTAGTCTGGAGTGGGAGCAGGGCAGGGCTTAACCACTCACTGCCTCAGTTTCCTAATCTGTAAATGTATTGCTGTCTCACTTTTTATAGCAGGTGATGGGACCCTCCGGTGATCCCAGCCCAGGGGCGGCATTGGGGCCCGAGGGCACCAAGCTGTGCGTGGATGAAAGCCGGTGCTCGGCGCCTCCACAGCTGCCTGCCCTGTGCTGCCTCCTGGCATCGCTGGGCAGAGGCAAAGGCATCCCTGTGGAACTTCAGCCCAAGCTTGGGAGGGCACGGAGGTGGGCGGGGCCCCAGGAACAGTGGGGGCCAGGGACCACATGAAGAAGGCCATCCCTGCTCGGCTCGGCTCAGCTCCCTGGGCTGCTGGGGTGAGCTGCTGACCTCAGCAGCCGCCTGCCTGCCCAATGGCTGGGCATATCCCCAGAGCCTCCCACCGCCACCTCCCCATCCCCCTTCTCCACCCCTCCCCTCTGCTCCTGCCCTCCTCGCTCTCCTCCCACCTCCTCCTCCCCCCGCCACACTCCCTCCTGCAGTGAACGTGAACAGCCCTCCACTCACCAGAACTGATGGTGCAGGTGCCCACCTGGGCTGCCTGTTGCTCCCGTCAGGGGGATGCGTCCTGGACTGTTTGCTGCCCAGCCTCCTGGGCCTTCAGCCTGGTGATCCTGGGTCCTACCCTGCCCAGTCTGGCTGCCGCAGGGAGAGGCTCTGGGTCAGTATCCGGTCACTGTCCCCGCTGGGAAAGCTCAGAGCCTTCCAGGCAGGAGAGCCAGCCCTCCCCTGACTGTGGCTCCTGAGCCAGGCCTGGGCTGAGACAGGAGCTCCTAGCTATGACCCAGCCCTGACAGCCAGCAGGGCCATCCTCCGGGGAGGTCCCAGGAGGAGACCCTGGAGGAAAGAAGAGATGTTAATTGGCCTGGGAGGGTGGGAGAGGCACAGATGTACCAGTTTGTGTGCAGCTTGGAGGCTGAGGAGAGCCCTCTGGGGCCCTCGCAGGCTCAGGTGGCCGCAGGGCCAACCTGGGTGGGGACGGTGGACAGGCACGCTATCCATGGTTTCTCTGTGAGAGCTGGGGCCATGGCAGGGCTGGTTGCTCACCCCGTGTGCAAGGGGCAGGAAGGACAGAGCTCATACTGGAGGCTCCGTGAGAACTGGGGCCAGGGTGAGACTGGGTGAGAGTGGAAAGTGGGGTGATGGCAGGCAGGGAGGCCATGCTATCTCCAGAAGGACAGTAGAGCATCCTATTAGAGTTGGCCAGGCAGATAGAGGAGAGAGAAAGGTGGGCGAGAGGGCCAGAGAGGCCTTGTGGCCTTGAGGCTGCAGAGCCCAGGGGACAGGTCAGGGGCCACGGGCCAGGGAGGTCTTTTGGGGTGGGGAGGGGCTGCAGTCCACCATGGGGCCAGGGAGGAGGCTGGTGAGTCACCAGTCTGGCCCCTGGGATGGGGTCAGAGGACACCCTCCCCCCACCTGGCTGCGTCTCCCTCATCCCAGGGCCCCGGCTGTGAAGACAAACCCATGCTGCAAAGTTGGGTTTGATTATCTCATAAAAAGATGCCCCCTCCTGCTCGCTCAGCAGAGGGGTTGCCATGGAGACCAGCGGGCAGGCCCCAAGGGGGGCCAGGCTGGAGCCAATTACCATGGCTGCAGCGAGGAGAGAGCCCACCTCACCCGACTCTCAGAAGTTGGTTTACGAAAAGCAGTTGTCTCGGCAGGAACCGAGCCGTGTCTTTGCGCCCAATACCCACTTCCTGGCAGAACTGAGCGCCACGTGGCCACTCCCCCATGTCCTCCCCTGTCTCCCCCGACCCCGCACCACCGTGTGGCTCAGTTCTGGCACCTCACTGGGGGCATGTTTAGAGTGGACACACAGCTGCTTCGGGAGGGAGATCCATGAGCACAGGGCTCGGTTCAAGGCGAGTGAGCTGAGCCCTGACCACAGCCAGACTCACAGCCCACAGCTTCGGGCCTGGAGCCACAGGACAGTGGTGGGATGGTGGCATGGCTCAGTGGTAATGTGGCGGGCGTGGCCACCATGGGTGGCTAGTCTTGGTGGGTGCAGTCAGCCGCATGGTATGGTTGGTGACAAGGCTCAGTTGGTGACCCCCACAGTCAGTGGTGTGGTGTGGTCGATAATGTGGCAGTGAGTCCTGACCCTGCCCCATGAGCATGTGGGGCCTCCACCCCACCTGGCCCCAGGACAGGAAGTGCCATTTACATAGCACAGTTTTCCCTCTGGTGACAGCAGGTGAGACAGCAGTGGGGAGCTGACATGGTCAGGCCCCACCTTCCTAGGAAGAGTGTGTAGAAAGAGAGCAGAGAGGGTGTCCGCAGTTTAAACAGAACACGAGGCCAGGTGCTTTCCTCACCCAGCCCACCCAGGGAGGGGCCTCCGGACCCCCATCCCTGGGCTGCCATCTCCCTGGTAGCCAACAAATGGCCCTGGGGCAGGGGGTTTGGCAGAGGAGGCCCCCAGGCTGTGGGGAGGGGGTCTGAGGACCTATGAACCTGAGTCTGGGAGGACGCACATGCCCAGCGGTCACTGCGCGTGCTGGGCTTGCTGGGCTCTGCGTTTAGGGCGACTGCACTGTCTGCCCAAGTAGAGAGGACCCAGTGGGGCAGGGGCCCCATGTGGGTAGGAGGGCCCCAGGGTCACAGTTCTAGGTTGGGGAAGCTGGCCTGTGGTCCACTCCTTCCTCCTGCCCGGCTCCAACCCCAGCACTTAGCCGGCCTCATGTCTGCAGAATCCTGCTCTTAGCCAGCTGCCGTGGAAGGTGTTAGCTGTCAACGCAGGTGTTAGCTGATAACTCAAGTGTTAGCTGATAAGCCATAACCTTCCCAGGGGGATTCACATTTTAATAGACTCACTGCTGAAGGCAGAAAGAATCTTCAGCATTCCAAAGGGGTGGGGGCTCAATGGTGGAATGAGAGGCAGGAAAGCTTACTCCGGAGTGGGTGACCCCGCTGGTGAGACCAGCTCTGGATGCGGCACCCCGGGAGGGACTACTGCCCATGTAGGGCCTTGGTGAAGCCCCAGGTGTATCTGGCCCTGTAATGGAGGAGGGGTTGCAGGCACCTGGGGCTGGGGGAGAACCCACTGGGAGGCTATCCCTGCTGATGGCGTCTGGGTGGGAGGGGTGCAGGCAGCTGGCACTGCAGGGGTTGGCTGGGGAGGAGTGAACTCCTCCCAGGGAGGAGATGGAGCAGAGAATGAGGCCAGGGGGCGGAGGCTTCAGGAGGGTTCCTGCCAAGTCAGGAAGTGCTTGAAAGGAGGATGTGTGGAGGAGGGAGCAGGCTGCCTGGGTGGTTGTGGGACGCGACTCCTCCTAAGCCCTGGACACACTTGCCCTCCACCCCCGCCCTCGGGCATCCAGGCGCCCGTTTTTGAGATAGACGTGCCCAGAGGGACCCCAGCCCCATTGCAGTGTTTCCTAGGCCCTGTGGGTGGAACCCCCACTGGGACCCCCCGGGGACTCCTGCAATGCGGGCTCTGTGTTCACTGGAGTCCTGAGGAGGTACCTGCAGTCACCAGTGTCCATTCCAGGAGGCCTTCAAGTGAGTGCCCCTGGTGACCCAGTGGGCTGCTCCTGGGTGTGGTATGGGGAGTCTGCAGATGTGGCTTCCAGGGTGGAGTGCATGGCTCCAAGGCATGTTCTAGCCCAGCATCGTCCATGAGGCCTGTGAAGCAGGGATCCCAACACTGCGATTCCCGGGGGTGGTGGCCACATCTTGGACCCAGCCCCAGGTCCTCCTGAGACCCAATCTCCGGGGCCCACCTGGCTCTAGCAAAACCTCCAGCTTCTCCAGTACCCCTGCCCTTCCTGCTAACCACTCTGTCTTCTGCCCACAGGGAGCCGGCTGCTGGCATGGGTGCTGTGGCTGCAGGCCTGGCAGGTGGCAGCCCCATGCCCAGGTGCCTGCGTATGCTACAATGAGCCCAAGGTGACGACAAGCTGCCCCCAGCAGGGCCTGCAGGCTGTGCCCGTGGGCATCCCTGCTGCCAGCCAGCGCATCTTCCTGCACGGCAACCGCATCTCGCATGTGCCAGCTGCCAGCTTCCGTGCCTGCCGCAACCTCACCATCCTGTGGCTGCACTCGAATGTGCTGGCCCGAATTGATGCGGCTGCCTTCACTGGCCTGGCCCTCCTGGAGCAGCTGGACCTCAGCGATAATGCACAGCTCCGGTCTGTGGACCCTGCCACATTCCACGGCCTGGGCCGCCTACACACGCTGCACCTGGACCGCTGCGGCCTGCAGGAGCTGGGCCCGGGGCTGTTCCGCGGCCTGGCTGCCCTGCAGTACCTCTACCTGCAGGACAACGCGCTGCAGGCACTGCCTGATGACACCTTCCGCGACCTGGGCAACCTCACACACCTCTTCCTGCACGGCAACCGCATCTCCAGCGTGCCCGAGCGCGCCTTCCGTGGGCTGCACAGCCTCGACCGTCTCCTACTGCACCAGAACCGCGTGGCCCATGTGCACCCGCATGCCTTCCGTGACCTTGGCCGCCTCATGACACTCTATCTGTTTGCCAACAATCTATCAGCGCTGCCCACTGAGGCCCTGGCCCCCCTGCGTGCCCTGCAGTACCTGAGGCTCAACGACAACCCCTGGGTGTGTGACTGCCGGGCACGCCCACTCTGGGCCTGGCTGCAGAAGTTCCGCGGCTCCTCCTCCGAGGTGCCCTGCAGCCTCCCGCAACGCCTGGCTGGCCGTGACCTCAAACGCCTAGCTGCCAATGACCTGCAGGGCTGCGCTGTGGCCACCGGCCCTTACCATCCCATCTGGACCGGCAGGGCCACCGATGAGGAGCCGCTGGGGCTTCCCAAGTGCTGCCAGCCAGATGCCGCTGACAAGGCCTCAGTACTGGAGCCTGGAAGACCAGCTTCGGCAGGCAATGCGCTGAAGGGACGCGTGCCGCCCGGTGACAGCCCGCCGGGCAACGGCTCTGGCCCACGGCACATCAATGACTCACCCTTTGGGACTCTGCCTGGCTCTGCTGAGCCCCCGCTCACTGCAGTGCGGCCCGAGGGCTCCGAGCCACCAGGGTTCCCCACCTCGGGCCCTCGCCGGAGGCCAGGCTGTTCACGCAAGAACCGCACCCGCAGCCACTGCCGTCTGGGCCAGGCAGGCAGCGGGGGTGGCGGGACTGGTGACTCAGAAGGCTCAGGTGCCCTACCCAGCCTCACCTGCAGCCTCACCCCCCTGGGCCTGGCGCTGGTGCTGTGGACAGTGCTTGGGCCCTGCTGACCCCCAGCGGACACAAGAGCGTGCTCAGCAGCCAGGTGTGTGTACATACGGGGTCTCTCTCCACGCCGCCAAGCCAGCCGGGCGGCCGACCCGTGGGGCAGGCCAGGCCAGGTCCTCCCTGATGGACGCCTGCCGCCCGCCACCCCCATCTCCACCCCATCATGTTTACAGGGTTCGGCGGCAGCGTTTGTTCCAGAACGCCGCCTCCCACCCAGATCGCGGTATATAGAGATATGCATTTTATTTTACTTGTGTAAAAATATCGGACGACGTGGAATAAAGAGCTCTTTTCTTAAGCTGTGGCCTCTCAGGCTAGGGTGCTGTGGGCGGTGAGAAGCAGGGGTGGGTGCTGGACGGGCAGCCTCTCCCCCATCACAAGGCCCCCAGAGGAAGGGAGTTGCCTGGCACCACAGGTGGGACAGCCTTGGCCAAGGGCAGCTCCAATGTCAGGTGCCCCTGGCCCCCCAGCCGCACAGATGGAGCATGCTTGGTGGCTGACGTCGTTGAGCCTGGCTGATGGAGCACATGCCAGGTCCATGGGTCTGGACATAGCAGCCCCTGTGGGGACAGTTGCTCTCGGGCCCCCCACCCCAATCAGGCTGCCCGGGCAGCCCCCAGGAGGAGGCTGAGGATGAGGGACCCTGTTCCTACCCCTGGTGGGTGGCAGGAGAGGAAGGCCCTGAAGGAGAGTTGGGCGGGTCAGGCCTGGCCTCAAGGCCCAGTGGGGGCTGTATGCACCCTCACACCGCTGCTGGTGGTCACACTAGACCCCACATGCGTGTCTGGGGCACCCCCACTTACAGCATGCCCACACCCCAAACATAGGCCGTGGTGGGTCTGCATGTCCCTGCACCCATGTATGCATACACGCATGCACACACAGCAGGGCAGGGAACACATGTCCACACACATGCAGGCACCGGGGGCTCGAGAGCAGCACACGCATCCAGGCAAAAATATGCACAGGCAGAAATATGCACAGGCACGCTTTCCCACGGCCTGGGCCGAAGAGGACTCAGAAACAAAAGGGAAGGGCCACGTGGCCAGGAAGCCTTCCCAGGAAAGGGCCCCCTCCCCGCCAGGGCAGTGGCTGGGGAGGGGGAGAGGGAGAAAAACAGTGACGTGGGGGAGGGTGTGGGGGAGCGTTGCTGGTGAAGCCAGATGGTCGTGGGGGCGGCCGGGGCTCCAGAAGCCTGGGGGGAGGAGAAGGAGGGAGAAGAAGCGGGGAGGACGCGCTTAGCAGCCAAGGCCCCAGCTCCTCCGCCCGCTTCTCTGTGCGTGTGCTGCGGCCCAAGGCTCAGACCCCTCCCATCAAGCACAGGGCAGAGCCAGGATGCAGTGGTCCTGTCTGGCCTGTACCCTCCTCAGGGTCCTCCCACATGTCCTGTCTCTCCTGAGAGACCCTGTGCCTGTGCCCACAGGTGCTGAGGCCCCCCGTGTGGCTGCGCACACCTCCACCTGCAGTTTGCCCCTCTGCTCACCTGAGATCCAGGGCCGGCAGCCTTGCCCCAAGGCTGGGGGCAGCTCAGGCAGGGCAGCCCTGCCGGGGTGGGGTGCTGTTTGCCCAGGGCTCCCTCTGCAGCCCCTCTGGGCCCAGGAGACCCTTGGCAGCCCCAGCAGAGGCCTCTCCATGGATGGCCTGATGTCAAAATGTTGTGCAGTCTCTGTCCTGTGCCTGGAGCTCTACCATCAGCACCCCTGGCACCCCCAGTCTCTGTGACCCCACAGCCAGGCCCAGGATTCTGCCAGGCTGTGCCTGGGCACTGGCATAGGCAGGGTTTTATTCAGTTTTTCTCCCAAGTGGCCCCTGTCATGCCTGAGAAGAGGCAGCTAAACTGCTGGATCTGGGCTAGTGCTCTCAGCTGAGGCTGGGGGCTCCTTGCAGTCAGAGCCAGGAAACCGAAGCCACCCATTTCCAAAGAGCCTTGAGCCCCACCTGAGTGACCCAACTGCAGTGGATGCTGGCGCCCTCAATGGCTTGTGGAAGGACAGCAGATCCTGCCTCAGCTTGCACACCTCCCAGGACAAGGAGTTCATTACCTCTGCTGGGCCCACTCCTAACTAAGAAGCAGGCACCTGTCGCCCTCAGGCCAGCTTCGGGGCTGACTGTCACCACCAGCTGCCCTCAGGGCTCTGCACCCTCCCCTCCAGGCCACAGTGGGGGCCTGTGCAGTGGCAGGGGTGGGGAGTTGGGCACAGTCCAACCAGACCTGAGGACGGGGTGAGAGGATCCGGAAGGAAGTGGACGAGTTTTAAGTTGGACTCAGCAGGATGCATGGACGCTCCCATGGGGTGGAGGCGGCAGGCAGGGCTCCCAGGCCTGAGCAGCCGGCACGGGGCGCCCGTCCCTGAGGTGGGGGCGCCGAGAGGAGCGGCCGCTTTGTCGAGGCCCAGGAGACATCTGGGCGGGGGTGTCGCGTGGGCTGTGCAGGCTGAGCTCAGCAGAGGGGCCCGGCTGGAGGACACATTTGGGAGTCGTGAGCACTTGGGTGATATTTACAGCCCAGGAAGAGATGAGCTCACCGGCCGGCCGCTGCTGACGAGGGGCCCGGAGTGGGCGGGGCGTTGGGCCAGGGCCCAGGGACTCAGCTCCTTCCTGCGCCGACCCCGGCACTCCCCAGCTCTGCCTGACCAGCCCCGGCCGGCTGGGCCCCTGAGGTCAGGTGCTGGACCAGGCAGGGGTTGGGGGTGGCAGCTGGTGTCCAGCCTTGATCACCCAGACCCCAGAGCAGGTGCAGAAAGCTAATTAAAGCTGCGTGAATCAGCCTTGAGGGTATCAAATCCTGGCCCCCACCCCATGCGGGCTGCTGGTCTACCACAGACTCTCCTGGCCCCGTCCAAAGATGCCTGGCCAGCCCCAGGGGGCCCTGTGGACCGAATCCTTCACAGCTCATGGGCCTGTCCCTGTGTTGCAGGCCTAGCCAGGGCAGCACCACCCAGCACAATTGGTGGAGGTGACAGCTGGGGCTGGGCTCACCACTAGGTGGCTGTAGCCGACCTGGGTGGGGGATAGGGGCAAGCAACCCTCAGATGTCGGGCCCAGGCTGGGCTGCTCCTGGGGATTCCTCTCAACCACCCCGACTCCACCCCTGCGGCCCTGGGGGCTGAGCTGCACCAGAGCTGCCCTGCACACCTGTCTGCCCAGGGCTGCAGGAGCAGCCCTGTCCTTGGATGGGAGCGCCTGCCCCCTGTTTATCTGGCTGCCCAGGGCTTTGCCTAGTAATTGGGAGAATTACTTTTTAATCCTTAAATTAGTTCTGAAATAATAGAAGCTGCCGAATGTTCAGCAGCCGATGGTAAACTAACATCCAGCGAGACTGAGAACATGCCGGAAACAAGTTGAGAGGGAGGCAAGTGTTTGTGGTGTGAGCTGGGGCCCGGGGCGGGCCACTGCGGCGGCGGCAGGGGTGGGGGCTCCTCACTGCCGGGCTGCCTGCAGCTCACAGCCTCCCTGGGGTGGTAGGGCACCTCACACTCACATCCCCGCAGGAAGACACTGCTAATGTCCCCAGGGCACAGATGAGGAAACGGAGGCCCAGAGACATGAAGCAACATGTCAGGCAGGATTGGGCCCGAGGCCACGCGGGAGCAGACCCTTCGCTGCCAACTGTGTTTGTGCTCCAGAGTGCTGCTCTGCTTCTCCATCCCAGTGCCCGGGGACATCACAAGACCCTGGGTGTCAATTCCCTCCACTGTGTCAGTCAGCCTAGGGATGTCACTCGGGGTGGCACCCTGAGCTGTGGCACCTCTGTGACTGAGGCAGCTCTGTGTCTGGTCAGCTGGCCTTTGGGCCGCCTCCAGCCACAGTGAGGAGGCCCAGCCCTCAACTCAATTTCCCCCACGTTGCCGGCCTGGTGGCCACCCTCATGCCCAGATTTCTCACTGGTGGCCTTGGCCTCTGTTCTGCCTGGACCCCAGCTGGCTCCTTTCCCACCCTGCTCTGGGCTAGGCCGCTCCGGAGCCCTGCCCTGCAGCCCAGCCCCTGTGTACACCACAGCCTGGGCTTGGCAGGGCTCCCCACATGAGGCCTGGGTGGGAAAAGTGCAATGGCCACTGTCAGCAAAGGGTGTATCTCAGCCCATCCCCCCCCACCCCGCCGGGCACAGCAGCTCAAGGATCCCATTATGCCAAGGCCTTGGAGAGTGGCTGCGATGGGCATGAGCCCAGTGGCCCCCGGAGCCCCACTCCTGTTGGGAGGGTGCATGTGTCGGGGCCCAGGGCTCCCCAGCAGCTGGCCTGACCCCAAAGTGCCAATCCCAGGTCTAGAGGAGGAGCCCCAAACTCCATGGAGGAGGCCGTGGGACTTCTCTGGTTGGTCAGGCTTCTCCAGGGCTGGGGCCTGGTGCTACTGTCTTTTCCTGGGGGAGGTGGGGCTCTGCCAGGGCACACCTCTCCGGAAGCCCCTTCCAGGTGCGTCGCACTCCCCACCTGCCTCTGTCTGCTGCAGGGGAGTCCTGCTCCCAGGGGCAGGGGACCCTTGCTGGGCCATGCCTGGAGTCCTGAGCCAGTGGGTGGAGGAACAGGCACCTGTCCAGCCTCATCTCTCCTTTTGCTCCCAATCCCCAGCCCCCAGCCCCAGAACTCCTTAGGATCTTCTTCTTGGTCCTTCCTCTTTGCTCAGTATTCAGTTCTGACACCACTCCCTTCTCCAAGAAGCTCTTCCTGATCCTCCAGGCTGGTCCTCACCCAGCCAGGTGGCCATGGAGTGGATCCACAGTGCCCAGACCCGCATGGCCAGAGCCAGGGGCAGGTCACTACCCCTCAACAGCCCTCTGCTTTTGTGCCTGTTTTGAGGAATGAGTAAACCCTCATGGAAGAAGAGGTCCCTGCTTGGGCCCAGCCCTGGAGGAGCTCATAGAGGGCCAGACAGGGTGCTTCTGCCACACGGTCCCAAAGCTGAGGCCGAGGCTGTCCCTCCCTCCAAATGTCCCCACCCACAACCTGTCTTCTTGGATTCAGACCACAGGACCAAGCTCGCGCCTGGTTCCCCAGGCCCCAGAAAGCCAAGGGAGCCCCCCAAGGCCACACAGTAAGCAGTGGAACCAGGCTGGGCCGGGCTGGCTGCCTGGACCCCCCTCACGCCCTGTGGGCCCCCCAGAGCTGGCCTAGGGTCTCTTGACCCTGACCTCAGTGGAGGAGCACCCAGCCTGACATTCTGAGAGCTGCACAGGTAGCACTTCCTTGGCACCAACAGCAGATTGCATGTGGGGTCAGCACAGGCCTGCTGACCGGGGCAGGGCCAGGCTCACAGCCACCTGGGTGCAGGAAAGGGTGCCAAGCTCGGCAGGAGTCCTGCCCTCCCAGCCTGTGCAGTGGCTGGGCTCGGTGGAGGGTCCCTCTCTCTCTGACCAGTTCGCTGTGCGTTTATTAGGCACCTGCTGTGTGCTGGTGAAACAGGAAAAGTCCCCTTGTTCCCCTCACAGTACATGCAATGGGGTTGTGGCTTGCTTCAGTGCCCTGCTGCTCAAATCTCTAGGGGAACATACAGACGGGCAGGCTGTGGAGCTCCAACCCCACGGCAGTGTCTAGGGGTGAATGTTTATAGCTGAAGCCCCAGTGAGCGTGTTACAGGGTGCTCTTTTAGTTTTGCTGTTTTAGTTTAACTCTATCGGTGGCTTCTGTTACTCAGCTCAATTAAACCCCAGTTAGAGCCCTGCCTTATCGCAAGGACAGATGGCTTTCTGCATCCCAAGGTTCTTGCCTTGGTGTAAGAATTGGACCACACGTGGGCTCGGAGAATGAGTGCAAGGTTTTATTGAGTGGAGGTAGCAGATGGGGGAAGGCAGAAGAAGATGGAGTGGGACGGTTTTCCCCTGGAGTCGGGCCCGGGCTCTCCTCTGGCTGCCCCAGCCAAACTCCAGGTCATTCTGCTGCCGGTTGGTAGCCTGCCGGGGTGCCGGCGCCCGTCAGTGCGTTCCTCTCGACGTCCAGCCGCCTGAGTGCTCCTCTGCCAATCCGCTCCTCTCCACGTCCAGCAGCTTGTGCGTGCCTGCCAGGGTCTCGCGAGTTTTTATAGTCATAGGATGGGGGTGTGGCAGGCCAGGGTGGTCTTGGGAAATGCAAAAATGCCTGTCCTCACCTAGGTCTGTGGGATGGAGCCCCAGCCAGGGATCACACCCTCCTCTACGCAGCACTTCCCCTTTTCCCTATCATTCATTTCAAGGGACCAAGCTCTTCCACTCCTGTATCACCTCAACGAACCCATGCGCCTCCTTCCTGGAGGTTGCTGTTGAAGCTGCAGGCATCACCCCCTGGGTGAGAGAGGGCCCTGCCTGGGCCTGGGCTGCTGCCAGGCCACGTGAATGCGGGGAGGCCATGTTTTGGAAGCCCGAGGGAGGATCCACACTTTGTCCCTGCACATGGCCCAGCCTCAGACGCTAGACAAAATGAGGGGCAGAGAATGGCCCCTTCTGCAGACGCAGTGCATCTGGCCCAGCCCACAACGAGCCTCTCCTGCAGGGGCAGCCTCCACGGGAAGGGCCAATTAAACCCACCACCGATCGGCCCAACCAACACCGGGGAACAGGAGGCCTCCAATTTGTCTTTACAAAGGGCTGTGCAGAGATTTATGGGCAATAAATGAACATCCATCCCGAGGCGGGCAGAGGAGAAGCGGCAGGGCCGGCAGGGTGGGGGCAGCCCCCTCTGATCGTGGCGCGGAAGCTGCATTAATGACGCTCACCAAGGAGAGACAAGGCTGAGGCTGGCAGGGCCACTCACCAAGGAAGGAGAAAAATAAATGCGAGCAATTGGGGAATGATGAAGACCTTGCAGGGAGAACACCTCGATACACACGGTGAGGCCAGCCTGGCAGAGTCTGGGGACGCCGAGCCAGGGACCTGGTGGGGTAGGGCAACCTACAGGAGGGGCACAGAGACAGCCTGGTGCTGCTGCACAATTATTTTTGAAAAATGACAGAGCAGAGAGAAAGAGTGGAGGCGGGGCGGGGGACTGCAGCCTCCAGGGATGCCAGGGGTTTCTGAGAGGCGGTCACTGCTACCTTCAGGGGGAGCAGGAGGGTCTTGAGGCCTTGGGAGCCAGGGCCCCAGCCTCTGAAGCCCTCCCTGAGGTCCCTTAGCCAACAGTGGTGGAGCCACAGCCCTACCCCTCTAGGCTCCCCCGCGGCCATTCCAGCCTCCAACCCCACCCCTCCACCTCAGACTGTAGGGTCTGAGCACCCGCCCTGTCCATATCCATCCCTGCATGCCTCTCCGTTCACCGACTCCTTCAACAGACCATCCCCTGCTCCTCTCAACAGGCCCCGCTCTGCTGGGGAACCACGGACAGAGGCCTTCCCATCCCCAGGTCAGGATCATCTGGGCCCCCTGCTGCAGCCGAGGACCCCTCCAGATCCGCAGAGGGACAAACTGGCCATGAGGCCACGACCAAGCCTCACTTGGGTGGGGACCCAGCCTGGGGCAGTCCTGCTGTTGCCCCCCACCCCCCGACATCCTGTCATGGTTGGGAAATCTGGTGGCACCAACTCCCCAGATCTCTCCTGGCCCCACCTCTGGGCCTGGTCGGGGGATCTGGAGGATGGCATCAGTCCTGCCTGCCTGCTGTGGGCCTGTGGGTAGCTGTGCCCAGGGGCATGGGGGAGTGAGACTGCACCCCAGGCTCACTCTCCACTTTCAGGTTACCCTAAACACCAAGGCTGTGCAGATTTTCCCACCCCAAGAGGCTCATTCTGTAAAAGCTGGTCTCAATTAACACAGCCAAACAGAAGCATCCAGCACTACACTCTGGAAATAGGACACCTATGCCAGGGTGAAGGGGTGACTGACACTGTCCCTGAGGCAGCCACAGGCCTCAGCAGGCACTGGGGAATTGGTGCAGACCCTGCCCAGAGCCCTCCCTTCCTCAAGGGATGGGACAGTGGGGCCCTCACCCACCGACTCCCCACATAAAAGACATTTCTAGGCACTTCTAGGCCAGCCAAGGGGGACACAGCAGTTCCCCAGAGGGGCAGGCGTGGCCTGCCGACAGTAGGGCTAGGGGTCAGCACTCCAGGTCCCCATGCCCATCAGTGCCCACCCAGCTCAGCAGGGATAGCAGCGTTCCTTGCCCAGCCACTCCCACAACACCACCCAGGTTGGGGGCAGGCTCCCTGTGCCTGGTGACAGCAGTGCCACCAGGCCTGCAGGTGGGGGTCACTGTGTCATCACTACAGATGAAGAGAGGGCGGCCAAGGAGTGGCACATGGACGCAGCCTGTCCATGGGGGTGCCCGCTGTGCACTCGGAGCAGCCTTCTGCCCAGGACGCCCTGGACAGGGCCCCGTCATGGTGCTGAGTCACAGATACCAGCAGAGGACTGGACAGAAGCGACTTGGGAGCCTGAGGATGGGGAACACAGCCTGCCATGTTTCCCGAGGTTTCCCGGGAGCAGTGAGAGGGCCAGGCCAGGCCCTAAGAACTAGGACCCTTATGCCCAGAACCAAGCAAGACGTGGGGGAAGTGGGATCCACTGTAAGTCCAGGGCCCCAGCTGACCCCAGTCCCTCCCTGGGCCCACCGGGGTGTCCCTGCAGAGACTGGCTGGGCCAGCAGCCTGAATCTCTCCTGGTGAAGGCCTGAAGGCCAGAGTAGGTGGGACCATCCTCGCCGAAGCCGGCCTCAATTCTCAAGGCCATGCCGTGGAGCCAGTGCCATCTGGACCCTCTGGGTCAAGCAAAGGGTGTGTGCTAATCAAAGGCAGGCCCTCGAGGATGCCAAAGGCCCGCGAATGCCCAGTGGACCGTGAAAACCTTCTGCTGACAAACCCTGCAGGTGTTGGGGCCACAGGGAGGGAGGGTGACTTTGCCTTTCGGCAGCCAAAGGATTTCACTGGAAGCCACTCTTTTGGCAAAAGCAGCCAAGTGATAACCAGGCCTTCACCTGTGTCTTAGGCTGAACCACAGTGGACCAGGAAACTGCAGGGAAGGCCACAGGGAGCCACCTTCCAGGGTCGGTGAAGGGCCCAGCCCCTCAGTCCCATCCTTCCACTGACCCGTGCCCACCTCCAGGGCAAGGGAGGAGCGAGGGCTGCCCTGGAGGCTGCCCGTTGGATGGAGCCTCAGTGACCTCGCCATCCACTGGGGGTGTTCCAGGAGGAGAGGTACAGGGTCCTACACCCAACGTTCTTCACCCAAGACCTGGCCTGAGACCAGGAACAGTGTCTGCCATCTTGAGTTCACAGGACCAGCCAGAGCCAGAGCTGGGCCACTAAGGACAGCCAGCTTAGCTGAGGGGCCGTACCTCCTAGGACGTCCTGGTGGCCGAGACTGGGCCACCTGCCATGCTGGCCATTGTCTGTCTCAGTTGGGGCATGTCTGTCTCCTGCGGCCCCTAGGGCTGGGCCCTGCTGTCCCACTGGGTATAAGGAAGGAACTGGGGCTGCCAAAGAAGGAAAAGCTGGGCAGACAGTGGGGGGCCTGGGAAGGCCAGCGCCTGCAGCCCTTCACCTTCCACCCTGCAAGCCACAGAATACCCAGGCAGAGCTGAGCAGGGCACCCTCCAGTCCAGGGGCTCTCCTCTCCTCAGAGAGAGGCTGAGACACACTTGCCCCACAGAGAGCTAGGCTGTGGCGTCTGAGGTCTTCTCCTGCCACGTGCATCACAGCTGCATACCCTGATAGCCACTCGGTTCCTGAGAATCCCTGAAAGGAGGGACTCGCTTCTCCCCACCCACTGGCTGGACAGGAAGGCAGGGATAGCCTGTGTGCAGAGGGAACAGCCTGTGCGGGGGCCCTGAGGATCACTCACCCGGAGCCTGGCCCTTTGGTGGGGGTGTGGGGCTGAGCCAGCAGGAGGCCAAGGGTGGGGTGGGAGTGACCCTGGACACCTGTGGAAAGACAGGGCCTCGGGGTCCACCCCACCTGGCTCTGGGCCCTGGGGCCCCTGGCCAGCACGGGTTGCCGCCTCATTGCAGTGCCTTCTCTGCTCCAGCTGCTCTCCAGCTCTCCATGCATCAAGGTGGAAACAGAGCAGGAGCGCAGTAATGCGGAATTTGACTTGCAAAGTCGGGGTGAAGCAGCACTAATAAGGCCGGGCTTACAAGGAGGCTGGGGGTGGGGCTGAATCCAGGCCCTGAGGGCAGGAGAATGACTGGGGTCTGGCGGGCGAGGGTGTAAGTGGAGGAGGGAGGGCTTAGGGGACCGTGGGTCTGTCATCCTGCCCCTGCCACGCTCAGGGCTGGGGAACTCCATGCCTGCCAATCCCAGAGCCTTAGGTAGGCAAAGCCAGGATGGGGGCACCAGCCCATGGTGTGTGGCACCCCCACCCTTCCCTAAGGCCTTGTGGGGAGGGGACTGGGCAGGAGGGGACTGGGCAGGAGGGGACTGTCCCCTCCCACACACGATGTGATCTCTCTCCCACAGCCCTCCTGCCCCAGCCGGACACCCTCTGCAGTGGCCAGAGTGCGAGAGGTCCTCAGCCCTGAGCCAAGTGGCTCACCCCTGCTCCTCTGCCCTTCCCCTCCCCAGCTGACCGGCCTCCAGCCTCCAAACCCTCCATGGGGACTCAGGGCCTGACGGGGTGGCCCAGTAGGGCCCGGGTGCTGAGCTGGGCTCTGAGATGGGTGGCCGAGATGACATGGAGGGAAAGGGTGCTGAGGGGTGGGGATGGTGCCTTCATGGACTCACTCTCCTGCCGATCCTCCAACCCCAAGCTCAGGCCTGGGGAAGCTGGGCCCAGGAGAGGCTGTTGATCCCAGGGCCAGGGAGGTCCACACTGTCTGGTCTCTTTTCACCAGGCTCTGCTGCCTCCTCCTGGGAACCACCCCCAAGACAGGGTTTAGACCGTGGGAGCCGCTCAGGCAGGGCAGTGGGTGGGGAGGTCTCCCTTTCCTACCTCACCTACCCGACTCAGGATTTCCAGACAGCTCTAACAGAGGGAGGGACCCAGGACCCTGGCACCCCCTCTAAACAGAGCAGGCCCTCAGGGTGGGGGCTGCAGCTCCTCACCCCGTACACTTGGACTAAAAGGAAAACAGCATGTCCCTGTGCCTGGGGTCTGTGAGTCAGGGGACCCTGGCCTGGCCTGGGGTGTCATGTGCAGTGTCCAGCTGGAGAGGTGCCCAGGCCCATGCCCCACCAGCGTTGTGTGCCCTCCACCCGCTCCCCACCCGTGTGCTGCTCCCTGAGACTCCGTGGTGGGTCCTGGCCGCTGGCAGTCACCTCTGGTGGGCTCTGATGCCCAGGCTAGTTCTGCAGGGCCAGGTCCTGTACCCAGACATGCCGGCTCAGAAGTCTGGTAGACTTGGCCCCATGCGGGCCCCTGGGGAGAAAGGCACCCTCCCCAGGCTCACAGCACCATCTCCGCAGTTCTGCACAGTCCAAGTGCTGGGCTGCTGTCGAAGGCCCTGTCATCACAGTGGGCTGGCTAGGTTCCGGGGCTCCCTCTGCACTCCCGCCCTGCCCCCACAAGCCCCTCCTAATTGGGCTTTCTCCCTGACAGAGCGCCATAGCCTCTCTTTTCTGTTCTGTTGACTTTGGCACAATCTTAGCTCACTGAAGCCTGGCAGGAGTGGAGAGGCCAGTGCAGCCGAAATAGCTCTCAGCCCCCGGAGCCCACAGCCGGAGCAGACAGTGTCCCCGAGGGTGGGGACCGCCTCCCCTGCTCGGGCCACCACTTGCTTCAGGACCCAGACAGCTCCCACGAGACTCAGGGAGCCCAGTGCCCAGCTCAGGGCCCGACAGCATGGAGCCAAGACAAAATGTGCCGGTGCCAGCCTGGGCAGCAAGACTCAGAGGGACCCAAGAGCCACCATCATCTCACCCGCCATGCAGCCACTGGCAGAGCTGGGGAGCCACGGGGGACTTGAGACTCAAGGGTGTTTTTCCCCCTGTGGACTACCTCCTCCACGGGATCTCTTGGTTCTTGTTAAAAATGCGAGTCCAGGCCCCTTTGCTAGAGGGCGGGTTGGCAAGGTTTTCTTTCCCCCATGTGTGTGTGTCCACATGGGGGAAGGTGTTGTCTTGGGCTGAGCCAGTGCCCTGGGTGACTCCTGTGATTGGGTCCATTTAGGACACAGACCCCAAAATGCTGCTCCTCAAATGGAGAGAATTCAGCAAGAACAACCAGGAATGACTGTTGTGATTTTGTTAACTGGGGAAACTACAGATAGGGGCCCAGATGGGAGCACAAGGCCGGCGGGGGACTGGGCAGGGCTGCTGGGCTGGCCACCTCCTGCGGGTGGCCCTGGGGGTCCCATCACCTCCCCATGCCTCAGTTGTCTCTTCTGTAACAGGGCGCAATGGTGAGAATCACAGCAATGCTAGCAAGGGCAAGAGCCCTGGAGCTGAGGGAAGCCCAGACCGCCCCAGTGGCACCCAGACCCACTCCTCCTCAGCCTAGCTGGCGGCTCATGGCATGAACTTGCTAAGAAACCGAGCTCCATGCACAGCGCAGCACCACAAGCTGGGCCGAGGAGAGGAGGGGGCAAGCCAGGAGCAACGCATGGACTCCCATGCACCCACACATGTGCACAGGACAGAGGAGGGTGATCTGAGCACAGCCCCCACCTGTCACCCAGCTGGTTATCTGTCAGGGTTGGGATGTCAGCAGACATTCTCTTTTGGGTTCATGTCTCTGTAGCCCCCTCCCCCAGCCTGTGTCCCCTGGCCTGGGGTCTTCGGTGTGCCAGCTGGATCCTTACCTAAGGCTCCTCACACATGGGCCCCCCTCGTTACCAGGCAGCCCATGCCAGCCAGACACATCGCCAGCCAACGACCCTCACTGGGGTATAGCTCCTGGGGCAGCACCGTGGGACTTGAGCTTCCATCATGGGCACTGAGCCGCCCCAGTGGGCTTCCCCTGACATGCCAGCCCAAGGAAGCCCCCTGGTGCCCACACTGGCATTTTCTGGCACCTCCAGGGGCTCGCTGGTGCTCACCTCACAGCCCTCCCATCTGCGGGGAGCCGGCCTGGCTGATCCCAAGCAGCAAATGGTGCTGTTGTCAGGAAGGCTGCCCCCAGGCTTGGCGGGGTCTGCAGTCTTGGCCCTCTCCCTGGGCAGCAGCTGACCTGGCTCTGGACCCCTGCACCCAGTGCAGCAACCGGGGATGTAGGGGAGAGTGGCCTGGAGGGTCTGTTCTGAGAAAGGCCCAGAAGCCAGAGATCCCATAGCCCAGCCCCACTTAGGACTCACCTGGGCTCTCGAGTGCTGTGTGCTGTGTTATTCGCCAGCCGCTCGGGATTACAATTCAAGGCTGCTGCTGAAACTCGGGCAGATCCCAGCTGCAAAGGGCAGTTCCTTCCTCGAGCTGCAGAACGTGTCTGGAGGGGTTGGCTCAGCCCGAGGTGAGCATTCACACTGAGGCTGAGTCCAGAGATGAGTAGGTGTGAGGGTGCAGGAAGGCCCCCAAGGGCCCCCAAAGGCCCCAGAGTCCCATGGGGGAGAGGCTGGAGACAAGGCCCTGGTCCAGCACTGGGCCCTGCAGGGCTGTTGGGAGACAGCGCCAGGGACAGCTGGGTTTTGCCTGAGTCCTGGCAGGGGCAACCGTGACGTGGTCGGGCAGTGGCCCAACAGTGGTCATTGGGAACATTCCCCGGGTGTCTCGGGGGGTGTCACAGAGACCAGATGTGCCCTGAGGCTCTTGTACCATCGCACAGGAGGACACCAGATCAGGTAAGGAGCTTCGGCCCAGCCTGGCTCGGCTTCTGCATCCTCCCCAGAGGGGATCCCCTGCCTGTGCCCCCAGCTTTTGCTTGGCTGCATGTTGGGCCTTGAGGCCGCAAGCATCCAGGGGCTCTGGGTCTCTTGCCCCAAAGTCCAGGCTCAGTGTCCTTCCAGAGAACCCTCCTCCCCAAGACCCCACAACGACTCAGGCCAGGACTGTGCGGTGCCTTGGCGGCCTGCGAGGGAACAACTGGCTTCTCACAGTACCAGGAGCTGGACCTGGGGGTCTCCACAGGGCACCTCTGACTGATGTCCCTGTCCCACCTAGATTGCTGTGGCCTTGAAGCGCCCCTCAGGAAGTCTTTGTGTGCCCCCATCCTAGATAGAATCAGCCCGTCTGTCCCTGCCCTGCCACAGGGGCCGTCTCTCCAGCCCCGGAACCTCCCCCAGGGATCCTGGACCTCTGAGGGTACAGGTTCCAGGGAGACAAGGAGCTGCCCTATCTGGCCACCCCCACCGACACAGGGTCCTGTGCCAGGCAGGTGGGAACCAGCAGGTGGCTTTGAACCTCAGCGCTGTCCCGAGGCAGCAGGTGCCCTGCCCCTGCACTGGCCTCCAGGCTTTGGCATGTGTGGGTTCCACCCTTGACAGCCCCTCCCTCTGCACTCAGAAACCAGCTCAGGGCTGCCAGGGGCTTGCAGGAGCCCAGAATGTGTGCAGCCCAGGCCTCAGTCCTCCGTCCAGGGCTATTGTCAAATCCAGCAAGTGTCTGTTGAGCGCCTACTGTACATGCATACAGTTGAGGGGGACTGTTGCTCGGCTCCGACATAGCACACTAGTCTGGTCTAGAGAGCCGAACCAGTTTAGGGGCATCGGGGCCCATCCCCCAGGGCATCGCCACACCCACTGGGCTTTGCCCTTGCCGGCTGCCCCCACCCTGCCCCCAGCTATGCACGCTCTCCAGGCCCTGGGCAGCCCTCCCTGCTGGCCTTCTCAGAAGGTCTCCCTGACCTTTCCACTGCACCTCACGCCTCCCACAGTGGTCCTCCCTCCTGACCCCCTCACATCACCGTACCATTTCGTATCAGCCTCAGGGGGCCACCCTTCCTTGCACTCTCCCAGGGCAGCACACAGGACGGCAGCCGAGGGGACGTGGAGTGGCCAGGAACATCATGGCCTGGCCCCCAGTGGTCTGCTCTGCCCATCCTGACCCGAAGCCTGGGATGACCCCTCCTCGCCGGAAGGCAAGGGAGGGCTGGATTGGCAGAATCCATCACCCAGGGGGCAGCTCCCACATGCTGACTGTAAACAGCTGTTAGCTTTTTGAAGAGCAAAATAAATTGTTTTAACAGCAGAGCAGTCACCCTTCTCTGCGCTGCAAGCTGAGGGCCTGGGAGTTCCTGCACCCTGCTGGCTGCCCCTCAGCCTGGGCCTGGCCCCAGACAGCTGCAGATGCCCATATGCCTGAGGCCCAGTCAGCCTGGGGACCTGGGACCAGCCTGTCCGGCATCCCTGGACTCAGATGCCTCCTCCAGGGAGTGATGGATCCGACCCAGGCCTGGCCTGGGGTCCCCAACACCCTCACAGGGCCCAACCAGACCTGGAGTGCTCCTACCCCCACTCCAACAAGAACACAGGGCGGCCCTGCACCTCCAACCTCCTTCTTCCCCATCTTCACGTCTCCACTCCCCATCTTCACGTCTCCACTCCCTGCACTGCTGCTGTGCTGGGGGACCTGGGGATGTGCACGGTTTGCAGGGGCCAAGGCACGTCCGGCCAGGCCCAGCCTCAGGGATCACATGGCAGAGTCCCGCACCCCACGGGCCGTGCTTGGGATGCTCCCTGCAGGTCCCAGGAACCACTGCAAGGTGGGGGCGGGCCCTCAGAGCCCTTTCCCAGAGCTGGGGGCTGGTAGCCACCCTTTGGCTTTGGAGAAGGTGAGCCAGGCCTGTCTACCAGTGACTAATTATTTCTGCAGCAGCCGCCTTGCCTGCCTGGTGTCCTCACCGCAGGCCCCACAGCTTGTTCTGAGTGTGCTTGTGTGTGTGCACGTGTGTCTGTGAGCATGCTGCCTCGTGTATGTGTGCTGCACATGCATGTGTAAATATGCTGTCCAGGTGTGCGTGTGTGTGCTGCCCACATGAGTGTGTGTGTGTGTGAGCATACTGCCTAGGTATGCACATATGTACACATGTGAATGTGCTGCCCATGTGTGCATGCATGTGTGTGAGTATACTTCCCATGTGCATAAATGTGTGCATGTGTGTGTATGTGTGGCCCACATGTGCATGTGTATCTGTGTGCTGTCCATGTGCACACATGTGCATGTGAGTGTGCTGCTCATGTATGCATGTGTGTATGAACGTGCTGCTCCTATGTGCGTGTGTGTGAGCATGCTGCCCATGTGTGCATATGTGTGAGCATGCTGCTCACGTGTGCGTGTGTGAGCATGCTGCTCACGTGTGCATGTGTGTGTCAGCGTGCTGCCCATGTGTTCATATGTGTGAGCATGCTGCTTGTGTGCATGTGTGTGCTGCCCATGTTGTGCATGTGTGTGTGTTGCTCTTGTGTGCTTGTGTGTGTGCTGCCTGTTTACATGTGTGAGCGTGCTGCTCATGTGTGCATATGTGTGCGCATGCTGCTCATATGCATGTGTGTGTGCTGCCCATGTTGTGCCTGTGTGCGTGTCTGTTGCTCATGTGTGCATGTGTGTGAGCTTGTTGCTCATAGTGTGTGAGCGTGCCGCTCATCTGTGCATGTATGAGCATGCTGTCCACGTGTGCATGTGTGTGATGTCCGTGTGTGATGTCCATGTGTGCATGTGTGTGTGTGCTGCCCATCTGTGCATGTGTGAGCATGCTGCCCATGTGTGCATGTGTGTGAGCGTGCTGCCCATGTGTACACGTGTGAGTGTGCTGTCCATGTGTGCATGTGTGTGCTGCCCATGTGTGCATGTGTGTGCTGCCCATGTGTGCATTGTGTGTGCTGCTTATGTGTACATGTGTGTGCTGCCCATGTTGTGTGTGTGAGCGTGTTGCTCGCGTGTGTGTGTGCTGCCCATGTGTGCAAGTGTGTGAGCGTGCTGCCCATGTGTGCATGTGTGAGCATGCTGCTTATGTGTACGTGTGTGCTGCCCATGTTCATGTGTGCATGTATCTGAGAGCATGCTGCCCATGTGTGCATGTGTGTGTGTGAGCATGCTGCCCATGTGTGCGTGTGTGAGAGCCTGCTGTCCATGTGTGCGTGTGTGTGTGCTGCCTATGTGTGCGTGTGTGTGTGAGCGTGCTGCCCATGTGTGCGTGTGTATGTGAGCGTGCCGTCCATATGCACGTGTGTGTGAGTGTGCTGCCCATGTGAGCATGTGTGTGTGTGAGAGATCATGCTGCCATATGGGCATTATGTCTATGTCTGTCTGCCTGCCGTGCCATGGTGTGTGCCCTCCTGGGCTCGCCTGTCCTTTCATCTCCATGATGCCCTCTGGTCCCTGGCTCTCCCCCTGTGCCCAGTTCCTTCCTCTCCCCCACCCAGGGTCCCCACTCCACTCCTCAGTCCACCCAGTGCCGATGGGGGAATCAGGGACCAGGATGTGTACCTCTCCAGGCCTGGCTGTGTGACTGGGAGCTGAAGAGCCCTCTCTAGGCCCACTGCAGTTGCACTGTCTCCCAAGTGAGGTCACTTGTGCACCTGACACAGGCTGAGCTCAGCAATTGTGTCCCTGTTGCTCCAGCCCTGGAAGGGGCCCTGAGGATAGGACCAGGGTCAGAGGCAGGCTCTAGGCTGGACAGCTGCCCACACCGCAGGGTGGGCCCAGCACCCATGCCAGACAAAGAGCCACCAAAGGGAGCCACGGAGTGACAGGTGAGAAGAAAACCCCCCAGCTCTGGAAGGTTTGGGTCCCCTCAGCCCCTGCCCCCACAAACAAAAAACCATCCCCGGGCCTGACCACCGCTCGGCTCCTGCGCCCGGCTGGCCCTGCGGCCTCGGTGAAGACAGGAAATCCATACCAGGCTGAGGGATGCTTCCAGCAAGGTCAGGCCCACCGGCGGGAGAGGCAAGTGGGGGCAGCGGGGCGTCGGTTCGGCGGCAGGCCCAACTGCCTCCCCTTACGCGGCTCCCAGGCTTAAATCAGGCCAAGGTGTCCAGGCTAGCTCCCATCAGGCCTTCTGAGTACACCAAGCTGGGCCATCGCAGAGCCAGGTCCCGCCAGGCTCTGTCCAGCTTTGCTGGGTCTCCAGCACACAAACCCTGAGCCTGGGGCCCAGCTGGAGCCCTGGCAGCCCGGGTCCTCACACATGGGCAGCAGGGATGCGGGTTCCACTCCACGTCCCAGGAGCCAGCACAGGGGCCAGGACGCGAGAGACCTTGCTAACCAGGACGGAGCCACCCAGCAGAGATGGAGCCTCACTCTCCTGCCGCCCCCTGCAGCCTCTTCCCCATCCCTGACCTGCCCCAGGGGCTGGCGGAGCTTCAAAGGCCCCTGCTGGGGTTCCACTTGACCACCTCAGGGCACAGCTCATCTCCTGCCCAGGAGCTGTCGCCCTGGATACCACCTGCACCCACAGCAGCTCAGAGAGGCTTCCTCTCAGCCTCCCAGACCCCCTGCTCAGGCAGGTGACTGATGGGATCAGCATCCCTTCTCCCCAGGAGACCAGGCAGCCAGCTCGGGGGCATTTATGGATAAATAAACGAATGAATGAACAAAAGAACAAATGCTCCAGGCCTCCCCACAGAGATAGGGCTGCCCCAGGTGACTGCAGGAGGAGGGGCTCCCGGGCCCTGAGGATGGGGAGCTCAGTCCACAGGGCCCTGGACCGAGCTTTGTTCACAGTTCCTATCAGTGCCCAGGATCAGTGACAGGACAGCGATGCCCAGTGTGGGCTCAGGTGCCCGAGGCCTGGCACAAATTTCCCTGCTGCACACAGCTGGGCAGGGTGTGCCATATAGTCTGCTGGAGAGGTGGAGGCAGAGGGAGTGGAGGCTCCTGCTGCTGTTTCCCAAGTTGCTCCCATCTGCCCCTGACTGCCTGGCAGGCCGGCCCTTTCTGGTGTGGCACCACCACATGGCTGGTTCTGGCTGCTGGGGCATGCATGGCACGCCTAGGTTCCGGCAAGGCCTGCAGCCTCCCTCTCTCCCTCTGTCTGGGATCCAGCAGCATCTGAGAGGGTGGCTGGGTCATCAAATGACTTAGAACAGGGCCTCACCCACCCACCCTGTGGGGGTTTGCCAGGCCCCTGGCCTGGGTGCCCAGACATGTAGCCACTGTCCTCTGGTGCTGGCCAGAGTGGCCTCTGTCCCCATTTCTTTCCTCCAAGAGGTGGCTCTGCTGCCCAGCCAGCCCCTCCTGCTGCTCCCTCCCTCCTCCAGGTCAGACCCCAAGCCATTCCCCAGGCTGACTAAGGAGGGGTGCAGACTGCCCCCTGTGCCTGCCTGGTGACCAGTGCCCACTGTGCACTCCCCCAGGCCAGCCGAGCCTGGCACACACTGGGTGCTCCCTAAATACCCATGGAGGATATCACAGCCACCCCCATTTTATTCAGGGGTCACCAGCTCCCTGCCCTTAAGGCCAGGCTTTCCCTGAGCCCGAGTCTTATTTGGAGGGAGGTGGGGGCCACGCCTGCAAAGCCATGTTTTCATTAGCAAGCGATGAATAATTAATGCCACAGCGCCTTTGAGAACTGTTTTGGTTTTTATTTTAAACATTTTTTTCTATGTATAGAAACAGCACTTCCGTTAGGCACCAAATTTATTTTTTAATAAACGTGGCAGTTATTTATTCAATCCCTGGTGCTCCCTGGAGTGGCTGGCACGAGGGCGAAGAGAACTTGCCAGGGCACCATTGGCAGCCTCCACCATGTGCCCGCCTAGCCCCCGCTGTGCATGGCCAAGGTGGAGGACACACGGCAGAGGGCAGAGGTCGGTAAGCAAGGCCCGGCCAGAGGCCAGAGCTGCAGTGCAGTTGCACAGTGGCCAAGCCCTGTGGCACACTGGGGCCCTGCCTGGGTCCTCAAGCTTCCCTGCCTGGGTCCTCAAGCTTCCCAGCCTGGAATGGGGTGATGGTGCAGGGGGCCCCAGGTCTGAACACGCTGCCCAGGTATTCTAGGCAGAGGCTGGGAGCTCCCCTCAGAGAGATGCCAGGAGGCACACAGAACCCGGCAGAGCCACTTGTCCCAGGAGGGCAGGCTGAGCCAGCCACGAAGTACAAGGCCAAGCTCCGCACCACCCACCAGGCCCACCTCTCTTTGTGCACAGAGCCTGGGACCAGAGCTGAGGCCCAGAGAATTCATGGGCTCCGTAATTCTCCAGGTCGAGAGGCAGTCAGTGTTGATTTCTTGGCTCTTCAAGTCCATCCACAAATCCCATTACTTGGTGCTTTCTCAGAAATTAAGTCGGAAACACTTTTAGTTTTAAATTACAAGTCGAGGAGAGTTTGCACAGCAGAAGACAAACAGTATGTTGACACTCTCCAAATGCACCTTCCCTGGCCAACTGCCACAGCACATGAGCCCTCTGACCCATCCACAGCCAGGGGCCAGGGAGTGGACATCCCAGCTCCATGGCCACCTGCCCACTGCCCGGCTGCGTCTGCCTGGCTTGGACACAATGCTAAACAAAAGAATTAGGATGTAGACATTTATTTTTGCAAAGAGTCATCATTAATTTTTTAAAGTGTGCAATATTGTTCTCAACAAAACACATGAAAAATGAGTTGTCTGTTCCTAATAAATATTTTCTAGATTAAGTATTTGTAATGCTATCAATTATTTATCTCCATATATGGAGTATGCATAATTTGTAATAAAATGTAGAAAGGGTTTTAATTTTTCCACACAATATATGAAATTGAGTTTTTGACTAATACAGGAATAAATTGACTCTAATCCCTTCCTGTCACAGCATAGGGTATTGTTTTAGGTATAAATCTCTTATTTTATAGATGTTTTCCAAAAATTAATCTACGATGTTTAAGGATCAGTGTAAATCTCCGTAACGGGGCGTTCTGGTGGGTTCACATTTATAAGGCGTGTCGTTTGCACATGACCCCCCTGAATCATCAGCTGCACACGCCAAATCACACCAGGGCTCCAAAAACACGTACACATGCTCATCATTCACAAAATCGATGCTGCTTTGGCTCTAATGAGCTGGTGTACGACCCACGGGCGGGCAGGAGGAGCCATGTCTAGCCCCACCCTGCAGGCTGTGGGTTCCGTGCGGCTCTGGATGGCTCCAGGCTCAGGGCTTGGCCACTGACAGGCAGAGGCACAGCCAGGCCCTGGTGCGGCTGAAGAACAGGTCTGGCCCTGGTTGCACAGCCCAGGGTCTTGGGGACGGAGGCAGAGCAGGGTCGTTGTGCCGAAACATGAGTAGGGCCTGGGCGAGCCAGCATGTGTCTAGCCAGGGCCATCGAGAGAATGGAAGGTAAGCAAGAGAGCTGAGGCCCAGCCAGCCCTTCCTGCTGTCCCTCCCTCCTCCAGGTCAGTACCCAACCCATTCCCCAGGCCCGACTGCGGAAGGGTGTGGACTGGCCCCCTGTGTCTCCTGGTGACCAGTGTCCACTGTGCACTCTCCCAGGCCAGCCGAACCTGGCACACACTGGGTGTTCCCTAAATAGCCATGGAGGGTATTGTGGCATGGAGAGCTGTCGATTCCAGAAACCTCCTGGACATAGGGCTGGGAGCTCATCTGCAGAAGCTGCCTGAATCCAGTAGCTATGTCCTGGACACTGGGGATAGGTGCCTGGTGGCGGGGGAGGGGGGGGGCTTTGTCTCAAGGGGATGTGACATCAGGTGGTGACCACCCCAGGCCTGGCTTGACCAAGCCAGGAAGGCTTCCTGGAGGAGGTGGTACAGTGTAGACCGGAGCACCCATTCATGCCACCAACTCACCATGTGACCCCAGTGAGTCTGCCCCTGCTTGGGGCCTCAATTTCTCCACCTGGAATAAAAGAACCCATGTTTGAGTCCCCATGAAGTTGTGGATCAATCACAGGGCTAGGCAGAGCACTTTCTTCTCAGAGCCAGCTCAACTGCAAAGTAGGACTGACAGCTCTTCAGGCGGCAGCGCCATTGGAATGGCTGAACCCTACTCCTCTCTCCTGGAGACAGACCCTGCTCCAGGCAGCAGGGGAAGGCTCTGACCCAGGCTGGGCCAATCACAATAGCGCATTCTCTTGGCCACAGTGATTGGACAGAGGGAGTGTCATGTGACCTGAGCCAGGCCAATCAGGTGCTTCCCTGGACTTTTTTAAGCCAAAGCAGGAAGTGGAGCGCCTTCCTCCCTGGAAGGGCTTTGGAAGTACAAGCCTGGCCATAATCCCTGTGGCCCCAAGGCCATCCTGGGAGCCCATGGGATGGTCCCCAGCCTCTGCCACTCCTGGGCTTAGGGGTCCTCAGTTGACCCCTTGTGCAGCCCACAGCACTGAGCAGGGCTCCAGTCCTGAAACACTTCCCTGGGCTGTGGGGGGCTTGCACCAGAGCCTGGGTGCTCTCAGGCCCATAAGAGGGCATGCTCATGGAACTAATGTGAATGTTCTAATACCTCAGCGTTACCTTTTTTATTGGGTGATGAGGTGGAGGAGGTGCGGATTCCTGGGGTTTGACTTAATCCAAATGCTGGCTGAGATGTCTCTTACACAGTCTGCAGTGCTGGGGAGCAGCAAGTATCATTTCATGGCAAATGCTTGATAATTGGAGAATCAGAGATTAAAGTGTGTTTTTGAAAACTGAGAAGCGAGCCCTCAGAATTAAAAGCAGGACATCCACTTTACCACCCACCGCCGCAGAACATAGAAAGCCAAAGCGCCACGCAGCAGAAAGGTATAAAACAGAGGGGTGAAATAGGCCAGTCACAAAAGGACAAATGCTGAATGATCCCACTTAGACACACTGTAGTCAAATCCATGGAGACAGAAAGTAGACAGTGGTTGCCAGGGGCGGGGAAGGGTGGGGATTTGTTATTTAATGGATACAGAGTTTCAGTTTGGGAAGATGAAAAAGTTCTGTGGATGGATGGGGGTGATGGCTGCACAACAATGTAAGTATGCCAAATGCCACTGAACTGCTCACTTAGAAATGATTCGAGTGGTCAGTTTTATATTATGGATATTTTACCATAATTAAAGAAAAAAAGAATATCCCCCCCCCCAAAATATTAGAAGTCTATATGCCACTAAATTTTTAAAAATATATAAAAATAGTTGTCTTTGTTTCACCCGAGGTTTACTATGCAGGATCACATACTGAGTGAACGTCTTGAATATACAATCTTTTAACTCAATAAATGGATCGTTTTAGTTAAAAGAAAAAAACAAAACATGAGGGGAAGAAAATGAGTATAAAATGGGACACATAAAACTGGATGACCAAAGCAAGACCGGGCATATGTCGTGCTGTGATGAAAAGGTTTCAAGTCGCCCTTCTAGAAGGAAGGTGCCCTGGGACAGGTCAAAGCAATGAAATGCTGCCTGCAGCTTCACCGGAGCCGGGAAGGAGCTCCAGGCAGAGCTCCCGGGGAGGGAGGCACGAGGACAAGCATTCACTTACAATGCTGAGTGGCCTCTCCACTGTGGAGCTTGCACTGGGCTCAGGGACAGGGCTGCTAATGGGAAAGATGGGACAGATGGGACATTCTCAGGAGGACAGAGATAGGAGGCAGGAAGCTAGAGCCACAGAGGAAAATGCTGATGTCAGAGAGGTCCTGATAGATGGCCCCGCCGGGAGGGGATGGCTTCTCTCCCAGGGCGAGCAGCCCCCAGACCCACCCGAGAGTCAGGGGCTGTGGACGTGGTGGGGGTGGACTACACCCCCCCTGCTGTCTGGGCACACCCAGGGGTCATGGGCAGCTGGGGGGCCCAAGGAGCCTGGGAGGAACAGCCCCCCCAGTGTTGCATGTCTGGTGGGAATGGGTTAACATATTTTTGGCCCACATTCTTTTACTTTTAAAGTTTCTCCAAACAAAAATTATAATGAAAAGATGAAAGAACCAGAAACCATGTGAAGGCAGGTGAGACAGCAGCCAGGAGAGACCGGGGTCCAGCTGGTGACAGGCAGTAAGGGTTGAGGGGGCATGGGGTTTCCCTGCAGATGGGGAGACTGGGCTGTCACACCTGCTGGGTGCACTACCATCCGCCCTGCTGTGGGCCTTCCCAGCAGGAGCAGTATTAACTATGCTTTTTTTTCTCTGTATTTCTGATGCTGTGACATCTTGGGGCCTAGTTACCTAGAGGGAGGTGGGGGGACAAGCAGAGAGGTCGGCTTGACCCAGGCCTGGAGTCACAGAGCAGCATCTGAGGGGCCATGTGGGTCCACTCCTGGAGCAGCACCAAGACCCAAGACCCAGAGCCTGACGCTGGCCTCACTGTGGTCATCAGTGCCTCGGGGGCTCTGCCCCTGGGCATTGGCTGAGCCCTGTCCTGCTCATCACAGCCAAGCCCACCCACAGATACTTGTGGCATCTGGTCCCTGGCCTCTGCCCCTCCTGGGCTTAGGGGGTCCTCAATTGGCCCCTCATGCAGCCTGCAGCACTGAGCAGGACGCCAGGCAGTTCCCTATAGGCTGACAAGCCTCCTCAAACGCTCCTGCAGCCTGGGCAGCAGGCACCCACTGCACTAGGAGGGAGACTTAGCATGCCCAGGGCACAAGATGGGATTCAAATCCCTGACTCAGATTCCAAATCCCATGCCCTGTGGGCTCCCTGCTTTCTTAGGAGACTCTCTGTTTGAATGCTGGAAGGGCCTGAGCCCCAGCGCACCACAGCACCTGACTCCCCTGGGCCCCATCCAGCCTTCCTGCCCCGCCCCACTGTGTATGTGCCCGGGAATGAGCATGTGCCCGGGAGTGAGTGGTACGCGCATACGTGTGCATCCATGTGCATGTGAGCATGTGTGTGCTCATGTGCATGTGCCCAAATGTATTAATGTCCAAACTATGGTGGCTGTCCCCAAAATGGGCATCCAAGAATTCTGCCCGTGTCCTCTCATGCCATTACATGATGGGGCTATGTTCTGAGAAATGCATTGTTTGGTGATTTCGTCATTGTGCAAACATCATAGAGTAACTTAAGCAAGCATAGATGGCAGAGCCCACTACACACCTGGGCTATTTGGTTTGGCCTTTTGCTCCTAGGCTACACACCTGTGCAGCGTGTTACTCTATTGGACACTGTAGGGGATCGTAACACAGTGGTATTGTGTATCTAAACATAGAAAAGGTATAGTAAAAATACAGTATTCTCATCTTATGGAACCACCGCTATATACACGGCCCATGGTTGACTGAAATGTCATTATGGTATATGACTGTATTTGGAATATCATGGGAACAATTTTTTTTTTTTTGAGACGGAGTCTTGCTCTATTGTCCAGGATGGAGTGCAGCGGCGCAATCTCCGCTCACTGCAACCTCCGCCTCCCAGGTTCAAGTGATTCTCTTGCCTAAGCTTCCTGAGTAGCTGGGATTACAGGCGCCTGCCATCACGCCCGGCTAATTTTTGTATTTTTAGTAGAGACGGGGTTTCACCATGTTGGTTAGGCTGGTCTCAAACACCTGACCTCAGACGATCCACCTGCCTCAGCCTCCCAAAGTGCTGGGATCACAGGCGTGAGCCACTGCGCCCGGCCAGGAACAAATTTTTTAGTGGGCACGGGCTGAGGCAGCCTGCTGGCACTGGGTAAGTCACCCATGCCTAGGCCAGGCTGCAGGAGGATAGGGGCCAGGCAAGGGCCCTGCCACGGCCATCTACAACCTCCAAGTCCAAGTTTGGGGCATGCAGGCAGAGGAAGCAGTTCCCAGAGGTATGGGTTCTGTCACTAGAGGGAGTGGCCTCCAGGGCTGCAAGCCTCCCCCAGGGCTGCAAGCTGATGGAGGAGCTCCCGGCCCAGAGGCCCAGACCCTGGCCTTCGAGGATGGCAGCCCTGTCCCCCAGTGAAGCAAGGTCTCAGGCCACCAGACCAGCTACTCATCTGCTGGGACGGTGACACAGGATGGGCAGAAGCCTAGAGGAGTGGAAAGGCATCATGTCCCACTTACTGCAGGAAACTGAGGCTCAGGGGTTGCAGGCTTAGGCCAAGGAGCAAGGACTTGCTGTGTCTGGCCTCAGTGGGGCCTGTGTGACCTCAAAGGGAACCCCTGAATTCTGAGAGCCCCCAGGGCAGGCGTTTTGGAAATGCTGCTCCCCCTAGCGTGGGGATGTGACTGAAGATGGATCTAAGGATGGGACATTGCATTGGGCCCTGGCAGGGCCCTTAGATGGACCACTCTCCTCCCCTCCCTCCCCCGCCGTGACCCCCCCATACAGTCACCCTGTGCAGGGGGAGCATGCCATCTTTGGCTTCACCTCCTTTCCTGCCTTTTCTCACCCACTTGTGGATGAAGAGTGAGGCCCACCCACATCACCTGGGTCCACCAAGTGGCAGGGTAGCTGCCAGCTAATGGGACCCTCGGTGACAGGAGGAGCATCTGCCCAGGCAGGGGAGGGTCATAAGAGATCAGGAGCTCTCGCAGGAGTTATCACAGGCAGAGACCACAACATTAGCAAAGGCCTGGAGGCTGGACCCAGTGCAGCACCAGGTTCTGGACCTGGAGCAGCCTCCTGAGCCTGAAGGGTCAGGTCGGGGCCCAGGGAGGAGCGGCTGCCAGAGAGAAACTGAGGCAGAGAGGGCAAAACAGCCTCGGGTCACACGGCTGCTCTGTGGAGGGGTGGGATTTGCACCCAGCTCCCCTGAGGCCTGGTTCCACAGCTGTCAGTGGACTCTCAGGGAGACCTAGACCCAGCACTGCACCCTCAGGCCCCAGCCCCGTGTAGTGCTTCTGCAACCACCTCACCTGTGTAAGATCTCAGGGATCCTGCTGGGGCCACCGCCACACTCCTCCTGTCTCAAGAATCAAAGATCGAGGCAATCCTGATTCCAGCTGATGGGATGCCACCTCAGGCCTCCAGCCTTGCGCCCAGGGCCTGGGCCCCACATGCCTCAGTTTACTCTCTCCTTCTTGTCTGGAGTCTGTGGACACGCCCTGGTGGCCAGCCTGCTGGGTAGGGTGGAGGCAGGTCCACCATCCACCTGCCTCATCAGGGGCCAGGACCCACCACCCGCCTTGCCCTTGAATCCCACCCTCCCACTTCCTATGGGCTGCCATGCTGGCAGTGACCTCCCCCAGGACTGCGATGCCCTCCAGCACTAATAATGTGATGCACCAGACAGCACCTATTCCCTGAAGACGCGGGGCCATGACTGTAGGTGAAATGGAATCCTTCCCCTGCCTCCTATGAGTTGTGCCCTTTTCTTTGAAAATTGCCTTGCGTGTGACTTGCCGCCCTTTCTGCCTTTCCTCCAAGTCTCGGGAGCAGGGCCGAGTCCACACTGGTTTACGAGACCTCGAGGAGCTGTTCTGTGCCCTGGGTAGCAAATGTTTCTTTCTAAGAAAATCTTTCTAACAGTCCTCGAGGCACTTCAATGCTTCAGCATCCTGGGAGACCAGCCCCAAGCAAGGTGGGGAAGTGACAGAGGACACCGTGCCCCTGTGCCCAATGCCACCCAAGTCTGCAGGTGACACAAATCCACAGCACAGAGTCAGAGCACGGGGGGTGACGGCAGAGCCGCCAGGCAGCTGTGCCCCATGCTGGCGTGGGGCTATGGGCAGTCACCTTGGTCGGTCCTCAGCAGCCCCGTGACAGGGACCTGCAGGCGGGAATCTGAGCGGTGGAAGGAGCAGTGTGGGGCTCAAACCCACCTGGGCTAAGAGAGGACACCCCGCCCCCATGGGAGGGTCCCACAGGCAAAGCTCCTGTTCCAGAACCACAGGCCCATCCCACCCAAAGTCGGGAGGTGCTCCAGGTCTCTGGGGAGGGGGTGCCAGGAGAACCAGGCAGAGGTTCGGATTCCGCCAGGGACCAGTGCCTGCCCCGAAGACCCCCCTCATGGTTCCTGCCTGCCCCAGGCTAGAGCTGGCTCCCTGAGTGACAGCAATTAGGACCACGGCTGGCAGAGCAGCCCACACCCCCAAAGCACCTGACGTGGCAGCAGCTCCCTGGGGGCCGTCGCGCTCCGGCTGTGGCTGAGGCGCTTGGAATCGGTTTCTTTCTGCTGTAAAAATGGAAACATCCCCTATGTGAGAAACAAGCTGGCGAGGAGAACGCTGCTGCCAAATCACACCCGCGGTGGGGCGCATGGCGGCCGGGGGCCCCCAGGCCTGCCAGGCAAGAAGGGCTTCGTGCACGGGGGTGGGGAGCCAGGAACCTGGGGGTGCAGGGGCGAGGTGCAGACCCCCCCAGCCAGACAACCCTGCTGGAACATAGGCTGGGCCCTCCCTGCCTTGAACCTCTCTTTTCCAAAAACAGCAACGGTACTGGCTGCATCCGGCTTCCCGCACCCGCCCAGAGATGCTGGAATAGCTGTGAGGGAGGTGGGCGAGCTGCACAGTGCAGGGGGGCTATCCGAGTTGGAAAAAGCAGCTCCCCTCACTTGGGGGAAAAACAGCAAGGTTGGGTGTGGGGTCTGTGGCAGTGTCTAGGCAGCAGAGAGGGTCCCCAAACACTGCATGTGCCAGGCCTCCCCAGGGGCCTTCAGAACTACACGTGCCAGCCAAGTGCATGCAGGACCTCTGCTGTGGGTCCCCCAGGCGCACCAGGCTGGCACGGCCCTGATCATCCCAGCTGGACACCGCAGCCACTGATGAGAGTCACCCTACTTTCCTGGCTGGGACCTTCCTCCCCAGCCCTCCCTGGGCACTGCTCAGCTGCAGGCTCTGCACTTTGGGTCTGAAATCCTCACGTAACTGTAAACCAGCCCGCCACACACCCACAGGCGTGAGGGCATGTGTCGAATGTGTGAAACGCCCCCGCCCACTGAGCTGTCCTCATCTTCAGATTTTCAAGGACACAGCACAGCACCCACATCCTGTGGCCAATGGTGGACTTTGGCGGGCGGAGGCCAGGATCCAGGATTGGCAAAGCAGGGGTGAGGGCTGGGGGTGCGGCACCACCTCCGCGTGCCTTTCCCCATGAGGCTGCAGGTTATCACGGGGCGAGAGGAGGGCCGGGCTCGCCAGGGCCAGGGATGGAAAGGGGTGTCCTCCAGCCCCGGAGCCCATGCCCAGCTCCCAGGCTGGTAATGACGGATCCATCAACCAGGCATGTCCAAAGACTGCACTCTGAGGGCCCCGGCCTCCTGGGCTGTCACCGCATATGAGGAGCCAGGGACTGCTGGCCTGAAAACTGCCTCAGGGCCTGGCCAGCCCTTCCAGCCCACTCTGCTATTAAAACGGATTCCTGGGGAGGCAAAGCCGTGTGGGTGTAAAACCTGGACTGCCAGTACACTCACACACACATTTCCACACTCAGCCAGGTGCACGTCCATGGCAGTCAGCACACGCTGACACACACACGTGTGCCCACACATACATGCTCATCAAACATGCACTCACACACTCATATGCACACATGCACATCCACATAACATGCACGTCCACACACACGTGCTCACTCACTTATGTATACACACTTGCATGCTCACCCACATGCCCACGCCCACACGTGTATGCTGACAGGCTTGTGCTCACACATCTTTCCACACTCACCTGCACACAATTCACACACCCGGCCACACAAGCACATTTGGTCCATTTTGTCTTTTGTTTCTCACTCAGGCCCTTTGCACATACCCCTAGCTGATGGTCGAAGGTGGTGTCCTGCCCATGGCTGCCAAATGCCCCTCTCACATGTTGGGTGGGGGTCGTGGGCCCTTCCTGCACACCAGCAACACAAAGTCTGCCCCACCACCCAGGGAAGCCTGGGGCCGGAAGCGTGCCAGGAGCAACTTCAGCAGGACGGGTGCTGGGCTGGCAGCCGGCCAGCACCTCTGCTCAGCTGGCCGCCTACTCGATGGCTGCGGAGACTGCGCACTGCGGGGCTGGGCCCTCACTGGGACCCTGGGAGGACACGGGGTGGAGCATGCGCCAGGCAGCCACGTGGCAGTGGGAGCCAGGCTGGAGTCCGCTGGTGGAAGACAGGACACAGGCTGGAAAGGCAGGTGCTGGGGGCAGGAGCTCGGGCTGCGGGGAATCGGCACAAAAATAAGACAGCAGGCTGGGGAGAAGGCCCCTCCCCATACGAAATCATCCCTAAGATTCCAAAGGCCTGGAAAACACCTCGCTAGGAGAAGCTTCATGGATCAGGCCAGGTCCAGCACCCAGACAGGCAGGGGCCGAGCAGGGCAGGGCTGGGCAGGCTGGGCCAGCACCAGCCTAGGAAGCCCCCTCTCCAAAGCCCTGTCCTGTGCCCCTCTGGCCCTGGGCTAGCAAGTCTGAGCATCTGGGGTCAAGGCGGATCGCTGGGGACCAGGCACCTGGAATGAGACAGAGGGGCAGTGCTGTGTGGGCCTCCCCAGGGACAGAACATGGAGTGGGAGCTGCGCATGGAGCCCCCGCTTGGGCAGCTCTGCAGGCCTCCAGGCCACCAAGGCAGCCAGCACAGTGGTCCTGGCAGGAGGGTGAGAGGGCGGCACATTCCAGCCACAGCCCACCTCTCCTCCCAGGATGCCTGGGGAAGTGCAGGAAGAGCCCTGTGGGGGCGGGGATGGGAGCTCGGGCCATCTTTGGAAAGAGGCTGTTAAGAGAAGGGAACAAGATGGGGCTGCAGGCCATTCCCTCCCCATGACAATGAGAGAGCTGCAGCCACAGTCCATGCGGCCCCCTGTGCCTTCAGCATCCAGCCTGCTGCGACTTTGAGGATGATGGCAGCTGAGGGTTCATCGGGGCCAGGCTGTGTCCCAGGAGGCATGGACTTGCTGGAGCTCAGCTGGTCAACTTCCAGGAGGCTCTGACCACCACCAAGTTCCAGCCATGAGGGTCTCCTCCTCAGCCAGGGGCACCCAACCCCTTGGGAAAGGAAGGGCTAGGCAGCTCCCACACCCTCCTCACCCCAGGACGAGCCTGTAGAGAAGAGCAGCTGTGTTTTCAGCTAGAGCCATGGGCATGAGGGGTCCAGGGAAAGGGCTGTCCGGACAAGCCACCTGCAGTGCCCACGGCCCAGCCTGAGGCAGCTCACTCCCACCCCAGCCCCCGCCCAGGCCTGAGCCCACCGGCTGTTGGCCAGGCCCGAATGGCCAAGATCGATGAGTGCCCAGCACACGAGCCTTGTTTACCAGGCTGTACTGTGTCTGCTCAGCATCAGGGCCTCCCACTGAAGCCCTCCCACACCCTCACACCCTTGCCTGCACCCTGTGCCCTGAACCTGCCATGCACAGCCCTGGCCACCCCAGCACATGGGGTCCAGTCTGAAGCAGTTGCCCATGAGGGCTGCCCCAGGCTGAAGCCCAGGCCCACGCCACAGCTGAGGTGAGCGGGATCTTCCACCAGGAAGCCCCAGCCTTCCAGAAGGGAGGTCTTGGAGCTCCAGGACAGCAACCCAGGACTGCCAGCACTCACAAAGCAGCAAGGGGGAGGAGCTCACTGGGTTCCCAAGGGCTGCGGGAGGGTGAAGAGGTGACCCAGTTGTGGGGCAGGGGGAGTTTGGCTGGCATGGCCACCTCAGGCCCTGCAGGCCACCCTGATCACCTGGGGAACCCAGGTCCCCGAGTATGGGCCAAGGGGCAAGGTGGGTGGTGCTCACCATGATGGTCCCAGGTGCTCACTGCTGCAGGGACAGAGGAAGTGAGCCTGGACATGGGACTCAGCCAGCTGGGGTCCTCATGGCAGTGTGGGGCAGCCTGGGGGCCAGGCCTGTCCAACTCCTGGTTGTCAGGGGACGTCAGGGCCTAACGGGCTGTGGGGAGAGCCTGGCCTGGGGCTGGGGATGGCAGAGCTCTGAGTGTAGGAGCTGCTGCCCCATCCAGCAAGCTGGACCATGGACAACAGGCGGAGGTCCCTGCAGGGAGCGTGGCAGGACGGGGTGTGCAGACAGGTGCTGCCCTGCAGCTAAGCCTGACTTCCCTGCTTGCCCTGGAGCCTGGCAGGGTTCTGGAGACCAGGAGCCACCACACAGTCCTAGGCCACTTCTACTTTGGGGGAGTAAGTGAAATTTAGAGCTCTTCACACCAGTCCGTGGCCCAGTCAGGGCAAGGTGGGGCCCACCCTGCCAACCGTGGCTGCAGACACCCAGAGCTCAGAGCCGTGGCTGGGGCCTGGGGTCTTGAATGTGAAGATGCGGCTGGCCTGGCAGGGCCTCAGCTGGTGCCTGGCACCGTCCCGGGCCCTGGCCTAGGTGCTCGGTGGACTGCTCCTTCCTAGTGCCAGGTCCACTTGCAGCTCCTGGGAGCTGCCCCGGGAGCTCAGCCCTGGGTGCCCCTGGCTCTCCCAGCTCAGTGTTTCACTATGATCAATCAGGGTATCGCCAGGAAGGGTCAGGGCTGCCACCTCCCTGGGCCACCTGGACCGAAAGCTGGGAGAGGCTGCCACAGACCACCTGGGTAGGTGGTCCACAGGGGCCCTTCTCACCCTGGGCCAGGTCTACAGCCTGTGTTTAGTCTGGGGTGGGGTGGGGTGGGGGGCTTTGCTGCTTCACTGCACCCCACATGAGCCCTGTTGGGAGGGCTGCCAGATGCAGGGAGACGCAGAGGCGCGGGTACACATTGCTCCACCAGCCAGACCCAGAGCTTCCTAGTGGGGACCAGTCTGGAGCTTGAAATCCCAGCCATCACTCAAGGGGTTTCACTTGTGCCAACACCTTTCTTTTGGAGGGGGTGTGTTGGGGGTGTCCAGTGACAGGGTTAATCCCCACAGTCCATGAGGCCAGTGATGTCATGGGCTCCTGGGGCCCATGGCACTGAGACCAGGTCCAGCACGAATTCACCTGCCCTTCCTTCAGTGCCTTCCAACACCACCCAGCCACCACGGCCAGGCTGGAAGGACAGCACACCCCAGCCACTCAGGAGTCACTTCGGACAGCCCACCTAGGGGCTTAAGTCCCAGTGGGACATGCCCACCCAGGCTGCCTCAGCTGCCCACGGGGCCTCCAACCACAGCCACAGGCTCCACAGGTATGACCACCCTGCCCAACTCAGTCCGCTTGGGCCATCCAGTTGGCCGCAGAGCAGAAGGATGGCGATCAAACCACAGAACAGAGTATGTGGACAGGTGGGCGGGGCACTGCAGAGTGGAGGGTGGACCTGGAGGGTGCCTGGGAATCCACACACACCAAGGCTGGACCTCACAAGAGGAGGGGCGGGCACGCTACACTCTGAAGTCTGAATCGTCCCTGGCCAGCCTGTGGCTGCTCTCACCTTTCCTTTGCTGCAGTGTGTGTCAAACACATGAATGAATGAGCAAATGAGTGAATCAGTCCCTGCCACCAGACCCCACAGGGTTACATCAAGGCCACCGAGGCTCAGCCGGGACAGGACTGGCCGGTATCACACAATCGGTGGGGGGAGGGCATCACACCCGGACTTCTGCACACAGGGCCTCTTTGCCAGAGGCTGGGCTGGAGCTCGACCCCAGGGCCACCTGGCTCACCTCATCTGTCCCCATAGCCACCTTTCAGTCCCCACCATGGCCACCATCCCCTTGTCCCCCACCTCCGTCCCCACAGCCACCCTGCCCACGGAGTTGATCGCTTGATTAAGCGCAGCATTTCAGTGCCCAGGGAGAAAAATCAATTCGCTTGGTTCCACTTTAATCCATCAGTTCCATTTCTGATAAATGTCCCCGTGCTGGAGTCACCATGTAGCCGCAGTGCCCCGCAGAGATTAGCTGCTAGGTCAGGGCAGCCAGGGCGAGCATCTGGCGAGCTGGGGCAAGCCTGGACCCTCAACTTGCCGTGACTCCCCACCCCTCTTCCCAGCACTTTACATGGTGGTAAGTGTGGGTACAGAGGTCAGAGCCCAGCTCTGGCCCCACCTGCCAGGGCCTGGATGAGCCCAGCTCCCAAGCTGCGAGCTGGTGACATTGTGGGGCTGGGATTAAATGGGATCTGCGGCTGCCAGGCTGGGCTTCTCAGGAATGAGCTGGCACTGGAGGACGAGTGGATTAGACGCGAGGTCAATATTTGTGGAATTGAATTGAATCTGTCACTTGGGGCGTGTATGTTCCAGGTAATTTTGTGGTTTCTGCCTCTGGCAGGAAAACCCAACACGATGACTGCCCCTCGCAGGCCACAGTCAGCCCGGCCCCAGGAGAGAGACCCGTGGAGCCCTATGTCTCAGCAGGCAAGGTAGGGGGACGGGGCAGGGGCAGGGAGGTCCCCGAGTGCTGGCCAGGGGAGGAATCTGCAGTGGTTGCCGGCTAAGGAGGGTCTGCCCTGGCCCCTGGGGCATGGAGGCCCCACAGCCAGGCCCCACCCCCAGCTCCTGGGACCTGCTGGCCTTTTAGGAGACGGGGGAGGCTGGGCCTGACCTCTCTGCAGGTGGTGTCACTGCAGGGCCACACTGCACTGTGCTGGTTGTTGTCCAGGGTGGGCAGATAGAGGGATGTGGACGGTGGGAGCCAGGGGAAGGGCAGAAGGGGACACTGGGCCACCCTGGAGAAGCCAGGTCAGGGCTGGCCCAGCAGGATGGGGGCTCTCTGCCTCTATGGCCAGCATTCCCAGCTGAGTCCCCAACTCTGCAGCCAGGAAGCCCCGTAGTGTGAAGGATGGGGACATCGCGATGCCCTGGCCCTGAGCCCACCAGGTGGCCCCAGGGCCCCACCCTGCCTGGCTCTTCCTGCATGGGTCTGGGGTGATGGGGGCTCATCTGAGGCCCAGTGCTGCCCACCTCGAATCCCCAAATCCCAAATTGGATTAGTTGTGTTTAGAAAGCAGCAAAGCTGCTATATTTGAGCAAAGGCTCAGCAGATTACCCTGGGCCAAGAGGGTGTCTGCCTGTGTGAGGGGGATTTGAGGAGGAAAAACTGCACTAAACAAGTGTTCATTGAAAAGAAACTTGGGGGATCATCTGAGTCAGCCGGGCCCTCCACCTGCCCCATAACACCTTCTCCAGCATGGGCTCCTGCTGCTGCTGGGACAACCAAGCAGGAGTGGACGGGGTCAGGCCACAGGCCACTGGGCCCAAGGCCAGGAAGGGGCGCCCAGGACTGCCCATGGGAGAAGGGCGTGGTGCCGACACGAGGTCACCTGGAGTCCCTGGGACTGGCCCTCCACCTCGTGACTCAGTCGCCACCCGGTGGCCCTCTCAGAAGCCCAGGGCCCAGCATACAGGAAGCTCCATGAGTGCTCATCATCACACACACTCCAGAGGCTGAGAACATCTTGGAGGCCTGGGGCCTGCTGGCCAGACCCTGTCCTGGGCCCTGAACACAGGCTGGGCCTGGAAGGGACAGTGAGGGGGGCCAGAGCCCATGCCTGCTCAGTGCAGCAAGCCCAGGCACCTGGTGGGTGGGCCCTGCAGCCAGGGAGGCCCCTGCACCCCACCCTTCCCAGCCCTGCCCTGGGTACCGTGTGCCACATCTCAGAGCCCACCCATGGGGCCCTCCCAACTCCAGCCAGGAGGGAGGATAGAGAACTTTTATTTCAGAAGAGTGCAAATAAACAAATCCTTCCTTCCCCCACCATAAAGAGCCCGGCTGGCTTTAGGAGAGAAGGCAGAATTTTTAGCCTCTCCTTTCCTCAAGGCACAGCAGGCCGAGCCTGTGTCACTCATGGCCCCTTTTACAAGTAAAGAATCCAGCTCTGGGCAGTCAGGTCTGCCCAGTGGAGGTGTTTGCCCTGGGGGGCCGGCTCACCTATCCGTAGGACCTGGCTCCTAGGGGTCCAGCCAGTCCCTGGCCTCCTGTTGATACGGAAAGGAAGTGCTGAGAAGGGAAAAGCGTGGTCCCTTTAAATGATACAGAGGAGGGACGGGAAGTGCTCCGTAGAGAAGGGCGTGGTCCCTGCCTAGGGCTCCACCCCCACGAACCTAGGTGAGGACAGGCATTTCCTGCCCAAATGTTGCATTTCCCAAGACCACCCTGGCCTGCCATGCCTCCATCCTATGCCTATAAAAACCCAAGACCCTAGCAAGGCAGAGACAGAAGCCTCTGTGTGGGGAGAGGAACACACTGGTGGAAGAAGACAAGCTGCTGGACATCCCGAGAATGTTGCCTGACTCCAGGGGAAAACCATCTCCCCTCTGGCTCCCCCATCTGCTGAGAGCTACTTCCACTCAATAAAACCTTGCACTCATTCTCCAAGCCCACGTGTGATCCAATTTTTTGGTACACCAAGGCAAGAAACCCTGGGATACAGAAATTCCTCTGTCCTTGTTATAAGGCAGGGGTCTAATTGAGCTCACTCTCACCAGCCACCTACAGACCGCTAGACTAAAAGACCACCCGGTAACGCACTCCCACTGGGGTTTCAAGAGCTGTAAACATTCACCCCCAGACACTGCCATGGGGTCAGAGCCCCACAGCCTGCCCGTCTGTATGCTCCCCTAGAGGTGTGAGCGGTGGGGCACTGAAGAAGCGAGCCACTCCCCCGCTGCATGCCCTGCGCCCTGCGCGGGGTAACCAGGGAACCCTTCCTGTTTCACTGTTTCACTGGGTAGAGATCTCCCGGCTGGAGACAGAATGGTGGGGAGAGGCCAGATGTGCCCAGCAGGTAGGGGATTCTCCAGGGGGGAGGCTGAGGCTGTTAGGAAAGGAGGGGCTGAGGGGGCGCCACAGCCCTCCCCGCTCCGCACCACACCCCACGTTAAACCCCTGTCCTCCACTCCTCTCCTGGGGCTAAGGAGGCTGAGAGTAGAGCTCAGAGGCCCACGCCCAGCACACAGGAGGCAGTGGGGGCTGTGGACGGGGCCAACGAGCCATGGGGTTGCTGGGCTGAAGCACCGGTGATGGCAGGCGTGTGAGAGGGAAGTGGGGGTGAGCCAGCCCTGTGGGCCTCTAGGCCCAGCTTCTGGGTATCCTGGCCCCCTGGAATGACCCAGGGCAGGAGCCTCTGACACCCGCCCCAAATGCCTGTGACCCCGTCCTGAGTGGGGGTCCTCCTTCTGGCCGTGACCGCCCTGGAGTGGCTTCTCAGCATTTTGTGGTCAGCACTCTCAGCCCCTCTGCCTTGCACCGTGTCATTTTCAGCAGATCCTGAGCCAGAGAAGGCCATCAATTATTCAGCTCCTGCCTCTCAGCCTCCTCCGTTAGTACCTCTTAAAGCCGGGAAGATAAATCTCTCCGCTTGCTCCGTGGCGCCGACAGGAAGCAGGGCGGCACCAGGACCGTGACAGGCCCCGGCTGGGCCCCGGTTTCCCGAGCCAGCACAGGCGGCCTGCAAGGCTTCTCTGCTATTAAATCCATAATTCAGCGGCAACGCAGCTGGGGCCTGGCACACAGGGTCCCTGTGATGAGGAGGGGCTGCCCCTGCCGGAATGCACCAGAGGCTGCCACCAGGGAGAGAGTTACAAGGACCACTTCCGTGGACCTGGCAGGTCCTAGGGCCCCCTTTAAAATTGTGCCTGGGGAGAGTCCCTGGCGCTGCTCCGGAGGATCATGGAGCCCGACTCTACTCACAGGGGAGACCACACAGCTTCTGCGGGGCAAGACAGCTGAGGAGCATGTCAGGCAAGCGACGGGCATGGGGGGTGGGGGGGAGCACAGCGTGGTCTGCATGCCCTCAGCCACGCCCAGGGTGACCCTGGAGGCCTGCATGGAAGACCCTGGAAGCGTCCTTGGCCACCCCTGGTGGAAGAGACAGCTCCAGCCTCACCTTTCTAGGACAGTGCCATCTGCCACCAAGGCAGCTCCAGAGAGTGGGACAGCTGTGAGAGGCGGGACCTGTCCAGGCTCCCTGATGGGCACTCACAGCCCCCTTCACCCTCAGCGAGGCACTTGCCCCAATGAAAACTGAGCAGTTGGACAATCTGATGTCTTGGAGGGTCCAGGTCAGCCCCCCACCCCAATGCCCAGCCCTGCATAACCAAGGAAGCGTTTGTTGAATGGCTGAGTCCCACCCCTGCTCCAACCTTGGCAGGCCTTGGAGTGTCCCCGGCAGGAAGTGGAGGGTGAACACAGGGGGACAAAGTAACAGGGCAGCAGAGCTGGGGTGGGGCCAGGCTGGGCAGACTGGGGAATGAGACCTACTCAGAACACCGCCCTCGGCAGAGCCACCCACCCCTATCCTTGCAAACCCTCTGCCCCAGGGCCCACTCTAAACCCATGAGAGCTGTGGCAGGACAGGGTGACTCCAGGCCTGGCCAGGAGGCTCCGGCTGACTCCGCCCCCTTCTCCTTCCCCTCCCCACTTCCCATTCCACAGGCCTCCACAGGGCAGGGGCCGTGACAGGGGTGACAGAAGTTCGGAGAGGTCACTGAGTCCCTGCAATTAGCAGTAATGAGTTGACACATGCCACAGGTCAAGTGCTAATGCAGGCTGATAATTAACTCAACCTGCTAGGAAGCGGTGCAGCCCCTCCTCCCTCTGATCAATTATCCTCAGGATGTTGAACAGCCCCGCCCCAGGGCTAATGGGGTCACATTCCAACCATAATGACGTGGCTGCTGCACCAGAAACACTGGGCTGGTGCCGGGAACACCCCCATCCCAGACTGGAGACCTCCCCCAGCCCCTCCAGATGAGGGTCCTGCCCTGCTCACTGGCTCCTGCCCCAACCCTGCTCCTGGGGCCTTCCTGACTCGCCACCTTGCACTTCCCAGGGACAGTACACCCAGCAGCCTGTCCCAGCCTATGTCTCAGCAGACCAGGCTCTGCGAGACACCCCCTCCAGCCTCCACCTCCCAGCACTGCCTCCAGAACAGGGGCCATTCAGACTCGTGGCTTGCTGTCCTCTGCCCTGCATCTCAGGCTGCTCCCAGCCCATGTCCAGTTTTGGGTGCTAGCCACAGTGCTACACTGACCATCTGGTACCTGCTTCTGCCACAGCTTCGGGGCCCTCCTGGGGCCAGCCAGCCCTGGACAAAGCAGACCCGACCCCTCCCTCCCTCTGGGCCTTGACCTCTGTTTCTGTTGCCAGCTGTGGTACCTGAGCCAGCAGCAACCCAAACAGGGAAGCAAGAAACTCTGTAGCTGCTTCTGTGCCTCTTTCTTCTTGGGGACAAGCCAAGCCTGTGTCTCCATCTCACTCAATCGTCGGGTCTGTGCCCAAGGTCAGGGCCATCGTGCTCCATCCATGGGCCGGCCTTGTCTTAGAGGCCGAGGGGCCTGGCCCCATCTGTGCCTGGCTTGGTAACAGTTCTGCAGTGTCCCAGGAATATTCCCTTGCCCATCTCAGGACAGGAGCTCACTCTGAGGGCCTGCCCCTCTTTGGGAACTACCCCCTCTGGCAGCTGGGGGTGAGCATGCTAGGTCTCAGTGAGCACATCTCTCAGGTCCCTGACCCCTGGGCACCCCCGTAGGCTTCTTGTATTGCCGGGGGGCAGGAATGGGCCCCTCCTGCATGCTGCCCCCACATGGTAGGGCCCAGACCTCCGTCTCCCCTGCAGTCCCACAGCCCCTGCCAAGGGCATCTGCGACTGGAAACTCCACCGCGGTGATCCTGAGCTGCTGGGAAGATGGGTTTTGATGGTACCGCTGCTCAGAGGGCAAGGGGCACCAGTGCCAGCCACCACATCAGGCACCATCTGCTGGTGCAGGAGGCCGGTGAGGGAGCCGAGGGGACACTCAGTTCAGAACGTCCTCTGCCCTGTGGCAGCGAGATTGTTGCGGCTTCACAGCAAGCAAATGCACGTTCCATGGGCTTAATTCTATCAATCCCCAAAGACCTGATGGCCCCTGCGTGCGGGGTGTCGCGCTTCAGTGCACACGGGGGGCCTTAAGCAGCGAGGTCCACACAGACCCCAGGAGTGGCCAGGAACCCTCTAGGGTCTGTGGCACTCAGGCCAGAGGCTGGGAATTCAGAGCCTTATGACCAAGGGGCCCAGGAAGTCCTTGAGAAGAATCACCTCTGAAACATTCTGGGAGCGCCTCCCAGGCAGCCGGCACTACACGGGGCACCTACACGCGTTTCCTTGCTAACTGACCATCCCATTGTATGGGTGACAAAACTGAGGTTCTAAGATGAGCAGAGGCTCAGCCCTCATCTCACATGAGGCAGAGCTGGGATTCCCACCCAGGACCATCCAGGTTAGAGCCCACCCAGCTGTCTCCAGTAGGTGCAGACGCAGGTGGGGCTCAGAAGCTGGCAGACAGGCTGGGGCACCCAGCCCCCTCCCTGGTGGTTGCTGTCCTCTCCACACGGGCCATGGCGAAGCTCTCAAAAGCAAACGCTGGGCCGTGCCCCAGCCCCTGGGTCTTCAGCAGTTGCTCCCGTCTCTCAAAAACTAGTTCTCACCTCCAGTGATCAGAAGCTGGGACCACAAAGGTTTCATCCCATGCGGGCCACCGAGCAGGCTGTGGCTCTCTGGGCACAGGAGGGAGGTCAGCTGTCAGCCAGTCCCATCCAGCCCCTGCCCAGGTGTATGGCCTCCTCCCCTCCGTCTGCTACCTCACCCCTGCTCCTGGTGCTGAAGCACATAACCCAGTGCCAAAATGTGCCTCCCCCGAAAAGCCACCCCTTACACCTGCCCACCATCATCAGTCACAGCTGCAAGAGTTTTCCAATGTCCCCAGCTCACCCTGCCACTCTCTCCCCCAGCCCCCCAGCAGGCCCCCATCCACCCCCAGTCCTCAGCCCTGACTTGAATTTCTGCGTTCTGTGCTTTGCACGTCTGTGCCACCAAGTCACTGAGGCCAGGGGCAGGTCTTATTTGCAGCCTTGAGGCTATTGAGAAAAGTTTAGGCAGAAAGGGAGGAAGGAAGGGAGGGAGGGAGGGAGGGAAGAGGGAAGGAAGGAAGGAAGGAAGGAAGGAAGGAAGGAAGGAAGGGTAGGGAGGGAGAGAGGGAGGGACACAGGGTGTCCTCTTATTTTTTACTTTTTTTTTTTTTTTGAGACAGAGTCTCACTCTGTTGCCCAGGCTGGAGTGCGATGGCATGATCTCGGCTCCCTGCAATCTCCACCTCCCAGGTTCAAGCAATTCTCCTACCTCAGCCTCCTGAGTAGCTGGGATCACAGGCACACACCACCATGCCCGGCTAATTTTTGTATTTTTAGTAGAGACGGGGTTTCACCATGTTGGCCAGGCTGGTCTCCAACTCCTGACCTCAAGTGATCAGCCTGCCTCGGGCTCCTAAAGTGCTGGGATTACAGGCGTGAGCCACCGCGCCCGGCCATAGGGCATCCTCTTAATTAGAGTGTGAGGCCTGCGGATATGGGCTGGGGAATAAGTTGATGCTGACAGAAAATAACTTAAACCATTGAAAGGAACAGGAAGTAAACAGAAGCAAATATTTACCGAATCCCTGGTGAGAAGGAACTTTCCAAGAATAAAGGGAAGGATGAGTTCACTTTGACTGTGTGGAAGCTAAATTCTCAGGTGGCTCAAAGGAAAACATCAAGCTAAAAGACAAGAAATGAGGCGGGTAAATTTTTGACACTAACATGACAAAAAATTAATAGCATTAACACGGCAGGAACTTATCTGAAGCAGCAACACCAAGGGCAATGTGAGTGAACTGCAGACAAGGCAACCCGGACGCCATGGGACACGCCACAGAGCAGGCTGCCTTGTCCCCACTCTGCCTACATGTGAGACCCACCAGACTCACAGTGAACACATCCCAGCCCCTCCGGCCGGGCACCACGGAAGGCCCTCCCTCCTCCACTGAGGGCAGGGATCACAGGGCCAGGTTTTTGTCATCGGACAAGGGGTGTCCCAAGTCATGAGATGCTTAACCCATGAATGCCCCCTCTTGGAGTCTATGCTAATTAAACACGTAGAGGGGCGGACTTCACTCTGCCAGCTCAGATAATGACCACAGCATATTTATAACCACAAAGAGGTGGAAACAGCTACACTATCCAACAGTGGGGAAATGTTTAAGTCAATGCTGGGAGAGTAACACCATGGACCAGCCCCGAAGAGACATCTGTGGTGAGTGAAATGCACGCCATACAAGCCCAGAGAGACTGTGAACTTGGAAGAAAGAATAGGTGCACACAATAAGACTGGGAGGAAATGAACAAACTATCATCGGCCATGAGGTTCTCCTTTACTTACAATAAGTATATGCAGCACAGACATGAGAAAGGCATTCCTGGAGTGTGAAGCCCAGGGCAAGAGGATGCGGGTGTCCTGAGCAAGCAATAATGCCAGCACCTTCTGCAAGGTGAGATAAGTCACCTTGGCTCTCTCAGGCTCCAATCATCTCTGCGACTATAAGGACAGCCCTGTCCCTGGACAAGGGGCAGCTTTGAGGGAAAGGATAGAAGGCCAGATGGGCAGATGGATGGAGGGTGAATGAATGAGTGAACAGACATACAAGTATATGGGCAGATGAATGGAGGGTGAATGAATGAGTGAACAGACACACAAGTATATGGGCAGATAGGTGGGTGAATGGACAGGTGGGTGGATGGACAGTGAGTAGGTGAAAATGGATGGGTGAGTAGATGGGGGATGAACAGATGGGTGCATAGAGAGATGGCTATGTGGATGAATGGTAGGTGGACAGGTGGACAAATAGAGGAATGAATGGTGGGAGGGATGGATGAATGGATAGATGAGTGGATGGACGGATGAGCAGATGGACTAGCAGATGGGTGGATAGATGCATGGATGAGTGAGTGGATGAATAGAGAGATGGACAGGTGAGTAAATGGATGGATAGATGGATGGACACATGAATGGATGGGTGAGCAGGTGGATGGGCAGGTGGATGGATGAATGAAAGGATGGATGGATGGATGGATGGATGGATAGGTATATGGGTGGAGGGATGGATGGATAAATCAGTGGCAGGTGGATGGGTGAAAGGATCAATGGGTAGAAGGATGGATGGTTAGATAGATGGGTGTTTAGATGAATGGATGGTGGACAGTGGATGAATGGGAGCTGGGTGAGGGGCTCTGGTGGATAAGGCTTAGCCATTTGACCGCTGCTCTGGCCTGTGTGTTTGCCCCTTCCTTCCAGGAGCTCTGCTGGGCCACCTCTTGGGCAACAAACCATCCTGGGACATCTTGCAGACAAGGAAACAGGCTTCAGGAGGCAATGGTGCCTCTTGAAGGGCAGGGCACACAGCCACAGGGCCACCTTCTGCATGGCTCCCACCGCAGCTGAGTCTCCAAGGAAGCTGGGTTTTTACAGGGGCAGGTCCTCAAGGTGGATACCCCTTTGCTAAAGGCTCTGCCCCAGCAACCCACAAGCAGCCACTTGCCCTGGGCTCCAGGCGGCTGCCCTCCCCTTGCTGTCCTCTGGACTGTTTAGTATGCAGAAGGACCAGCCCTGCAAGGCCACCATAAATCCTGCCCCTGTCCTACAGCAGATCAATTGCCAATCGGCTCCAAATCCCCTAGATGTCTCAGCAGCTTGGCCCAGCTGTAGGAGCCACGGCCATGGTTGGCTCTAGATGCTGCTGGCTATATATATTGAACTTGAAGCATCGGATTACATGTTTGTTCAATAGCAATAAACTCCCAAAGTTTTATGGGGTCATAAAACCGCTGTCTCGGCTCCCACTTAGGTGGTATGTAATGTACACAGGCTGGTTTCCCCGCTAATGGGGCGGTGCAAGTGATTTGGGGCTATTAGCTGGAAACATCACATCTGCATTTCCCAAATTCTCATAAATAAGGTGGCCCCACCAGAGTGCACCAGACCCAGCCTTGTAGTTCGAGGAGAGGAAGAAAGGCAGAGTGGGTTGGAGCCATGAGAAATGATTAGAGAGGGAGGGAGACCAGGCGGGGTGGGGGGAGGCAAGGGATGTCAGGAGAAAAGAGGGTGCAGGGCTCAGCCCAGATGCCCACCGCCCTTGAGCGCATCCCTGCCCAGCCTCTGGCTTAGGAGGACTCAGAGGACAGGCACCTCCTCCCAGGGTCCTGGGCCCCAGCCTTGCCCTCTAGAGAGGGCAGTTCAGGCACTTGGGGGGCTTGGATGAAGGGCTGAACTGTGGACGGTGGACAGAGCAGAGGGAGCCACGTGCGAAACAGCACCCAGGTGGGGCCGCAGTGGTCAGGTCTCCACAGACCCCACGGGGAGTCAGAGAAGACAGCAGAAACACAGAGGCTGAGGCCAGAGCGGGGAGATGGCCAGGTGACCTTAAGCAGGCCAAGGCTGGTGTGTGCATTTGGGGAGATGTCCCCTCTGTGGCCCAGGGTCAGGGTGAGGCACTGCTGCGGGTGGAGATGGAAGAGGCAGCTTAGGAAGCAATGAGTTCCCATCTAGGGGCAGGGGCCACTGTGAGAGCCCGAGGGAGGCGTCGCATGAGGGCCCTCAGCTCTACCCTGGACCCGTGGTTACCATGTGCAGAACTGCTCAGATCCCAGTGCCAAGCGCCCCATAAGAGTGTCTGGGATCCAGGCGGGAAGACACCCAGACAGGACGGGGAGAGGCAGCCATGCAGCCAGGAGCTGGGCAGGGGGCAGACACGGGGAGACGCAGAGACAGGCAGCCGGACTCTGACGGTCAACCCCAGCTTGGCTGTGGCCAGGTGAGAGTGAGGGGCCACACTGCCCATCCCTTGGGGTAGCCCAGCTGGTGGCACTGGCACCCGGGACATGGCCAGTCACCTTTTAGCTCTAGCCAGGCTCTTCTCAGAGCTGGAGTTGGGCACGTGAATGACTTTGCCCGGATCCTTGTAACTTTGCTATCGACCCAGGCCCTCGGAAATGCATCGATTTGCCCAAATCAATATTTATTGTGGCTTCAAAGACTGGGGGTTGGAGAGGGGGGTCTGCAGGCTGATGAATGGAGTCAAGGCAGCCAGAGAGCGGTCACCCCCACCTCCCACCCAGCAGGCCTCACCAGCCTCTGCACCTGCTCTGCCCCCACCCAGCCCCCGCCTCTACCCTGAGAGCCCGCCAGGGACAGCCCACCCAGGTGTGGACAAAGGATGAGCTGGTGGAGGTCACCGGTGCCCAGGAGACCCTGCTCACTCCTGTGCCTCGGACACCGAGTGTCCTGCCCTCTGGGGCTGTTTGTTTCCTGGAGGCTCGAAGTGAGTTCCTGGGAACCAAGCTCGTCCGGGGTTAATTTCCCTGTGGAAGTCCCTCCCTCAGGGGAGTCTGGAAGTCAGGGGTGTTGCAGGAGAGCTCCCCTGGCATCCCCACCTTCCAGGCCACACAGGGCCTATAGGTGGGCTCCTGTCTCGACTCCATAGGGCCCCTCGCGGGGGGCCTGGGGCCGGCAGCAAGCGCACTGGATGAGGATGAGGGGCATCCACCCAGGGGTCCCCGTGCCCCAGGGCTCAGGGGAAGGACAGGAAACCCCCCCACACACCCCAGGGGCCCGAGGCCGCAGGACAAAAGGACAGGCCACTATGGGCCCTGGGGGTCTGGAGAGGCGGGTGGCCCCTGGCCCACACAGGACCGGGAAACTCATTTCAGGAGTCTCTGATGAGGCTAAGGAGGCCTGTAGAAGGCAAAACATGTTCACAGAGAGAAACACGCATTCCCAGAGAGGAATTCTCAAGGCCAAGGACCGACAGCAGCAGCAGAGCCCGCATGCAGTGAGCGAGACCCCGTGGGGGAGCAGCAGCTGGCGGCTGCATTGAGTGAGCACACACAGAGCCTGAGCCAAGGCGAGAGATGGGGCAGACCTGTCCATTCCCTCGGAAGGCCACTGGGGCCGTGACCCCCAGCGCTGGCCACAGGCTGCCCTGGGCAAGCCCAACCCTGTGGAGGCTTCTTCATGTCTACTCCTGTCCCGTGGCTCCTGCTCTCCTCTGAGGGTCGGGAAGGGCCCAGCCACATGCCCAAGAGTTGAGGACCTACTCCTGGAAAATCCCAGCTCCCCTGGAGACGCAGGTGCAGGTGGGAGCTGTGCAGAAGGCGGCTCTGTGGCTTTGTGCCCTGTGCAGACACTGTTTCCTCTCTTAAGCCTCAGTTTCCTTCTCTGCAAGATGTCCCGGGATGTCAGGGAGGTGGTGTGCAGTGGGCTTCCCCCGCCCCGAGGCTGGTGGTTCAGCCCCTCAGGCAGAACTCAGGGACAGAGGAGCCCCGGCAGAGTGGACGGGGGTGAGGATGAGATGGACTGCCCTGGCTACAGGGGGAGCCTGTGAGGACCAGGGCCTCCTCATGCAAACACAAACCCATCCAGGCCTGGCTGGGGGCTCAGAGGGGTTAGTGATCTGCCAGGAGTCTGAGGCAAGCGTGGGGCAGATGAGCATGGAGGAAGCGGGCCTGGTGGTCTGGAGCTGCCTCTGGGAGCCTTCCTGGAGGAGGCTGTGTCTCCAGCAGCCTCAGAGAACAGCTAGTGTTTCTCGGTGGCATGGCCACTGCCTTCACTTCTCCCATCTCAGATCAATTTTTAATGTAGAATGAAAGCCGGGAGATCAGACTTTGGCAGACTGGCTGCTCAGTAACTGAGTTCAATCTCAAGCAGGGCCCGAGTGCCCTCCCCTCCAGCCCCCTGCGCCCTCGTCCTGGGAGGGCCTTCTCTGGCTCCACTGCCAGCCCACCCAACATCATTACCCCACCCGCACCTGCCCCCACATCTCAGCCTTCCAGAGTGAACACAGCTGTGTTTAGGGAGCTCCTCCAAAACTCAGTGAATGCTGAGGGCTCCTGGCAGGGGTCAGGAGAAAGGGGTCCTGAGGGCAAAATAGCAGGCACCAGGCTGACCCCATGGCCAAGAGGGCCTGAGGGACAGAGCCTGCTCCAGGGCGGGCTGGAGGCTGGGGCAGGGTGAGGACGGGTGAGGAAGTGCAAGCAGGGCTCACGGGCAGGGGGAGCTCCCCCGCGTGGTGGGAGGGCATGTGCCTGCAGTGGGGCCCAGGGAAGCGCCCCAGGACCACGGCCCCCAGATTTTGGCCCCAGGTTCTCTGCCCCCAGCTGAGGTTCACCTGGCAGGTGCCTAACCAAGCATCCAACCTAAAAGCCTCCCCAACCCAGGGCCACTCTACCTGGCTGGGACACCCTTGTGGGGTGTCTCTGTCGGGGTCACCACGTGACCTGGCTCCTGGGGCTCTCCGGTTTTTCAATGCCCTCAGTGAGTGGGTGTCAGTTTGTAGTTAGAATGAATGTGTCACATGCCCACAACGAGTGGGTGAAGGGGAAGCCTGGGAGGCCATACAGGGCCTGGCCAGGGCCACCCCACCCTAGGCCCACAGACAGCAGAGAAAGGGCCATCCTGGGGGTCCCCACCCAGCCTGGAATGAACAGGGAAGCAGCTGCTCCCAGGGGAGGGCCTGCAGGGGGAGGGGGGTCCTGCCAGGAGCTGAGGGCTTCTGGGGCGGTGCACCAGCCCAGGGCCCCACCCACCCTCCTTCCTGGGGTCCATGACAGAAGAGGGAGGAATCTACAGTGTTGACCTGGGGTCTGCAAGGAGATACCGGCATTTCCAAGCTGTGGGGCCCCCTGCCAGGCCACACAGATGGGCTGTGGGCAGCATCAGGCTGTGGTGAGCCCACAAGGATGCCGGGTGCCCATGTGGGGCCAGGAAGTCTCGGAACAGGTGAGGGAGGGGCCTGGGCAGGCTGCTGGGAGATGGCAGCACCCCCACCTGACCAGGGGCTGGGGTGGGGCAGGCTGTGGCTCTAATCTCAGTCCTGCTGTGTGTGCAACAAGGAGACATCCCCTCACTGATTTTTACAGACGAGGAAACCGAGGCTCAGAGAGGTAAAAACCCTTGCCTGGCGTGGACCTGGCTCACAGACCCACATGCTGAGGACCCAGCCAGGCCAGGAGCTCTCAGAGGTCCCGTTTCCTACCCGTGAGACGCTTGTCCACAAGCAGCCATAGCCCTAGAAAGGGAAGGCGGGACCCGGGAAAGGCAGGGCAGAGGGGCGGCTGGTGGACCCAGGGCCGACTTTGCGGGCCAGAGGCTGCCTGACCTACCACCTCCTCCAATAGAGGCACCAACCCCATGTCCAGGGGGATGGGTTGAGGGATACCAAGGTGGGGGTGGGGGAGGCCAAGAGCCTTGCCCAAGCTCCCCAGCCCGGAAGCTGCAGGCAGGACACGAGCCCAGGACATAGCAGAAGACAGCTGTCCCAGCAAGTACTGGGCACCTCCTGGGTGCAGTGCCCAGCAGGCCAGGGGCGGGTGCTTGCTGCCCATGGAGCCTGGCAAGAAGGTGCACACCCAGCGCTGGGGTTTCAGAAGGTCATGAGATGGTGGTGGGAGCCCCTCCTGGCTGGGAGCCTGAGATCCAAGGGACGTGGTAGGACCCAGAGATCAAGAATGCTACATGGATGGGGAAACAGGCCCTGGACCAGCACCTTGAGAGAAGGGTGGGGCTGTCCTGGCCCTCAGGCTGCCCGGCCTGCAGGGCTGTGGGCTCCCACGGGGTGAGCTGCATCCAGAGGCCCGTGAACCTGTGCCCAGGCAGGCCCAGCGCCCATTCTCTCCACCTGCACACGCATTCCCCAGCTGGTTTTTTGGCTAGTTCATTCGCTCACTGACCCCTCAACTATTATTTATGAGTCTCTCGGGTGGTAAATAAAGTCAGGGGAATGTGGCAGGAGCCAGGGTTGGGGGTCATGTCCAGGCCCTGCTTCCCTTTTGCAGGGGAGGGTGCTGAGGGATGACGGGTGCCCCCCGAGGCCAGGTCCCTGAGAACCCACTGTTCTGACCCCCAACGTGCTGCCGAGTCCAGGTCGCCAGGTGAGGGCCGCATGGGACGTGTCTAAGGTCGAGAGCTCTGTTCTCCTGCCTGCCTGTCCTGTCGTAATCACTGCCTGGGGACCCAACACCACACTGCTCCTCGAGGGCCAGCCTCCCTGTTCTGTGAGCATTGATTTCTGTGTTTCCAACAGAGACCGGAATTAGTAGCTGGCATTTGTTTGGGCAGAAACAGCATCAATATTGTCTCTGGGGTGTCCCGGGCCTGTTCCTGCCTGCAAGCCTGGAACAGGCCCCAAGCCCGACTCCTGGCTCAGCCCACCAGCCCACCAAGGAGGAGGACACAGAAGGCAGAGTGACCTGCCTGAGCCACCCGGTGTCTGGGCAAAGCCATTCGCATGGCACGGGAGCTCCTCCTGCCTGAGGCTGCTGCCTGAAAGCCCCCTTAGCACCTCGTTTCTGAGGCCTGAGAGCAGGAGCTCCCTCCACTCTTAGAAAGGACACTTCCTCCTGCCCAGTGCTGGGCAGGCAGTGGCTGCAATGTTCCCTGACTAGGGCTGGCCAAATGCATGGGTCTGAATCCATCAACTGAGCTGGGCCCGCCACATGCCTCCTCCCACAGAGGCCTGACACAGCCCCAGATGGGACAGCCTTTACCGATCCACTGTGTATATGCCTTGAGGGGGAGGCGCTGACCAGCCCAAGGCCCCCAGCCATAAGTGGTGTCCAGGCCTGGTCTCTTGTACCCTGGTCCTGGTAGTGGTCTGACTTTGGTTTTCTTCATTCCTGCCTCTAATCCTCGTGTGAGCAGCCCGGAGGCCAGCATGGAGGAGGCGAGCTGAAGGAGCAACAGCAGGGCCCTGAGAAGGGCAGGTCCTCCTCCTGAGGCTGGGGTGGCCCCTCAGGACCATCAGCGGGGCTCCTGACTTTCCCACAGACCCTGCTGCCTGCTGCCCTGGTGGGGTTGGGGCATTTTCAGGAACAGAGACATGTGCAGCAAAGTGCTTGCAGGAGCCCTGCCTCTGAGGTCCCCGGGGTCCGCCCTCCCCCAGCTAAGGGCTGATAGCATCGGGGCCAGGTTGGGGGGATGAGCATGGGGTGTGGAAGATGAGGGAGCTCAGGATGCATGTGGGCTCTGACCTCCCCTCCCCCTGCACCTCCAGCAAGCCCCTTCAATCCAACCAAGGCTCCCCATCTGGGTAAGGCCGTCCTGGGGTTTAAGCAAAAGGTGGGCACACAGCAGGTGCTCACAGGCCTCGGCAGAGGATGGGGTGTCTGGGGAGGGGAGAGGAAGGCTGCTCTGGGGACCAGCACAGGAGACCAGCCATGGCAGCCCAGGAACACCTGCCGCCCAGTGTCCATCTGAAGGCTGGTCACCAGGAAGGCCAGTCTTGACCCAGATCTGTCACCTCCAAAGCATCTGTGGGGTATGAAACATGGCCTAGCTGAGAGGCAGGATAGGGCTTCTCATGCCCAACCCTGCCCCTGGGAAACGTGATAGGTTCCTGCCAGCGCTCAGCCCCTCAGAGGATGGCTCAGCTCACAGATACACAGCAAGGCCCCCTGATCCCCCACAGCCACCAGAAAAGCCAGCACTTCCGGGACCCCCATTCCCTGACTCCCACCCAGGATGGCCGCAGCCTGCTTCACAAACGCCAGGCCCTTGCACACAGTAGGTGCTCAAGGGCTGCGTGGCCTCATGCCCCCTAACAGCCCCCTCCAGGACCCAGGAAGGAAGAGGGGGCCCAAGGGTTGAGGGTGGGTCTCCAGGAGCTCTGTGCAGTAAGATTCCAGAGCCCAGCGTGGCCTCCAGCAGAGCACCAGGGAGGGGTCCAGGGGTGTGCCTGCCCAGGAGGCTACGTGCAGGCTAGGCCCTGTGACAGCGATCAGAGGGGAAGGTCACAGCAGCTTCGTGCTCTGTATTGCAATGCATGCCCTGTTAATCCTCATGCAGGGCTCACACTAGCCCCTATGTGCCCCCATGGGTGGCCTTCCCCTCCTGTGACGCTGACCCCCAACCCCACCTGCCCGCCTGCAGCATCTCCAAGGCCTCCGGAGCAGAATTGAGAATTACAGCAGCTTGTCGGGCATCACTCCCAGCCAGGGTTGGGACCCGATCCATCCCGCAGCAGCATCTGTGACCTTCTAGAAAGGTCTCTGCCTGCTGGGGGTGGGCAAGCAGGTGGGGTCCAAGGCCGGCGCCCTGAGATCCACTGCCAGGAATTGACCTCATTTAGCTGGCAATACCTGCTTGAGCTTGGTGTTTAAGGAGCTGTCCTGGAGTCATCTATGCCCATGAAATCCCAGACACACCTGCACAGCCAGCTCCTGGGCTTCATCCAGCACAGGAAAAAGCAGCCGAGTGAGTGACGGAGCCTCAGGCTCCCAGTAAAAGCTGTGGACAGAGCCCAAGCTGTGCTGTCCTCACAACTCAGGGCAGAAAATCTGGAGGAGGCAGTGAGGACCATTCCCCTGAAACAGGAAAAGTTCCTTTGTCCCCTTCGCAGGGCATGCAATGGGGGTGTGGCTCACTTCTTCGGTGCCCTGCTGCTCAAACCTCTGGGGGAGCATACAGACGGGCAAGTTGTGGGGTGTTGACCCCACGGCAGTGTCTAGGGGTGGATGTTGACAGCTCGTGAAGCCCCACTGGGCGTGTTACAGGGTGCTTTTAGTTTAGCCATCTATAGGCAGCTTGTGTTAACCAGCTCAACTAGACCCCTGCCTTATCACAAGGACAGAGGGCTTTCTGGATCCTGGGGTTCTTGCCTTGTGTAAATCTGACCACACGTGGGCTTGGAGAATGAGTGCAAGGTTTTATTGAATGGAAGTAGCTCTCAGCAGATGGGGGAGCCAGAAGGGAGATGATTTTCCCCTGGGCGGCCTGAGCTCTCCTACGACTGCCCCAGCCAAACTCCACATCATTCTGCCGCAGCCGGCTTCACAAATGCCAGGCCTGCCAGTGCCTGTCTGTGGATTCCGCTTGACGTCCAGCCACTTGTGCGTTCTTCCACTGATCCACTCCTCTCAATGTCCAGCCGCTAGAGTATCTGCCTACTAGGGTCTCAGGGGTTTTTATAGGCACAAGATGGAGCATGGCAGGCCCGGGTAGTCTTGGGAAATGCCACAACATGTGGGCAGGAAATGCCTGTCCTCACCTAGGTCCATGGGGGTGGAACCCTAGCCAGGGACCATGCCTTCCTCTACCCAGCACTTTCCTTCCCCTCTTTTGAGATGGAGACTTGCCCTGTTGCCCAGGCTGGAGTGCAATGGCCTGATCTCGGCTCACTGCAACTTCTGCCTCCCAGGTTCAAGCAATTCTCCTGCCTCAGCCTCCCAAGTAGCTGGGATTACAGGAGTCCACCACCACGCCCGGCTAATTTTCATATTTTTATTAGAGACAGGGTTTCACCATGTTGGCCAGGCTGGTCTCGAACTCCTGACGTCAGGTGATCCGCCCGCCTCAGGCTCCCAAAGTGCTGGGATTGCAGGCGTGAGCCACCGCGCCCAGCCCCCTTCCTCTCTTTCGTATCATTTAAAGGGACCACACTGTTCCCTTTCAGCACTTCTGAAACACCCCCAGGTTGGATTCTGGGGGCTTCTGTCTTCCTTAGCATGTGGGCGTTTCACACCTTTTGTGTCAATAGCCAGTACTGTCTTTGCCGTGGGGTGGTGGGAGAACAGGAAAACACATGCTTTTTTGTGTTTTGTTTTTGTTTTTTGTTTGTTTTTTAGAGAAATAGTCTTGCTCTGTCACCCATGGTGTAACCATACCTCACTGTGGCCTCAAACTCCTGGACTTAAACAATCCTGCCTCAGCCTCCCAAGTAGCTGGGACTATAGGTGCAGACCACAATACCTGGCTAAGTTTTTTTGTTTTGTTTGTTTTTGGTAGAGATGGGGGTCTCGCTATGTTGTCCAGGCTGGTTTTGAACTCCTGGCCTCAAGTGATCCTCCTGCCTCGGCCTCCCAAACCAGTGCTGGGATTATAGGTGTGAGCCATTGGGCCTGGCCCCAATACATGCCTTTTCTGTGGGACCATAGTAGGTGGGTATATCTATGGGGTACATGAGATACGGGGTACATGAGATATGTTGATACAGGCATACAATGGTTAGTGTCACATCAGGGGAAATGGGGTGTCCATTATCTCAAGCATTCATCATTTCTTTGTGTTACAAACACCCCAATTATACTCTTTTAGTTTTCTGTCTGTTTGTTTTTTGTTGTTTTTTTGAGATGGAGTCTTGCTCTGTCGCCCAGACTGGAGTGCAGTGGCTCCATCTTGGCTCACTGCAAGCTCTATCTCCCAGGTTCACACCATTCTCCTGCCTCAGCCTCTGGAGTAGCTGGGACTACAGGTGCCTGCCACCAAGCCTAGCTAATTTTTTTTTTTTTTTTTTTTTTTTTTTTTTTTTTTTTTAGTAGAGACAGGGTTTCACTGTGTTAGCCAGGTTGGTCTCGTTCTCATGACCTCATGATCCGCCCACCTCGGCCTCCCAAAGCGCTGGGATTACAGGCGTGAGCCACTGTGCCCAGCCTCTTTTAGTTATTTTTAAATGCACAATAAATTATCATTGACTGTAGTCCCAATACGTGCTTTTTTGTTTGTTTGTTTGTTTGTTTGTTTGAGACAGAGTCTCACTTTGTCGCCCAGGCTGGAGTGCAATGGCGCAGTCTCGGCTCACTGCAACCTCCACCTCCCAGGTTCAAGCGATTCTCCTGCCTCAACCTCCCAAGTAGCTGGACTACAGGTGGGAGGCACCAGGCCCAGCTAATTTTTGTATTTTTAGTAAAGACGGGGTTTCTTCCTATTGGCCAGGCTGGTCTCAAATTCCTGAACTCAAATGATCTGCCTGCCTCGGCCTCCCAAAATGCTGGGATTACAGGTGTGAGCCACCGCGCCCAGCCCCAACACATGCTTTTTAATGGTCAAGACCAGTAGGCCCATGGGGCCAGAAGCAGGCATGCCCCTGGCATGGCCCAGGCTGGCCCAGGTGTGGAGGGAGGCGGTGGCGGTAGCTTCACTCTCAAGTCAGCAGTAGGAGTCATGCCCCCAGATGGCAGGAAGAGGGTGGGCACCTGGGGATCCCTTCAGGGGGGTGGACAAGCCTGGGGTGGCTCCAGCTGTCACCTGCTCTCTGTGAGGCCTGGGCAGGGGACCCAAGGGCCCTCCTCAGTTTCCTCGTCTGCACGGTGGAGGCAGTGGGCCTGCTCCCAGGCTGAGTGATATCAGGGGCTGTGGGCTCTGGGCTCCCATCCCACTTTCTGGGAGCATCCCCTGGGCTCTGACAGCCCCTGCCCAGTTGCTGAGGCTGCCCACACCACAGGGCCAATGCTGTTCCCATGGAGCAGCAGAGTGTCCCGAGTTCCCACTGCTTCCCTGACACTCTGACTCCCATCCCTCCTGGGCCTGCTGCCAGCCCCATGCCAAACCCAGGGTGGAGGTGACAGCTGGGCACATGCTGGACACCAGTGTCCTCAGCCTGTGGCTGTCCTCACCACAGGGTGCCTAGGTCAGGATTCAAACCCAGGCCTGAGCTGCCCCTGTCTGTGCAAGGCTCTATGCCCCCTCCTTCCAGCCCATCTCAAGTGTCCGACCCCAGAGTGCTCGTGCCGGACACTGGCCGTGTGGAAGACACCTCCAGCCACAGGGAGGCCCTGCAGCCAGGGCCTGGGGTCCTTGCTCACCAGGGTGCGCACCACTCACCTGGAAAGGAGACAGGGCCACCTCCACCCAGCCCCAACACACGGGCCTCAGGGGCAGGGACCGTGAGATGGAAGGAGGGCCTGGCGCCCTGGGGCATCAGTCGACTCAACATCCAAACACCTGCCCTGGGCAGGTGAAGAAGCAAAGAGGTCAGGGCCTGGCTCCACCCAGCCATGCAGCCTCAGGCAAGAGGCAACATCCTGGGCCTCAGTTTACCCTCTGGGAAGAGGGCGTGTGTGAGGAGCTGGCTCAATATAGCAGGTCCTTACCACTGCTCATGTGGGTCTGTGGATGGAAGGCCCCCAGCTGCATTGGGTTTGGCTGTAGAGTCCTGGGACACAGACACCACCCAGAGTGGCCTCAGACAGGAGTCCCACTTTTCCACCAGCCCCTTGCTGGTGAAGGACACTTCAGACTTTCGCCCCATTCCCTGTCACTGTTATCATGAATAAGTATGCTGGGAGGTTAACAGGTAAATAAAAAGCATAGCTGGACACAGTGTGAGGCCACAGTGGCCGGAGGACTATGGAACCTCAGGGCAGGACAGCATCTGGGCAGCCAATGCCAGCCTTGGCAGACCCCATGGCACCTGCCCAGAGGCTACGTGCAGGCGTGGCCCTGCAAGGGGGGCGGTCAGAGGCAAAGGTCACAGCAGCTTCGTGCTCTTTACTGCAATGCATCCCCTCTGTTAATCCTCACGTGGGGCTCAGACAAGCCTCTGTGTGCCCTTCCTTCTCCTGTGACAGGTGGCCTTCCTCCTCCTGTGACGCTGTCCCCCAGCCCCTGCTGTGTGCAGACCCCATGGCATGTGGGCAGCCAACGCCAGTGTTGGCCACCAGACAGCAGCCCAGGGAGCTCAGCAGGGCCAGGCAGTAACAGAGGCCAGGGCGGGCTGGGAGTTTCCCAGGGAGGGTCCCCACACCCCCTGCTCCCCTTTCCTTCCCACGTTGTCCCTTCCCACTTGCCCCCAGCCCACACACCGGCCAAGGGCCAGCTCCACCTGCCCACCTGCTCCACTATTGTTTACTCGAGGGCTTTCTTCGAATGGGCTTTTTTAACTTAAGTGATTATATTTTGAAAGGAAGTCTTACAGCACCACTGGAAATGGAAAATAAGCATCGCAGGTGGCAAGCAGAAGGTATTGGAGCAAACAGAATAAAAGCAGAGTGCCATGAGATCCCACACAGCTAGGCCTGCGGGAGGCGCAAGCCCCTGCTCCACTCAGCCCCAGGAGGGGATTACGTCCCAGTCACACCGCGGAGGACAGGGCTCTGCCTCCCAGCCCCACTCACCAGGAGAGCGCCCCCACCTGATGGTCAGAAAGCTCTTCCTTTAATCAATGCAGCTGATACTGGGCAACATCTGTAAGCACTGCCTAGTGGGGACATGAAATGACTGAATCTTGGCCCCAGTTCAGAGACAGTGTCTGGGGACAGAGACTCCTACTTTCCACAGTTTCCCCAGGCCCACCCTCAAGTCCCTCCCTGCACAGGAGCGTGAGCAGAGGAGACAGACAGCAGCCCTAGCCTGGTGATATCCACACCTAGGCTACCTGGCCATCTCTTAGACTCACCTACACCCGCCATGCTAAAGGCACTGAGAAGTCCTGCAGAGGATACATCAGCCTTGTTTAACTCAGTATTTCCCCAGGACTCCTTCTCCCCAGCTCTACCCTGGGTGTGGAGGGCCCTCTGTGAAAGACAGACAACAGGCAGCCTCCTGGTCAGACCTCATCCATCCACACTGGTGAGCACACTAACAAATCCAACTTCGCTCAAACAGCAAAATGATTCCCACACAAATGACATCTGGCAGTTCTTGTTGTGTCCAGCAAAGCCATGGGACAGGCAGGACTGCCCAGGGCTCCATATATCCAGGCCAGGAGTGGCAGCTTCACCCAGCCCACCCCAACCCCCAACACCAGCCCGAGCAGGAGAGGTAGCCCCCACTCCACGCTCAGCCCTTTACAGTATATTCCCCCCGCAGACCTTATCAGTGCCTTGGCTGATAACTCTCTATCCAGACATCTCAAACTCAGCCATAAAAGGAAAGTGAACATGGCTCTCTCCTGCATGTGGCAAGTGCTCGTGCTCCAAAGAGGCTCTTGGACAGAACAAAGATGCTCACCCCTCCCCGCTGGTCCTTGCTGGTGCTGCTGAGAGAGACGCACCCACCCCTCAGGGATTCCTGGGGAGGGCACCATGTGACTACAGCCCAGCACCCGGCATAGGGACTTTAGAAGGGTCTCTGTCGCCTCCCAGTTCAACCTACCCAGGAGGGTCCCGTGACCCGTGCATGGTGCAGCTCCCAGGAAGCTGCCCAGGGAGGCCCAGTCCATAACTCTGCAGCTGCAGAGCCCATGCCCAGCTACCTTCTGGGAGGGGCAGCATCTGCAGTGGGGACTTCAGGATGGGGCAGAGCTTTGGGGAGGGAGATGCCAGGTGGAGGGAAGAGCAGAGAGTGTTTGGGAACCTGGCTCCCATAATCCCAGGGCTTTGGGAGGCCAAGAAGGGAGGATTGCCTGAGGCCAGGAGTTTGAGACCAGCCTGAGGAACAAAGTGAGACCGCCATCTCTACAAAAAATAATTTTAAAAAAATTATCTGAGCATGGTGGCACACACCTGTTGTCCCAGCTACTCGGAGGCTTAAGCAAGAGGATCGCTTGAGCCCAGGAGTTGGAGGCTGCAGTGAGCTCTGATTGTGTCACTGCACTCCAGCCTGGGTGACAGAGCGAGACCCTGTCTTTTTAAAAGGTGGGGAGGGGTAGGGGCTAAACAGAACAGTGGTCGCCAGAGCCTTGGAGAGGGAGGGGTGGCCGCTGTGACCACTGCTCAGCCTGAGTGGCCCCAGTATGCCTCTTCCCCTTGGCCTTCAGCCCACAAGGCAGCATCCTCACCTGCCTCACAGAAGGGGGTTGGTCCCCAGGTCACTCTGCCAAGAGGGGCCCCACGGAGGCCCAGGGCGCTGCAAGGAGCTGCTTCCTGGGTGTCAGGCTCCATCCTTGGGCAGGTGTGGTCTGAGCCAACGCCCTAGGCCGGGCCACGGCGGGGACCCTGTCCAGGTGGCCGGGAGGGTACAGGAATCCCTCAGCCCCAAGTCCATGGCTGGGGAGAAATCCTCGGGTGGGGGCAGCAGCGTCAGGGCTGACCATCCACCCCCCAGCCATGAGCCCGGGGGCTCTGCTACCTGGGAGTCTCTGCTAATTGGCCCCAGCGCCTCCCAGGCTGAACGTTGCTCAAACATGTCAACCTTGCTGCTTGATTGACAACCTGTCACTGTTTCGTGAGGTTTCTGAGGTGTTCCCGGGACTCAGCAACCTTGAAAGTTGGATAAAGAACTCCAGGAAACTGGCAAGTCAGTCAGCGGCCAGAAGTGAGGCCCTTTCCCCGCATGGGGGCTGTGAGGGACTGTGGGGTTCATGGGGGCCTGTGCGGTGCATGGGGGCCTGTGGGGTAGGTACATAGGGGACTGTGGGGTACATGGGGGCCTGTGGGGTACATAGGGGACTGTGGGGTGCACGGGGGCCTGTGGGGTTCATGGGGGCCTGTGGGGTGCATGTGGGACTGTGGGGTGCACAGGGGCCTGTGGGGTTCATGGGAGCCTGTGGGGTGCATGTGGGACTGTGGGGTGCATGGGGGCCTGTGGGGTACATAAGGGCCTGTGGGATGCATGGGGGCTTGTGGGGTACATAGGGGACTGTGGGGTGCATCGGGGACTATAGGGTACATGGGAGCTTGTGGGGTACATAGGGGACTATGTGGTTCATGGGGGACTGTGGGGTGCATGAGAGTCTGTAGGGTTCATGGAGGACTCTGGAGTTCACGGGGTACTGTGGGGTTCATGGAGGACTGTGGGGTTCTTTTGAACATGCTTCTTTTGTAATGAGAAGAAACAACAAAAAGTTAAGGCTGGGTCAGGCAGGAGGGGCCCCTGAACCCCTGGGACCCCAAAGCCGTATGGGGAAAGTGACAGGGTGGGTAGGCCCAGCCCCACCATAGGCCTGGAGCCCTGACACAGGGCAAGAGACTGCGCGGTGCCCTGGCCCTTCCCACCCTGGCCTCTGTGTCTGCTGGGGGCCCTGCTCCGTGCCCAACCCAAGGCATCTGGCCCCGAAGGATGGGGGCATGTGTTCTGCCGGGAGCCATCTTTCTCCACTGTGCCCAGGTGCCCCAGGCAGGAAGCCCGCTGGGGGCTTGAAATAGCCACCTGTCCCTACCTCACTAGCCCTGAGCCGTCTTGGGTCCTGGGGACTTCCCAGAGGTCCTACACAGGGGGGTCAGTCTCCAGCTCTGGACCTTGGGCCGTGCCTGGCTGCCAGGGACGCAGTCAGCTAGACTCTGAACTGGAGTCACTGCCCTGGGGGATCCTCCAGTCTGAGTTTGAGCAGAGCTGGGACCAGATTGGGAGGTGAGTGGACGTCGCCCGAGACTCTTCAGGCACTGCCAGCCCGGTGGGCGCTCGTCTGCAGACCAGGCTTATGGAAGGGGTTAATGTGCCCAGGGCCACACAGGGCAGACGGGGGGCACAGCCATGTCCTTCACAGTGGCCAGACCTGAGGAAGCCAAAATGGCTCGGCGGTCACTGGGCCAGCCTGACCGCCACACACAAGGCAGATGCCCTCAGCCCTGTGTGGCAGATGGGTAAACTGAGGTACAGATGGGACCAGGGTGCACAGGAAGCATCATGAGCCAGGGCTGAGCCAGGTCAGCGTGGGTACAGCAGCCATGTGTTTCCATGATCTCATGTGGCCAAAGAGCCTGGAAAGGCAGGTCCCACACTAAGTTGGAGACATGAGGCCAGGGAAAGTGGACATTGTCACACGGGCTGGTGACTCCGTGAAGCAAGGCCCAGAGGAATGAGAGATGGAGACAAGGAGCAGAGAGAAAGAGGCCAGGAAAGGAAGCCAGTGGGAGAGGTGTGGGGCCAGGGGAGGCCAGGAGGAGGAGCAGGGCTCAGGACGAGACCTGGGGAGGAAAAGCCACTCGCTGTCCACAGGGCCATGCCATCTGTGAGGCCCACCCCATCCACCCCAGCCCAGGGCCCTCCCACCCCTGCCTCCCCTTGTCCTCCAGCCCAGTGTGGCCCGAGGAGCCAACATCCCACTCAGAGCAGAGGAGCCTCCTTCTGTGGCCATGCTTCTCTGTGTGGCAGCCGGCAGTGGACCCTCGCCTCTTCAGGGAGCACGGATAGAGAAGGGCATGACAGCCCATGCAATAATGACCACTGGATTAGCCACTGCTCCTGTCATTAAACTGGCACCATCATGAGACCTATTTCAGAGCCACAGGTTGAGAAGGGCCCTTCCTCATCGAGGGCCAAGGCCTGGGGATGGCAGTCACGTGGCCCTTGAAGGTGTCCGTGTCAGGGGAGCAGCTGGGAGCAAACCCGCTGTGCAGGAGCCCAGAGGAGGCCACAGAGCTCTGAGCTTTGCTGCGTGGGCAGGAGGCGCCTCCCAGGGCTCAGCTGCAAGGGCTGGTGCTCACACTGGGGACAAGAAAGACAGACCAGGTCCAGAGTCCCAGGCCTCTCCCAATGCCCCAGAACCAGGCCCCTCCGTCCCACCCCCTGGGGCCCTAGGTTGGCGTCACGTGCCCTCTGCCCCATGCCTGTGCCCACCCTGGGATGGTGTCTCCCCTCTCTCAGGTCTACCTCCCAGCACAGACCCTCTCAGAGGCCTCTTTGGGCTCCCCCAGGGACCCCACGGCACTCTTGTCACGGCCCAGTGTGCCCATCTCGGGGCTCCATCCAGGCCCAGCCAGCCGACAGCCGGAGTCCATCCATCACACTGCCCACCACCCTTCCGGCCTGATACGGTTAGCTCTCGGGGAGCATGGTGGCTGCTGCCAGCAAGGGGCCCCCAGGGAAATCAGCCGACATCAATAAACCTCCCTCCGACACCCCACGGCCCCACGTGCACCATCACTCTTCCGCATCGACCGGCCCACCAAGGCCGCAGCTGCGGTGGCAAGGAGAGGCCCCTTGTCCATCAGCCTCGGATCCCCTGCCGCCCAGGAGCCCTCAGCCAGCTATCCCTGCTCAGCAGCATCTCCTGGCTCCCGGCCTGGCTCCATCACCGGGGCCCCAGCCCGTGTCCAGCCTCTTGGGGTGGGAGCGGGGGTGGGGTGCTGGGCAGTGCCACCACCCATCAGCCTGACATTTCCAAACAGCCTGGCACCGCCTCCTTCGCGGGCAGGACCAGCACTGTCAGCAGCTCCCCAGGCTCCAAATGCCAGCGTTGCCACCCAAGCTTGGGAGGGAGAAGCCCAGAGGCCCTGCCGGGCATCAGAGAGCCCAAGGTGGGCATGGGCAGTGGGGGTGCAGGGGCCCTGGGGCTGCTCTGCCAGCCTGACCTGGAGAGAGCGAACTCCTGGCTGAGAGCCCAAGGCGCCACCCCAGGCCTCCCCCAGCCTCCCCCATGGCAGGTGTCCCACTGCAGCTGGGGACAGGGATGGAAACCGTGCAGCCCTGGGCAGGCTGGGCCAGCCGGGCCAGCCGGGGCCCTCTCCCTGCCCTGCCCTGCCCCTCCCCACTGCTGTGCAGCTCTGCCACTGCTGGACTCTGGCCCCACGGCGACCCACGTGCCCTCACAATCCAAGCCATGTTGGCCCCAGGAGGTCTTCCCACTCGCAATGCTGAGCCCCAGCTGGAAAGTCACCCCCAGCACAGGCACTGGGGACAGACACTGGTCTGCCCTGTATGTTCAGTTGTTGTTTCTGTTTAAAGGGTGAAGAGGCTGGGTGCAGTGGCTCACACCTGTAATCCCAGCACTTTGGGAGGCCAAGGTGGGAGGATCGCTTGAGCACAGGAATTTGAGACCAGCCTGGGCAACATAGAGAGAACCCCTCTCTACAAAAAAAAAATTCACCGGGTGTGGCGGCACATGCCTGTAGTCCCAGCTATTCAGAAGGCTGAGGCAGGAGGATTCCTTGAGTCCAGGAGTTTGAGGCAGCAGTGAGCTGGAAGTGAGGCGCTGGAGCCACATCCCGCAGGTAATATGCCCAGAGGGTCTCGCCCACCAGTGCTGCATTTGGGGTGGGACAGCAATGAGCAAGTGGCATCGTGTGAATGACTCATGGGTGTCAGAGCCATGCACGGCCCACTGGGTTTCACTTCATGCTTGATTTTCAAGCACTGCACCCAGCCCGTTCACACTTTAAACAGAAATAACTGAGCTACAGGGCTGGCCACTGTCTTTCCCTAGAATACACTTAGGACAGTACTGGTCTATATATAGGGCTCAGAAAACGTGGGGCTTTTCCTATTCAATTTGAAAGATTTCAATGCCACATGTGGAAGGTTCTGCCCACGATGACACTGAGGCGTAGTGACTCGCCCCAAGTTCCAGAGGACACGACCCTGGGAGGACCCGACCCTGACCTAGGAGTTCAGTTTCACTCTGACCCGGGTGGGCCACCACACCTTCAGGCCCTGCGGTCACCCAGACACACTGGGCCCGGCCACCGCCCTCTATCTGACTACTGCCCCTGGTGGTCACCCTGGCAGCAGCCAGGCCGGGCTCGGGGGCACTTGGGGCACTGCTGCAGGGCCAGGCTGGGTGGGCCAGGGTCTCTCTAGGGTGGGGTCTCAGAGCCTTGGCAGAGCCAAGGGCCTGAGGACCATGCCTGGCCCATGAGGGCCAGGGCCTTAGGCAGAAGGCCAGGGCAGGGCGTGACTGGAAAGCCCCCTTTTAGCCGCCCGTGAGCAGGGAGCCGCAGGCCGGCCTCAGGGGTCCACATGTGACTGCACAGACTCTGGATGAGGGAGTGTGCCCGGGGGTGGCAGGGCAGGCCTGTAGCAGGGTCGCGGGGCGAGACTGCCATAGGGAGGGTCCAGGGACGTGGGATCCCAGCAGGGCAGGAGCAGAGCGTCGAATTGCAGGGGCAGAGGGGGTCCCGGAGACCGAGGTACAGTGTCTGCATTGGCGGGGGCTGCACTGCACCAACGGGCAGCAGGTCTGGGCGTGAGATGCCCCAGCTGGGGACCAGTTTGGCTGTCAGAGCAGCTGGGGGAGCAGGACACTGCTGGGCAGTGAGGAGAGTCCTCCGCCTGCTCACCTGGACACCACCCTGACCCGGTGAGGCGCCATGCCCACGTGCAGATCACCCAGGATGAATGCTGGGCAGGGCTGGGACACAAGTCCCAGGGCAGCTGGGCAGAGGGGCAGGGAAGGGCGATCTCTGCAGGGAGAGAAGCCAATCCCTGGCCTGGAGGGTCACTGGGGCTGGGGGAGCCCACCTCTTCTCGCTGTCCCATCCTGCCCCTGTCCCCATGAGCAGCCAGCCGGGCATCCAGGAGACAACTTGAGACGGGGAGGCGCTCAGTCAAGGCTGTGTGCTGGCCTGGCAGTGCCTGGCCTGGCACAGGCTCTCCCTGGGTGAAGGACCACGGGGCCTGGCTTAGCCGCCGACTCAACCATACCAGGGTCAAGGTGGGACAGGATCCGCTCTGTGGCCCAGGTTCCCCGACCCCCACTCCTGAGCTGACAGCCAGCCCACTCCACCTCCCCTGCCCACCTCCCCTCCCCTGCCCCACCCTACCCACATCTACGTTTGCACAGATCCAGGTGGGCCTCAAGCCCAGGCCGGGAGGTCCTCCCAGTGAGAGACGCAGTGTCCCCTCTGACAGCCAAGGCTTCCCTCCCTGTGAAGTGGGTCACACCTGGTCCCTCCCTCCTGGGGATGGGGTGCTCAGGAGGCAGGTGACCCTGCCCCTCCCACTGAGTGACCATGGCTGGCCAAGGCTCCCCAGGCCCCAGCATATGGGACCCATGGTCCCCCCACCTTGATGCTGCAGCGTCTTCCGGCGGGTCACCCTCAGCCCACCTAGGGTCACACCATCATATGGGAGGCCGAGGGCTGCAGCACTGGAGCCAGTTGGGTGTGAATGTGGACCCTGGGGTCCTTCCCTGAGCGGCCGCCTCCCCAGAGAGCTGCGCCCTGCCACAGCACAGGGCCAACCTGGGGCGAGACTTCACCCAGACTGCCTTGCCCTCGAAGGCAGTCCTGTCCCTCAAGGGGTCTTGCTGGGCCATGGCTGCCCACGCCCGCTAATGGGGCTGCCAGCCCCAGCACAAGCCGGTTGGTGGCTGATTGATGGGTAATTGTTTTACCTCTGAACAGCCCGAGCCCCATAATTTGGAAGCATAAATCCCAGCCTGTCGGGCTTGGCTGACATGGAATGACACCCAGAATTAAATGAAAGCATAACAATTAACAGCCCATAAAAATGTTCTGAGCGAAGCCCCGACACAGGGAAGCGCGTCTCCATCTCCGAGTGGAGCTCCCGAGGGCTCTGCGGGGCCTGCCTTGGGGTGGCGTGATACCAGGTCTGGCAGGACAGGCTGCCTTCTCCTAGAGAGACAAAGCTCCTCTCCAGGCCCGTGTTGCCTGCTCAGGTCCCCTCTCCGCTCACCCCTGGGCCACCCAGAGGTCACTTATGAGCTGGTGTGGTCACAGGCAGGCACTGAGCTTGGGGCAAACACCGGCCCTCACGCCCCGCAGAGCCCACAGCAACCACCTCCCGGTCCCCATCCTGCTCCACGCACCACCTCCCCAACAAGCTGCCACACCAAGCCCCATGTCAGGGGCCAGTGTGGGGAACCATCACTGAGACAGCGCTCAGCAGGCTCTCCCCACGTGCCTGTGGGCGCGCATGTCCCCAAGCCTCCAAGGGCCCACCCCTCACAGGCAGAGTGCTGTGGCCCCAGGCCCTCAGTGGGGAGCGTGGGCGCCCGAGGGATCTGAGGTTCACTGGGAAGAGACGTGCCCCACCCCAGGGCGTCTCTGGCCCCAGCCTCCTCCCTTGGGGCTGCAGGGAGGCTCCACCAGCCTTGGCACCCTGAGTCGTGGACAGACAGGGCAGAGGAGCAACATCCTGCCCACAGCTGGAAAACAGGACCCCTGAAGGGCTGGGAGGGCACCTGAGGATGAGGACATGAGGAAGCGGAGGGTACAAGTCCCCAGACCCAGTTTCCCACCAGTCCCAGTGGACATGACGGTGGCCCACAGGAGCCACAGTGGCCTTGGGGACAAAGAACCCCCGACCCCTCCAGATGCACGCAGTGGATGCCTTCAGGCTCCAGCTGCAGCTGGGCAAGGTTCTGTCCGCAGTGGAGGACTGGCTTGGGGCCCCAATGCCTGGCCACAGGCTGAACACCTCCTCTGACCCGCTGCGCAGCCCACATTAGGACTCAGTTCCTAAAGAGCCACTTTACCGGCATTGGGCACTGGCAGGGGGCTGCCTAACTCAATTGCCTCTGAGCTGTTTCGTGACTTGGTGATTGTGATTTTGTTTTCTTATTGTCATTGTTTTAAGCCTCCTCCGCGATGCTCTCTGGGTTCCTCAGACGGAGTGAGGCCTCAGGGTGCACAGCAGGGCTGGGGCTCCCAGAGGCCTTCTCCAAAGAGGTGCACGGATCCGAGGAGAGATTGGCTTGCCTAGATGGGCCACCCACCCACTGCACTCGCCCACCGCACTCGCTGAGGGGGTCCTGGAGGGCAGAGGTGCTCTGGGCAGGCAAGGCAGGGAAGACAGCGTGATGCTCAGTGGGCCTGGGAGGTGGAGCCCTCAGGGTCAGCACTGTAGCTGGCAGCAGGGCGTGACCTTGACCTTGGATGTGCCACAGATAATTTCAAGAGTGTCCTATGGTCCGAGCAGGAGGACTTCAGCCAAAGGGTGCGGAGGGGGAATCTAGGGGGAACCTGACATGGCCGGCGCATTCCTGAGACAGCCCAGCCCGCCACATAAAGGTGGAGGGCTGCCTTGGAGAAAACAAACTTGGGGCGGCCACATGCAGCCCCCCAGGCTCCAGGCCTGGCTCCCTCCCCAGGCGCTCAGCAGGAGCCACACCCGCATTGGGAATTCGGGGCAGGTCCGGCCTGCATGCTGTGTCGAAGAAATGCAACACAATTAATTAGCCCCTAAAAAAAGCGTTTGAAGTGTTTATTGCAGGACGGCGCTCCTGGTTTTATAAACAGATGGGGAAATAAAGTGGTGGGGATGACAAGCCGGGAACAGCTGCACAGGGACCCGGAACCTAATTCATAATTCAGCAGACTAATCAGAGAACATCTTCTGCAGGCGCCATAACGAAGGGACGTGAGGCCGCAACTGATGAGCCAATCCCCATGCGCCTGCCACGCCAGCCACGCCCCTGCACTGCTGACCCCAGTGTGAGCCCCTGCCTCCAGCCCTGGCCTGACCGAAGCACCCAGCCCCATCCCTGGTCACAATGACCTCCTGCCAAGCTTTCAGCAGGCGTTTTCTCAGCAGCTCCCTGCAACATTTAGTCACAAGCCCATTTTTCAGGAGAGGAAACTGAGGCGCAGGGAGAGTGAGCCTGAGGGACCTGCCCTGGTGGGTGCATACCCCCACAAGCCCTGGATCCCCAATCCACTGCCCAGGGGTGCACCCAAAGAGGTGGGTTTGGCCCTCCTGGACCACCCTGGATCCTCTTGTGCAGGAGGGACTCCAAGTAGACTGAGGAGCTCTTCCCTTCCAGCAGTTGAGATGTGGAGGGAGAAGGAAGAAGGGGGAGAGTGTTTACCAGCCAAGAGGACGTGGGATGGGTGTGAGGCTGGCCTTTGAGGAGCATGGACTGGGCGGGGACCTACCGGTGGGTTGTACATGGGGAAGCCCATGGGCCCCGAGCAGGGAACCTGGAATAATTGAACATAAAAATTCACATGCATTTGGCCAGGCGCAGTGGCTCACACCTGTGATCCCAGCATTTTGGGAGGCCGAGGTGGGAGGATCACTTGAGGTCAGGAGTTTGAGACCAGTCTGGCTAACATGGCGAAACCCCGTCTCTACTAAAAATACAAAAAAATTAGCCAGGCGTGGTGGCGCACGCCTATAGTCCCAGCTACTTGGGAGGCTGAGGCAGGAGAATTGCTTGAACCCAGGAGGTGGAGGTTACAGTGAGCCAAGATCGCGCCACTGCACTCCAGCCTGGGTGACAGAGTGAGACTCCATCTCAAAACAATAAAATAAAATAAAATAATTCACATGCATTTTATGAATCTTCTAGCTCCGACAGGAGCCCCAGTGTTCACAGCAGTCGTGGACTGTAAAATGCACAAGATGAAATGTTTGTGACAGCCGTAAAGTCCTCGTTTTCTCCTCGGCTGCAGTGGAAACATGGGGCAGCGGGGCCGTGGGCGCCAAGCCTCCCCATCCCCCGCTGGCCCCTGCCCCTGCCGCACGTGCTCGTGTGTGCCCTGTGAGTACCCAGCAAGACATGGGGACTGAGGAAAGAGCCCAGCTCACACCTGCCCTCTGCAGCTCACGGCCTCCTCAGGCAGACATATGGGGTCAATTAAACTCTGCAACAAGCCTTTTACTTAAACACATCAAACCACAAATACCATCAGAGTGGTTGATGTCGTAGCAGAGGAAGGCAAGGGGGCTGCGGTGCCTACAGGGGTAGTTCAGGGGCCTTGTGGAGTTGGGCTCCAAAGTCTAGGTAGGAGCTTGCCAGTGTGAGCAGCACCAGTCACCCGCCACTGTGGCACTGGCGCCGGATGGGACTCAGACGTGGGTTAGAAAGCCCCCAGTCAGACCCTCACCCCAACCCCCACTGGACCTCACATGCTTTCTCCCCACAGGATTTCAGAGGATGGCAGGGGAATGGGGAAACATGTGTCCGGCTACCTGCTGCTGCATGACAAAGCAGCCCAGTCTCTTGTGTGCTTGGTCTGTGGGTCTGGAGCCCGGGCAGGGCCCAGCAGGGCGGTGTGGGCAGCTCTTCTGCTGTGCATGGCATCGAGGGGGCATTCAGTGTACTCAGCCCCAGCTGTGCCCCCAGGCCTGGCCTCGGCAGACCGGCTGCAGGGCTGAGCCCCACAGGCCCTCCCGCTCCGTGGGCTCTCCCTGCTGGTCAGATTCCTTCAAGGCAGCTCAGGACCAAAAGCAGAAAGCAGAACAGCTGGGCTCTGAGGGCCTGGGGTGCAGCGCAGCGCCATGTCCACCCAACACCAATGGTCAAAGCTGTCCAGGCCTTCCTAGGTCCAGGGAGGGATGAAGACTGACAGACTCACAGAAGGTCAAGGAATGTGCGTTTGGCCCCGTTGAGTCTCTGCAGGATGGGCTCAGTACAAAGCGCTGGGCAGGGCAGAGGAGCAGAGCCCACCTGGACCCCAGCCAGGAGCCCACAAGTGCCAACAGCTCCCTGGGAAACAGGACCAGGGCCCCCAGCTCCTGGGTGGGCGAGGTATGCAGTAACTGGCCCCTCAGGGGGTGGAGCCAAGCTTGGAGACCCCTGCCGAGGCAGGGTCTCAGTGCTGAAGCAGGATTTGGACCCACTTTTTCTGTACTCTGACCCCTTTCCCAAAGTCAACCTCCCTTTGAGGTCCTCTCCCCAAAACACCCCCTGACCAGCACAGCCCTCCTCTGCGTGCTGCAGGCAGACTCCTCCCTGTTCCTACACCACCTGCCCGAGGTCCCCCAGCTCTTGAATGGCAGAGTGAGGACATGAAGCCGGTGTCCCTGACTCCAGGGCTGTGTTCTTGGCCCCAGCCCGGACCCCCGCATGCATCTACATCTGCTGTCTGCACTTGGTACCTGCCGCTCTTCCCCGGCCCCCACTGTCCCACAGTGAGACAGAACCCTGATCAGACTCCCTGCACAGAAGGAAGGGCGCTGCTCCTCCCACCCTCTGCCCAGGTGAGGTGCCACCACAGGCTGCTCAGAGCCCCAGGAAGTTGACTGGAGGGCAGGACGGCACCTTGTGTGGTGGGGCCACCGTGCAGGTAGAAGCAACATGCGACCCGGGTGGACACAGCCCCACAGGCTGCAGGGCTTAAGCAGGGCAGCCAGGATCCTCCCTCAGCGCCCCCTCGCAACCCCACCGCTGGTGTGTGTGTTGTTTGTGAGGGCATGGTGCCCAATTGGACTGCCCCAGCCCTCCAGGCCCGCAGTGCCGTCACTTCCAGAGTGGTCCGGCTGTAGACAGAGCCACTCTCGGGGGGGTGTTCAGTATGCACAGAGCCCCCACCCCTCTGTGCCTGGCCTGTCCCTTGGGCCAGGCCCCAGCAGAGGTAATCTTACTAAACAAACATGCCCCGGATTTGCTGTCTGTGCAAACAGCAGCAACTGCTGCTCTGCGGATGAGGGGCTCAGAGACTCCACAGTGAGGGTTTCCAGGGCTGCGTCCTTCTAAGCAGCAACATGGGAGGCAGCACCTCACGCCCCACTCCACAGACACTGGGCTGCGGGGAGTCCTTGAAGAATGCAACAGGGTAGTGCTAGGACCTGCTGCGATCTCCTGAGATACCCAGCCCCTCACAGGCACCAAGCTAATGTCGCAGAGGTGCGTGTGGCCCTGGCCCCAAAGAGGAGGACCCAAACAGCAAACAAGCTTGAGAGAGAGCCAGGCCCAGCAACCTACGCACCAGAGACCTGCCCTCGGCTCCGCAGACCCGGGGCAGACCGGGCCTCTGCCACCTGAGCTGGCCTCCAGGGGGAGGCTGCTCCTGCCTCAGACCCACCCAGCCCAGCCTGGGAGCCCAATGCAGAGGCCGCTCAGTACCCTCGGGTAGGGGGACAGGGAGACCTGTCCAGGGCGGCCCCCTTGCTGCCCACTTTGCCACCTCCTTGCCCCACTCAAGCCCTCTAGGGGATTGAACCAAGAGTCTGGGCTGGCCGGGTGTGGTGGCCCAGGCCTGTGATCCCAGCACTTTGAGAAGCCAAGGTGGGAGGATCGCTTGAGGCCAGGAATTCGAGACCAGTCTAGGCAACATAGTGAAAGCCCCTCGCTACAAAAAACTTTAAAAACTAGCCAGGTGTGGTGGCCTGCACCTATAGTCCCAGCTACTTGGGAGGTTGATGCTGGAGGATCACTTGAGCCCAAGAGTTCAAGGTTGCAGTGAGCTGTGATGACACAATTGCACTCCAGTCTGGGTGACAGAGCAAGACCCCATCTAAAAACAAATAAATAAATAAATAAATAAATAAGTGTTTAAATATTAGCCGGGAGTGGTGGTGCACACCTGCAGTCCCAGTTACTTGGGAGGCTGAGGTGGGAAGATCACTTGAGCGTGGGCGTTCAAGCCTGCAGTGAACTGTGATGGTGCCACTGCTCTTCAGCCTAGGTGACAGATCGAGACCCTATCTCTAAAATTAATTATAATTTAATTTAATTTAATTTAATTTTAAAAGACTCTGGGGTGATGGACCAACCAGGCACAATGCCTTTGGCCACTGGCAGAGGGCACCGTGAGGCTGCCTTGGACACGGGGCCATCAGGGTGAGAGGCTGGCACTGGAGATTGGTGGGTGCAAGGTATCACCCCAGCATCCCCAGCCTGCCTCACCCCCGCTGGCTCCCAGCCCTGCCCCCCATCCTAGAACTTCCGGCTCCTGAAGAACCAATGGCTCCTCACAATGTGGCCTCTGCCCCCACGCCTTCCCAGAGCTCCTGCCCCGGCCCCCACTGCAGGCCCCAGAGAGCACCTTGTAGCCCCTACGGAGCCCAAAACGCAGGCCCATGGGAGGATGGCACCTTTCTGGGGTGGGGAGTCCCTACTTTCCTTTCTCTAATTTTTCTGCATTTTCCAAATGTTGATACACTAGCATGAGTTTCTCATGGAGCTGGAACAGCAAACCTCAGCAGGAAGCAAGCAGGCTGCCCTCGGGCGTGCAGAGGAGCTGGAGGCCAGGGCCCCCATGGGGAGTCCTCCTCGAGGGGCCTGGGAAGGGTCTTGTGGAAGTACTGGGTGGGCTGAGGGCTGGCTGTCCAGTACGGGCTCAGTTTGGCCCTGTGTGCAGCTGCCCGGTCAGGCCATGCTGTCCTCCAAGATGCATTCTGCATCCCTCCCTGGGGGACGCACCAGCCTCATTTCATGGCCACTGCGACAGTTGCATTAACTTGTATCTAATGGGATGCTTGGCTATTGGACATGGAGCAATTCCAGTTTAATTAAGCGTCAGGAAGCTGGGCATTAATTAAAGTAACAAAAGACTCAGCACAACGCAAGCTGGGCCCTGCTCAGAGAGGCTGTGGTCTAGGCGTGAAGGGTTGACGAAGTGCATGACCCAGGCCCGGCACTGTCCACATGTCCACACCCCCTGGCTCACCGCCCACCTGGAGGCCACCAAGGCCTCACACCCTGACCTCCCTGGCTACCATGGCCCAGGCCCCAGGCTGGGCTTTGTGTGCTGAGCCCCCAGGGGCAGGGGATGGGGACCCCTGGAACACCCAGGGCCCTTGTTAAGGTGAAAGCCATGTCCCAGGAATGGCCACAAGGTCCCAGCAACCGTGGAGATCCGTCACACCCCAGCACCTGGCTTTGGCCAAAGGCCCCTCCCCACTCCCCTCCAGCCCTCCCTCCACTAGAATTTGGACACCCCTCGATGGACACAGACCCTGGCCACCCTCAGCTTCCTCCTCCTACCCCACCCCAGCCAGGAGCCCACAGGAGGTACCTGGGGACATGCCAAGGGCAGAGGTCACAGGAGATGAAATGAGGACACCAAAGCCAGCAGTGCCACCTGCAGTGGACTCAGGCCACCATGCTGGCCCCTCCCGGCCTCTACCCTTGGCCCTTGCACCCCTCCCCTCCCTCCTCCTCTCACTTCTGTTGGGCCTTTGGCCCCTCCAAGTCCATGAACACAAATCACATGAGGTTTGCCTCTATTGTATTTATGAAGACATTTTATGTGACTTTGGTTTTTGGTGGTTTTTTTTGTTTTGTTTTGTTTTTTGAGACAGGGTCTCACTCTGTCACCCGGGCTAGAGTGCAATGGTGCAATCCCAGCTCGCTGAAGCCTCCACCTCCAGAGCTCAAAGGATCCTCCCACTTCAGGCCCCCAGGTAGCTGGGACTACAGGCATGCGACACCATGCCTGGCTAATTTTTCTATTTTTTTGTAGGGAGGGGGTTTCCCTCTCTATGTTTCCCAGGCTGGTCTTCGACTCCTGGGCTCAAGCAATCCACTTGCCTCAGCCTCCCAAAGTGTTGGGATTCCAGGCATGAGGCAATGCACCCAGCCTGTGACTTTTTATTTTAAGGGCAGGTGAGTTGGGGACTTTGTCTTTCTTTTTCCAAGGAAAAACAGAAAACTAGATTACGATCCCCAGTCAACTCTCCCCCACATTAGCTGCCTCCAGGTCTCCTCTGCCTGGGCCTGCACTTGGGGCCTCACAGCTGCGACACCTCCTAGCCCCAGACCAGGCTCCAGGCTGCAAGGCCAGAAGAGAACCTCAGGTGCTCTGGTTGAAGGCACTTCTCCCCAGCCCCCGAACAGCATCACCTCCTTCCGCCTTGATGTTCTACCTGCTCTCCGCCCTTGCTTCTCTGCTGAGGCTGGATGGAGAAGTCTGGCCTCAGCTGCCCTCTACAGAGGTGCTGACATCTGCTGCCCAATGGGCCTCGGGCTGGGTCCAAGCCTCAAAGCCCACGCAAGTAAAAGGTGCAGCACTGGCCAAAGGGCCTTCCCTCTTGCACTCACTCACTGGGGGCTGATAGGCAGGAGCCCTGGATCCCCAGTTAGACTTAGTCCTGCCAGCCCAGGGTCCCCGGTGCAACATCAAGAGGACCCCAGCCACGTGACGAGGGTAGACGGTCTCCACAGAGCGCTGGCTGCTGCCGGCCCCAAGACACGCACCCTTGAGCCTCCCATCAGCCCTGCAGGATCCCGGTTCTGTGAGGCCCCTGGGTTCAGCCAGGGGGTGAGAATTCAGGGACACCCAGGCAGCAAGTGGCAGACCCTTCCGGAAGGGCCTGGACAAGGGTTCTGCATGAGGGCCCCGTGGTCGGGCCCAGAGCAGGGGCTCCGTGACTGTGTTGGCTCCAGATCGGCCCTGTGCCCAGGTACTCAGCGCCTTCCTATCGATGTTTCCCATGATGATGATCATATTTTCCCCATCAGTCGAGATCCAAATCAATGGCATTTGAGTAACTGGAGATTGACTTTAATTAAGTCTGAGAAGTTTTGTAACCATGCCTGATGGAGGACTTCTCCCTGGTCCACCAGATGAGGCGTGGGCAGGGCTGCCCCCGGGTGGCCTTGGGCCCTGGCCTGGGACTCCCCCGACCTGCCCGCAGGACCGACCATGTCCTCCACCCGGGCTAAGTCTGATGCTCTGCCCATGGGGCTGAAACCCACAGGCAGGGCTGACAGGGCGGGGCCCTGAGGAGGGGGCAGGGGCAAGGGAAAGACCCTGGCTGGTGGGGGTGGGGGCAGTGCCTTTTCCAGGCCACACGCCCCAGCTGGGCCCTCTGACCATGATTTCCAGGACGTTGCCACACTGCTCCCTTCCTTCACCTCCAAGAGGGATCACCCCACACCGGCCTCCAAGCCTGGTTTTACGCAAACCTTGTCCTGTAACCATCCCTGGGCTGCTGCCCCCCAGGGCTGTGGGCCACTAGCACTGCCCTGCCCTCATTCCCATTCCCATAGCCCAGTGACCACAGGACGAGGAGGGCAGCCCCCAGCCTGGCCCCTGTAGGCTGTTTTCTGCCCTGCCGCCCCCGACCCCACAAGCGTCTCATGATGCTGCCCAGAGCTGGAGCCCCTGTACCTATTCTCAGGTGGTGCACCAGCCCTGTCCCCTCCTACCCCCCAGCCTCCCAGGGTTCCCTCTCTCCTGGGGGCCCGGGCCTCCCCAGCCACCACCGGCTGCTCCACTACCCACCAGCAGGAGGATGTGTTTAATGACACACAGGAAAGAAGGTTATTAGCAAGAATGCATTATTAAGGGGGAGGCCCAGCGAGGCAGGCCACTGAATCACCCAAATCCTTGAGGACTCATGGTGGGTGCTGAGCCCTGGGGAGGGACTGCCAGGTGGCAGGTGCATTGGGGAATCCTGGGTGCTGGGGCAGCACCAATCCCAACTCATCCAAGCCCTGGACAGGAGCTCAGAGACTTTTGATGTTTTGCCCCGGAGGGCCCCAGCTCTACCTCAGCCGCTGGCTGAGCCCAGTGCCTCTGAGAGCACAAACCACCCTCATCCCACAAAGCCTCTGCCACTGCCTTTGGGGCAGATGTAGGCAGTGCCCTCCCCAGTCCGCAGATCACTCGTGGGGGAGGCATGTAGGGTCTGGGAACAGCCGCTCCCCAGGGCAAATGTCTCCAAGTAGGGAAGGCTCACAGCCTTGGCCTTCTGCCCTCATGGCCTTGGGGTAGGATTCGGTGTCCTCACGATACATGAAATAGCAGCCGGGACCATCTCCTGAGCCAGGCCAACCCCACGCAGGGGGCCCCACGGGGACTTCCTGCTGCAGTGGCCCCGCTCCAAGGACCCTCAATAACAAACCTTGCCATGGCAGTGCATCACCTTTACCGCAAACCCATGCTACGCACAGGGAAACTGAGGCCAACATGGGGAGGGGCAGCCCTAATGGCTGAGCAGGGACTGGGACCAGCCTCCTAGCCTCCCTGGAGGCCTGGACTTCCATCACTGTCCCAGGCCCGGCAGTTGTCGCAGGATCCTCCCCCAAGATCATCAGCCCCTCCCAGGCTGATGCCAGGTGCCAGGAGCAAGCTGGGGCTTAGGGAAGTGGTGGGCTCGGGGTAGCAGCTCAGCTGGGCTGGTGGCGAGCCATGATGGGGTAGGCAGGGCGGGGGGTCAGGGCTGTGGCACTGGTGCTCGCATGGGAAGGACATCTGCAGGCACACAAGGTGGGTGGCAGGGCCCCTGGAGGAGCCTCAGTGAGCAGCCAGGCCCAGAGGACAACAGCCCCAGAGCTCCAACCCCAGAACACAGAGCTGGGACTCGGCTAATGAGGGAGTGTCGTTCGGGGCACACTCTCAGAACAGTGGCCCCAGGCTGGAGGGCAAGAGGTTCTGGACCTGAGGGCCTGGGCTGGGGGTAGCGGCGTGGGGGCCGCAGGGGCCAAGTGCCCGGAGGCTCCAACACTGGCCTTCAGGACCTTGGACAACCCCAGCCACTGGGGCCTCAGTTTGCCCATCCAGAAATGACCTTGAAACAGAGGCCACAAGGGAGGCAGAGCTCCCAGAAGTGGGAGACAGGAACCTGAGGCCAGGACCACACCTGCCCGGCCCATAGCCCACAGTGCCCATCTGTGCCGAGCATCGGGAAGGCCCCCAACGGCCCTCCCCACGAGGCTGTCACCCTTGGCCTTCATGTCTCCAGGTGCCTCCTTTTTAAAGTCTTGTGCCTTGAAACATTTAACTCTCAAAGAAGCAGCAAGAGCAGTTTAAGCGCCCCATCTGCCCTGCCCGGGCCCGCACCTGTCTGGCCCATCGCCTACTGGGCTCTCCCCTGCCCCGTGGTCACTGCCATCTTTGCCATCACTGTGGGATGACGACCTCTGAACAAGGGAAGCAATGCAGTGGCCGCAGACAGTGGTCTGCATTTCCTGGTGACTTGGGGAGCGGCAGCCGCAGCAGGGGCACCACATGTCCCTCCTTCATGGGCTGAGCTCCGAGGGCTCTCCACCAGGAGGACGCCTTCTTCTTTCTGGAAGCAGGATCTTGTGGGGAAGCTGAGCTCAGCCACAGGCCCATCTGCATCAGCCTTTCACCCGGTGATTTCTGTGCCATCAGTGGTCCTGCCCGAAGCCATCATTACCACTGTGGTTAGAATAGAGTTGTGGCCTCCAGAGCCCACCCATCCCTGCGCGGCCCCAGGGTGATCCAGGAGTCCTTCTTTTTTTTTATTTTTTATTTTTTTATTTTGAGACTGGCTCTCACTCTGTCACCTAGACTGGAGTGCAGTGGCACAATCATGACTTTTACTGCAGCCTCCAATTCCTGGGCTCACCTCCTGAGTAGCTGGGATTACAGGCACTTGCTGCCACACCCAGCTAATTATTTTTCATACAGACAGGGCCTTCTATGCCTGTTGCACAGGCAGGCTTTCAGCAGTCCTCCCATCTCAGCCTCCCAAACTGCTAGGGTTACAAGTATGGCCACCGTGCCTGGCCCCATCAGGACCCCAGGGTGGTCACGAGCCCTTCAGACTTTTTCTCCCCTTCTCTCCTCTGGGTCTTTGCGGGTGAGCACCCGGCATCCCTGAGATGCGAAGTGCCAGGGTCCCTCATCCTTGGTGTCCAGGCCAGCATATCCACTCAGGGCCTCGTGGCAGGCCATGTCTGGACAGCCTCAGCCTGATAGGGGACCAGGTGGCTTCGGGGGGTCTGGAAGCTGTGACAACTCAGGATGGTCCTGTTCAGAGGATGAGGTGAGGGAGCCGCACGGTGGTGTCAGCTGGGAGGCATGGCAGACAGGGCAAGGAACCAGGATTGGAGAAACTGGCTTATGTGAGGGGCAGTAGGTCCCCAGGTCCTGCCCCAACCTGGGCTCCTGGTAGCTCCCAGCCACTGTCCAGGACTGCAGAGTCAGTAGCCTAAGGGTGGAGGGAGCAGGCCTGCTCTGCCTGGAATCACCTTCTTCATCCCCCTGCAGCTGAAGGCTTCACACCAATAAACACATGAGGCGGCAAAGATTAGGGTAGTGCCAAGCAACCACTCACACTTTAGTGAGAATTGGTGGATGGAGTAGCCCTGGGCTAGATCTCAGGAACATGGCAGGTCAAGTTGAATGGTAGAGGGGGTTCACCAAAGGCCTGGAGTGGCTGGGGCAATAGAAGAACCAGAGACTGGTCCATGGGTCAGATAATACCCCCCAACACTAGCCCAGATATCCAGAACATCTGCAGGCACAGGGCAGACTCCTGAGCCAACCCCATGGTCATCCACAATCCCAGTGAGGCAGGAAGAGAGACAGGTTCTGCCCACCTGCCCCAATACTAAGAGAGACCCCTGCCTTTGCATGTGCGTGCAGGGTCCTCACCCCGTGTGTGTTGGGGAGGTGGTCCTCACACTCCATACGTGCCACCAGGACACAGTGGGCCCGGGGGGCCAGTCTCAGCCCAGTCGACATGGCCACCCCCAGCACTAAGGTGCCCTCGCTGTGCAGGGCATCAGCAACTTTGATGGGTTTTCATTTAACATTCTCTTTATCACAATTACTTTGAAAACTATTCAGTGCAGTTATTAATCATTGAGTAATTATTATCTGCTCTTATATTAATTATCTGGCCATCGGGAATGTTACCAAGATTTAAAATTTTTAATTGTTAATAATATTTCCTGGACGTGGCAGAGGTTTCCTGCATCTCCACACATTCCCTCCCTGCTCTCGGTGAGGCTGGCTGTGGCTCCCCTGTTGTGGGGAGCGCCCACTCTCGCTGGCACCGCCTGCAGGTTGCCCCCATCAGTTCATCCTGGGCCCTGAGCAGGGCTCTGGGCAGGCCTAGGTGACTGAACCCTCCCTCTAGCTGCCCCCACTGAGCCCTGGGGTGCCCATGCTCACGAGCCCTGTGGCCGATGCAGGTCCTCAGTGGCCCCCAGGATGGGGCCGCCCTGGCACCGAGGCCTGCCGGGATTGCAGTGGGAGGCTGTGAAGCCCCTGCCACTTGAGAGGTGGCATCAGTGGCCTGCTGTGCTAGGTCAGCCCCAGCTGCAGATCCCAGGCTGCTGCGCTCCCACAGGGCCCCCGCCCAGCCCCGCAGCGGTCTCTAGTGTCCTCATCAGCTCTGTGACCAGCAGCCTCAGGGAGCCACAGGAGACAGGAGACCCTCCACTGGGTGCACACAGACAGGCCTGGAGAGGACAGGATGGGCCACATGGACGGCTGGCTGGGGCTGCGGAGCCCAGGGGTGGTGCCGCAGGCACTGGGAGGTGGCGTTATGTGACCACGGCAGCCTAAGACCACCACTGTGGGCCCAAGCTCGCAGCTCGCTTCCCACTATTCTCAGCAAGAGGACACAGGCTACCCCTTGAGGCCAGCCCACAGCTCTCTTACCAGGCAGCACCTTACCGCCCCTCACTGTGTCCTGTCGCTCTGCTCTTGTGGCCTGCTGTGCAGCAGGCACCACGTCACCCGTTCATAGATGAGCAAGCCAAGGCTCGGGGCAGGAGACCAGTGCAGCAGGCTCTCACCACCTCATGGGAGCAGGCTCTGCACACGGCATGCTCTCCAGCCCCTTTGGCTGAGTGCCCAGCCCCGACCCCAAGCTGCCCCGCTGGCTATCCAAGCACTGGGTGGAGTCCGGAGGGGAGAATGGTTAGGTGCCTCCTCTGGGTGGCCCTTCACTTTAGGGAGGCCAGGAGGCTGTGCTCCAACCTAAGTGGAGGTGGTTGTGGCTGCCCCTGCCCCTTCTCCTGCCCCTGCCCCTCCTCCCACCCCTGCCTGCTTCCTCTGCTCCAGCTCAGTCAAGAAGCGTGGGGAGCTGCTGAGACAGAAGGGGGCCGGGGAGAATGCCCACGGCATGAAGTCCTCGAGACCTCCCTGAGCCTCCCCCTCCCCACTCCACAATGCACACCCCATAAAGACCTTTGTCAGGCATCCCCTCCAATGCAATCAGACCAGCGTGGAGCCTCCTGTGCCTGAGGAACTAGTCCCAAGCAATGGCAGCCCTCAAACCCACTGTGGGCTTGTCAGCATGGTGCTGTGACAGTGCTGATGACAGTAGTGAGGATGGGCTCAGTCACAGCGACCATAGTGATGGAGGTGTGGTGATGGTGATGGTGATGGTGATGGTGATGGTGATGGTAACGATGGTGATGGTGGTGGTGATAGTGATGGTGATGGTGGTGGTGGTGGTGATGGTGATGGTGATGGTAACGATGGTGATGGTGGTGGTGATAGTGATGGTGATGGTGGTGGTGGTGATGGTGGTGGTGGTGGTAGTGATGGTGATGGTGGTGGTTCTGATGATGGTGGTGGTGATGGTGGTTGTGGTGGTGATGGTGGTAGTGATGGTGGTGGTGCTGGTGGTGGTGGTGGTAGTGATGGTGGTGGTGGTGGTGATGGTGGTGGTGGTGGTAGTGGTGGTAGTGATGGTGGTGGTGGTGGTAGTGATGGTGGTGGTGGTGGCAGTGGTAGTGATGGTGGGGATAGTGATGGTGGTGATGGTGGTAGTGATGGTGGTGGTGGTAGTGATGGTGGTGGTGGTGGTAGTGATGGTGGTGGTGGTGGTGGTGGTAGTGATGGTGATGGTGGTGGTGGTGGTGGTAGTGATGGTGATGGTGGTGGTGGTGGTAGTGATGGCAGTGGTGGTGGTGGAAGTGATGGTGATGGTGGTGGTGGTAGTGATGGTGGTGGTGGTGGTGGTAGTGATGGTGGTGGTGGTGGTGATGGTGGTAGTGGTGGGGTGGTGGTAGTGATGGTGATGGTGGTGGTGGTGGTAGTGATGGCAGTGGTGGTGGTGGAAGTGATGGTGATGGTGGTGGTGGTAGTGATGGTGGTGGTGGTGGTGGTAGTGATGGTGGTGGTGGTGGTGATGGTGATGGTGGTGGTGGTGGTAGTGATGGTGGTGGTGGTGGTGGTGGTGATGGTGATGGTGGTGGTGGTAGTGATGGTGGTGGTGGTGGTGGTAGTGATGGTGGTGGTGGTGGTGGTGATGGTGGTAGTGATGGTGGTGGTGGTGGTGGTAGTGATGGTGGTCCTGGTGGTAGTGGTGGTAGTGATGGTGGTGGTGGTGGTGGTGGAAGTGATGGTGATGGTGGTGGTGGTGGTGGTAGTGATGGTGGTGGTGGTGGTGGTGGAAGTGATGGTGATGGTGGTGGTGGTGGTGGTAGTGATGGTGGTGGTGGTGGTGGTGGAAGTGATGGTGATGGTGGTGGTGGTGGTGGTAGTGATGGTGGTAGTGGTGATGGTGGTAGTGATGGTGGTTGTAGTGATGGTGGTGGTGATGGTGGTGATGGTGGTAGTGATGGTGGTGGTGGTGGTGGTAGTGATGGTGATGGTGGTGGTGGTGATGGTGGTGGTGGTGGTGATGGTGGTAGTGATGGTGATGGTGGTGGTGGTGGTAGTGATGGTGGTGGTGGTGGTGGTAGTGATGGTGGTGGTGGTGGTAGTGATGGTGGTGGTGGTGGTGGTAGTGATGGTGGTGGTGGTGGTGGTGGTGGTAGTGATGGTGGTGGTGGTGGTGATGGTGGTGGTGGTAGTGATGGTGATGGTGGTGGTGGTGATGGTGGTGGTGGTGGTGATGGTGGTAGTGATGGTGATGGTGGTGGTGGTGGTAGTGATGGTGGTGGTGGTGGTGGTGGTAGTGATGGTGGTGGTGGTGGTAGTGATGGTGGTGGTGGTGGTGGTAGTGATGGTGGTGGTGGTGGTGGTGGTAGTGATGGTGGTGGTGGTGGTGATGGTGGTGGTGGTAGTGATGGTGGTGGTGGTGGTGGTAGTGATGGTGGTGGTGGTGGTGGTAGTGATGGTGGTGGTGGTGGTGATGGTGGTGGTGGTAGTGATGGTGGTGGTGGTGGTGGTGGCAGTGATGGTGGTGGTGGTGGTAGTGATGGTGGTGGTGGTGGTGGTGGCAGTGATGGTGGTGGTAGTGGTAGTGATGGTGGTGGTGGTGGTAGTGATGGTGGTGGTGGTGGTGGTGGTGGTGATGATGGTGGTGGTGGTGGTGGTAGTGATGGTGGTGGTGGTGGTGGTGGTAGTGATGGTGATGGTGGTAGTGATGGTGGTGGTGGTAGTGATGGTGGTGGTGGTGGTGGTGGTAGTGATGGTGATGGTGGTGGTGATGGTGATGGTGGTGGTGGTGATGGTGGTAGTGATGGTTATGGTGGTGGTCGTAGTGATGGTGGTGGTGGTGGTAGTGGTTGTAGTGATGGTGGTGGTGGTGGTGGTGGTGGTAGTGATGGTGGTGGTAGTGATGGTGATGGTGGTGGTGGTGGTGGTGGTAGTGATGGTGGTGGTGATGGTGATGGTGGTGGTGGTGGTAGTGATGGTGATGGTGGTGGTGGTGGTAGTGATCGTGGTGGTGGTGGTGGTAGTGATGGTGGTGGTGGTAGTGATGGTGGTGGTGGTGGTGATGGTGGTGGTAGTCATGGTGGCGGTGGTGGTGGCAGTGATGGTGATGGTGGTGGTGGTGGTGGTGATGCTGGTGGAGCTGACCATGATGGTGGTTATGGCCATGCTCATGGTGACAGTGGTGATGATGTAAGTGGATTATCCACCCAGAGTTTCCTGGAAAAACAATTTCTGTGCTTCTCCAGGGCTGCCTGGTCCCTCCCTGCCTGGGGTTGGTCCCCAGAGGCAGGAAGAGCAGAGCGTGGACTGAGCCTGACAGGGCAGTCAGTATCTTGAGCTCGCAGAGAACATTTAATCTTAGTTAAAAGTAAATAAGTTCAATTACTGGGAGGGGAAGAAGGGCCCAGTATTTACCGCGAGCATGTGGAGTGATTACTCCAGGAGGTTCCCTCGGGATGCCAGGCTCCATCCCCACTCCTGTCAGGTTCACCCGTGGCAGGTGGGAGGGAACAGCATGGGCCCACCCTGCCCTTGGGCCCCCGGAGGGGCATCTCCCTCCTACCCCCCAGGGCAGGGGCTGCAGCATTGGCAATGCCCCCTTCCCTCCCCCAGCCCCCAACTCTTGGCAGTGTCCTGGCCCACGGACCCCTGGATTCCTGCATGTGGGCACACCTCAGCCCGTGGCAGGACACCCCCAGGCCCTCACTGGCTCTGTTGCTCACCTGCTGTGTTACCTCAGAGGAACCCTGCCCCTCTTTGAGCCCCTGTCCTCACCTGGGAAATGGGTGATAAAGGCAGGTGCCGGGGGATGGAGGTTGGTGCTGGTGGTCAGTGTCCCTGTGACAATGACCTATTGGCTATGCAGAAGGTGGGCCTCATCTTCTGAACTCAAGGAGTCCTCCATGAGCACAGCCCTCAGCCACCAAGATCCCCCAAACTCCCATAGTTCCTGAATCTCCACGGCCCAGTTCTGAGACAAGAGCCCTGGGGCTTGAGGCCCCTCAGGCAGGGCGCGGTGACAGCCCGTCGGAAGAAGGGCTTCCTCCTGCCCATCCTGGCTGGGCGCTGTGCTAGGCTGCAGGAGCCTGCATTGGGGTGGAACAGCTTTCAGGGGAGACAGAGTCAGATCCAAGGTCAACTGCCCAGCTCAGCCCAGGACTCTAGCCCTTTGCAACAAGATGGGCCAGGCCCCTCGCTGGAGTCTGCTCAGCAAGGGGCCTGTGGGTCCCTGGGCAAGCACTAGCCGGGTCCTACCCTCAGCCTGGGGCCTCCTTCCAGCCTCCTCCCTGGTGCAGCCCAGCTAGAGCTCGTTCATCCCCTGGGGGCTCCTGCCTCCCCCTTCCCTGGCCCTGCACTGGGTGAGGGCGCATCTCCTAGAACCAGCCCCCCAGAGTCTGCTGAGATTAGGAGACCTGGAGGTTACCCCAGGGACACCCTGCCCCTGTGCCCCAGACGGGTGTCCCCCCAACTATAGGTGATGAATGTCGAGGAGCTGCCATTATCATTAGCGTGAAATGTGCCGCCTCTGCCAGGGAGGAAAATCCCATCTTGGAAATACACCTCAGATGCAAGTTCAATTTCACCCACGGGGCCATAAAACCCTTTTTCCAATCACCTGGTGCTGTTGGGGGCCGGCATCATTAATCCTGGAGATGTTATTTAGAGCCAAGACATCACTTGGGGAAAAAATCAGGTCCACACTCCACCAGGAACCCCTCTCTATTCCCTGCAGAGCCCTCAGGAGATGGACGAGACTGCTCGGGCACCAGGAAGGGAGGGGCAGGGACGCAGCCACCCTCACGGCCCAGGAGTCACGCCTCACTTCATCAGCCCTCATGCCAAAACGCAGACCCTCCCTACCAGAGATGGGCCCGTCGGCAGATGGGAAGACTGAGGCCAGAGAGGGCTGAAGGAGCTGGAGGGCTGGAGGAACTGGTGGGCCAGAGAAGCTGAAGGGCTAGAGGAGCTGGTGGGCTGGAGGAGCTGGAGGGCCGGAGGAGCTGGAGGGCTGGAGGAACTGGTGGGCTGGAGGAGCTGGAGAGCTAGAGGAACTGGAGGGCTGGAGGAGCTGGAGGAACTGGTGGGCTGCAGGAGCTGGTGGGCCGGCCGGCCCAGCTCCACTTGCCCTGCCTGCCCCCAGCAGACACTGCCCTCCTCTTCGTCCCCAAAGCCCCCACCCGGCCCAGATCCTCTCCTGAGATCAGTATCATCCCACAGCCTTTTATAAAAAATCGTTTCCTTGATTATCGAGGGTAACAATGAAAACATGTAATTGAATCTCCAAGAAATTACCATTTTTATAACTTGCGCCCAGTTCCCGAGATAAATTAAACGCCTCCCCTGTATGGTGAGCCGCTCACTGCGCATCAGAGAGGGGCTGATACTGCCCTTTATCATCGATGCGGGACTTACTAAGAAGAATGCCTCACACTGCCTCCCGGGAGGCTCCTGGCACCTCCAGCTCACGGCCCTGAGTGGGCAGAGTTGGCCGGCTGGAGACGCCGGGTGGGTGGTCGGTTGGGCCCCCTCCTGATCACTCCTGGCCTAGCTGCTGGCTAGCTGGGTGGTGGTGTGGGTGGTGGGTGGGAGGACTGGTCAGGGTCTTAGTCCAGGCTCCCAGGAAAATCAGGCCTGCGTGCTGGCCAGGCAGCAACAGCTTTCTGAGCAGTGCAACCCTGGAGCCAGAGTAGGAAAAAGGCAGGGAAGCCGGGCAGGAGGAAGGAAGCGGAGATGGCAGAGAGGGAGGATTTACCCACCTGCCCCCCACCTGCTGGCCAAAGCTGATCCCACCCAACTGCGCCAGTGCCCAGAGGACCCATGACATTGCAAGGTCAGGCAGCAGAGCGGCTCTGGGGGAGGCAAGGCCCCGCTGAGGCGAAGCACCTCCTGGCACAGGGTCCGGGAGCAGGTTGGGGCAGCAGGGTGGCCACACCCACCCAAGGAGCTGCTGGGTTGGTCAGCAGAGGGGCGGGGAGGTGGGGCCAGCTCCTGGGATGGGCTGTCCATCTGTGAGCGGCTGGTAGTGGGTTTCCTGCTGGCAGTTGCTAGCAGCTGGGTTCTCGTGGCTGTTTGGCTGGCTGGGGGCCGTTTGGGTTGTGGGGAAGCAGAAGGCTCCAGCCTGTGGATTCAGTTTCCTGAAAATGTCTGCAGGCTGCACTCAGCAGAGCCAACTTCAAGCAAAGGACCCAAGAGTGACACTATTCTCGTGCAAACCACCATCCACAGTAGCCGGTTGCCTGAGAGCCCAGAGCCACCCCCTGGGGAACATCCACAGATCAGAACCCTGGCAGTGGTGGTGGCACAGCGAGGAGGGGTGCTGTCAGGGGACAGAGGACCTACTCCCTGAGGATGGGAGAACTGAGGCCCAAAGAGCGGCCTCCCACTTGATCTAGGTGAACTCAGGGTCAAGGGTAACAGGCTGAGGTCACCCAGGAGCCTCAAAGGCTGGCTCTGAAGGTGAGACCTTCTTTTGGGGACGCAGGTGGCCTCGGGTATCCCCTGGCAGCCGGCACAGAGGACTAGAGTCAGGTGGGCCGGGAGGAACACAGTTCAGGAAGGGGCGGGTACCCACACCCACAACTGTGCTCCCACCTTCTCTCCCTCCCCCGCCTGGTCCCTGACTTCCCAGGGTCCCCTCCTCCCGCCACAAGGCCCTGCTGCCCAAGGGCCCACCTGGAGGCTCCAGCGGGGTTTGAAACCCCCACAGTTGGGCAGCAGCACGTAACTTCTCAGCTGTGCTGGGCAGAGGCAAGGGAGGCCCCAGCACCTCTCATCGCAACTCCAACCAACATGGCAATGCGGGGCTGCAGGGGCAGACTGCCTGAGGACAGGGCTGGGCTCAGACCCCAAAGCCCAGGGTTGAGAGAGCCTCTCCTCCACTTTGCAGCCATCCCAGGCCCATTCCTCAGAGCCTGAGGCACCAACTTCCACCTGCTCCCAGCCCCACTCCCACCCAAGCCCCAGATCCCTCATCCCACCAGGATACAGCCCAGCCCACAGCCTGGCTCTAAGAAGTAGGCTTGTCAAGCCTGAGGGCCTCCAAAAGGGCTCTGTCTCCAGGCCCCGGGGAGGGCAGAGGCCCCAGCCCAGGTCAGAAAGGGGCGGAGTGGACGCAGGGCCCCAGAAGGCCAGCACTGAGATCCCTCCCCTGCCATGTCCCCAGTAAACCTCTGGTGTGTCCCCTTGAGGCCCTCATGAGAAGAATAAGGCAAGCAGGGTGGAAATGGTTCGGTCACTCCAGAGCAGTAGCCGTACCCAGCCTCCTGGCCAGCCCTCCTCCCCAGACCAAGGCCCAGGTGGCATCTCCCAGGGCAGTGCCAGTGCCAGCCTCCCGCCCTCCCCTGCTGTGGGGGCCGAGGCAGCAGTTGGAGGTGGGGGCTCCACCTCCCCAGCCTCCATCATTCCCTCTCAGGTGACTCTCCATGTGGTTTGCCTCTTGGAGTCCCTGCAGGGGGACCCTACTGAACTTAAGCTGGCCTCCTGCACGCTGGGAACCCGGCCATCCCTCTGGTTCCTGGTTCTTCCTCCAGATGGGCTCTCTCTTAGCTGAGAGCAGTGCCTACACCCAGGCCACCCTCCGTCCACGGCCTCACTGACCCAGGCCACAGCAGCTGCCACACCCTGGTCAGGGGCAATGGTGACCTTGGACAGGAGCTGGGACCCCTCCCCCAGCCCCAGCTGCCCACTGACAAGTGGGACAACCTGGGGCCAGGCCGGGGCTGCCCGAAGGCTACTATGCTTGGGAAGGCCCCAAGACAGGAGCCCTGCCCCTTGGGAGGGGTGGCAAACGGCCCCGGGACAGTGCCGGGGTGTCTGGGATGATTCGTCTCCATGTGAAATGTGGGATAGACACCCTAGACTCAGCAAGGGAACTTCTGGCTACCTGGCAAGCCCCTGCCCTAGGCCCCATGGGAACTTCGGATCCAAGTGGGGAGGGGGCTCCCCCTAGCACTGCCCCTTCCCTGCCAGAGCTTCGGCTGGGTGGATTCCTCCACCGCAGCCCCCGAGAACCACCTGGCCTGCTCTGGGCACTGCTTCTGCAGGGGCATGGTGCCATCTGGTGGTGAGACTGGGAACTGCACCACAGCTCCAAACGGTACCTGCACATAAGTCCTGGAGACTGAGGGGCAGGCATGGAGGGATTCTGGGGGCCCTGCCTTTCCTCACCTGCCCCTGGTCTCTCCCTCCACCCAGGAGCCTGGTCCTGGGGCACAGAGACAGGCTTCAGGAGCTCACAGCCCAGCACTGTGTTTCCTTCTCCAATGGGCAGCCTAGTCCCCAGCAGGTGCTGGGCGGGCACAGGGCAGTGACGGGGACGGGCAAGGAGTCCTGGCTCTTGGCCCCAGCAAGGACTTTGGAGATGACTTTGTCACCGACCATCAGGCACTCTGCCACGCTGTCCCCCCAGGCTCCACTGTCCGACTAGAAGGTAAGTGGTGGTCAGGGAGTGCCAAGAAGATGGACTGGCCAAGCCGGTGGGCTCCTCAGGGGCAGGGTGTCTCCGGGCCTGGGCAGACAGTTCAGCCCCAGTGACCCTGGAGCCAGAGGCCTGGCAGCCCCAGCATGGCCACTTCCTGGGGCCTTGAAGCCCTGGACACGCCGGCTGACAGTCATTTACTGGGGCTGCATTGTCCATGAGAGGATTTTTCCTTGACATTCTTATATCTCTCTGATTCTTAAATAAAAAATGTGAGAATCCATGTCCAGAGACTCACCCAGGAGGGAGACAAATGGCCTGCCATCGCCTGCACCCTGGGAGCGACTTGGCCATGCTGGGGAGGGGGCAGACAAAGGGTGCGCCCTTACCTCTCTGAGCCTCACCTCTGACATGGGGAAGCCCCAGGGACAGGGAGGTCGTGGGCCCAGCATCCCCAGCACTCTGCCCTTCCCCCCGACCCTGTTTCCAGGACCCGTTTCTCCCAGGTTTTCTGGGACCCCCAACCCTCCACATAGGGCAGCTCTGAGGGCTGGAGAGGGAGCAGATCCTGACAGGCAGCCTGGGTGGGTGTGGGCCAGGAGCCCAGGTTAGAGGGCACAGAGATGGGGTCCTCTGAGGGCTGTGGCTGGCCCAGTGACCCCGAGCTCCATCCATTCAGGGCCTGTTTCCTGGCTTCTGAGATATGCTCGGGAGCAGCCAAGCACAGGCGAGGTGTCTCACACCTGTAATCCTAGCATTTTGAGAGGCTGAGGCGGGCAGATCACTTGAGCCAGGAGTTCAAGACCAGCCTGGGCAACATAGCGAGACCCAGTCTCTACAAAAATAAAACAATAAAGAATTATCTGGGCATGGTGGCACATACCTGTGGTCCCCAATACACGGGAGGCTGAGGTGGGAGGATCCCTTGAGCCCAACTGGAGGCTTCAGTGAGCTGTGATCGCGCCACTGCACTCCAGCCTGGGCAACAGAGTGAGACTCTTTCTTAATAAAAATAGAAAATAAATAAAATGAGCTTGGGGTATGAACATCAAGTCCGCGGTGCAGACAGCAGAACAGCCCCATCTGGCCCCTGCCCTGGGCCGCAGCCTGGCTCCAGCAGGAAGGACTCGGATCTCCATGCTGGGAGTCCCAGCCTCTCCTCCTCTTTGTCCTCCCAGCCCATCCCTGGGCAGCGGAGGAGGGGCAAGGGCATAGGGCGGCCCCTCTGAACCAGGCTCCTCGAGGCCATCTGGACGCCCTGGCAACATGGGCAGGAAGCGGCTTCCATGGCAACTGGCGTCCAGGGAGGCGCTGCCTGGCAACGGGGCCATGGCCCCCCCAGCACGCTGCGCTGGCCACACTTTCCGCCCTCGAGGCCGGGAGTTCCGGCTTCCAGCCAGTGCCCCCGCCGCAACCGCGCCCTGTCCTGCACGACATCCCGGAGCCTGGACCTGAGGCGAACCCCCACGCCCACCCCAATCCAGGACACCGCTTGGCAGGGCGCTTGGCCTTTGTTAGCGTATCTGACCCCGTGAGTGGGGGACCCCAGGGATGGGGATCCAGGGCCGGGGATCCAGGGCCCCATCTCTCCAAGAATCTCCCACCTTTTCGGGCTCAGGGCGATTGGCAAGGACCACAGGGAGGGGTGAGAGGGGCTGGGGGAGGAGGGGCTCTATGGCTGACTGACGGAGCAGCAGTATCCTTCCCCGGCACAGGCCCGGGGAGAGGGGCGGGGGCGTCAGGGAGCTTGGGGTTTCCAGGCCAAGGAGGATGGTGCCCAGGGGCGAGGGTGACGGGAGGACACTGGGCCATCCAGGGTGTCCCGGGCGCCCCCTCAGGGCCACTGGGGAATCTCATCCGGGCCTGGGCACCTACAGTGGGACCTAAGGACCCCGCCCTGCTGTTCGCCCAGGAAGCCAGTGTTGTCTTCCTTATTACAGGAGCCACCTGTCTCTGTGAAGACCTCTCACTCCTCAGCATCCTGGCCCCTGTGGGGCACTTAGCAGGCTGGGGACACACAGAGCAGGTGCAGCCCCCACCCCACTCATTCAGGGACACAGAGAGCAGGGTGCAGCTCCCACCCCACTCACTCAAGGACACAGAGAGCAGAGGGCAGCCCCCACCCCACTCAGGGACACAGAGAGCAGGGGGCAGCCCCCGCCCCACTCACTCAGGGACGCAGAGAGCAGGGGGCAGCCCCCATCCCACTCAGAGATGCAGAGAGCAGGGGGCAGCCCCTGCCCCACTCACTCAGGGACACACAGAGCAGGGTGCAGCCCCCGCCCCACTCACTCAGAGACGCAGAGAGCAGGGTGCAGCCCCTGCCCCATTCACTCAGGGACACAGAGAGCAGGGTGCAACCCCCTCCCCTGCTGCTCAGGGCCTCCTCCACCCCACCCCAGGGCCACCTCGCCTCAGGGCTCCTCCAAGAGGCCTTCCTTAGCCCCCATCCCAAGTTGCCCCATGGGGTTTCGGAGCTCAGCACATCCTGAAACCCATGACATTCCGGCAAAGGATGAACAGGGCAGAGGCCAGGGGAGGGTCCTGGAGGCTACCGCCACCCTCTGGCAGCTAAACAACCTCCAGCAGCCAGGGCCAGGTGTCCAGCCGCCTCTGCTGGGGAGGCCCCACGTGGCACTGAGAACAGGAGAGAGGTCATCTGCAGAGAAGATATTTCGAGACACTTCTTGAGGTGGAGAGCGGAGGCTGACGTAGCAGGACAGCCTGGCGGGAAGAAGGCAAGCGGCTGGCAAGCAGTGGCCTCGTCACTGGTGTGAGGAGACGAGTACTGCGAACAAGCATGGCAGGACAGCAGTGGGAGCTGGTACTGTCCGCACTCCAGACCACAGCCCTGCAGCCCGAGATGCCGCCTGGAGGCAGGAGGCCTCCCTTCCAAGACCTGGCTGTCCGGCTTCCTCAAGTTAACAAGGAAAGAGGAGTGCCCGGCAGCTCTGCCTGTCTCCCCTATAAACAGGGATTGAAAAGAAAGAAAAGCCAGACATTTGAGCACTGAGTCTCATGTGAAGCTCCAAGACTAAACAAACAAAAAAGAACCGCAAGAGAGAAAATGCAGAAAGCAAAAGATTCGCCTCCCCCCAAAGCCACTTTATCCCTAAGAGCAGAACAGAATTCTCTGGAACAAGAAGAGGGGAGCTCAGGGAACAATGGAAATGTCTTGGAAATGAAAAACAGGACTGCTAAAATCCAAAACCAATTTTTTATTTTTATTTATTTATTTATTTTAAAACAGAGTCTGGCTCTGTCACCCAGGCTGGAGGGCAGTGGCTTGATCTCGGCTCACTGCAACCTCCGCCTTCCAGGTTCAAGCCAGTCTCCTGCCTCAGCCTCCCGAGTAGCTGGGATTACATCCGCACACCACCACGTCCAGCAAATTTTTGTACTTTTAGTAGAGACGGGGTTTCACCATGTTGGCTAGGCTGGTCTAGAACTCCTGACCTCAAGTGATCTGCCTGCCTTGGCCTCCCAAAGTGCTGCGACTACAGGCGTGAGCCACTACGTCCGGCCCCAAAACCAATTTTTTAAAAAGCAGAGAGAAAGTGTTTGTGTTTGGGTTCAGGGAAGTCTATCTACAAGCAAAGGTAGAAAGAAGGACTCACAGGATCAATTCAAAAGGCCCAACATTTGACTGACAGGAGTTCCAGAACAAGCAGGAAATGAGAAGAAATGTTATCAAAGAAATGCCCCGTCTCAAGGCAGAATGTGCTCACCAAGTGCCCAGCGTGGTGAGGAAGGAAAGACCCACAGTTGGTGTGACCCCCAGAGGCGCAGGGATCAGAGGGGACCCTGCAGGCTTCCGGGGAGAAGGCTGGCAGCCTGGCCAGCTCTCACCACCAAGGACCACGACCGGCCTTCCAGTCCTGTGGGAAAACGCCCTCGGCCCCAGTTCTCTTCCCAGCCCGAAGTCCAGCAGGTGTGAGGTCAGGGTAAGACGCTTCTAGGCTTGTGAGGCCTCTCAATGTCTCCTCCCACGTCACAGCACACTCCAAAACTCAGTGGCAAAACCACCATGACAGCCCGGGGCTCGATGGTACATGGCCGGCAACTTGGCTAACGTATGGGCCGGTTCTCTGGGGGCCTCGCTGGGCTTGTCCACCCATCTTTAGGCAGCTGGGGACCGGCTGGGACGACAGAAGCCTCTCCTGACCCATGGCCTCTCATCCTGCAGCCCAGCCCAGGCCTCCTGCAGGGAGGACAGTCCCCAGAGCCAAGCAAGAGAGGTCCAGGCCCAGCGCACAAGTGTCGTGCCAACCTCTGCCCACAGCAGCTTAGGAGCAGCCCATTGGCCAAGTGCATCCGAGGCCGGCCCAGAGCCCAGAGGTGGAGACCAGTACCCGCCTCTTGATGTAGGAGGTGAAGTCACCTTGCAGGGGGGCCAGGACACCGGGAGAGGAGGGAACGGGGCTCTTCCTACCATATGAGGACTTCTCCGAGCCAGCTTTCTGAGGGTTAACTGACGGCTGATGGGTTCAAGAAGGAGGACACGGGCACAGGGACTCAGGGGCAGTGAGGGGCAGCAGGGCCGATGGTGTGAGGAGCACCAGGGAGCAGGAGGGAACGGGCCTGGGGCGTGAATCTGGCCCTACTGTCGGATGAGTTCTCTTCCGCCACCCAAATCTGGTCCGACCGTTAACAGCGTGGCCTTCGGCAAGTGACTAAAGGGCTTCCTGCCTCAGCTTTCCCACCCATAAACAGAGGATAACAGGCCAGGCGCGGTGGCTCACGCCTGTAATCCCAGCACTTTGGGAGGTGGAGATGGGTGGATCATGAGGTCAGGAGATCGAGACCATCCTGGCTAACACGGTGAAACCCCGTCTCTACTAAAAATACAAAAAAATTAGCCGGGCGCGGTGACAGGCGCCTGTAGTCCCAGCTACTCGGGAGGCTGAGGCAGGAGAATGGCGTGAACCTGGGAGGCGGAGCTTGCAGTGAGCCGAGATTGCGCCACTGCACTCCAGCCTGGGCGACAGAGCAAGACTCCGTCTCAAAAAAAAAAAAAAAAACAGAGGATAACAATGGCATGTACTGGATCTGGCATAATGTAAATATTCAATACATAGCTAGAAAAGAATGTTTTAAAACCTCAGAGATATATTAGGTGAAAAGCAAAGCTGGGCTACAGGATGACCTCTTCTGTGTGAACCAGGGGCAGGGGACGGCAGCCCACCTCTAGGAGCTTAAAGAGGAAGCTCCTGTCTGCAGGGACAGGAGATAAAGGTGGGAAAAGCTTGGACACCATTTTTATTGTTTGATACTTTTTGAATCCACACTGTGAGTGTGTGTATTATCTGTTTTATAACTAGGCTGGGTGCAGTGGCTCACATCCGTAATCCCAACACTTTCAGATATTGAGGTAAGAGGATCGCTTGAGGCCAGGAGTTTGTGACCAGCCTGGGCAACATAGCGAGACCCTTATCTCTACAAAAAACTTAAAAATTAGCCGGGCATGGTTGCACACATCTGTAGTCCTAGCTACTTGGGAGGCTGAGGTGGGAGGATTGCCTGAGCCCAGGAGTTGGAGGCTGCAATGAGACACCTTGTGCCACTGCACTCCAGCCTGGGTGACAGAGCAAGTCCCCTTCCCATAAAAGAAAGAAAGAAAGAAAACTCGCATGGTGGGTCAGTGGGTCAGAGGCAGTGAGGTCATCAGGCGGGGCAGCTTCAGGACCAGGTGGGAGGGGCCCATTGTGACCGCCCTGGCTGCACCCAGGCCTTTGTGACTGTTGCCTGGGGCAGCCCCCTCAGTAAGAGGGTGGCAGGTTGGGCCAGGCCAGAGCCTGGACCTGGGATCAGGAAGGGGTTGCAGGGAGGGATGGAGGGGCTGAAAACCCTGGGCCCCTGCGGCCACCCCCACCCCCAGTGTCCCCCAACCCCAGCCTCCAGCAGCCATGGAGGAGGCCTGGACCAGCCCTGCCAGGGATTTGTAGGGTGGCCCTGCCTGGGCCCCATCTCCTCTGCTCACTCAGTGCAGTCCCAGAGACCTTTCCCAGTCCCAGGGGCAGGGGGCAGTGGGCCCACAGTGGAGGGCGAGGCTCCCGGGCTCTTTCTGTCCAGCCAGGAGCAGAGAGCGAGAGACACTGAGGGGCCGAGACAAGGAGACCTGGAGGCAGGGCTTGGGTGGGGCTGGCCCCTGCACCCAGGGTCGAACCAGGGGGCTCCCAGGCAGGGGGGATCCATTGGCTCAGGGACCAGACCCTGCCCATGCCCACCCCTGTCACGGGAGGGAGGGGCCCTGGCCTCGCCCAGGGTAGCCCTGTCCCAGCTTCAGTGCGGGCTGCTGGGCTCTGCAGAACAGTCCTTCCTGCAGCTGGAGCAGGAGAACCACAGCCTGGTGAGCACCCCACCCACCGCCCCAGCCCCAGCCCCAGCCCCACCCACCGCCTGGTACCCCTGCCCCAGCCCCAGCCCCACCCACCACCTGGCGCCCCTGCCCCTGCCCCTGCCCCAGCCCCAGCCCCACCCACCACCTGGCGCCCCTGCCCCTGCCCCAGCCCCAGCCGCAGGAGCGGCCATGACAGGCAGCCCCCTCTCTCTGCCCCCCACCCCAGAAAAGGCAGAATCAGGAACTTCGGGAGCAGCTGGGGGCCCTCCTGGGGCCGGGGCAGCAGTTCCTGCCCCTGTGTCCCGAACACTCAAGCTGCACTGCTCTGGCCTGGGTAAATACAGGGCCCAGGGACCCCATGCAGCCAACGCCCCTCTAGCCCGCAGTCTTAGGGCTGATCTGGGGGCTCTCCCACAGCCCCCCGACCCGGCTGGCACGCAGCCCTTGGGGAACAGGGCACCTCTGCAGCTGCTGCGGCGGGAGCTGTGCCAGGGGCAAGAGGCTTTCGTGCAACAGTCCCAGGTGGGCCTGGGGGAGGGGCTGTGGGGGGGGAGGAAGCTTCGTAACAGCACTCCAGGTGGGCCTGAGGGATTCATTAGGGAGGGAGGTCTTCGTGCAGTAGGCCAGTGGGCCCAGCGGGGAGGTACTGGCCACCCTGCTGATGCTGCCCAAGCCCATCCTGGGCCCCACCCTCAGAACGAGCTGCAGCAGATCCGCCTGTGCTTTGAGAGGAAGAAGATGGTCATCACAGAGGTGCCCGCCTGGCTGAGGGGGAGGGGTGCTGGGGGCCCACCCAGTGGGTCCTGCTCCTCAGGCGTGACCCCACCTCCCCCTAGGTGTGGGACAACGTGGCTGAGATGCACATGGCCCTGAACAACCAGGCCACCGGGCTCCTGGTAGGTCCCCACAGGGCAGCACCCAGAAGGACGGGGCCCGGCGGGCGAGAGGCCACGGAGGGCGGGGCGAGGGGCCTGCTGTGCTTACCTCCTCTGGCCCCCAGAACCTCAAGAAGGACATCCGGGGCGTGCTGGACCAGATGGAGGACATCCAGCTGGAGATTCTCAGGTAACACGGGGGCAGGGGCCGGGCCAGCTGAGCAGGGTCTCAGAAGGTGTCCTGGTCAGGACAGGGCAGACCCATCCTTGACCCCCCACCTCCACAGCACCGAGCCAGGGGGTGGGTGCCAGGCTGGGGGTGGAGGGTGTGGGGTCCTGACAGTGAGGCCCCCGCAGGGAGCGGGCCCAGTGCCGCACTCGAGCCAGGAAGGAGAAGCAGATGGCAAGCATGTCGGTGAGCCCCCCACGCCCCACTCTGGGTCTGGAGACCAGCCCCCCACCCAGGGCCCTGCTTGGGCGAGAGGGAGAAATGGGCTCCAGGAGGGCAGGTCCAGGGCAGGGGGCATCGGAAAAGTGGCTGCAGGAGCCTGTCCAGGAGGAAGGGGCCAGGGCTGCGGTGCGGGGAGCCCTGTCTGAGGAGGGTTTCCCAAAGCCAGGGATCCCTGCCCTCAGCCTGGACACTCGGGGTGGGCTCTGATCCAGCCCCTCCCCGACAGAAAGGGAGGCCAAAGCTGGGAAGCTCCAAGGGCCTGGCAGGCCAGCTCTGGTAGGTGACTGCACGGCAGAGCCCAGCCCCCAGGCCCCCCGCGCGCCCCTGCCCCTGACCACCGCCGCCCGCAGGCTGCTGACCCTGAGGCTGCTGCTGGGCGCCCTGCTGGTCTGGACCGCTGCCTACGTGTACGTGGTGAACCCCACACCTTTCGAGGGGCTGGTGCCACCCCTGCTGAGCCGTGCCACCGTCTGGAAGCTCCGGGCCCTGCTGGACCCCTTCCTGCGCCTCAAAGTGGACGGCTTCCTGCCCTTCTAGGCCAGAGGCCCAGCGGCCCCAGCAAGGAGGCCAGGCGACCAGCACTGCCCCGGATGCCCAGTGGCCGTGCCAGCCCCCTGCACATGGCACCACTGTGCACCATCCTTGCCAGAAGCTGCAGAGAAGGGTGGAGGTGGGGTCTGTCCTGAGGGCTGGGCCTGTGGCTGGACATAGAATCATGACATAAGTGGCCGGTGAGCACGTCTCTGTGGAAATTGGGGGAGGGATGCCCAGGCGATCCTGCAGCGAGGGTCCCTCAGGGTGGAGACCCCAGCTCAGGGCCGGCTTCCCACCCCACATCCTACCTGCCCTCCAGAAGGCAGCCCCTCTGCACGGGGCTCTGACCCCCCAAGGCGTCTTAGGAGGGTCTCCACTGAAAGGCAACAGCAGTAAGGACTGGGGGGTCCTCAGGTCTTGCCCCCTGGGCCAGGCCCTCCCAGGGACCTCAGAGGTCAGGTTTTCAGCGCTGAACCTGCTGATCCACTGACCTCATGCCCCTCATGCAACTCCCCTCCCTTCCTGGCCACCACCCTCCCTGCCCAGGTCCTGTCACCTCCCCAACCCAGGGCCCTGTCCGGTCCAGGGGACCACATTGGTAGACAGAGCTGATCAACACCAAAAATTTTATTTGGGGAATTAATTAGCAGGGGTACCCTTAAGAACAATAGAGAATGGTTTTGTGGCTTTCTCGTCCCCAAATGGGAGATGTAGAGCCACAGCCCAGGGTGGACCCAGGGACAGGGACCCTGTGACGGAGAAGGGCTGGCCGGAGTGCCACCCTGCCGCAGGCCGTACCACTGCTGGAGGACACAGGGCTTGGGCCTCAGGCCCTCTGAGATCCCGCCGGCATCGTCTCTGGGTGCAGGCAGCCCCAGTGGGGCCCAGGCGGAGCTGGCCAAGACCACAGGACCTTGGTGGCAGGCAGAGGCCAATGGCTCACCAGGCTGGTGGCTCCAGGAAGTTAAGGCATCTGTTCATGTGTCAGGGGAAGGGCAGGAGGAGTGCAGAGACCTTCAGGGGCAACCTGAGACCCCCCCCCCACCCAGCCCAACCCACGGAGGCCTGGGCTCCCCGAGGAGGAAGTGGCTTAGTCTAAAGTGCTTGGTTGGGTAGGGAGGCTGGGCAAAGGTCGTGCCGGTCCCCACAGCTCTGGGACTGCCCCCCTGTGGGGTGCTGGACCCCCTGCAGCAGGTGGGGGACTCCCTGAGGTCATGTGGACACAGGGTCTCAGGCCCTGGCAGGCTGGGAATCTGTCAAGCTGTGGCTGGTGGAGCAGAGAGCCCAGCCCACCCCCAGCCCTGCCCCAGGGTCCACTGCAGTCTGACCTCCTGGGTCCCCAGCTGGGCTGTCCTGGGCCCCAGAGCCGCCTACTTGTCATCCTGCTAGGGCCCCGAGAGGCTGGGGAAAAGACTGGAGGCAGCCAAGTGCAGGCGGCACATGGCCCCGCGTGGGGGTGCCCCGGCGGCCTGGCTCCAGGGGGCCCGCAGTGGTGGGCGGTCCTCCGGGCGGCCAAGGTGGCACAGGTGCAGCCCAGGAGGCACCCAAGGCTGGCCACGCCGCCCCCATCCACGGGTGCAGGTGCCAATCCGCCCCCTGCGGGCCGCGGCGTCCGTGAGAGAGAAGCAGAAAGGTGGAGGTCAGCTTCGGGGCCCTACAGCCCGCACGCCTCCCACGCTGGGACAGCCCCAGCCCAGAATGTCTCAGCCCTGAACAGCTGTGCATCCCTCACACTCCCTCAGCCCTGCCCCTGGCATGTGGCAGGCAGGAGAGTTCCAGCAGGTTCAGCGGCCCCCACAGGGCCCTGAGCCAACAGGTGGCCCCTATGCACCCCCATTTCATCTCCCCAAGCTCTCGGGTTCCTGAGAGTCCCCTGTGGGTAGCGGCAGACCCAAGTCTTTCCCCCAAACACCCTGTCACTGCCAGAACTGACACAGACCCAAGGCGAGAGACCCTCACACTTCCCAGCCACAGACCATCGGCCGCCCCCTCTTCCCAAGCCTCTGACTCAGCCCAAGTCGGCAGAAATGCCCCTGAGGAACCCACCGACCCCTGCACACCAGACAGCAGCCACTCCCTCTTCTGGGGCCCGGCCCCTGCCCTCCCCTAACTCGGGATCCTGCAGCAATAGCCCTGGCCTTGCCCAAGGAAAGAATCAAAATAACTCTTTTTCTTTTTTTTAATAAAATTATAGATATATAGATGTAGATATAAAAACATAAAACAGACACAACGCAAGCAGACGCTGTCATGTGCTTACTCTCAGGTCCCTGACACCAAGGGAAGCACTGACCCCTCCCCAGTGTGCTTTCCCACGGCGCGAGCACCGCAGCCAGGCCGGGGCTGCGGACGTGGCATGCCTTGGGGTGGGGTTCTCCAGTTTGGCAGGGAGGGCCTGAGGGCTGGGGAGGGGGCTCTGGGTGTCACCAGCCCCCTGTGGCAGCATCACCCCCGTGCCTGCTCCCGCCTGCCCCCCCGTCGCCTCCCACAAGAGCATAAAGCAAAGGTTAAGGCTTTGATGAAAGGGACAGCGGCGGCCGGAGCACTGACACATCAGACACGGCGCGGCAGCACAGCACACAGACACGGGACACATGGAGCCGGGCCCCCGGCCACAGCTGGCTGGCTGGCCGTCTGTCCACCTATCCACCACCACCCAGAGCAGGCCAGGGCAGAAGCATCAGCCTTGCCAAGCTACAAGCTTCCAGCGGGGTCCGTGAAAGGCAACGCGTTAGTTAGGAGTAGCCTGGCGGGGGACACTCGGTCCGGGAGCCCACAGGCTGTGTCAGAAGGACGGTGGGGGCCCTGGGTGCCTCTGTCCATCTCTGGGACCTGTCCGTAAGGGGACCATTGGGGGCTGGCCTGGCGGTGATCTGGGGTGCTGGGTGATGGCAGTGGGCCAAGCCTGGCTGAGAGAGGGTGCCCCAAAGAGGCTGACTGGGCCCCCTCACTGCCCCAGCCATGGGACAGGCCCAGACACAGACCAGCCCAGTGGCCCTTGTCCCAGTGAGCCGACTTCCCCATGGGCAGATGAGTGGACGGGCAGGCAGAGCGCTTGGGGCAAGCTGTGGAGGCGTGGCACTCTCTCCCGCCGATGGGTCCACACCAGGCTGGGGTGGCCTCGGGTCCCTGGGGCAGAGAAGTTGGTGGGGAGGGGGGGTGCGCTGTGGGGTCCTGGTCCCCGTGGCACCATGGCGGATGTGTGGCAGTCAGTCCTCACACCGAGATCTCGTAGGTGGTCCCACCCACGCCGGACACCTTCTTAACCAGCGTGTGCCGTGTAGGGCTGGCAGAGGGCCCTGGGGGGCCGGTGGCAGGTCCCAGCCGGGCCAGGCCCGGGGACTGCCCATTAAGCTTACTTGGGGGAGTCTTCAGCTGAGGGTGGTCCCTGCATCAAAACAAGCACATACACACATGCACACGGTGAACACACGAACACGGGGACAGAGGACGGAGGAGGCAGCAAGACAGAGACGACGCGGACGTGGACTAGTGCAGCCGAGTTGTGGGGCCCCGTGCAGTCCCTGCCCTCTGGGCTTGGAGGGTTCACCTGGAAAGCAGGTGAGGGATGCAGAGCCTGCCTGGGGAGCAGCTGTGCTGTCACAGGACAGACAGATGTTGTCAGAACTGCCACCACCCTCCCGAGTCCCTGGGTCCCTCCTAGCCAGCACTGGCCACAGAGAGCATGGGGCAGCCAGGTGGGCACTGAATGGAGCCCCTGCCGTGCCCTGCACTGGGAGCCCAGCCACTCTGCCTGGCCTCATTCCTGCTCTCTCTCAGGAAAACGAGGGGCTGCCCTCCTGCCCACCAGCGCTGACCAACAGCAGCTGTATCTTTGCTACTTAAACCTTCTTGAGGCGAGAGCCCTTTGTCCCCGGGCTGCGATCCCTGCCTGGCTGCAATGCTGCCCACTTCTAGGTCTCGGGCTCCCCACTCATCACTCCCAGTGGCAGCCTCCTCCCCAACTCCACAAAAGCTGAACAGGTCCCACCCTGTGGGGTAGAGGAGACCCGCTCAGGGCTGGACTGCTGTGCCCTCAGCCCCTTTGTGGCCAAGTGGCCTGGGCTGGGCTGGGCTGGGCTCTCCCTCTGGGGCTGCATCTGCCGACGGGAAACAACTGCGCCTGTGCTTGAGGTTTCCAGGCCCGGACAGGGCGACAGATGCCGTGAGGACACCATGCGTCTGTGGCGTGGGTCCTGGCCCCAGCAGGTGTGCAGCTCTCCTACCTGGACCTGGGCCTGTGAGCCAGCTGACCCCGCCTTCTCAGTCACCAACCTGCCGGGTGCCTGGAGCCAGCCTGCTTTCTCCAGTCCTCAGCTTCCCCACCTACGAGCAGGGAAGCCCCTGCTTCCTAGAACTATGTCCTACAGGGAGGGCCAGGGCCCGGCCACTCAGGGTGGCACATTCTGCTGCTAGGTAATATCCTCAGCCCCAGCCTCCTAGAGATGCAGCCAAGCAGGCCCAGGGAGAGCCCTGGGTGGACAGGGCCACTGTGACCCAGGAAGCCAGAGCCACAGCCTAAAGGAGGCCCAGGCTGCCACATGATACTGGCCCCAAAGAGAAAGCCCCATGGCCTCCCACATGCTGGGTCTGTGCCAGCTCTAGAAGAACGAGTCGTCGGGCTCAGGACACAAATTCTCATACCCTGTCCCCAGAGCGTGCCCAGGACATCCTCAGAGCTGGGCCACACGGGCTAGCCAAGGCCTTCAAGGCAGGGTGAGGCGCATCCTCCCTGTCCCGTCCCCAGAGAAAAACTCAGGCCCCTGGGATGACCTATGAGTGCCCAGCCAAGAGGGGCCCTGGAGACGGCTGGACAGCTGCCCTGTGCCAGGAAGCCCACCCGCACCTCCCGGCACCCACCTCTGCACGGTCAGCGAGGGCGGTGGCTCTGGGAGGTCCGTGTGGATGAAGGCGACAGCTTTGGGGCCCGCGTAGGATGGTGAGTGGGGAGTGCCGGGCGGGGAGGGCAGGCCCTGGCGTGCAGGTGACCTGTGTGAGCCACTGCTGGGCCGGGGCCCCGGGGCGTTGCTGCTGGCCTGATCAGCCTGCAGGGAGGAGGACGACGTCCGCGGTGCACGGCTCACGGAGCTGGACAGCGAGGACAGTGACGTCTGCAGGGCAGGGTTGCGGGCGCCACCGAAGCCGGGCCCAGCCACAAGGTCGTCTCTGGAGCCATAGCGCAGCGCGGGACCTCGGGGGCCCTCGGACAGCACACTGGCCTGCTGCAGGCTGTAGGAGCTGGGAGCGTCATAGACGCCTGAGTCGCCGAAGAGTGAGTCGGCCTGGGAGCGCAGCAGGCGCTCACGCTCCTCCCTGTCCTTGCGCTCCTGGATGGATGCCATGATGGTCCTGGACAGGTTGTCGTAGCGCACAGGCGAGGGCTCCCGGGGGCGGGGGCCCAGCACGGGGCTGAAGCTGCGGGGTAGGGGCCGTGGCGGGTCGCCCGTTGCCCCAGGATGCAGGTAGGGTGAGTGGTATCCGGCCACGCCAACTGCTGGGTGGGCAGGGCAGGCGTGGCCACCAGGCGAGCCAGGATTGAGCAGGCTGTCATAGGACAGGCTGCCGTTGCGGTTGGGCAGTGCATGGGGGGCAAAAATGCTACGGTGGGGCGTGGGGGGCCCCCCCTCAGAGCGCAGGGGCTGCAGGGCCACATGATCCCCGCCCCGCCGGCTCGAGGCCTTGAGGCTCAGGGAGCGCAAAGCGCCCGAGAAGGCATCAGAGGCGCTGAGCGGTGGGGATGGCGGGTAGGCTGCATGCAGGCCCCCTGGCCCATAGTCAGGGAGGTCCAGGCTCGGCTCGGACACAAAGTCCAGGCTACGGATGCTGTCGTCCCCCAGGGTCAGGGAATCAGGGCCTGGAACCTGTAGGGAGAAGGCATTCTCACCACTGCCCACCTGCCACCCCGCCTGCAGCCGCCAGTCAGCACCCACGGGGGCCACACATGGCACCGTGGCCTCAGGAACTGGGCCTCAAGGAGCCATAAGAGCCACATAGTGACCCATGGCCCTGTCCCTGAGCATCCACGGCTGAGGGGCAGGGGCTCTGCAACAGGAGGGAGGCCACAGCTGGCTACTGCAGACACCTGGGGTTCTGCCCTTGGAGCCATGCAGCCCCAGGGGCCCACCACTCAGGGCAGCCAGAGGGAGGAGGAGCCTCGTCTAGCCCCTGTGACGGGCACATAGGCATGGGCTTGGGCTTGGGCTTGGGACAAGAGCCTCAGGAACCACAAAGCCAGAAGTGGATCAGGGCAAATGTGGGCTCAATGCACTTGGCCAACCAGACCCAATCCCCCACTGGACCCAGGAGTCCCAGGAAGATGACATACCCAGAGCCCTCATCTCCAAACAGGGATGCCTCCTCCTGCGAGGCACGGCCCCTACATGCCTGCAGACTCAGACCCTTGGCCAAGGAGGCTCAGACTCACTGCTTCACCCAGTGACTCTCTCCAGGAAAGACATCAGTCCTGAGGGGAGAGGTCCCTGGGGATGGGGCTGGTCTAGGTGCACAGGGCCCAGTCACAGGCCTGCCTCTCGGGGTGGCCCAGAAGGAAGGATGGCACCCTGGGACTGTTTGGTGTTCCTGATCACTGCACAGACCGCCCCGCACTGCCCACCATTCCAGTGACCACAGAGCACTCATGCAACTCAGGGAAGAGAAATGTGCTTTCTCAAGCACGTCTCAAATTCTTCCAAAGTCTTCCCGTGGGCCTTACAGAGTGACTAATGGTGGAATTCCAGGCATCCTGGTACACAGTGCTCCTGGGGGCAGCCGCCCACCTGGCCTAGGGCAATGCTGGCCAAGGGACAGACGCCAAGCCTGGATGGCCCACGCCAGCCCCTCCCAGGACACCCTGCTCCCCTCTGTGGGTCCCAGCTCTGGGTGCACACAGACAGGGTCCTACCAGTCACACAAGGCCCTTGGTGACCCAGGCAGAGCCCTGAGGGGCATGGCCTCAGGGGATGTGGCCTCTGCTGGAGAGATGGGGCTCTGGAGGTGGGGCCTTCACGGGGTGAAGGCTGTGGGGCGAGCTCCTAGAGGCGGGCCTGGGGGACGAGGCCTGCCAGGGGGCAGGCTAGGCCTCCTTACCTGCTCGCCTGGTCCACAGAAGGGCACCTTGGGACCCGTGGGGAAAGCCGGCCTAAACTTGTACATGGCAGGTGTCGGGGGGCTGGTCCTCTGCACCGACAGGGCACTCTCTGGGGATGCAGACCACTGTCAGACTGAGGTCAGAGGAGGGTCAACCCATATCCCTCCCTAGTCGTGGCTGCCCCAACCTCACCAGCACTGCCTGGGCGCGGGGTCTGCAGGTCACTGCTGAACGTGCCAGCCTCTATCTTGGGGGGCAGTGGTGGCCCCAAGTCCAGTGGCTTCTCATCCAGCCGGTCCAGGCTGCCCTTGGACTGGGAGGGAGCGGGGTCAGTGGTGTGTGGGGCTTGGATGAGGGGCAGGGCTTCACTAGGGATTCAGCCTGGGACCTAGCCCCCTCCCAAGAATCTGTCTACGGCTCTGTCTGCCCCATCCACCTCTTCTAGGCCCCCACCAACCTGCCTGTTTCCCCATCCAAGGGCCTGACTGCCAGCCCATCCCTAAGCCCAGGCGCCCACCTTGCTACGGCCCAGGCCAGCCTTCAGCCCGTTGTCACTAAGCTTGACCTTGAGCGGTGCAGCTCGGTCCAGGAGTTCAGGCCTAAGGAAAGGCGGCTTCAAACTCACCGCGAGCGGCAGCCGGGGTGGCTCCACCACGTACCTGCACCAGGGCACAGGGGTCAGTAGCCAGCCCACCTGCCACAAACACACAAGGGCAGGGCTGGCCATACCTGGCAAGAGCCAAACGGACCAAGAGGGTCTAAGGCTGCCCGCCCCACACCCAGCAGAGGCCCCCCTCCACCCTGCCCAGGCCGGGCCTCACCGGGGCGCCAGGGGGCTACACAGCACGTGCTCCACATTCCCACAGCAGCCTCGGGTGAAAGGGTTCACACCCCCGCGGAACTTCCCAGTCACCTGTGGATGCAGGACCCTCAGCCAGCCTGGCCTCCCAAGGTCCAGGCCAGGGTGGGCAGGGGGCTGGGCAAGGGAGCTGGGGTTCCTTAGAAGCTGATACTTGCGGGAAGTGGCTTAGGTGGGATCAGCCCAGGGCTGCCCCTCACATAGGTTACCCAGCCTGAACTTGCAGGGAGCTGTGGGATTTCTGGGTCACTGGTGGCCACAGTGTCCACAGGCAGGATGTGCGCAGGGGACGGGGCAGGCGTAGCCCCACGTGGGGGTCTCAGAGTTGGAGCCTCGTCTCAACACAGCTGCACAAGCTACCTCAGGCAAGGGTGCCCCAGCCCCCACCCTGTCCCCATGCAGCCCCAACTCTCTCGGCCCTTTGGGGCCACCCATCCCCCATGGGGTCTGCACCTGCTCGTTGGTGGTGCGCCCCCGAGTGACCAGCACCACATGGAAGCCAGTGAGGCCAATGACAGGGATGAAGAAGAGGCCGGCCACACACATGACAGCCATGCTAGCCCGTTAAGGCCAACGGTGCAGGCCAGGACACCGCAGACCCCATCGCAGCAGCACAGAGCAGGTGCCTGTGGACAAACCTCCTCCCAACCTAGGGACGGCCACCTGCCCACTGGGGATCCCTGGGCAGGAACCAAGCCTTCTGAGGCTCAATCTCCCTGGTGAACGTGTCCCCGGTCCACATCGCCTCTGCAATGAGGCCCACAGGAACCAAGGATACGTGATGGTGGTGTGCGCGGCTCCCAGCCCCTCAGCGTGGTTCAGCACGTAGACCAGGCCGAAGGCCACGACGCCCACCATGTGTGCACTGAGTGACAGCAGGAACAGGAAGAAGTAGCGATAGTTTCGACGCCCGATGCAGTTGTTGACCCAGGGGCAGTGGTGGTCAAAGTCCTGGGCGGGAGCAGTGCATCAGGGCACATGGCAGGCAGGGATGTGGCACAGGGCTGGGGGAGCGCGGGGCAGCAGGGCGGTCACCTCTACACAGTTGTCACAGACGCTGCAGTGGGAGCAGCGCGGCGGGCGGTAGAAGTGGCACGTGGCACACCACTTCATGCGGACCTGGATACCTCGCACATCCACGTTCTTGTACAGCGGAGCCCGGAAGTCGTCCTCCTTGTCCTCATCCTCATCCGCTACAGACCAGGAGCCAGGCAGTGAGCAGGAAGTTGACTTTCCTGGCAGGTGAATCCCTCCCCCAAGTCCAGCCCACCCACCAGGAATCCCTAAGGCTGTCTCAAGTTAGCCACTCACACTCTAGTGAAAGTGAGAGGAGCTGCCGCAGCACAGGGCCCTACCTCGGGGGAAAACACCAGGGTCCATGAAAGTGGCCATGCTGAAGTTGGCCAGGACAAAGAGGAAGATGATGCCATTGTAGACGGGAACAGCTGGGGACACAGCTCGTGTCAACCACGGGCACCTGCAGTAGACAGTGGGGGCAGAGAGTGGAGTCTGGGGGTGCAGAGCGGATGCAGGCGCAGAGCTATGTGGTGCGGCAGGCTGGGCCTGCAAGGTCACCCTCAGAGCTCAGAGGCAGTGGGGAGGCTGCCACAGCCCTGCCAAGAAACCTCAGCCACATCGCTCCTTCGAGTAACGGCCAGAGGCTGTGCGTATCAGTACAGCATGTGGGCTACCCGTGCCCTGACCCGGCAACCTCTCAGGGCAGCCGTCTCAGAGAGGCCCACAGACCTAAGGTCACCCCATTCCAGCGACCTAGGCTCCATGACTGGGGCGGGGTAGGGGGCGGGGGCGGTACACAGGCTGGAGGTGGGAGCCCCAGATGGAAAATGCGCCACGATGCCTCATCCAGGCCTGTCCCTGGCCCAGTGGGGCCTCTCACCAGGCAGATTCTGGGGTGTGGGGAGCCCCAGTCCTTGGTCAGTAAGTGCATGGGGCATGTCTCCCCTACTCTTCCCAGTCAGGCACATCCCCATCCAGACAGCCCCTTCTTTTTAGTTTGTCACCTCCCTCCCCAGATGACAAAGTAGAACACTTAGGGACTCTAGAATGCACAACACCCCCCACCACTTCCCATCTTCCCAGCCATCAGCACTTGGCTCCAAGGCCACCCCCTCTTCCGGGAAGCTTTCCAGGACTCCAGGCTGCCCTCTGCAGCTTCCCTATAAGGTGTGCCCTCACACACCTTCCTGAAAGGCGCCTTCCTCAGCCCTTAACGGGCCTGGCCCGAGTCCCCTCTGAAGAGACTTGCCGGTCCTCGGGCCACACGGCCTGCAGCGGGTTCCTAAATCCACCCACTCAGCTTCCAAGAAGCCCCTCTGGCCTCAGGCTCCTTGTCTCTCCCCTGCGCACCCTGAGACAGCTGCTGTGACAAGCAGCAGGGACAGGAACACAGGGGTTTGCGTCCCTCCCTGCACCCAGGCCCTCTGCATAGTCGGGGGGCTAGTGGGGATCCCCCACAGCAGCCCTGACCTCTATGGCCACTAGCAGTGGATGGGGCCCACGCGCTGCCTACCACTCCAGCGCACGTGGCCACGCTGCTGCACCCACGCCCGCCTGGCCAAGAGCCAGCCCCGCCGCCCCGGCAACCACCTCCACGGCAGCAGAGCTTCACTATTTTTAGTGGAAAGCAAGAGGCTATTTAAAGACTCCGCTTCCCACGACAGCCATCCTCGGCGGGGCTGGGAGCCCAAGTTACCCTTCCTCTTGTCCAGGGCCCAGCCCGTGGAGGTAGACACCAGGGTGAGGACACAGCTGCGGCCACACCTCCCTCTGCTGGGAGGGCTCTCCCTGTCCCTGCCCAGTGGCTCAGCCCCCAGGCTTCCTTCCACCCTCCCCAGCCCTGCCTGGCACACAGGCAGCACTCAAACATGTGCCTGGCCTCCAATGCAACGCCATTCAGCCAGGACCACAGGCCCCTAAGGCAGGGTCGGCCCAACAAGATGGGCACAGGCAGGTGAGCAGCTCCCCCAGGGAGAGGCAGGGCCTGTGGAGCTCTCCACGAGCCTTCTGGGGAAGGCTGGCTACATAGTCTGTGCAAAATGAAACTGCGGGCCCCTTATTTAAAAATTACAGAGAATTTCAAGATGTTGACAGCGGAGCATTAAACCAAACGCAGGCCCTCATGATGCCCGTGGGGCTGGCCTGCTCTGGGAAGGGATGCGGCGAGTGCCATTGGTCAACCCTCGGGCTGCAAGGAGGCAGCCTCTGTCCTCCCAGTGCTGACCTCAGGATGGAAGCCTCGGGGCCCCTCTGCACCTGCGCTGGCTGCCAGCCTGCCTCCTGGCCCTAACGGGGGCCTTGGGGGTGTGTTCGCCCATCAGGCAGGCGGGGCCTGAACCCCATGCTGACTTGAGCTCCCTGCCAGCCCAAGCAGGCGGTACTGCTGTGTCCTCCCTGAGCCTGGACTCCCCCACACCAGGCGGGCTGGACAGCAGCCTTGCAGCCGTGGGGCTACTTTGGGAAATCTGCAGTGTGACCGGGTCCCTCCTGCCCAGTGCGGGTACCTGCCACATGCCTGTGAGGGCCCATATGGGCCCTAATCCAGGGGTTGGGGAGGCTTGTTGTGGGTTCTCTGACTGGGACCTGAGCTGCTGCCCACTCCTCCAGTCCTCCAGAGTGAGGCAACTGTCCTCTCTGTAGTCCCCAAGGTCAGATCCTGCCTAACAGGGACCAGCTCACAGGCCAACCCACCAGGGCCCAGAGCTCTCAGGGCTCAGTGGGAGAGAAGATGAGGAGCACACGCAGGCACCTACAGACACGTGTGAAGACATGGACACACACACAAACATGCTCCAGGGCACATGTGCATGGGTATGTGTGCACACACACAAATATACAGGCATGTACACACATAAACACACAGACAACCTGTTCTGGTGCACAGAAGGCACACATGCACACATGCAATCATGTCTGCATACAAAACACATATACATGCATGAACACTTGCATGCAGACATGCACACGTGCACACACTGGTGCACATGCATGAACGCAGACACGCCTGCACATCACTCACCCACCAAGACCTATGTGTGAACACGCGTGAACACAGGCATGCATAGACACATGCCTCCTCACACTGCACCCAGCCCTATCCAGCCTCGGCTCGGCTGCCCCTCACTCTGGGCCTCAGACACGGCCCTCCCACTCTCTGGGCTTCCCTTTGCCCCTCTGTGGATAGGGCAAGTGTGAGGACACACAAGCACTCTCAGGGTGCGCAAGAACACGGGAGGACACACAAGGACATGCAAGGATGCATGAGGACACATGGGGACAGGGGAGGCCATGTGTGGATGCTCAGGGACACTCAAAGACACGCATTCCCACAGGCAGGGCCTAGCAGGCAGTAGTCTGGGTCCAGGCTCGGGGAGGCTCCACTCCCACCCAGACCTGATGGTGCACACCAGGCTCGCCTGCCGGAGGGCCAGGCAAAGACAGGCTCTGGGCCTGGGCTGGAGGTGGAGTGTCTGGCCCGCCATGTCCCTCTGAGCCCCTCCTGGCTGGCTCCAGCCAAGCTACGGGTGGAGGGCAGGTCCAGGGGGCCCAGCCCCGAGGTTCCAATCCCTCCTCCAGGGCCACAGGCAGGGACATGCACCACCACCATAGGCCCCACCCGGGCTGAGGCCCCAAGTCCCGCCTGGGCTGGCAGGGAGATACCGCCGAGCAAGAGGGGTGGCTTAGGGGCAGAATGTCCGCCACAGCTAAATGTGGAATGGAAAATTTTAACTCAGACGTTTTCATTTAAATCAGGTTCTTCATTAGCACTGTTTGTGTATGAGTGGCACTCGCCCGTGGGGCGCTCGGGACCGGCGGGGCAGAAGCTGCTGCGCCCTTGTCAGGCCAGGCCTTTGGGCCTCGAAGTACCTGCACCTACCTGTCCAATCCCTATAGACACCTGGACAGATGGGGAAACTGAGGCTCGGGGGCCAGGAATACCCCAGGCCACATGCGGTGGGTCCCAGCAGGGGGGCTCACACTGAGTTTTCACTCCCAGGTTCCCCAGACTCATGAGGTCCCAGTCAGCAGTTCAGTCCCTCCTGGCCCACCAAGGCTAGTCTGGCCCAGGGCCTGTTCTGACTGCTGTCCTGAGCTGGGCCTCCAGGCAAGGAGAGGGCTCAGGACGATCTAGGGACCAGCCACACCATCCCAGATGCCCCAGACAGAGATAAGCCAGCCTGGCTCAGCCCCAGGCACTGGCAGCCTGCCAGGCAGCCCCAGCCCTCGGACATTCACAGGGTCCCTGTCATTCTGCAATGTGGCTCTGGAGTGAAGTCAGGGCAGGGTCGGGAGCCTGGCCTAGGGGTCTTCGAACCCTCTGCCAGCAGCTGACCCAGCCTAGCATTATACCATGGTATAAAGGGCTTCTGAAGCCCAGGGGGATACAAAACCCCCAGAAACATAGGAAGGGGCCGGGAGCAGTGATCACACATGTAATCCCAGCACTTTGGGAGGCTAAGGCTGGCAGATCACCTGAGCTCAGGAGAATAGCCTGGGCAACATAGCGAGACCCCATCTCTACTAAAAAAAAACAAAAAAACAAAAAATAAATAAATTAGCCAGGTGTGAGGGTGCCCACCTGTCATCCCAGGTACTCAGGAGGCTGAGGTGGGATGATCACTTGCGCCCAGGAGGTCGAGACTGCAGTGAGCCGAGGTAGCACCACTGCACTCTGGCCTGGGTGACAGAGTGAGACCCTGTCTCAAACAAACAAACAACAACAAAATCCTAGGAAGGCTTCCTGAAGGAAGAGGGCCTCTGAGAAACTGCCCTGCTGTATGTGCCCCATCCTGAGAGGGTGCTCTTCACAACTGGGCATCCTTCCATGCCCAGACCCTCCTAGAGAGATGTGTGAATGTCCTGCTGGTCCCAAGACCCTTGGCGATCTGGCTGAGGGAGGGGTCCCTGGTTCTCAGGCCTCCAGCTCCCCACACCACATGACACCCAGAACTCCTGCCCACCTGGTGCATGGGTGAAGCCACCCCACCGGCAGCAACTCATGTTTACTGAGTGCAGAGAGGGGGCTGGGGCCACTCACTGTCTGGTAACGTCCGAGGAGCAAACAGTGAAGTCGGGAACCCTGTATAGGCACTAAGGGCAGGGATTCGGGGCACAAGAGCAACCTGCTCCCCTTCCTGTGTGCCTGGACCAGATACAGGGCAGGAGGTGGGGCAACGGGTAGACAAGTGGCCTGCCCCAAGAAGGGGGCCGCCTGGACCCCTGCCTACCCAGAATCAGCACAGCTGCTATGGGTGGCATCAATGGGCCAGCCGACCCAACAGAACCCCTTCTCAGGAACTGAGCAGTCTCGGAGGAGTTCAGCAGAGGCGGGGCGGGTCGGGGAAGAGGCCAGGATCACTGACAGCCATTCAGCCCAGGGGTGTGGCCTCACCTGCCCTGAGGGGGCAAGCAGGGCTTCTTAGCCTTGCTAGGTGGCCACTGCACATCAAACCCAGGTGAGCACCCAGGCCACCATCCTGCTACAGGGACACATGGCATCTTCTCCCAGGAGCAGGGCCGGCAGAGGTCAGCATAGGCCAGGTGTAGGGTTGGGTGCAGGCATGGCCTGCACTGCCCCAGGAGGGAACCCCATACCTCAAGACTGCTGGTGTCGCCGAAACCAGAACCCCAGAACAGAGGAGGGGAAACTGGTGCTCAGCAGAGTGGGAGCCACCCAAGCACTCCATGCCTAGGGCTGGGTCAGGTTCACAGTCAGAGTCACGTAAAGGGCCCTCTGACATCACGCGTGAGGGAACCAGCAGCTGCAGCCACCACACAGCCAGGCTGCAGACGCGGCGCCAGGAACAGAGGAGCCCTCCAAGGAGGACAGGAGATGGGGGGTGTGTGGGGTTGATTTTAATTTCTTAGCATTTTTTTTTTCTGTATTTCACAAGTTCCCCATAAAGAACATACTTTTTTTTTTTTTTTTTTTGAGACAGAGTCTTGCTCTGTCACCCAGGCTGGAGTGCAGTGGTGCGATTTCGGCTCACTCCGCCTTACGGGTTCAAGTGATTTTCCTGCTTCAGTCTCCTGTGTAGCTGGGATTACAGGTGCCCACCACCACGCCTGGCTAGTTTTTGTACTTTTAGTAGAGACGGGGTTTCGCCATGTTGGCCAGGCTGGTCTCAAACTCCTGACCTCAGGTGATCTGCCCACCTTGGCCTCCCAAAGTGCTGGGATTACAGGCATGAGCCACCGCGCCCGGCCCACACATTACTTTTAAAGTCATGAGAAAGGACACTGAATTGCATGGACAGAGTAAGGAACCAAGCCAGACCCCCCGCCCAAGGACAGAGGCCCTGGGGACCAGCACTGGGCTGGGCCCACCCCTCCAGAAGCCTTGGTGGGATGTGTCCCCCCAGGCCAGGCTCCCCAGGCTGCCCCCCACCCACCTCTCTCTGCCCCACACCAGCAGCAACTAAGTGACAAGAACACACTGGCTTGCCCGAGCCAGAAATAAGCCCGTCCACACAGGCCTTTTTTAAACATGCTCTTGGCAGCCTGCGGTGCCCACCCAGCCCCAGCCTGCAGGTAACTCTCTCGCCTCCACGGGCACCCGATTCAGCCTTGCGATGCACGTGGGGGCCCCCCAAACTCTTGCAAAGGTGACGAGCGCCAGGCAGCCCCTACCTGCCCCTCTCCAGGCTCACATGCTCAGGGGTGGCCCCACCTTGGAACAGGTGGCCATCGTTCGTGCCACCTGGGCTATGTCTCAACCCCAGATTGGTGGAAGGGGGGTGGGTGGTTGAAGATCTGTGCAACCGAAGCCTGGAGCCCCCAACCCTCCTTGTGCCTGAAGGAGCCCTGGGGTGACCCCACAGCCACAGAGGGAGGCTGTGCTGTCCGCATGCCTCTCTGGTCCTAAGCCAGCCTGTATCTTGGGTGAAGAAGTTGAGGCTGGAGGGGCCCAGTGTCCTGCAGGCGCGGGCTCTCACTCCCAGAAACAGGACCTCAAGGGTCCTGGTGTGCACCATGGCCAGCCCACGGAGGTGATGTGCTAACATCGGGCCCTGGGTGTGGCCTGGCCTGGGCCCTCCAGCTGTGATGACCACTGGGTCTTCCTGAGAAGGAGGCCAAGGGCCAGGCCCGGGTCACCAGTGGCTGTGGGGCAGGCACGTGGCAACGAGGCCAGGCCACACCTACGTGGGAACAACTTGACTCTGGCCCGGGGCGGGCAGCCAGGAGGAGACCCGAGAGGCACCCACGGCCACCTGCAGAGAAGACTCATGGTTGTGGGTGGCCCACGTCCCCTCGGGGGTCCCATGGGGAGGGAAGGGCTGCAGCCACACCCAGGGCAGCCCGGCCTCCTCCCCTGCCAGGGCCCAGCGCTCCCCGCCAGGGCCTGCCTGGACACTCCCGAGGTGCCCAGCCCGCACTGGTGTCCCCACACAAGGGACTCACCCCGGTGCCCGGGACGCCGGCACACCGCTTCAACTCCCCCAGCCCCAGCGGGTGGAGAGGGACTGCCATCGCCTGCAGCCGGCGCCCCGCCCGCCCACTGCCCGGGGCCCCGCCAGCCCCCGCGACCGCTGCCCCCGTGCCCGGGCTGTGCGGGCCCTGCCCATCGCTGCCCGCGTGCCCCCAGACGCGGCGCCGACTCACGTGAACACGAAGAAGAGGGTGCTGGAGCCGACCAGCAGCGCGGCGGCCGTGGCCACCGGGATGTACTTGGCGGGTTTGAGGCGCGTCCCGGGGCTGCGGGGCATCCTGGGCGCCGCGCCGCCGCATCCCTCCCCGGGGCCGGGCGGGCAGGGCCGGCCGGGGTCGGGCCGGGGTCGGGCGGGCGGGCTGGACGCGGCGCAGGACCCGCGGCGGCGGCGGCGGCGGCGGCGGAGGAAATCCCACCCCACGGGCGGCGGCGGCTGCTGCGCTCTTATGTCAGCGCGCCCCTTAAGGTGGACCGGGCGCTGGGGGCCGCGGCGGGGCGGGACCGGGCGGGGCGAGTTGATGGGGCCCGGGGACCGCCACCGGTTCGCGGGACCTTCGGAGGGGGCAGGACCCCGCGGCCTCGGGGACCCCAGCCCGGCGGGCGCCCGCGGCTCTCGGGGGCCGGGCACCCACGCACCCCTGCGGCCCGGGTGGTGGGCACCACGGCGAAGGCCAGGCCCCCCTGGTCCCGGGCCGCGGAGCCGTGCAGGTGGCCTCGGGGGCGTCTGTGGGCGCAGCCCTTTCCCTAACGACCCCTCTGGTCTGAAGCCCCTTGGAATTCACGAGGGGGCGCGGGTGTGACACCGCAGCGGCGTCGTGGCTGTTTGCCTTCTGACCGCCTCGCAGCCCTCCCTCGGGCCACTGGGCTGGAGGAGCCCGGCCAGCGGGCGCCGGGCCCTCCACGTCCTGGCCCGAGCTGCAGGCTTGAGAGACGGTCGGCTGGAGCCCCCATCCTCCCCGAGGCGGGGCCCTTTGGGAAGCCCGGCGCCCCGGCCCTGCCCGATAGGCCCGGCGCGTCTCCTCCCGCAGGAAATCCCACCCGCCCCGCCGCCGCTTAAGGTGGACCGGGCCGGGGCCGACGGCGCTGTGGGCGGGGTGGGGCGGGGCCTCGTGTGGGTCCCCCCCCCAGACACACACACGCCGGCAGAGGAGGCGGTGCCAGCGGGAGACCCTCAGTCAAGCTCCGGAGCGTCCCCAGTGAGGGTCATTGTCCTCGGCCACGCCAACATGCCCCGAGCGTCCCCTGTTCTGAAGCCCAGACCCATTAGACCCCTCCCTAGGTGGAGATCTGTGGGGGGACCTCACCCATCGCCCCCAGCCCTGAGTGTCTGCTCCTCTGCAACCAGAACCCCGAGCGGCCCTACCCTGCGGCACAGGCATGAGGCTCCTTGGCCTGCAGGCCCCTGCTCCCCTGGGGAAGCACCCGGCCGCAGCTCCTCAGGGTGGGCAGGCCAGGGTTGTGGCTATTGGAAGGAGGAACCCAGGACTGGGGCCGGGACCCAGCCCTTAATGCAACTAACTACTGCACAGCAGAAATGGTGATGGGCTTTCTCCCAGGCAGCCGTAGTGGTAAGCTCTGTTCTCAGGGTGCCCTGCTCCAGGAGGTGCAGCCTGGAGCGCTCCCAAGCACTGATGGTAGCTCTGAGGCAGTGGAGGGGTCTCAGGGCACAATGGTGAGCCTAGAGCAGACACCACTGGAGCAGATGGCTCGTTACCTGGGCTCTGCAGTGGCCACAAGTGAGCCTCTCAGTTGGCAACACACCTGCCACCTGGTGCCCATCTCCAGCCTTGCCCTTGCTCCTACCTTCCCCCATGAAGTGCCTCCTCTAGTGGCACATGCCACAGAGCCCCTCAGGATCCAGGTCTGACTCCATGCCCATGCTCTGTGCAGGGTGCCAGGACTGTCACCTTCCTCCACCAGCTGAACCCTGGAGTAAACTGCCAAATGCTGACAGTGGGAAGAAGCGGAATCAGGCCTACTTGGTGAGATCCCTTTTCCCTTGAGTTTTTAACACAGGGTTTCACTCTGCCACCCAGGCTGGAGTGCAGTGGTGCAATCATGGCTCACTGAAGCCTCAACCTCCAGGGTTCAAGTGATCCTCCTGCCTCAGCTTCCCAAGTAGCTGGGACCACAGACGTGCACCACCATGCCAGGCTATTTTTTTTATATTTTTTTGTAGAGATAGGGTCTCTCACTATGTTGCCCAAGCTGGCCTTGAACTCCTGGCCTGAAGTGATCCTCCCACGTTTGCCTCCCAAAGTGCTGGGGTGACAGGTGTCAACCATTGCATCTGGCCTTGGGATCCCTTTTCCTTAACACAGAGGCCTGGGCAGAGGGGTCCCAAGTAGTGCAGACCCACTACTGGAGACAGAGAACCAAGCGAGGTTGGCACCGGCCTCCCCACCCAACATGGCTGCCAAGCCCATGGCCTAGTTTCCTCCTCAAGAAGAGCTAAGATCCCAGGGAAAAGGAAAATGAAGCAGAAAGCAGGAGGCTCCCCAGCCTGCAGCCCGGCAGACAGACATGGGATGGAAGGCTGAAGCACACTGCATTCTCACACAGTCCCCAGCACCGGCAGGACCCCATTCTGCTCACCATTGTCTGCCAAAGGGAAGCCAATGGAAACACACTGGGCTGGACGGCTGGCCCGAGTGCCCACATGGGCGTCCTTGTATAGCCTACCCTGTGGTCCCGTGGGGCCAGCACGCGGACGCATTCTGTCTCCCAGCACAGCTCCCTTCCCGCAGCACCATCGCATCCTGCAGTGTCAACAAGCTGCATCCTCAAATGCACCCTGCAACACAGCCCCACCACAGGATGGCACTGTCTCCCAGCCATTCCGAGGGGCCTTCTCACTGCTGGGGACTCTCCCTTGGAGACATTTCTCCCATCCCCAGATGAAGGAAGTCAGCCTGGAATTTTATTGGAACCCCAAATCAAATACAGAATGCTAAACATCCTTTCTGTGCTGGGGGGTGCCTGTCCTAGCCAAGGGCTTCTCTCCTGGAAGCTCCAGCCAGTGCAAGGGGCCCTCCCTTTCACAGACATCAAAGCCTCCAACTGACACCTGTACCCGACCTGGGGCCCCGGGTGTCACCAAGAGTGCAGCACAGCAAGGCACCATCTGCAGTGGACGGCGTCACCCTCCCAACACGAGGACCTCACTCGGCACAGGGCATAGGGCACAGGCTTCACCTCTTCTTGGGTGCAAAGTGCACCACTGTCCCCCTGCCAACCTGCTGGAGGCAAGCAGTCCATGAGCATGAGGGCCACAGCTCACAGAACACAGTCAAGATGCCAGTGAGGAGTCATCAGTTGGGCTTTTTCTAGAGCAAAGACCATACCTTCAGGGACCATTTCCATAGTTCATTACCAAAGACGTTTCTCTGAACATGTAGGGCACTGGAAACCATGAGGAGTCGGCACAGCCTTCTCTCCTGAGCTGGCCTTTTCCTCTGCAGGGGCCACTCTGCCACAGGGACCCACCAAAGTCAGCCTTGGCTGATGCTAGAGACCATAAAGTGGTTCCCATTTATGTAAAAATAAACAAACCTGAGAGTAGTTGACTTTGGAAGTACATCCCCCAGAGCAGCAGTCCCCAACCCTTTTGGCACCAAGGATCAGTTTGGTGGAAAACAATTTTTCCATGGACCAGGGGTGGGGGAGTGGTTTCAGGATGAAACTGTCCACCCCAGATCATCAGGCACTAGGTTCTCATAAGGAGTGCACAACACGGATTCCTCACATGCGTAGTTCACGTTAGCGTTCGCACTCCTATAGGAATCTAATGCCCTGCTTATCTGAGGGGAGGCGCTCAGGTGGTAAAGCTCGCTCGCCCACCACTCACCTCCTGCTGTGTTGCCCAGTTCTTAACAGGCCAGACTTGTACCGGTCGGCAGGCCAGGGATTGGGGACCCCTGCCCCAGAGAGACAAAGGACTGGTGTTTAAACCAGCAGGCAGTCACCAGACAGGACACAGCACACGGAGGTCAGAGAGAACAGGGCCCAGGCCCAGGTGGAGGGCACGAAAGAGCAAGTGATGGCAGCAGGCAGCCAGCCTCACAGTAAGCACGTCTGGTAGGTGTTCATGACAAACGGTGACAGGGCACGTTATGGCAGTTGGGACCACACACTTAAGATGGTATTTGCAGAGACAATCCATTACACATGACAACCCCCAATGGCGTACTGGAAAATATCTCCTTATTTAAAGTTACTGCAGATGCCCATAACTCCAACACTGCCAAGTGTGGACTTCAAGTCCAGGAGGCCAAGACCCCAGTTTTCTCCAAGGCCAGGGTACAATAGGCTTTCCAAAAGAAGAGCTACAGGGCCGAGCCCCCACCCCCAGCACACCAGACTGGCCTTTCCCTCCACAGGGGCCACTCTGCCACAGGGGCCAAAGTCAGCCTTGGCCGATGCTAGAGACTCTGCTCAGTTGGCTACTGCCTCCCTGCTCCAAAGCCAAGGTACTCCAGTGGTCTTCCTTTCTCTCCTCAAAACACAGAAAGCCCACCCCTCCTCACCATAGAAAAAAAGCAGTAGCTGTTCAGGCCATAAGGCACAGTGGAGCCTGCCTCGGCAGAGCCCACGCTGCCCAGCCCACAGTCGTGCATCAGTACCACACCCGGCACCAGACACCCCTGGCCAGGCTCCCTCACCAGCGCCAGCTCAGACACCTCAGCTTCAAGGCCCACAGCAAGATACATGCACGACCTCAGACACCAGGGCGTCTCTCCCAGGAACCCAGGCTACCGTGAGGTGCAGCACCCACCTGTGCTGCGGACAGGCCTGGACATACACCCGGGAGGCTTAGGCGAGCGGCGCTCACAGCGCAGGGGCCTGTACACACACAGTCCTGCCATCTGGCCCAGGTTCCAAATGTGTTTTTTATTCACTATTTTTGATGACTATAAATAAGTGTTTCCACTATGGAAAAGAAAGTTAGCACAGTACATTTTCATGACTGGGGAATGGATTTTCTGAAGTCATCTTCAATAGGGCAAAAACTTAGAAACAAAAAAAAAAAACAACCTGAATGTTGAGTTCAGTTCTTTATATAACGTCCCTTGTAAAAATGAAAGAATAAAAACAAACCGAAAAAGAGGGGCAGGGTAAAATTTTTTAAAAAAAGGAAAGGAAAGAGAGGAAAAGAAAATAAAATAAGACGATTTATTGCTTCTCCTCAGCATCCTCCTTGGTCTCCTCCTTCACCGAGAGAGCTTCTAGCTTTTCCGCCACTTTTTCGGCATGATCATTTTTGCCTGATCCTGCTAAAAACACAAGCAGCACAGTGAGAAAACAGAAGCACGGTGCATTCAAGCACATGGCCCTCGCCAGGCTGGTCCCAAGTGCCGTCACCCACCCACAGCGGCTTGCCCGCCCTCGGGACAGACTCCTGCCTGGCCAAGCCGCCTCCTGGAGTCTGTCTTCTTGAAATTCAGTGACGAAAGGAAGCCAGGTGGATGCACTCAAGCACTGCCTAGACCATGGTCAGGCTGCTCAGTGACATCTGGTCACTTGCCACCACAGCTGCAGTCCAGCCTCATGGCAGAGGTGACCAAGCCCTCTGAGAGACAAACCGAGGACCATCATAAAGCACCTTCTGGTGAGCTCCAGGCAGTGCCCGGACTCCAATGCCTGCCCAATTGGACTGAGGCCAGCAACACTGACAAGTGCTCAGGGCTCCCCAGGAAGCACCTGTGTCCCCAGGGAGCTGCATCACTCTGGATACGTGAGGCGGCCACAGCACCCTGGAATGTTTATCTGGCAGACAGAAAAAGCACCCGCCTGGAAGTATAGTCAGATGCAGAGTGAGTCTGCAAAGAAGCCCCCCAACCCATGGCACCACGTCACCTTTCTTTTCTCTCTCTTCGATCTCTTTCCTGCATTCTTCAAACTTTGTTTTGAATTTCTGTGCATCTGTGGAAGGGAGAGCGAAGACTTCCTAAGAGCTGTGAGCAGTGGAAGAGACATGCCCTGCCGGGTCTGAAGAGTCAGGATTCACAGAAGACCCATTTCATGGTAATTGCTGACCTAAGAAAGGACTGGTCCACCTGACATCGGCCCTGGCCTTCTGTCTCCTTCATCTGACTGCACCCATTTGGGCAGAGCGGTAGAGCACGGACCCTCAGGCAACCAAGGGGCATGGGCCTCTTTGCCACAGGCTCGGCTCCCAACCGTGTTGGAAAGGCTGCTGGGGCAGCCACGCCCACAGCAAGGACAAGGTCACTTGGCACCAAACGGCCAGCTACCAGGCGCCAGGCCACAGTACCCACTGACTCCTCCAGGAGCCACTGGACGCAGCTTGGACGATCTGGACTGGAAAGACCTCTGAGCAGGGAAGAGATCAGCCTGGGCCTGTGGATCTCTCTGCCCAGCCCCTGCTGGCACCCAGGCAACCATGAGGGGCCCCTGGCCCCAGTGAACCAGAAGCCTGGCACGAGGATCAGCACTGGGAGGAAGCCCTGGGTTGGGCCTCAGGCTCCGCAACAACTAATGGGAACCGGAGCTTGGAGAGCAAACCAAAGTGCCAGCCACAAGGCGGCTGAGCGGGCACTGCTGTTCACCAGCTACTTGGCACAGCTTTGAGTTTAAGGGGGAAGGCGCTGCTCATGGCTTCAGTCTGGGCATGGCCCCCAAACAGCAGGGCAGGGCAGCCCACACGACACACTTCCCAGTTACTGCCCCCTCTCCCCAAAAGGCAACAGCATTTGTTGCACATAACCCGCCACGCTGCCACGCAGGTGAGCCCCAAGTCAGGCAGGTCCCCAGGGCCCTTGGCTCACTCTCAGCATTCAGGAAGCGGATGGCCAGCAGCTCTGGCTTGGGGCACTCGTCGGCGAAGTCAGCGTGGGTGTTCCAGACCCAGGCACGGTCGCTACCTGCGTTGGGCTTCAGCTCCATCATCGGCGTGACTGAAGAGAGAGAAGCTCGTGAAGATGGTGAGATGACTGCAAAGGCCAGCCCACCCAGCCCTCGGCCACAGAGCACCCTGCTCACCAACCTGAGGGGTCTGCTTCAGACAACACGGGGACAGTCTGGGGTTGGAGAACCAGGCTTAGACAAAGTACCACGGCGCCTGAGTTTTATTCAAACCTCTTTGAAAATCCTCCATATTCACTTAAAACCAGGACCATCCTAAATAGGAATGGGCACCTGTTCCCTGACCGTAAGGCCATCTCCACGAGGAGCTCCTGAGCTGTGTTCAAGATCACTTGGCACACAGACCCCCACCTCCAGAAATGCAGAGAAGCAGAGCTGGCAAAGCAGGCCCCAGCTGTATCCCAGGGCTGCACTCAAGCCCAACCCTGATCCCCTTGATTCTGACCCTGGCCGTGAAGTCAGAAGCCCAGGGTCAGATATCAGGGCACAAGGCCCAGGGGGCCCAGTCTTTCCTAAGGGAACCCAACACATAGAGCCAGCCTATCTGAAAGTGGGGGGCAGCAGAAGGCTAGAAAGTGGGGCAGTTGCCAGAAGGGAGCCCACTGGGGGCCGTGGCCATGCATCCCCATGATTGATGCAGGAGTGCCCACCTGCATCCCCATGACTGAAGCCTGGAGGGCACAGGAGACAGAGCCACGGCCTGCAATGGACGCCTCCACCCCAACTCCCCAGGCACAGGCAGCCCCAAGGGGAGATGGCCCTGCAGGTGACCACTCTTCAGAACAGCTCCCTGAGAACCCAGACCATCCCAGGTGCCCATGCCCAGTCCAGGCCACATGCACCCCCAGGATACCCCTACACGTCACTATCTGAACTGGGAGCTGGGGGGGGGTCTCGTCTACTGCAGCCTGCCACAGCGGATGCCAAGCCCCCTGCATGCCCCCTTCACACCCCGCCCCGACCCAGCCCACAGCCTCTTCGACACCTTACCCAGAAGCCAGCCTCTACCCACTGCCACTTTCCCTGTCTACCAAGGGCCCATGATGGGCACAAGACACTGCTGGCTACACAGATGGCTCTGCCCAGATGCCCAGGAGCCCAGAACCAACTTATGATGCACACACAACAACCCACAACCTGACCCAGGCTCTGGGAGCAGCACAGGGCATCAGGGAAGACCCCCAAGGAAATGATTCAAACGGCTCGAGGAGGAGGACCAGCCAGAGTGCAAGCTTCCCCAGGACTAGACATGCTGAGCAGGGAGGGAGGGGAACCCAGGAGCCAGTTCCCAAGGAAGTCTGGCAGGCCAGGCCGTGCAGTGAGGTGCCCATGGCATAGGCAGACCACCACCCACCCCTCTGCATCGCCCTCAAGGGCTGAGCCACTCAGGCTCCTGCCAGCAGTCATCCTGCACCTGGGATGAGGGACCCTGCCCCGCCGGACACGCATGACACTCAGCAAACGACACTAGGAAGCTTACCAAGGGACACCCCAGGACAAGTGTACTTCCAAACATGCCAACAAGCTGGGCAGTGCAGGTTCAATCTAAAGACAGCTGGCAGCCAGCCATACTCAGGACAACCTACTGCCACTTCTTTGCAGGCCAGGCTGGACCCCTCACAGGGTGGCTGGAGCTCTTGGCTGAACCTGCCCAAGGGCCTCTACTTATGTAGCTTCAGAGGCGCCCAGGACCTGGCCACCTTCTCAGCCCCGTTCCCCTCCCGTTTCCTCCCCAGGAAGATCCTGGTGAGGGTAGAACACACCATAACTGGGGAGGCTGGTGCCTGGGCACCTCACACATCTGCTCTTACACTGCCCGAACACCCCCAATCTCTCTCACACACACCCCCACCGCGATACCGCACCCCCTCAGACACCAAACCCCCCCAGACACCACACACCCCCCCCAACACCACACACCCCAACACCCCCAGACAACACACACCCCAACACCCCCAGACACCACACACCCCAACACCCCCAGACACCACACACCCCAACACCCCCAGACACCACACACACCCAACCACACCCCTTAGACACCACAAACCCCCCTAGACACCAAACACCAGATGACCCCTACACACACCCCGGATACCACACCCGCCCCCCAGACACCACACACTGTACACCTCCCCAGACACCACACACCTTCAGACACCACACATGCCCCGACACACCTTCAGACACCACACAGCCCCCCAGACCACACACCTTCAGACACTACACACACCCCCAGACACCACATACACACCCCAAACACCAAACACCCAGACACCAGACCCCCAACCACACACCCCCAACCACCCCCGCCAGACACCACACCCAACCACATACCCCACCACACCCCCCAGACACCAGACCAACTACACACCCCCAAACACCACACCCAACCACACAACCCCCGCCCCAGACACCACACACCTTCAGACACCACACAGCCCCCTGCCCCAGACACCACACACACCGAACCACACACCCCTATACACCACCACCAGTAGACACCACAGCCCCCTAGATACTACACATACCCCCCATTAACCCCCCCCAGACACCAACCCCCACCCCCCAGACACCACACACACACACACACACACACACACACACACACACACAGCACCCCCTCGCCCTGCAGCACTCACTCCTCGTCCCGAGCCCAGCCTGGGCGCTGCGTCCTCCCATCAGGGCCCGTCTGGCTGACTCCACACCCCCGTGTGCTCTAAGCTTCGCTGCGGGCCTGCTCTGAGTTCAGAGGCACGTCTGAAAAACGTATTTCTGGTTTTAAATTCAACAAACACACCACAAACTTGCACTCCATGAAATAACACGCTCCCCAGTTCCCAATCAGCCCTGAATCTTCCCAAAGGTCCCAGGCCAAGCTGCTGGGGACTGTCGAGGTGGTCGTTCATGCCACCTACTGTAGTGGTTGGCACAGATCTTCAGGGTCTTGTCCCTCCGCATGAGGAGGCGGATGGCCCCTTTCTCCTTGTGCTTCAGGAGCTTGACGTCACCAGTGCCTCGCTCCTTCCATTCTGGGAGATCGTTCTCAGAGGCAAATCGGAACAGTTTTGCCCGCCTGCAAGAAAAGCCGTGAGGTTAAGAGTGCAGACCTGCAGCCCACATGCAGGGCCTGCGCAGGAGGACACAGGACAACTCTGCACTGCAGGACCCCATGCCTCCACGAACGCCCCAGCCCTTCTTCAGGCTCCAAGAACTGCCCGTCACAACACCACCAGAAAGCGCAGCAGCCCAACAAACTCCAGGTCATCTTGAATTCCGGTTCCACAACCAAGAGAATTAGACGACCGGGCGCGGTGGCTCATTTGTAATCCCAGCATTCGGGGAGGCCGAGGCGGGCAGGTCATCTGAGGTTAGGAGTTCAAAACCAGCCTGGCCAACATGGTGAAACCCCATCTCTACTACAAATACAAAAATCATCTGAGTGTGGTGATGCACGCCTGTAATCCCAGCTACTCAGGAGGCTGAGGCACGACAATCACTTGAGCCCAGGAGGCAGAGGATACAGTGAGTGGAGATTGCCCCACTGCTCCTACAGTCACAATATTTCCCTCAGTGGGGACCAGCCTGGGCAACATAGCAAGACACTATCTCTACAAAAAGATAAAAATTAGCTGGACATGATGGCTAACACCCGTAGTCTCAGCTACTCAAGAGGCAGAGGGAGGAGGATCCCTTGAGCGCAGGAGTTCAAGGCTGCAGTGAGCCATGATACCACTGCTGCACTCCAGCCTGGGTGAGAGTGAGACCCTATTTTAAAAAAAAACAAAACAAAACAGGGCACAGTGGCCCACGCCTGTAATCCCACACTTTGGGAGGCTGAGGTGGGTGGATCACCTGACGTCGGGAGTTCGAGACCAGCCTGACCAACGTGGAGAAACCCCCTCTCTACTAAAAATACAAAATTAGCCGGGTGTGGTGGCACATGCCTGTAATCCCAGCTACTCGGGAGGCTGAGGCAGGAGAATCCCTTGAAGCCGGGAGGCAGAGGTTGCGGCGAGCTGAGATCACACCATTGCGCACCAGCCTGGGCAGCAAGAGCGAAATTCCATCTCAAAAAAAAAAGAGAGAGCAGGCGCGGGGGCTCACGCCTGTAATTCCAGCACTTTGGGAGGCCAAGGCAGGTGGATCATGAGGTCAGGAGATCCAGACCATCCTGACTAACTCGGTGAAACCCCATCTCTACTAAAAATACAAAAAATCAGCCAGGCATGGAGGCATGCGCCTATAGCCCCAGCTATTCAAGAAGCTGAGGCAGGAAAATTGCTTGAACCTGGGAGGCAGAGGTTGCAGTGAGCCAAGATCGCGCCACTGCACTCCAGCCTGGGCAACAGAGCAAGACTCCGTCCCATGGTCACTGTGCAAGAGCACCCCAGCCCCAGAGATCTGCAGGGACAACATGGATCAGGTGCAGGCCAAGGACCTCTGTCACGACACCACCAGGAAGCACAGCAGCCCAAAAAACTCCAGGTCATCTTGAATTCCACTTCCACAACCAAGAGAATTAGATGACCGGACGCGGTGGCTCACACCTGTAATCCCAGCATTTTGGGAGGCTGAGGCGGGCGGGTCATCTGAGGTCAGATGACCCAGAGAAGAGGCCCAGGCCTCTAATCAGGCAACAGGCCCTGGCCAACACCTGGCCCTCCTGCCCAGGAGCAGCCCCTCCCGCTGGGGACCAGGGCACCCAGAATCCAGCAGTGCACTCAGGGCTCAGGCTGGCGCCCTCCCTCTGTGCACAGCTCTGCCTGCCTCTCTCAGACGACTCTGCTCTCTGCCCCAACATGATTCTGGCAAGAGACTGTCTCACAGGGTTCCCCAACAGGATGCCCCTGGAGCTTTACTGCAAAGACCCGGGCCCACCCTGCTGGCCTCACCTCCCTCAGGAAGGGCCTGGGCCCAGGCCACCAGGAGCACCTCCCACCCGACATGGGCAGTGAGGGAACAGAGGCAAGCACTTCACCACAGCAAAGAGCTACTCCCAAACAGGGGCTACGGCAATGCATCAGCAGAGTGGAGCCATGGCCACCCAGTGGTTTCAGGGAGATGTCCATCACCCTCTGTGACCAAAGGGTGACACACAGCTCTCCTTTCCCAGGTATCCCTCCTGGCCCCCTTCCTTGGATAGGAAACTCACAGTAGGAATGACTCTCTCTGCTTCCCTCTCCCACCCCAGAGCAACAAAACCTTAACCTGGACTCTTAAAGCAACTTCAAGGATGGGGGGATTCCATGAACTTGAACAGGGAAAAACTACAACCTCATTTTCACTGAGGTGTGTAACTAAACATGATGTTTGTTGCAATCCTGAGTGTAGGCGACAGGCCACAGTCTCTGTGGTGCTGTGACACTGTCACAAGACACAAGGCTGGTACCCACCACTGTAGCCAGCTCTTAACTGAAAGCGTCAAGAAGCACATGTACAGAATTTTTTTAAGTGGTTTTAATAACTAAACCATCACCTATTTTCATGTGTTATCGCAAGCATCATGTTGTATATTAAGGGTGGGCCGGGCGCGGTAGCTGACGCCTGTAATCCCAGCACTTTGGGAGGCTGGGGTGGGCAGATCATGAGGTCAGGAGATCGAGACCATCCTGGCTAATACGGTGAAACTCCGTCTCTACTAAAAATACAAAAAATTAGCTGGGCGTGGTGGCGGGTGCCTGTAGTTCCAGCTGAGGCAGGAGAATGGCGTGAACCTGGGAGGCGGAGCTTGCAATGAGCCAAGATCGCACCACTGCACTCCAGCCTGGGCGACAGAGCGAGACTCCATCTCAAAACAACAACAACAACAGACACCGGGTGGGGGATTTATAAGCTTCACGATGCCAAAGAAGTCTATGCTGCAAAAACTTAAAACCCCCTGCTCAACCAAGGGACTCCCTGGATCCTCAGAAGCCAGTGGCAAAAAAGGGCAGTGGGGCCGCCATGCCAGTGGACAGAGCAGCAAGATGGGATGCCCTTCATGCAACTGGCTGCAGGGCAGCAAGGGCATCTGGTGAAGATTCATGAAAGGAACGGGTTAAATTTCCACATGGGATTAGTCACCAACTTTAGGCCCTTTCTTTAAGCAGCCTCAGTCTGATTAAAAGTCAGGCCAAAACCTGGACACCCATAAAAGTTGTAACCTCAACCTTAAAGAGTCCTATTTCTGGGACATCAGCCTACTTACATTTTAAAAAGTTCCTCTTCATCTTCTTCCAGTGTTTTAATTTCTTGCTCAGGAAGAGAAACTATTGGCTCAAACTGAGGGTCATGGTTGGACTCGTCTGTATTCTCAGTGGAAGTATCATGGTCCTCATGAGTGTCCTGTGGAGATACAAAGAGGTTACACTGCTGGCCTATGGATCTGGCTCACAACCAGAGCCCAACCAGTGCCTGCAGTGGTCAGCCCTCCGACAATGAAGGGACTTCAGATACAAGGATGGGCCCAACCCCAAAGCAAGAAATTAGGCCCACTCTTCCACACTAGGAAAGCTCTGCGTTTATGCCCAGCTCCATGTGAGCACAGAGTGAGACACCAGAACTTGGGGCCCCTCCCCCAGATTCACAGACATCAATCAGATCTGTGCACAGACTGATGGGGGACCCTACAAGCCGCCAACACTTGCAGAGAGTGGCCTGGCAGAAACTGCCTCATCTCTTTGAGCATCAGTTTCTTCCTCATCCATAAAATGCAGATGATACCTGCTGTGTGAAGATCAAAGGACACAATGATGGGTCGAAATAGATTTTGAAATATTACTTTAAAGCAAAATGTAACTCTTTCAGTTTTGACTAATTAGGAAATAGTTGTGCTCTTGCTTAGTAAAACGAAAAAAGTCGCTACAGGACTGCTAGTATTTACACTGGATTCACAGCTCTGCCAGCAATTTTTTCACAGTTCAGAAAACTAAGTTAATAACTAGATAAATTGTACCGGTGAAAGTCATGAAATCCTGGCCCAATTTAGAGGATAAGAGAGCACCAATAATCATATTTTAGGTTCGAGTCTTCCAGAACACATGCCTTGGTCACCCAGAAGTCCGTAAGAGACCCAAGACTTCACCACTAGACTCAAACTGGAAAAGAAAACATAAGCTTTTCGCTGCTCTTCACTGTTCCCCACAGCACTGCGGCTCTGCAGCGGCCCGCACTCAACCAGACACCGCAGCCAACAAAGCCGCCGCCTGGGTCGGCGCATCTAGGACCTGTGCCCCACGCTGGAACGCGAGCTTCTGCCACAGAGGCCAGTGGCGGTTCCAGACGTAAGAACCGAATGAATGAAGTGCTGCGTGGGCGACGGAAAGAATAAATGCACCGTACTAGTGGGGAGCCCCAAGTGGGCCGAGCCGGAGGAAACCCGCCGCCCGCACCAGTTCCTGGAGGCTGGGGCCGTCCCGCGTGGCGACGGCCGCTCCCCAACCCACCCCAAGGTCACGCGGGGGCCCTGCAGCCCCCAGGCCTCTGCAGAGCCTGCACCCCCAAACGCCCCAACTCCGCAGGCCTCGAGCCCCCAAACCCCACGCGCCCCGACTCCGCGCCACCGAGGCCCAGCAGACGGCCGAGCCTGCAGGCCGGCGGAGGTTGGTGGCGGCGGCGCGGGCCGCCCACGTGGCCGCTGATAACGGCCCCGGCCCCGCCCGCCCACCCTGTCCCCGCTTGGGCCCGGCGGCACCTTGGCGGCCGCCATGGGGGCGCGGCGGCGGCGGCGGCTCGGCTGGGTCGGTCGTCGCTGGCTCCGCGGCCTCTCGGCGGCTACTCGTAGCTCCTTCCCTCCGCGTCTGGCGCCGGCGCCTCCCGCCCGCCCGCTCTTCCCTCCGCCCCACGACCCGAACCTCGACCCCTGACCCCAGCGGCGGGAAACGCGCCGCGATTCAAAACCAGTACAGCTTTATTGGCTCAGGAGGCGGACACTCTCATTGTCCGGCCCGCCCCGCGCTTCCCGCCAAAACGCCCGCGGCGCATGCCCGGCCCGCCCGTCAGCCAGAGGAGCGCGCACTCCCGGCGACACCCGCGCGCACTTCCGTCCCGGCCACGCGCGCCTCTAGAGCTGGCTAAAGTGGTTGGGGGTTGGATCCGGCGCGTGACGATGACGTTGCCAGAAGCCAGGATCATAGAGACGCTCGGCCTCCGCCGCACGCGCTGGCGGACTAAGAGTGGCTGGCGAAGCGAGCGGCCGGCGCGGGCCCCTGGCGGGCGGGCGGTACAGCCCCAAGCCTGAGACCCGGACCTGAGCATCGCAGGTTCGAGTCCCGCCCCGCCTGGGGCGAAGCCGGGGGTGGCGGCGACCTCGCGGCGTTGCACCGGCTCTGTGAGCACCTCCCCTCTGAGCACTTCCCTTGTGACAGGCCACTTCCCTTGTGACAGGCCCAGGACGAGGTGGCCAGGCGGCCCCCATGGCGTCCCTGGTCTAGGCGGAGAACCGCCTGGGCGATGAGTGAGAACCTCGACAACGAGGTAGAGTGCGGGGAGACGCTGGGTAGAGACGGGGATGGGGTGGGAGGAGGCGGGGTGGGTCAGGAAACCTGCCAGAGAATAGGTGGGGACGAGGCAGGTGCGATAGGGGAGGAAAGGAGACGGGAATGGGGTCGGGAGGGTAGACTGGGGGAGGGGCAGGGCTGAGTGCAGAGTGCACCGACGGAGGTCTGGGTGTCCCATAAGGAAGCTTGGGGGGCCAGGCCCCCAGGGCCTAGTCCTCACCCTAGCACCCCATCTGTCCCCACACAGGGCCCGAAGCCCATGGAGAGCTGTGGCCAGGAGAGCAGCAGTGCCCTGAGCTGCCCTACCGTCTCGGTGCCCCCTGCAGCCCCGGCAGCCCTGGAGGAGGTGGAGAAAGAGGGCGCTGGGGCGGCTACAGGGCCGGGGCCTCAGCCCGGGCTCTACAGCTACATCAGGGATGACTTGTTTACCTCTGAGATCTTTAAACTGGAGCTGCAGAACGTGCCTCGCCACGCCAGCTTCAGCGACGTCCGGCGCTTCCTGGGCCGCTTTGGTCTGCAGCCCCACAAAACCAAACTCTTTGGGCAACCACCCTGCGCCTTTGTGACATTCCGCAGCGCTGCAGAGAGGGACAAGGCCCTGCGCGTTTTGCATGGTGCCCTCTGGAAAGGCCGCCCACTCAGTGTGCGCCTGGCCCGGCCCAAGGCCGACCCCATGGCCAGGAGGAGGCGACAGGAGGGTGAGAGTGAGCCACCAGTAACACGAGTGGCCGACGTGGTGACCCCTCTATGGACAGTGCCCTATGCTGAGCAGCTTGAGCGGAAGCAGCTGGAGTGCGAGCAGGTGCTGCAGAAACTTGCCAAGTGAGTGTGGGCGCAAGACGCCCCTCTTGGCCAGGGCTCTGCCCGGCCTGTGCTTCCTCAGCCTGTCCATGCACCAGTTGGGAGGCCCAGCACAGGATCTGGCGGCCCCTTTGGGAGCTAGCCAGCAAGACACCCACGTCACAGTGGGCACAATGACATCCCAAAGGAGGGGTCAGGAGCCTGGACATTTGGGGAGTGGCCTGGCATGGGTCGGGGGCAGTAGGTGGAGTCCAACCACCGATCTGCTCCTCTTACAGGGAAATCGGGAGCACCAACCGTGCCTTGCTGCCCTGGCTGCTCGAGCAGAGGCACAAGCACAACAAGGCCTGCTGCCCGCTGGAGGGGGTCAGGCCATCACCCCAGCAGGTCAGACTAGACTTCGGTGGCCACAAACCCCTATCCTGGGTTTTGAAAAACTTTGCTTTTGCTCACCCTTCCTGTTGATCTCCCTGCTTTGTGTTTTCTTCTGGTAACATCACATAGTTGTCAGCTGTTCCTCTTGTTTGACTGCCAGCCCCTGTGGGGAAATCAGGGTTTCCAGGCCCAAGCGCTGGGCAGCCAGGGTAAGGTGCAGCTCTCTCTCCCTGCAGACTGAGTATCGTAATAAGTGTGAGTTTCTGGTTGGCGTCGGGGTGGATGGGGAGGATAACACCGTGGGCTGTCGGCTCGGCAAGTACAAGGGCGGGACGTGTGCTGTGGCAGCCCCGTTTGACACCGTGCACATCCCCGAAGCCACCAAGCAGGTGGTGAAGGCCTTCCAGGAGTTCATCCGGTGAGGACCTGTGACGGGGCTCCCGGGAAGTCCTATGCGGTGTGGGAGCAGAGGGTGGTGATCCTGCCCCGGGAATTCTGGAGTGCCTGCCATTTCAGCCAGATGAAGGAAGGTGTGGCCAGAGGAGAGAGCAGGGGGACTGCTTGCCCAGTTGTGGGCACTTGGGCCAGCTCGTGATTCCCACAGGTCCACTCCATACTCGGCATACGACCCAGAGACGTACACAGGCCACTGGAAGCAGCTGACTGTGCGCACCAGCCGCCGCCACCAGGCCATGGCCATTGCCTACTTCCACCCCCAGGTCTCAACGGGGGCCCTGCTGGGGGAGGGTGCCTAGCCTAGGTGGGCCTCAGCACAGCCTGATGGGAACTTTTCACCACTTACTCCAGAAGCTGAGCCCTGAGGAGCTGGCAGAGCTGAAGACCTCCCTAGCGCAGCACTTCACAGCAGGGCCAGGCAGGGCCAGTGGAGTGACCTGCCTCTACTTCGTGGAGGAGGGACAGCGGTAAGGAGCCCGAGTGGGGCGGGGCAGGTCCCTGCAGGGACTGTGACACTGAAGGACCTGCACCTTCGCCCACAGAAAGACTCCTAGCCAGGAGGGCCTGCCCCTGGAGCATGTGGCTGGGGACCGGTGCATCCACGAGGACCTGCTAGGGCTGACCTTCCGGATCTCTCCACACGCCTTCTTCCAGGTAGCCATGAGTCCCTGGTGGGCATGGGGACATGTTGAGGGAGGCCTGACGCACCATCAGGACGTGATGGGAACAGTGGGCTCAGGCGGTGAGATTTGGGGGAGTATCCAGGCAGGTGAGCCACAGGGGAGGGTGAAGTAAGAAAGAGGTTGGTCATCACTGATTTGACTCGGGATAACCTAGAGGTACACACGGCAGTGGCCCTTGTCACAGGGAGGATGAGGAGTGGCCCTCAGTGCATTACCACAGGGCACTGCTCTGGGCTCGGCAGGAGGGAGGCCATGGTGGCCTCTGGGCTGGGAAATACTGTTTCACTGTTTGCTCACTGCTGCAGGAAGGCTGTGGGGACCTGGAGCGGCCGTTTTTGGAGACAGGCCTGGCAGGACCTCCTGGAGGGCTAGGTGTGGGGGTGGGAGCTGCAGTTGGGTGATTCCAGGGGCCCCGGTGTGAGTTGTGGGAGGCAAAGCCCCCTTGCTGGGGCAGGGAAGGTACAGCCTATTGGCCTGCGGGGCCTCATGAGCCCTCAACCAAGTGGGGCAAGGAGGAGGCTGTGCTTAGCACGGGCTTGGCTTTTAAAGCCAGGGGCTGGATGAGGGCATCAGCAAGGCTGGTCCAAGGTGGGGTCAGGGAAGACGTTGGGCACCAAGGTGGGGAGTGGGCGCCGGAGGTCCCGGCAGGATGGAGGGACCAGGAATGTGGGCGTCGGGGCACCAGTGGCACCACAGGAGAGGAGCCACTGACATCCTGGGCACCGCCTGCCCCCAGGTGAACACACCCGCAGCCGAGGTGCTCTACACAGTCATCCAGGACTGGGCCCAATTGGATGCGGGGAGCATGGTGCTGGACGTGTGCTGTGGCACCGGCACCATTGGCCTGGCCCTGGCCCGGGTGAGCCCTCCTGCCCTGCTGAGGGCACCCTCTCCCCACCCCAAGACCCCCATTGACCCCAGCTCAAAGTCACCACAGCTGACTCCATCATGCCCCAGGCCCAGCTCCTCTTTGCTGCCCACAGGGCCCCATGTACTCCCCTCCCTGGGTGGGGCGACACCACGCTTTCCTGTTTCAGAAGGTAAAGAGGGTCATTGGGGTCGAGCTATGCCCAGAGGCTGTGGAGGACGCCCGGGTGAACGCCCAGGACAATGGTGAGTGGCAAGGCCGTGGGTGGGGGTGGGGATGGGGGCAGCCGCCACCCCTGCTGCAAGCCTCAGCCACAGCCAGGGCTTGGGGGCTGCCCGACAGGTAGAGCAAGTGAGCAAGCTCTTTGGCTAGGGGTTCCCCAGGGCTGGCCCTGCTGGGAGGGCATGTGGCCCTCTGACAGGCCACGGTGCCATCTCTTCAGAGTTGAGTAATGTGGAGTTCCACTGCGGGAGGGCCGAGGACCTGGTGCCCACCCTGGTGAGCAGACTGGCCTCCCAGCACCTCGTGGCCATCCTGGACCCACCCCGTGCTGGCTTGCGTGAGTGGCTTTTGCTTAAGGAGGTGGCACGGGAACGAGGACACATGGGGTGGCTCACCATGTTATGCACTCTCTGGCTGTGGGGACCCAGCTGGTGTTTGCCTCCTCAGATTCCAAGGTGATCCTGGCCATCCGGAGAGCTAAGAACCTCAGGCGGCTGCTGTACGTCTCATGCAACCCCCGGGCAGCCATGGGCAACTTTGTGGAGTGAGTGTCTGCAGGGGCCTGGGTGGGGGCTAGGCCTGCTACCAAGCCCCCAGCTCCCACAGGAGCCCCTGATTAGCCTATCGGCTGACCTTAGCGCCCCCCTTTTCCCCCCACAGCCTCTGCAGAGCCCCATCTAACCGGGTGAAGGGCATTCCCTTCCGGCCGGTCAAGGCTGTGGCAGTGGACCTGTTCCCGCAGACCCCGCACTGTGAGATGCTCATCCTGTTTGAGAGGGTGGAGCACCCCAATGGCACAGGGGTCTTGGGGCCCCACAGCCCTCCAGCTCAACCCACACCAGGACCCCCAGATAACACCCTACAAGAAACTGGGACCTTCCCCTCATCCTAGGCCCAGGACCCATTATGGGGACAGGAGCTGAAGGGCTCCCAGGGCCCCAGGGGCGGGGAAGGCATGGCTTGCTGGCCAGGATATTCAGAGGTAGGCAGCCAAAGGGCACAGAACCCTGTGCCCCACCAGGATTGGCCTGCTGCTAGGGGCCAGGGGCCCTGACCAGGAAGACAGGTGGGTTCCTGTAGCCTGTTGCCCATCCCCAGGGCCTTTGTGGACTAGCCAAGGCTGTGAGGGCCAGAATAAACAACTGCTCAACAAAGGGTGTTTCTGTGATGAGAGCCAGGGGTCTGAACACAGGGCCTGGGTGCCAGGGAAAGGGCCAAACTAGGCCTAGGCAGCTCTGCAAGCCTCTCTGCATGGCTGGGGGAGTCAGGGCAGAGCTTACTTTAAAAAAGAATGTTCGATTTGATACTTAAACTTGAGGAGAGGCAGAGAGAGGTCTGGGAACTGCACCAGCTGGGGGCATGGGGTGGAGAACACTGGGCAGAGTTGGCCCCTCTGTGGCCAGCCTGGCCCTCAGCCCAGCAGAGAGGGCATCAACCAAGGAAGGGGCCATGCTGGGGTGCTGCTCAGCTGTTACAAAGGCAGGGTCCAGCCTGCAGGGAGGCCCCAGGAGGGGATCTGGCCAGTCAAGGGTCCACAGGGTGCCAGCCTCTCACCCTCAGAATAAAGACATCAGCCATTCCCTTCTGGACAGTTTGCTTTATGTGTTCAGACAATCAAGGCTCGCCTTCCAGGCACAGCCCAGTGCCCTGGATGGCATCAGCACAGGCTCCCCTGCCCCGGCCTTGAAGCATGGCTGTGTGCACGATTCATACCCATGCTTGGCAGACGGGTGGGGGGGGGGGGGGGGCGCACAGAGACCACAAGAGTATGGCAGCACCTGCTGTGGTGGTGCCTGGGAACAGCAAGACACAGCGAGGCTCCCCAACCTTTAGGGGAACACATGTGCACGAAGCTTTGGTTCACAGGCGCATCTGGCTGGCTAAGGGCAACAGTCACAGTCAAATGACTATTCACAGCTGCAGACAGGAGGCAAGACAGAAGCAAGTGTCTAATTATAGCAATTTGAGTTGAGGGTTTCTTTTTTAAAGGTCAACAGAAGCCAACCTTGGTCACACAGGTAGTGAGGGAAGGATATGTTGTGGGCGGCCCACAGGCCAACATTGTTTTCCTGACAGAAAAAAAAAAAAAAGCGCCATCAGTACCGCCTGTAGGGGGCATGGTGGGGGACAGACACGGCAGAACGCTGGACTCTTGCTTCAGATGGCGCACCACAAGCACACGGCACTCTGCACAGGTGCCAGTCCACCACCAGGGCCAGCCTTTGAGCACACCCTGGTGCCTCAGACTCCGGCAGGAACACATTTCCATCGCACACCCACCCATAGGGGCCACCAGTCGAGAAGCAAGCTGGGCACCAGGCAGCTGCCTTTGACATCCAGAGAAACCGCTGTCACAGGCAACAGCTCTGGATCAAGAATGGGCTACACTGAAGGCCCTTGCTTCCTGTTTCAACAAGTCCACTTGCTAAAATGCATGATTCCAAATCTACCTTCTACTCTCACTGTGAAAGTCTTTCAAAATGCTAAAATATCACAAAAGCTTTAAAAATCAATGGGTGGACATATGGACTCGACTGCAAAAAATCTTTGTAAAAAACTGTTGCCGGAGGCCAGGAAAGGCAGAGAGGGCCTCAGTGTCCAAAGAGGCGCTTTTAGGGAATTAAGACTTCATCAGAAAAAGGGACCCTAGGAGGCCAGGGTAACTCCAGGAGGTGGCAGGACGTCATCCTTGCTGGCATCGTGTCCAGACTGGAGAGGGACCACCTTGATGGTTTGCCTCCAATCCCAGAAAGCTAGTTCTGATGCTAAAATTCTGTTTAAGCCAAAAAGGTTTAAAATATTCCTTTCTCTTCTACCTTTTCAAAGAAGGGGAAACACAGAGGGTGGGTGAGGGCAGGGCACCATGTGCACCTCCTGACCAGGTCCCTGTAGCAGCCCTGCAGGCGCCCTGGGCACATGGGCCACCTGGCATCACGGGCCAGCCACAGGACTCAGCCATCCCCTCTCATCTGTCATCCAAGCATCATGTGTCGTCAGTGCGTATTACATACTAAAATTCATGAAAGCCTTCATAAAAAGAGCCTGCAGCAGGTGCACAGAAGCAGGGTCCACCACTGTCCACAGTCACCAGCTGCCACTGGTGCAGTCGCTGAGTCCATCCATTCAGGCCTGGAGCTTTCCAGGGAGAGCCGCTGCTCCACATGTGTGCTGTGTGGCCATGGCTGTCCCTGTACACTAAAGCCTCCACCCTAAGGCCGGGCCCACAGGTTGGCCACAGGGAAGGAGCGTGGGTTGGAGGCCTGACACTGTGGTGCACGATGCATGACTGCTGGTCTCCTCAGAAGTGCGGCTGGCGGCCCCCGCGCCCTGGCCCGTGCCACCTCCCTCACACGTCCACGGTGCACAGGGGCTCACCGCCAGGCTGGGCGGACGCCACAATGGACATCTTGGGCTTCTTTCGAGTCTCCTCCTGAAAGAACAACAAAGGTCAGGGGTACCAGTGAGGTGGGCTTGGCAGAGGCTCGGGAAGACACAAGGTGGAGGGAGAGCCCAGCAGATCATGCCAGGAGGCCCTGGAGCCCCAACGGCACCAGTGCTTGTGATGCCAGGCTAGGAGGAGCAGGGAAGGCCTGGGGCAGGCCAGCCTGAGATTGCAGAGGCCCCCTGCATTGCCATCAGAGTACAACATGTGCAGCCTCCCTGGCAATCAGGACATGTACCAAGAAGTGAAGAATTTTGGGTGCAGTTACAGGGACAGGCCAGGCCTCCCCATTGGGTGTTCCTCCCTTGCCCAGCTTTTGCTTGCCCCAGGCCCAGCCAGGAGCACTATGTCCTGCACCTGCTGCCCTTGAGCCCCACAGCCCCTCTTCCGACCAGGGGCAAACCAGGCAGTCCCACTGGCTCCAGGAGGCCAAGCCCCACCCCAGGGAGCAGCAAGGGACCTGCTGGCCTGGGCGGCAGCAGATACCTCCTGGGGCTCTCACCCAGGCCAGGGGACTGCCACACTTAAGAAAGCTCCCACCCAGAAGGCCCAGGTGGGCAGGTCACGCCGTGGCCAGGCAGACGATGCCTGAAGACAGAAGACACCACTGCCAGCCTGACAGGCCCCTCTTTGAGTGGGGTTCCCAAGGTGGCTTTAGGAGGCTTCATCAGGACCAAGCCCTACAGATTCAACCCTGGCAGGTGCACTGACCTACCTCCAAACACCCAGGGAGGACATGGGACTCAGGTGGCCCACCAAGACTGTGACCTTCATGGTCCACCAACAGGCTGGCCTGCCAGCTCTCTAACAACAGAACCAAAACTGAAGTGATTTATAAAACTATCACACATGTCGAAGCTCAAAGAAAAGCCTGTATCTGATTTTGGAAGGAGGATCCAAGCATTTCCAAGGTGTCAGCTCAGGCACGGGTCCTGGGGTCTGCTGTCCCTCCACAGGTGCCACAGGAATGGCCGTGGCCCGGCAGCCCTCCCGCTAGGGTGGCACTCACCCTTTCCTCAGCTAGCCTCTTCATCTCCTCTTGGAGCTTGCTGAGGATGTGCAGGTTGGGCTTGTTCTTCTTGGCATACTGCTGCAGCTCAATCACACTCTTGTCCGATGTCTCCTGGGAAGTATAGCACCTCACGCTCAGGACTGCAGGCTGTAGCTCTACGGCCTGCCCGCTGCCCAGCAGCTGTGTGCCTGGGACCCTGAAGGCAGGCGCGCCCAGGGTCTGGCAGACACGAAACAGCCAGGAGCTGTGGCAACATAACTGCATGCTGACTGGCCCGCCTCAGTGATGCCAGGCCCACTGACAGCAGCAGAGAGCGAGGGGCAGTCCATAGCTGCCAGGCCTTTCTGCCCACACCACGCCACTTATATGGCCTCCTGCCATGGGCAGAGTAGGGAGGTGAGGTGCTCGTGGTGCCCAGAGTCCTCATCAAGGAGTGAAACCAGAGTGTGGCCATAGCCAGTAAGAACAGCACGCTGCAGCCCAGCCCATCAGCCTCAGGCACTGAGCTCTCTGCACACTCCATGAATGCAGAGCAGCATCAGGCTGGCCTCAGCCCCTTCCCGTCTTAGGCCAGCCCCAAGGGTGCTGTGGTTCCTCGGGATGCCAGAGCTCCCCCAAGCTGTGGCTGTGCCTGGCTGGGACCTTTCCCCCTCCTGCTCAGGGAAGTTTCCCACCCCCGGGCCAGAGTGGGGCTTGCCTTCTCTCCCTCCGTCACAGCCAAGGACCATGCACAGCAAGGGCAGAAGCAAGTGCTACCTACATTTCAACTTGCTTCCCAAAAATCTCTCTCAAGTTCCTTAACATGCCCTGGTGGCCCGTGTGAGCCCCCTCACCCTCCCTTATCATGTCCAGAGTAAAGGCCTCTTCGGGGACAGTGCCGAGGCCTCGGTCTCAGGGACCTAAAGGCAGGCCCTGCTCTTGGCAGCTGGCTTGGGCAGAGGGCCCACCCACCACACAGTCCTAGGGCTGCCCCACCTGCAGGCCTAACCCCTCCACAACTACTTCCCCTTCCAATGACCAGGAGGGCAAGAACCCAGAGAGTTTCTGTAATCATTTGAGGAAAATGATTACACTCACCTCCCCATGTTACCCTCCACCCCTCAGGAGTGGGCACTGGCTTACACTGCAGGATGTTGGCCACAACAGCAGAAACAAGACAGATGGTACACATATGCTCTTCTGTTAGAGATGGACCGGCACTGGTACCAGGGAGAGCTACCCTGACACACTCGCTCTCCTTCAAGCAGGGAGAGCTGGCCCTGGCTCCTGAGCCTTTGCACACCTCCGAGCCGGGCGCACCTTCAGCATCTCCTGCCTGGCCCTGCCTTGCACTTTGGCCATCTCCCTACAAGCCACATAGCTGGGCCCAGCCTGCGTTCCCAATCACCCACACTTCACTGACCATGCCCAGCAGGCTGGGATAGGAGATGTAGCTGGGACGACCCCACCCCTGCCCACAAAGCCACACAAGTGGCCCAGGAGAGAGGCAGCTGTGAGCAACAGCAGAGCTGCCCAGCTCTGCCCCCTCTGAGCACAGAGCCTCAGGAATACGCTCCAGGGTGGCAGCACAGGCTGCCCTGGGACCTGCTGATGGCCAGTTACCTGCTTGACCATCTTGCTGCTCTCACGGCCATACATGCGCAGTAAAGACCCCCAGTTCTTGACATGTGGGTGCAGCAGCTGAAGGATCTTCTGTGAGGCTAACTGCTTTCCAACTCTCTTGTTCTTACCTACACAGAGAAAGAGCAAGCATGGAGAGGGGGTCACAAACACCCAGTGCTCATGGGGCCCCCTGCCGCTCCCAGCCCTCCTGACCCACACCCCGAGGGCCAGCCAGGGCACATTCTACAGGAATAGGCAGCACTCTGCCACTGCTCTGGGCACCTGAGTCTCACAGTACCCAGCTGCCACCTTGAGAGAGTGGCCCTCAGAGTCTAGGAGCTGAGGACACTACCACTCAAAGCCACGCAGCCGAGAGCCTCCCTCCCGCCAAGACGCACACCTCCAGAAACAGGGAGCAGCAGGATTCTGCTGGCTGTTCGAGGAGGAGGGCCTTTCCTCCTGCCACAGGGACAAGGGCTGGACGGAGACAGGGGTGACAGCGGGGGAAAGGGAAAAGACAGGGAAAGTGCAGGCAGGACGGCTGCCAGTCCGCCTTAGGCTGAACGTGTGGTGGCCAGCACACACAGCTGGGCTCAGGGACAATGCCAGGGCAACAGCTGAGACCAAGCCACAGAGGCGCAGGGCCACACCAGGGGCCGCCCGCCCAGCGGCCACCAGGCAGCAGAGAAGGAGTCCTTACACCACCCGCGCACTGTGTGCTTGCCACACGCCATGACGTATTCACTCTTCTGGTTTTTCCCAGGAACCACTTCAAACTTGATAGACGTGTCACCCATCCCATGGTTTCTTTAAGAGAAAACAGACAACAGATGGCGTCCCCTGAGCAGAGCAGCCAGCTGCCTCTGAGGAGGCCTGCTCTGGGAAGCCCTTAGGAAATGACCAAGCCTCTCCCCAGACTGCATCTCAGCCAGAGGAGGGAATTCTCCACACGCCCGATTCAGGCCTGTGGGACTGACTGGTGGCCAGGGCCAAGGGGCTGCTGTGTACCCAGGGAAACCTGGCCATGCCTCTGCCTTGGGACAAACAGCCACAAGAATATGAGACGCCAGAGAGGAGCTCCCCCGACCTGACTCATGGGGGGAGGCACCCCCCTACCCTACCTTTTAAGGCACTCGTGGAGGATCTGATATGGAGACAACAGCCCAGCCTTGCTGGTCAGCTCGTAGACCCGCGAGTCCTCGATGCTGATGTGGTTAAAATACTACAACACAAAGCAGAGGCTTGTGAGTCCCCACCAGGCCCACCGGCCTCTTCATGGCTGGGCCTGCGGTTGGCTTTCCCCAGATGCTTAATGTCTGTTCTTGTGAGCTCGCCTAGCACTTCATACCTCAACTCTGCAAGGAACCCACCGGGTACAAGACATGCTCCGTACCTCACCGTCCAGTTGCCCATCTCCAGAGCCCACAGCACCCTTCCACCCTGAGCACTGTGGGATGGAGTCTGGTATCCTAAGAGGGCCCCAGGTACATGGCTGGCTGGCCAGGCCCACCTTATTTGGATCTGATTCTGATCCATAAGGCACCCTTCTCAGAACTCTATAAAGATAAAGCACCTTTGCAGAGAGGCTTTACTATTGCCACAACTGAGACTACAGGAGAGGGAAAGTCAGCCAGACCCAAAAGCTGGCCTTAAAAGGCCCAGCTCCCCAAAGGCCAAAGCCCCACACAGCTACACAGAGCCCAGCCCCAGGTGGCCAGCAGAGGCCCAGCCCAGCAAGGCTTCCAACAGTGTCATCACCCTGGCTCTGCAGCCAACCCAAGAACACACAGGAAGGACAAGAGAGGCAGACAGGGAAACAAGAGGTGATGGGGAGATTCCACACAGTGAGGCATAGGGAAGCTGCAGCAGGCTGAGGTGCAGAGACATTGCCCACTGTGCCTTCCCAGACTAGGACTTTGGCTGAAGCTGAGAGTGCCTCCTGGGTGAAAGGAAGATGCTATCCAGCCCACTCTGGAGCATGGACAACCTCCCTGGTGGAGCTCCTGTGACAACATACCACAAAGTCAGTGGCTTAGAACAAGAGGTTTATTCTCTCACCATTCTGAAGTCTGAAATCAAGGCCTCAGCAGGGCCATCCTCTTTCAGAAGCCTCTAGGGAGCCTCTGCCAGCTCCTGGTGGCCCCGGCATCCCTTGGCTATGGCAGCATTGCTCCGATTTTCATATGGACTACTAGCCCTGCCCCTCCTCCCTCTTCTTAGAGAAACACCAGACACACTGGATCACACCACTGCTCTGCTTCAGTGTGATCTCATGTTAACCTAATTCTATCTGCAATCATCCTCTTTCCAAAAAAGACCACACTTTGAAGCACTGGAGATTACCCATCAGCCACACCCTCACAGTGCTTCCCCCACTGGCCCTGTTCTGGAGGGGTCTGCAGGGACCTGGAGCCTGCCTGGCCCATGGGCAGCGAGGAAACCTAGAATCAAATGATTCACACGCCTCGCTGTGCAGGCTCCACAGTGTGCCAAGCCCGCTCCACAGGGACACTGGCCCTACAGACAGGGCAGTGGGCAGCTCCTCTGCCCTCGCCGCTCCAGCAAGCAGCAAGGCCAACTCGCTGCAACTGCATAGAAGAGGAAGGCACTAGCCCTGAGGTTGGCAAGCGAAAAATCCTCGAGGTATGGCTTGGCTACTGTCTTCAAATAGGTCCCCAGAAGACACTGCTCCTCTCAAGTGCACAAATCAACATGGGTCTTTTTCCAGGGAAGGTCACTCACCAAGACATCAGGCCCTGGAACCTCAAGGGTTTGTCAACCAGCCAACCAATTAGCAACGTCCAGTGCTGTCGGCCCACAAGAACCCACATACCCCACGGCTTCGGGACTGGCCCTGGAGAAGCTGAGGCAGTGGCTGACACACACACAGCTAGAGAGCACGCTCAGAAGTTTCTGGCAAAAGACCGACGCCAGCCGGGCGCGGTGGCTCACGCCTGTAATCCCAGCACTTTGGGAGGCCGAGGCGGGTGGATCACGAGGTCAGGAGATCGAGACCATCCTGGCTAACAAGGTGAAACCCCGTCTCTACTAAAAATACAAAAAAAAATTAGCCGGGCGCGGTGGCAGGCGCCTGTAGTCCCAGCTACTCGGGAGGCTGAGGCAGGAGAATGGCGTGAACCCGGGAAGCAGAGCTTGCAGTGAGCCAAGATTGCGCCACTGCAGTCCGCAGTCCGGCCTGGGCGACAGAGCGAGACTCCGTCTCAAAAAAAAAAAAAAAAAAGACCGACACCAGGATGCCCTGCACCAAGCTGCCTGAGGCCACATGTGCTACTGAGGGTTAACCCGCCAGGGACAGGTGGAGGCTCCAGCTCATGAGAGCAGACAGATGGCAGAAGTGACCTGCAGACAAATCCCTGTTGCTTCTGACAAACAGCACAGGAGAAACCTAAGCAATCAGTGCCTGGCAGATGCCAAAGGACCGTGTGGGAGCACCACAGACGCCCGACACCTCTACATTCCACTATCTATATGAGATGGACCAATGCCTGGCAAGACACAAACTATCTCAGTAGCCTCAACAGCCCTACACCTGTTCAAGAAACTCAACAGTAGTTCAGAGTAGTCATAGTTATAGTTAGTAGTTCATACAGTAGTAGTTTAAAACTTTCCCATTAGGAAAACTCCAGGCCCAAATTTTAAGGAAGAAATGATACCAATCCTATATCTGTCCTGCCCTTCTGAAAAACTCAGGAGGAGGGCTACTTCCCACTTCGCTTGATGACACTACCCGTACCATGACCTTAACACCAAGAACACAGATGCAGCAGGGAACTAGCAAATTAAAGCCATTAACACATGAAAAGGAACATATACCATGCCCAAGTAGGACTTATCCCAGGAACACATTTTTAAAAAAACAACGTAATTAACTACATTAACAAATTAGAGAAGAAAACTGGATAAGGAATCTACAGAAAAACTACTAGAATAAATCAGTGCAAATAAAACAAATTCTAGCTCTGTAAGCTAGCAATAAACAATCAATTGGAACTAAGGTACTATTCATCACAGTGCCATACATAAAATATTTAACTATAAATCTAGTAGAATATACACAGGGCCTGTGTGATGAAAACTGCCGACCACCCATGAAAGATATCAAAGAAGACCTAAATAAATGAACAGATGAACTATGTTTATGATTTGGAAAATCCAATATTGTTAGGATGTCCATTCTCCCCAGATTGATCTACAGGATCAATTCCAATCAAAATGCAGGCAGATTTTTTTTTTTTTTTTAAGATGGGGTTTCGCTCTTGTTGCCCAGGCTGGAGTGCAATGGCACAATCTCGGCTCACTGCCACCTCACCTTCCGCCTCCTGGGTTCAAGCGATTCTCCTGCCTCAGCCTCCTGAGTAGCTGGGATTACATGTGCCCGCCACCACGCCCACCTAATTTTTGTATTTAAGTAGAGATGGGGTTTCACCATGTTGGCCAGGCAGGTCTCGAACTCCTAACCTCAGGTAATCCACCCACCTCGGCCTCCCAAAGTGCTGGGATTACAGGCGTGAGCCACTGCACCCAGCCCAGAATTTTTTATAGAAACTGACATATTGTTTCTAAAGTCTACATGGAACAGCAAAGGAGCTAGAATAGCCAAAACAATTTTTTGAGAAAGAATAACGAAGTTGGAGGACTCCCAGTATCAAGACTTCAAGTCATCAGGAAAGTGTGGCATCAGGAAAAGGACACACAGCTCGAAAGACAGTAGACAGCCCCAAAACAGACACACTTCCACGGTCACCTAGTGACTGAGAAAGGTGTGAGGGCAATGCTAACATAAGCGTGCACCTGCCACACAGCCCAGCAACCCCATCCCAAGGGTTTACCTGAAGGAAACGAATCCGCCCATCACACACAGACCTGGACGACCTTACAGCAGCCTTACTGCCCATCACCAAAACCCAGAAACCTGTCAGTGTCCCTCAAGGAAGAATGGAGAGACGCACTGAGGGGCACAGCCACCTGGTGGCCAGCACTCAGGAGTACAAATGACCACACGACGGATGCGTCACACCACACCAAGCCAGAGGCCAGGTTCAAAGGCTACGTACCAGGTGACTCCACTAAGAGGACATTCAGGATCTGGCAAAACTACAGGGGCAGTTCAGTGCCCACCAGAGGATACAGGTGGGAGAGTTTGACCAACAAAGAAGAATGTTGGAATGTACAGAAATGTTCTGCATCTTGATTGCAGTGTTGGTTACATGACTGTGTATTTGTCAAAACTCACAGTACTGTACCAAAAAGTGAATTTAACTCTATGTAAATTTTAAAATAAGATGAAAAAAAAAAAAGAAAACACTTGGTCACTAATACCTAAATTTAATAGCCATGAACCACCAACCCACAGCTAGCAACAAAATACCAAGAGATCACCACAAGCTTTGTGAAAAGGAAATGATGCCAGTTGTTCCTTTTTTCCCTTTTTAATCAAGTAGCATACACGCGTGGCCACCACACCTCACAGGCATCAACCCGCCCCTCCTGACATGTCAACCCCACCTCCGGAGTCCACACAAGGAGGGGATACTACCCCACGCCCCAGGCTGTCCAGGGGACAGTCCAAGGACAGGTGTTGGCACCTCTGCACAGGCAGCTGGGAGGAGCAGGGGGCGGGGACACAACCTGAGAGCCTCGCTAGGGAGGACCAGCAAATAGAAACTTCCCAGGAACAGGAGATGGCCACCCCTGTCTAAACACCCCCACCACCCTACAACGGAGGGAAAAGCTACTTTCCCCTCTGACAGATTTTTAAATGGGGACATCACAGATGACATATATACATTTTTTTTTTTTTGAGACATATTCTCGCTCCGTCGCCCAGGCTGGAGTGCAGTGGCGCAATCTCAGCTCGCTGCAAGCTCCGCCTCCTGGGTTCACGCCATTCTCCTGCCTCAGCCTCCCGAGTAGCTGGGACTGCAGGCGCCCACCACCATGCCCGGCTAATTTTTTGTATGTTTTTAGTAGAGACGGGGTTTCACCGTGTTAGCCAGGATGGTCTCGATGTCCTTACCTCGTAATCTGCCCGCCTCGGCCTCCCAAAGTGCTGGGATTACAGGCGTGAGCCACCGCGCCCAGCCCACAGATGACATATATACAAATAAGAGGGTCAAAGAGCTTCTCAGGAGGGGCACATACAAAAGGCACCCTAAACCAAGGCATGGCATCATAAAAACACACGGTCTTCTCTCAGGTTCCCAGAACAGAGTTCTTAAAACCCTGAGGATTTCCTGAGTGCTAGGTTTGTCTTTTGTGATTCAAAACGACCCCACCACAGAGCTTATGCTGAGGAGGTGGCCAGGGTGGGCTCCCCGGAGAAATCAAATGTGTCAGTAGAGGGGAGGAACTTTCAGCCCTTCATGAAAAATAAGTTTCATAAGTAAAATTTTTCCTGAGTTCCTGAGTCCTAGCAAATTTCCAAGCACGAGGAGGGGTCCTGTGCCGGGTGGCAGGGGCCCCCATTTGCGGCTGGCACAGGAAGTGGGGGCAGTCCCACGAAACTGAGCTCCTTACCTGGGGAGATATGACGCTAGCTCCAGACAGGCTGCAGTGTGGGAGGATCGGAGTAGGGGTGTGGAAAAAGCCCCAGGCAGGGGAGTCTACAGCGGAAGCCACCACATGCCCCACCCCCATGTCCTTCTCCACCTGGGGAAACCTCTTCTTTCTCAGACTACTTTGCAATGTGGTTTCTGCAAAGCCTCTCCACTTCACAGAAGAACCCCAGAGTGGAGGCTGAGAACCTGACTCCCCGCTGGGCCCTCTCCTGGCACCAGAAACCACAGTGGTTCATGGACATTTCCACCACCCCATAGCAAAGAACAGGCAGGGCTTTTACTCAGACAGGAAGGCAGCGTGAGACCTACACAACTCAGGCACCATCGTCTGCAGCAACCCATACTAAGAGTTTTGGTGGGCCAGGGTCTACGCAAGCACTTCCCCAGAGGGCCTTGGAAGCCTCCCTGGGAGCCATATTTCCCACGGTTGGGTCACTCAGAAATAAAATCAAATGTGGCCAGGTGCAGTGGCTCACGCCTATAATCCCAGCACTTTGGGAGGCCAAGACGGACGGATCACGAGGTCAAGAGATAGAGACCATCCTGGCCAACACGGTGAAACCCCATCTCTACTAAAAATACAAAAATTAGCCGGGCGTGGTGGCGTGCACCTGTAGTCCCAACTACTCAGGAGGCTGAGGCAGAAGAATCGCTTGAACCCAGGAGGCGGAGGTTGCAGTAAGCAGAGATCGAACCACTGCACTCCAGCCTGGCAACAGAGCGAGACTCCATCTCAAAAAAAAAGGGACAAATGTGACTCTTCCTGGAACAGCTAGTACTTGGAGACTGTGCTTGATCCACATGTGGTCTGCAATCTGTCTGTAGCCTGTCCACGATGAAGCAGTTACATAAAGCACAGAAAACATGTAGAAACTTGAGAGCAAGAGACTAGGTGTGGTGGCTCACGCCTGTAATCCCATCATCCTGGGAGGCTGAGGCAGGAGGACTGCTTGAAGCCAGGAGTTCAAGAAACTTAAGAGCAAGTTAGTACTACCATAGACACTTAACCATATTTTATAACAGCACCAGTCCACAAAGATGAGAAAACTTTACAAAACCCATCCTAAAGTAGTTCTGGAATGGCCGAATAAGGACCTCCAAAATCTGCTCTCCTCCATTAAAGCAACAAGAACACTAGCAAAAATGGTCAGAATTAATTCTTTCAGAACCCTGGAAACTAAAGAAAGGCTTTCAACAATCTGAGGAGTGTTGATTCAAGAAAGACAACGAGTCTTGCTAAGAACAAGGAGTTGCTGGCATCTTAACTCGCCCCATTCCCAGCCCTTCTCCCCAGCTCAGTGGTAGCCACTCAATGGAGAACGGGTCCTCAAGGCCCCAGGCCCAGAGAACTGTCACTGTTGGGTTTACCTGGCCACCCTCTGGAAAAGCCTCATGGCAGGATTTGTCTTTATTTGATCTCACTCAGTGAAAACAGCCCAGTTCCTGAGGGCTTTTGTCAAAAGGAACCAGTGGCAACTGTTTCACCCTGCAGCTGCCAGAGGCTGGGGCACTAGTTGGGCAAACAAGAGGCTGGCCAAGAACCCAAGAAGGAAAAGCTGGAGATGTCCATGGGGCTCTGAAAGGCTCTAGCGTATGTCTGGAGATGACTGCGCACAGGCCCAGGAAAACCTCCCAGCTGACTGACCTGGAGACTCTGTGCAGGTGGCACACAAAGGCTAAGACAGTTGGCAGCCACCGGAGCACACCAGGTGAGCCCCACAGACCCACAGCTCTCATCACAGGCCGGGAGACTTACTGGCTCAGGGAATTTACGAAAATCCCTGTCCAAGCATCAGGAGACCACTCAGCTAAAGGGCCCGTGTATTCAGTGGCCACAAATCATAAAGAATACACACTTCACAGAATCAATCTAGGAAAGTCACTATTATGAGGTAAACTGTCACCCCCAAATTTACATGTTGAAGTCCCTCAGAATGCAACAGTATTTGGAGACAAGGTCTTTACAGAGGTCATCACATTACAATGAGGTCATTAGGGTAGGGCCTAATCCAGTGAGACAGGTGTCTCTATCAAATGGGCAATGTGGAGACCAGCATGCACACAGAGAGAAAGGCATGGACATGGAGATCGCTATCCTCCACCCACGGAGAAAGGCCTTCTCTTAGCCTTCTGACACCTTCATTTTGGACTTCTGGCTTCCAGAACTTTGAGACTATACATCTCTGTCATTTAAGCCTCCCAGTCTGTGACACTTTGTTACAGTATCCCTAGCAAACTGATACAGTCACAAATAGAGAGCAAGGACATATGACAAAAACTATAAACTTAAGGGAGGTGAGGTAATGTGATTTCCAGAGTTGCCATATATTTTAAATGTCCAATTCTTGACAATAACAAAAAATTCTGAGATATGCAAAGAAATAGGAAAGTAGAGACAGCCCATACATGAAGGGAAAGGCAGTTTAATATACACGCTCTCTGAGAACTGGACTTACCAGAAACAGATTTTACATCACCTACAGAAAACATACTCAAAGGACTAAGAAACCATGTCTAAAGAACTGAAGTATAATGCCAGCACAGTGGCACGTCTGTCATCTCAACAATTTGGGAGGCTGAGGTGGGCAGATTGCTTGAGCCTAGGAGTTCGAGACCAGCCTGAGCAATATGGTGAAACCCCATCTCTACCCCATATATATATATATTTTTTTTCTTTTTCCTTTTTTTTTTTTTGAGACAGGAGTCTCGCTCTGTCACCAGGCTGGAGCACAGTGGCGCAGTATCAGCTCACTGCAACCTCCACCTCCTGGGTTCAAGTGGTTCTTCTGCCTCAGCCTCCCGGGTAGCTGCAATTACAGGTGCCCACCACCACACCCAGCTAATTTTTGTATTTTTAGTAGAGACGGGGTTTCACCATGTTGGCCAGGATGGTCTCGATCTCTTGACCTTGTGATCTGCCCGCCTTGGCCTCCCAAAGTGCTGGGATTACAGGTGTGAGCCACCATGCCTGACCCTATATATATAATTAAAAAAAAAAAAAAAAAGAATTAAAGTATAAAAACAATGCATTACCCAATAAAGAATTTTTTTAAAAAAGACAGAAATTATGAAACAGTCACTAGAGGGGTTTACCAGCAGAATGTGAGCCAACAGAAGATAAAGGAGCAAACTTGAAGACAGGGCAATTGAAATAATCCACACTGAGGAACAGAAAGAAAAAAGTACAGAGAAGAAACAACAGAGCCTCAGAGACCTGTGATGTATCATCAAGTGTAACAATTTACTGATCAAGAAAAAGAAGAAAGCCTCAAATTACTGAAATCAGGAATGACAGCAAGGGACCATCACAACCATATAGAAATAAAAAAGGGTCATATGGGGATACTAGGAACAAATATATGCTAATCAATTAGATAATCTACATCAAATGGGAAAAAAATTCCAAAAAAGACACAAACTATCAACACTGGCTCAAGAAGAAATAGATAATCTCAATAGACCTATAACATGTAAGATTGAATTAGCAATTAAGTAGCTCTGGACAAAGAAAAGCCTGGGACCAGAAGGTTTCACTGAACGCAGTCTACAAAACATTTAAAAAATGAACACCAATCCTTCACAAACTATTCCACACAACAGAAGAAAATGGAACATGTTCCAACCATTTTATGAGGCCAGTATTATCCTGATACCTGTACCTGCTGTTACACTGGACAAAGATATCACAAGAAAACTACAGATCAATATTGCTTATAACTACAAATGCAAAAATCCTTAACAAAATACCAGCAAAATGAATCCAGCAACATATTAAAAAAATCATTATATGTCATGACCAAGTGGGATATATCCCAGGAATGCAAGGTTGGCTCACCATTCAAAAACCAATATAATACACTATATTACTAAAATAAAAGACAAAAAAAAACATGATCATCTGAATAGAAGCAGAAAAACATTTGACAAAATCTAACATCATTCCTACAAAAACTCTCAGCAAACCAGGAACAAAAGGAAATTTCCTTATTCTGATAAAAACCTACAGCTGACATAGCACACTAAGTGAAGGAAGCCAGTCACAAAAGACCACATATTGTATGATTCCGCTAATATGAAATGTCCAGAGTTGGCAGATATATAGAGACAGAAAGCAGATTAGTGGCTTTTGGTGGTTGGAGAGAACTAAGAGGGAATGCTAATGGGTATGGAGTTTCTTTTGGGGGTGTTGAGATACTCTAAAATTAGGTAGTTATGATGGTTATACAACTCTGAATATATAAAAATCCACTTATATAGTTTAAAAGGCCAAATTTATAGTATGTAAACTATCTCAATAAAGCTATTATATAAATAAGAATGCACCCTTCAAAATTCCACAAGCCCTTGCTACAAATAACCATTTACCCAAAAAGGTTTACAGCTAGTTTTAAATGGTTCTTCACATGGCTGACCCTTGAACAACATGGATTTGAACTCCATGGGCCCACTTATACAAAAATTTTCTTCTGCCTCTGCCACCCCTGAGATACCAAGGCCAACTCTTCTTCTTCCCCCTCCTCCTCAGCTATTCGACATGAAGATGTGGAGGATGAAGACCTTCATGATGATGTTTCCATTTCAAGAACAGTAAATAAATTTTCTCTTCCTTATGATTTTCTTAATAACATTCTTTTTGTAACTTACTTTAATGTAAGAATACAGTATATATCAGGGGTCCCCAACCCCCAGGCCATGGACTGGTACCAATCCATGGCCTGTTAGGAACCGGGCTGCATAGCAGGACATGAGTGGTGGGGGCAGGGGGAGTAAGTGAGCAAGTGAAGCTTAATCTGTATTTACAGCTGCTCCCCATCACTCATTTTACACCTGAGCTCTGTCTCCTGTCAGATCAGCAGTAGCATTAGATTCTCATAGGAGTGTGAACCCTATTGTGAACAGTGCATTCAAGGGATCTAGGTTGTGTACTCCTTATGCAAATCTAATGCCTGATGATCTGTCACTGTCTCCCATCGTCATCAGAGGGAACCATCTAGTTGCAAGAAAACAAGCTCAGGGCTCCCACTGGTTTTATATTATGGTGAGTTGTATAGTGATTACATTACATATTACAGTGTAGTGATAATAGAAATAAAAAGTGCACAATAAATGTGATGTGCTTGAGTCATCCTGAAACCATCCCCGCCCCCCAACACCGTCTGTGGAAAAATTGTCTTCCCTGAAACTGATCTCTGGTGCCAAAACTAGGTTGGGGACAGATGTAGTAATATGTACATAACAAAATATGTATTAATCAATTGTTTGTTACTGGTACGGCTTCTGGTCAAGAGTAGGTTACCAGTAAGTAGTTAAGGTTTGGGAGGACTGAAAGTGATGCGTGAATTTTCGACCACGTGAGAGGCTGGTGCCCCTAACTTCCACGTTACTCAAGGGTCAAGTATATAAAGAACAATCTAGGGCCGGGCGCAGTGGCTAATGCCTGTAATCCCAGCACTTTAGGAGGCGGAAGCGAGTGGATCACCCGAGGTCAGGAGTTCGAGACCAGCCTGGCCAACATGGTGAAACCCCATCTCTACTAAAAATACAAAAATTAGCCAGAAATGGTGGCACACACCTGTAATCCCAGCTACTCAGGAAGCTGAGGTGGGAGAATCACTTGAATCCGGGAGGTGAAAGTTGCAGTGGGTCAAGATCAAACTCTGTCACTGCCTGGGTGACAGAGCAAGACTTTGTCTCAAAAAAAAGAACAATCTAAATCTTGTAGACTGCCTCAAAGATTCATTCCCATCACAAACCTATGTGTACCCGACATTTACGGTGCACACTCAATGCTGCAAAAGAGGACAAAAATCTCTAACAAAAAGGACATTTTTTCCCTGCCTATACAAAGACAGGCAAGTTTCCTCTTTATGAAATACAAACAGAAGAACCTGGAGGCTGGATGAGACTAACCTACAGGGCATGGAAGGCATGAGCACAGCCCACGGACACCCCCAGCTCACACTAACAGGGCAGGGTAGCCGCACTGCACACACAGCTCCCAGCAGGGCAGGACCACAACACTCACCTCGAGTTCTTCACTGTCTTTGGGCTTCTCTTCAGAGGTCTGTTTAACAAAGTCAGGGATGAGGATTTCCAGTGTAGCTCGGGCTATGAAAAAAAAGAGCCCGAGGGTGAGGCTTGGGCACTGCCCTCTTCTCACCACCCTGCAGAGTGAACTGTGCACTGCTGCCTCCCATCCCCACAGCTCAGAGGCTGAGCGAGGGCCCTGAGGAGAGACAGCACTTCAGTGACAGGGTCAGGAGAGGACAGAAGGAAAAGCCCAGACGTGTGGCAGGCTACCAGAAAGCCTCACGGGCCACACTGGGTGTGTGCGCTCTCACCCTGGGGTCCTGGGAGCAGGCAGGGAGGAGCTCGGAGCTGTATGTTAGGGAACCACTTCGGTGGCACGTGAGAAAACAGCTTTGCGGGCCCTGGACCATGCAGGGAGGCCTGAGAGCAGGCTACTGCAGGTACCTAGACCAGGTGGCAGCAGCAGTGGCTGGCGTGGGTGGAGAGATGCAGCCAGGTCTGAGAGACGCTAGAGGGAGCTGCTAGAGGGCAGGGCACGGATATGCCCACTGGGGTCGGAGTTGCCATAGCCAAGGGCTGATGGCTCCATAGACCCCACAGAGCTATCAGTGCTGGCAAGACATGGAGCCAAGCTGTCTATAGGGCAGCCAAGAGTCTGGGCAAGGGAAGTGGGTTCCAGCACATAGGGAGGAAAGCGGGTGATCCCGCAGAGGGAAGAGCACACAGCCACGCCCAAGGCATCTCCACCCCCACAAAAGGCCCCACTGCAAGTTATCTGTCAAAACCTCCACCACACCCCCTTTGTTGAGCTGCAAAAGTCTCTTAGGCAGAATCTAAGATGGGCAGCAGGCCTTCTGGAAAACACACGGCAATGACAGATACCTCGAGAATCAACCTGTGGGTGCGAGGGCCTGGGGTACACCCAACACCACCCTACAAGAAGCCAACTAACCCTGGACGCTGAGGCAAATGGCTTTTTGTGAAAGAATGTCAACTACCACGAATGCAGGGCATGAATGCAAACGGCAAGGGCATGGTCCAAAAGGGCAGTGGGTCTTCGCCAGGACACACAGCCTTCCCAGAGCTGCGCTGTGCCAGGTGTTCTGTGTGGCTAGGCCCAAACATGGAGTGGGAGGACTCAGGAAATAGTGCCGGTAAGAGCCAGCACCACTGGGGGAGGATGCCAACAGCATGCTGGCCCGCTTCTCCTCCCTCCTGGCATGCCCACATGCTGCTCAGTTTAAAAACAAACAAGCACTACAGCATGTGCCCAGCACAGCCCAGTTGGCTCTAGGCACACCCCTGAATATGTGCAGGGCCAGGACTAGGGAGGGACATACTGGCCCAGCTGTCACTCAGTAGAGAGGCCTTCTACTTTTTTTTTTTTAGACAGAGTCTTGCACTGTCGCCCAGGCTGGAGTGCAGTGGCACGATCTCAGCTCACTGCAAGCTCTGCCTCGCTTGTTCACGCCATTCTCCTGCCTCAGCCTCCCGAGTAGCTGAGACTACAGGTGCCCGCCACCACACCCGGCTAATTTTTTGTATTTTTAGTAGAGAGAGGGTTTCACCGTGTTAGCCAGGATGGTCTCGATCTCCTGACCTCGTGATCTGCCCACTTCAGCCTCCCAAAGTGCTGGGATTACAGGCATGAGACACCACGCCCGGCCGAGGCCTTCTACTTTTAAGTCTCACATTTTGCTCTATTTGAGTCTTTTCCAATGAGCATGTAATTTTAAAAATCAAAGTAGATGATTACATAAATAAAATAAACATGCCCCACCCACATCCCCCACTTGTCACCACTGCTCAGCCCCTCCCTAACCAAGCAGCGAGGCAGACACAGCAGGCAGCACGTATCTTTGACACCCAAGCAAGCACGTTACCAGCTTTATTCTTCGCAAGTTTTTTGCTGCTTGCAGTTCCAGATCCGTAAGTCACACCATCAATGGTCACCGAGGCACCAAAAGGCTCACTTGGGTTCTCTTAAAATTAAAATTACTTGTTTTAAAACATACGAGTCAAGACATCAAAAGCGTGTGCACAGTCTGCCCACACCGACAGACAAGGCGCAGTCAGGGGCTGTCCCTGCAGAGAGTGGGCCTGTGCTTGACTGCAGAGACCTGGGGCTCCCTGGGACTGGAGACGGGCAGCAGACAAGCAGCAGCAAAGGGCACAGCTGGGAAAGTGGAGGGAAATGAGGCACGTGGGAGATGGTGAGCCAGAGGGGCAGCAGGAGGCTGGGGGCAGAGCCTCCTACGACAGGGACCAAGGTCTACGAAAGACGGACACAGGACTGCCGGAATGGGAAAGCACAAGATGTGGCTTGCCAAAGAAACACCACCTCAAAGGATGAGTGACCCCCAGGCTCCAGCTTCCAAGGGGAAGACAGACTGGTCTTCACAAAGGTGTGATGAGGGCACCCAAGGAAGACAGAGCTGGTGGGAAATGCATGCCCAAGAACCCTTCAGACACCCAGGGGCACCAGGAGACCAGGGAAAGGACCCAGTGCACAGTGGGGAGGCCTTGCTCGCAATAAGGCTGTCCATGACAACGCAGGATCAGAAACCAGCAAGGCAGATGGGGCAGGACAAGAGGAAGGTGGGGAGAGGGGACAGACTGGAAGGGAAAAGCAGAGCCACCCACTCAGATGGGGCGCGGCTCCAGGAAACAAGCCACCCATCTGCAGCACGCTGCTCTCTACCCTTCCCTTTCCTCCCGTTCCAGTAGAGTAGGGCTAGCGGTCAGCGCCTGCCTCCCCAGCCCTGACCAAAGTTACACCTTGTGATTCTTTAGGACTGAAATGGGGAAGGTTAGACTTACCACATTCAAAGAAATTATAGACAGGGCGGACCTTGAGGACACGCTGCATGTACTCGTGCAGGATGCAGACCTCGGATTTCCCGTTGGGGTTAATAACAAACTCTGTGACAAAAAGAACCATCTCAGCAAGTGTGAAGCAGTGCCACAAGCTAGCACACAGCTTCCTGTTACCATGTCAGTAACTAGGGGCTCACGACCGTGAATGTGGCAGACCCCTGCATTCATGGGATAAACATAAACTTTGAACGAAATGCAACTCATAAAACATGCCCTCAACACATCACATTAGAAATAACAGCATAACCAGTCTGCTGATGTTAAAATGCAGAGGCTTATACCTTTCTTTGTGGGTGCATCTTGCACTGATAAAGTAATGAGCTTCTGATTGGCTGGCAAGATGGGCCTCTCGGACTCCGCCTGCTTCCGCTTCATTTCCCGATTGAATTGCCGCCGCTCAGCCCAAGTCCTGAATTTTTTCACAGTAACTTGCTCAAAGTCAAAACGCTTCTCCAGGTAGCTTCGAAATTCCTCGAGATCTGTCCCAGATTTACCAGAGAAACAAATTACTTAACTTCCAACATAGGAGTCAGGTTCTCACAGCCCAGTGCATGGGGCAGGCCCAGGCCACATGACACTATTTCCTTTCCCCGTCCCTTTCAAAGGGGAGGGAAGCAAAGAATGAAGGCCTCCCTACACCAGCTCAGATTATTCTGGCAGGTCCCTTCTGGATGAATTTCTGAGATGTTCTTTTACTTTATTTGGGGCAGGAAGAATACAAAAATGAAAAGGAAAAAAGACAGCTTAAAAAAGTCAGATGGCCTTCGGGACTTCCTCCCTGTATCAAAACAGGTGCCCGAATGCCAGCAGCACCCGGGCTCCATGCGCCCGCCACCTCTCTGACCACCTCACTCTTTTCCTTCTGGCCATCCTGGCCACCTCTGTAGTCAGCAACACACCCAGGCAGCTCCCTGCACAGGGCCTCGCATTTGTCACATTTCCTCCCGGGCCACTTCCCCATCCTCAGCAACAGCCCCCATCACAGGCTCTTCTAGGGCACCCCACACTCCACGGAGTTATGAGACAGGCTGGGTAGTGATGTACAGACAAATAGAAACCTAGAAAATGGAAAGTGCTCTTTGAAAGTAATCCAGCAGGTGGGTTCACAGAGACCTGCCACACCTGAAGAGAGAACTAAGACTTAAATGGCGGGACTAGGCTAAAAGACATGGAAGAGAGAATGGGAAACACCAGTACACATCCAGCAAGCAATTGCAGGATTGAAGAGGGAACTATCCACAGAATGGTGACAGTTTCCCAACACTGAGTCATGGATTAAAGAGGCTCACTGAGCTCATCAAGACAAATCAAAACAATGCCACATGAGCACATCCTACTGAAAAAGCAAGACTTAGGGAAAGATCATACAAACAACCAGAGAGAAAACGGCCCACTGCCAGTGCCAGCAGCCATCTCCCCAGCAGCCTCAGCCATGCAGACACCACAGAGCCCACAGACAGGAGCCTAGGGTGCTGCACCCAGGCAGGTTCTTGCAAGGACAGGAAGACAAGCCTTTCAGCCACACCAACAGTGGAGGTGCACAGCCCCTTGCTCACAAGTACAACTAGGAACTATGAACAATTATGGCCTTCATTAGAAAAACAAAGCTCATGGGTCCCAGGAGGCAAGAAGGGAAGAGTCCTTCAAAAACTCACCAACGGATTCATCTTTGCACACCTCGACTTTGGCCTTCACCTGCCCCAGGGCCCCAGGGGCTGCCTCAGCCCCTAGTGGGTCTTTCTCGTCCGGGGGCCCCGGGTCAGCACCCATAGAGTCAGGCTCATCCAGGGGAAACTCCAGCTCTGCAGATCGGCTCAGGGGCTTGACGGGGGACACATCCCCACTAGGGGTGAGGTCACTGCTTTGCTCCCGTTCCTCGTTGTCCTTCATTTTCTTATAATGCAGACAAGGGATGCTACTCAGAGGAGGGTCGTGTTTCTGTGGATAGTGAAATTGCAATATGGATTACAAGGACAACCCGAGAGTCTGAAACTCTGATGCCTTTCACCGGCCTCTGCTTGGCTGCGGTGCCATGTGTGTGGATGTGCACGTTTTGGTCTGAGAACTTACAAGCCTAAAGTCACGACTGATGCCTCCCCTACCCGTATGCTTCCCGTTCCCAAGAAGTATGGCCTGGACCAGGTGACCACCCGAGACTCTCTGTGTAGGTACACCGGGACTCCAGAGTTATGGAATGTCATGATCCACCCGTCGGGCAGCGGCTCTGTAGGTGGGCGGCCACGACCTGCACAGGAAGACAAGAACATCCTATAATCACTGTAAAAACACTTGGAATTGTTGCCACAGCACCTCCTGCACAAGAAATTGTTGGGTACTAGCATGTGTTTAACTGGGTCTTCACAGATAATCGAAATTCCTCTCTGCCTTGCTCACTGCTATGCCTCCAGGCCTAGGACAGATAGCATGTGGCCTGAGGTGGGAATTTACACGTGTCAAACCAGCACATGAAGGAGCACAGAACAGGTCTGTGCAAGATATAAGTCCCAGCCTCAGCTCCTGCCTCCACATCTGGTAAGCACTGTGGACACTGGACTCCTTTGCTGCCTGTCTGGTTGTGGCCAGAGGCGCCTTGGGGCTGGATGAGCTTTGCTAATAAACTGCATGGCTGTCAGCCACTGCTCCCAGTGACCAGGTGACAAGTCTTTATTGTAACTGAGCTGCACTCTCAGCAGCATACAAAACACTGCTTCAAATGATTCCGTTTCTAAGTTGGTTTAATACACTACTCCCAACCCCTTCTTTGCTTTATAGGCAGTTGTGAGGAAGAGGTTTACGACTTATCAACTTGACACCTGCCACCAGGCCTGACTGCTGGGAAGAGCGTAAGGCAAAGATGTAACTAAAACTTAATTTTCTCACAGGTATTGGGAACAAGTTAAAAACTTAGAAAGACCAGCCTAGGCAACACAGCAAGACCCTGACTCTACAAAAAACTTTTTAAAATTATCCAGGCATGGTGGCATACACCTATAGTCCTGGCTACTTGGGAAGCTGAGGTGGGAGGATCACTTGAGCCTGGGAGGCTGAGGCTGTAGTGAGCTACTCCAACCTGGGTAACAGCAAGACCCCGCCTCAAAAAAAAAATTAAAAAACAGAAGAAAGCAAATGAAACCTTAAAAAATATACATAAGGGGAAAAAGGGCCAGTGACTCTCAGGGCTAGGTACCCACCAAGTGGCCCTGACCCTGGACCTGACACCTGTACCCAGGCCACCATCAGGTGATGATTCAGGGAGGGAGTGTTAAAGGTCAGGGGTGCATGCACACTGCGTGGGCTCTCTCCCCACAGAGTCAGGCCAAGATGGAGCTGCCTCCTGCCAGCTTTAGGTTAAGTCAGGAAAAGAAGCAAAGGGAATACGGAGCCAAGCAAGAGACGGGCCACGGGTCCGCTGGGGCTGCTCCTCTGTGACAGTGAGTGGTCACAAAGTTGGCCCAGCCACCTGAGGTGGGGGTCACATGCAGCTGTCCGTCTGTGAACATCCAGGCATCCAGGCCAGAATGGCTGCTGACCAGTGAGCTGTGCAGGACGAATGTGGGTTTACCTTCTGAATGAGCCTGTTGAAAATGCAGCACCAAACCAGCCTCCTAGAGGCCCCGAGGTCAAGACTCCTGCCCCCAGCCCCAGAAGCTGAAGCCCCAGGTTTACCCTGCCTGCAACCGTCTAGACCAAAAGCCCTCCTGCTTAACTGCTACCAACACGACATAGGCAGCAACATGTGGCACCTGGCATAGCTAACTTGTCCCCTCAATGGCCCAAGGAGGATGGCCATGTGCCACCCGCCCCTTGCTTTGCTCCCAGTCGCACCCTGCCACCTTGTGCACCCCAGCCCTCAGCCTGGGGTCTCACCTGTGAGCCTGAGTCCCCGTGCATCTCTTCAGTCCCTCTACCGAGCCCCACATCTCCACCAGGACCCTCATAGGTGCCTCCAAGCCACCAACTCCGACTCCCCCAACACCTGCACCACATCGATGACAGAGCCTCACAGTGCAACTCTGGGCGCCTCTCAAGTGCTCTCCCCACTACCCTCAACTCAAAGTTGAGGAAGTGCCACGTCGACCAGGGCACTTCCACCCTGCCCAGCTGAAGTGCACACACCATGCTGTGGCCCAGAAGCCATGTTGTTAAACAAAAATCAGGTAACACCACTTGCTTCTGGTGGCTTCCTGTGACACTTGGTCCAGGACTAGAACCTGGATCACAACTATCACCTGCCATCTCACTGTGTACCCACCTTGCCCTTGGTCTCCACACCCTCCAGCTGATGGTCATGCTGGCTCCTGGCATATACCAACATCCCCTCCTGACCCCCTCAGAAGTCCCCTCCCATTCCTCTGCACAGTGCCTGCTGCTCTGTGGTTTCCATAGCACACACCAGGATCCGCATCTGGGTCATGCATCAGGACGTCCTCCCATCCTGTGTTTCCCTCCTCAGATATTTCTGTCCTGTCCTCAAACATGCCTCCACCCAGCCCACTACCTGGCACCAGAGCTCTCTCAAAGCATTTCTGCTAAGGAAGCAACCACCCCTCCACTGCCCTGGAACACCCACTGCTTCTGACCCACACACGTACTTTTGAGCACTGTTTTAATCTTGGTCATCATCGGCTGCACACTTGTCTCTCCATCGGACGGATGGTCGCTGTCTCCGCCATATTTTTCCTCTGTTCGCCTCTTTTTGGGGGCACAAAGGCCTTCTTCCAGCAGAGCATCCACATCGTTGTCAAAGTCATCCTGCAAAACACGCTGTTCAGACACCAGAGCCCCTGGCGCTCATGCTCCTGCAACAGGAGAGCTCAACAGCATTCCTGAGAACAGACACAGAAAGGAGGTGCTCTCAGGGGGCCTAGATGTGCCCTTAGGGTGCATGATCATCTGAAAAACAAACAGGATGAAGCTACCAGCTGACACCAACACACCTGGTCCAGGGGCACACACTGCCAAGGAGCGTAACTCAGCAGCACCTGCTGCCCCACGCGCTAGATCAGGGATGCAGGGCCTACCCATGGGCCAAACTTTTCATTAGGAAACTTTAAAAATCTGGACTCCTTACATCTTTCTCTTCTCCACATTAACATTATTCCACCTCAGAGGGGATTTTGGTTTTTGTTTTTTTTTTTTTTAATTTCCCTGCTTTCAAAAGATGCTGCAATTCCCAAATCTCTCTTTGGGTTTTGCTAAGAGCCCTCTAGAGGAGGGGCTGCCAACATACCTCGTAGGGGAAATTCAAGGCCTCTTCATCCACTCTGTCTCTCTGAACGATTGCTTTAGCCGTGAACCCGCCTGCTCCTTCTTCATCTAGCTCCAAATTGTCAGTAAAATCTTCTAACTCATCGAGCACTGCATACTCCACTCTCTTTTCCTGATCCAGCTCATTCTCCTCATCCTTCTTATCAGCACTCTCACCCCCTATGCCTACCCCGTCACCAACACTCCCGCCAAAGGGACAAGCATGCACGTCCCCACTGACAGGGCTAAGGAGCAGACCGCACTCCGCCCGCACGTCGCGCTCTGCTCCTGTGTACAGCACCTTCCTGTCCTTACTCCTGCAGCTCTCGGTAAAGCTCACGCTAATCTTTACATCCTTAAGCAACTTAAGGTCAGGGGAGAACTTCCGGACCGCAGGTGCGTGCCGGGCGGTGCGCGGGCTGTGGCCACTACAGTTCGGGTCTATGAGGAGGCGGCCCTTAGAGAAGGATCCTTTGGAGAGAAGAGAAGCTCCGTAGAAGTTGAAGGGGTCCTCAGCAGGGAGTTCGGACTGTCCATCACCACCAGAGCCAACGTCCATTACCTCTGCACCACTGGACGTTTGCAGGGGAGGTGGTGGAGACTGCTCACGGGGCAGCGCTTGGAAGGGGCGAGCTCGGCTCTCCATCACCGCTTCTCCTGCGGGCCCACACGGGAGCGGAGAGGGGCTCTCATCTGTCTCCATATTAAAAGCGCTTAAGACTAGTTTACAAGACCAGAGTTTTACAAGCCCTCACATAAATCTACACAGCTAACATGCACAAGTCCGCTGAGACCCGGGCGCGTCCTGCCGCGCTGTGCGCTGGCGGCTTAGTCAAGCTGGCCACATTGCTCTTTTCATTAATGTAGACAGCTTTTAGAACCACTGCCTCAATTATTGGAAATCACAATGCACTCAGCTTAAGTGACTGGCGACTAAGCGAGTCTGTCTTCATGCCGGAGTGGCACCTTTCTTCTTCTACCTGCAAAGAAATTTAAAAATATCGTCACAAAATGACAGAAACCTTCCAATTCCCTGGTACCAAGTTAAAAGCCAAGCACTATTAACAGCATAGTAAAGGGCTTCAAAATAATATTCCCTAAGAGGACTTTTTAGGCATCAAAACAAACTAACCTTACTTTTATTCTTCAGAACCTGAATTATAACTTAAGTCCAAAGTTAAATATTTTGTTAATGCCCACTTTAATTCCTACTTCAGAAACACAAAAACTATATAATCATAAGGCTCAAAAAATATTTTAAAAATTTACACTAAACTCCACCACAGCATTCTTCTAACTCAGATAAGCAAGCATGCAGTGGGAGGCACCCTTTCTGGAACACACAGAAGGCGCGTGGCCTCCCTCAGGCCACCAGAGCACAGCAATCCACTCACCTGCAAGGGCTGGGTCAGTCAGAGGGCGAGCGCGAGACCCTCAGCTCAACTCTGCGGCACTAGGGGCCTCAGAGGCATGGCCAGGCGCTCTGCTACCCAGGGACCCCAGGGCTCTCCTGGGCCCACAGGGTAGCACGTGGACGGGGACAGTGATGCAGCGTGCTGAGGTCACCAGAGGTGGCAGCATAGTTCTGTTCCCGATGGAGGAGAGGGGTGGGTGGCTGTGGGGAAGGGACCTGCCAGGATTTGGGGTGGGGAGCCACAAGAGACAGCTGGAGCCGAGGCACAGAGAGGCCTGGGTGCCACCTGCAGCCCGTTCCGCCCTGGGGACAATAAGGAGCCACTGAAGGTGAAGCGACTCTCATGCCACAAGTAGGTTCCTACTTGAGAGGGGAGACCCACAGCTGTGCCAGGCAGAAGCAACTGCATCCAAGGCACGGGGACAGTCCTCCAGGCCAGAGGACAAAGGTGTGAAAGAGGCCCTGGCAATGGGCCAAGAACAGTGTCACAGAACTGACCGCACTTGTTGACCCAACGGAGGTGGATAGCAGAGAAAAGAGGGAACTAAAGACAAGGAAGGACACCCAAATTCCAGCATGCAGGCAGGAGCCTGGCGAGGAGAACAGAGGGGACCTCCAGGCAGGCTCTGAAGGTGCCGAGGCCACAACTCTGGAGCCATGACTGGTCCAGATACGGAAGGCCAGGACGCACTGAGGAGGTAGTCGCCAAACCCACAGGAGGAAGGCCACCCAGAGATGAGGGTTAAGGATGCAACTCTAGGAAGCCTTACTACAGAGGAAGCATGAAGAAAGGGACAACATGAAGCAGGGAAGATGGGTCTGAGGGGGCAGCCAGAAAACCCTGCATCAGAGCAGAAGGAACACATGCAGACACACGCACATGCACACTCCCACAACGTGCACAGGAACACGCATGCATGCACATGCGTGCATACCAGTAAAGATGCACACATGCAAACCGCACTGCATGACCTAACATCCTCCCAAGATTCCCGGAAAGAACAGGAGATGCAGACATCACACATTTAACAAGGGACAAGGCATGGTGGATGTACTTCGAAGGGGACACAACATGAAAACCAGAGACTAGTTTAGGTTTAATCAATACATTTAACAACTATCCACTGGCCATCTACTCCGAGGAACGCACTATATGGACAAGAGACAAGGTCACAGGGCCTGGACACACTGGCAGGTCAATGACCACTGCACTGTCACCCCATTTCCTGGATTCTAAGATGTCCTAACATTTCTGAATCTAATGGGAATTTCACACCGTATGTTCCCAAAGATGTGTCCATCAAAGGTGCTGAGGATCCAGGAAACACAGCACAGAGCTAACAACTGACTATAAAGTGCTGAAGACGCTCAAGAGGCTGTGGGCAGCAACCAGGCAGGCATGAGGAACACTAAGTGGGGTGAGGTCAGTCTCCTGGCAACCAAGAAAGACCATTAGAGAAAACAGACCGAGGGGTCAATGCGCCCAGTGCCACAGATTACAAGGAAGACCAGGGCCACACACCTCAGAACCTGGCAGTCCCATAGAGACCCTGGTGAGTCAATCCATGATTCTGGGACACAAAAAGCTACATGAAGAAGCCACAAGGAGCAGGGGATTAGAGACCAACAGTGGGACGGAATGGGGAAGCCTGCTACCACAGAAGGCGAAGAAGCAGCTAGAGTAGACGTTCCAAGCAAAGGTGCTAATGGGGCCAAGCGGCGGCACTGAAGAAATGCACAGCAGGAAAGCCTGGTGCCTTACAAGTGAGTGAGCTCCTTAGGAAAGCAGGAAACCTGCCCAGCCCCAGACCTCAGTGGTGGGCAGTCCTGGGCAAGTTCCTTCCTCCCCTCTATAAGCTTTCTCCATTCATCACACACACACACACCATCCTAGATGCTACAGACACAAGGTGGACAAAACCCTGCCCTACAGAGCTCACATTTTAGTGGGGGAGATGGACCGCTAACAACTAAGAAAAGCATGCACCCTGTCACATGCCAAGAAGTATTCAAGCAAAAACAAAACAAGGAAAGCGCCTGAAGAAGGGGAGGCAGTTTTAGGAAGGGGGATCCAAGAAGGCCTCATGGCCTGCATCCACGTGAAGGCAGGAGTGAGCCAGGTGGGTTACAGGGCTGGGAGGAGGGGATGTTCCAGGTGACACTGAGAGGAAAAGCAGAGGGCTGGGGTCAGGAATGTGGTGTGGCCAGCTGGGGCAGTGTGCTGAGGGGACGTGACAGTGGGCCAAGTCCATGAGGGCAGATGGATCAGGGCTGGTCCTCCCAGGCTGCTGCCAGGACTTTGGCTCTTAGTGAGAGAGATGGGCCACCGGATAGGAAGGCCCACACAGTGGCATCAGCTGATTCCAGGATAGCAGTGGCAACCAAACCTCAGCCAGGCCCTGTTCTAAGCACTTTAAGCATTTTAACTCACCCAGGTCTCACATAGCATTATGGAAGAAAGGTTCACCCACATGCTCAAGGTCATACAGCCAGGAAGTGATGGAGCTGCTTTACAAGCAGGCAAGCTGGCTTGCATCTACACCGCCTCTGTTTTATACCATCTTATGGTTTAAAAGAACCACTCTGGGCCGGGCGCGGTGGTGCACGACTGTAATCCCAGCACTTTGGGAGGCTGAGGCAGGCGGACCACAAGGTCAGGAGATCGACACCACCCTGGCTAACACATTGAAACCCCGTCTCTATTAAAAATACAAAAAATTAGCCGAGTGTGGTGGTGGGCGCCTATAGTCCCAGCTACTCGGGAGGCTGAGGCAGGAGAATGGCTTGAACCCAGGAGGCGAAGCTTACAGTGAGCGGGAGATCGCACCACTGCACTCCAGCCTGAGCAACAAAGCGAGACTCTGTCTCAAAAAAATAAAAAGAATCACTCTGTGGCCAGGCACAGTGGCTCACGCCTGTAATCCCAGCGCTCTGGAAGGCTGAGGCAGGCAGATCATTTGAGGCCAGGAGTTCGAGACCAGCCTGGCCAACATGGTGAAACCCCGTCTCTACTAAAAATACAAAAATCAGCCGGGCGTGGTGGTGGTGGACGCCTGCAGTCCCAGCTACTTGGGAGGCTGAGGCAGGAGAATCGCTTGAACCCGGGAGGCAGAAGTTGCAGTGAGCTGAGATCACGCCACTGCACTCCAGTCTGGGCGACAGAGCGAGATTCTGTCTCAAAAAAACAAAAAAAAAAAAAAAGAAAGAAAGAAGAATCACTCTGTGTCCAGAAAAACTATAGATGGTGGATGGGGAGTGAGGACCTAAGGTGACAGTAAAGAGAATTAGAGGCTCACCAGGTAGGCTGGGCCAGGATGTTAACTTGAAGGTGGTGAGAAATGGTCTGTGCTTAGAAATAGGTGAGCTGACGGGGCCTCCTTAGGACTGCATGAAGGTGTAAGAAAGAGAGGAATCAAAGGGACTTTAGATAGGCCAAGGAATGTTTTGGCATGGGTGAAGATTTGAGTTTGGTTTGGATATGGCTACTTGGCGCCAAAGTAACACATGGAGATATGGAAGAGGTGGCCAGAAACACCAGGCTGGAAATCAGAAGAGAGGCCAGGGCTGGAGCTGTGAAGATGTCAAGGAAAGCTGGCATTAAAGTCAGGAGGCTGGGTGACATCACAAAGGAGAGGGCTACAACAAGAGAGTCTAAGACTGGGCAAGCCAGCCAGAAGCACATTTCCTACCCCAAGGTCACGGTGAGACTACAAAACAACCCCTGGGAAGTGCTCCACACAGCGCCTGGCCGCAAAGGGCTCAAAGGGGAGCTCTCTGCCCGTAGGCCTCCCCACTGCTCCAGCTGACCAAACACCGCATGCAAACCCTGCCTTGCCAACAGGACTATCGGACAGGAACGGGCTCACGGCAAGCTCCCCTGGACCCTTGGCACGGGGAGAAAACCCGTACACTTGGACAGCACCCTTCCTCCTAGCCCACTTGCTGTGTTGGCTAACAGAGGCACTGGCTGTGACGGGCCAGCACCAGTGCCAGCGCCATGGAGGCTGCCTTTTGGTCAAGTCTCTCCCGCTGCAGCCTCCCGCCCAACCCAGCGGCAGTATGACCTCATCCGTTCCTTTTGTCATCCTCCAACAGGCCTCATATCCCGCACTTAGAGGCAACACTGGGTACCCCGGGCTGGCCATTCACTCCCTTTTGTGAGTGAAGGCCTGCAGCAGGGTTTGGGCCACTCCCACAGCTGGGAGTCTAGTCTGGCCAGGAAACAGTGGATCCTCGCCTGGTGGTTGGCCTCGAACAGTCGACAGCCAAAGACAGGACTGCCGTGCAGGAACAAGGTACATGCAAGCATGCAAAAAGGCAAATCAGACTCCTGCCACAAGAAACCCAAGTCCATCGGTTGACACCAGACAGGCATCACTGTCAACAGGTTGCCACCTTCCATTTATTTCCGCCATGCTCATTGTTACAATAAAACCGTATCCCAATTATCTACGTGACACTCAACCCGTGAGCATTCTGTGGACAAAAAGACTTAGGCGACTTCTTGGATTTCCCAAACTGTGTTAAAGCCGGCAGGGTCCCAGGCGAGCACTGGCCCTGTCCACACCTTTCCCGCCTGAAGGCGATGCTAGGCTTCGGGCCCTCCGGGAGAGGAGCCTCTTTACCCGGGCGGACAGCGACGAGAGTCGGCAACGCCTGGGCCCGGGGCCCGCCCCCCAGCCCCGGAGGCGTCCCCACCCCGCGCTCTCCACCGCCCGCGGCCATGTTGCCTCACAAAGGCCGGGCTCCGCGCCCCCGCCCCGCCCGCGGCCTCGGTCCCGGAGGGAGGCGGGAGGGAAGGGCGCGCCCTCGCGCAGGCCGCGGCGCCCGCCCAACCGCCCGCGGGCGCCCCTCGCGCCCCGCACCTACCTGAGGCGCCCGCGGGCTGCCCAAGCCGCCCGCAGCCAAACCACAGCCGGGAAAGCCTCACCGACCGACCGCCGCAGCCATCTGGAAAGCCTGTCCAGGCTCTCCGGTCGCCGGCACCCGCCTGCCGCGCCGGGCGAGCGGAGGGCGGGCCTTCGCGGCGTGCGGCCAATCCCCGCGCGCGGCCGCCCCGCATTGGGGGAGCCGCAGAGCGCGCTGCGGAGGCCGCCAATCGGCGGCGCGTAGCGCGTGTGTCCGCCGCGCGCGGCCCAATAGCGCGGCCGCGCGGGAGGGACCAGGCGCCCAGGCCGCGGTCGCGCTAACAGTCGCTGCCCAGGCGGGGCTCGCTGGACTGAGGGCGGCGGCCGCGAGGAGCGCCGGGAACGGGAAGCACCGGGAATGCCGGGAGCAGGGGAGCGCGGGAAGCTCGGGGAGCGCGGGGAATGCCGGGAACAGGGAGCGCGGAGTACGCCGGGAGCGGACACGCAGACGGGCCACCTTCGGTGGACACTGCAGAAGAGACCGTGCACACACAGGCGTTACACAACCCTGTTAAAAGCATCACTGTATCAGACATCATCATTTATAAAGAACGCGTGTGCTCAACTGTCTGGCGCTGTCCCCTTTGCTAATACAGGATTTCCAAAACAGGGAGGGTTCGGCCGGGCACGGTGGTTCGGCCGGGCACGGTGGCTTGCGCCTGTAATCCCAGAGTTTTGGGAGGTCGAGTCAGGAGGATTACTTGAGCCCAGGAGTTCGAGACCAGCCTGGCTAACATAGTGAGAGCCCAGTATCTACAAATTTTCTTTCTTTTTTTTTTTTTTTTTGAGGCGGTGTCTCGCTTTGTCTCCCAGGCTGGGGTGCAGTGGCGCGATCTCAGCTCACTGCAACCTTTGCCTCCCGGATTCAAGCGATTCTCCTGGCTCACCCACCCGAGTAACTGGGATTACAGGCGCCCACCACCACGCCCGGCTAATTTTTATATTTTTGGTAGAGACGGGGTTTCACCATGTTGGCCAGGCTGGTATCAAACTCCTGGCCTCAATTGATCTGCCCGCCTCGGCCTCCCAAAGTGCTGGGATTACAGGCATGAGCCACCGCGCCGGGCCCAAAATTATTTTTAATTAGCCGCGTGGTGGCGGGCGCCTGTGGTCCGAGCTACTCGGGAGGCTGAGGTGGAAGGATCACCTGAGTCCAGGAGTTCCAGGCTGCAGTGATCCGAGATAGCACCACTTTCACTCTAGCCTGGGCGGCAGAGTGAGACTCCGTCTCAAAAAAAAAAAAAAAAAAAAGGAAAACGAGGGTCTGAGTAAGTGAGGGTACAGCTCTTCCTTAGACTAGCTTTCCTGTCAATAAATGTGGAAGGAATAGTGGAAATAGAAAAATTTTCCACTGGGTAGCCACCCCAATAATAGCTGCTGTAGACGAAAATCTTGAGTGATAAAAATAGTGGGCCGGGCCCTGTGGCTCACGCCTGTAACCCCAGTACTTTGGGAGGCCGAAGCAGGCGGATCACCTGAGCTCAAGAGTTCCACACCAGCTTGGGCAACGTGGCGAAACCTTATCTCTACTGAAAATACAAAAAGTAGCCAGGCGTGGTAGCAGGCACCTGTAATCCCAGCTACTCGGGAGGCTGAGGCAGGAGAATCGCTTGAACCCGGGAGGTGGAGGTTGCAATGATCTGAGATCGGGCCACTGCACTCCAACCTGGGTGACAGAACGAGACCGTCTCCAGAAAAAATAGTGAGCAAGGCCAGGCACAGTGGCTCATGCGTGTAATCCCAGCACTTTGGGAGGCCGAGGCGGGCGGATCACTTGAGGTTAGGAGTTCGAGACCAGCCTGACCAACATGGTGAAACCCTGTCTCTACTATAAATACAAAAAAAAATAGCAGGGCTTGGTGGCAGGTGCCTGTTGTCCCAGCTACGGAGGCTGAAGCTGGAGAATTGCTTGAACCTGGGAGGCAGGAGTTGCAGTGAGCCAAGATCCAGCCACTGCACTCCAGCATGGGCAACAGAACGAGACTCGGTCCCCGGCCCCCAACCCCCTACAAAAAAATTAGGCCAGGCACAGTGGCTTACGCCTGTAATCCCAGCACTTTGGGAGGCCGAGGCGGGTGGGTCACGAGGTCAAGAGATCAAGACCATCCTGGCCAAGATGGTGAAACCTCGTCTCTACTAAAACTACAAAAAAAATTAGCTGGGCATGGTGGCACGTGCCTGTAGTCCCAGCTACTCGGGAGGCCAAGGCAGGAGAATCACTTGAACCTGGGAGGCAGAGGTTGTGGTGAGCCGGGATCACGCCACTGCACTCCAGCCTGGGTGACAGAGTGAGACTCCATCTCAAAAAAAAAAAAAAATAGTGGGCAAAAACATGACAAACAGGTTTTGTTTTGTTTTCAGTGTTGCAAAGTTTCTCCCCCAGGATACTAATTGCCTAGGGAAAATAGTAGTTTTAGAGTGGAAGAAAACTTGGGCGACACCACCTTTAACCAAGCCATCAAGGTCACCAGCAAACTTAGCAAATTGTACCATTTAAACATGTGTATTGCATTGTATATAAATTCTGCCTCAATAGAAATGAAAAAAGTTAGTTCCAGTAAGAGGACATACTGTGGACCTCCTGAGAAGAACACAAGTTCACTTGTGGGTATTTTTGCCCAAAAGGCAGAATCTGAATGAAGAGCAGACAAACCCCAAATTAGGGGCATTCTGCAAAATTACCAGCCAGTGCTTTTCAAGTATCGAGATCATTCAAGTCAAAGATGGACTGAGGAGCCATCTTCAATTAAAAGAGATAACAAAATGCAGTGTGGAATCCAGACGATAGATGGGATCCTGGCTCAGAAAAGGGACATTAATGGGACAATTGATATAATTCAAACAAGGTCTGTAGATTAGTTAATACTATTGTATTGGCCTGGCGCGGTGGCTCACGCCTGTAATCCCAGCACTTTGGGAGGCTGAGGCAGGCAGATCACGAGGTCAGGAGATCGAGACCATCCTGGCTAACAGGGTGAAACCCCGTCTCTACTAAAAATACAAAAACATTAGCCGGGCATGGTGGCACGCACCTGTAGTTGCAGCTACTTGGGAGGCTGAGGCAGGAGAATTGCTTGAACCCGGGATGCAAAGGTTGCAGTGAGCTGAGATCGCGCCACTGCACTCCAGCCTGGGAGACAGCAGGAGACTCTGTCTCAAAAAAAAAAAAAAAAAAAAAAAAAAAAAAAACAAACAGTAAAAAGTATCGTGTTGTTGTATTGACAAAAGATTATTTGCTTGGCCAAACTTTAGTCAGGCTCCTAAATCTTCTAGGCCCGTCTGAGAATTCCAGTTTAGCAAGAACCACCCTGCTTTTGATATCTGATCGCCCTCAATACTGATGAAATTCCTCATCCCTCCACCATCCTCTAGGTGATGTCTGATCACCCCAGCCTGTCTTCAGCAAGAATCCTCTTAGGTCAGCTTAGCCAGTATCCCCCTTATCACTTATGTTTCTTCTTAGTAATTTTTCATCCACTGACCCCCGCCCTGCTCCTTGGCTATCAGTTCACACTTGTCCATGCTGTATTCAGAGTTCAGCCCAATCTCTCCCCTGCAGCAAAACCCCATTGCCTGTGGTCCATATGCCAGTGGCAATGCTCCTGAATAAGGCCTTCCCGACCGTGCTTTGACAAGGGCTGAATAATTTTTTTCTTTAATGGTTGTGGTGCCACAGGCCTCTGACCCAGGACTCTCAATGTGCAACTTTGCAGCCTTTGTCTTCTGACTGGCTGATTGGGGATCTACTGGTGAGTCAAACTCCTGAGCCATGACTGTAGAAAAACTTTTATTTTAGCTGGTAAGGACAGATTTTGATTTTTAAGGTCCCAGCCTTCTTTTGAAAGGTATAATACTTCCTGGGTTGGAAGGTCTTCCTTGTGGCTCTTCATTCTGAATGGGGATTCACTCCCTGACTCCTGGGCTGGCAGTCTTTTCTTCCCACTGTGAGGCCTCTCTGTTCTCTCTATTGGATCCTACTTCTCCCATCGGAACTTCTCAGTCACCTGAATCCCCTTTCCTCAAACCCCTTCAGACTATATACTCTGCCAACTTTATTTATTTGTTTGTTTATTTATTTATGTATTTATTTAAGACAGAGACTCACTGGGTCACCCAGGCTGGAGTGCAGTGGCGCAGTCTCGGCTCACTGCAGCCTCCACCTCCTGGGTTCAAGCTATTCTCCTGCCTCAGTCTCCAAGGTAGCTGGGACTATAAGCGCACGCCACTACGCCCAGCTGATTTTTTTGTATTTTTGTAGAGACCAGGTTTCACCATGTTGGCAAGACTGGTCTCAAACTCCTGGCCTTAAGTGATCTGCCTGCCTTGGCCTCCCAAAGTGCTGGGATTACAGGCGTGAGCCACTGGGTCTGGCCTCTGCCAACTTCAGTTGCAGAGCAACTACATATGTATGTTTGTATGTTATATATACATGATATTTTTCTACCTCCAGATAGTAGCACCAAATTAATTTATAAAATCCCTTAAAGGAATAACTGACTCTGTGCTAATATATATAGCAACTGGTTGTTCCAGAATGAGAAAGAAAAAAAATGTAGGGGAAAAAAAGTACTGATAGATTTTTTTTTTTTGAGATGGCATCTCTCTGTGTCACCCAGGCTGGAGTGCAGTGGCAAGATCTCGACTCACTGAAACCTCTGCCTCCCGGGTTCACGCCATGCTCCTGCCTCAGCCTCCCGAGTAGCTGGAACTACAGCTGCCCGCCACCATACCTGGCTAATTTTTTATATTTTTAGTAGAGACAGGGTTTCACCGTGTTAGCCAGGCTGGTCTCGATCTCCTCACCTCATGATCCACCCGCCTCGGCCTCCCAAAGTGCTGGGATTACAGGCATGAGCCACCGTGCCCGGCCAGATATTTTTTTTAAGTTGTAAAAGATCTATAGAAAAGAAATCTTGGAAAAGAAATATTATCTTGCATGAGATTGGATGGATTCATTTATAAGGTTTTGTTAAAATTAGCTTTATTAGTAGTGCTATGATGCAGAACTTTAACTTGATCTTCTCTGTTGAAATGACAAAGTTTTCTTACAGTATTTGAGATTATGAAGATTTCTGTTTACCTTTTATTATTATTATTATTATTTTACTTTTTATTTTTGAGACGGAGTCTCACTCTGTCGCCCAGGATGGAGTGCAATGGCACGATCTCGGCTCACTGCAAGCTCCGCCTCCTGGGTTCACGCCATTCTCCTGCCTCAGCCTCCCGAGTAGCTGGGACTACAGGCGCCCACCACCATGCCCGGCTAATTTTTTGTATTTTTTTAGTAGAGACGGGATTTCACTGTGTTAGCCAGGATGGTCTCGATCTCCTGACCTCGTAATCCGCCCGCCTCGGCCTCCCAAAGTGCTGGCATTACAGGCGTGAGCCACCTCGCCTGGCCTCTGTTTACCTTTTAAATAATTGACCTTGGAAACAAAGATTTTTGTGTTATATCAAGATAGTTCCTTGTTCTTCATATTGTCTTTTATTAGGTTTTTGATTACTTAAGAAATGTGGCTGGGGCCAGGCGCAGTGGCTCACACCTATAATCCCAGCACTTTGGGAGGCCGAGGCGGGCGGATCACGAGGTCAAGAGATTGAGACCATCCTGGCCAATATGGTGAAACCCCATCTCTACTAAAAACACAAAAATTAGCTGGGTGTGGTGGTGTGTGCCTTTAGTCCCAGCTACTCTGGAGGCTGAGACAGGAGAATTACTTGAACTCAGGAGGCGAAGCTTGCAGTAAGCCAAGATCGTGCCATTGCACTCCAGCCTGGGTGACTGACACTCCGTCTCAAAAAAAAAAAAAAAAAATTTCCAGAACTCTTTTTTTTTTTTTTTTTTTGAGACATAGTCTTACTCTGTCACCCAGGCCAGCATGCAGTGGTGCAATCTTGGCTCCCTGCAACCTCTGCCTGCCGGGTTCCAGCGATTCTCCTGCCTCAGCCACCCAAGTAACTGGGATTACAGGCGCCCACCACCACGCCCTGTTAATTTTTATATTTTTAGTAGAGACAGGGTTTCACCATATTGGCCAGGCTGGTCTCAAATTCCTGGCCTCAACTGATCTGCCTGCCTTGGCCTCCCAAAGTGCTGGGATTACAGGCGTGAGCCACCACACCTGGCCAGAATTTCCAGAACTTGAATGAAGACACTGAGGGGTTCGTGAAACTGCTGATCAAGATCAAACAGAACAAGAATAAATTACATGGCAATGAATAAACCAATTACAATTATTTATTTATTTAATTTTATTGTAGAGATAGGGTCTCACTATGTTGACCAGGCTGGTTTCAAACTCTTGGCCTCAAATGATCCTCCCATCTCAGCCTCCCTAAGCATTACAGGTGTGAGCCACTGTACCCAGCCAGGATAATTTTTTTATGTTTTGTTTGAAACATTGCTGGTTCTTTAATGTTTTGTTTTCCAGATTTAAGGAAACTTTTTTTTCTCTTTTAAGTTATCCATAGCTTACAGCAGTTTGGTAAAGTATGCCTTTGTAAACAAAAGTGAAACAATTACTTTTTCTCTGTACCTTATCCTTCCATAATTCGGAAACTATTCATGAGTATTTTTATTTTAATGGCAATATGGTTATTTACATAAGTTCAGTAAGAACCTGTTCTCTTTGTAACAGGACACAATTGGAAATGCTGTTTATATTACCAAAGCTTTGACTAGAATGCCATATTTTTAGCTATGGCCAGACAACTTTAAGTAACTAAGATGACTTTATGGAACCAATAAAGCCCTTGGGGAAAAATGGGTTTTAAACCTTGAATACATGGGTCATGTGGTTGCCTTGTAGGTGAGTAAGGAAAGTCACTTCCTGACAGGCCCAAGGATGTCAGGATATTTTGGGGGACCTCAAAAAGAGAGGAATTCACCCAAACCTATAATGATTGCAAATGAAGTATGATGGTGAAGCTTCGGCTTGGCTTCCTAGCCTGGCAAGGCTTTTAAAAGCCCAATCTGAGATGCCTTATTAAAAGTCCTAGCAGGCTGGGCACGGTGGCTCACGCCTGTAATGCCAGCACTTTGGGAGGCCGAGGCGGGCGGATCACGAAGTCAGGAGATCAAGACCATCCTGGCTAACACGGTGAAACCCCATCTCTATTAAAAAAAATACAAAAAAAAATTAGCCGGGCATAGTGACGGGTGCCTGTAGTCCCAGCTACTTGGGAGGCTGAGGCAGGGGAATGGAGTGAACCTGGGAGGCGGAGCTTGCAGTGAGCGGAGATCACGCCACTGCACTCCAGCCTGGGCGACAGAGCGAGACTCCGTGACAAAAAAAAAAAAAAAAAAAAAAAAGTCCTAGCAAAGGAAACTTAAAGAAAGCCTATGTGTTCAATCACTATTGTTGCGGCACTTATGTAAGTAATTAGGCCAAGTTTAATCAACCTAAACTTAGCTACAAACAAATTAGTCTTACTTCAACATCTTTGATAGAAGTGGGGTGACTATATAGAGAAAAATTAGTTTCAGAAGAAAACTATAGTGCACCCATTATCAGATTCTAGCCCTGTTCATTGTTTTTGAGGTTTTGATATTTACCTACAAACTGGATTGGATCCTGAATTCTTCTAGTTTCCTCCAATATTTGATTTTCTCTAAACTGATGTTTCCAGTTTTTTTCCCACCCTTCTGGCCTGGAACCGCTAAAAATTAAAACTTCCCATTTCCTGAAGCCCTTTAAGCTGAACCCGGACAACTTGATAGAAACTTTAGGCCAGGCACGGTGGCTCACGCCTGTAATCCCAACACTTTGGGAGGCCAACGTGGGCAGGTCACGAGGTCAAGAGATTGAGATCATCCTGGCCAACATGGTGAAACTCCGTCTCTACAAAAATTACAAAAATTAGCTGGGCATGGTGGTGTGTGCCTGTAGTCCCAGCTACTCTGGAGGCTGAGGCAAGAGAATCGCTTGAACCTGGGAGGCAGAGGTTGCAGTGAGCTGAGATTGCGCCACTGCACTCCAGCCTGGGCAACAACAGCAAGACTCTGTCTAAAAAAAAAAAGAAAGAAACTTTAAGATGGCACCACAACAGATAATTTGTGGGCAGACTTCATGACACGCAAACTGCCGTCCATGATAGTCTGTTAGCCCCTACTCCATCTGAAGATGCTTCAAGCACAGCACCTGGAAATCTTGAGTAGCTGCCCTCTGAACTCAGAAACTGAGTTTATAGTTGGTTCCAACTAATATCTTTTTCTTTTATCTTCAACATGCAACGCCTGATGGCTCACACCATGGAGGATATCTCCTCTACTGCCGGTCCCAGCAGATGATTCAGCTGGCCTTTAATGAACAAAAGGCAGCCCAGCAAGGAAATGGACTCGTACTATTCAAGGAAAGATAACCTCTTCTTTCCTTGAACAAGAGGAGGGACCGACAAAGATTCTTTGCTTGGCCAAACCAGGCTTCTGAACCTTCTTCTAGGCCCATCTGTGCACTTCCTTGTAAATTTCACTTAGAGCAAGAACCCTGCAAAGTCACTTTAGCAAGAAGCATCCCCTGACCCTCGACATCTGATCACCCTCCTTATCTAATCCGTTCCTACACTGTCCCCCAGGTGAAGATGTCCGGTCACTGTGGCCTGTCTTCAGCAAAAATCCTGTTAATTGGTGTAGCCAGAATCTCCCTCACCCGGGGTGTTTCTTCTTAGTCATTTTCCATGTGCTGACCCAGCTCCCACCGCCCTGCTCCTCAGCTATCATCAGTTCCCACTTGCCCATTCGGACTTGAGCTTAATCTCTCTCCCCCACTGCAGAATCTCATTCCTGTGGTCCCTAGACCTAGCAAGACGGTCCTGAATAAAGTCTTCCCTACAGTGCTTTAGCAAATGTCATTCAGTAATTCTTTCTTTAACATTATCAGTGTTAATTTCCTGGTTGTAATCATTTTTCTGTGATTGGGTGCGGCATTCACATTTGGGGTAACTGGGTGAAAGACACTAGAATTTTTTGTTCTACTTTTTAAATCCTTTAGTAAATTGAAAAAAAAATTTTTTTTTTTGAGATGGAGTCTTGCCGTGTCACCAGGCTAGAGTGCAGTGGTGCCATCTTGGCTCACCGCAACCTCTGCCTCCTGGGTTCAAGCGAGTCTCCTGCCTTAGCCTCCCAAGTAGCTGGGATTACAGGCACCTGCCACCATGCCCAGCTAATTTTTGTATATTTTGTAGAGACGAGGTTTCATTTTTTTTTTTTTTTTTTTGAGACGGAGTCTCACTCTCGTCACCCAGGCTGGAGGACAATGGCATGATCTCGGCTCACTGCAACCTCTGCCTCCCGGGTTCAAGTGATTCTCCTGCCTCGGCCTCCCAAGTCGCTGGGATTACAGGCAGGTGCCACCATGCTCAGCTAATTTTGTATTTTTTGTAGAGACAAGGTTTCTCCATTTTGGTCAGGCTGGTCGCGAACTCCTGACCTCAGGTTATCTACCTGCCTCAGCCTCCCAAAGTGCTGGGATTACATGCATGTGCCACCATGCCCAGCTAATTTTGTATTTTTCGTAGAGACAAGGTTTCTCCATTTTGGTCAGGCTGGTCGCGAACTCCTGACCTCAGGTTATCCACCCGCCTCAGCCTCCCAAAGTGCTGGGATTACAGGCATGAGCCACCACGCCTGGCCATTGAAATCATTTCTAAATGAAAAAGTTTAAAGAAAGTGGGGAGAGGAATGTTGCAGATGACAAAGCTGTAGGCCTGCACGGGCCTCCCCCACCACTTCAGCACCAGACACCTCACAATGGGCTCCATGCCCTGGAGGGTCTGGGTCCAGGACTCAGCTAGGGGATGCCAGCCTCCCTGTGGCTGGGCCAGTCAGACCCCAGCACATGGCCATTCAACCAAAGCAACCTCTCACACTTGGTTGATTGGTGAGTTGGAGGCTCCAGTGGCCCCTGTCAGACTTGAGACCTCAGACCTGCCCACCACAGCCAGTTTCCCACACAGCCTGGGACTGACTGGGTGACGGAGAAGGATCCTTACCATGGAACTAGCCAGGTCCAGCCCCAGGGTTGCAAAGATTGATGATTGGAAGTTGGGACTCCAGCCCAAGCTGGGGGAGGATCCTTTCCCCTCTGGGCTCCTGTGTTTCCACCTAAGCCCGGCTCACCCATGAGCCAGGCATCTGCTGGCAGATGAGAACAAGACGTGGTCTCAGGAAGTCTGCAGGCAGACCAGGAGCCCAGGCCTTCAAGGATGAGACCTGAGGCCATGCCGCATTCCTGGCCTGGCCATGTCTGTTCATAGAATTGCCTCCACGTTAGCCAGCCCCATGCCTCCAGACTCTATGTCTACACAGCTCACCTTGGCCATCTCGGGGCCAGAGGGCAGAAGCAGCTTATGTTGGGAAGGGGCATCTGAGAAGAAGGTGAGTTCCCCATCTGCCTGGGAGAAAGAGACCCATGCTGGGGACTCAGGGATCAGGTGCATCTGGCAACAAGCACAGAGGACTGGCTGGGCAGTGCCAGGAAGGCCATTGTCCAGGCCCAGCCATTCCTGGTGTCACGTCCAAAGCTCTTCTAGAAGGCACTGGCTTTGGACCCCTATACCCTCTATTAGCACAAGGGCCTTGCATCAAGGGGTTGGCCCAAATAGATGGGGGCTTGGGAAGCACCAGCACTGTCATTCTTGGCTCAAATGCCTGCCTGGCCTGGGCATCAGAGTACAGTAGTGGGCAAGAGAAGGAAGGTCCCTGCCTTCCTGAAGCTCCCATTCTGATGGAGACAGGCAAGAACCAATCCTAGCACACAGCATGCCAGATGGTACGTGCTCATTGCCATAGAGAAAAAGAGAGTTCCTTCCTTCCTTCTTCCTCCCTCCTTCTTTCCTTCCTCCTTCCTTCCTTTTTTTTTTTTTTTTTTTTTTTTTGAGATACAATCTAGCTCTGTTACCCAGGCTGGGGTGCAGTGGTACGATCTCAGCTCACTGCAACCTCCGCATCCCAGGTTCAAGCAATTCTCCTGCCTTAGCCTCCCGAATAGCTGGGATTACAGGCATCCGCCACCATGTCCAGCTAATTTTTGTATATTTAGTAGAGATGGGGTTTCACCATGCTGGTCAGGCTGGTCTCGAACTCAAGTGATCTGCCCACCTTGGCCTCTCAAAGTGCTGGGATTACAGGTGTGAGCCAAAGTGCCCAGCCTCCTTTTTAATTTCTTTTTTCTTTCTTTCAAGATGGGGGCTCGCTGTGTCGCACACGCTGGAGTGCAGTCGTGCAATCATGGCTTACTACAGCCTCAAACTCCTGGGCTCAAGCGACGCTCACACCTCAGCCTCCTAAGTAGCTGGGATTACAGGTGTGTGCCACCGTGCTGGGCTAAACTGAAACTTTAAATGAGTTGCCTGCCCGAGACTTCAGTAAAGACCTGCAGGAACTGGGGGAAGAGTGTGGTTTGGGTATCTGCAGGGGAACTGTGAGCACAAAGACCCTGGGGTGGGAGCTGTGCAGAGTGTGTAGCTGTGAGCTGAGGGTATGGGGGTAGGCCTGGGCAAGTAAGGTGAAGCGGGGAGCAGTGCCAGACATTGTGGGGACACCAGCATGGGAAGACCATGGATCTGTGGGGCAGGCACCCCCAGAGATGCCACCTTGTACTCATCCTATTCTGTCCTGGCCCATGGTTCTGCCTCTCCACCTGTCTCGGAACCGGGGGGCCGTTATGGTATCTCCCCAAGCCGCAGTTCCTTCATCTGTAAAGTGAAGATCACTACTGTGTTAGTCTGTTAGGGCCGCCTTAAAAAAGCACCACAGTCGGCCGGGAGCGGTGGCTCACGCCTGTAATCCCAGCACTTTGGGAGGCCGAGGCGGGCGGATCACAAGGTCAGGAGATCAAGACCATCCTGGCTAACACAGTGAAACCCCGTCTCTACTAAAAATACAAAAAATTAGCTGGACGTGGTGGCAGGTGCCTGTAGTCCCAGCTACTCAGGAGGCTGAGGCAGGAGAATTGCTTGAACCCGGGAGGTGGAGGTTGCAGTGAGCCAAGACTGTGCCACCATACTCCAGCCTGGGTGACAGAGTGAGACTCCGTCTCAAAAAAAAAAAAAAAAAAAAAAAGCACCACAGTCTGGGCTCAGTAGCTCACACCTGTAATCCCAGCACTATGGGAGGCCAAGGTGGGAGGATCATGTGAGCCCAGGAGTTTGGGACCAGTTCAGGCAACATGGTAAAACCCCGTCTCTACAAAAAATACAAAAAATTAGCTGGACGTGGTCGTATGCACCTGTAGTCCTATCTACTCAGGGGACTAGGTGGGAAGATTGCCTGACCTCAGGAGGTGGAGGCTGCAGTGAGCTGTGATCTTGCCACTGCACTCCAGTCTGGGCAATGGAGTGAGACCCTGTCTCCAAAAAAAAAAAAAAAAAAGCATCACAAATTGAACCACTTAAGATAACAGACATTTATTGTCACACAGCTCTGGATGCTGGAAGTCCATGATCAGAGTGACAGCAGGTCTGCTCCCTCTGAAGGCTCTAAGAGAGGCTCTGAAGCAGGCCCCTCTCCCAGCTTCTGGTGATGCCTTGGCTCGTGGAGCAGAATTCCAGTCTTTACACGGTGTTCTTCCTGTGCGCGTATCCGTCCGTGTCCAAATCTTTCTTTTTCCTTTTTTTTTTTTTTTAAGAGACAGGGTTTTTCTCCATCATCCAGGCTGAAGTGCAGTGGTGCAATCACGGCTCACTGCAGCCTCCACCTCCTGAGCTCAAGTGATCCTCCTACCTCAGCCTCCCAAGTAGCTGGGACTACAGGTGTGTACCACCATGCCCTGCTAATTTTTTAATTTTCATTTTTCTTTAGAGATGGGGTCTTGCTATGTTGCCCAGGCTAATCTGGGCTCAAGCAGTCCTCCAGCTTTGGCCTCCCAAAGGGCTGGGATTACAATGTGAGCCGCTGCGCCCAGCCCAAATCTTCCTTTTTTGTTTTTTTGAGACAGAGTCTCCCTCTGTTGCCCAGGCAGAGTGCAGTAGTGCAATCTTGGCTCACTGCAACCTCTGCCTCCTGGGTTCAAGCGATTCTCCCACCTCAGCCTCGCACTACAGGTGTGAGTCACAATGGCCAGCTAATTTTTGTATTTTTTTTTTTTTTTTTTGGTAGACACAGCGTTTCGACATGTTGCCCCAGGCTGGTCTTGAACTCCTGAGCTCAAGCAGTCCTCCTGCCTCAGCCTCCCAAGGTGCTGGGATTATAGGCATGAGCCACTGTATCCAGCCTAAATGTTCCTCTTTTTATAAGGATAGCCGTCATATTGGATTAGGGCCCACACTAACGACCTCATTCTACCTTGGTTACCCCTGGAAGAACCCTATCTCCAAATGCAGTCACATTCTGAGGTACTGTGGGTCAGGACACTGATATATCTCTTTGGGGACACAACTCATAACACCAATAGAATCACCATTGAGGGCTGTTCTTCCTTAGGGGCCTCAGGCTGCTGGGGAGCCCTGGGCAGGGTGGGGGCAGAGGGACCCACACAAGAGCAGAGACTGCTCTTCCTGGGCAGGCCGGGTCTCTGGGCAGAGGTGAACATCCGGGGGGCTCTTCATGAGGGCAGGGCACCATCCAGGTTGGGGACTGGCACTGGTCACCGGCACAGGACATGGTAGCCACTGGGGCAGGTGAATGTGTTGGCAGCAAGGGCAGTGCCCCCAGCCGGGAGCCTGTTGTCCTGACTCAGAGGACACGTATGGGATGTGGGGCCTCAGTTTCTCCTCAGGCCTGGGGGTGCAGCCTGGGTCGCAGCTGGGAAACTCTTCTGAGTTCAAAGTGAGCCATGGAAGGCTCTGAGCCCAGCAAAGTGGTCTGGGCAAGAAGGGGAAGAGACGGGGAGGCCCCTGCTCCTCCCTAGGTGGACTCACATCATGTCACAATCAGGCTGGGAAGCCCTGGCGCAGGTCCACACCCACCCTGCACTCTCATGGGTCTGAAAAGGCCAAGTTAGGGGTTGGGTGCAGAGGCTTAGAAAAGTCTAGGTCTCAGCATTGGATATCCGGGACCCCCTTATACTCGGCCAGGCTCAGGGATGAAGCTCCTTAGAGCTGGCCCCAAACCAGGAGCTCCTGGGGCTGAGACAGATGCAGACCTGCTCTCCTGCCCCTCCTACCATCCCCTGGCCCCCATCATCCAACAGAAGTCCAGGCCAGCCTGCCTCCCGCTCCAGTGGGGCCTCCATTGCGACCTGATAGACCTGTATGGGTGGCTGGCCCCATAATCAGCATCTACCACATCCCACGCGCATGGGGTCTCTCACAGCGGCCCCTGCCCATGGACAGATGGACTGACCCACAGGCATCCACATGTGGTGCTGAAGAAGCCGTGAGGAAAGGGGGAGGTGGGAAGGGCCTCGTCCAGGGTGTCTGGCTGCACAGGAGACATAGCAGCTCCCACTGGCACCCTGCATACAAGGGAAAGGCCTCGAAATGCGCTCACCAAAGCCTCAGAGTTTTATTATCAGGAGCTCACATTCAGGTACAGATTCCTATGAAGTTTGCCTCACCTGGAGGGAAGAGGGAGAGAGCAGGGCTGGCTGAGATGGGGCTGCCAGAGGCATGGTCTCCAGCTGGGTAAGCGGGATTCTGAGAGCCCCTGGTGCACACGGAGCCTCCTGGCACACACAGGATTGTCTCAAACACAGAGGACCTCTGGCACACTCAAGGGCACTGAATCTAGCAATGAGTCTGCACTTCTGTTATGAGAGTGGGTTTTTCGGCCAGGCGTGGTGGCTCACGCCTGTAATCCCAGCACTTTGGGAGGCCGAGGCAGGTGGATCACCACGTCAGGAGTTCAAGACCAGCCTGACCAACATGGTGAAACCCCGTCTCTACTAAAAACACAAAAATTAGCTGGGCATGGTGGCACACGCCTGTAATCCCAGCTAATCAGGAGGCTGGGGCAGGAGAATTGCTTGAACTTGGGAGGCGGAGGTTGCAGTGAGCCGAGATCGTGCCACTGCACTCCAGCCTGGGTGACAGAGCAAGACTCCGTCTCAAAAAAAAAAAAAAGAGAGAGTGGGTTTTTCTCAGGTCTTCTCGGTGCCCAATTCCAAATGTGGCTGTCTCCTCTGCAGGAGCAGGTCTGCTTGTCAAGAGTCCAAGCACGCCTGTGTTCTGTGGCCACAGGAGAGGAGGGGCCGCTTTTAAATACAAGCCTACTCCTGTCGTTGGACCAGAACAAAGACCTACTGGCCAGAAGCACATGAGAGGTGAGAGTCGCCCTTCTGCCTTGTTCGGCATCGTGTGTGTGCACCTGTGTGTGTGTGTCTGTGCAACTGTGCATGTGTGCACATGTGTAGCACACCTGTGCACGTACATGTGCCTGTGTCGGTGTCCATGTATATGGCTTGCATGTGTGTGCTTGTGCACACGCAGGAGTGTATGTGTGTGCCATGTGAGTGCCTGTGTACATGTGCAAGAGTGGGCTCAGGTGTATCCACATGTTCATGGTATACCTCGGCCGGTCCTAGACCTAGTATCAGACTCTGCTGCTCCTCACTGGCATAAAGGCAGACCCTGAACTGGGCATGGGGACACAGATGGGTAACACGCAAACCACAGGGCCCTGATCCGGGGGATGCTGGCCAAGCCACGGGCAGTGCAATGCAGTATGGCAAAGGAAGGTTTCCTGTCCACAGTGCCCCTCAAGGCAGGGCCCCCCAGGAGCCCACTGGCCAGGCCCAGAGGTGGGGTTAGCTCTGCAGTGTGAACTCATAGGTTCTGGTCTCCCAGTGGGAGAGGTCCTTGTCCATCATGCTACGCTCAGTGAAGGTCACGTGGCCGTCCGCATCTACCAGGATGATAGTGTTGGTTCTGAAAGAGAGCAGGGGCCCTCGTTCACCTGGTGTCCCTCAGCCCTGCCCTGCCTGTCACAGCCACAAATAGGGCAAGAATGCAGGCAGGTAGAGTTAGGAACCCCATGCCTGGAGGCTGTGCCAAGTCACAGAGAGCAGCAGCCTCAGTCTTGGGGATGATGAGGGGCCATCAGTGGCGTGTGAGCTCTTGGCTGGCTCCACAGGCCCACACTTGCTGAGTCCTGCCACCTTCACTGGGAACCACCCCACCCTGCCCTGCTCTCCCCGTGTAGCATGAGCCAAGGCATAGGGCAGCCTGCGGGCTGACCACACACTTCCCCTTTGGAGGCCCAGGTTCCCAGACACAGCCATGCTTGGTTCTTCCAAGAGGTCAAGCTGTTGACCACTTGGGGCCCAGGCCTCCTCTGTCTGGAAGGCTTCCCTCCTGTGCCCTCTCTTCCACTGCCCAGGCCATGCCAGCCCACCTGAAGCAAACATTCAGCACACTCTCCTCTCCTCCAACCCTCTCTGCCGTGGGCTTTGCAGACGGAGGGTGGCCCTGGATCCCCCAACAGCCCCAGCACAGGCTGGTTCCCAGGGCAGACACATACGCAGTGCACCCCGTGGGGTGGGACCCAGCGGCTATGCGGCCTGCCAGGGAGTGGAGTTGGCACTTGCCTTCCCCTCACACACAGGAAGATGAGCCTATGACAGAGGAGGGGCTGAAGGAAATGACACCCTGCACCTGCCAATGGGCCAGCCAGCCCCAGGCAGGAAAGGCTGGCCAGCAGCCACCACCCAAGGGTACAGCCTGCAGGCCTAGTGCCATGGTGCCGGGGCGTTTGCCCGCAGGGATCCACCAATGTGCAGGCAGCCCTGAAGCCATCCTGGCCCTGTGTGGCTGTGTACTGGCTCCTTAAGCCCAGCCTGTGGGGCCCCGGGAGCCTGTGGTATCTGCTCACCCTGCAGCTGCGTCTGGACAGGGCAGAAGCTCTGGAATCCACTCAGGCGAGGAAGAAGCCTGGCTCTGGCTATGGGCACTTGGCTTCTTTGCCGGCCCTCTAGCGTGGGAGGTGGGACATGGGATAGGAGGTGGCGCACCCACGGTGCTGCAATACCTGGTGCCGTAGCCAGGGCAGCGCACGCACACAGCCGCGTACTTGCTCAGCATGGGCTGCACGTACTCCCCACCCTGGTCCTCGATGGCCGGGTCTGGCAGCTGCCTGCAGGATGGAGAGAAGTGGTGGCCATTAGTCCCTCTGTGGCCCGCCCGCAGCCGGGTCTAGCCCCAGCCCACCTGGTGGCCTAACTGGCTCTGGGGAGTGGCCGGGGAACTGCAAGGGTTGTTTCTTTTCTTCTTTTCTTTTTCCTCTTCTCTTCTCTTTTCTCTTATTTTCTTTTTTTGAGGAGGAGTTTCACTCTTGTCGCCCAGACTAGAGCGCAATGGTACGATCTTGGCTCACTGCAACTTCCACCTCCCGAGTTCAAGCAATTCTCCTGACAGAAGTCCACTCAAGCCAGCCATTGTAGCTAGCATCGGGGCTCCAGCCGTCAGCTGGGATTACAGGCGTGCACCACCCAGCCATCTAATTTTGTGTTTTTAGTAGAGACAGAGTTTCACCATGTTGACCAAGTTGGTTTTGACCTCCTGACCTCAGGTGATCCGCCCACCTCGGCTTCCCAAAGTGCTGGGATTACAGGCGTGAGTCACACACCAGGCGTGTTTCCTCCACGTTTCTGCTCAAGGCGGAAAATCTCCATCTACCCTTAACTTATGACTCAATCGTGGAGCTTTGGCCCCAGATGGCACATACAAGCTCCCTGCCTGCCCCAAGAGGTGCCCTGTGGGCATTTGCCTCTGTGACAGAAGTCCACTCAAGCCAGCCATTGTAGCTAGCATCGGGGCTCCAGCCATCAGTGAGGGCAGCCAGGGCCGGTCCTCGGCCTGCCCCAGATGGCACATTGATGGGGGCTGTGTGGACTTACAGCTGGGAGGGGCTGCTGGGCATGCCCAGGTGGGGCTCTTCCAGTGAGGCAGCGATGCTGAGGCTGAAGGACGAGGCCGCCTATCAGAGGCCCAGAGGAGAAGGAGGGTAGGCAGGGGGCAGAAAGGGGCCCCAGGGGGAGGAGTGGGAGATGGTCCATGGGTGCTTCTCTGAAGGGGGCAAGCTGGACAGGGTGGGAGTGGACGCTGGATCACCTGGGCAGGGCAGTGGTCTGACCTGGGTGGGGAGCGAGGGATGGGTGGGGCATCTCGCCCAGTGGGAGAAAGGCTGGCATGGCAAGCACCAGGACCCCCGGCTGGGGCAACGAAGACCCCAGTGCCTGGCCCCTGAGGGGCCTTGAGGCCTACGGGCAAGGAAGTGGGTGGGAGCTCCTACACCCAGGCAGTTCCCGGAACTGCAAGTCCCTGCCCAGCACTCAGCCCAGGGTCGCTGGGGACAGACCGCTTGCGGGAAGCCCATCAACCCTGAGCGTGCTGACCCTAGCCACTCATTTCCATGATGTGTCTCTTCCGCCTGGGTTTGCTGAGTGTCTAGAATCTTCTGGAACTTCCCACAAGCTCTCGGCATGCAGAGGGGAGCATCCATCTGCTCTGGGCCCCACGTGGCTGCATCAAGCCTCTGGGTGCACTGAGCCTCCCCTGGGCCTGGGCCTGGGCCTGGGCCCATCTTCTGTCATCAAAAGTCCCTGGTGTTGGAAACCTCAGCTGGCTCAAGGGGACAGGCAGGGAGGACAGGATATCCATCAGCTTCCCTGCAGCTGGGGACCCAGCCTGGCCACTTCCATGGGCCTCCCGGGGCAGCAGGGCCTGCCTTTCCCTCTGCCCTGGTGGCGGGACACTGGGGCTCACCCCAGCAGGACCCGCCCACTCACGCCTCTTCATTGTTGAGCACATCCAGGAGGCTGGCGATGAGCACATCCTTGGGCAGCGCCTGGCTCCGTTCCACAGCCTCCAGGAAGAGCTGCTTCCCAAAGCACAGCTTCCTCCAGGGAGTCTCCAGCAGCGCGTTGCTCAGCCCGTAGGTGCCTGTGAGGAGCAATCAGCGGGCCATGCAGAGGCCCTGCTGTGCCATGTCAGGGCAAATTGCCACCTGCCACCCACCTAACACGGGGTACAGCTGGGGACCATGAAATCAGGCCAGACTGAGGCCAAGCCGCTCCATGCTCCAGCTCCTTCCCCATGCTCATTCCTGACCTGATGGCATGGCAAGGAGAGGAGAACTCAGCAGTAGGCGGAAGCGGGCACCCACAGGAGACCACAAGGCACAGATGCCCAGCAGCCTCGATGGATGGATGAATAAGAAATGAGCAACCTGAGATCTCACAGGCAAAGGGGACAGCCAAGAGGGAACCTCTTCACCTCACGCCAGGTTGGGGGGCCACCTGAGAAGTTCAAGAGTGGGAGAATTAGCCACCAGAGGCCAGGAGGCACCCACCACAATCATGTCCCTGTTTGGGGAACCCCCAACAGCGCCACACAGTGGGCACAGGTGTAGGCTGGGCCTCAGCAGAGCATGGCCCACCTCTGCGTACCAGCCAGGCCCCAGGTTAGGAGAGCCGGGGGGCTCTGCACAGACTCTGAACAAGCTCCCAGAGTGTTGGCAGAAGGCATGGCCAACAGGAAAAGGGTTTCTCATGTCACAGAAAGTGAAGGGCAGGGACTTGAGGTGGAGAAGCACCTCACCTCAGAGGCTCTTCTCTAGAGGCCAGGGCAGCAGGGGTGGGCTTGATGGGAGCCAAGCACCCCAAATGATGCACCAGGGAGACCAAGACACCACCCTCTCCCTGTCAGACTTCCAGGAGAATATCTTGGCCGAGGCATTTCCCAGGGAGACAGCCTGGCTCTGCTGGGGCCCCCAGAGCCAAGCCGCCAGCCCCAGGTGTCACAGTGCTTTTTCCATCATGAACAACATGGAAGACCATTGAACTGCATAGTCATGGGCAAAGAAGGGAGTTGGACTCTACCTGACACCATACACAAAAGTTAACTCAGGTCAAGAGAGGTGGCTCACTCCTATAATCCCAGCACATCGGGAGGCTGGGGCAGGAGGATCACTGGAGCCCAGGAGTTCAAGACCAGCCTCGGCAAAATAGCAAAATAGTGAGGCCTTATCTCTACAAAACATAAAAGTTAGCTGAACATGGTGGCACACATCTGCAGTCCCAGCTACTTGGGAGGGAGGATCTCTTTTTTTTTTTTTTTTTTTTGAGACGGAGTCTTACTCTGTCGCCCAGGCTGGAGTGCGGTGGCGCAATCTCGGCTCACTGCAAGCTCCACCTCCCGGGTTCACGCCATTCTCCTGTCTCAGCCTCCCACGTAGCTGGGACTACAGGCACCCGCCACCACGCCTGGATAATTTTTTGTATTTTTAGTAGAGACGGGGTTTCACCGGTTTAGCCAGGATGGTCTCGATCTCCTGACCTTGTGATCCACCCGCCTTGGCCTCCCAAAGTGCTGGGATTACAGGCGTGAGCCACCGCGCCCGGCTGGGAGGATCTCTTAAGCCCAGGAGGTTGACAGTGCAGTGGGCCATGACTGCACCACTGCACTCCAGCCTGGGTGACAGAGCCAGACCCTGTCTCAAAAAAAAAAAAATAGTTAACTTAAGTCAAACCAAAGACCTAAGTGAAAGAGCAAAAGCTATAAAACTCTAAGAAGAAAGTATTGGGGAAAGCTTCATGACCTTAGATTAGGCAATGGTTTCTTAGATAAGAAACCAAAAGCATGAGCAACAAAAGAAAAAAAAAGAGAGAGACATAGGACTTAAAAATTTTAAGCTTTGTGCTTTAAATAAGAGACTTGTAGCTAGAATGAATGTATAAGTCACTCCTATAACTCAAAAAGACAACCCAGTCTGAATAACCATTTCTCCAAAGAAGACATACAAATGGCCAACGAGCATGAGAATAGCTGCTCAACATCATAGCCATCAGAGAAACGCAAACCAAACCACGAGTCCACACAACTTCACACCCACTATCGTGGCTATCATCAAAAACACAGAACATAGCAAGTTTTGGTGAGGATTCAGAGAAGCTGCAACCCGCATACACTGCTGGTGGGAATGTATAATGCTGCGGCTGCTTTGGCAAACAGTTTGGATGTTCCTCAAAAGGTTAAACAGGGTTACCATACGACTTAACAACTCCATTCCTACGTATTCACATGAGAGCCATAAAAACATATGACCACACAAATGCTGTGAGGTCACACTGTGAGCAGCACTGTTTCCAACAGCCAAAAGGTGGAAAAAACTCAAGTGTCCATTAATGGATAAAGGGAAGAAACAAAAAGTACCAACTGGCTCGAGGGTTCAGGGCAGCTGTCTCAGCAACTCCCTAAATTCCTACAGCTACAAGAAAAACCACAGTCTTGATAAACTCCCTCACAACAGTAGAGATCACACACGTTATCAGACCCTCCTAACTCTTGACAGCCCAGACCACCACAACCCTGACTGGACAGAGAACCAGCCTTCAAACACTCTTTTCTGATAAGCAACTACAGACCATAAGCCAGTTTCAGCAGTTCATAGAGGCTGCACTCCAACTGTGTCCTAGAGCTCACCTTCTGATGGAAAGATCCAGATTCTACCTCATTTTAATGCTAAAACCCTGCCCCAAAGTGAACATGGGATGTATGTTACATGTATGTTTATCTATTGCATATGTTCTCGGGTCCCCTCATAAATATGTATGGCTTTTCCCCAAACCTGCTGAATATGTATGACTCTATTGTGTGATATGGACCTTGGGAGGCATAAAACTCAAACTGCCCTTCCCCTCTTCAAAGAGAGCACCTCAGTCCATGCTAGAGACTCTCTCTTCCGGGTCTGCAAACTGATATGGCAAATAAAACTCTCCTTTCTATCATTTAGCCATGCTGGTGAGTTTTTCTTTGTTTTTTTTTTTTTTGAGATGCAATCTCACTCTGTCGCCCAGGCTGGAGTACAGTGGCGCGATCTCAGCTCACTGCAAGCTCCGCCTCCTGTGTTCACGCCATTCTCCCGCCTCAGCCTCCCAAGTAGCTGGGACTATAGGCACCTGCCAACACGCCCGGCTAATTTTTTGTATTTTTAGTAGAGATGGGGTCTCACCGTGTTAGCCAGGATGGTCTCGATCTCCTGACCTCGTGATCTGCCCGCCTTGGCCTCCTAAAGTGCTAGGATTACAGGCGTCAGCCACCGTGCCTCGCCACTGGTGAGTTTTTAGACGACAACACTAAGTGAAAAAAGTCAGTCCCCTAAACTACATATTATAGGATTCCCTTTATACAAAGTGTCCAGAATAGGCAAATCCAGAGACAGAAAGCAGATTAAAGGTTGCAGGCGCTGAAGAGACGGGGAATGGGGAGTGGCTGCTGACAGGTATGGCTTTCTTTGGGGATCAAGAAATGTCCTGGAATTAGGTAGTGATGACAGTTGCTCAACTCTGTGAATGAAACGAAACCTACTGAATGATACACTTTAAATGGGTGAACTGTGCCGCTAGTCAGTCATATCTCAATAAAACTTTATCAAAAAAAAAAAGGCAATGTGGACCAGGTGGGGCAGGCTCAGGGATGAGGCAGGATGTAGACAGAAATAAGTTCTACAGAACAACAACTGAGCAGAAAATAAGCATCTCCAGCCACGGAGGTCTCAGCCTCTGAGAACCGAGGATGCCACGTGGATGGTTACAGCGACTGCCCCAGAGGCCGCTGGGCCAATGTTCACAGTGAGGGGGTGGTAGGGAGTCTCTGACTGCTTTTGCACCTTTTAGTTTCCAATTCTCTCCTGGGCAGTCACAGGCTCAGCATGGCCCAACTCCACTGCCACAGACCTACTTCGCCACACATTCCAACCCCACGACCCTCAACTGATGCGGAGGTTCTGGGGCAGGTGGAACAGCAAGAGCTGGCTGAGACAGCCAGAACAATCCTTTGCAAGCTCAGGACCTTCTGGGGCCACATCCCTGCCTCGCTGGTAGTCTCTGTGTCTGTGCCACTGCCCAGCTCTTGGGAGCTCAGGTGGGCTGCCCACAGTTGTATCCAAGGTAGGGAGGGGAAGACCAGGGTCACAGAGGGTGGCCGGAAGGATAAGCCCCAGGTGGAGGAGAGGGCACCAGCTGGTAGGCGTGGGGGCAGTGGGTGGGACACACTGGAAGCCACCCTCCAGGCAGATGCCTCCTCTGGAGATCCCAACTAGCCCAGGGGTTCGGGTCTGGGCACCACCCTAGCAAATGGGGGCTGGGCCTATCTGTGGATGAAACATCACTGGGCAGACGTGGGAAGCTGGAAGCCAGCTCCAGTGTGGGCCAGGCAAGGACCACAGGACTCATGATGAGCCCGTCAGCACCACCAGCCCCCTAAGATGCAGGTGGGATGGGGCCACTCAGCTGTCCTGGGGACTGCTTATCATCTCCCTCGGGCCCCTCCAGGGACGCCTGGGGCTTCAGTTCCACCGTGTACACCCAGTGGGAAGGTGTGCACCTGTGACCTGCAACCTCACTTGGTGATTTGTGCCAAATGCAAAAGAAAGTCTGTGTGACGTGGGCATGGAGCTTCAGAGGAGCCAGGGGTGTGAGGGAGCCCCCTCACAGAGGGGTGTGGGTGGCGCTAAGGGCACTGACACACTCCCCAGGCGCCGGAACACCCTGTGTGAGCCAGCAGCTTGAGTAGAGGGACCAGAGCGGGCGTTTAAGGCACAGAGTTCCACGATGCCACCAGCGAGGAGTGTCTGTGGGCAGCGAGTGTGGGAGTGAGTGAGCCAGCAGTCCCCGGAACCTAGGCTATGGTCCCTACAGTTTTGTGCACCCAGGGGAAATGCCATTTCCCAGGAGTGCTGCTTTGTCCTGGCACCAGACCTGGGACAAGATGCAGACCTCCCTCCCAGAACATGGCTGCAGAGGGGGGCAATGTGACACATTCTCTCCAGGTTGGGGCACTGGCAGAGGAAGCTTCCAGGAAATCGCAGCACCCGAGGAGGGGGAAAGGAAGGGCATGTAGCAGGAGGCACAGCCTGGGCAGTGGTGCAGAGCCAGGGCAGGAAGGGCCCAGCCGTGGAGTGTGACCTGGCGCAGAGGGGCTCGAGGCCCTGAGGATGGGGACCGGGGATCAGACTGGGGACTGGGTGCAGGAGGCGTGCATCTGTGTGGGGCTTGAGTGGGGTGTGTACTTGTGCGTCAGGGAGCAGACCAGGCAAGAACCCCAGGTGGTGATGGCTCCAGAGGTTCTGAGAAGGAACAGGCACAGGGCACACTGGGACGGCACAGGAAGTGAGGCTGGGGGTGGCCGGCTGGGCTGCAGGGCTGCGGTGGGAAGCCCAGAACAGGGGCGCACCTTGCTCAGCAGGAAAAGCCCATGGGGAGGGGGTGAGCAGGGAGCCAGGGCTCTCTGAAGTGTCCAGGTGCAGGGCAAGGTGCCCACAGACCATAAGGCACTTAAATGGCCACAAAGTCATCTCAGAAGAGTAATATGACAAGTGCCTGGTCTCTAAAAAGCACAAGGGTGACCTCTGCATAGAAACAGTCCCCCACCCCATCAGGCTGCCAGGGCAGGCTCACCTGGCGTCAAAACGATAGGATCAGGCTCCCCTCGGTTCCCATAGTAGCAAATGACGTCTCCCTTTGCTGTGCTGCAGGCCAAGGGGAGAGAATGTCAGACTACAGCCATAGGGCGTCCTCCCCGACACTGCCCGGTGATCTCACAGCCCTGTTTCTGGAGGCTAGCGATGTGCGCAGTAGCCCGCTGCGGCCAGGTCAGGAGCTTGCAGGACCCAGCCCCTCAGGTGCCTGGCAGGCGGGGTCATGGAGGCCCCAGCTCTTGTCCAGCATCACGGGTATGTTCCCAGCTCACCTCGGGGCCCACCAGCCCAGGAGGCACAGGATCTAAAATGCCCTCCTGCCATGCCGAATGCCCCATGGCATGGACACACAGAGGCTGCCCATGGGGACAACTGCAGGGCTGAGCCCCATCCCCACATCACCAACCTCTCCATCAGGCCCCTTACCACAGCTCATCTATGAGGGTTTCTGGACAGGTGGCCCCAGTGTGGCCCCAGGGTGATCGAGGCTTCCAAAGAAAGCGCCAAAGACCACATTTTCCTACTCTCAAGTGTTAAGTGTACACTTTAAAATAGTTAAGGGACAGTAGAGCTGGGCATAGTGACTCATGCCTATAGTCCCAGCTAATCTGGAGACTAAGGAGGGAGGACTGCTTGAGGCCAGGAGTTTGAAACCAGACTGGGCAACATAGCAAGACCCCATCTCTACAAAATAAATAAATCATTTTTTAAAAAGAAAATAGTTCAAAATGCTCCCCAGCTGAAAATATTCCAATCCTCAATACCACAGTAAGTCTTCTAGAACTTGGAGTGCCTTTTTTGCAAAGTGAAGAGGATCTCTTTGTGGCCTGTGAGATGCCCTCCCAGGCCAGATGCTGGGCATGGAGCCCTGGGCCTTCAAGATGGAACAGATGCAGAGAAAGAGCCAGGCATGGTGCCTTCCTCCCCGAAGTGCTGCCCCCAGGTGGGACCCACCTTCCCCACCCCTGGTAGGCTTCAAGGGCCCCCCCGTCTATGTTCACATTCCACTCCCGTTCTTCCTCACCATGGTCTTTGGCAACTTTCCTAAGATACTTGGTTCATAATTTCAGAGACTGTTTGCAGGCAAAAATCTCCTCTGGGCTTTCTGTGTAAGGACCTACAGAACTGGACACCCATGCTGCCAGCACTATACCACAGGCCAGGCGGAGGGCAGGCCTCACCCAGGGATAGCTGTGGCCATGACAAGCCTCTCTCCCTTCCAGGCCTTGGCTTCCTCATCTGCACCTACCAGCAGGGCTGCTCACTGACCTCCGATGCCCCCGCCCTCCAGCCTCGGCCCTGGCACCAGCTTTTGCCTGACCTGTGGTATGCTCTCCTGGCCACTGCCTGTATCCTCAGGCTAGGTCCAGGAGGCTGACCCTCACTCTGCAGCCTTTGGAGCCGGGAGAGTTGCACAGGCTCTGAGGAGCCCAAACCCCCAACCCCCAACCACAGGAGCCCGTGTATCTGCTCAAGGCATGGCACCCTTGGCACCCCACCTCCACACAGCTGCTGAGTGCCAAGTCCTGCTGGTGCCACGGCCGCAGAGGAACTCTCCTGAGACTAATCAGACCCACATGGAACTACTGACCGGGAAAAGTGGTTCCTGAGCATGGGGGCATGCAGAGAGCACAGGGGCTCTGCCACCTGGAGTCACGAAGGCATGGGCAGGAAGAACGGCTCCGGACAGCAAGTGCCCCGCACCAGCCCTCGGCCTTCCACCTAGGGGACACTGCAACTCTCCCAGCCTCCATAGCAAGTGTGCAGACCCATGTGGGGCAGGGCTGGGCATGCCACACACAAGGGATGCTCAACGAACAGCAGGCCTGGAGCTCGGGAGCCAGGAGAGAGGCCCATGGACCTGCCCTTGTGGAAGGAGGCAGCTTCAGGGCCCGCCACAATGTGCCGACCACTTCCCGTTTGCCTGTCCTGGCAGAAGGCCCCGGACTAACAGCATTGGCCAAGTTCTGGGGCTTTGGAGGGGGAGGAGGGCAGGAGGGAGGAATGCTCACTTCACGGAAGGGCAAAACACCAAAACCTCCGCAGTTCCTGCGGCCTCATCTCCAACAGGAGCTTCCCTGGGAGCACAGCATCCCAGTCACTCCAAGCCAGGGCTGCGGAGGGCTGCTCTGCACAGCCTGCCCGTGGGAGGGAGGACACCCGGCCAGAGCCACTCTATGTGACTGTTCTTCACAGCCTCAGCTTTCTCCAGGGATCCGGCAGCCCTCATGCCATCACAGGAAGCCTTGGGCTTCACCCCCAAATACCCGAGTTGGTACATCTGTGACAGGCTCAGTCCTCAGAATGTTTGCCAAGTCACGAGGAGCAACGTCCCTGGAGAGGCTGCCACAGCCCCCAGTGGAACCCCACTTCCTGATGAGCCTGAGGCCTGCCCCCGAGGCAGTGCTGGGCAGAGCCGCCATCCCCCTCTGGCAGACCCACCTCAGGTCGGCTGCTATGAGGTTGAAGCCATTGTACAGATGGCCCTCCATAGAGACCTTCTTCAGGTAGGACAAGCTGTCCACGTCAGTGGTCAGAAAGTGGGTGACAAGTTCACCTGTAGGCAGGGGACAGATGCTGTGTCCACAGCTGCAGGCATGTGCTCTTCTCCCAGGAACACTGATATGGGGCCCCCTGGGGAGGATGCAGGAAGATGAGGGGTCCCACTGGAGCCCTGGCCTGTCATGACTGCCGCAAGAGTCAGCCACACCTCATTAGCCTGGCTGCCACTCAGGTCGGCACTGAAAACTGCTCATTTTATTAAAAAAAAAATTTCCCCACTATGTCTTCCTATGGAAATCCAGCATGAAGTAAACAACACCTTTCAGTGGGGACAATGTGTGTCCACAGAGCTGTCGTCTCGGGGAAGGCATCTACTCTACAAACATTCCAGGCAGGGGACAGTGACACAGCAGTCAGGAGTGCCATGCATGAGGACAAGGGGAGAGTGCGCCCTGAGAGGAGTAAACAGTGCTGCGTGGGTCAGGTGGGAGTGGGCTCCTGGCTGCGACGCCAGAGGGCCAGGGTGTGGGAAATGGGATGCTCCCCTCCTCACTCTTCCTGTCTCTGCCGCATACCCCTGCAGCACACCTCAGTGGCGGCAGTGATATGCCCACGGAAGCCACCCACCTGCCACGGGGCCCAGCTTCCCCCTTCTTGTCCCCACCCTTACCTGGGCCCTGCCCTGCCACGCTTTGTCACCGCCCACTCTGTAACCTGGCCCTGCCCCACGGTACCTCAGCCCTGCCCCATCCCACTCCCAAGCACAAGCACCTTGGCACTTCCTACCTTGGCCCGCCCCACTCCACCATACATTGGCCAGTCCTGTAGTCCCTTGGCCCCACCTTGTCTCACCTAGGCCTGCCCCACCCCACCCTGTCTCACCTTGGCCCCACCCCACTCGCCTTACCTCGCCCTCGGGCCTGCCAGTCCAGCTGCGGCTGCAGGTAGTTGGTGAGTGCTGCCAGCTTGCCACGTGTGCTGATGCCCAGCCATGTGCCTCCTTCCTTGCCTTCCTCCATGTCCAGCCCTGTGGCAGATGACAGTGTTACCACCATTGATGCCACCCATTCCAGTCCCCCACCTGGTTCCCAGCCCTGGGAGACGCATACTCGGCCCAGCTCCTGCCTCAAGCTCCTCGAGGACGTTCGACATGCGGCTTGGCCCAGCAGCCCCAGCTATGGAATCGTGGCTGGAACTCTTCAAGGCCAGGCAGCCCCTGGGGTTCATGGGTCGTGCAAGTGAGATCCCTGTCCTGCAGGACAACTATGACACCAACCACACCTATCCCAACAGATGCCCTGCAGAACACATCCTTCCACTTGGGCCAGCGTCAAGGCTGAGGGGCAGCACTAGGCTCCAATCGCATGAATGGGGTGCAGGGACGCTGGCTGTCCTCACCCAGCAGGATGCACCAGGCCCAAAGGGCAGGCCCTTCACTAGGAGCCCAGCACACAACCAGGACCTTCACCCCCGCCAAATCTGCAGGGCATGGGCCACTGCTAATGCCACAAGGTTGGAGGGCTCTGAAAGCCACAGGAGGGCTCCTTCTTAGACCAGGGGGTCATTTTACCCAAAGATTGGGGCAAAAAAGGCTGTCATTAAGATGTTATTTTTATTATTTTATTTCATTTTTTATTTTTTTGAGACAGAGTCTCACTCTGTCACCCAAGCTGGAGTTCAGTGGCAATCACACAGTTCACTGCAACCTCCACCTCCCAGGCTCAAGCGATCCTCCCACCTCAGCCCAAGTAGCTGGGACCACAGGCAGGTACCATCACACTCGGCTGATTTTTGCATTTTTTTGTACAGACAAAGTTTTGCTGTGTTGCCCAGGCTTGTCTCGAACTCCTGGGCTCAAGCGATCCTCCCGACTCAGCCTCCCAAAGTGCTGGGATTACAGGAGTGAGCCACTGCACTGGCTAGGATGTTATTTTATTTATTATTGTTATTATTACTTTTTGAGACAGAGTTTCGCTCTTGTTGCCCAGGCTGGAGTGCAATGGTGTGCTCTCGGCTCACTGCAACCTCTCCCTCCTGGGTTCAAGCGATTCTCCTGCCTCAGCCTCCTGAGTAGCTGGAATTACAGGCATGTGCCATCACACCTGGCTAATTTTGTATTTTTAGTAGAAACGGAGTTTCTCCATGTTGGCCAGGCTGGTCTCGAATTCCCAACCTCAGGTGATCCGTCCGCCTTGGCGTCCCAAAGTGCTGGGATTACAGGTGTGAGCCACCGTGCCTGGCCCTAAGATATTATTTTTATAACAATAATTAATTATAACAGAAAAAGAAAAGATGTAAAGATCAAAAATAAAGAAATAAAACTGTATTTGTGGCCCCGTGCGGTGACTCACACCTGTAATCCCAGCCCTTTGGGAGGCCGAGGCGGGCAGATCACCTGAGGTTGGGAGTTCAAGACCAGCCTGACCAACATGGAGAAACACCATTTCTATTAAAGATACAAAATTAGCCAGGCGTGGTGGTGCATGCCTGTAATCCCAACTACTTAGGAGGCTGAGGCAGCCTATAATCCCAGCTACTCGGGGGGCTGAGGCAGGGGAATTGCTTGAACCCGGGAGGTGGAGGTTGCAGTGAGCCGAGATCACACCATTGCACTCTCAGCGAAACTCTGTCTCAAAAAAAAAAAAAAAACCCAACAAAACTGTATTTGCAACCAGCAGGATCATATATGAAGAAAACCCAAAAGGAATACCAAAACCGATGTATTAGAACTAATAAGTAAATGCTAGCAAGAACTGGAAAGTGAGCATTTAAATATACCATTTATAACAGCATTTTTAAAATCCTTAGTGTGATTAAAAAAAAAAAAAAAAGCCGGGTGCAGTGGCTCACGCCTGTAATCCCAGCACTTTGGGAGGCCAAGGCGGGCGGATCACGAGGTCAGGAGTTCGAGACCAGCCTGGCCAATATGATGAAACCCCATCTCTACTAAAAATACAAAAATTAGCTGGGCATGGTGGCAGGCACCTGTAGTTCCAGCTACTCGGGAGGCTGAGACAGGAGAATTGCTGGAACCCGGGAGGTGGAGGTTGCAATGAGCAGAGATGGCGCCATTGCACTCTAGCCTGGGCAACAGACCAAGACTCCGTCTCAAAAAAAAAAAAAAAAAAAAAAACCACCAGGAAAATATTTAATGAAAAATGAGTGACAAAGACTGAAAACTCCAGGGCACTGTTGAGGGTCTCAAGTTGAGCTGACCTGATTTAAGGAGAGACATGCATATTCACTGAAAGATTCAATAGTGTTTTTTTGTTTGTTTTTGTTTTTTAGAGTCTTGCTCTGTCGCCTAGGCTGGAGTGCAGTGGTGTGATCTCAGTTCACTGCAAGCTCCGCCTCCCGGGTTCAGGCCATTCTCCTGCCTCAGCCTCCCAAGTAGCTGGGACTACAGGTGCCCACCACCACACCTAGCTAATTTTTTCATATTTTTTTAGTAGAGACAGGGTTTCACCGTGTTAGCCAAGATGGTCTCGGTCTCCTGATCTCATGATCGGCCCGCCTCGGCCTTCCAAAGTGCTGGAATTACAGGCGTGAGCCACCGTGCCCAGCCTCAACAGTGTTTCTTCTTGTTATTATTTGTTTCACTGGGTACTTCTTAGACAACTCAGTATTGTTAAGGTGACACTTCTCCCCACATGACCCATAGATTCAAAACCTGCCCAGTCAAAATCCCAGGGGGCTTTTCGTTTTATAGCAATTAACAGACTGGCTGAAATATCTATGCATATGCAAAGGAACTGGGATGGCCAAAATAGTCCCGAAAAAGAAGGCAGACCCACATTGCCTGATTTCTTTTTTCTTTTTTTTTTTTTTTTTGAGACAGAGTTTCGCTCTTGTTACCCAGGCTGGAGTGCAATGGCGTGATCTCAGCTCACCGCAACCTCCGCCTCCCGGGTTCAAGTGATTCTCCTGCCTCAGCCTCCCGAGTAGCTGGGATTACAGGCATGGACCACCACACCCAGCTAATTTTGTATTTTTAGTAGAGACGGGGTTTCTCCATGTTGGTCAGGCTGGTCTTGAACTCCCAACCTCAGGTGATCTGCCCACCTCGGTCTCCCAAAGTGCTGGGATTACAGGTGTGAGCCACAGTGCTCAGCCTGATTTCAAGACTTACTAAAAAGCAGCAGCACTCATAGACTGCATGGTGTTGGCATCAAGACAGATACATAGATCAATGGGATACAACAGAGTCAGGAATAGACCCACACATATATGTTCAACTGATGTACAACCAAGTTGCCATAGTAATGAACTAGGCAAAAGATAATCCATTTAATAAATGATGCTGGAACAACTAGAGAGATTTGGGGGTTGGAGGCAGTAAATCTCAACCCCTACCTCACACCATGTACAAAACCTTGAGATAAATCATAGACCAAACATAAAAACAAAAATTAGGCTTCTAGAAGCAAATGGAGGAAAATATTGTTATATATTTTCCTCTGGGTAGGCAAAGACTTTTTGGATAAGGCACAAAAAGAACAACTCATAAAAGATAAGATAAACTGTACTTTGTTAAAATGAAATATTCTGGCCGGGCGCAGTGGCTCACGCCTGTAATCCTACCACTTTGGGAGGCCAAGGCAGGCAGATCAAGAGGTCAAGAGATTGAGCCCATCCTGGCCAACATGGTGAAACCCCATCTCTACTAAAAATACAAAAATTAGCTGGGCATGGTGGTGCATGCTTGTAGTCCCAGCTACTCAGGAGGCTGAGGCAGAAGAATCACTTGAACCTGGGAGGCGGAGGTTGCAGTGAGCTGAGATCGCACCACTGTACTCCAGCCTGGCAACAGAGTAAGACTCCACCCACTCAAAAGAAAAAAAAAAAATTCTGCTCACCATAAGCTATCATTAAGGAAATGAGTAGGCACAAAGGACTCATATCCAGAATGGGTAAATAACTCTTACAAATCAATAATTAAAACAAGAACAAAACTTCCAAATTGCCCAAGCAACAAGGACCAGATTTACCCTCCTGCATAAAACAACCAAAAAATAAATAAATAAATAAAACTCAAGAAACAATGGTGTATTTATTAGTCCATTCTCATGCTGCTACAAGGACATACCCGAGACTGGGTAATTTATAAAGGAAAGATATGTGACTCATAGTTCAGCATGGCTGGGGAGGCCTCAGGAAACTTACAATCATGGCAGAAGGGGAAGCAAACATGTCCTTCTTCACATGGTGGCAGGAAGGAGAAGTTCCAAGCAAAGCAGGAAAAGCCCCTTATAAAACCATCAGATCTTGGCTGGGAGCGGCAGCTCATGCCTGTAATGTCAGCACTTCGGAAGGCCGAGGCAGGCGGATCACCTGAGGTCAGGAGTTCGAGACCAGCCTGGCCAACATGGTGAAACCCCATCTCTACTAAAAATACAAAAATTAGCTGGGCGTGGTGGCAAGCGGCTGTAATTCCAGCTACTCAGGAGGCTGAGGCAGGAGAATTGCTTGAACCTGGGAGGTGGAGGTTGCAGTGAGCCGAGATCGCACCATTGCACTCCAGCCTGGGTAACAAGAGCGAAACTCAGTCTCAAAAAAAAAAAAACAAAACACTATCAGATCTCATGAGAACTCACTATCATGAGAATAGCAGCATGGGGGTAATGCCCCATGATTCAATTACCTCCCACTGGGTCTCTCCCAGGACATGTGGGGATTTGGGGAACTATAATTCAAGATGAGATTTGGGTGGAGACACAGCCAAACCATATCAAATGGGTTTTACAAAAAAGGATATGACAGACAGGAAACAAAGTGAGCCCATGATTAGAGAGGCTCCAGGACCCAGCCCAGGGAGTGGGGGGACCAGGCCGAATTCAGCAGACTCCCTGAGCTGAGAAGAGGGGCTTAGTGTTTGGGGAAACTAAGACAACCAGAGTTCATGGCTGCCATAGTTTGGATGTTTGTCCCCCAGACCTCATGTTAAAATCTGATCCCCGGGCTGGGTGAGGTGGCTCACGCCTCTAATCTCAGCATTTTGGGAGGCTGAGGCGGGTGGATTGCCTGAGGTCAAGAGTTCGAGACCAGCCTGACCAACATGGTGAAACCCCGTCTCTACTAAAAACACAAAAAATTAGCTGGGCATGGTGGCAGGCGCCTGTAATCCCAGCTACTCAGGAGGCTGAGGCAGGAGAATTGCTTGAACCTTGGAGGCGGAGCTTGTGGTGAGCCGAGATCGTGCCATTGCACTCCAGCCTGGGCAACAAGAGTGAAACTCTGTCTCAAAAAAAAAAAAAAAAAACAAACAAACCAAAAAACTGATCCCCAGTGTTGGAGGTGGGGTCTAATGGGAGACAGATCTACCTAATGGCAGATCCTTCATGAACGGCTTGGTGTTGTCCTCACAGTGATGAGTTCTAGCTCTATTAGTTCCTTTGAGAACTGGTTGTTTAAAAGAGCGTGGCGCCTCCTCCCTCTCTCTGGCTTCCTCCCTCCGTGTGTGATCTGCACATACCACCTCCCCTTCCCCTTCCACCATCAGTAGAAGCTTCCTGAGGCCTGCATCAGAAGCAGATGCTGACACTGTGCTTCAGGTCCCCTGTAGAACTCTAAGCCAAATAAACCTCTTTTCTTTATAAATTACCCAGCCTTGTGGATCACTTGAGGTCAGGAGTTTGAGACCAGCCCAGCCAACCTGGTGAAACCCCATCTCTACTAAAAATACAAAAATTGGGCTGGGGGAAGGATAGCGTTAGGAGAAATACCCAATGTAAATGATGAGTTGATGGGTGCAGCAAACCAACATGGCACATGTATGTATACCTATGTAACAAACCTGCACGTTCTGCACATGTACCCTAGAACTTAAAGAATAATAATAAAAAAATACAAAAATACAAAAATTAGCAGGGTGTGGTGGCAGGTGCCTGTAATCCCAGCTACTCAGGAGGCTGAGGCAGGAGAATCACTTGAACCTGGGAGGTGGAGGTTGCAGTGAGCCAAGGTCGCACCATTGCACTCCAGCCTAAGCGACAGAGCAAGACTCTGTCTCAAAAAAAAAAAAAAAAAAAAAATTACCCAGCCTTGGCTGGGCACCATGGCTTATTATCTGTAATCCCAGCACTTTCGGAGGCCAAGAAAGGAGGGTCACTTCAGGCCAGGACTTTGAAACCAGCTTGTGCAACACAGCAAGGCTTTGTCGCTACAAATTATTTTTAAAAATTAGCTGGGCATGGTGATGTGCACTTGTAGTCCCAGCTACTAGGGAGGCTGAGGTGGGAGGATCACTTGAGGCCAGGAGTTAGAGGCTGCAGTGAGACAGGATTGTGCCACTGCACTCCAGCCTGGGCAACAGAGTGAGACCCTATCTCAAAAAAAAAGAAAAAAATTACCCAGACTCAGCTTTTTCCTTTAGAGCAACACAAACGAACTAAGACAGTGGCACAAAAGTCCAGAGAGGAAGGAGCTACACAGAGAATGTCTGATCAGCATCTCAGGGAGGAGACTATATGACACTGGGGCAAGAACCACCAGTGCTCACACAGGGCAGGGAGTAGGGCTGGCTCCCAGACACCAGGCTGGAAAACCTCAAGATCTAGGGGCACCGAGAAAAGTACGCAGAGAGCATCGCAGAGGTGTGGGACAAGGGCAAGTGAACTAATATATGTGTGTAACTGGAGAGAAGGAGAGAGTGAGAGAGAAGACAGAAAAACTACTTGAAAAAGTAATGGCCGCTGGGTGCAATGGCTCATGCTTCTAATCCCAGCACTTTGGGAGGACAAGGCGGGCGGATCACCTGAGGTCGGGAGTTCAAGGCCAGCCTGACCAACATGGAGAAACCCCATCTCTACTAAAAATACAAAATTAGCCTGGTGTGGTGGTGCATGCCTGTAATCCCAGCTATTAGGAAGGCTGAAGCAGGAGAACAGCTTGAACCCGGGAGATGGAGGTTGCGGTGAGCTGAGATGGCACCATTGCACTCCAGCCTGGGCAACAAGAGCAAAATTCCATCTCAAAAAAAAAAAAAAAAAAAAAGAAGTGATGGCCAAATTTTTATGAATTTAATGATTTTGATTTGCATTTCTTTTCTTTTTTTTCAGACAGGGTCTCACTCTGTTGCCTAGGCTAACTGCAGTGGCTCAGTCTCGGTTCACTGCAGCTTCTACCTTCCAGGCTCAGGCGATCCTCCCACCTCAGCCTCCTGAGTAACTGGGACAACAGGCATATGCCACCACAGCTGGCTAATTTTTTTTTTTTTTTTTGTAAAGACAGGGACTCACTACGTTGCCCAGGCCGGTCTCAAGCTCCTGGCCTCAAGGGATCCTCCTGCCTTGGACTCCCAAAGTGCTGAGATTACAGGTGTGAGCCACCGGCCCAGGGTGATTTCATTTCTAACAAGTTCTCAAGTAAAGCTGGTGCTACAGGCCCAAGGACCACACCTGGAGAACCACTGTCCTAAACTTTTGCATACAATCCGGTGACGCCAGAGAGTGAGAGGATGTGGGCCTTAGTGATATGGTCACCCCGACACTTGGCAGAAGCCCGTGTACATCCATGCACCAGCTGCCACCATCAAAACACCACAGGGGTGAACAATTCCACAAGACTGGAGCTGCTGGGGTTGGCACTAGTTCAGAGGCAGCTGACAGACCTGGGTGCCAGGGTGGGATGGAGCCCAGGAGGGCACAATAGTCAAGGAACCAGAAGAGGGTAACCCTCTGAGCCGCCACATCTTCATCTATGAAAACCTTCCACCTTCCAAGGACATCAGTCTTGTGCCTTCACCCACCCGTCCTGACCAGCCCTGCACCCACTGCATCCTCCTATACCAGCAGGCCTAGGACCACCCTGCCTCAGTCTCCATGCACCCGTCCTCCTCCCACACGGTGCCGGGACCACCCAGCCTCAGCAGCATTCTCACACTACTGCCAGGCCACAGGCCTACACAGGAGTCCTCACAAAACCCCACAGCTGAGCTTTTATTTGATTGATTGATTGACTGATTGAATGAGACAGGGTCTCGCTCTGTCACCCATGCTGGAGTGCAGTGGCACAATCTCAGCTCACTGAAACCTCTGCTTTCCGGGCTCAGGCAATTCTCTAGCCTCAGCCTCCTGAGTAGCTGGGGCCACAGGCACATGCCACCACGCCTGGCTAATTTTTGTATTTTTTTTTGTAGAGACAGGGTTTTACCATGTTGCCCAGACTGGTCTTGAACTCCTGGGCTCAAGTAATCCTCCTGCCTCAGCCTCCTTAAGTGTTGGGTTCACACCTATAATCCCAACACCTGCCCTCCCGGCCTGGGAGGCAGCACAGGGCACACACAGCCTCCATGGGCCCACGAGGTCACACATCTGGCCTGAGTGGGCACCCTGGAGCATGCCAGGATGCCTCGGGCCCACTTGGCGCCTGGTACGCAGGCAGAGTAACCCGTGGCCTCACCAGCCATCTATGCGCACCTTCCAGGTAGACTCCCACCACCCCATGGGCAGGAACTGGTTCCTGTCCAACAGGACTTCAATGAGGCTGGTATCTTTGGTGGGGAGGACCTGGTTCTCACCCCTACTTCTGCCCTATAAGTACACCTAATGCAACACAGGCATGGTGCAGGTGACGGGGCTTCAGCACCACCAGCTTCCCAAACTCAGCCCCACCATCCCTGAAGCAAGGGTGCTCATATACAAACAGAAACACAAACACAGGCACACACACGCACGCATACACACGCATGCACACACTCATATGACTGGGTTGCTTCACAAAGTGACTGAGTGTGGATCTGTACATCACACAAATCCACCCACATGCCCTCAGCAAAAAGGAGGGATCCATATAAAACCAACTGATGCTTTCACATGATGGGGCCCCCATGCAGACGCATGGCACAGGAAGCCACGCAGACAGTGCTGGGTGGGCAGCTCTGGCAATGCCCGGTGCTGGGGCTGGCCCCGACCACGAGCCCCATCAGTTCCACCTCTACACCCCGCCATCACACTTGGAAGCAGCACCACTCAGTTAGGGTCACTCGGGCCACGCAGGGGCTAGGGAAGCAACAAGGCGCAGCCACCGCTGAGCACGCAGGAAGACTCACCACTGAGGATCTCGTTGTTGTTCCCCCAGAAGTCAGCTAACTTGGAGGGTCGGCTGTAGAATTCATCCCTGTTGGCTGCCAAGATGAGCCTGCAAGAGGAAAGCATCACTGATGGCTTCAGATGGAAACGAGCGAGCCAAGTCTTTTTCTCTTTTCACACACAAAACTGGCCTCAGTGGCAACAAGGGCCAGTCTCAGAGAGGGCAGGAAGCCGGCAGTCCTGCTGCACCCACACTGGAGGAAGGAGCACCGTGGCTCCAGGTGAGCTCTCGGGAGCCTGCAGCTGGGACCGCACGGGAAACAGGAGGATGCTAGGCAGGGACACACATCCACACCATTCAATGGCGGGAGACGGGTCTGCCAGGCCCTTAGGGGCACCATGGAGCCTGGGCTCCATGCCGGGAGCCCAGGCTGGAGGGTGGGGGGCTGTTCCTCCTTCTGTCCATCTGTCCCCAGCCCTGGGAACACCCACAACAAACCCGTGGGCTCTTGGAAGCGTGAGCTCAAGGATACAGATTGAATGGCACAGCATGTGGGCCTCTGAGGGCTGCTCCATTCTGTGTGTTTTGGAGTTAATTTCTCGGGTTGGTTGGGAGTGGATGGGAACTTCACTGTTTTACTAGTTTTTTTGCATTATGAATCAAACAAATATTTCCATTTTTATTTATTTTTATTTTTTGAGATGGAGTCTCTCTGTGTCACCCAGGCTAGAGTGCAGTGGCGTGACATCGGCTCACTGCAACTCCCGCCTCCCGGGTTCAAGCTATTCTCCCGCCTCAGCCTCCTGAGTAGCTGGGATTACAGGCACCCGCCACCACACCCAGCTAATTTTTTGTATTTTTAGTAGAGATGGGGTTTCACCATGTTGGCCAAGCTGGTCTTGAACTCCTGACCTCAAATGATCTACCCGCCTCGGCCTCCGAGGCGGAGGATTACAGGTGTGAGCCACCACATCCAGCCTAATCAAACAAATATTTCTTTTGGAATTAGGAGAGACATCTAAACTTTAAGAGCCCTGGTCTTGAGGAAAGAAAACTGACTTTCAAGTCCCAGCTTGGACATTAGAAGAAAACAAATAAGGACACAGCAGTGACTGAGTGGAAGGGGTCAGTTCCTGCAATGTCCATTAGACCTGAGGGTCTAAGAAGCGATGGCTGGGCCAGGCACAGTGGATGACACCTGTAATCCCAGCAGTTTGGGAGGCCAAAGTGGGAGGATCACTTGAGGCTAGGAGTTTTGAGACCAGCTTGGGCAAGAAAGTAAGACCCCATATCTACAAAAAAAAAATACAAAAATTAGTCAGGTGTGGTGGTGCATGCCTGTATTCCCAACTACTGGGGAGGCTGAGGCAGCAGGATCATTTGAGCCCAGGAGTTTGAGGCTGCAGTGAACTGTGACTGCACCATTGCACTCCAACCTGGGGAACAGAGAAGCCCTGTCTCTAAAAAAAAAAAAAAAGTGATGGCTGAAGACCCCCTGAGCACTTGTGCCGGAGAGGCAGCTCCAAGGAGCAGAGCTCAGCTGTCCTGCCATCACAATCTGAGTCTGAAACCAAGTTGCAGTGGTGAGAGCCCGACAAGTGTTTAAAAATAATTTCCATATTGATCATTGCACATCAATTTCATAAAACAACATTTGCTCCTGATTAAATGTGAAATAACAGACATTCATAAAATTGGGAGTGAAAGTGGTGCTCACAGCTGGGTACGGTGGCTCATGCCTGTAATCCCAGCATTTTGCGAGGCCGAGGTGGGTGGATCATGAGGTCAGGAGTTCAAGACCAGCCTGGCCAAGATGGTGAAACCCCATCTCTATTAAAAATACAAAAATTAGGCCGGGCCCGGTGGCTCACGCCTGTAATCCCAGCACTTTGAGAGGCCAAGGTGGGAGGATCACGAGGTCAAGAGATCGAGACCATCCTGGCTAACACGGTAAAACCCCGTCTCTACTAAAAATACAAAAAATTAGCCAGGTGTGGTGGCGGGCGCCTGTAGTCCCAGCTACTCGGGAGGCTGAGGCAGGACAATGGTGTGAACCCGGGAGGCAGAGTTTGCAGTGAGCCGAGATCATGCTACTGTACTCCAGCCTGAGTGACAGAGCAAGACTCCGTCTCAAAAAAAAAAAAAAAAAATTAGCCGGGTGTGGTGGCGGGCGCCTGTAATCCCAGCTGCTCGAGAGGTTGAGGCAGAGAATTGCTTGAACCCGGGAGGCGGAGGTTGCAGGGAGCTGAGATCGTGCCACTGCACTCTAGCCTGGGCGACAGAACGAAACTCCATTTCAAACAAAAAAGTACATGGTGCTAGCACCCACCATTCATGCCCTTGGAGGCATTCACACCTGTGTGCACATGTGTGCCCCCCACTCAGTGCCTGCCCCTGAAGCTTCTTGCCAGCAGAACTGGGGAAATGCTTTTGGTCATTGCCAGGGACTGTGCCATGCCCTAGAGCCCTTGGGGTCTGCTATGGAAGCCTTACCACCTCCAGGGTGCCCCATTCAGCCTGGTCTGACACCCAGCTGGCCCCAGGGCTGCACCAGGTCTCAGGGATGTGCTGCCTGGGGTAGGGGGAGGTGGTCTCTGTCCCTGATGAGCCTCAGCCTTTGTACCTCTAACTGCCATGTTTCAACCCAGACCCAGCCCAAGTCTCCATGTCCCTTCTGGGCAGAAGTGCCCCCCAACCTCTGCAGCAGGGATGGCAGGAGAGCCCACCTTCCCTGGGCTGGACAGTGCTAGTAGAAGGCAGTGCACTTGCCCCAGACCTGGATGGGCCAGTCCTGTAGGTGCCCATTGGTTGTGTCCTGGCCAGCGGGCAGGAGAAGGGGGAACACCGCAGTCCCTGAGTGCTATGGTGGGGATGTGCCAGGGTCTGGGATGACAGCTCCTCCACCCTATGGGTGGGGTCAAGCTCCATGTGGTTCTGCTCAGCATTCTCTCTTAAATACCTTCCTCCTCTGCTTCCACGTCCCACAGCCCTGCAGGTGAACAGGGGTCGGGGGAGCCAGGGACACCTCATCCCAGTCCAGCCCCAAACCAGGCTGGGGCTGTTGGCTTCGGGTGCTGATTCTGACATAATGCTCTTACAAAGGGAAAATAAAGGGGAGAAAAGTAGGAAGAAAAGCTGACTGAGCATGGACTTTTGTCCTAAGATGTTCAGCTGTCTGTTTTTAAACAAGGAGCAATTATATATGTTTGCCTAATAACTCAGGAACATTAATTGCCAGGTTATTTTTGTTCCAGCAGTCATGTTTAGCTGAATTGCTGGTGGTTTGCCAGGGATTTCATTGAATACATAATTCAGGGACAAGCCAGCATGCTGAGCACCCAGATCAAGCCCCAAAGGGAGGAGGAAGTAGCTCTCTCAGTCATCACTGGTGGGGCTGCACATGGGTAGAAGCCTATCTGCGCCCCACGTCCAGAGAGACAGGGATGCACCCACCACGGTGAGGTCCCTGAGGATGGCAAGTCACCTCGGCTTTATTTTGTTCCAATAACTGAAACCACTAATTATCCATCACCACCTGACACCCACGCTGCTAGGCAGGGTGAGTGCGTGTACTGTCCGGGGGGTATGTGCATCATCTCGGGGGGTGAGTGTGTTCTGCCGGGGGGTGAGTGTGTGCACTGTCTGGGGGACAGTTTGGTGACAGATAGGAGGTACTCTGGCCTGAGATCCAGTGATCAAACCCTCAGTGGTGACCCCATGGAAGCTGTCCCATGGAGTAACAGCTTGTCCTGCAGCCACTCTAGGCTGAAGCCAGCAAGTGGCATCACGTGGGGCTGTAAACAGGCAGGTTTTTTTTCGTTTTTTCTTTTTTTTAAGATGGAGTCTCACTCTGTCATCCAGGCTGGAGTGCAGTGGCGCTATCTCAGTTCCCTGTAACCTCTGCCTCCCAGGCTCAAGCAATTCTCCTGCCTTAGCCTCCCTAATAGCTGGGATTACAGGTGTGCGCCACCATGCCAGGCTAATTTTTGTATTTTTAGTAGAGATGGGGTTTCACCATGTTGGCCAGGCTGGTCTCGAACTCCTGACCTCAAGTGATCCACCCACCTCAGCCTCCCAAAGTGCTGGGATTACAGGCGTGAGCCACCGCACCCGGCTGTAAACAGGCAGTTTTGAAAGAGATAGGGTGACATCATGAAGTGATTGTGTTATCTTGCTGCAGGGTCTTGGTTTTCCGTGATGGGTATCAAATTACCAAATACAGTGGCCGAGGCCGGGCATGGTGGCTCACGCATGTAATCCCAGCATTTTGGGAGGCTGAGGCAGGAGGATCACTTGGGCCCAGGAGTTCGAGACCACCCTGGACAACATAGTGAGAACTTGTCTCTACCAAAAAAAAAAAAATTAGCCGGGCATGGTGTTGTAGTCCCAGTTACTTAGGCATGCTGAAGTGGGAGGATCGCTTGAGCCGGCGAGTTTGAGGCTGCAGTAAGCTATGATCATACCACTGTACTCCAGCCTGGGCAACAGAGCAAGATCCTGTCTCTAAAATAATAATAATAATAATAAAAAAAAAAAACATAGTGGCCTAAAGCACCCTACTTTTTACTCCAGTCCACAGGTGAGGAGTCCAGCCCAGCCTAGCTGGGTACCTGTACGAGGCCTCCCAAAGTGCTGCAGAGGTGCTGTCAGGGGCTCCATAGAAGTGTCTGTGCTCCCAGCCTGCAGCGTGCCCTTCCCCTGGCTGGACACCCCACAGGCAGAGCAGAAGCAGCCACCAGAAGTGTCTCACACCCTCCCATGAAGTCAGGAAAACACAGCGCACATTTGCTCAGTCACCCAGAGGTGGCACATTTCGTCTTTGGCTTAGGGCTTCGGAAAATAGTCCAGAGAAATCCCGAGGCCAACTGGAATGGCAGGACCCGCAGGACAGGTCCTGGCAGCAACACACGGGTTCTGAGTGAAAGCAAGAGGGGCCCATGTCAACCCTCCTCCTCTCCACCCAAGGGGCTGGGTGGCACTGACCAGCACCCGCAGGCCAGCCATCAAGCTTCCTTTCCAGAGATGGGAGCACTCGGGGTGGGTTGAGTCTCTTCAGCAGCCTGCAGGAGGCAGCCCTGAAACGCATACAGAGCTGGCTGGCTCTCCTCAGCGTGCTAGTTTCCTGGGGCTGCCGTAACTAAGCACCACAGACCAGGCGGCTGCAACAACAGACACTATTGTCTCGCAGCATTGGATGCTGGAGATCCAAGATCAAGGCGTCAGCAGGGCTGGCTCCTTTTGAGGGTCTTCTCGGTATGCAGACGACTGCTTCTATCTCTGTATACACACCAGCTTCCCCTGTGCGTATCTGAGTCACCCATCACATTGATTAGGGCCTACCCACATGACCTTATTTTACCTTCATCTTTTTTTTGAGATGCAGTCTCGCTCTGTTGCCCATGCTGGAGTGCAGTGGCGCAATCTCGGCTCACTGCAAGCTCTGCCTCCCAGGTTCACGCCATTCTCTTGTCTCAGCCTCCCAAGTGGCTGGGACTACAGGCGCCCACCCCCATGCCCAGCTAATTTTTTTGTGTGTTTTTAGTAGAGATGTGTTATCCAGGATGGTCTGGATCTCCTGACCTTGTGATCCGCCCACCTTGGCCTCCCAAAGTGCTGGGATTACAGGCGTGAGCCACCGTGCTCGGCCAGCCCCTACATTCTTTAGAGTTCTGTTCACTCACTAGCCAGCCCAACACTACTCCAGTCCCTGTAGCAGTCAATAGTTCTTTCCTAACATTTCTTCCACCTTCCCTGCAGCATGCTGTCTGCTGCTGGGACCTGCCACTCACCCAACTGCAAAAAGGGAAAACACCAGACACCCTTCCTTCCTGATTCCTTGGCCTGAAATGACTTCACTCAGCCTTGAAGTCAAGCAGCATGGTGTCTATGCAACTTTGCAGTGACTCAAATCTGAGACCCTCTTGAAATGGTTCAAATCATTTCTGGTACAGATTTTAAAATGATGAAAACTTCCCGAGCAGTTGCATTAGAGAGTGGTTACACGTTTCATTTTAGATGTGGGTTATATCTCTGCCTCGTTCTCTGTGTGGATAAATGCTGGGGTGTCCTGGGGAATGGAGGTGTGGCCGTCCTGAGTCCAGGGTCAGGGGTGGCTTCTGGCCTCGATTTCCTGACTCCTCTGGCTGGTCCTCAGCGTCCCCTCTTCCCCAGGTTCTTTTTCCTCAGCTCAGGACCCACCCACAGACCCCTAGCCTGGCCGCCACTTTGACTTCTCACCAGCAGCTGTGACCCGCCAGCCCAAGCTGGCTCTCACTCACTGACGCCGTTGTCCCAGTTCTGCCGCCCGACCCTCCTCAAAGCCCATAGAACTGCAGCCCACCTGGACCCATGTCACTCCTCTGTCCTACCTGTGGCTGCCTTCTGTGGCTGAGTCTTCACGTCTTTGTACATTGACTGGAGTCCCCGCCCCGAGAGGCATTCTGACAGCATCCCACACTGAGTGACCCTGTCCTGGAGGGCAGTGCCAGGCCTGTGCAGCCCCGTCCTGGCCCACACACCTTCCTGCACACAGCAGCTTGGGTGGCATGAGAACTGGCTGGGCACCCAGGACCCTGCAGGGCGCAGCAGATGCAGAGCGAGGGGGTTACCTGTACGCGTTTTTGGAAACAGGGCGAGGATCAAACTTAAAGAAGATGATGCACATGGTGGTGCAGGGCGGCTCTGCTGACACAGGTCGCGAGGTCTGCGGGAAAAGGAAAACACTGAGTTGAGCGGATGGCAGACACTCAGGGCTGCCCTCCGAACCTGCAACAGGCCAGAACAGAGAGAACCACCTCTGTGGTGTCTGTACTACTTGCTGGGTGTGGGGGAACTGGACACCACACTCTTGGCCGGTGCCACACAAACAACTCCCAAACCCATGCACTCATTGGCACTGGCCAGACTGTCTCTCCACCACCTGCAACACCAGCCCTGAACAGAAGCATCCCATCAGCACCATGGTAGTCTTAAGGCCTGGACACACCGAGCTGGGGTGCCGAGGGGGTCCCCGGGGGGCAGCAGAAGTGAGGGCAGGAGCCACACTGTGAGAAACAAACTTACCCATCCAAATCTAAAGAATGAACTCAGACCCAGAGAACAGCGAAAGTGAGACTTTTAATGACAGTCTTGCAAGATCAGGTGTCAGACAGGCACACCCAGCACAGTTTCGACAAGCAATTTATCCCCTAGTACGCAGGTCCCTCCCCCAGTTCCTCATAGGCCGAGTACTGTGGGGTCACAATTTTCCCGGACGTCGCCTATTAATTGTTGGGTAGGGGCTTCAGGTGTTTTTTTGGGGGCTTGTCTTGCTGTATTTTGTTGCAGCCCACAATGCATTGCAGTCCTAGTTAGCTCAGGGACTTTTTAAGTATTTAACTTACGACCTAAGTAGCAGGCAGGCTGATAAGAACAGACAAAATGAGCTATTTTGCAGGCTAGTAAACTTTCAGCTTAGACTGAACTTCTTTGGTTCGGGTGAAGGCAACTAAGTGCGGGGAAAGTGGAGGCCGACAAGCACACATCAGCTATCCAAGCAGGGTGGCCTAGTATATCCTGTTTCTTCTGTAGTTTGCTGAGCTAAGCCAATTTAAGACACTTTGTCTTGGAAATAGACCACTGTATACATTCTTCCTTCAAGACTGTCCCCCACATGCACATCTCCTCCCCTGCAACAGCACCAAACCCACCCCACACGCCACCAGTGGGGGCAGCCCTGCCTCCGCCTCCAACAGCATGGCCCACTCACCTGGGATGCAGGCCCTACAGGTCCTGCTCAGCACACACACTCGCCATCCCACAGGACCCGAAGGCCCCACACACCCACAGCAGCTGGCATGGACACGTGCCGGGGACACGCTGGGTGACTGCACACTTAGCATACACCTCGTCCCCACCCAGGGACCTCTGGGGCCCAGAGCAGGCAGTTTTCCACAATGCAAACGAGTGCAGAACGGAGATTAGATTCCGAGGCCACCCAAGGGTGACACCCAAGTTCCCTGAAATGTGCACATGTGCAATGATTTAGTGACACGGCTCCAGGGCAGAGCCAGTGCTCACAGCTGGGACATGGGACAGCCAAGAAGCTGTTCAAATACTGAAGAGACCCAAAAAGATTCCTCTGAGAAAAGTCTAATGAGTGGGGACGGAGGTGAAGAGGGCTCAGTGTATGTGCCTCCATAGGCACGGGCATTAGGGATGGCCATTGGGGACCATCTGCTCCAGTGAGGAGCTGGTGGCTGTGCAGTTGAAGTATTGGGATAGCAATAAGCGCCACGTGCAGACGCACTGGGTCAGGGGGATGGGCAGCCATTTGAGATGGTCTGCTGGCCACCACTCTGCATAGGATGGGAAGCTAAAGGGTGTGTTGTTGCAAGGGGGCCCTGTGGGAAGCAGACTGTGGGGCTGGAAGTGGGTTGGGTCCCCTTGCCGGGTGCCCTGGAAGCGCCCACAGGGGGCCATCATCCGAGGGTGGGCAGGCTACTAGGGGCAATCCTTTTGGTAAAAACAACTCAAGATGCTGGATGAAATATGAAAACATCTTAAAAATTGCCAGGAGCTGATGAGCTCATGCAGCATTTGGCCAACAGTTCGGAGAGCGTGGCCCACAGAGGACAGCAGAACACAGTGGCCAATCCTGCCTGAGAGCGTTTGCCCACTGAACACACTGGGGCTCATACTCTGGTGGCCTCGGGGGCGAAGGAGACAGAAGACAAGGTCCAGTCACCCCCACAGGATGAAGAACCTAACAGAAGACTCTCCTCTAAGTTAGGCTGGGACTCCAAAGAGCGATGCTTAGGGAGAGATGAACTACAGCCGCAGCCACCCCCAGGGGTTATGGGGACATTGCACATAAGTGAAGGGAAGTTTCTGAGAAGCTGTGGCACAGCCAGCCGTCCAGGTCCACACTGGGGGTACAAGGACCCACAAGCCAAGCACAGTTTTAAGGGGTTCCAGCACTCGTAGTGCCCCTGTGCCTGAAGTTCTCTCTGGAGAAAGATACCTTCATCCTATACTTCAAAGAAGTCTCAAAATCATTTTTCAAAGACCAGAAGCAGTACATAGTCAGAAAGAACCACATAATGAAAGAAGCACCATGAGCAAGAACCAGCAGAAAGATAACCGTACATGCATCATCAACCAACCATGCTCTGATGGCAGAAAGAAAACAGACAGCTCAGAAACATCTGCAGGGCAAAGGAAGTGATGAAGAGCAAACTGGGTTTACAAAGCAGCAAAAGGAACTCGGTTTTTTTTTGTTGTTGTTGTTTTGTTTTTGCTCCTGTTGCCCAGGCTGGCTGGCATAATCTCGGCTCACCGCAACCTCCGCCCCCCGAGTTCAAGCAATTCTCCTGCCTCAGCCTCCCGAGTAGCTGGGATTACAGGCATGCGCCACCACGCCCAGCTAATTTTGTATTTTTAGTGGAGACGGGGTTTCTCCATGTTGGTCAGGCTGGTCTCCAACTCCTGACCTCAGGTGATCCACCCACCTCGGCCTCCCAAAGTGTTAGGATTACAGGCATGAGCCACCATGCCTGGCCAAAAGAACTCTTAGGAAGCTATTTTAGAAATGAAAGCTTCAGTGACTGCACATTAAAGCTCAGCTGTGGGTTTAAGAGCAATCAGGTGCAGCTGATGATGCAGAACCATCCCGAATGCAGTGCAGGAAGATGGGGAACACGCTGGGCTTTGGGAGTGCACCCAAGGTGCCACTGATGGGGTGGGCCCAGCACTCACCATGTGGCCAGAAGACACAAGTCCCTTTACTCTGGAGGAGCTGGTCTTTCCTGCACATGAGAACCCCTGGCTGCAGTCACTGGAGAAGCCCTGCCAGCTGGTCTCTACTGGAATCCCACTGGCCTGGAGCCCAGGGCTGCCCAAGGCCTGCTCACCAGGGACATGCTCCTCTGGGGTGTTAGAGAAGGCCGTTGGTCTCAATCAACTTCAGCCGACCTCAGCCCTCCCTGGGCTGCACGCCCAGCTGCTGGCAAGGCCATGGATGAGGGCAGTTCTGGCCACTGATACACGTAGGACAGACAGGCAGAAAGGCACCCCCAGTTCAGCTGCAGGACCCCACCATCCTAGCTGGCCAGGGTGCAGGGGCAGCAGACCAGCCCTCCAGGCACCAGTGGCAGGGAGGGCTCCATGGTCCAAGGGAAGGCCATAAACAGATCTCCGGACAGCCTGGCACTGGAGGTGTGGGCGCAGAGCCAAGGGCTGTGGCCTCGACGAAGACGCGGTCATTGGGAGGGAAGGACCAGAGGAAAGCCAGCCCCTGGGGAGGGGACCATCAGGAACTGCCTTTCTCTCCAATCCCTCGCCCCCTGCTCGAGCCAGGCCCACTGCCCACCGGCCCCCAACCCAGCTCTAGCCAGCAGGTCTCCCCCTCCCCCTGCCAGCTTCACCTCCCCCGACCTGTGACCTTGCCTTTGCCTGGGCCCCTGTGTGCTCCCTAAGCCAAGCCCTGCAGGTTCCCTAGGTCCTACAAGGTCCCCACACAGGCCCACCACAGCATTCCAACACCCTCTCATGCCTGCTGACTTGCCAGGCTCTGGGAGGGAGCCATGGATATAGTCCTTGTCCTTTTGGTCACCATATCTTGATCTGGGCGCAGGGCATGTGGGCACACGGGTGGCCAGGACCACTTCCCACAACTTCCACAGGTCCCATCACACCAGGTGAGGCTGGGCTCCTCAGGGCATCTCTTGTGCCACACAGAGCTCGCCCTCAAGGTTGCCCGAATTGGCCAACTCTACAGGAGGGTTGGTGTCCCAGGGAGAATCGTGCCTGGCTTTCCAGGTGAGGCTCCGCCCTGCCTGTCCCCACCCCTGCCCTGGGCTCAGCACTTGGGCCAAGCCCAACCAACTCTCAGCATGTCCTTGGCAGTCCAAGAAGGCCAGAGTGGTCAAAGCCATGCAGGGTTGGCCCTGAGGCCCAGGCGGCCAGAACCAGACCACAAAGAGCAGCTGGAGGAAGAGGCAGGCAGGAGGGTCTGGGGTCCAGTCAGCAGCCTTGCCCTGGGTCTCAGAGGCCACAGCCCAGAAGCATCTGAACATCTGCAGGAAGCCACGCCCAGTCTCTGCATCCTGCACAGGACCCCGCCTGCCCCAAGGGGCTAAGACCACCAGGGCAGCCTGCACACAACCACCAGGCTTGCAGAAGCAGTCAGATGGCCACACGCCCATCCTCTCCAGGCGGAAAATGCTTACCCCTCTCCATTCTGTCAACTGGCCTCACGGCCACCGGGATAGCAGTTGGGCAAGTAGGTTACAGGGCGGGTGGGGCAGGTGACGCAAAACCTGGCTGCCAGGGCGGGTCCAACCCCAACCGGAAGGAGGCTGGGCCAGGGCACCACAGGTGGGAAGATGCTGATGAGCTCCTCCCTGTGCTGTGTGCTCTGCAGCTGTGATCTCATCTCAAGAGTCCCAGGTCACATGGCAGGGATGGGCAAGGTGAGCCTGGAGGGGCTCATGGTGGGGCACCTGCTGGTTGGGCTAGAGGTGAAGAAGCAGTGAGCTGGCCACCCCGAGCAGGCACACGTGGGATGCTGGGATCAAGTGGGCCTGCTGGACCCTGCACCCACGGCCTGGCAGCCCCTGAGAGAGTCAGGATGGCCTCGGCACTGGATCTGTTCATTTGTAGCTCTGCTCTGCCCAGCCACGCTGTGGACACTCCTGGAAGTCAGCATGCTGCCTTCTGCTCTCTCATAGCAGGATCTGCTGATCCCCGCCAGGGTGCAAGAGGTCCCTGGGCAAGCTGGTGATGGGCAGCCAGCTTCCTCCTGGCCATGGTGGTCACTGTGTTCACATGTGGTCCTACTAGAAACATCATCTTGAAAGCAACTGGCATGACACAGGCACATGGCCAGGCCTCACCAGGCCCACAGGGATGGAAGAGCCCAGATATGTAGCCCAGGCTGACAACAGGAGGCCGTGTGGGCAGCAGTCGAGAGGAGCCATACTTCAAGACTGAAAGCAGAGCCTGTGAGGTGGGCAAATGTCCTGCCACCGACCTACGACACCAGCACAGCGCAGCAGGGCAACGTGGCATGGTGGTGAGGTTCCTGAGCCAGGACAAGAAAAGAAGCGTTGTTCTCATGGCTATTTGAGGAAGCACATCACCTCCACTCTGTCGCCCAGGTGCAGTCGTGTGATCATAGCTCACTGCAGCCTCGAACTCCTGGGCTCAAGCCATCCTCCCACCTCAGCCTCCCAAGTAGCTAAGATTACAGCTGCATACCACCACACCCGGCTAATTTTTTTTTTTTGAGACAGAGTCTCGATCTGTCACCTAGGCTGGAGTGCAGCGGCGCGATCTCAGCTCACTGCAGCCTCCTCCTCCCTGGTTCAAGCGATTCTCCTGCCTCAGCCTCTCAAATAGCTGGGACTAGAGGTGCGTGCCATCACACCCAGCTAATTTTTGTATTTTTAGTAGAGATGGGGTTTCACCATGTTGGCCAGGATGGTCTCGATCTCCTGACCTTGTGACCCACCCACCTTGGCCTCCCAAAGTGCTGGTATTACAGACATGAGCCACCACGCCTGGCCCTAATTTTTAAATTTTTTTGGAGAGGTGGGGTCTCATTATGTTGCCCAGGCTATTCTCAAACTCATGGGCTGAAGTGATCTTTCCACCTCAGGAAGTCTTAATGACTGGGTAGTATAAGTGACATCCTTTTAAAAAATTTTACAGCAACTGCTGGTTGGGCGAGGTGGCTCACGCCTGTAATCCCAACACTTTGGGAAGCCAAGGCGGGTGGATCACCTGAGGTCAGGAGTTTGAGGCCAGCCTGGCCAACATGGTGAAACCCCATCTTTACTAAAAATACAAAAATTATCACGCCTGTAATTCCAGCACTTTGGGAGGCCAAGGTGGGTGGATCACGAGGTCAAGAGTTCGAGACCAGCCTGGCCAATATGGTGAAACCCTGTCTCTACTAAAAATACAAAAATTAGCCGGGCGTGGTGGCGGGCGCCTGTAGTCCCAGCTACTTGGGAGGCTGAGACAGAAGACTTGCTTGAACCCAGGAGGCAGAGGTTGTAGTGAGCCAAGATCGTACCACTGTCCTCCAGCCTGGGCAACAGAGCAAGACTCCATCTCAAAAAACAAACAAACAAACAAACAAACAAATTAGCCAGGTGTGGTGGTGCGTGCCTATAATCCTAGCTACTGAGGAGGCTGAGGCAGGAGAATCACTTGAACCCACGAGGTGGAGGTTGCAGTGAACCGAGATCGTGCCATTGCACTCCAGCCTAAGAGACAAGAGGGAAACTCCATCTCAAAAAAATAAAAATTAAAAAAAAAAAAAAAAAAAGCAACTGCTTACACGAGAATGCCCTCTTTACAAGAGTCCTGGTGCACCCTGGGAAGGAAATGCGCTGGAGTGTGAGGCACTGGTTCTCTGGTCATACGGAGCGGCTGGCCTGTACCACTGCCTCCTGGAGCACATAGGGACTTGGTAGACAAGCAAGGGACGAAAGGATGTGCGTCGTGAGGCTCATCCATATCTGAGAAAGTCCAGCTCCTCTCACACAGATGTGACAAAAGAGGTCGCCTTTGTGATGGTCAACACTTAACCACCCCCAGTAGAGTGCCATCTCCAGTTGGGCCAGGCACCCTGCCTCCCTGCAGCCCAGACAGCTAGAGTGAATGCCCAGGGGACATGCACAGCCTCTGTGCAGGGAGGCCGGGGAACTAATCACTTGGGACTTTGGTGTGGTCTTTGCCAACCCTGCCAGGGAGGTAAGAGGGGGACAGTCACTGTGAGCTCACCATGTGACTGCAAATGCCACCAGCCTCAGCAGGGACAGAGCACAGGCCTCTTCCAGGGAGGAAGTTCCCCCCACACTCCTGGAGTCCCTCAACACCCCCAAGCCTGGCCAGAGGATCTATGAGATATGAATGGAAAGAGAGAGCCCTCTTCACACCGCAGCCAAGGGCTTCCCGTCCTCTAAGAATACCAGTGCGGGTGGAATTCTTCCCAGAATCCCAGCATACGTTCCCCTAGCCTAACAACCTGGTAATTCTGCAAAACAGGAAGAAAGCCTGGACTTGGCATGGGTTATTCTTAGAGCATGGCGCTGTCTGTGAAGGACGGAAGCTTTCCAGGCACTCTGGGCCCATCTGCTGATGCTTTCGAGAACTCTCCCAGCGTGCACCGTCCTCTCTGCCCACCTTCTGCTTCTGAGAGCCACCCCGCTCTAGAATCCCCTCTCCAGCCTAGGGCTCCTCCCCTGGCTTCTCAGAGAAACCAACAGGGCCTTCTGTCCTAAGGCCAAATGGAAACGGGCTAAACTCCCTCTCTAAGAAGAATGAGACTCCAGTTGAGGCAAGCCCCAAACCTCACTCCATGCGGTGTCTAAAAAAGGCACGACAAGAAAACCATTCAGACAGAACGCCTGGGCAAAGATGGGCCAGAGCCACAGGCAGAGAGCAGCAGCAGCAGTGACCCCAGCCAGGGCTGCGTGGGGACAAGGTCTGGCACCCTGATGGATGCGCACATGGCCTGCTGCCTGGCAGTGAGGATCTGCTTCCCTGGCTCTCAGTGCCCACCACAGGCAGGTAGGTGGGGTGGAGGGTGGGCAGTAACCTTGCAGAGGCCCATGGGGAAAAGAAGCAAGGGGGACGAGGGCCATGCTGACAGGGCCTCAAATGGAGGACCCAGTGGGGAACAGGCAGACCTCAGTGCTGCAGGGCAAATCCAGGCCACCCTCCTGCATGTCCCAGAACCCACTACTGCCAGCCTCCCCTTCTGAGGAGGCCAACAGGCATCAGGCATCTGACCGTGCCAGTCGCCCACCCCACACCAACCAGCACCACCTCCACTAGCTTTTGTATAATACCAAGAAACGCTGGTCCCTCCCATACGCTGCCTGTTCATTCACCCTCTATTCAGCCTCTCTGTGCCCCAGCCTAAGGCTGAGTCTCCTGTAGCCACGACTGGCAGCTCTGGAGGCTGGTGGGACCCATAGTTGTTAATACCATCGCTCAGGTCACCCAGGAGCACATTCTGGAGGGAAACATTTCCAGTGACATTTAACGGGCCAAAGCCCCATCCCTTCAGGGCTCATGTCTGTCATCCCAGCACTTTGGGAGGCTAAAGCAGGAGGATTGTTTGAGGCCAGGAGTTTAAGTCCAGCCTGTGAAACACAGCAAGTCCCTGTCTACAAAAAGCAAATAAAAACAATTAGCCAGGTGCAGTGGCATATGCCTGTGGTCCCAACTACTTGGGAGGCTGAGGTAGGAGGATGGCTTGAGCCTAGAAGATCAAGGCTGCAGTGAATTATGATCATGTCACTGCACTTCCGCAACACAGCAACAGAGGGAGACTCTGTCTCAATATAATACTAATAATATAATAAAATAAGGTAGGGTGCAGTGGCTCATGGCTGTAATCCCTGCACTTTGGGAGGCTGAGGCGGGCAGATCATTTGAGGTCAGGAATTCAAGACCAGCCTGGCCAACACGGTGAAACCCGGTCTCTACTAAAAATACAAAAATTAGCCAGGCATGGTAGTGCAGGCCTGTAATCCCAGCTACTCAGGAGGCTGAGGCAGGAGGATCACTTGAACCCAGGAGCCGGAGGGCGCCGTGAACCGAGATTGTGCCACTTCACTCCAGCCTGGGTGACAGCGCGAGACTCCGTTTCAAAAAAGTAAAGTAAAATAAAATAAATAATAATAAAATAAAATTAGCCGAGCATGGTGACATGCATCTGTAGTCCCAGCTACTCAGGAGGCTGAGGCAGAAGGATTGCTCGAGCCCAGGAGTTTGAGGCTGCAGTGAGCTATGATAGCACCACTGCACTCCAGCCTGGGTGACAAGGCAAGACTCTGAGTCTCAAAAAAAAAAGGAAAAAAAGCCTCAGCCAAGGGCTGCCTGTGGCGCCAGAGTGTTCTTAACCTGCTTGCACACACATGTGAGCAGACACATGTATGCTGTGGGGTTAACACGCTAGGGTCCCATTGCTCCGTTCTCCCTGATTGGCCATGAGGTCTGTCTCCACCAGAGCCATGTCCCCACTGGTTCACCACTGCCCAGCTTTCCCGCTGCTCTGCCTCTCAGCTGTGGCTGGTGTCTTCGTCCCATCAAGCGACCATCCCTAGCACATGCTCTGCACATGGGCTGATTTGGCTTGGATCTGTGTCCCCACCAAATCTCACGTTGAATTTAATTCCCAGTGTTGGAGGCAGGACCTGGTGGGAGGCGATTGGATCATGGGGGCAGAATTCTCATGAAAGTTTAACACCATCCCCCCCGGTGCTGTACAGTGATAGAGTTCTCACGAGATCTGGTTTTAAGTGTGTGGCACCTCCCCCATCTCTCTCTTCCTCCTGCTCCAGCCGTGTGAAGTGCTGGCTCCTGCTTTTCCTTCTGCCATGATTGTAAGTTTCCTGAGGCCTCCCCAGAAGCTGAGCAAATGCCAGGATCATGCTTCCTGTGCACCTTGCAGAACCGAGAGCCAATTAAACCTCTTTTTTTAATAAATGACCCAGTCCCAGGTATTTCTTTACAACAGTGGGAGAGCAGCTGAGGACATTCCTAGGATAGACGCAAGAGGTGGAATTGCTCCATCCATGGGTGACGCTTTCAGATAAACAGACTTGGCCAAGTCCCCGCTAACGTCTAGCACCAGAACCTGTTGCCACTCACCTGCCTCCAGGGTGTATGCAGTGTGGGAAATGTTCCCGCCAGGGTTTTATGGGCATCCCCCACTGGCTGGGCAACTTGTGACCTCCTGTATGTTCTTGCCAACAATTCACCAACATGGGTACTGACTGCTAGGCCTTTGTCTCACTGACCCGTAGTGCAGCTGGTGTGATGTGGGCAACCATGTGCCTGTCCCAGGCCTGCAACTGTTTTCTCCCTAGCCATCCCCTGCCTTTCAGCTCTGCCTGTGATGCTGTCTAGTAGAAATAGCCTTATATTACATGGGATTTTCCCATCATTACTGTACAGCAGTCATGTCCCGTCCTGCTAAAGGCCCTCCCTGTCCCAAAATGAGAACTCCTTTTTCTTATCTACCTTGTATGGTTGCACAGTGGTGAAGCTCTTTTTTTTTTTTTTTGAGACGAAGTCTCGCTATGTCGCCCAGGCTGGAGTTCAACGGCGCGATCTCAGCTCACTACAACCTCCACCTGCTGGGTTCAAGCAATTCTCCTGCCTCAGCCTCCCAAGTAACTGTCATTACAGGTGCGTGCCACCATGCCTGGCTAATTTTTGTATTTTTAGTAAAGACAGGTTTTCACCATGTTGGTCAGGCTGGTCTTGAACTCCTGACCTCATGATCCCCCCGCCTCAGCCTCCCAAAATGCTGGGATTATAGGCGTGAGCCACCCCGCCCAGCCTTGGTGAAGCTCTTGGATCTGCCCACTGTCTGCCTGTGCGACTGCTGTGAGGTGGGGACCACCCATGCTTCCCAAACGCACAGCCAATTGTCCTTAGGTGGCCGCTGGCCATCCAGTCTGGCCCACCTCAGCCACATCCTGGACTTCTAGTCACATGGGCCCCTTGAGGCCTTAAATGTGTCACCAGGCCTCTGATGCTGCAGTAGTCACCCTAGCTTCAATGCATTCTCAGGTGTCTGGAGGGCACCCTCCAGACTGTCCCCCTTGGCTATTCAAAGAACCTTCCAAACCCTGCCTAGATCACGCCATGCCCCAACTCCTGCTCACCATGCCAGGCACTCTGCAGGTGCCCAAGTCCACAAAGTGACACAGTAAGAAAGTCCATAACCTGGAAAAGAAGCCAGCCTGTGCCTTTCCATGGTGATGAGGCAGCAGGGAGGTCTCAGCCAGAAGATAGCACTCTGCTTGGTCTTTCATGCAGAGGCCAGAGATAAGCAACATCTGCCCATGGGGACAGGAGGCAGGGCAGGGCCACCTGGTCTAGGCAGCCACTGGGGGACACGAGGGAGATATCTGGGTGCTGGTGGTGGTGTGATATGGACGGTAGCTGTGTGGCTGGGTTCACTTTGTACAATCTGTCACGCCAGACACTGAAAGCGTGCACACCCAGTAAGCATGCTTCCCGGCGGGGAACAGTAATGTCTACCCTCAAAAGAAAGTGCACTGGCCAGGCACAGTGGCTCACACCTGTAATCCCAACACTTTGGGAGGCCGAGGTGGGTGGATCACCTGAGGTCAGGAGTTCAAGACCAGCCTGGCTAAAATGGTGAAACCCCGTCTCTACTAAAAACACAAAAATTAGCAGGGCGTGGTGATGCACGCCTGTAATCCCAGCTACTCAGGAGGCTGAGGCAGGAGAATCGCATTGAACCTGAGAGGCAGAGGTTGCAGTGGCACGATCTCAGGTCACTGCAACCTCTGCCTCCGGTATTCAAGCGATTCTCCTGCCTCAGCCTTTTGAGGTGACAAAGCAAGACTCTGTCTCAAAACGCAAAAAAAAAGAAAATGTACAGATCCTGCCCTCCTTCCCTGCCAGGGCTGGGACATTTCTATGGGCAGGGAAGAGAGGGAAGGAAGGGCAAGAACCCAAGAGTCACTTGTTCACAGAAAGCAAGAGAAGACCCAATCAGCCCTGGTGCAAGACAGCTCTGCATAGGACGGGGTGTAGCTGGGCTGTCGCAGCAACACCACACCTGGAGACCCTGGGGGCCAGAGGGGATGGGACACACGCTTTTGGCGGAACCACTTCCCTTTGGCAAGCGAAAAGGCAAGCATAGCACATGGGCAGAGGGGATGTGTGCTAAGCAGAAAGCAGTGGTGACAGAGGAATGGCAAGCTATTAGTACCACAGGGTCAAGGGGACCTAGACACTTGGGAGGGTAGCCATCAAGTCGGGCTCCTATTGGGGCTGCACATGGTGAGTCCCTGAACAGAGGGTGACTAAGCCCTACAGTCTGCTGCCCCCATTTAATGGCCTCAATGGCCACAAGGGCTGGTGCTGCAGGGCTGAGCAGCCGGGCGCCCAATCCCCATCCCTTGTAATCCCCACTCCATCAGCGGTGGCAGCCCCCAGGGGCAGAGCTTGAAAGCACGAGTTGCTCTTTTCAAAGGCAGACACAGACATGTGACGCGGGCTCCCGGTGGCTGTCAGCAGAGGAGGTAAACACACGTGGGAACACAGTGTCGCTGTTCACGGGGCCTGGGCGAAGAAAGTCCTGACGTCAGGAAACCCTCTGAGTCTCCAGTCCACTGCAATGCCCTGCTCCCTCCTATCTCCGCAGCAAGAGCTCACCAGTTTACACTCTCTGGCTATTAAATGGCATTTTTTATTTTTATTTTTAGATGGAGTTTTGCTCTTGTCGCCCAGGCTGGAGTGCAATGGTCCTGTTGGGTGGGCTGGGGGCAGCTGGAGAGGGTGACCTCTCTCACTGCAACGTTCGCCTCCTGGGTTCAAGCAATTCTCCTGCCTCAGCCTTTCGAGTAGTTGGGATTACAGGCACCTGCCACCATGCCCAGCAAATTTTTGTATTTTGTTTTTAGTAGGGACGGGGTTTCACTATGTTGGCCAGGCTGATCTCGAACTCCTGACCTCAGGTGATCCACCTGTCTCGGCCTCCCAAAGTGCTGGGATTATAGGTGTGAGCCACCGTGCCGGGCCTAAATGGCATTTTATTATGACACATTTTCTTTTTTTTTTTTTGAGATGGAGTTTCGCTCTGTTGCCCAGGCTGGAGTGCAGTGGCACGATCCCGGCTCACTGCAAGCTCTGCCTCCTGGGTTCACGCCATTCTCCTGCCTCAGCCTCCCGAGTAGCTGGGACTACAGGTGCCTGCCACCACCACGTCCGGCTAATTTTTTTGTATTTTTAGTAGAGACGGGGTTTCACCGTGTTAGCCAGGATGGTCTCGATCTCCTGGCCTCGTGATCCACCCGCCTCGGCCTCCCAAACTGCTGGGATTACAGGCGTGAGCCACCGTGCTTGGCCTATCATGACACATTTTCTACAGTGGTACTCTCTCCTCAGATCTTCACAATGCTTCCGGGGCATTTCTTCAGCCTCACACCAGAGGATCACTGTCTCTTCCCAGTTCCAAGGAATAGCACAAACAAGAGGCATCGTGAGCAGACAGCAAGCTCTGGACACAGGGTGGCCCCATCCTCAGGCCCTCCTGGGAGGAACACTCAGCTTCCTCACAAGCCAGGGACAGGCCAGCCTCGCAGCGGCCCCTGCGGCCTGAGTGGTTAGTAAAAACAAAAAAAAAGGGGGGCACTCCTACCATGCCCGCAAAGAGGATGAAGGCAAGCACTTCAAGTTTCAAGTTAGCATGGCACTGAAGATCTCAATGGATGTACCCCCAAATGTCAGCAAGTGCACCAGGGGAGCAGCCGCTGGGAGAAGGAGGCCAGCCTTTTTTATCTTTAAGCATGCATAAACTATTTTTGCAGTCTAAAAGGGAAGTTGAGAGAAAAAGGGGAAAAAGCTGTGATAACCTCAAAAAGCAGCTCAGTCTTTCTGGGGTGACCTTGTTTTCACGGAGCCCATCCTCATGGTAGGGATAGGCTTGTTTTCAAGACAGCCCAAGCCCTATGGTAGGGGCCAACAAAGGCCAGGCTCTGCCATGCTGCTGCCATGTGCTGACTGACACGTCACCAAAGGATGGGCCCTGCTTCTCATGCATCTGGAGTGTCAATGACAAGCATGGCCCTACTTCGAGAAGTCTTCCCAGCCTCCCTATCCCGGGCCATTTCTCTCCAGACCCCTTCTGGGGTCCCTGAGAAGCCCCTCATATCCCTGTGGGTGTTTTCAGAAGCAGCACCCTTGGGTGGGCACCGGGGTGCCCTCCAAGTTCGCCGTCTGGCGCAGAAGCCGGGCACAGGATCAAGTTCCCAGGACACTGCACGTGATTCCACACACTGCAAAACGTAATCAGAATGACAGCCCACAAGTGAAGACCAAGGAAGCACAAGAGGCTGGGCAGCCCAGGAAGAGCTGACAGCTGGTCACCTTAGCTCAGGGAAGGGCTATGGCCACCACACATCACAGCAGGCAGGGGCTTGGTCTGAGGGGCCTGCAGTCTGAGGACATGCAAGTAACACAAAGCTGTGTAGGGGTCAAAGGGGGTGGGGGCACCAGGGCACCCTACCCTGGACCACCAGAGCACTAGGATCCTGTGGGAACAGAGGCTCTGCTGTGTCCATCTAACAACATGGTCACCCTCTCCAGCTGCTCCCAGCCCACCCAACACAGACGCAGGACACAGACACAGGGACACTCCTAAGAGAGTGGCCCAGGAGTAGTAGAGGCACTGGGAGCAGGCCCTGGCTCTGAATGACCTTGGGAACACGATCTGCCACCTTAGCCTGAGTTTTCCTTGTATGAGCAGGACTGGATCAATGAATGCTTGCCCCAAAAGGCTGCCCAGAGGCAAATGAGCTAGCGTGAGAAAGCCTTCCAAAGAGCTACTCAGCTACCCCCTTATAGCTGCCGTCACATCTGCCTCATGGAAGAGGGCACTGTGCCCAGAGTGGCAGCAAAACAGTGGTCAGCAGGTCTAGAGCCACACGACAGTGCAAACAGGCCTGGCCAGGGCAGGGCATGTGACATTCCTGAAGAGGAAGGGGGCCTGAGGCCCAGGGACTTGTCCAAGGGCAGACGGTTCACTCTAAAGCTTGTGGTCCAGCAGGAAGCCAAGGGAGCACAGGAGAGGTGCTAGGGGCAGGGAAGGTGGGGGTCTCAGCAAACAGCCCTCTGTGCCCACTTCCTAGAGGAAAACGGGCAAAGCCCAGGCTGCTACAAAGCCCAGCGGTGGGGCAAGGACTGCCCTGAGTGCAGCCCTGCCAGCCCCTACCTCTGACGCTCTGGAGTTGGGGGTGGGGGATCTAACTACCCAAACCTCCCCAGGAAGGCCGCATCCAGGCGCAGGGATGACCCAGCACTTACTATCTACTCACACCCACATTAGCTGTCACCCTGCTGGCCCGCAGCAGGCCGCGGGTAGGGGGCAGAGTGACCGGGCGCCAGAGCTGTCCCTGATGCTGGCCAAGGCCGAGCAGCCCACACACCCTGCAGGGACCACGCAGCTCCCAACCCTGCCGATCTCAGCCTCCCCGCAGCGAGTCTGGTCCCACCTGCCAGAGTCCCTCGCATCCCGTGCCAGCGGGGATTATCAAAAACACCTTCCAGTAACGCGCGGGGCATTTTCGTCGGCCGGGATCGACGTGGTTGCCCCTGACCCAGCCGCCTGATTCTATACCATACCTCAGAAAGGGGAAACTGAGGCAGGGTGAGGAAGTGCGGCCAGCCCACCCACCTTCAAGCAGCCTGGCCCGGTCCGCGCACCCAGAGCCCAGAGCCCGGAGCCCCCGAGCCCAGGCCGGCCGGGCCACTAGCGGAGTCGGCCAGCCCCGGAGCCGCGCACTCACCGCCTCCGCCACCGCCGCCGACTTCCGGGTGCCGCGCCCGCGCGCCACCGCAGCCAGCCCAGTACCGCCCAGCCCGAAGCCGGCGCGTTCACCATTGGGCCGCGCAGCGAGGGGCGGGGCGGCGCGCCGCATGCCGGCGTCCCGTTGGCTGGGCGCGCTGTCGCTCGGAGGCTGCCACCTCCTGGCGCCCCGCCCCCGGGGCTGCGCCAAAGCTTCGGGCTGCGCGGGCGTCTGAGCGCTTCCTGATCCAGCGGCCTTCGGGGACTCCGCGGCTCCCTGCCTGCAGGGACGCCATGGGAGGTCGCAGCCGCCCCTGAGTCCATGCCCTCATGGACACCATCTGTCACCTGCTCACCCTGCGGCCTCTCTCGGAAGAGGTACAGGAATGCTCACTTCCGGACTGGCCCCCTCAGACTGCGTCCTGGTCTCCCCATCCTGTTCACTCAACCCCACCTCTGGACCTGGCCATCTTCCTCTTGGTCATCCCTTCCTTCACTTTATGGCCTCCAGGTCGGCTCTTTCCTCCCTGATGTCCCTGCCATTCCCAGTATGTACCCCCAGACCCTGGACTAGGCATTTGAGCACTATACCCTGCACACCCACCACCTCCCCCACTTCCACCCCCCAGTGTAGCCTTTGAGCTCACATCCAGGTCCAGGCCCCAGCGACGAGGGGCTGGCCCAGCTTGACTTGTGCAGGGTGAGCAGGTGGGCACTGACTGGGGCCCTCCCAACAGGACAGAGGCATTAGCTGGGACCGCTGCTCCTGTAGCCTCTGGGCTGTGCCTGGGCCTATGTGGCAGAAAGGTGGAGAGTCAAAGCCCAGAGGCTCAGGCCCTGCCTCAAAGTGAGCATTCAAAAAACTATGACATGGATGACAAAGACATTAGGGATAATGATAATGTGTAAAGCACTCTAAACCCAATGTCTGGGTCAGCAGTTCTTTCATCCCACTTTATAGATGTAAACACTGAGACTTGGAGCAGTTATGTCATTCAGTTGAAGTTGAAAAAGGTGGCAAGCAAGAGAGGCCACATTAGCTTCAACCTGTGTTGAAGACCTAGGTGCCCTGATGCCCTGCAGAAAACTGGGGCTCAGGGATGGGAAGAGCCTGGCTGGTAATCAGCAACGGCAAGAGTCTAACCTGGACCTACATGCGGGCCCGTTGTGCTCCACACTTTTGCTATCTTATCTGTGTTTCCCCTGGAACCCAACAGAACCTTTTACAAGGACTCCAGATGCCCAGGGACTCATGGCCAGCGGGCCGCAGACCCAGCCAGACATGGTTGTCTCTCCCACCATCCAGCAGTGGGATCATGTGGGGCTGGTACCAGTGATTTCCCTCTGAGCAGCCAAACCTATGCAATCTATAGGGCCAAGAGGTGGTGGTGGTGGACAAGTGGGATCTGGGGCTTGGGGGTGATGGACTGTGCCCTGGGGTTCATGGCAGCACCTGGAGAATGGGCTTCCCCAAAGCACCAGGCCATGCACCTCAAAGCTGGACATGAGTTGACCAAGGTTTCCCTTTGCCCACAAAGAGGGATGCAGTAACATGTCAGATGGTGGTTTGCATCCTGTTCTGTCATACCTTGTGGCCTTGGGCCATCCCCACCCCCAGCCATACTTTTCCCAGCTAGACAGAGCCAGAGCAGACACTCTGATCTTCTTTGTCACCACTGACACTCCAGTCTGGATGACATGCGATGCCAGGAAGCAGGTGACGGCAGATGAAATGGGTCTAGGATGGGCACCTAAGCCCTGGGATCTTGGGGCTGCAACAGGCTCACTGGCATCCAACCTCTAATTGCACACAAACTCAGATAGGAAGCTCACTACCTTCTGTGGCCACTCTTTTGATTTCAACAGCTGCCACTCTTGAAAAGTTCTTGACACCCAGCTGAAAGCATTTTCTCTCTGTGGCTTTCTCCGGGGGCCTCACAGCTGTCCGCATGGAGCTAGGTGAGAGGATGAGAGAGGGAGAACACTGGGCTACTGGTCCCTGTGGTCTCCCTTGCTGTGTTTTTCTTATCTTTTTCTTTTTTCCTTTTTTTTGAGATGGAGTCTCGCTCTGTCTCCTAGGCTGCCGTGCGGTGGTGCAATTTCAGCTCACTGCAACCTCCGCCTCCCAGGTTCAAGCGATCTCCTGCCTCAGCCTCCCAAGTAGCTGGGACTATGGGCGTCTACCACCATGCCCCGCTACTTTTTTTTGTATTCTTTTAGTAGAGATGGGGTTTTGCTATGTTGGCCAGGCTGGTCTCGAACTCCTGACCTCTGGTGATTTGCCTGCCTTGGCCTCCCAAAGTGCTGGGATTACAGGCATGAGCCACTGCGCCCAGCCTCCCTTGTTGTGTTTCTGACCCCTGGCTGCAGCCTAATGGGCCGACTGCTGGACAGCGGTCCTGAGTCCTGTTTGAATTGGTGCTGCCCCGACATCCTCTGACCTCAGCTAATGATCCTGCCTGCCGAGGGCAGACAGGTCTCTGCAACCCTATGGGTGGTAGGGGTGGTGATGAGAGGAGAGGTAGTCTCACTTGCACAGATTTTGGTGTATGGTTCTGTCTTTTGCACTCTTTCAACAGAGGTCTGTCCAGTCCCTCTTGCAAGTGTGGGGAGGGGGTGGTGCAGGACTATGAGGTAACTGTGAGAAGAGGGGCTCCAGCAGAACCAGGGTCCAATGGCCTTGAAGAGATGGCTGGGGACAGCTGGACTCATTACGTCTACTCCTAAATGGAGGAAACGACCCCTCAGCTACACAGCACCTGAGCCAGAATGTCACCATGGTGCTGCTCCACAGGATGACAGCTACCTGGTTTGTGAGGGCCCCTATTCTAGGGACAGCTACTTCATTCTGCCCTCCCAGAGCAGCAAGCAACAACCCTATGCCAGGAGGCCAATTGGCACGTCAAGTGCCAGCTCCAATCGATTGATAGTAGCTGCCTGGCTCTGAAAGGCAGCTGGGATCGATTCACCATGCTGCCAGCACACAGATGGACCCAGCGGTGGTCCCAGCAGTGAGTTCTTGCCTTGGGCCATTTCATTTTCTTTGTCCTGGCCAAGGAATGATTGGATGAACACACTGGACTCCCAATATGGGTGGATAAGACAAGAGTGTCTGGTCACACCCCTCCACCACTCATAAGCATGGTTGTGGGCAGTTTGGTTCCCCAGGCGGCCTTGGAGAATGCAATGAGCCGAGGAACTGGTCATCTCCAGGTGCATCCAGGGCAGGAAAGGATGACAGCATGCGTGAGCCAGGGTCACTGGCTAAGAAGTCATCTCAGGACCTCCCCCTAGAAAAGCCCACTGGGCAGCATCCCTGCTGGTTCCCCCCTACACCACAAGGTTACGCAGAGCTGGCGGAGGGTCATGGTCCCACTCATGTCAGGTGCTCTTAATCTGGCAAGGAAATGTAACCTACGTGAATCTCAACAGGCAGTGAAGCACCGTTTCTTCCTGACTCCAGGTAGGGTGAAGAAAATGGGACAGTAGTACGGGGTGCGGGCATAAACGCACAACTCTGCCTCCCCAGACGCAGAGCTGTGGGGCTGTGAGAATGCCAGGAGGAGGTAAGAAAGGGCGGCCCCATGGGGGGCCTGCAGGGTGGGACAAGCCCAAGAGGTCTCTACATCCAGGCCTGGTGGGGGAGGTGAGCCCCTGGTTTACCGAGGGGGTCCCTTCCTGCCCTCGGAAATACTGCAGCTCCTACCTCCATCGTCTCCCCGCTGCGGGGACCCAGGGGCGTGAGGATGAGAGAGCCCCCAGGCCCCAGGGTCAGACGACTGTGTTCAAGCAAGTGAGAACCTCTCTGAGGCTGTTTCCCAACTGTAAAATGGGGATAGCAGCAGAACTCTCTCTCGCGGCTTGCGTGAAGAATACAATTCGATGTCGACAGGAGGGAGCGGCGCGCAGCGCGCAGCGAGTAGCAGGCGCTGAAGAAGGATACCTGTGAACTGGGAGTGGTGGCGGAGGCTACGCGGCCAGAGTCCGGGGAAGGGGCGCCGGCTCTGCCAGTCCCTGCTCGGGGCTGGATGGTCGGGGGATGTTCTCGTAAGTCGGCTGGGAGGGAGCGGTCCCGCGTACCCTGCCACCGCCGCCGCAGAGGTTCGGGCAGGTGCGGGGCCGCGGCCCCTCCGCGAGGGGGCCGGTCATCCGCCGGGACTGACATCCCGGAGGCCCAATGGCAAGCCGTCATCTCCGCGCATCCGCCCAATCGGCGCCGGTTGCCGTGCCGCGCCGGGTCTCTCGACCAATGGGAAAATTTGCTGTCAGATGGGGCGGGGCGGAGATTCGCGTCGCCGGCCCGGTCCGCTTTGCGCACGGGCCGCGTGAGGGCGGGAGGGCTGGCCCGGGGTCTCGGGTTGCGCGCTGGGCCTGGAGGGAGGGGGCGGCCCCCGCACCGGTCCGAGTTGCGGCCGCGTGGACTGCGACCCGCGCCGCGCCGCACCGCGCCGCGCCCTGGGAACGCCGCTCCCCGCGCGCCAACGGACCCGGGGAAGCCCTTCTGGGGTCCGAGGCCGCGCTGCGGGGCCGCCCACGCTGCGCTCCAGGTAAGCCTGAGCCAGTGGGCGGGGTGTGGGACCCGGGGCTGGGGCCTCGGGTCGGAGCCGGGACTGGGGGCGGGGCTGCAGATATGGGACGCATTCCGGGCAGCGGTCCGGACAGGGTCCTATCCCTGGAGTCGAGATCCGGGCGAGGGTCTGGGCCGGACGTCGGAGCCAATCTCCGCCCCACCCGCGTCTTGTCCGCGCGCTCTGCGGCGTCCGAGACCCCGGGCCGGCGGGGGCGGGTCTCTTTGTGCGTGGCCTTGGGGCCCTACCCTACCCGTCCGGGCGTCTTGCACTGAGCACTCCAGCCGAGCGCGGCCCGACCCCGCAGCCGTGCCCGCCCCGCGCGACGCTTGGCGCCTAGCTGCCAGGGCCCTGCAGCCGCCGAAACTTTCCAACAGCCCGAGGGGCGGCAGGCCGGGAACTTTCCTGGGGCAGCGCGCCGCCGGGAAGCTCAGGGGCACCGACGGCCCGGAGGTGTCCTCGCGCCGCGCTGCTCCTGCCGCCTCGGGGGTGAGAGAGGGCGCGCCACCCGGACCCCCGGCCTGGGTCCCCCTCCCCACGCCGCCCTGCGCCCCCTCGGTGCCGGTGCGGAGACATGTCATCTCCACTCTGAGGGAGACTGCTCGGTTTGCTGGGGAGTCGCCCTGGGCAGGTGGCCTGAGAGCTCCAGCCTATTTTAATTTTTAAATAATTAAATATTGGCTGCTTACAATATTTCACCGTTTCTTAGCTATGTGTAATGTAACATACTTAAAATGGAACTAAAGGACTTCAGCTCCCTTTCCCTACATCCAGGCATATTTAGAAATAAGGAAAAGAAAGGTGCCCCGTGGGTATTTTTTAGAGTAGGCTCTTAATGCTGCTGTCTAATAACCTCAGGTGAGTACCCAGGCTGCTGTGGGGGAAACCTCCCCTATGGTATGGGCCAGGGGGGTGCAGTGGGAGCCTCCACCTCTCCCGACCTTAGCTTCTCTGGGGTAGCTGCCTTTACTTCTTCCTACTTCTTAACTACTGCCTTATCTGCCTTTACTCTGGGATCTGGGCGGTGTTTAGAGGTCTGGTCCAAACAAGGCAGGTGTTACCTATCTTGTACTCACTCTATTGGAGCTGGGATGGTGCTGAATGCAGGGGGGCAGTCAGCGCTCTCTTGCCCGGTGTGCCATGCCAGTGGCCGGTCAGCTCCTAAGCAGGTGATCCAGGCCTTAGATCAGGCGACAGTGTGAGCCGCAGCGTGTCTGGGAAGGCATTTCCCCCAGTCTTGCCCCATCCTATCCGCAATGTCTGCTCCCAGCTGTCCCCTGTCCCCACCCTACCCCCATTCTGGGGTCCACCAGCGCCCAGCAGAGGACTGGGCACAGAACATTCGCTAAGGGACTCAAGTCCCAGCTGAGAGGGTAGTTGAGCACAGCCAAGCCAGCCCCTGCCCAGCTCTTGGCTGAGCTGCCCTGTCAGGCTTTTCAGCATAAACACAAGGACCTTCTGACCAAGGTTCCTCCTGGGAGAACAAGTTCTGACCCTCAATCCTGCTAAATTTGAGTCTCCCCACCCACCACATCTGGGCTGCTTGGCTCCCATGTTTGCTCTGGCACTCCCTCCAGAGGTGGCCCTGTAGTCTCCCCCCAGTCCCGGGGCCCTCTGCATCTCTGTGGCTCTGTGAGGGTAGGGTAGCACCCCTCCTTCTGTTTGTGCTACACAGGGATTCAGGGTGAGTTCCCTGTGCTCCTTCACCCCAGGAGTCTGGCCTGGGGGAGCATGAGGCTGTCCTGAGTAAGGACAGAAGGTGCAGGAGCAGCAGGATCCCCGGTCTCTGGGTGGAGCAGGGAGCTCTGCACACGGATGCCAGGCACCACCCTCTGTCCAGCCCATCTGTCGTGCTCCCCGCCTGGCCCTGGCAGAGGGAGTGACAGGGTAGAGCTGGGATAGGGAGTCAGGGCCCATTCTGTAGACAGGGCCAGGAATGGAGGGTGGGGGTCCAGGGACAGCACTGCAGAGCACCAGCTGGGCCTTGGGGGTCCTGGGGACTTCCCTGATGGTGGCTTAGTCATGGGGAGGTGTCTGTTCTTTTGTCAGCAGCTTCAATTAAGACCAGAATGAGGCCGGGCGCAGTGGCTCATGCCTGTAATCCCAACACTTTGGGAGGCCAAGGCAGGTGGATCACCTGAGGTCAGGAGTTTGACACTAGCCTGGCCAACATGGTGAAACCCTGTCTCTACTAAAAATACAAAAATTAGTCGGGCATGGTGGCATGCGCCTGTAGTCCCAGCTACTCAAGAGGCTGAGGCAGGAGAATCGCTTGAACCGGGGAGGTGAGGGTTGCAGTGAGCCAAGATCACACCACTGCACTCCAGCCTGGGTGATAGAGCGAGACTCTATCTCCAAAAAACAAAAACAAACAAAACAACCAGGATGGGCTGGTCACGGTGGCTCGTACCTGTAATCCCAGCACTTTGGGAGGCCGAGGCAGGCAGACAGATCACCTGAGGTCAGGAGTTTGAGACCAGCCTGGCCAACATGGTGAAACCCTGTTTCTACTAAAAATACAAAACAAATTAGCTGGACCTGGTGGCATATGCCTGTAATCCCAGCTGCTGGGGAGACTGAGGCAGGAGGGTTGCCTGAACCTGGGAGGCAGAGGTTGCAGTGAGCCAAGATTGTGCCATCGCACTCCAGCCTGGGTGACAGGGTGAGACTCCGTCTCAAAAAAAGAAAAAAAAATACCCACAAAAAAACAAACAGAAAAACCCAAGATGAAGTCTTGGGTCACTCTGAGGGGACTTGGGATCAGGGATCCCTTAGTAGGTTTTCCTGGCTCAGGGCCTTCATATCTTGGCCTGTTTCAGGTCGGGAAGATGACCCAGAGCTGGTGGGTGCCTGGGGCCACAGAGTTCCCCCCACTCCATAACCAGTTATGCACAGGCCCTTCCCACTGCCCCTGCTGATTGAGGGGCTGCCGCCTCTGGCAGAGCAACGGGGAGCTGAGCATGGCCACCAGAGGGCAGCTGGGACCGCCACAGCAGGCAAGACCGGCTCCACCCAGCTTCCTGCGGCAGACCAGGACCCTTCCCCAGACACCTGGCTTGGATGACCGGAGCTCGGCCTCCAAGCCGCCTATTGAGGGCGTGGAGTTGGAAAGGAGCCAAGCAAGGCCCCTCGGTACCCCCAACATGCTTGGTGCAGGCAGAAGGAAGCCTGAAGGCCAGCTGGTGGGTGACCACACACAGGCTCAGCAGGGACAGTGAAGGACTAGCCCTGTGCCTGCGTAGCCCCAAAAGTGCAGTGTCCTTCAAGTGTGTGCCCAGGGGCCTCCCAAGCCTTCCCAGGTGTGGTCTGTGCCTCAATGTCCACAGCAGAAGTGGGCGTGTTCTCACTATGTGCCCAGGGTGGCAGCAGGCCTAGGAGAACACTCGGTTTTGCTGTAGTGGACAGCATTGTCATTGAGCAGCATGGACCTTCCCTGTCCACTGGCCACGGGGCACTCCATTCACCTGCCTGCATTGGCTGTTGCCAGGGCATGTTCTCAGCTACCTACAGTCAGTGTCACCTCGCGCTCATAGAGCAGGAAGCGAGGAGACTTGGGGAGGGGGTGGCCTGCTGAGGCCACACTGCAGGGAGTGCAGAGCGAGCTCACCTGGGCCCCTCATTGCCTACCCAGCCCAGGCTGCATCCTCCATCCCAGTTCTGGGCCCAGTGTGTACCCATGGGAGCTGCCCTGTGCCGTCAGCTATCCAAAGGACTGTAGCTTGCCAATCTGGCTGTGTGGCCTGGGCCAGGCTTATGCCCCAGTGTGAGACCTCTCAGCCCTCTGGTTGGACCATGGATACCGTGCCAGAACCACAGGGCTTACTAGGGCATCAGTGGGGTGTAGCCAGGGGCTGACAGAGCCCCATGGCCAGCCATCGGGTCTGGACAGTTTGGTGGGGAGACCCAGTGTGGGGGTCCCATGGCATGGGTAGGCCCAGGCCATCCTCACTGGGAAAAGGGCCCAATAAAGGGCGTGGTCATTCCCCCGCTTTGAGGCGGCTGGTACTGGGTCCTTGGCCAGGCAGGTGACCCCAGAGCTTGCAGAGCACTCAGGGGGGCTCCCCAAGGTGAGCACCTCCCCACCTTCCCATATGATCCTATCACTAGTTCTGCCTTCACATCACTGTCCTGTCTGTCGTCCCTCTGTCCGTCCACTGCCCAGAGCTCCCTTAGGTTGTCCACAGATGCTCTGCTCTGCCCCTGCCTGTACGATGCTGATGTGCCTAGTGCACCCTTAGGAAGGATACCCACAGCTCTGGCTGCTCCTACCACTCAGCCTCCTGTGGTGCTGCTATCCTCTGCTCCCACCCATCTCCTGGGGGAAGCCCTCTCCAATGCCTCACTTGGACCCCTTCCCAGGGTCTGCTATTGGCTCTACCATATGGTTGCAGGTTCTTGGCCTGGCTGGACCCCATGAGGTAGGAGGCCCATGAGGAAGGACCCATGTTCTCCTTTGGTCACACTTCCCCAACTGGGTGGGGGGGGGGGACTTTGGGAGGCCTGGAGGCAGGAAGACCTGAGTTAAATCCTGGCCCAGCCCTTGTCTGGCTGGGACCCAGTTTCTCCATGTGTAAAATGGGGTATATAGCCAACCTGAGACACCTGGTAGAGTCAGTGAGATGACGGCTCACAGCCAGTGTGTCTCGGTTCTGTGGCACATGGTGACTCCGGGGGAGAGGCTGGTGCTTATCAGGGATAAAAAAAAAAAGTCACATGGTTCTCTGTGGTACAAAACCTATGTGAACACTTAAGCTAAAACCAGAGGTTTCCTAGAAATGTCACACTCAGAGCAAAAGCTGGTTCCTAAGCCTCAGACCTTGGAGTAGGAGCAGCATCTCCTCTTCCTCGGGGCGCAGTGCTGGTGGATGGGCTCCCAACCGGGCCTGCCCATCTCAGGTGCACACACACACTCATATTCACATGCACGCACATGCATATGCACATGTGCCTGGCTTGGTCCCCAGTTCTTCCCTGCCTCAGGCCCTGCATCCCACCCCCCATGATCCCACCCTGAGGCGTAGCCAGTCGCCCACCCTCACTTGGACCCCTTCCCATGATGAAGAGGCTGTCGTGAGACGGGGAAACACACCGTTGGGGCACCAGAATGGACCATGACCACAAAGGACTATTGGGCGGGGCCTCAGAACAATCTAGAAAACACCGTAGAGGCGGGGGAGAGAGCTCTCATTACCGATGTCCCCCAGAGACAGCCTCCCATCCGAGGCCCAGCCCTTCCCTGTCTGTCTGCAGTGTCCTGTTTTTCATTTTTATGACATGAACACTCTGGCAATATCCCCGGGCCTAGATATAAGGAGAGGGAATGTGTCCCCGGGGCCATTAGCTGAGACAGGAAGCCGCAGGGTCCTCCCCTGAGGAAGGCTGAAAGCTGTGTGAGTACAGGCACCCCCTTGTCTCCTGCTCCAGCCCATAAGCCTCAGCTCCCCAGGCTTGAGTGCCAGGTCCCCCATCCCAGACAAATGGTTATTCACACCTGGCCACAGCTCCAGGGCCAGGAACCTGCCTGCTTCCCCGCCCTCCCTGTACTGGAGACTGTTGGGGGCAGCTGCCTGCCTGGGAGGGCCCAGGATCTATGTTGGCCTCAGGGAACCTCAGGAGAGGCACGTGGCCTCGCCCACAAGGCGGGAGCGGACTCTAGGGAGGTGGAGCAGATGTCTTATGGGGCTGTGAGCACCTGCGTGGGGCAACAGGACCCTGAGCCTGGCTACCCTGGGGTGGGAATACTGCTGTGCTGTGTGTGATGGGGAAGACGTCATTATCAGTCCACATCTCTGAAGGATCACGTTTCTGAAGGATGGTCAACAGCATTAGACATGCTGACAAGGAACCGTGGCAGCCCAGTGTCACCTACAGTCCTGGACATGTGGGGGCAAGAAGGTACACATGAGTGTGTGGTTATGAGTCAGGAGCACCACGGGATGACCTTCAGATCAGGCATGACAAGGTCCTGCTTAGAGGACGGTCTGGGCTTGTGTACCTTTATCCGGCAGGGACCTACCCAGCTGGATTGACCTCACTCATGCCCTCTGGTTTCCCTGCAGGAGCCAGAGCCTGCAGGGTGGGTGTCGGGACATGCTGATCTTCCCTCAAGACAGGTGAGTGGCCTGGGTTTAGCTTGGGGACATCCTCTCCCACATAGGACAGCAGAGTGTTCTGGTGGGCCTGGCGGGTGGGGGTGACAGGGATGGACTGGCCCTGGACACTGTGTGCTCCTGGTCCTTCTCACCCTGGGTAGGCACAGCCCCTGGGCTGGACAGGGTGGATGTGAGGGCCTCCTGCCACCAGCTTGGGTTTGTTACTGGCCTGAATATGGGCAGCAGCCACTGGTTTGATGTCTGGCTTTAGGGACAAGCCTGTTTGGGGCTGGCTGACGAGGTTGCTGGTCAGTGTTGGTTTGGACATTCACTGGGTCTGCTCTTCACCTGCCTGAGCTAGGATGCCAGCCGCAGTGGCATCCAGTATTGGCACAGCCTGCTGGGCCAGGCCATTCGCTTGCCCCCCAGAGACTGGAGCCACAGGGACAGAGGATAGTCCTGGAGGCCAGGCACACAAAACTTTGTTTGAAAAGGTCTGATAGTAAGTAATTCAATTTTGCAGGCCTTATGGTCTCTGTCACAGCTGCAGTTCTCTGCCATTGTAGGATGAAAATGGCTGCAGACAGCCCATAACTGAATAGTCTGAATGTACTCTGATCACAGCCGTAGGCCATGTGTACTGGCCCGTGGCCTCAGGTGTTATCTGTGTTTGGGGTTCCTCTGCTTATCATGGCTGCTAGCTCCAGTGGGACTGAGGCATAGCGCCTGGGAAGCATGGCAGGGTTGGAGGCTGAGTGGTCCATGTCCCCCAGGACCCTCTGAAGGATGGTAAGGCATACCCTGCTCACATCCACGCTGCCAGAGTTTTGCCACGATGGGTGCTGTTCAGCAGAGTGGGTGATGGCTTAAGAGAATGGCTCCTGGCCATTCTTGTTCCTCCAGTCCCCACCCTGGCCATCTGCCTGTCCCCCCAAAAAGCAGTCTCTGTGGGAGGCATGGCTGACAGCCCTGTGGTTTCTCAGTGACAATTAGTGCCCATTGTGGAGGCATGGCCCAGCCAGTGCTGTGCCTAAGTGGTAGGGAGAAGGCCATGGCCTCCGGATGCCTGAGTGACCTAGGCTGAGGGATCTAGGGCAGATGGGAGGGACAGGATGACTGACTCCTTGCCTGTTCCCAAGTCCTTGGGCATGGAAAGCTGCCGGCCGGGCCAGCCTAGTGGGAGCTGGGTCTGCTGCCGCCTGGCTGTGTGGGAGGACCAGCGTCTGGCCGAGAATGTCACTGCTCAGGCCATTTGGCCATGCAGGGTCTTCTGGGTTGGGACAAAGAAGCTCAGGCAGGGTACTTGGCTTGCTTGTGGCACAGGTGACAGGGCATCTCAGGGTGGCAGGAGGGGCTGTCCCACTGCCCTTAACTCCTCGTAGGTCACCACACTTCAGGGAGGCCAGGTCAGCCAGACACCAAACGACAGCCCTGGTAACAGGGTCCGCAGGAGGGTGGTTGGCTGGGCAGGTCCGAGGCTGCCCAGGCACACTTGCTCACTCTCCCTCCTGTTGCTTGCTCCTTTCTTGTCCCTTCTTTTCCCTCCCCCCTCCAGTTCTTGGTCTTCTCTATGTTTCTCTGTGGCCCTCTCTGTGCCTCTTTCTCTGCCTTTCCCCATCTCCTATCCTGCCCATCTGGAATGTGGTGATTGCTTATTCCTGTCTGCTGTGGTGATTGGTTTTTCATGTCTGCCCTGGGCACTGGTGCGATGGGTGATGGCATTTGTGCCATCTCTGCTCTGGCTTGGGCAACCTGGGCTCTGGCTTGCGGCTGCCTGCTCTGCTGGGCCCTGGGGTGTGGTCCTGTCCACAGCGGGAGGCAGCTGGGGAGGGAGCCTCAGGGCTCAGCTGGGACAGGGGCTGATGTAAACACCCATGTGTCACCACACTCAGCACCCACTCACCCAGCCTCATGCTGGGTCCTGGGCATCACAGGCACATCAGGCCCAGCCCTGCCCCTGAGGAGCTCCCAGCCTGGTTGAGGAGATCCACAACACACAGAGGAACCAGTGGCCAACTGTGGGGTTACAAGATGGTGATGAGTAGCATGGCTCCCTTAGGAGGGGGAGCTGGGAGGGTGTGATGGGGTGGTGCGTGCTGAGACCAGGCCTGAGTGAGAAGGGCTGGCGGGGACACAGATGCCCTGCCGTTTCCCATAGCTGGCCAGCAGTGGTGTCCTCTCAGAGACCAGCACCAGCCTGGCCTCCTCCATCAGCCGCCGTGTGCCTGCAGGGGGTTGCGGCTTCGTCTCCTGCGGCCGCCTGGCCCCTATGACAGGCCTTCTCTTGGGTTTTGATGTGTTTCTCAGCCATTGTATGAGTCTTTGTATATTAAAGATATTAATTCTTCACTCCTCTTTCTGCCTACTGCACATTTTTCTCACCCTTTTAGTTTTTGTTTATGATCATTTTGATGTCAAAAATGTTTCATATTTTGTGGTGAAGTGTGTTGGATTTTTCCCCATTTTTAGATATTCCGTCTCTCTGTGTAGTCAACTCTCCCTAGCATGCAGCCAGATAAAGATGCACCTGTCTTTTCTTCTAGAAGGTATTTTTACTTTAGTTTTGTACACAGCATTTAATCTGTCTGTCTTAGTCCATTTTGGGCTGCTGTATCAGAATACCTGAGACTGGCTAATTCCTGAAAAACAAAGACTTATTTCTAACAATTTTGGAGATGGGGAAGTCCAGGATTGAGGGGCCACATCTGGCGAGGGCCTTCTTTGTCGCTACATCCCCCAGGAGGTGGCAGAAGGGCAGGAGCACACGTGAGAGAGCGCTGAAGGAGGCGGAACCCATCCTTTTATCAGTAACCTGCTCCCGAGATAACAAATCCACTCCCACTGTAACGGAATTAATCCATTCATGTAGCAGAGCCCTTGTGACCTAAACACCTCTTAGAGGTCCTACCTTCAACACTGTTGCGTTGGGAATTAAGTTTCCAACACGTGAACTTTGGGGGACACGTTCAGCCCATAGCACAAACTAGTATTTATTCTGATGTAAATGGACGGCAAGGATTTAACTTTGTTTTTACAGCTGCATCTGAACTGTTTCCTTTTTGTTTGTTTGTTTTGAGACGGAGTCTCGCTCTGTCACCCAGACTGGGGTGCAGTGGCGCATTCTTGGCTCACTGCAACCTTCACCTCCCACGTTCAAGCAATTCTCCTGCCTCAACCTCCCGAGTAGCTGGGATTACAGGTGCCTGCCACCATCACCAGCTAATTTTTAAATTTTTTTTTTTAATAGAGATGGGATTTCACCATGTCCAGGCTGGTGTCGAACTCCTGACCTCAGGTGATCCTCCCGCCTCGGCCTCCCAAAGTGCTGGGATTACAGGTGTGAGCCACCGCTCCCGGCCATGCCTGGCTAATTTTTGTATTTTTTGTACAGACAGGGTTGTGCCATGTTGCCCAGGTTGGTCTCGAACTTCTGGGCCCCAGCAATCCACTTGCCTTGGCCTCCCAAAGTGCTGGGATTACAGGTGTGAGCCACTGCACCCAGCCTTAAATTTTTACCTTTGATATACTATTTATTTCAAAAGGGTAGGCCAGGCGCGGTGGCTCATGCTTGTAATCCCAGCACTTTGGGAGGCTGAGGCAGGCAGATCACGAGGTCAAGAGATCAAGACCATCCTGGTCAACATGGTGAAACCCCGTCTCTACTAAAAATACAAAAATTAGCTAGGCATGGTGGCACGCGCCTGTAGTCCCAGCTACTCGGGAGGCTGAGGCAGGAGAATCACTTGAACCCAGGAGGCGGAAGTTGCAGTGAGCCGAGATCGCGCCACTGCACTCTAGCCTGGCGACAGGGCAAGACTCCGTCTCAAAAAATAAATAAATAAAAGGGTATTATGCAATTTCTTACTTATTATGTGAGGGAGCCTCTTTTTTTTTTTTGAGACAGAGTCACGCTCTACCGCCCAGGCTGGAGTGCAGTGGCGCGATCTCGGCTCACTGCAAGCTCCGCCTCCTGGGTTCACACCATTCTCCTGCCTCAGCCTCCCAAGTAGCTGGAACTACAGGCGCTCACCGCCACACCCGGCTAATTTTTTTTGTACTTTTAGTAGAGACGGGGTTTCACCATGTTAGCCAGGATGGTCTCGATCTCCTGACCTCGTGATCCGCCCGCCTTGGCCTCCCAAAGTGCTGAGATTACAGGCGTGAGCCACCACGCCTGGCCAGGGAGCCTCTTTTTTAATTTTAATTTTTAATTATGGTAGAATACACATAACAAAATTTACTATCTTAACCATTTTCAAGTGTACAATTCAGTAGTGTTGTTTGTTCACATTGCTGTGCAACCAATTTCAGAACTTTTTTTTATTCTTGCAAAATAGAAACTCTGTACCCATTAGAAAACTCCCCGTTTGCCCCTTTCTTGAAGTGCTTCTACTTTTCCTATTGTTTGACTACTTTAGATGCCTTACATAAATAGAATCTCACAGTATCTGTCTTTTTGTGACTGGCTTATTTCACTTAGTATCATGAGAATATCATATGTCAGAATTTGATGCCTGATATTCCATTGTATATCTATACCACATTTTGTTTATCCATTTTTCCACTGGTGGACACTTGGGTTGCTTCCCCTTTTTGGCTATTGTGAATAATGCTGCTGTGAATATGATTGTGCACATATCTCTTGGAGACTCTGCTTTCAATTCTTTTTTTTTTTTTTTTTAGACGGAGTCTCGCTCTGCCGCCCAGGCTGGAGTGCAGTGGCACGATCTTGGCTCACTGCAAGCTCCGCCTCCCAAGTTCACAAGTAGCTGGGACTACAGGCGCCTGTCACCACGCCCGGCTAATTTTTTTGTGTTTTTAGTAGAGACGGGGTTTCACCGTGCTAGCCAGGATGGTCTCGATCTCCTGACCTTGTGATCCACCCGCCTCGGCCTCCCAAAGTGTTGGGATTACAGGCGTGAGCCACCACGCCTGGCCTCAATTCTTTTAGATACATAATGCAGAATTTTCTGATTGCTGGACCATATGGTAATTCTATTTTTAATTTTTTGAGGAATTGCCATACTGATCTTACATTCCCACCAGCAGTGCACAAGGGTCTTAATTTGTCTGTATCTCTGCCAAAACTTTTTTTTTTTTTTTAGACTAGCCATCCTAATAGGTGTAAGGTGATATTTCATTGCAGCCTTGATTTGCTCTTCCCTAATGATAGAAATGTTGAGCAAATTTTTTAACGTGCTTGTTGGCCGTTTATATATCTTCTTTGGAGAAATGTCAGTTCAACTCCACTCATTTTTAAATTGGGTTATTTGTGTTTTTTTGCTGTTGTTAAGTTTTGGGAGTTCTTTACATATTCTGGATATGAATTCCTTTTCAGATATATGATTTACAAATCTTTTCTCCCATTCTGTTGGTTGCTTTTTCACTATATTGATTGTGTCCTTTGATGAACATACATTTTAAATTTGGATGTAGTACAATTTATTTTTCCTTCTGTTGCCTGTGTTTTTGGTATCTTATCTAAGATATCATTGCCAAATCCAGTGTCATGAAGACTTTCCCCTATATTTTCTTCTAAGAGTTTTATAGTTTGAGGTCTTATGTTTAGATCTTTCATCTATTTTGAGTTAATTTTTGTGTATGTAATAAGGTAAGGGTGTGAGTTCATTCATTTACGTGTGTGTATCCAGTTCCATCATTTGTTGAAAATACCATCATTTCCCTAATGAATGGTCTTGGCACCTTTATTGAAGGTCATTTGACCGTATTCATGAGGGTTTGTTTCTGGGCTCTGTATTCTATTCCATTGGTCTTTGTGTCTGTCCTTATGCTAATACCACACTGTTTTGATTACTGTAGCTTTGTAGTAAGTTTTGAAATCAGGAAGTGTGAGTCCTTAAATGTTGTTCTTTTTCCAGATTGTTTTGGCTCTTTGGGCTCCTTAAAGATCGATATAAATCTTATGATAGATTTCTCTGTTTCTGCAAACAATGTCATTGGGATTTTTTTTTTCTTTTCTTTTTTTTTTTTGACAGGTCTTGTTCTGTCATCTAGGCTGGAATGCAATGGTGTGATCCTAGCTTACTGCGGCCTTGAACCCCTGGGTTCAAGCAGTTCTTTAGCCTCAGCCTCTGACTAGCTAGGATTACAGATACATGCTACTATGCCTGGCTGTCATTGGGATTTTAATAGGAATTGCACTGAATCTGTAGATCCCTTTCAGTAGTATCGTCATTGTGACAGTGGTAAATCTTCCCAGCCATGAACATGGGATATCTTTCCACTGATTTAGGTCTTTTTAAATTTTTCTTGGTAATGTTTTATAGTTTTCAGTGTACAGATCTTAAGTTTCTTAAGTTTAGTATTATGTATTCTATTCTTTTTAATGGTATTGTAAATGGAATAGTTTTTTTAAATTTCCCTTTCAGGTTGTTCATTGTTCATATATAGAAATGCAACTGATTTCTGGGTATTCATTTTTTATCCTGCACCTTTGCTGATTTCATTTTTTACATCTAATAGAGTTTTTAAAAAATGCATGTAGAATCTTTACGGTTTTATATAAGGTTATGTCGTCTATGAACAGAGATGGTTTTTCTTTCTTTCTAATTTGGATGTCTTTTATTTCTTTTTCTTGCCTAATTACTCTGTCTAAAACTTCTAGTACTATGTTGAATGGAAGTGGTCAAAACAGCCATCTTTGTCTTGTTTATGATCTTAGGAGAAAAGCTTTCAGTCTTTCACCATTGAGTATGATGTTATGGGCTTTTCACATATAGCTTTCATCATGTTGAGAAAGTTTCCTTCTTTTCCTAGTTTGAGTGTTTTTATCATGACAGACTATTGAATTTTGTTAAATGTTTTTCCTGCATCATTTGACATGATTGTGATTTTTGTCCTTTATTCTATTACTGTGGCGTATTACATTGATTGATTTTTGTACATGGAACCATCCTTGCATTCCAGGAGTAAAATCCCACTTGGTTAGGTTTATAATTCTTGTAAAATGCAGCTGAATTTGGTTTGCTAGTGTTTTTTTGTTTGTTTGTTTGTTTTGAGAATTTTTGTTTCAGTATTCATAAGGGTTATTGGCCTGTGGTTTTCTTTTCTTGTAGTGTCTTTTCCTGGCTTTGGTATTAGGGTAAGGCTGACCTCATAAAATGAATTAGGAAGTGTTCCTTCCTCTTTATTTTTGGGAAAAGTTTGAGGACGATTGGTGTTAAAATTACTTGAATGTTTGGTAGAATACACCAGTGAAACCATCTTTGCTGGAGGTTTTTGATTACTGATTCAGTTTTGTTGCTAGTTGTAAATCTAATCAATGTTTTCTATTTCTTCATGATTCAGTCTTGGTAGGTTGTGTGTTTCTAGGAAATTTTTCCATTTCATCTGGGTTATCTAATTTGTTGGTGTATAATTCTTTATGGTAGTCTGTTACCATCTTTTTATTTTAATGTTATACAAAGAAAAGGAAAACAAATTGAGGTTTTTTTTTGTTCTGTTTTATTGTTTGATTGTTGTTTGGCTTGGTTAGATTTTGTTTTGTGGTTCTTGGATTTGTACCTAATCTGTTGGAGTCATCAGTCCACAAACCCATGAATTTCCTGAGCCAGTAAAAATGCTTCCAATGGGCAGCTGACAGAGGACTGCTACAGACAACTGGAGCTGCCTTAATGCATTCAGAATCGCAGGCCCTTGCTGAAAAAATCAATTCCACACATCAGCAGCTGCTATTCCCTTGACACAATCTTCATGCGCAGGCTGTGGGCTTCTCACAAACTTGTGGTGGTGGCAGCCCCCAAATTTGAATCCCAGCAGTGCAAGCACAGGATCCCTTGGGTTATCCAGGCCTCATTTACTCCTGAATTCTTCTCTTCTTTTGGTTCTTAAAACTACTTCTCTGGGTAGTCCAGGGCTCTAGGTAAGATGAGTTTGCTGCCTCTGAAAATCCAGAAACCTCACCATAATTTTTCCTTATGGGGTTTCAGAGCGATGTTAACTTTGTAAAAGATCTCAAGTAGAGAGGAGAGGCGTTTGTTTGTTTTAACAAAGCTGTCAGCTCTTTTTTATCATAAAACAGCTTCTGAGCTGTGAGAGACGGGAGCCAGGCAGCAGGCAGCAGCGTGTTGAGGCTGACATTTACAGAGGGACAGTATGCAGCCCCTGCAGGCCTGCAGACGGCCTGGTATAGAGAGAGGCCCAGGCTTCAGCACAGCCCGCAGGTCAGAGCTGGGCACCCTCCTCCCTACACCTCGAAGTGGACACAGCGCATTTAGGAGCCAGAGGAAATGAGACTGAATTGTAAAAGCCAGAGGTAGACACATCCGTGACTTCCTGGGCTTCTTTTCTGGACAGAAGGCTCACACCCTAACTCAGATTCCAGCCCTGACGCTGATAGCCCCGTTGGACGTACTCCTGTTGAGGTGGTTTCTGGCCGTTTTTCTGTGGTTGGAAGAGCACTGTCTGTCGTTCTCGCTCTGGAAACTCCTATCATGTGGAAGTTTGGCCCTGGGCTCTGTCTTCTGTGGCTCCTACCATCCTCTTGTCATCTCTCCTGTTTGCTGTTGGGGTTGGGAGGACCGTCTTAGTGTACTTTCTCCAGCCTCACACTGCGTGTTTTCTACAGTCTGCTGTTTACTGCCTCTGCTGGGATTTCCTTTAAATCTCCATGGGATCCTCATTATTTATAGCGGCTCCTTTTCTTTCTTTCTTTTCTTTTTTTGAGATGAAGTTTTGCTTTTGTTGCCCAGGCTGGAGTACAGTGAGGTGATCCTGGCTCACCACAACCTCTGCCTCCTGCCTCAGCCTCAGTCCTGAGTAGCTGGGATTACAGGCATGCACCACCACACCCAGCTAATTTTGTTTGTATCTTTAGTAGAGATGGGGTTTCTCCATGTTGGTCAGGCAGGTCTCGAACTCCCAACCTCAGGTGATCCTCCCACCTTGGCCTTCCAAAGTGCTGGGATTATAGGTATGAGCCATCGTGCCCAGCCAGCAGCTCCTTTTCATTGTGGTCTGTGGCCAGCGGAGTTGAACACCGTCTTTAACCTTCTAGGGCACATACCAGCTGTTTCCTAAGAAATGCGCTAAATGTGACTCAGCGGGAAGCGGCTTCCTGAGTCCTCCCATGGTGGAAGGGTCTTCCCTGGGCACTAGGCTGCTGTAAGTTGTGCTTGTCCCTGCAGGTGGGTCTGTGCAAGCTCGGGGTCTGCAGGCCCAGCCACTCCCACCTGTCTCAGAGGAACCTCATGTGGGATCAGAGGCAGGGGGTCCTGCAGATCTTGGTGTCAGGGGCAGGCTTGACCCGGCCTCAGGGGTCTCAGAGGGGGTCTGCCTTGCCCGGTGTCCAAGACAGGAATGGAGTCTGCCTAGCATGCTGATCTTCACCAGGAGCCAAGATGTCCCCCACCCCCCAAAGGGCCTGTCGGGACTTCTAGGTGGGATAAGCAGCAGCCATATGGGTGTGGACGAGTGTGCCTGCTGGTGCGTGTGCCTGTGGGGCAGCTGTGGGTCCCTGTGCCTGGGTGTGCTTGTGTGTGTGTCTGTGTGTGTCTTAGTTCATTCACGCTCTGCCACCAAATACCTTAGATGGAGTCCTTTATAAACAACAGAAACATACTGTTCACAGTGCTGGAGGCTGGGAAGTCCAAGATCGAGGCGCCAGCAGATTCCGTGTCTGGTGAGGGCTATTGATAGATGGCGCTGTGTGTCCTCTCATGGTGGAAGGGGTAAACCAGCCCTCAAGAGCCGCTTTGATAAGGACACTGATCATATAAGGGCACTAATCACCTCCTAAAGGCCCTACCTCTTAATACTGTCACATTGGAGATTAGGTTTTAATGTGAATTTGGGGAACACTAGCATTCACACCGTAGCAGTGTGGGTGGCTGCACACATGTGCCAGTAGGTGCCTTTGAGGAGGGCCCCAAACTGTCAGCACTTCTCCCACCTCTTTGTAGTGGGGACTGGACACACAGTCAAGTCCCGAGGCTCTCCTGGTATGTGGCGGTGGGAGCCAGATGGGAGGCTGCAGGGCCTGGAATCTGCCCTGGATGGGGTGGTGCAGCCCCCTGCCTGGCCCTCTGTGTTGCTTGCATATGAAAGGCAGGACTTTGTGCACTTGCTGGAGGTTGGTGTCTAGGCCTGTTGCCATGGGCACTCCGGAGTGGAGCTGGCTCCCAGCAGAGGAGGGGGTTGGGAGCGGCAAGGCCAGCATCCAGCTCAGGCTCTGGAAGGGATGAGCGGTGCCCCAGGCACCCTGGGAGCAGCCAGCTCTGGCCAGAGGCCACACAGGACCCTGGGGCAAGGGCAGACCAAAGGGGACATGGAACCTCCCTGCATATGACAGGGTGGGCTCTACTTCATGCTGGGTCAAGATCTCACACCACTGGCTCCTCTGATGTGCTGGGTGGGAGAAGGGTACAGTGAGGAGCACCTTTCCCAAGGGTTTTGGGACTTTCAGGGGACAGGCTGTTGTCCCCAAGGGCTGGCAGCACTGCCTCCTTCCTGAGGCTCACCTCTCAGTGCTGGGTCCTCGTTCTGCCCCTTCCAGTGCAGGGAAGATGATGGCTGGGAAAGTGACTTTGTCCCCTTGTTCTAGAAGGTCAGGGGAGGGTCCTTTGGAGGAGGCAGTGGGGCTTGCACCTGTCTTATCTCTCGGCTTCACAGGCTGAAGGTGCCGGTGGTTCTGTCTCCAGCCTGAACCCCTTTCTTCCAGAACTTCATGCATCTAGTGGTCCCTCAGCCTCTCCAGCCTCAGAGACTCCCTTTGCACCCTCCCACTCAGGGTCCCGGCCCCTCCCTCCAGCCACCCAGGCCTGATCCCTTGCGGTCAGCCCAGACTTAATTCTCCCACCCACACCATCCTCTGATCCATTCTGAACCATATGGCCTACGTCCACCACAGCAACCACCCTATGGCCACTCCCTGCCACGGCAGCTGGAGGGTCCCAACCCCCACCCCTGTGCCTGCAGGTGTCAGCAGAGAGTGGGGTGCCAGTGGGGAAGGCAGGTTGGGAGGGGTGTGGTGAGGGCCTCCATTGGGGGTGCAGCAAGTGCTTGCTGACCCAGGCACTGCCCTGTGGGGGCAGCCCTTGGCCCCACTCCCTAGTAGTCAGGTAGATTTGCCTACAAAAGGATGGATCTCTCCCTGGGCCAGTGCCTCCTCGTGCTGCCGCAGGGGGCCAGTGATCCCCACCCCAACCCCACCCCAGGGGCTTAGTTAGCAAAGCTGCTGTGGGTCAGAGTGAGGTCAACTCGGGAGGGCCTCTAGGCAGGGCGCCCACATGCAGGGAGCTGCCAGGTGCCTGGTCAGCAGCAGTCAGTGGGTGGGGGCAGGGACTCTCAGGCCAGTACAGGAGGGGCTCCAGGGCTGGGAGTCTGGGGAAATGTGGCCTGGCCTCCTCTGCCTCCCTGGCTGTGGGGCTGTAGCATGGATGGGACAGCCATGCTGTCACTGTGCCAGGGACCCACATCATCCTCAGGGTTCCATTTCCCCAGCCCTGGAATAAGCCAAGCCATGGTGAGGTTCCGTTTTATCCAACTCTGGCCTGTCCCAGAGTTGTGGCTGCAGCAAGGCCAGTGACATTTCCCCCTGGGCGGATAGGTGAAGACGGAGGCTGAGGCTTGAGAAGTGAGAGGACAGTAAACTGAGTGGGGCCCAGATGCCAGGGCCAGTCCTCTCGGCACACCTGGTGCCAGACCTCCCACTGTCTGACCTGCCGTCTCACGGCCCCTGCCTGCCCTCCCACGGAGGACTTCCTGTCCCCATCTCCCACCAGGCACTGTTCCTGCAGCCATCCTGGGCATTTCCTGACTGGCGGGAGCTCCCCTGCCAGTGCTGTTTTCCACTTATCTAAGCAGAGTGTGTTCTTTGTCAAAACAACAGAGGGGAAAGCAGGAACCCCCCAGCTCCTGCAGAGAGGCTTCTCGGTGCTGTCTCTGCCCAGCCTCAGCCTGGCCTCCTGGGCTGTCCGGCTCATCCATCCGGAGACCCTTCTGGGTGGGCAGCTGGGGCGGGCTGGCCTAACCTGAAGGCTCTCCTACCTCAGCTTCCTTGGCTCCGAAACCTGGGAGGGGGGCTGGGCCGGCGGGCCCTGCTTTACCCCCCAGGGGCCCTTTGGCCACAGGCTCCCAGGGGCTGCACCCCACCTCCCCTCAAAGGGGCTTTGTGTCACCACAAAGAGGCTCTGTCCCTCAGGAGAAGCCTGGGTGTTTCCATGGTGATAGAGGGGCTGGGAAGAAGGGGTCTAACCCCGTCTTCCAATGAGGGGGGAAAGGGCGTTGCAGGCGGACGGCCCTGTGCACTCAGGCTGGTGGCCAGCGTGGTGACTGCTGCACCTGCCCGCTGAGGCCCCTCAGCCTGGTGGACAGCTGTCTCCTACAGTGCCTCAGTGGGGCCGTAGGGCATGGTAGGGCAGGGCTCCCAGGCCCTGTGGCTGTCTGCCTCTGATCCCAGCCTAGCTGTGAACCCTGTCAGTTCGCTCCTCAGGGATGCTTTGGTCCCTGTGCCCACCCCAGAGTACAGAGGACGGGGCTCAGCTCCATGTCTGGGCCTTTTACACCCCGCCTCCGCCTCCACTGCGCCTGCCCTCCCTAAGGCAGGGCATGGGCCACACGGCACCTTGCGGGGTGGGTGCCCGTCCCGGTAAGCCGTGGAGGCAATGGGCCAGCCACCGCCACCAATGTCCGGCCCACTTAGTAGGGCACTACACCTCTCCACACTCCTACAAACTTCATGCTCATCATTGGGGGCGGAGTGGGTGGGCTGAGTGTGCAGGGGAGAAGACACTGCACTGGCAGCCTCTGCAGCCCTCTCCCTGGAGCTCCCCAGCCTTTGAGCCCTTGGTGGTGCCCTGGGCAGGATGCAGCAGGGAGCCCAGAGAATGTGGCCCCTCACTGCCACTACTCCACGGCTTGGAGTCTGCAGGACCACCCACTGCTGCAGCTGTAGCTAGAGTCTGGGTCAGGCACAGGAAGGGCATTGGGGGCTGTTTTGAATCGGGACCTGGAGGACTCCTTTCCACCCCATCTCATGTCTCCTCATGGAGAGGCAGGTCTCAGGAGACCAAGGAGACTTAAAGGATGCTGCTGTTGGCACAGGGAGCAGGTGTCTGTGACCTGCTGGATTGAGAATCTTAAGCCCAGACCCTTTAGGGACCTCCAGCAGTGGCTCCCTGTGGCTCATGCCTCCCACAGAGGAGGGACAGTTGCTGGGACACTCGCCTGCCCTGCCTGCTCACCTGTCACGTCCTGCCTGCAGTCACTGGGCTCGTTCGGCCACTAGAGCCAGCCCTTGCCCTAACCTTAGGCTTCCCAGCTCCCTGGCCCCCAGCAGTGACCCTGCCTTGACCGGACCCCAGCTTCCGTATCAGCCCCACACAGCCCCTAGTCCCCCTGGACCTCCCATCCAGCATGCCCCCTGGGGCTGGCCAGTGTAGCTTTGGTCTTGGCCACCTTTGGCCTTGGGCACTGCATTAGTGCAGGGCAGGAGCAGCGTGGGAAGAGGCCCTTTCTGAGTATTCTCCCTGGACATGGGAGTGGTCCCTCACATGATCAGCGGGTGCCACTGAGTGAGCATGTGGACAGCCTGGGGAGCTATCTCTGTCCCTCTACCCAACCCCCGATGGCGTCTCATCCAGCCTGGCTCATTGCCTCTGCTGGGGAAATCAAATTTCCAGGCTGAATCTGATTATGGCTCTCTGACAGTGGGCACCGCCCTGGCCCCTGGGGAGATTGGTCCCTGGCCTCTGCTTTCACTCGCCTGCCTGGTGGGGAGGGTATCTGGTTTGTCTATTTCCTACTGAGGTTCTGATTATGCCAGCGGCGCGTGCTTCGAGGAGTGGTAGACTGGCAGGGGCAGGACTGTGGGGCTCTGGAGCAGCCTATGAGAGCACCTAATGGGCTGAGGATGCCACTTTGTTGTTGTATGTTACAAATACTTGATCCCAACATGTCGATTGTCTTTTCATTTTCTTTGTGGCTGCTTCTTCCATTATGGAAAATTACAAAAGCACAGAAGTGGAGAGCCTAGTGTGATGGGTCCTGCACACCCCACACCAGCCTCACCATGCTGGAGTCATGGTCTGCGAGTAACGCCAGCACCCGTCATTTCATCAAAACGCTCACTGCATGTGTTGCTCTAAATGGTGTCAGTTCTTTAAAAAACATGACCACACTGTGTGGCCCTTTTTTTTTTTTTTGGATATACAGAAAGTTTCATTCTCACAAAGTCACGCTTGTGCGTCTTTCCTCGGGGGTTCTTTCTGCTGCTTGGAGGCTGAGAACAGTCATCCCCAGCCCAGGCACCCCGGATCCAACACAGTCTGCAAGGGACTGTGGTCCTGGCCTTGGCACAGATGGATGTGGACTCCGCCCTGTGAACCCCAGGCCCCCGGCTCTGGCCCTGTCCCAGCTTGAGTACAGTGCCCGGCCAGTGGGCTTGGCCAGAAGCTACCCACAAGGCTTTGGGCACCATCTGACCACAGTAGGGGCAACAGGGTAAACATGGGGCCCCCACAAGGCCTGGCCAGCTAGGGGGACGAGGAAGTCTCTGTGCTGGCAGCTCCCAGGATGTCCTCCCAGGCAGAAGGTGGGTGCTGGGCCTGGGTCCAACTCCTGCCAGGGCACTTCTGGCATCATTTCCTCCTTGTAGGGAAGGGTGGAGGGGAAAGGGGGTATGGGAGGAGGCTCGATGGTCATCCGTCCCGTCTCTCCCCTCGAGGGGGGGGCCAGCGCAGCCCTGGCTGTGTTCTGGTAGACAGCTGGCAAGGGGTCAGGATGGGAGCCAGGCCCCGCCTGCCACCCTTCACTGGCCTGACCCTTCGGAAATTCCTCTAATTCCTCAACCCACACTGGACTCGGGCCCCATAATTTCATTTTCCGGACAAGGCTCTGGCCGCACTCCCGAGGAGGAATGTCTGGGTTGGCAAGATGTCGTCAAATGTCAGCTTTGGTTTCAGGGAAAGGATTTAGCTTCTACCCTCAGGTTCCTCACCATGCCTTCGTGTTCCTGACAGTGTGTGCTGACCATGGTTTGCCCCAGAGGGTTTGCGGGCCGGGGCTTTCCCCACTTAGTGAGGTTCCAGCATTTCCTTCCTGCCCACCGGCCCTTACACAGCCCACCCCCCCTTCCATTCATGCATCGCACTCTGTTTTCTCCTTCATCCACTCCTCCATCCACCCAGCCTTCAGCATCCCATCTGCCCACCCTCCTACACATTCTTCCATCATCATTTTATCCCTCTACCACCACCCGTATCCATCCAGCCACCTTCCCATCCAACTAGCCACCATTCACCCATCCTCTCATCTCCCCTCATTTTCTTATATAACCACCTATTAGTCTCCTGTCCACACACTTGTTCACTCACTCAGTTACACCCCCTTCTATCTGGCCTCCTCTTCTCCCATCCCTCCAGCCACCCACCCACAAATCTATTACTCATCCATCCATTCATCTGTAAACCCATCCAATCATCCATCTAGCTGTCTACCCTTCTATGACTTCATCCACCTCCCTATCCATTCACCCGTCTGTCTGTCCATACCCCTCATTCCCCAATCTGTCCATCCGTCTGTCCATCCTCCACCATCCCCCCCCATCCATCCATACGTTCATCCATCCATCCCCCACCATCCCATCTATGCGTCTGTTTTTCTCTCTGTCCATCGCCTACCATCCTCCTACCCACCCATCCATCCATTCATCTATATCTTCATCTCCCACCATCCCCCGACCCACCCATCCATCCATTCATCTATATGTCCATCTCCCATCATTCCCCCCCACCTACCCACCCATCCATCCATTCATCCATATGTTCATCCTCCACCATCCCCCACCCACCCATCCATCCATTCATCCATATGTTCATCCTCCACCATCCCCCCACCCACCCATCCATCCATTCATCCATATGTTCATCCTCCACCATCCCCCCACCCACCCATCCATCCATTCATCTGTTTGTTCATCCTCCACCATCCCCCCACCCACCCATCCATCCATTCATCTATATGTTCATCCTCCACCATCCCCCCACCCACCCATCCATCCATTCATCTATATGTTCTTCCTCCACTATCCCCCGACCCACCCATCCATCCATTCATTTATTTGTTCATCCTCCACCATCCCCCCACCCACCCATCCATCCATTCATCTGTATGTCTATCTCCCACCATCCCTCCACCCACCCATCCATTCATTCATCTATAAGTTCATCCTTCAGCATCCCCCCGACCCATTCATTCATCCATCTGTCCATTCCCCACCATCCCCCATCCATCCATTCATCTCTGTCCATCTCCCACGATCCTCCGACCTGTCCATCAATCTGTCCGTCCCTCTGTCCATCCTCCACCACTGCCCCAGCCACCCTCCATTCATTCATCCATCCCCCATCCACCCCTGTATCCATCTGTCTGTCCATCCTTCGCTGTCTCTCCTTTGCTTGCCCTCCCTCTAGTCTTCCATGGGCTGTGTGCCTGGGGCCACCCTCTTCTCCTGCCATGCTTCTCTCCTCGGGCCACCTGCTTGCCCAGCAGTTTGTCCTGTGAGAGCACCTGGAGGCTCACGTCCTGGTCCTGGATTCCCTTGGGTACGTGGCCAATGTCCATTGTGGCTGGGGCTGGGTGGGGGCTGGGTCGTCACTTTTGTTTTGCAGTTTATTTTTCAGAGTTTCAGTTTAGCCCCGACCTTTCCAGCCCCCCTTCAGTTCCTGATGTTTTCTGGTTGGAACATGGTGTTGTCCACATGGTCCTGAAGTCTGGTCACTCGTGGGCTGTGCAATGTCATTCCTGCCTTGCGGCTAAGTAAACTTCTGGGGCCAGCATGTTTGGCAAGAAGTGGCCTCCTCAGAGTTGGGCATGAAGCTGGTTGCTGTGTTTTGGGTGGGGGGTCATGAGGGGTCCACCCGACAAGGCAATGCTGGGCCCTTACCAGGTTAGGGGAGGCCAAGGTGGCATTGGCTGGACAGCCAAGGTCCCTGCAGTGTCCCCCTTCCTAGCCTTCCCCCAGGGCCCTCCTGGGCTCTAGCAAAAGCAAATCCGGTGCCCACTCTGCCCAGCATCCACTCAGGCCCCATCGATCTTAAGAATCCATGCACATTTTGCTTTCCTTGACATCATATATTTATTACTTGAATATAAAAACAGCATTTTGAGTTACCATCTGAAAAGCAGCCCTCTTTGGTTCTGGGCCAGGATCCCTTGTATCCAGACTGGCTCCTGTCATAGGCCAGAGTCCACCATGTCAGGGGAGTGGGCCTGGGCCTTCTGTGCTCTGCCTGGAGCATATCCCGGGTTGCTCTTGAGACACCTGAGATGCCGAGGCCATGACCTGCGGGCCTAGGGCACTTCCCCCCAGGGCAAATGCAGGGTGCACCCTGCGGCTGGGGCAGATGGCACAGGCCCAGCACCAAGGTCTCTGCTCTCCTGAGCATGGCTGCCAGACTCTCCCCACAACACTGGCCAGTGTTTCTGGATGTTTCCAGGGAGATACATGATTGTTTTGCACCAATCAAGCCAAGTTCGGCAATGAGAAGGTCATCGTGGGGTTTGGTCACCTTCCCACTGTGGCCTTGGAGTACTGAGCCCTCAGCCAGAGCCAGTGGGCCCCCTTTAGGGTGGGCATCTTTAGTCCCCAGAGCCAGGGTGTGCTGGAGGGGCTTAGGTCAGGGAAGCTGTCCGCAGGGTCTGCAGCCCAAGCCTGGTCCTGCTAGATGGGGGATGGGGTGTGTGGTGTAGACGAGGGTCCATGTCTCTGCACAGGGAGGGAAGTAAGCCACCCCAGGTCCATGAGGCCAGTGGCTATCCTGTGGTCCTGATTGTTGCCATCCAAGGCAGCGTCCCATTTCCTTCTGTCCCTTGCTTCTGAGGTTCGGCTGAGATGGGCTGGTGCTGCAGCCAGGACTGGGCTGAGGGCTGGAGTGATATGGGCCCTGCCATCCGCCCTGGCCGTCCCAGGGGGAATACCCTACCATTCCCACCTCGGGCCTAGCACTAGGTTCAGTCCATTAGTGCACAAGGCTCCCCTGTGTTGGGTCTGGGGCCTGTGGGTAGACAGCATCAGGTGTGTAGAGAAGAGCTGTGTGACCATGCTTGGGGAGTGCAGTGCTGTTTATCCCTTTGCTGGAGCGCCCAGTCTGCACCTCAGTCTCGGGCGGCGGCCCCCAGCTCTCCCTGCATTCTTCCATTCTGTGGCTGGCTTAAAACAGCTCCTCCACTCATGCTGGCTTCCCCGAAAGGTTGTGTTGACAGTTTCATTTGTGGGACAGGTGCTGGGGAAATGGAGAGCAGCTTTGGGGGCCTGCACTGGTCTCTCGCTCTTGCTGGGCCTGTTTTCCCAGCTGTCGGTGGGGCTGGGCTCCACAGTGTCTCTTCACCTATGAGGTGCACCCATGTCCCCGCACCGTGTTGCTGGCGCAGCTGAGCCCAGCGCTGCTTTTCCTCTTGGGGGCTCTCTGTCCTTGCAGCTGGCTCCATCCAGACCAGTGAGCAGCAGTGCTGACGCTCTGGGGATGTCACCCGCAGTGCGTGTCCTCCCCGTGGAGGGCCCTATATTGGTGCAAGGGCAAGGGATCCAGCGGAGTTGGCCTCAGTGGGCTGGCGGGACTGGGCAGGAGGATGCCTGAGCAGCCCTGGGCACCCGGCCATGCTCACTGTGCTCCGGGCAGTGTGGCCTCGTGGCTATGCCCTGCCCACTGTGGTGAGCCTGGATTGGAGCTCCGCATACTTGTCCTGCTTCTTTTTACCCATGAAAAACAAACATTCTGGGCAGCCAGGGGGCAAGCTGGGAGGGAAAGTGCTGGTTTGTCTCTGCGGCTGCCAAGCCCTCATGGCCCCCGCCTGCTCCCCTGGGGCTCTGGGGCCCTGAGGGGCAACACTGGGCTGGGCCCAGCAGGCCCAATCCCACCCTGTGCTTGGCCTCAGATGCCTGGCCCCTGCCCTTTTCTGGATGAGGCATCACACACACCAGCCACTTCAGGCTTATGGTCTCTTAACTTCATGCAGTCCCAGCCAGAACCTCAACCAGGCTTGTCCTCAGTTTTTACTCTGTCATGTGTAGCAGCACCACTCTTGTTTCTGGCCAATGTGGATATGAGTGGAGGCTGGACTGCTGGTCTGCAGACCAGTGTTGCCAGGAGCTCTCAGGCTATGGTCACCTGCGCCTGCCTCGGGGTCTTGGGCACCCATCAGTGGAGCAGCTTCTCACTCCCTGCTTGCTGGCCACACTGGCCATGCCACACCAGCTGTGTGGCTACAAATGGTCCCCCACCCTTTCTTGGCCCTGGCATCTGCCTCTGTGAGATGGGAGTGGGGTGGCCCTGTGAAATGGAGGGTGGGCTGGCATGTGGTATGAGTGGCAGAGGGCCTGGGAGGTAAGAAGCTCTAATGAGCTCTTCCTGCCCTTCCCAGCGGGCTCCAAGCCGCCCACGGCCCATGTTTCTGCTAGGTCTAGCAGGAAGCAGAGGAGCCAGGTTAGAGTCCCAAAACCCATGGGGAGTGAGCCGGCTGCTTCCGGCCAGCCTCGGATTAATGGCTTTTAATTTAGAATTTAATCAGTGTGCTTCCCTCTAGAGGGCTGGATGCTCTGGTCTGGGAGTGAGTTGTATGGTCTGTGAGTGGGGCGGGCAGGGGCCCATGATGGCCTTGCCAGGCTGTGCCCCACCCCACTGAGCTTACTCTGCTTTGCCTGCAGCTGGCGGGCGCTCTGGTCATGGAGGACTGCAATGTGCACTCGGCCGCCAGCATCCTGGCCTCGGTGAAGGAGCAGGAGGCCCGCTTCGAGAGGCTGACACGGGCACTGGAGCAGGAGCGGCGCCATGTTGCCCTACAGCTGGAGCGTGCCCAGCAGCCTGGCATGGTCAGTGGTGGCATGGGCAGTGGGCAGCCCCTGCCAATGGCCTGGCAACAGCTGGTCCTCCAGGTAACAGCCTAGTGACTTGGGAAGGGTGAAAATTGCCAAGTGGGAAAACAATCAGTGGGTCCTGGTGGACCACAAGCCAGCATGCGCTCGCTTATTGCAAGATTTGCTGGGGCTCCTGGGGAGGAAAGGAAAATGGGATCCCAGGTTGGGCTGGAAGTCCCACTTGGGTGTACTAGGCACCATGTGAAGAGTGGGCAGGACACAGCCCAACACTCAGAACAGCACCCTCCACTGAGCCCTCAGGGCCCAGGCAGCTGGATGGGGTCTGTTCTGGGCAGCTCTTTGGTCTGCCTAGAGACACTTTAGGGGTTTGCCTGCACCATGCCTAACCCTGCCACAGTGTTCATTGCATGCACTGGTGGGTCAGCCCCAGGAGGAGGCCCAGAGCTCTGCCTGCAGCTTAGAGGCTGACCTGGGAGCCTCATTTTCTCTGCTGGCCATTATCCTCAGACTGGGCTCCGGCCCCTACTCAGCCTCAGGAGGTATAGAGCCTTCTGTGTTCCATGGCCAGGCCCTAAGAACTCTAAAGTTGGGGTATGCAGTGAGCAGTTAGACCACTGGGACACCCCATTCCCAGCACCCCAGTGCTCTAACCTGTAGATGAAACAGCAAGAGCCCCTGGCTTGGGGTTAGGAGGCCGGAACAAGTACATGCAGGGAGACTTGGGATGTGGTGTGATTATCATGGTTCCTGTTACTGACTGAGGGCTAGCACAGTGGGGAGTCAGGGTGGAGCTGTCCCAGCAGCCACGGGGAAGGGGGCTCTCCTCACCACCCAGCTTAGAGGCTGGGGGGGTTGCCTCCTGCTGCGGCCTCTGGGTTCTTCACAGAGTGACCCTAGAGGGCTCTCCCTGCAGAGTCCTGTCTCCCTGGCTCAGCTCCCTGCCCCGCTAAACCCAGCAGCCAGACCTCCCCCCAGCATACTCCCAGCACCTGCACCTCCACCCGCCCTTCTTTGGTCCTGCTGGGCCCTGACTCTGGGGACCTGCGCCTGGCACACACATGCCAGGAGCTTGGGGCAGCCTGGCCCTTCTCATCTAGAGAGAAAGGGAGCAAACGCTGGTCTCTGTTGAGGCAGCCCCATGGGCTCTCCTCACCTGGCTGGGGCATGTGGGGCTCAGAACCAGCAGCCTGTGTCAGGCCGAGGGACCTGGGGTTGGTGACTACTCCTTGAGTCTTGGTGTCCAGACTTGGTGTCGGCCAGCAGGCGTCATGCTTCCTACGTCTGCTCATGAGACCCACATAGAAGGCCCAGCCCAGCACCAGTGCATGGTGAGAGTCAAATTAATGTCCCCAGAGGGTCCGAGACTCACTAGGGGGCCCTTTTTCATGGCCCCTGGTGCTCAGAGGCCTCTGGTGGGTCTCGGTGCTGGGGCCACTCTCACAGCCCTCAGACTTGAGATACTCCAAAATGTGAGGCCTCTACCCTCAAACTTGAGGCGGGGAAGCAGAACGCTGGGCCCAGCTGGGCCATATAGGGACAGTGGAAGCCAGTGACCCCGAGGCCGCCTCTCAGGCGCCAGTGTGCTCAGTCCAACCCTCCCAGACCGGAACTGTCCTCGGACAGGCAGTGTGGGAGGACCCAAGGCACCCCGGAGGGTTGATGCCCTGGTGGGAAGATGTTCCCACAGCCTGGAGCTACCCTGACCTCCTCAGGCAAAAGACTTCAAGACCTCAGGCTACTGCCCCTCCACCTACCACCCCTGCCCCTGAACTCTCCCCCCGACCCCCTACCCTTGATTTTCTCAGGCTGGGATTGAAGAGAGCATGTGTTGCCAGGGCTGCAGCTCAACTGGCTGGGCTGATGAGGATACTAGGGGAGGCAGGGCCTCCTTGGGCTGGCCAGGTTTCCCAGATTGGTTTCAGTAGGAAGTGCCTAGCGATCTACCTGCTGAGCCACAGGGTCAGAGCCCGGGCTTTGGGAAGCCAGGGCAATGGCAAGGCAGGTAGCTGGGGGCTGAGGCTGGGGAACCAGGCTAGGGGGAGTGCTGCTGCACTCACTGGGCTGCTCCAGGGTCCTGGCTACCTGCCCTTCATCTTCCAGCAGGAAGGGGCCCCTCCTCTAGACAGCCAGCTGAAACAGGGCTGACGCCCACCCAGTGGGGAGGGGTGCCATCAGGGAACTTGCCTTGGGCTCGTCTTAGGTGGATAGGTGGCTGGGGCACTAGCTGCTGGTGCAGTTGAGAAGATGGAGCCAGCTTAAAGATAAGATGCGGGCGCGTTTTTGGCGCAGTGTCTGGTCTTCTGCGCTCTGCTCCAGGGGTTCCAGGCAGGTTGGCCCTAGATGCAAGATACAGGGGTCCAGCCAGTGGTAGGGTAGCTCACCCCTCTGCAGGTGGGGGAACTGAGGCTCAGAGGGGCACATGGTGGGTACCTAGAATCTTGAGCATGCTAGCCGAGTGGCCTCTGTATATGGCGCTCAGGGCAGCAGGGAGTGGTCCCTGCGGAGGCTGTTTTCTGAGGGGTCTGCGGAGAAGCCAGTGGGAGGCCTGGGCCCGAGCCCTTTCTCTTGCCAGACCCACTGAGTCTCCCTGGGTTGGTCTCAGCTCATTTAATCTCAGAACCTGTTTCCCTGTTCGTGATGCTGGAGCCATTGGCTTGGCCTTTGTGGGGTTTGACATAAGAAGGTGGCTCCAGCCTGGCCCTTCCCCTCCCATTTTTCACTGCAGCAGAACTAGATTCCCTAGGGTGTGGCCCACATTGAGGCTGGCCTGGGGGAGCAGTGGGGGTGCATTCGGGGCTTCTGTGCCTCGATGGGGAGAACCCAAGATACAAAGTGGGGGTCCCCTGCAGGGCCCTTTTCCAGGTCCCCATCGAACTCTGTGGGGACAGTTCTTCGCAGGCCCATTCAGAGTGGCGGCTGGGCAGGAGGGTGAGGGGGGATCTGGGAGACTGGAGAGATCTCACAGAGCCGTGACTACTGTCTCATCGGCCCCCATTTCATGGCAGGTGAAACTGAGTCGCAGCCAGGTTTGTGCCAGTGAGGGAGGCCTTGTGCTCTGTGCATCGCAGCACGGGCACCTGCCCTGCCGGAACTGTTTCCCCCTTTGCAGGCGGACTGAAGTGTGGTCATAAACCGAGGCCAAACCGAGGCCTGGGAAGGACTTGGCCAAAGTCTTTCGGCGGGAAAGTGACACCCCTGCCGCAGGGAGGGGGAGGGAGCAGAAGTCCAGGCCGGCAGTGGGTGGGGGGAGGTGGTGGGAAGTGGGGGGACAGGGGGCGACCCGGGGCTGCAGGGCCCCGCCCCCTGTCTCTGGGGGGCGGGACCTCACATTGCCCGCCCCCCGCCCGCCACGCCCACCCCGGCCCCCGCCACGCCCCACCTGGGCGCGGCCCCGCCCGATTGGCTGCTCGCCGTGACCGCCGCCAGATCCGCCCCCGCGGGGAGCGAGTCCGCCGAGCCTGAGCCCGAGCGGCCGAGGCGCCGGAGCCGAGCCTGGTCCAGCCACCGCCTCCCCCGCTGCTGGCCAGCGCCCCCCGAGTCCCGGCCCGATGCCGGCCGAACTCAGACAGGTTGGAGGGAAGTTGGCTTGGGGGGACCCTGGCCCGGGGTCGGAGGCAGAGGGCGGGGCGTCGGCCTGCCCGGGAGGACCCGCTTTTGTTCCGCGGAGCCGCTGGCCCGAGGCAGCTATTGTCTTGCGCCCCTGGCTGGGCTGCGTCAGGCTGGGGCCAGGGCCGGGCGGGTGGCGGTGTGAGCGCGGTGCCCCCGGGTATGCAGGGCGGGCCGCAGGGTCTCTGGAGCCCATCCGCGGGGCCTGGGGGGGTCGGGACCCCTGGCAGTTTGACCCTCCTCTTGGCACCGGCCCGGACCGGATGGACGCTTCTTGGCCAGCGCCCAGGACAGGTGCCTGGGGACACGGGTGGAGAGCCAGGGCCTTCCTGAGCGGCTTCTGTCTGTGCAGGAAGGAGGCTGAAGTCTGAAGAGGGAAGCCCGGGTAGGCCTTCTGCTCCCTGAGAGGGTTCCTCCTCTCCCCTCCACACCCCCTACGCCGGCTCTGACTCCCGGGACCTGCAAAGGAGCTTCCGGAGCTTTAATGGAAGTCTTCTCTGCCTCCGAGGCGCACGTGATGGGAGGGATAGAGACAGGCCCTGCCCACTAATGGATGCTGGAGGAGATCTCTAAGGAAAACGGGATCCTCCCCCTCTCAGCATTGAGGTGGGGGGAGGCATAGGCAGTTTGTCCTCTGCTCAGAGCAGTGCTGGGTTCAGTAACAGGCAGGGAAACTGAGCAGAGGAGAGACCAGCCAAGACCCTCTGTGGTGGGAGGCAGGTCTCCCACACACCTGCTACCTGGGCAACTAGGCCCCTGCCTGTCCTACGGCCCTGGTGTGGCCCCCAGGGTCTGGCCCTCAGAGGTGGAGGGACCAGTTTTTGGGAAATCCATGGTCACAGTGTGTCTGATGACCCCAAGCTGAGCTTGGGGAAGCTGAGGTGGATGACAGTCAGCCCTGCTCTCCCACCCCAAGTTTGCTCCCCCAGCTTGGCTTTTTGGCATCTCTGCCTGGGGCCACGCCCTGGCAGGTGCACTGCTGTGTGGAGAAGTAAGCTCCAGGTCTTGGAGACTGGTCAGAGGCTGTGGCACCAAGGGAAAGGGCATTTTGTGGTGGCCAAGGGCTTGCTGCCTGGTGAGAGATGCCAGCCTGGCTTGTCCTGGACTCTACCTGGGAGGGCCATAATGGGGATGGAGAAGATTCATTCATTCATCCATCGGACAGCAGCCACCTCCTGCCCTCTGGGAGCCTGGCCTGCAGGTGTGGGATCCAGGTGTGCAATCTCACCTTAACTCATTCTCTGTGTGTGCTAGCCAGGCCTTGGACAGGGGAGGGGCCTGCCCCTGCAGTCTGTTCTTCAGGACACAGACCGTGGTGCATCTGTGAAGTCCGGTGGTTTGGGTAGATAAGTAATATGGGACCAGGGCCCAGCCACCTGTGCCCCAGCATCCCTCTGTGTGTTGGTCCAATCTTGCTTTTCTGCTCCCTGTGTTCCTTGCATTTTGCCACAAAAGTGAGACTGATGCTACCCAGCACGTCCCACGACCCCAGCCCCCTCTGTCCTTCTCACCTCCTTGTGAAGAAGCTGAGCCGAAGGTGCGTGATGGGGCCCAGAGCCCCTATGCTGGGCTCAGCCCTGTGTTCCCGGGACCCTCTTGTGAGCAGGGGTAGGTGGTCTACCTCCCTGGTCACTCTGGCCCCTCCCACAAGCCCAAGGGAGCTCATGGGAAACCCCAGGCCTGGGCAGCAGCCTGTTTCTGGGCCAGTCCTGGGGGCCCCAGACCTGGTGCACCAGAGATTGAAGAGCCAAGGGAGGGATGAGTGCTGGGAGGCCGGGCGGGGTGCAAGAGGAGCAAGGATGGGGCCCCAGCTGGGGAGGGGGTGATGAGAGACGACTGACAGGATGCAGCATGTGGGATTGGGCTGGAGGTGGGGTGTTCAGGGTAGAGCCCATGTCTAGGGTACAGAGGGGAGCAGCCCAGAGTTGGGTCTGAGGCAGAGGCTGTGTGGGGCTGCAGGGCCAGGGTCCCTGAGAGTGGGCCAGCCTGGGCAGGTGCACGTCAGACATGGACACTGGGGCCAGACAGGGATCCAGGGACTGCAGCCAACTCCTGTTGAGAGTCAGCCCACCATTCCACAGCCCCACCCTAAAGATGTTGCAGAGAGCTGAGCCACCAGCTGGCTATGGGCCTCTCACTACTCTACACCTCAGTTTCTCCATCTGCCAGCCAGCTCTGAGACTCCCAGAGTGGATGCTGGGCAGATGATTGGCAGAGTTGGTGGCCCCTGTCCCTGTGTGTTGAGACTCTGTGAGGCCCTGCATGGATAAGGGTCTCCGATACACGGTGGAGGACGGGAGGATGTGTGCTCACGAGTGTGCCTCTGGGAACAGTGGGCGCCGTGCCCTTGGGGTGCTGTTAGAGCACACGGGTTGATGTGCTCGGCCTGTGCCGGGCTGGGTACTTGCACACGTGTATGTACATGCATGTGTCCCTGTCTGAGGGGTCATGTATATGCATGTGTGTGTGCCTGGGCATGTGTAGCAGGGGCCGGGCTTTCCTGTGATCACTGGCTGACTCATGCACCTGCCACCCGGGTGAAGTCATCCCTCGTTTTTAGCTCCCTGAGGTCATTTGCCAGCAGGGACTCTTGGGGCCTCTGGATCCTACTGCGGGGCTGCTAGGCCGGGGCTGATGGGTGGTGCCGCAGGGTTGCCAGGTCTTGCTGCGGGGGCGTGGCTCTCCTGGACCACCCCAGCTCTGCCTGTCAGACCCTCACCACAGCCTTGGTGGGAGGGATAAGCTGGGCCACAGAGTGGCATCGGGGTCCTGAGATGTCCTCCCCTTTTCCTCTCCCGCTTACCCCCACTGCCTAGCTAGGGAAGAGGGGGTTTTTCTCTGAGTTTTTAATAGATGTAAATATATACATATATGAGGGGCTACATCCCACTGGCAGAGTCCTGGGTAACGTTTCCTCAGTCTTGCTTTATACCCTCCTCACTCTGTCGCCAGAACTGCAGCCCCTCAGTGCCTGGGCCCCTGCTTGAACTCAGATGAGCCCCGCCCAGGGCCCAGCAGAGAGAGCTCAGGGCCTGACACACATTTGCCAGATACAGATGGGGCAGCCCAGCCCCAGCAGTGATGGGCCACACAAGCCTTCTCCTGCTTCAGAGCAGTCCCAGCTCCCCAGTGCCTTTGGAGAAGAGCCCAGCCTGCCCTGCCTGGCAGCGTGCCAGTTGTCCCCACTCTAGGCCTCAGTCTATTTCTTTTTCCCAGGGAACAGGTCCCCTTTTCCTAGCCAGGTCCACAGCAGGCATTCCACCTACATCTCAAGACTGAGGGCGAGATGAGGCCCAAAGCCTTCCTTGCCAGATTGCCTTCTCTGGGGGTGCTTGAAATCCCACTTGGACTGTGAAGTTCTAGGTAAATCCTCTTCCCCCTGCCAGGCCTCAGTTTCCCCATCTATAAAGTTATCTGTCATCCTCCAAGACCCTGCCTGTGGGAGAGGGGGAGGTGCCTTCTGTGGCCACTTCTTTCCTCTGTCAGCCTGAGGGATACACCTGTCCTAACATGTTGGTGCAGGCCCCTTCCTGGACACCTGCACTGCATGCATTTGGGGGTCAAGTATTCCCCCAGGATAGGACCCTGACCTGGGGAGGCTTCCCAGCCCACGAGCCTTGGCAGGCAGGTCCTGAGGGCAGCGCTGAGCATCTAACCTGGCTCACCTCCCAGGCCCAAGAATGGGCAGAGTCTGCCTCTGGAGCCTGGCAGAGCTTAGTGTCTGTGCAGGCCCCAGGGGGCCCAGGCAAGGGACCCATTGTGCAGGGACCAGGGGCCTGGGCCACAAAGCAGGACCTGTCCTCCTGCTGACCCTGCCCTGGCTGCCTGGGAATGTGCTCCGCCTGACCCACCCACCAGGGCTTGGGTTTCAGCTCCTGCCCATCCTGGCTAGATGCCGATCCCCGGATGTTGGTGCCATGTGGCCCTGGGGCCAGGCACCTGTGCAGTCAGAGGCCCGGGGCAGGCTGTGAGTCTTAGGTCCTCAAGCCACTCAGCGCGGCAGGGGTTGGGCCTGGCTCTGATGTGGGCCAGCCTATCCTCTTTGAGCCTCAGTTTCCCCACTGGCAAGTCCAGTCAGTAGGCATGTGGATAGAAAAGTCTCAGTCCAGAGTTGTCTTGCCTAGAATTCCAGTGTCGTCACCCCATGCAGAATGGTGGCAAGGGCACCCATAGGCTCAAATCTACTGTGTCTGGTCTCTGATATGATGCCCAGAGTCTCAGTCACTGGGGGCGCCAGCCACTGGCCCGAGGTAGGGCAAACCTGTGCCTACACAACACTCAAGAATGTCTGGGCTGGAAGGAATAAGGACATACTGGTGCTGCAGGTGCATGGGGTGTTCTGGGAACTGCGTATTTCTGTCCCTTGAGGGCGTCTGGCTGGCGTTGGTGGCGGGAACCTTAGTGTGGCCACAGGAGTCAGTAGGCAGTGCTGAAACAGCCCCCACAAGGCTTCTATACTCAAGGTGTCTGGGGCAGGTGAGGGAGGAGGCCCCAGGACACCATGATGTCCCAGCTAGGGGTGGTGGTTGACATCAGGAAGGCATGCTGCAGGTCTCACTGGCACCTCCTGGGGCCTGGAGGAGCCTGTGGCAGCCAGGCCATGCAGCTTGGGGAGGGCCCTGAAGACTTCACCCCCCAGGGTCTATGTCCTTATCTGCCAACTCAGCCTGAGGAGACCTGAGATGGGGGTCCAGCCCCAGGGTCCCCCCAGGATGGGGTGCCGGGGCAGGGTTAGCACCTCGATGTTCAGAGGGCAAGAACTTATTGCTGTCCTTGTCAGCTTGGGCCGAAACAGGCCTTGGGGTGGGTGGGTTCAGGACCAGGAGGAAGGCACCCTGGTGTGCTGGCCAGCATGAGCTGAGGCAGAGCTGCTGTGTGTGGAGACCTGCACTCCAGGGGTGACTGAGCAGCAGGCCTGCCCACCAATGTCCCTCCTTGCCCCAGGAGCAGAGCCCAGGCAGCCAGGCCTCACTGGCCACGATGCCGGAGGCACCTGATGTGCTGGAGGAGACCGTGACGGTGGAGGAGGACCCCGGCACACCCACTTCCCATGTGTCTATTGTCACATCCGAAGATGGCACAACCCGGCGCACCGAGACCAAGGTATGGCCAGGCCCAGGCAGTGGGTGGGTGAGCAGGGCCAGGCTGCTGCAGCTGTCCCACCTGCAGAGTGGACATGGAAGCTTGCCACGTGGGGCCTCTCATTGCTCGAGTGGGAAATTAAGGCCAGCCAGACCCCAGCAAAGCAGTTTCTAGGCCTCTCGTGCTACCCCACCTACCTGCCTATCCATCCACCAGGTCACCAAGACTGTCAAGACGGTGACCACTCGGACAGTACGCCAGGTGCCCGTGGGCCCAGATGGACTCCCCCTGCTGGATGGCGGCCCCCCACTAGGCCCTTTTGCAGATGGTGCCCTGGACCGGCATTTCCTGCTGCGTGGTGGTGGCCCAGTGGCCACACTCTCTCGAGCCTACCTCAGCAGTGGGGGTGGCTTTCCCGAAGGCCCCGAGCCCCGGGACAGCCCCAGCTATGGCAGCCTGTCCCGAGGGCTGGGCATGCGGCCCCCACGTGCTGGCCCCCTTGGCCCAGGCCCTGGTGATGGCTGCTTCACACTGCCTGGCCACCGGGAAGCCTTCCCGGTGGGTCCTGAGCCTGGGCCACCAGGTGGCCGCTCCCTGCCCGAGCGCTTCCAGGCAGAGCCGTATGGCTTGGAGGATGACACGCGCAGCCTGGCCGCTGATGACGAGGGTGGCCCTGAGCTGGAGCCTGACTATGGCACGGCCACAAGGAGGAGGCCTGAGTGTGGGCGGGGCCTTCATACCAGGTGAGCTGCACCCCGTCCCCTGTGGCTACCTCCTCTGGGAAGTCTGCCCTCCACCCCCCAACTACAGAGTGCCCCACTTGTCAAGTGGCGCAGTTGAGTTAGTCATGCATGTTAGTTTGAATTGGCCTTGGCTCTCGTCAGGGACAGAAGAAAGGTGGACCCTGGGGTGGTAGGAGTTCGGCTGGGCACTGTCCTGCAGGCCCAGGGCCCAGGAAAGCTGGGAAGAGTGCCGGCCACTGGCCTTGCTCCAGCCACACTCTGGGTAACCAGAACCCAGAGCCCTGGCCCTTGTCACAGCCCCTGGTTCTGTCCCCATTGCCCTCAGTTTCTGCATCTCTGGAGTGGGGATGTGACCACAGCCCGGGTCAGGATTTTGTTGTGTGACCCTGGCCAAGTCACCTGACCGTCACTCCTAGCCTCAGGGCAGGCGGTTTGATGACAGCAACCCACAGGGCTACTGAGAGCTAAGGAGATCTTGTGCCCCAAGGGGCTGGTGGCCTGAATACTCCTCAGGTGGTCCTACTGGGATGGCTTCATGCGGAGAGGGCCATTTACTCCCCCTACATCCTGGCACAGCCAGAGATGGGCCTCATGGAAGATGGGGTGGTTTTGTGGAAGGGAGGTGAGACGGTCTCTCCAGCAGCCATAGCAGATGTCTCACAGAAACTTGTTTTGCTCGGGATTGGGAAACTGCCCGGTGACAGCAGTGAGTGAGTTTGCTGTCCTGGGAGGGTTGCCTGGGTCCTGGTAGCCGCTGGCTGGGGTTTGGCATTTGGCTCTGAATTGGTTCTCACTGGGCTGGTGCATGACTCTCTGTGTCCCCACCATGCTCCGGGCCAAGATACAGGTGCTCTCAGCCCAGCGCTGCTGGGTGAGTTTGCAGTCCTGAAGAAGGTGTGATGGGGCAGCTCAGAGGCAGGGCTGGCGGCTGCTGTGACGATGTCCACGCGCCCCACTTGCCTGTGCAGGGCCTACGAGGACACAGCAGATGATGGCGGCGAGCTGGCGGACGAGCGGCCTGCGTTCCCAATGGTGACGGCGCCCCTGGCCCAGCCTGAACGGGGCAGCATGGGCAGCCTGGACCGGCTGGTGCGGCGCTCGCCCTCAGTGGATAGCGCCCGCAAGGAGCCGCGCTGGCGGGACCCTGAGCTGCCTGAGGTGCTGGCCATGCTGCGGCACCCCGTGGACCCCGTGAAGGCCAATGCGGCCGCCTACCTGCAGCATCTGTGCTTTGAGAACGAGGGTGTCAAGCGGCGTGTACGGCAGTTGCGGGGGCTGCCGCTGCTTGTGGCACTGCTGGACCACCCGCGGGCTGAGGTGCGGCGCCGGGCCTGTGGGGCACTGCGCAACCTCTCCTATGGCCGCGACACTGACAACAAGGCCGCCATCCGGGACTGCGGTGGTGTGCCTGCCCTGGTGCGCCTGCTGAGGGCTGCCCGGGACAACGAGGTCCGTGAGCTTGTCACTGGTGAGTGGGACCTGGCCATGCTCACATCCCCTGGGAAGAGAAGAGTGTGAGGCTCAACCCGGGAGGAACGAGGCCACTCGGCCTGCGACCGCCTGGGAAAGCACCCGGTAGGCAGGAGTGCAGCTGCTGAGACGCTTGCCCCAGGAGCCAGGCATCAGGCCCAGACACTGTGACAGGTTCCCCAGTCTCTACCATAGCAGGGAGGCTGACGCTGCGCCCCTCGGGCATGTCCCCTCACCTCCTGCCTTCACACCTCCTGCCCCCACAGAAACTCTCCTGGGACCCACCTCCTTGGTTCCCACCCCAACCGTGCAGTGGTGGGGCTTGTGCCTTGTGAGAGCTGAGGGACAGGTAGGGTCACCGTGTCTCTGTGAGGCCCTGTGGCCTCAGGAGTGTTAGTGCCACCTGCCACATGGCAGGGAATGGGTGGGACGGGACAGCACTGCCACACCCTCCTCTGCACCTCCTCCCCTTTGGGGCTCCTTCCTAGCTGGAAACCAGTACTGGGTGTCCCCCGGAACCACTCACGGCTTTTGTTACTTCCTACTGTTCTGCATGAGCTGGGACATGAGGAGAGTGGGACAGGTCCTGAGCGTGGCCACCTGGGGAGGTAGGCAGGCGGTGCATATGGTCAGCACAGATTGGCCAATCGCACCCCACAGGCACCCTGTGGAACCTGTCATCCTATGAGCCCCTGAAGATGGTCATCATTGACCATGGCCTGCAGACGCTGACCCACGAGGTGATCGTGCCCCACTCAGGATGGGAGCGTGAGCCCAACGAGGACTCCAAGCCACGGGACGCCGAGTGGACAACTGTCTTCAAGAACACGTCGGGCTGCCTGAGGTGTGGACCAGACCTGGTGCTAAAGCCCACATGCACACCAGGCCCCGTCCTCGTGGTCCCAGATAGTGTGGAAGATGGCGGCGAGCTTAGGAGCGCCAGAGCTTAGGAGCTTCAGAGCTGTGGCACAAGTCCTGTGGATGAGAAGTGGGGCCTGATGGAGCTGTCCTCACCCCCAAGTGGTGTCCCAGTCTTCCCAGGGGCACCCTCTGGAGGGGTCTCTGTGGTACCGTAGCCCTGCCCAGCTCTCACCTACCTTCCCATCACTTGACAGCCAGAGGGGGAGCTGGGACCTTCCTGTTCATCTGCCTGGGAGGCTCATCCCAGCCACCTGTGACCTCTGCCCTTCCCCTCCTACCCCTGGGAGGCCCTGCTGACCCCACAGAGTCCTGGGTCCCCACAGTCCTGCTTGTCCATCAGGGTGTTCCCGCGCAGCCCTGCAGGCTCTTGACCTTGGGGTAAGGTGGGGCCCAGAGCTGCCATTGGGGTGGCGAGGGACCCAGAATTGCCCTTGCACAGGTTCAGGTCTCTCTGAGAGTGCACCTGTCCCTTTCCAGGTCAGCTGGGAGGCAGGGAAACCCTGTCTTTCCCTGCCCAGCTATCCCCAGCCAAGATAGTTGTCTGCCAGGGCTCCCCTCCTGAGGCCTGGGGGCAGTTAGCTTCTCCCCCTTCACTGAGCTCCAGACTGTGGGGTCCTTTCCCATTAGTGCTAGGAGGGCAGCAGCAGGGCCTATTTTGCAGATGAAGACAAGCCCACAAGGCCAGGGTGGAGCCAGGGAGTTTCTGGTAGCCAGGGGTCACCTGGCCTGCTCTTGGCCACACAGGAATGTGAGCTCCGATGGTGCTGAGGCCCGGCGGCGACTCCGGGAGTGTGAAGGGCTGGTGGACGCGCTCCTGCATGCCCTGCAGTCGGCTGTGGGCCGGAAGGACACTGACAACAAGGTGGGCAGGGACGGTCACAGCCTCATACCAAGGGCTGGAGAGACGATCATGCAGGTCCCAGGAGGCTGGAACTGTGGGAGCAGCACAGGGGAATGGGCTTGTGGGTCTGGGGTGGCGTTCTGGGTGTGGCCCGCCTCGCAGTGACCACACTGAAGTGGGCACCGTCCTGCAGGCAGAAGGTGTGCCGTGAGGGCAGAGGCTTCCTCCCATGGACCCTTCCTGGCGGTTACCGCCCTTTTGCTCCCCTCCACTGAGGACTCCCTGTTCCTTTGCTCCCGGTGCCCTCATGCACACCAGCTGTGGCCAGTCTTTCCTGAGGGCCAGCCCTGTGCCTAGGGTGCCCTGCCCCACCCACTCACCTCTCCCTGCAGTCGGTGGAGAACTGCGTGTGCATCATGCGGAACCTGTCCTACCACGTGCACAAGGAGGTGCCCGGGGCCGACAGGTACCAGGAGGCCGAGCCCGGGCCCCTGGGCAGTGCTGTAGGCTCCCAGCGCCGGAGGCGGGATGATGCCAGCTGCTTTGGAGGCAAGAAGGCCAAAGGTGGGTGGGGCGGACTGGGGTATCATCTCTACCATCTCAACTCCTGCCCCAGCGGAAGGCTCTCTGTACACCCACAGCAGCCCATCATGGAGGCTAGAGGACACCTGGTCAGCCCCCAACAGGCAGGCAGGGAAGCCAGGAGTCAAGGAGGCTGGACTGCCCTGGGTCACATGGTTGATGGGACCCAGGTCCAACCTTCCCCATCTACACTGTGGGACCCCCAGGGAGTACACAAGGGAAACCAACCAATGCCCAGACCCAGTCTTTCTACTCCGGGGAGAGTTCCACTTGCCCATGAGTTGGGAAGGAGCCATGGCTGCTGCCTGCTCACTGTTCACAGAATAGCTGTAGACTGCCACCAACCTGTGGGGCAGCCCCCCATCTGCCTGGGCAAGATGCCCTGCACACCTTCTCTACTGCACTAGCAGGGTGTAGGTTCCCAGGACCTCCCCAGCAGCTGTGGGGGACCTGTACGCCACCTGCCCCTGCCCCACTGACCCCAGGCCTCCCTCTTCTTGTACCCCTGGTGGGTGCTCAGTGCCCAGAAGTGATGGGATGAGGTTCCACATGCTGCCTGCTTGATCCAGGGTGTGCAGTGGGAACCTGAGGCTTCCGGGAGGGCATGGGGGGGTGATGAGTGCTGCCTGTTCAGGCTCCTCTCCTCTCTCCTCTGCTTCCTCCGGCCTCCCAGAGGAGTGGTTCCACCAAGGTGAGTCCCTTTTTATCCTGCTCTCCAGGCCTGGCGTGTGCAGTGGGTACCTGGGAAGAGGCGAGCACGTTCCAGCCCCAGGGCCCTGCCCCACCCCTGGCTTCATCACTCGGGCTGCCATCTTTATGACAGTGGCAGGTGGGAAGGCCACGGGGCTCATTCTGTAACCTCAGACTTGCCTACCTGGGCAGAGTTGGGCAGAGCCAAGAGTGGGCAGGGCCCGGGGGTACTTATCTCTAGGGGCACCAAGGAGCAGTCTGTTTCTCTGATAGAATGGGGCATCATGTGGCTCGGAGGGATACAAGGGTCCCATGAGGGTGAGCAGGGCAGGGACCCCAGGTCATCTGGCTCCACTCTGCTGCCTTCTGAAGGGGTAGAAGCATCATCTGACATGGGGAGAGTGGTTGACAGTGGGCTCACTGTCACAGACGTGTGCAAGCCAGGGCTACACAAATGTTAGGTGGGCTGCTGTGGGGTTTCTCCTGGCTAGTAGATCCTGGGACAATGTCCTGACCCCAGCTGGGGGAGTTTCCCCCTAGTTCTGCCTTACTGTGTGACCCAAGTGAGTCTTGTCCTGGTCAGCCTTCAGTTTCTTGGCTTGTATCCACCTACCATCCAGCCAGGGCTCCTGGCTTCCCTCAGTCTACATACCTGGCAGTTGCAAGGGAGCCACCGGGAGGGTCTGTGGTACAGCTCCCAGCACCTGGTGGGAGATGAGTCCTAGGGGCAGGGCTGGGACATCCCCAGGCCCCACTGCCACCAACTCCTACCCCTAGGCTAAACTGTCTGCCCAAACTCTGACAACGGTGCTCCACTCCCACAGGTGCCCAGGCCTGGACATGGGGGTGCCTTTTGGGGCCTGGGTAGGAGAGAACTGTGCCCAACTCTCCTGATACACCCATTCCCCATATGGGGTCTGCCTCACCTCCCACCACCTTTCCCTTCCAGGAAAGAAGGATGGTGAGATGGACCGGAACTTTGACACGCTAGACCTGCCCAAGCGAACTGAGGCCGCCAAAGGTGAGTGGGCTGAGATGAAGCCAGCTCCACTGGGGGATGTCTGGGCTCAGGATTGCCCTGGTAGTGAAGCTTTGAGCCATCAAGCAGGCCTGGAGGGCCTCAGGGAACAGATGGGGAAACAGGCCCCTAGGTGCAGGATTTCCTGGAGGGTGATTCAGCACCAGGACACCTGCTGAGGGTTTAGAATGGGAGGAAGTGCCATGGGTCATGTCAGGCAAGGTTGGGGGAGACAGGCACAGAGAGGCCGAGGGCTTGCTCGGCCTCACGGTGCGTAAGAGGTGGGAAGGTTTGGAGGGACGCCTCCAGTGGAGGCAGGGCCTCCTGTGTTAGCCACAAAGCTGAGTTATCTGAGGGGGCTGGGAGCCAGGCGGGCATGCTCACATCCAGGTTCAGAGGCTGGGCCAGACGAACACCTGCAGGGACAGGGCAGTGCCTATTGGGCTGTATGCTGGGATCTGGCTTGAGAGAGAGGTCTGTCCTGGTGGGGCCTAGCCAGTTGGAAGAGCCTGCATGTCACCAGGGTGGAGGGCTCCAGCCGCAGGAGGGCTGTGGGGGAGTATTACAGGCAGAGCAGGGCTGATGCAGATACCCCAGCGGGGAGTGTGCTTGGAGTGTGTTGGAGCAGAAAGCCCAGCAGGGCAGGAGTAGAGGGAGCATGGGGCATGAGGACTGGCGAGGGTGTGATGAAATGTCACTGGGTGGGTACAGGGGAGATCGAGGTAGTACCCAAGCCAGGCTGAAGCCCCAGTTTGGAGACAGGCAAGCTTGGAAGGCTGTTTTGACCCCTCATTTCTGGAGCACTGGGCAGAGCAGCAGGACGGCGCCTCAGTTGCCCGGGAACTTGGAGTGGTTGCCAGGAAGAGTGCCTCCTGTTGCTAGGGCAGCTGCCCTGGTTGCACTGCATCAGTTGACTTACAGAGGGTGGGCTCTATTGTCAGTGGGGGAGGGTGGGCCCTGTTGCTAGGGGGCGTAGCTCTCTGCACAGCTTCAGTTACTGGTGAAAGCAGGTCCTCTTGCTAGGGGTGTGGCCTTGGTTATACAACTCTCAGTTACTGGCCAATGCTGGTCTTGTTGCCAGGGAGGGTGGGCCCTATTACCAGGGGCGTGGCCAGGATGCATAGCTTCAGGGACCTACCGGGAAATGCGGGTCTTGTTGCTAGGAGAGCGTTCCTGGTTGACACCTCCCTCCCCACCCCAGGCCTCCTGGATGCTCCTGCTGCCAGGCAGGTCCAACTGATTTGAGCCTCAGTTTGTTCCTCTGTGAAATGGGAACGCTTTTCCCCTTGGGTGACTATATGTTGATAGTAAATATTACGTGACTCATCCACACCCATCCCTGGCCCCAGCTCACCCACGCCCTGGGAGCTCTGAAGCGGGAAGCGGGAGGGGTATGATGGATGAGAGCAGATTCTGGGTGACCGTGGGTGGCGGTTGCCCTGCACCTAGGCTTTGAGCTGCTGTACCAGCCCGAGGTGGTACGTCTCTACCTCTCCCTCCTCACGGAGAGCCGGAACTTCAACACCCTGGAGGCTGCCGCCGGCGCTCTGCAGAACCTCAGTGCCGGCAACTGGATGGTGAGGGACCAGGTCGGGCAGGGTGGGCAAGTCCTGAGAGAGGGAATCCCAGGCACCTCACTGGTGCAGCTCCTGCCTCGGCTGGCGGGGAAAGGAGGGGCCACACCACCACCCCAGGATCCAAGAGGTGTATGGGCTGCGGGCAATGCGTGCACCCTGGACGGTGGGAAAACCTCGGTGGAGGTGCCGTTGAGCTTTTGGGGTAGGGCTTTGTCGGGCACGGGAGCAGGAAGGTCCAGCTGGAGAGAGCGGTCAGCGTCTGGAGGTGGGAGAGTGCCTGGCATGTATGTCTGAGCAACCCTCTCCCCGCCTCCGCAGTGGGCCACGTACATCCGCGCCACAGTGCGCAAAGAGCGCGGGCTGCCGGTGCTTGTGGAACTGCTGCAGTCTGAGACCGACAAGGTGGTGCGCGCCGTCGCCATCGCTCTGCGCAACCTCTCGCTGGACCGGCGCAACAAAGACCTCATCGGTGAGGACGCCTGCAAAGCCCACGCCTGGGCACCGAACTGTGCCTGCAGCTTTGGGGTCCCATCGGAGGGGCTTGGAGGATGAGTGGTTTGGGAGTCCAGGCCCCGGCCCTCTCGCTTGGGCGCTGTCCCAACTGGAGGTAGCTCCAGTCCCCCCGGCCCTGTCTCTGAAGCTCAGCGCCCTGCTCACAGGGGCTCCTGTGACCGCCTGCACACAGGCGGTCTCCAGGGGCTCTCCTGGCAGTGCCCCTCGCCCTCGCGGGATCCCTGCTCCTTCCTGGAGAGGTGGGGCAGAGGTGTGTTCTGACACCTAGTCCTGCCCCTCAGGGAGCTACGCCATGGCTGAGCTTGTGCGGAATGTGCGCAATGCACAGGCTCCGCCGCGACCGGGGGCCTGCCTGGAGGAAGACACCGTGGTGGCGGTGCTCAACACCATCCACGAAATCGTGTCCGACAGCCTGGATAACGCGCGCTCGCTCCTGCAGGCACGCGGGGTGCCAGCGTTGGTGGCTCTCGTGGCCTCCAGGTGTGGAGGGGCGGGGTCGGTGGCTTGGGGAGCCGCGGAGGTGGGGGAGGGGCCACCACTGACCCCGCCCCCGGCCCCACAGCCAATCGGTACGCGAAGCGAAGGCGGCGTCACACGTGCTGCAGACAGTGTGGAGCTACAAGGAGCTGCGTGGTACCTTGCAGAAAGATGGTTGGACCAAGGCGCGCTTCCAGGTGCGGCTTCCCTGGCCTTCCTTCCATTCCCTGCTCACTTTGCCTTATTCCCACTCCATGTGCTTCACCCACCCTGTGTCTGTGTTTTATGTCTCAGTCAGCTGCTGCTACTGCCAAGGGGCCTAAGGGAGCACTGAGTCCTGGGGGCTTCGATGACAGCACGCTGCCACTGGTGGACAAGAGCCTTGGTGAGTGGTGGAGCTTAGGGAGCCTAGAGGGTGGCGACCCCAGCTGCCCCAGTTGCCTGACCCTTGGGTGAAGGTGAAGGAGGAGTCAGGCCTCCCACTGAGACGGCTTCCATAGGCCACTTTCCCTGCCCTCTGCCTCTTGGCTACTCCCTTCCCACAGCATCCGCGCTGTTGTCAAGCTGGGGTGAGGCTGCCAGCTGGCAGAGGTTGGGCACCTTAGTGACAGAGAGCCTCTAGGGCTACCTGGGCCAGCCCTGTGTGGGCTTCTCTGCCCCGATCCCCCCTGGCTGCCACATGCAGCCCGTCTCCTCCTCCTGCCTTGCAGAGGGCGAGAAAACTGGCAGCCGGGATGTGATCCCCATGGATGCGCTGGGCCCAGGTGAGTGCAGATGCAGTGTGGTTGGTTTTCTGTGCCGGGAGGGGACCAAGGCCTGAAGTGGGCCTGCTGGTTTTATGGGGTGTAGATGGTGCTGGGTGGAGGAGAGATATTTGGTTTAGGGGTGCTTAGAGGGTGAGGTACAGGGCAGCTAGAGAGGGATTAGTGCTCAGCCAGGGGCTCTGACCCACAAGTGGAGGGGAGTCTGGAGAGTTGGCAGGGTGTTGGTGAGAGCTGGCACCAGCCTGGATCTCCAGGACAGGGTGGGTGGGGGCTGTCTCCCAAAGCCCCTGTCCCACGAGTCCCCTGTGTCTGGGCTGAGAGGGAGATCTGCTCCTACAGGGCCTCCCTCAGAGCGCCCCTCATGCCCCACCTTACCCCATCTACAGACGGATACTCCACGGTGGACCGGAGGGAGCGGAGGCCACGGGGCGCCAGCTCTGCAGGAGAGGCCTCTGAGAAGGAACCCTTGAAAGTAAGTGGTCATGTGGCTGTGGGCAGGTCCCCGGTGAGGCCCCGTGTCTAGGGGTTGCTGGAGAGCAGCCTAGGCCATGCTGGGTCTGGTCTGGGCCCTGGGGTACAGCTGGGTTGTGGGGCCAAGCCCAGGAAGCAGCCCCTTCACGCCAGTCAGTCTGTGGGTACTGACAAGTTTGCAGCTCCCACCCACTGGGGACAACACTGCCCGGCCACACCCTGCATGGGCCAGAGCCTGTGAGCTAGTGTGTGTGCACCCTTCTGTGCATGTGCGTGTGAGAGCCCACCAGGGTCCACCAGCGATGGCAGGACCTGCTGCCTGCTGTGTGCCAATCCCCTGGCTTCCTGTGCAGGCCTGTGTGTGTGCACGTGCCCGCCCTGGGCCCGTGTGAGCCACACGTTTCCGGCTCCCTGCGCCCTTGGTGCTACCTGTGCTGTCCTGGCAGGCCAACCCTTACATCGCCAGCCTCGGCCCTGCCCCTGCCCTGTCCCCCCAGGAGCTCTAACTAACCTGCTCTATTGTGCCTCTAATGCCCACCCGTGCGCTGCAGCTCGACCCCAGCAGGAAGGCCCCTCCCCCCGGGCCCAGCAGGCCCGCGGTCAGGCTGGTGGACGCCGTAGGGGACGCTAAGCCTCAGCCCGTTGATTCCTGGGTCTAGCTTGCATGCCTGGTACGTTCTCTCATCTGGTTGTTCGTCCACCTGTTCCTGCCCTCTGGGCCAGGGCTTCTTGTTAGTCTCCGCTGCCTGCACGCTCTGCTCTTCCCGCACGTTCCCCGCAGGACTTTGGCCTCCAGTCCAGCAGCCCAGTGGCCCATTCCCGGAAAGACCAGGCAGAGGTCAGAGAGGGAGGGTGCTCCCTGGGCCCACAGCCCTGTCCCAGGCACTGTGGGATCAGGGGCCTGAGGAAATGGGACCAGAGTAGGGATGGGCACCATACCCTCCAACGCCCTTCGGGGACCAGCAAGTCAGGATCAGCCCTGGTGCCAAGACCCTTGGGGTCAGCCCACACCACCCAGGGCAGATGCTTCTATCCACATCTCCATCCATGTAGCCTGTGGAGTTGGCTGCCCTGCCCTGAGGTTACACGTGGTCCTGTGCCACTCAGTGGCTGCAGCGTCCACCATCCCCTTTCCCTCTGCAGGGCCCAGGCCCAGCCTCTTGTTCTTAGGGCTTGGATCGTGGAAGAAGGGCCACCCTGAGCAGATCGTGCCGTGGAGCTTGGAGCCCCCTGGCGGCAGGGGTTGGCAGCGCCTCGCCCCAGCCAAGCCTGACTTTGGGGACACCCTCCTGCCCCCCCACCCCACTCCCCCCATCCTACCTAACTCCCTAGGCCTGAGTTAGCTGTTTACTGACATGGTGCTGTGTGTGAGCGAGTGACAGAAGGCCCGAGGAGGCCGACTGGGCTGCTGGGGCAGGGCCCAGGGAGGTGGCAGGGAAGGGTGCCTGGCTGGGCTTTGGGGCTGGTGGGATAGGAGGGTGCCCCTGGGAACACAGTGCCCCAGTGGTGCGGGCCAGGTCTGGCGCCAGGGGCAGGCAGCTAGGCAGGGAGGGGGCTGGGAAAGAACTTGGACTTCTAAAGGCGGAGGGTCTCCCTGGGCACCCTGCAGGCAGGCAGACCACGGTGTGGGGGGTGCCCCACAAGGCCCAGCCCTGGGCAAGGAAGCTTTGGAAGCAGCAAGGTGGGGGTCAGGCTACAGGTGCCCCACCTCCCCAGAGCCCTGCAGTCACGTGAGGCCCCTGTGCAGTAGAGAGCCTTTCTCCAGCCCATGCTGGCTGGGGCCGGGGCTGCCGCATCTGCCTGGAGCCTGGGCAGCACCTCCGGGACTGACCTTCGGCAGTGGCTGGGGGACTGCTTTCAGTGCCTGCTGTTCGTGACTCAGAAACAGAAGAAAAACACTGAGAAAAAGCATTAAAAATAAGCCAAAATAAGACTATTGGTAAACACCTAAATTTTTGTAAGAAAATTTAAAAATTAAAGCAGCAAAGGAACTTTTTGCTTTCTGCCACTCAGGTCTGGCACAAGTGGCTGGCTTCTCCCTTGTGTCGGGCCTCTGCGCGTCTGGGGCAGGGCCCTGGGTGGAGGTGGTCCCAGGTGCCCATCTGCTGTGTCCTGCAGAGGCTCTGTTTCTGGTCCCTGGGTGGCCCCAAACTTGTCCACTTGGGCTCACTGGTCTGTCTATCCATAGGAGTGGGCTGGCTGGGGGCTAGCCAGGCCTTGAGCCCAGGAGTAGAATCTTGGCTAGGGGCTGGTCTCGGTGCAGGTGAACTCAGCTAGCACAGGGTTGATTCCTGTCCTGGGCCTGGGAACTGGGCCCTTGGAGCCTCTGAGGTGGCTAGCAGTCTGACCCCTTGGAGGAGATGGGGACAGCTCTAGGTGTAGGTGGGCAGAAACCAGCACTGCATCCTCACTCATGGGCCAGGGAGGCAACTACAGGGATGCGGGAGCTGGTCTGAGCCATTGCCTCTTCTGTAAGCAAGGCCCAGTGGGGAGTAGGGAAGGAGATGCTTCCACTCTGTGCCACATGGGGCCCAGAGGGGCTGGTGCTGCTGCGGGGTCCACCTGTCCCCAGCGCCTGCTTGGTCAGAAAGGTGTGAATGCTGGCTGACTCCTCTTCGTTTCCCAGGCCGGCAGTCGTCCCCATGGGGCTAACAGGTGCCCCTGGCCTAGCTGCAGGAGGGCTGACCTCTGCACCACTGTGGCTGGGAGGCCAGTGGGCCAGGCGTGCCACCCAGAACCCAGCCAGCTAGGGGCCCCGCCCTTAGCGTTAGCGTCCGTCAAGGGGAGCTTTGAATGTTTGGTGCCCAAGTCAAGGGCAGCAGGGGAATGGCAGTTGAGAAGGATGTACTAAGTCGAGTTATATCTAAATATTTAGATTCTTAATTTCTATTTTATATTTTTAAAACATGATATTAGTATATAAGATAATATAGCTAGCCAGTGTTAGTAAAGAAGTCATGATTGAGTCTTAAAAAAGAACAATCCAGTGTTGCAGTTCAGAGAGGTTAGCATGTCAGGGCGCAGGCCTCGGCCGAGGTGTGCTTTGCATTTAGGACACAGCCCGGAGCCGCAGAAGGTCAGCAGGAGCACGTCTGGCACCTTCAGTACCAGGCTGGGTGAGAGAGCCCGAGAGGGGGGCCGGGGGGGCAGTCAGGGCCCTGCTTCGCTGCCTGGGCCCTTGTAGATGGCCTTCTCCAGGCCGTCCACCACCTCCCTGTATTCCAGGAACGATTGGTAGTGTGTGCACTCAAAGCAGCTGCTCCCGCGCACGTGTGCTAGGAAGTCTGGCGCACCTGGGCAGATCACGTTGTCAGCCAGTAGCACTGTCCCCTTCCGCAGCAGGCCACATTCCTGCAAACAGACCGGGGGGTGGGGGAGGTGAGGGTCAGAGGTGCCCAGAGAACCTGCCCCAAACCAGGATGGGTGCTCCTCACTAGGCCACGGCACCACGCCTGTGCCTAGCCCCTGGGGCCAGGTTTCCACTTTCTGCCCAGCGTGACTCCTGCAGGAAAGGACTGTACAAGACTTGGGTGCCACCTTCAGAACATGGGCCCCGTGAGGACAGGGACCTTTCTCTCATCAACTCCTGTATCCATCTCAGGAGTATCCATCCCTTAGAACAGCATGTGGCACACAGTAGGTGCTCAATAAATGCTAGCTGGGTGAGTGGAAACAATGGGGCCCTCAACACCCAGTGCCAGGAACTCAGGCCTATGAGGGAGAGGCACCCAAGGAGAGGGGTTGCTGGTATGGTCCCTGGAGACAATATTGGCCTGACCAGGGTGACCCTGCAGGGCTGAGGTGGGGCAGACCTCCCATCAACAAGCCTGCCCCTTGGGGTCAGTTCTGGACATCCCCAAGCTCCTGCATTTGCAGACCCCCCATCTTCACCAGTGCCTGGGCCCTGGGAGGACACAGAGTTCCTCTGCCTGGGTTCTGTGCAGAAGGAAGGAGTTGTTACTGGACACGCAGCCATAGGGCATGGCCCGTGGGGTCCACTATCGGGAGAAACCTCATAGGATGCTTGCCTATCTATGCTATCAGAAAAGGGTTTGCTTACATCACATAAACAAGAAACCTTGAGAGGAAGTGTTTGCCTATGGGGAGGAAGGACCTACCAGGGCAAGGGACACCCCAGTCACCTTGTCTTGGAAATTTGACTTAGTCACCAAACAAAAGTTAACAAGCAATCTCAAACATCTAAAGTATAATAAAATCAATTTGCAGGCAGGTGCCTTGAAACACTGGTATCCGACCCCACATGCCTCTGGGATGGGCCTGGAGAGTCCCACAGGGCTTGCAGCTGTCCTGGTGGTGGGTGGCGGTCGTTTCCAGCCTGTATGCTGCAGAGAAAGCAGGGGGCTTTCATGTGACAGTATGGACACCACACGGCTGCAAGGTCAGTGAGGTCAGGGGACAGCCCCAAGGTCCGGAGTTGAGCAGGAAGTACCACCATGAATCATGATGTGTTTTCATTTAGAAAAAAAAAAAAATGTCCTAGCAATGTCAGCTGAAAAGACGTAGAACAAAGCGCCACCCGGGAGGAGGACAATGGCCTAGGCCTTGAGCAGGGCGGCTGCCTTCCAGTCTGGGCCAGGGAATGCATGAGTGAGGGGCCTGGGCTCCTGGACTTCTCGGGTTGCGCCAGGGGACTCAGGAGCCCAATCTGGTCATCAGGGATACAGAAGACGTCAGCGGACTGAAAGACACCAGACCACTGCACCTGCACGAGTTAAACAGGAAAGAAGGAGGGAAGGGCAGAAAGGAGCATGGGTCACCTTTGGAGGCTGCCAGGGGCCCACTCCTTTACGAAACTGGTCAAGAGGGGAAAGAAGGCAGCACCTGTCCTGCCTGTCGCCCGACACTGCAAGCCTCCTACCAGCTACTCAGACCACCTGGAGAACTGGCTAAACATGCATCAGCGTCTGAGCAGGACTGAAAATCTAATGCCGTGGAGAAGCGACAGTGTCAGAGGAGCAGGTGACACTATGCTGAGGTGGTTTTCATCTGGCCCACCCTCCTTAGACTCTCCTCCCTTCAAGAGTTGGAGCCTCACAGAGGTTGCAGGGAGCCAAGATCGCGCCACTGCACTCCAGCCTGGGCGACAGAGCGAGAGACTGTCTCGAGAAACAACAACAAAAAGTTGGAGCCTCAGACCAAGCACACACCTGTACTCCCAGCACTTTGGGAGGTTGAGGCAAGAGGATCGCTTGAGGCCAGGAGTTTGAGACCAGTCTGGGCAACATAGGGAGACCCCATTTCTACAAAAAATTTTTAAATTAGCCAGGTGTAGTGGTGCATGCCTTTAGTCCTAGCTACTCAGGAGGCTGAGGTGGGAGGATCACTGGAGCTCAGGAGTTTGAGGCTACAGTGAGCTATGATGTCATCACTGCACTCCAGCCTGGGCACAGAGCAAGACTCTGTCTTTTTCTTTTTTTTTTTTTTTTTTTAAGGGGGAACTCATTCCTCTTCCTTTGGGCATGGGCTGGACTTGGTGACTACAGCAGCCCGGTGGAGAGGCCTCCTCAAAGCAGCCCTTGATTTTGAATTGCAACCTGCTCCTGAGCCCCTCACCCCTCGTGCCTCCGATGCTCACAGAACCCACTGAGGGGATGGCTAGACCCTCACAAGAGCCAGGTTGTCCCCTAACCCTCCACAAGGGGGCACAGGGCCCCAGCCCTGAGTGTGCAGATGTGCGTTTAACAAGGACACCCATTCCCAATTCATGACTTCCCACTTCATGACTTTGCTTCTTTTGAGATAATTACCAGCTTTGCGCAAGCAGCACTGAGAAAACTATTAGTTTCCTAGTTACTAAACTGCAATGTTTGCTACTTTTCTATGAAGGCAGGCCCCTGTAATTAGCACCCACATCACAGCTGCTGAAACTCGGCCGCAGTAACGCAGGCCCAGCTGTGGGTGTCTTTCCTGCCCAAGTGAAGCCCATCTGGCTGAGTGCCAGCTCTCTGCCATCAATACCCAATTGCCAGCATCATGCTCCTTTGTCAGGGGTGAGCCCCCCTCCAGCTACCCTGTCTTGGCCTGTAGGTCTCCCTCCCACCCTCCCAATGCCCACCCCCTTGGCCACTACAGGTCCTCCCTCTCCACGGCCAGGGTTCAGTGCCTCCTCGTGAGTTCAGGGCATCTGAAATGCCCTCCCCACAGCCCTCTCCACACTCCACAAGGCTGACAGGGATCTTTCCAGAAAAGTTTTTGTTGTTTTTTGTTGTTTTGAAAGCTGGAATACGGCCGGACGCAGTGGCTCACGCCTGTAATCCCAGCACTTTGGGAGGCCGAGGCGGGCGGATCACGAAGTCAGGATATTGAGACCATCCTGGCCAATGTGGTGAAACCCCATCTCTACTAAACTACAAAAAACTAGCCGGGTGTGGCAGCGCGCGCCTGTAGTCCCAGCTACTCAGGAGGCTAAGGCAGGGTAATCGCTTGAACCCAAGAGGTGGAGGTTGCAGTGAGCCGTGATCGTGCCACTGCACTCCAGCCTGGTGACAGAGCAAGACTCCATCTAAAATATATATATATATTTTTTCTTTTGCCATGTTGCCCAGGCTGGTCTCGAACTCTCCTGGCCTCAAGCGCTCCTCCTGCCGTAGCCTCCCAAAGTGCAAGGGTTACAGGCATGAGCCCCTGAGCCCAGCTCCAGAAGACAGGTCTAACCTCATCCTCACCTGCCCAAAGTCCTGTGTGCCCTGACTCCCATTGTTCCTGGAACATTCTCTGCCCTTTCACACCTCAGGCTTCTGCTAGTGCTGGTTCCTTCCAATCCGTGTCCAGGGTCCAGCGGCCCTACCTAGCCAGGCATGGGGGCTGTGCCCCTCGTGCTCCTAGTCCGGCTGCTAACAGCAGTGTCCAGTTTCTGGGAGAGCTGCAGGTGAGCGAGCACCAGGTGGGGAGGCCGTGAGGGTGGGTGTCCCAAGCCCAGTGGAGGATCACAGAGCCACTCAGTGTCGCTGACCACCAGGGAGGGATGGGGCAGTGTGTCACTGATGTGAGGCTCCTTAAGCATCAGTCTGTGAAGGGCCACCAGTGCCCCACGCCCCCCAGGGAAGCGAGGACAGCCCCACCCGCTGTCTAGCCTCACTCGGGGCACTCAGGGTCCTCGCCAGTGGGGCTGGGTTGGGGGAATGCACAAGATGGGGCCTCAGGAGGAAGATCTGCAGGAGACACATGCTTTCTTTGCACGAGCAGTGGCTTGCTTGGGGGAGAGCAGGCTGGGCCCAGAGCGGCCCTTCCCCACCCCATCTCCTTGGTCCTGTGCCGTTTCTGCCCTGGTGTCTGGTCTGGGGTGTGCACCCCACTTCTGCCACCCATTTTGCACCTGCACAGGCAGCTGGCTCCCCAGTTCCCAACAGGCCACCCAGCCAGGCCCCTGGCCCAGCTCCCCACCCATCTCCACCCACCACAGGGCCTCCTCAGTCCCCCACACTCCCAGACCTCAGGTGGTGCCTCCAGAGCGAGCTGTGTCCACACAGGGCTCTACTGGAATGCCTGGCTCTTTGGAGAGGCTGAGGCTGACTGAATGGGCTCTGGGCAGCAGCTGGCACGGATGCCATCCTGGTTGGGGCTCACCTCCAAGAGAAGCGTGTCCGGCAGGTACCGGTCCTTCCAGTGGTCGAGGAAGACCATGTCCAGTGTGTCCACATCATACTTCTTCTTCAGCTGGGGGATGATGTCCTGGGACGCTCCAACCACAAGGGTGACCTGGAACAGCGCCTGTCAGTGCCCACGTCCTCACAGACAGGAGGCCATCCCTACACACCTATACAACAGCGCCTGTCAGTGCCCACGCCCACACAGACAGGAGGCCATCTTTACACACCCATACAAGCATTCATCAGTTTTCTTTAGGGTTCTGGGATGACAAGGCCCCACTCTGTCCCTGCCCCTCCTGGTGCCACCTTGGCAGTTTACCCAGAGCTGTGAGACCCTCACTGAGCTGCTGGGGGGGTCTTTCCTCAGCCCCAGGCTGGGAAGCACTGAGGGGCCTGGTGATAGTGGGTTTTCAGTGAACGTGGTGTGAACACCTGGTGGGGAGGACAAAGTGCGCATGCCCTCCCTGCCCACAGCCGGCCCTTTTTCCAGGTCTGACAACGGGTCAGGCATGCACACCTTGTCCTTCACGCCAGCGAAATCCACCATCCGCTGGGTGATGGCGGCACAGTCGGGGTTGATCTCGATGGTGATGAGCCTCGCCCCTGGTGACAGCAGGCGGGCCATGCGCACAGCTGAGTAGCCACAGTAGGCCCCCAGCTCCAGCAGCACGGAGGGCTGGTGCTCCTGAATCACGGCGTCCACGATCTTGCCTGTGCAGGGTTGGGGACGGAGGAGAGGTGAGCACAGGTGGAGAGAGGGGAACTTGGATCCCCAGGCACGGCCCCCCACCTCTCCCAAAGAGCAGGAGCCCCTCCCAAATGCCTGGCCGCTGGCCCTCCTCTGCCCACCCTCCCTACCCGCTGGAGGGGTATTTCACCTCCCTGGTGTCCCCAGCCCCCAGGACCTGGTCCCCACTGTGAGCGCGCTTGGAGCTCCCATGGTCCCTTAGCCTCTATGCTCACGCTGGTCCCTATCTTTTCCACCCTTCCTGGCTGGCCCCAGTGTGTCCTAACACAGAGCTGCCCTCTCTGAATCACCGAACCGCCCACCTTGGGGCCCTGGGGCGGCACTAGTTCCCTGAGTCACTCCGTGAGCCCGGTAACACATCCTGTGCCCCAGGCTGAAGTTCAAGCGGGAGGCGGGCCCAGGAGAACCTGTCTGACTGGTCCCCAGGCAGGTCCCATGGTGGCCAGAACAGAGTTCAAGGGGAACTGCACCACCGTCAGACCCTGTGAGTGTGGGGGCCTGTTGTCCTGGGGCAGCAGGCAGCAGGGCCTGCAGGGGTCATCAGGGACCCTGGCACCCTGGGACTCCAGAGGAGCCCCCCAGCCCTATCTGGGCATATCCCAGGGTTCCCAGCCCCCTGGAAATGGGGTGATAACAGCTTCTCCTGTAAGGGCTTTGATGCCTGGTCCTGGGTCCCTGTCCCAGAGCTGAGCACCTGCTGGCCCGGACCCCACCTTTCTTGTCGCCCACGTTCATGGCCCACTCCTTCTGCTCGCAGTAGGTGTCAATGGCCTCCAGCACGCTCTGTGCGTTCCCGGGCTCCGCATGCTGCAGCACGTGGTTCAGGATGCGCTGCTCCTTGGTGTCACCCATGAGCAGGTTGTGGATGGGCTGCAGGATGAACTCGTTCCAGCCGATAAGGCACAGGCCCCAGCCCCAGTGCCTCAGAAGCAGCAGCAGCACCACCAGCAGCACCAGGCCCAGCAACACAGCTGCCAACAGCAGAGGCGGGGCCTCCGGCATCTGCAGGGCGGGAGGGGAGGGGCGCCAGTGCTCTGTGCTCCTCCTGCAGCACCCACACGCCCCTTTGCTTGGAGTGCCACCATCGCCCCCTTGTGTTTGCAGAGGGGCAAGGTTCAGAAATGCCAGCCTTGTGCCTCAGTTGCCTGACGTGTCAGCGCCAGGGAGCCAGCCTTCTCGTGCCCTCTGGTGCCCTCGGGTAGACAGAGCAGGTGTGTGCCTCTGGCAGTCCTGTGTGGAGCCTGCAGGGTCACACTCCCTGGCCCTGGGTGCTTCCCCAGGCAGCCCAGGGATCCTCTAAAACCACACAAAATACAGAAGCAGACACGGACTCAGGCTGTTGTCTCCCAGCTGGCTTAGAGGACACCCAGGGGTAGGGAAGCCCCATGGCCCGGAGTTGGGGGTAGTCACGGGTGGCCAAAGGAGAGGCTGTATGGTGCAGCCCCTTGGCCTCATGTGGTGAGCCCGTGCTGGTCACCCATGCTCTGGACGCCCCAGGGATTCATGTGGCCTTTTCATTGAGTGTCCAAGTAAGGACACTGGCAGTCCCCAGGCCAGGCACACCAGGACAGACCCACTCACCACTCCCCTTGGGAACAGCAACGTGGCATGTCCCAGATGAGAAAGGCCAGCCCTGCCGCCCACAACAGTGTACCTCGTGGGGCACAGTGATGGCAAGTGACCCCACTTGAAACCTGTTTGAAATCCTCCTGGTGTGACCCTCCAGGCAGGTAGCCTGGGAACCAGACAGAAGCCTGGTGAGGGGACCCAGCAGGCAGAGAGCAGAGCACAGGAGGCCTGAGGCAGAAGCCCAGGGGTTCAGGTCACAGACCCTAAAACGGGAAGGACACAAGGAAACTTCTTCTAGGGCCCCTGTGCTCACTCAGAGGTCTTTCTGGGATGGGGCCCTGGGCTCCCAGTGGCATAGGAGATCCCACTCTCTGCTGGACGCTCCATTTTAGAAAGGCACACCCAGGCAAGGAGGCAGGCCTAGGGCCACAGAGGGGACACCCCTGGAGGCCAGCCTCAGGGCACCAGAGGACAGAGCAGAAGAGAACAGGGAAGCAGAGGCTCCGCCCTAGGGGGAGGTCATGCGGACACCAGGCTTCTAGGGGATTTCAGGCCATGTGGCCTATTTACACAGGCAGAGTGGACATGTGCTCAGCAGACCTGTGCCCATGCACCGGGCCGGAATCTGTACCCACCCTGGCACTGCCCCGGCTTCCGTTGGCCAACTCACCTTCAAAGCACCTCTGAGCAGGCTCCAGCCCTCTGGCTGCGGGAGGGGTCTGGGGTCTCCTCTGAGCTCGGCAGCAAAGCAGATGTTATTTCTGTGGAAATCAATTTTGCCTTTGGATAATCATCAACATAAACCCTAACCTGGCGATGACCAAGGTCCAGATACCTGAGCCCCTTCCCCGGATAGGGCCAGCCTGGCCTGAGCCTTCCCTAGCAGGGCGAGGGCAGTGCTTCGCCTTTCCGGCCTCAGAAGAGACAGCAGAAGGCCTCAGAGAGGCCAAGGGACATCCCTACTAGTGTCCCCCAGCCAGGGACCCCAGGGGCAGTCTCCTGGTCCCTGTCCACACTGCCCTGTGGGCTATGTGTGTGTGCACCTGCACCTTGTGAACCACAAGAGGAGGGAACCACTCTGCTCAAGTTGTATTTCCCCTGAAGAGTCCTTAGTACCTTGGAAATGATGTGTAAGACCAAGGGCTAGTTTACCAAGAACATACACAAACCAGTAAGAAAAAGATGATGAGACAGATAGGTCACAGTGGCCAACATGCAGCTCACAGGAAAAGGCCAAAGGCCAGAGCCCCGAGCAGGTGATGGAACCCGGTGCAGGGCTCAGTGACAGTGGGGGTGCCCCTGTCCACAGCTGCAGGAGTGGGAATCGTGCTGCCTTCTGCTGCTACCCTTGGGAAGGGTCCCAGGCCTGCAGGGAAACCCGTGGCCCACTGTGTTTCCCAGCGGGGCAGGACGTGCCATGACCCACAGGGCTCGTGGGGAAAAAACAAGAGATGGTGCTTCCCTAAGGACAGTGTCCTTATTCTGGCAGGAAGATGACAGGGGGAACCATGGTGGAGAGGGACCATGCAGACCTGAAGCAGCCAGAACTTTCCACCTTGCTCCTTTCTTCATGGTGGGGATTTCCTATGACACAGCCTGTTGCTTTGTTTACTATTATTTATCTGCTATGGTTTATCTATAATGACTACTAGTATTTGTGTGGTCAGATAATGGGCCATTTTGTTTACTCTCCATATTTAAAAAACAGTGTTAGAAATATATACCCCAAATTAAAAGGGCTATTCTGAAACAGCAAATTACTTGGTAGACCTTGGAGTCCCAAATTATAAATCCAAATCTGCGTTAATACTTGAATTGTGTAAGAATTTGGCTTTTGAATCTCTAATCTCTAGGTCTGTCTGTTCATAAATCTGCAGGCAGTGTCTCCCAGGGCCTAGTGGGAGGCAGCAGAGGGGAGGAGGCCACAGCAGGGAGGGGCCCGAAGCCCCCTTCCTTTGCCTGGCAGGAGGGACCGGCCCACTCCACTCTGCAGGCTGGGCCTGGCTGGTGCAAGGAGGCACCCAGTGCCCGCCTGTCCCACCTGCCCGCGGCTCTGTGGCCAACTGGGGTCCAATGGCCAAGAGCCATGGGGGCTGGGGAAGTGCTCAAGGCCAAAGGCTCTGCGGCCAACTGGGCCCCAACGGCCAAGAGCCATGGGGGATGGGGAAGTGCTCAAGGCCAAAGGCTCAAAGGCCAACACGCCCAGGCCACAATGCAGTGCCTGGGGGCTACAGTGCCCACGGCCACCTCACAAGGCCCTCCAGCAACCGCCAGAGGAGAAGAGCGCTGGGATTCCCTTGTGAGTGTGAACTGAAGCCCTGAGCAGAGGGACTGGCTGCCCCGGGCCACCAACAGAGCCCTGGCCCCTGCCCACCCCACCTCCCGACAGCTAACC